>NC_000017.11:61935980-63185980 GCF_000001405.40 Homo sapiens
GCCATAAAAAAGAATGAGATCATGTCTTCTGCAGGAACATGGATGGAGCTGGAGGCTGTTATCCTTAGTAAGCTAATACAGGAACAGAACACCAAATACCACGTGTTCTCACTTAAAAGTGGTAGCTGAATGATGAGAACTCATGGACACAAAGAAGGGAACAACAGACAATAGGGTCTACTTGAGGGTGGAGGGTGGGGGTGGAAGGAGGCTAAGGAGAAGGAAAAATAACTATTGGAAACTAGGTTTAATACCTGGGTGATGAAATAATCTGTACAACAAACCCCCATGACACAAGTTTACTTATATAACAAGCCTCCACATGTACCCCTAAACCTAAAAGTTAAAAAAAAAAAAGATACCATGGAATTTTACTAAATAACCTGCTGAATGTTCATTCTCATAATTAGTTTATCAATACTGTCAAAATAAAAGATGAGGGCCAGGCATGGTGGCTCACGCCTGTAATCCCAGCACTTTGGAAGGCTGAGGTGGGCCAATCACGAGGTCAGGAGATCGAGGCCATCCTGGCTAACATAGTGAAACCCCATCTCTACTAAAAATACAAAAAAATTAGCCTGGCGTGGTGGCAGGCGCCTGTAGTCCCAGCTACTCAAGAGGCTGAGGCAGAATGGTGTGAACCCGGGAGGCGGAGCTTGCAGTGAGCCGAGATTGCGCCACTCACTCCAGCCTGGGCGACAGAGCGAGACTCCGTCTCTAAAAAGTAATAATAATAATAAATAAAATAAGAGATTGATTCCAGTTACTCTCTTTTAGGTATGTACTGCATTGTTATTCATAGCACTTTAGAGGACTTGTCGAACTAATTATGTTCATACAAGTGTGTTTCCAAATATACTGAAGGCTTAAGGTCAGAGGTTTGTATCTCTCTTTTTTTTTTTTTTTTTTTTGAGACGGAGTCTCGCTCTGGCCCCCAGGCTGGAGTGCAGTGGCGCGATCTCGGCTCACACTGCAAACTCCGCCTCCCGGGTTCACGCCATTCTCCTGCCTCAGCCTCCCGAGTAGCTGGGACTACAGGCGCCCGCCACCGCGCCCGGCTAATTTTTTTTTTTTTTTTTTTTGGATTTTTAGCAGAGACGGGGTTTCACCGTGGTCTTGATCTCCTGACCTCGTGATCCGCCCGCCTCAGCCTCCCAAAGTGCTGGGATTACAGACGTGAGCCACCGCGCCCGGCCTTGTATCTCTTTTCTTTTTTTTGAGACAGGGTCTCACTCGTCACCCAGGCTGGAATGCAGTGACATGATCTCGGTTCACAGCAGCCTCCGCCTCCTGGGTTCCAGCGATTCTCCTGCCTCAAGCCTTCTGAGTAGCTGGGAATACAGACACATGTCACCACACCTGGCTAATTTTTTTGTAATTTTAGTAGAGAGGGGGTGTCACCATTTTCCCAGGCTGGTCTCGAACCCCTGACCTCAAGTGATCCACCTGCCTCGGCCTTCCAAAATGCTGGGATAACAGGCGTGAGCCACCACGCCTGGCTCGAGATTTGTATCTCATAACTAGTGTATAGTAGATTATTTTATTGTACAAACAAACAGTGTTTTAGTGAAACTATGCCAGTTTCTAATTAACTTGTTGGTAAAGTTAGGTAAATTTGTTAGAATTTCTGGGACCTGGCTGGGCGCGGTGGCTCACTTCTGTAATCCTAGCACTTTGGGAGGCTGAGGCGGGCGGATCACTTGAGGTCAGGAGTTCAAACCCAGCCTGGCAAGCATGGTGAAACCCTGTCTGTACTAAAAACACAAAAAAATTAGCGGGGCGTGTTGGCGGGCACCTGTAATCCCAGCTACTCGAGGCTGAGGCAGGAGGATCTCTTGAACCCAGGAGGTGGAGGTTGCAGCGAGCTGAGGTTGCGCCACCGCACTCCAGCCTGGGCAACAGAGTGAGACTCCATCTCAAAAAAAAAAAAAAAAAAAAAAAAAAGAATTTCTGGGACCTACATTAAAAAAACTAAAACTGAGAAAGTTGCTCATTTTCACTTTGGCAGGACCTTTCCATTTCCCACACCATTTCTGAAATCATATCTGCAAGTTCCTTCAGCACCCAAGATGTAATTCTTGTGGATCCAGAGACTTGAGCAACTAACTAGCTCCTTGAAATCTGTTAACTATCTTTGGTTTGAATTCTATCATAAGCATGTTATTTAGAGCTTGAAGACCCAAGCTGAGCTGGGGGTGGAGGGGTGGGGCTAGGGACAGAAAGGAGGTAAATCTGAATAGATCTAAATAATTTTTTTTTTTTTTTTTTGAGACGGAGTCTCGGTCTGTCGCTCAGGCTGGAGCGCAGTGGCTCGATCTCGGCTCACTGCAACCTCCAGCTCCTGGGTACAAGCGATTCCCTTGCCATCGCTTTCTGAATAGCTGGGACTACAGGGGCCTGCCACCATGCCCGGCTAAATTTTTTTTGTATTTTTAGTAGAGTCGGGGTTTCACCGTGTCGTCCAGGCTGGTCTTGAACTCCTGACCTCAAGTGATCCTCCCGCCTTGGCCTCCCAAAGTGCTGGGATTACAGGCATGAGCCACTGAGTCCAGTCAGGTCTAAATACTTTTTGTTATCTTACCCATCTGTACTCTTATTGGAACATATTTAAAAGTCCTTTTTGTTGCCTTTAATTATCCACCTATTATGTTCATGTTTCCAAGTAGACATTCTCTTGTAAACCTTAGTTTATTCTGAATTTGGCTCTTCTAGAGAGCGTAAGTATTAAACAATCATCTCTCACACTTTTATAAATTTTTTTTGAGACAGGGTCTCACTCCATCGCCCAGGCGGAGTGCAGTTGCACGATCATGGCCCACTACACCCTCGACTTTCTAGGCTCGAGTGATGCTCCCACCTCAGCCTCCCCAAGTAACTGGGGCTACAGGTGTGCACCACCACATCCAGCTAATATTTTATAATTTTCAAAATTTTTGCAATTTCCTTTGAGGTTAACAAAGCTAATTAGAAAGATATAGTTATGTTCTTTTACAAATGAACAACTTGTGACTTCAAGAGGTTAAGTGTTTTGCCCAAGTTCACAAATGTGGCAAACCTAACAACTGAGGAATCCTAATCCTATGATCCTAAACTACTTCTAATATTAAAACGAGTCCAAAGTAGTTAGAATTTTATAACTTCATTAAAAGTATTTGCAAAACACACTTCAGCAAAGTTCTGTAGTTTGAGGTGTTTTATCACAAAAACTCAATTCAAAAATGCTTTTATTCAAAAATACTCAAGTTGGCCAGGCACAGTGGCTCACGCCTGTAATCCCAGCACTTTGGGAGGCCAAGATGGGAGGACTGCTTGAGGCCAGGACCAGCCTGGGCAACATGGCGAGACCTCCATCTCCATAAAAAAAATACAAAAATTAGCTAGGTGTGGTAGCACATACCTGTAGTTCTGACTGCTTGAGCCCAGGAGGCTGTTAGAGTGAGCCATGAGGGTGCCACTGCACCCCAGCCTGGGTGACAGAGGGAGACCCTGTCTCTCAAAAAAAATTTTTTTAAAATATTTAAATACCTTACTCCAATGCTGGGCATTGTGTTGGACTCTGGAGATACAATGATGAGCAAAATAGATCTAATTTCTGCCCTCATAGAGTTGTCTGGTGATGACAAATAATCATACAATTGACCGGGTGTGGTGGCTCACGCCTGTAATCCCAGCACTTTGGGAGGCTGAGGCAGGTGGATCACCTGAGATCAGAAGTTTGGGACCAGTCTGGCCAACATGGTGAAACCCCATCTCTACTAAAAATACAAAAAAATTAGCAGGGAGTGGTGGCAGGCACCTGTAATCCCAGCTACTCGGGGAGGCTGAGCCAGGAGAATTGCTTGTACTCGGGAGGTGGAGGTTGCAATGAGCCAAGATCGTGCCATTGCACTCCAGCCTGGGCGACAAGAGTGAAATTGTCTCAAAAATAAATAAAATAAAAATCATACAATTGTAAACTAAGAAAAACACTACAGGCCAGGTGCAGGTGGCTCATGCCTGTAATCCCAGCACTTAGGGAGGTTGAGGCGGGCAGATCACCTGAGGGCAGGAGTTCAAGACCAGCCTGGCCAACGTGGCCAAACCCCATCTCTACTAAAATACAAAAAATTAGCCGGGTATTGCACCGTGCGCCTAGTCCCAGCTACTTGGGAGGCTGAAGCAGGAGAATTGCTTGAACCCGGGAGGCGGAGGTTGCAGTGAGCAGAGATCACGCCACTGCACTCCAGCCTGGGCAACAGAGCGAGACTCTGTCTCAAAAAGAAAAAAAAAAAAGAAAAAAACACAACAAAGGCTCCATATAGGGTATTACAATAAGAGTGTGTAACAAGGGAGCCTGATCTGAAGCAAGGGTGTAATGTGGAAATCAGGTGGAAGCTTTAAGGCAAAAAATACCCATGGGTCTTTCAAGGAACTCAAATGACTAAAAAGCAAGGAGGAAAACATAGAGGCCCATTTTGAGACTGTATTCATCTTTAGAGCAAGCAGCAGCTACTAAAGGTTTTCAGCTACCAAGGACCACAGTGAGTGTAGAGATCAGATAGGAGTACCTGTCTATTGCAATGGTCCACTCAGATAAGGTAGTTTTATCTAATGTTATATAGCAATGGATAATGCTAATTTAGACTAAGATCAGGACAGCAGAAATAGAAATGAACATATTTGATAGTACACAAAACTGATAGTTTTTGATGAATGGTTGCAAGGAAGAGTTTATGGTTTGCACAACAGGATAGATGGTAGTGTCATGCACAGTGACAAGGGACAAATGGTTGTTCTCTAGGGACCAAGTGGCTTTTGTAGAAGGTAACTGTTGGTCTTACTGATCAGATATGCTCCAAACAAAAAGAAAACGACAAAACCAAGACTTAAACTCACACATTCCGAATGCAAATCTGTAAGACATTATATGGCTTGGACACGTGGCATGATTTAAATTTATCACTTCTAATTTTTTTCTCTGTAGTAGGTAGGAGCAAAATAAGGAAGTCTTTAAAGCATCAGCCTTTAAACTTTTTTTTTTTTTTTTTTTTGAGACAGGATCTTCTCACTCTGTCACCAAGGCTGGAGGGCAGCGGTGTGATCTCGGCTCACTGCAACCTTGCCTCCTGGGTTCAAGTGATTCTCCCGCCTCAGCCTCCCAAGTAGCTGAGATTACAGGTGCATGCCAACACAGCCTGGCTAATTTTTGTATTTTTAGTAGACGGGTTTCACCATATTGGTCAGGATGGTCTCCAACTCCCAACCTCAGGTGATACGCCCACCTCAGCCTCCCAAAGTGCTAGGAAAACAGGCGTGAACCACCGTGCCCGGCCTAGACTTTAAACTAAACAGAAGGTCATTCTTGACGGTTCTGTTGGGTTGCTCTAGAAGGAAAAGACAAAACAAAACCCAGCTCTAACAGTATCAATTTCTATTAATCTCAAGCAGAATTTCTGGTTATAGCTATAGTACACTAAGGGTAGAGGTTCTTAATCTTCAGTCCAGGATTGATAACTCCCCTACAGTAGACAGGAAGATATTGGCAAAAGCAGAATAACAGAATAGACACCTCAGGAATACACTCAAAACAGTTAGATTTAGCCAGGTATGGCAGCAACTCATGACTGTAATCTCAATGCTTTGGGAGGCCAAAGCGAGAGGATGGCTTGAGGCCAGGAGTTTGAGACTCGGGCAACATAGCGAGATCCCATCTCTACAAAAAATAAAACTAGCCAGGTGTGTTGGCATGCACCTGAAGTCCCAGCTACTAAGGAGGCTGAGGCAAGGAGGACTGCTTGAGCCCAGGAGTTCAAGGCTGCAGTGAGCTATGAATGTTTGGTATTCCAAATTTTCAAATGTACCAAAATTATCAATGTACTAATACATATTGGTGCTCCATTGTGGCTGTAGCTGAATTATGTGATTTTTCCCGTTTCCTAAACTTTCATATATTTTGAAGTTTAAAATAAAAATATCCATGTGTGTGGTTTTACAAGTGAATACCCCCTTTAAAAAAAAGCTTGATTTGCAGTTTTTCGCTATACATAAGACTATAGTAAAAAAAAAAAAAAAGATAGAAACAAACCAGAGGTAATATAATAGTGCTTGATTAAAGATCTGTCAGACAGAAAATAACCGAGGATAGGCGGTTCAAACAACATACAACTCCTTTTAAAGGATTTTTAAAATTTTTGCAGCAAAAACTATTTCAAAATGATCACAATAATTTTGAGGTATGTCCTTACTTGGCTTAAGTCTGGACAAAAATATTTTAAATGTGTGCTTACAGAACATGGGCAGAACTATTTTTGATGGATTACTCACTTCTGAACATTGTTCTTATGATCAAATAAAAATAGGATACAGCTAAGCTTTAAATATTTGAAGGTAGCTTGTTTGGACTAGACAATACCTAACTGGCCAGCCTACAAGGAATTGGTAGGTATACAAATATACAATTATTCTACATACTGTACATTTGTATGTGATTAAAATCCTTTTTAAAATAAAATACTTCAGAAAAATTAAAAGACCATTAATCAGTTTCTAGGCTGTCCCTTTCCATTTATAATGACACAAAAATATTGCTACTAATTTTGCACAAATTTAATATGGAAATATTTTCAACAGAATAAGACACAACAATGAAGGCTTCATGAATAATTTATTCCATTTGAAGTTTTGTTTTTTGTTTTTGTTTTTTTTTTTTTAAAAAGTATAAACCTTTTCATTTCCTCAATCACAATTTGTACAACTCAGTGTTATGGCATTCGGCAGCAATAGTGTTTGTTCCTTATTCTCTTTTTGTCACGTTAAAAAGAAAAGCAATTGGACCATATTAAATGTCACTGCTAAACAACAACTTTAAAACGCCCCTTCATAAAGTGACCAAGCTATTTTGAGAGGGTTGATGCTGACATGTCCAGTAATGACGTTACAATTTGTAGCTTAAACTCAATAACTTTAAGGTCCACATATCCAGTTTACTTTGAAAACTAAAGATGTTTTAAAACTTCATGAATACATCAACCTGAGGAGTATTTTAGGTCCCAAATCCAGTTTTTAAATTTATACTCCACAAAAAAGAAAATACATACATAAAAATTTAAACCACAGTTCTGGGCCCATTAAAACACCAAAAAAGACCCCCCAAAAAGTTAAGATTTCCAGCTTATTTCTGGAGGGGTGGGACAAAATAAGAATGTATATTAAAAACATTTTTCCTTAATTCAGACAAACTAAAATCTTAAGAGGAAACCCAGACCAAAATATCACTCATGCAACATTAAGTGTATTAACTGATTGATATGCAATGCCATAGTGGATGAATAGCAAATTATATGATGCAATAGCATTTAAAAACTTTTTAATCTATTCAATTTGAACATTTTAAATAATGCAACATAGTATTCTGATATTACAGTATTAACATAGTGCTTGATTAAAGATCTGCAAATCTTTGTAGTAACACATTAAGTTAAAAAATTACCTCAGAAGGTAAATATGAAGACGAAAGGAGAATATTTTAATACAGTAATCTGTGCCATACTGACAATTGAGTACGAATACAGCTGAGGATAGTTGACTAAGTAGTAAGAGCTTAATTTTAGTGGTTTAAGAAAAGTTTAGAAATATTTAAAAATTACAGCTACTTTAAAATTTAAGGATTACATATAAGTACACTTGGTGGCCTTCTGGCCAAACAATAAGGTGTACAGAAATTTATTCATACAGTGTTAATTCACAGTCCTGATAACTCAATGGCTTGCATAAGAAAGGTATGGCTAGATGTTTCTCACTGGCTGGAAGCAGACATTATATAACTAATCTTTTTAAATGACAAAATACTGAACTTCCACCCTGCTTAATAATCATGGATACCTGCACAAAAAAAAAGATGTTAGCACTGTAACAAAGAAGTCAAGGTGTTGGTAATCCACTGCTATAAAGTATAATATTTTGCTTACCTATTTAAACAAAACTACCCATATTTGTCTGTGACAGTACATTAGTAAGTCAAATCCATCATCCTGCACAAGGCTTAATTTCTCAAATAAGTCTACTGAGCTTTTCTAATGGTTATTTAATAACTTTCCATTGAGTTTGAATGGATATATGAAGGGAAGAAAAAAAATCTTATCAATAAATCCTGTATATTTGGGAACTATTCCCTGATTCCCAAATAAAAAATAATTGTGTACTGGGTTCCCTCCTTATGGCTCCATATTAAATAACCTGTCAGGGAATAATTTTAAATCTACTTTCAAATTGAGGTGTGGTTATCATAGGTTAGTGATTTTAAACAACTGAGAATATAACTTTTATTTTGTAAAGTCACTATTAAGTGTATAAAAAGGATACTCTTTTTATGGAAATTCCAAATAAGCACATTTTCCTTCAAATCTCAGACAAGTTTTTTTTTTTTTTTTAAAGAAAGTACAGAACAAAACATACCAACATAATGTGTGGTGTATTAGCATAATTTAAAAACAAATGCAGAGAGGTGATCTTTAAATTTAATATCAAAATATGCTGACCATTAGAACTGCATTATAATTTTGAAGAAATGATTGACAACCTTTGTCACCAATTGTGTTTGCTTCATAGAAAAAACAAGACTTGCTAATGTTTTCATATACACAATCTGAAGAAGTTATGTTGTTCATAAGAAAGTGATATTTAATTCTAAGCACAGAGTATTCACAAAAACAAGTTTCAGTAAAAAAAAAAACTAAAACAAACACTGAAGTAGAGTTTTGTAAATACAACTGATTTTGTCCTTGTAGATAATTAGTGAACGTACAAATAGAAATTTTGCTAGACTGCTTCCAAGAAAGCTAGGTAGACTCGGCGACTGTGAATTCAAGTCAGCAATGCAGGTAGGAGGCGAACTTGGGCTCTTTTGTGAGCAGCACTGTAGAAAGGATTTTTCAAGGGGGTACAGCCTGCATAAAAGCAGTTATCTTGGCATGTGCAAACAAGAAGGGGGAAAGTTGTATTGAAGGAGGGGTGAATTAAAGTCCCTAAAATTCAAGTCCCTTCTTTAGGGAGGTGAGAACCTCCTTGGCATATGCCCTACCTTAATCTGAGCTGTGTTATAGAAAAGTACAGACTCTGGTGTTTGGGACTGACATCTCCAAACCAAGAAAATTAAATAAATAAAAAAGGCAAGGGAAGTTTAAAAAATGGTTCTTTCACTAGTGGAATAGAGTCTGAATACCAGAATTCACTGAGAATCTATTTACACCACAGTTTGATTGCGCGCACACACACACACCCATACATATGCATACTCTCACATACATTCCCAATCTTTAATTTAAAAAAAAAAGTCAAACAATCAAGAATGACTGCTTGAAAAATAATTTGTAAAATGCCTAGAGCTGGGCTAAATTTCAACCTTATAGCAGATCCTGAAAATAAATTTCATAATAATATTTCCATGCCTAAATATGCCACTGTTAAAACTGAAAAAAATTTAAGCATGTAACATTAAACACTAAAATTAGTTTAAGCATTCAGTAGCAAATGGTTTTTCTTGTAAAACTAAGTTTCTTTCACCGGAAATGGCCTGAAATATTAGTCATAGCCCTAAACCATAGTACAAAATATAACTGAAGAATTCTCATTTTATTCTAAGTTAAACCACCTAACAATACCACTTGTATATTGCCATCATGTTATTCTGTAAAGATGTGATATATAAAATGCTGTAAGACCTGGTACCTTTTCAATTTATAAACACAGTGAACTTCATTACTGTACATGTACTCTGCAACTACAGCTTAGCTGTAAATCCTCCACACACAATGGTATGGACATTATTCCCCCTCTATCCCCGTTAAACTGTACATCGAGACAATACAAATTTACTGTCCCACCCACCCCCTTACAAAAAAATAATACTCTAAAAGCAACCCTACTGCAACTTTTTAATTAAGACGATTACATATATTTTAGACCAATTGCTTTAAAGCAAGAAGGCAGTATAAACCTTCTAGGAAAATTTTTATAAAAGAGGTTAAGAAATATAAGACAATTTATACATTTAAAAACTTACAATAAATAAGAGAAGAGATGCAGGCATTTTTGAATACTAGATACTATAATCCATACAAGAACATCTTCATGTTCTGAAGCCATATGTTGAAATTCATTGTTCCTCATGTTTCCTCTCCATGCTTTTAATATTCATTTAACATGACTGGGTACTATGGCTCATTACTTTTCACAAATACTGTGACTGGAAAAAAAAAAGGTTAATTTTGCTACGAAAATGTTATAATACGTTTTGTATGATCAGTCATCATCCTAAAGAGTTCAATAGAGTCAATGAAAAATAGCAGGGTTATAGCCCCTCCCCCCAAGTCAAAACAATATTTGTTGAAGTAATAAGAATTAGACCCCATCACAAATGACCTTCACTGAGAAGATAATTGTAACTTAATCCTGCAGCGAAACATCCATTTTTCCTTGTTCTTTTCTTGCACAGTTCCATCAAATGAAGATCACAGCATATTCATAATAAAGTTATATAACTGATTCAGCACCACAAAATGAATTGGGAGACATGAGCGTCTGTCCTGGGTTGCAGGGTCACAGGTTAGCCAGGAGAGTGCATTGTACTGTTCCAAAACAAACCTGAAAAGCAAATAAACTGCATAAGTCATTTATTTATTTCCAACCTAGATTTTGGAAGCAGTTTTCAATTATGGCATTTAAGACTCAAAGTCACCTTAAAAAAGAGTGTAACAGAGAGTCCTTGAGGGGAAAGAAGCAATTTCCATAAAAATTATTCTCAAAAGTAGATTACTCAAGTTAGAATAGCAGTGTTTATCTAGAGATCCACTGGTACACAACTGTAAATTCTTGCCAAAAATGAGAAAAATATATAAGAATCAACATTATATTCTTTTAAAGTTGCAGTGACAAACTGTTAATGGTAAAAGAGTTGTACCTGAGGACATCTGAAGTCTGATTTGAGTCAAGTGGGTGGGAGTGTTTACTGTGAAGCAGCTCGTCAGATTGCACTGAAGGCACGTGGAGGTGCAAAGAGGCCTAAGAAGGTAACAGGTAATCAATCAGTCAGCCAAACAGAAAATAATCTGCTATTTAGTTTTACCTTATTCTCCCAATATATCTTATAAAATGATGAAATACATTTTAGTCCTATGTTATGAATGAAAGCCACTATAAAAATGCTTGTTCTCTTTTAACTAATTCATTATAGAAATGTTTTTTTTTTTTTTTTTAAGTAGGGGCAGGTTCTTGTTCTGTTGACCAGGCTGGTCTTGAACTCCTGGCCTCAAACAATCCTCCTGCCTTGGCCTCCCAAAGTGCTGGGATTACACGCATGAGCCACTGTGCCTAGCCAGAAGTGATTTTTAAGTGCAAAACTTACTTTGAATCTATTTCCTTTTCTTTAGCTTTATTGTTTTTGAGACCATACAATAATCCTTAGAAAAAGAATTTCTAATTACCTGCTAAGTCTAATTTGCCTAGATGTGCAAAGTAAATGTTTAAGGAGGCACTAAATTGAGTAGTTAAACCTGAGTAGTCTGTCCTTAAGATATATGACACCCTTTATGACTACGCAGACATACCTACGTCTAGCACTGAAAAAAGTAACAGGAATAAGCATAAGCAAATAGTTTGGTTACAGCACAATAAACCTTAAACAAGCTATCTTCGGTTGAACTGAGAACACTCTAAGTAATACAGTGCACAGATGCCTGCTTTGCCCACTCAATTTCATAATAGAGGGTAGGTAAAAACTGGCACACTCATTTAGATATGGCAATGAATAGTGGGAGAAAGGAATAAACTACTCCACACTCCAATTAAATGAGTCATTTTTTTTATAAGTCAATATAGTATTAAAAAGCTATGATAAAACAATGGTGATGTTCACTGCAGTAACTCTTGGTAGATCTCATTCTGTACACTGTATAAGGTACTATTTTATATTTAGGTGTTCTCTCCTCTGCAACTGCAATACATATAGAAACTCATGTAGTACATTTAGGAATATAACCAAAAATAGCTATGTTTCAACTGTCTACAAACTCTTGATTTATGGAGTTATAAGCAAGTCTCACACTGCAAATCACTACAAATTTTTAAAATGTAATTAGTACCAGTACTCTATTCCTATGATAAAAAGGGATCTAGCTAACAACCCATTATATTTCCAAGCAAAGAGAAACAAACCAGGTGGCTTTACTGCCTACAGTATAAAACTAAAATAAGATATATGAAAAAAAAAAGTGAACAAAAAGTATGGTAAATTATGCCTTAGGTGATAGTTCATAACCAGAAGTCCTAATCTTGTTACAATGTATCTAAGGGTGAATGCCCGCTTTATACTATCCTTTCTGCAAATAAATACTGAGTAGGAAAAGCTCTAGATAGTCCCTTGGACTTTTTGTAAAGTTGTGTTTCCTGAACACATCCCCTGAAACACTAAGATAATAAACTATTAACAGGTGTTAAATAATCCTTTCCTTGTGTATTAATAAGTTTGGGAAATGCTAGGTAAACTATCTTATTTACCTCTGTTTTTCAGACTTTAGTGTGCATACATGTATTATGACTAGAAAAGAGGACAGATAGCATGTGTAGCACCCTCCCAAAGGACCAAAGAATCCTTTGTTTTGTGGAGACACCAAAGACTACTAGTATATAGAAAATCCCTGACCTCAGGTGATCTGCCTGCCTCAGCCTCCCAAAGTGCTGGGTTTACAGGTGTGAGCCACTGCACCCGGCAGCAAGTATTTAAATTAGCATGACTTGTGGATTAAAAACAGTCAACTTCCGGTGGTTTTACATAAGAATAAGTGAGTCACGGCCGGGCGCGGTGGCTCACGCCTGTAATCCCAGCACTTTGGGAGGCCGAGGCGGGCGGATCACGAGGTCAGGAGATCGAGACCATCCCGGCTAAAACGGTGAAACCCCATCTCTACTAAAAAAATACAAAAAATTAGCCGGGCGTAGTGGCGGGCGCCTGTAGTCCCAGCTACTTGGGAGGCTGAGGCAGGAGAATGGCGTGAACCCGGGAGGCGGAGCTTGCAGTGAGCCGAGATCCCGCCACTGCACTCCAGCCTGGGCGACAGAGCGAGACTCCGTCTCAAAAAAAAAAAAAGAATAAGTGAGTCACATCTAAATTTGTTATTCTGGAACAATATTAGCAGCAGTAATATAATTCTGTATAGGGCTTTTATATCTCATTTTGTGACTTATCTCCACTTCATGTTACATTGCTTACTAACAAATTCGGTTTTGTTTTTTTGAGAGAGGGTCTCCTGTCACCTAGCTGGAGTGCAGTGGCATGATCATGGCTCACTGCAGCCTCAACCTCTTGTGCTCATGCGATCCTCCCTCCTGCCCCAGCTTTTCATGTTATTAGGACTATAGGCACATGCCACCATGCCTAATATTAAAAACTTTTTAGAGAGACAAAATTTCACTATGTTGTCCAGGCTGATCACAAACTCCTGGCCTCAAGTGATCCTCCTGCCTCGACCACCCAAAGTGCTGGGATTATAGGGGTGAATCGCTGTGCCCAGCCTGAGTTTGTTGTAATAAATCACGATGAATCTGAGAGTCTCATTACTGTATTTAAAAACCACTCAGTTTTTTTTTAACACAGCAATCTACACACAGCTAGAAAAACTTTTTTAAGTAGTAAATGAAACTAAAAATCAAGTATTACAAAGATTATAAATCTTTTTTTTGTTTGTTTGTTTTGAGATGGAATCTCACTCTGTCACCCAGGCTGGAGTGCAGTGGCGCGATCTCGGCTCACTGCAACCTTTACCTGCCGGGTTCAAGTGATTCTCCTGCCTCAGTCTCCCAAATAGCTAATTTGCACGTGCCACCACGCCTGGCTAATTTTTTTGTAGTTTTAGTAGAAACGGGGTCTCACCATGTTGGCCAGACTGGTCTCAAACTGCTGACTTTGTGATCCACCTGCCTCAGCCTCCCAAAGTGCTGGGATTACAGGCATGAGCCACTGCGCCCAGCCCAAGATTATAAATCTTTTATTCCCCAAAATAATGCAGCATAACAGCAGTGCAGTATGATGTAATTCAAAGAATAACATAATAATCATTAAAAGACCCAGGTTTCAGTCTTGAGTCTATTACCAATTTATGACTTTAAACAGGTGAGTTTTTCTGAACTTAAATATGCTCACCTAGAAAATGAGAAGGTTAGACAGAGGTAATATAAAGTTTCTCTCAGCTCTAAATTTCCATATATGCAGTTGAAACAGATTGAGCATCTCCAATTTGAAAAAATCCAAAAATGGAAACAATTCTGGTCCCAAGCATTTCGAATAAGGGATACTCAATCTACACTAACAACAAGGGCCCTAGGAGTTTGACTTAGGAATAAAGTTCTAAAAATATAAATTTAAAAACTAGTTGTTTTTTTTTTTTTTGAGACAGAGTCTCAGATATTGTCACCCAGGCTGGAGTGAAGTGGTACGATCTCGGCTCACTGCAACCTCTGCCTCCCAGGTTCAAGCGATTCTCCTGCCTTAGCCTCCCGAGTAGCTGGGACTACAGGCGCCCGCCACCACACCTGGCTAATTCTTGTATTTTCAGTAGAGACGAGGTTTCGCCATGTTGGCCAGGCTGGTCTCAAACTCCTGACCTGAGGTAATCTGCCTGCCTCGGCCTCTCAAAGTGCTGGCATTACAGGCGTGAGCCACCGTGCCTTCGTGATCTTGTTTAAAGAGTCACATATGGCAGTGCATTTAAGAACTTAGACAAGCTATAAGACTTAAAAAAGCCACTTCTATATTTCTCAGGACTTAGGCTGTCAATCAGAATTATTTAGGAACTGGGACAGAAATGGCAATACCTTAAGAAAAAGGGGACACTGATATTGTGCTTGAGGACATGCTGACCAGAACCAGTCAGGTAATGGACCTGCTTTGGCAGTTGATACAAAGTAACCAAGGGCCAATGGTTGCTGAAGAATATTAGGTACTTCCTCATGAGGTTCTGTTGATAGTAGCCGATCAGTACTCTGACCCTTAAAAAGACAAAATTAAAAGTATATTAGTTCACTCAGTGTAACTAAGTACCAGATATAAACACAGAATGGCTCATAGCAATCAGTCTCATTATCTTATGACATCGATTTAATAAAATACTGAAGGATATTGAAAAAAAACCAGTTTCTATGTACTTAGGAGTATTATAAGTAAAAGCATTAATAGAACATATTTTAAGGATTGCATGATATGCCAACTGTTTAACAAGTCTGTATTATTATGCCAAGTTCACGGGAAAGTTTGTAAAACTTCACAGATGAGTAAAAAATACAAAATTTTCAATGACATCTTTAACTTTTTTGCTAATATTCCTTTAAGTCCTGAAAACCACACCCCAATCAAAAGGTGGATTCAATTTAGCTTTGTTAATCTAGCACTATCTATAAAATGCAGTTAATAGTGTTGTGAAAATTATTATGGCAACATGAAGGGACAACTACCAAGTCACATGCATATCCTTTGGATTAGTTAATGTATTTCTTGGTATTTAAAAATAGATAAAATAAAAATAATATGCATGAAAACGTTCATTACATCATTATCTATAACAAAAAAAAATCTTACATGTCCAATATTTTGGGAAGGACATAAATTAGGGTATAGCAAAAATGCAATATTTAAAACCTCATTATACTTATTGAAAATTGCAACATAAACGTATGTGGAAAGAAGATAATTTGCTTAAAAGTAAAAATGGTTTTATTAAGGTGGTGGGATTACTGGTGCTTTTTGTTATATGTATTTCCTATCTAATTTCTTTGCAGTTACAAAAAGGAGGAAGGAATGCAAAGTAAGACTGGAAAGATCCTTCCTTACTTTAAAAGGGTAAATTTTATACCTATGCATACTACAATAATCAAATCACCAGTATATATAATTTCTTTTCTTTTTTTTTGAGATGGAGTCTCGCTCTGTCGCTTAGGCTGGAATGCAGTGGTGCGATCTCGGCTCACTGCAAGCTCCACCTCCCGGGTTCACACCATTCTCCTGTCTCAGCCTCCTGAGTAGCTGGGAGTACAGACGCCTGCCACACCTGGCTAAGTTTTGTATTTTTAGTAGAGATGGGGTTTCACTGTGTTAGCCAGGATGGTCTCAATCTCCTGACCTCGTGATCCGCCTGCCTCAGCCTCCCAAAGTGCTGGGATTACAGACGTGAGCCACCGCGCCCAGCCCAGTATATATAATTTCAAATAGAGAGGTGTTATTAACTGAAGCCCAGTTCGTTTTTACTTCAAATATAAGGACAAGACAGCCTGCTTCCATAACTGCTAAAGATAAAAAGGGGGAGTAGATGGTCAGTGTTTTATCTGGTCTTATGAGAAAATTAATATTTTTATTATATTCCTTGTCACAGCCCTGATATGAATGGCTGCTCTTAGAGTTATATATAGTGATTCTGAAAGATACTGTGATCCTACATCTGAGTAAAAAGCTATGGTGAACTGCCACAAAAACTACAAAAAAATGACTAATGCCAAATGGTCTAGAAAATACGGATTCAGGGAAAGTAGAGCCTTAGAGATTCTCTTAAAAATGTGCAATTCAAAGTACTGATGTCCATGATGTAGAAATGCATGAATGTACTGTTAATTAATCTCAACTCTTGCTAATTTCCAAGGAAAAATAGTATTGCATTTCATATATTAATCCATTACTAAGTTAAGGAATGGCAATTGGATGATCTCGGCTCACTACAACCTCTGCCTCCCAGGTTCAAGTGATTCTCTTGCCTCATCCTCCTGAGTAGCTGGGACTACAGGTGCGTGCCACCTTACCCGGCTATTTTTTACATTTTTAGTAGAGATGGGGTTTCACCATATTGGCCAGGCTGGTCTCAAACTCCTGACCTCGTGATCCACCTGCTTCGCCCTCCCAAAGTGCTGGGATTTTAGGCGTAAGCCACTGCGCCCGGCCGAGAAAAACTAAAACTTGTAACACAGTTACCTTGCCCGCATCACCTCCATGGGGGTAATGAGATCCTGGAGAATGTACAGGAGAACCAGTTGGAGAAGCAGGAAGGATATTAATGATATCAGGGTCAAGATCATCTCCTGTGTCTAACAAATCAAAGATACCCATTCCATCTGCTCCATCTAAACAGGAGAAAGAAAAGAAATTTAAAACTCCATTTTCCATATCCTATGGTCATTCACAGGAAAGGGTCAAAATAAATGAAATTTTAACCAAAATGGGTTAATTTAACCAACATTTACTGAGTGTCTACCATGTGCCAAGTATTGTGCTAAAAGCCGTACAAATAATTATGCATAAACAAGCATGTGGTAGTCTGAATAATGGCCCCCCAAAGATGTCCACATCCTAATCCCAGGAATCTAAGAATATGTTACCATAAAAGACTTTGCAGATGTGATCAAGCTAAGGATCTTGAGATGGGGAGATTATTCTGGATTATCCGGGTGGGTCCAATGTAATCACAGGGGTCCTAATAAGAGGGAGGCAGTAGGGTTAGAGCCAGTGAAGGAGATGTGATGACACTATACTGCTGGCATCCAGGATAGAGGAAGGGACCATGAGCCAAGGAATGCAAGTAGCCTGTAGAAACTGACAAAGGCAAGGAAACATTTTCCCTTAGGACCTCCAGAAAGTAATCAATCCTGCTGATATTTTGACTTTGGCCCAGTGAGACTGATTTTGGACTTCTGACTTCCAGAACTGTAAGATAAAATAAATGCGTGTTGTTTTAAGCCACTAAATGTGTAGTACTTTGTTAGAGCAGCAATAGGAAACTAATACAAAGCAAACATAGTACAAACAAAATGAAAATGTGTTTAAAGTGGGACTACAGTATTCCCCCTTATCCATGGGGAATATGTCCCAAGACCCACCCCCATACCCACATAGATTCCTGAAACCAAGGATAGTACCAAATCCTATATACTGGTTTTTCCTTTACGTACACACCTATGATGGAGTTTCAATGATAAATTAGGTACAGTAAGAGATTAACAACGAGAATATTAGAACAATTATAGCAAGGTACTATAATAAAAGGTATGTGAATGTGGTCTCTCTCTCTCTCTTTCAAACTATCTTATTGTACTGTACCCATGGGCAACTGAAATCATGTAAAGCAAAACCAAAGATAAGGAGGATTACTGTATTTACGAATAATACCATGTTCTTTATTAAGTAAAATATTCGAGTTATTATATAACACACGAAAACAAGAGAGCATAATAACCATACTTGTGACTTTAGAGATGTGAGAGTTTTTAAGGTAGCTCAGAATAACAATAAAATCTTCTTTATTTTCTCTTCTACTAAAATGCAATCTATAAATTCACCTGGAAAAGCTACGTCCCTACTTTGGCAGTTTATATAAATTACATTATTTTGGCAAATCAACATAAGAGATATATAAAATGAGTTCATGTACAGGTACCTCAAAAGCACAAGGGTAAACCTATACAAATATTTTGTGACCAACTATTGCCTTTTAAAATAAGTAAAGATGGCTGGGCATGGTGGCTCATGTTTATAATCCCCGCACTTTGGGAGGCCAAGGTGGGTGGATCATTTGAGGTCAGGAGTTTGAGACCAGCCTGGCCAACATGGTGAAACCCCATCTCTACCAAAAATACAAAAATTAGCCAGGCATGGTGGCATGTGCCTGCAATCCCAGCTACTCGAGAAGCTGAGGCACGAGCATCGCTTGAACCCAGGAGGTGAAGGCTACAGTAGGCTGAGATCGTACCACTGCACTCCAGCTTGGGAGACAGAGTGAGTGAGACTCTGTCTCAAAAAATTTTTAAAAAGTAAAGATTTATGGGATAATTCACAGCACCAGTTCTGATATCAACAAGGTGAAAGAATGATTGTATTAGTTTCCTGTTGCCACTTTAATAAGTTACCACAAACTGTTGGCTTAAAAACAACACATATTTATTTTCTTACAGTTCTGGAGGCCAGAAGTCTGAAATCAGTTTCGTTGGACTGCAATCAGGATGTTGGCAAGGCTGAAAGGGATAATCTGTTTCCTTGTCTTTTTCAGAGTCTAGAACTATATTCTTTGGCTCATGGGCTCTTTCACCATCTTCAAAGTCAGCAACATAGCATCTTCTCCCTTTGACTTTGCTTCCCACTGTTTCCACCACATGGCTTTCTTCTCTTCTATGTAGTCAAACCTCCTTCTGCCTCCTTCTTATAAGAACACATGTTATCGCATTAAGGGCCCACCTGCGTAATTGAGGATAATCTCTCCATCTCAAGATCCTTAACTTATCACATCTGCAAAATCATTTTTTGGTAAAACAAGGTAACATTCACACGTTTCAGGTATTGGACATGAATTTATTTTGGGGGGTATTCTTCAGACTACCAAAATGGAACAAATTACGTACCATTGTTGGGATTGAAAGCTAAATCCAAATTTTCAGTGGTATAAGTAGCTGAAGCTACTTGCACAGAAGCAGAAGTAGGAAACACAAGTATATGAGTACATGATGTATCCTGTGGGGTATTTAGCTGAGATGTCTGCATATTTAGAGTCGTGCTTCTTCCAAATACAGAACCAGTTGACACAGAATCTGAAAATGAAAGACATTTTTTCTTTTAATAAACGAAGAATAAATTGTATATAATACTTAAAAACTTAACTGCATAAAGAATTAAATCTGATATAAACTAAAGATAGCTAACCTGGCATAATAACAAAAGAGCCTTGCGGCTCCATTGCCACCAAGCAAGCACTGAGAATGCTAGGGGAGTCTGCAGCAGATATACCACACATTCTACACATGTCTTTGAGCCTTTTACTTAGAGACTGCAAGTTTCGACGACTCAGCAAACAGCTCCAATCTGTGGGTATCAACAGTAAAAAAAAAAAAAAAAAAAAAAAAAATCAAAGTAACAGCATTATTAATATCCTGTAGAACCAAGTTAAAGTTAAAATATAAAAATAGTTAATGGCTTTTAAATTAGTGTATTCCTCCAACACGAGTCATCATCAAGCCAAAATTCTTACTGCTGATGCTACTGAACATTCTTTATCCCCCTAATATTAGGATACACCAAATTCAATTGGTATCTGCTCAACAGAGGATGAGTTAAATAACAATCAGAAAGTGGAAAAAACAGAAAACAATTAAGAACAGCAGTAATAAGACTGATATTAAAGTTAAAATAAGAGTAAAATGTCTTTTTAAAATTTGAATTAAGCCATTTGTGGCCTAGACATATGTGGTTCCTTATTTGATAACCTTTGCATTTTATTCAACATATATACCTAGACGTGGTCAGAACTGTGTGTGAATTTACATAAAACGGAAATATAAATACTAATAAAAGCACAATTTTACCTTTCAATTCTCCATGACCAATCCTTCCTAGACGACCAATTACAACTCTCCATGGCAATGAACTCATTTGTACAAGTCCTAAGCACCACTCCCAAAGTTTCTGTAGACCAAATTTTCTAGCAGAACTTTTTTTCCGACGAGCCCTATTGTGTGAATAAAGAGAGTGTCATAAATATTTCTAAAATTTATATGATTTTGCTGTTGTTGTTTTTTTGAGATGGAGTCTCACTCTGTCACCCAGGCTGGATGGAGTGCAGTGGTGCGATCTCGGCTCACTGCAACCTCCACCTTCACGGGTTTAAGTGATTCTCCTGCCTCAGCCTCATGAATAGCTACAACTACAGGTGTGTGCCAACACACCCAGCTAATTTTTTGTATTTTTAGTAGAGACGGGGTTTCACCGCGTTAGCCAGGATGGTCTCGAGCTCCTGACCTCGTGATCTGCCTGCCTCGTCCCCTCAAAGTGCTGGATTACAGGTGTGAGCCACCGTGCCATCCCGACATTTTAAGAGAGCTCAAATTTGTGAAAAACAGATCTCCTTAATTTTAGTGCTTCACAAAACCTTTACGTAAGTCCTAAGCGAGAATATTCATAAAATCATAGGTTTGGCATCTGAGTTTGCTTTTCTATTTCACATTATAATATATAAATTTTTAAAAAAATTTGTCTATAAAACACCTCAATTCATCAGCAATACTGCTCTACGCCAGGGATTTTTTGTTTTTTTGATGGAGTCTCACTCTGTCGCCCAGGCTGGAGTGCAGTGGCACAATCTCGGCTCACTGCAACCTCTGCCTCCCGGGCTCAAGTGATTCTCCTGCCTCAGCCTTCCGAGCAGCTGAGATTACAGGCACACACCACCACGTCTAGCTAATTTTTGTATTTTTAGCAGAGAGGGGGTTTCACCATGTTGGCCAGGCTGGTCTCAACTCCCGACCTCAGGTGATCCTGTCTCAGCATCCCAAAGTGTTGAGATTACAGACATGAGCCACTGCGCCTGGCCCAGTAAACTTTTTATTTTTTTTTTTGAGACGGAGTCTTGCTCTGTCGCCTAGGCTAGAGTGCAGTGGCATGATCTCTGCTCACTGCAACCTCCGCCTCCTGGGTTCAAGTGATTCTCCTGCCTCAGCTTCCCGAGTAGCTGGGATTACAGGCGCCCGCCACCACACCCGGCTAATTTTTGTATTTTTAGTAGAGATGGGGTTTCACTATCTTGGCCAGGCTGGTCTAGAACTCCTGACCTCGTGATCCGCCCGCCTTGGCCTCACAAAGTGCTAGGATTACAGGCGTGAGCCACCCTGCTTGACCCAGCAAACTTTTTTTAAAGAGCCAATACTTCAAATGGAAATAGCCAGATTTGGTCCATGGGCTGCAGTAAGCAATCCCTGTTCTATACTATAAGTTGAAGACTGACCAAAACACCACACTTCTCAGTCCAAACAACATTGTTACATGTTTTCTGCATACATGTCCTTCACTAGCCAAATATGCAACATAAGCACTCTTTGGCTGAGCAACAGTGGCTATTACTTTTTTTTCTTTTGAGACGGAGTCTCACTCTGTCACTCAGGCTGGAGTGCAGTGGTGCGATCTCAGCTCACTGCAAGTTCCGCCTCCTGATTTCACGCCATTCTCCTGCCTCAGCCTCCCGAGTAGCTGGGACTACAGGCGCCCGCCACTACGCCCAGCTAATGTTTTGTATTTTTAGTAGAGATGGGGTTTCACTGTGTTAGCCAGGATGGTCTCGATCTCCTGACCTTGTGATCCGCCCGCCTCGGCCTCCCAAAGTGCTGGGATTACAGGCGTGAGCCACCGCGCCCAGCTGGCTATTACTTATTATTTTTTTGACACGGAGTCTAACTCTATCACCCAGGCTAGAGTGCAATGGTATGGTCTCGGCTCATGGCAATTTCCACCTCCTGGGTTCAAGCTATTCTCCCGCCTCAGCCTCCTGAGTAGCTGGGACTACAGGCGCGTGCGACCACACCCCACTAATTTTTGTTTTTTGGTTATTTTTGAGACAAGAGTCTCGCTCTGTTGCCAGGCTGGAGTGCAGTGGTGTGATCTCGGCTCACTGCAACCTTCGCTTCCTGGGTTCAAGGGATTCTCCTGCCTCAGCCTCCCAAGTAGCTGGGACTACAGGCGTGTACGACCACACCCAGCTAATTTTTGTATTTTTAGTAGAGACAGGGTTTCAGCATGTTGGCCAGGATGGTCTTGATCTCTTGACCTCGTGACCTGCCCACCTTGGCCTCCCAAAGTGCTGGGATTACAGGCGTGAGCCACCATGCGAGGCCTAATTTTTGTATTTTTAGTATAGACGGGGTTTCATTATGTTGGCCAGGCTGGTCTCAAACTCCTGACCTCAGGTGATCCGCCCACCTTGCCCTCCCAAAGTGTTGGGATTACAGGCATAAGCAACCGTGCCCAGCCAACAGTGGCTATGACTTACTGAGCACTTACTATGTACCATCCATTGTGCCCAATCAATTTACATGTAATACCTCATTTCATCCTAACAACTCTATGAGACAAATAAAATTATCCTCTAGACTTTACAGATAAGTAAGCTGTATCTCAGCTGCATAAGGGTAGTTTTTCCAAGGTCAGTAGTGGCAGGTTTGGGATTTGAGCCCAGGTCTCTCTGACTCCATCACTGCCCCTCTTTTTTTTTTTTCTTTAAGACAGACTTTCGCTCTTGATGCCCAGGCTAGAGTGCAATAGCACAATCTCGGCTCACTGCAACCTCCGCCTCCTGGGTTCAAGTGATTCTCCTGCCTCAGCCTCCCAAGTAGCTGGGATTAAAGGCATATGCCACCATGCCTGGCTAATTTTTTTGTATTTTTAGTATTTTTAGTAGAGTCAGGGTTTCACCATGTCAGTCAGGCTGGTCTCGAACTCCTGACCTCAGGTGATCCACCTGCCTTGGCCTCCAAAGTGCTGAGATTAGAGGCATGAGTCACCATGCCCAGCCCCATCATTGCCCCTCTTAACCATTATCTCACTTCTACTTTATCAAGGTAGTAAAATGATAATACTATTTTGATAATGAAAAGGGTGGTATTTTTTTTCTCTACTTTCTCATACTTCACAGATTAGCATATTCTTTCCCGAGTTCACTTAATCAGTATAAATATCCAATTAAAAAAATCAAAATTGTATCAAGGAAATAAGATACGAAGCACTGTTCTAAGGTTTATAATATAAAGCTTAACATACTTGTTAATGTTTATAATCAATAATATAAAATTAATGTTTCTATCTTCTGCTTCCCCAGCACCATTAAAGACCTAATAATCATTAGATATTTCTGCATATATTTAACTTCTCACCTAAAAAACAAGCTTTTATATAATAAGGAAGAAAATAAACGATAGAACCCAAATCTTTTTTTTTTTTTTTTTTTTGAGACAGGGTCTTACTCTGTCGCCCACGTTAAAGTGCAGTGGTGCAATCTCAGCTCACTGCAGCCTCGACTTCCTGGGCTCAAGTGATCCTTCTGCCTCAGTCTCCCGAGTAGCTGTGACTACAGGTGGGCCACTATGCCCAGCTAATATTTGTATTTTTGTAGAGACGGGGTTTCGCCATGTTGCCCAGGCTGGTCTCGAACTCCTGGACTCAAGTGATCCGCCTTGTCTCAGCCTCCCAAAGTGCTGGGATTACAAGCAGGAGCCACCACGTCTGGCCAGAACCCAAATCTTAAAACTAAAAATCATTTCACGAATTTGCTTTTCAGGTTCTCCTGTACAGCGTTCACTAGCCTTGAAAACATGTTTCAAGTCTCTACTAAAGGCTTGAAATGTTTATTAAGTGATAACTCAAAATGAGGCTCACCTGTTGTGACCTATTAGTTATATCCTTCGTAAATAACTGGGCGTGATATTTACTGCCAAGAATTCTAAAATGGTCATCATATTCTGAAGACAACCAAACTTTTTTTTTTTTTGAGACAGAGTCTCATTCTTGTCACTCAGGCTGGAATGCAATGGCGTGATCTTGGCTCACTGCAACCTCCGCCTCCCAGAGATTCAAGTGATTCTCCTGCCTCAGCCTCCTGAGTAGCTGGGATTATAGGCAACCACCACCACACCCGGCTACATCCTAACATTTAAATGATAAAATTTTAAATCGCCAATTTTAGTAAATGAAGTTAACTTACTCAGTTTATTAGGGGCTATATCTTAGATGGTACATGAGAAAAGTTTAAATGTTCTATAGATACTTTACTAGACCATTTTTTTACATCTTTCAAAAATGTTCAGCTAAAATAATTGCCTCAAGCTTTATGACACAGAAGTTAGTGACCTTAATCTTTTTTGTTCATATAATAGATTAATCAAAATTATTTTTAATTATGTTAGTTATACAATATAAACATTCACTAAAGAAAAAAGTAAAAAGCACCCACAACCCCACATCTTAATATTTTAATATATATAAAACCTTCAAACTGGTTTTCTATTCATTAAAAATGAAACAAAATGTTACAAATGGAATGATATGATATATTTAGGGAAATACAAATACCTATTTGGAACATCGATGTTAATGATACAAGTTTCTAAAAGTTCTCCATATAGATCTGTGCAAGATGCAAGAATCCACCTTTGATCATGTGATAAACAGTATCCCACAAAAAGAACATTATATTTCTGTCCAGCTTCTCCAAATGTTTCTCCTAGCTCTGTCTGTTTGTCCTTCACTGGAGCCAGAATAAAAGGAGGTGCATAAAGTCGAATACACTCTGGTCTCTATAAAATAAAAAATTAAGGTATTATCATACTATACAATCTTAGAGAAATATTGCATTTAAAATGTAATTCTTATCTACCCAATTATAAGATAATTGGAAAATGACAGCTAAGCCAAAAATTGCACTTAGTTTTGCATAGTATCATAAAAATGTTGGCAGGGCACGGTGGCTCGTGCCTGTAATCCCAGCACTTTGGGAAGCACAGGTGGGCGATCACCTGAGGTCAGGAGTTCGAAACCAACCTGGCCAACATGGTGAAACTCCTCCCACACACAAAATTAGCTGGGCAAGGTGGCGCATGCCTGTAATCCCAGCTACTCAGGAGGCTGAGGCAGGAGAATCGCTTGAACCCAGGAGGCAGAGGTTGTGGTGAGCTGAGATTGCCCCACTGCACTCCAGCCTGGGTGACAAAGCAAGGCTCCATCTCAAAAAAAAAAAAAAAAAAAAAAGGTATGTATAGTCATTGAACTTCGGTCATGAAAAACATATACTTACATCAGGACTTCTAAGGGCAGTTTCCATGGCTAAACCTGGACCAAAGCCAGTCAATGTTTTCACATTGGTTGATGTTGGAAGTGGCCTCCGACACTGGGTAAAGGCCGAAAAAGCCAGGGATTTTAAATGCTGGGGATAGATTTCTCTATCTTCATGCTTCACAGGTTGCAACAGGTACTGACAAGGAATAATCTAAGAAGTATAGGCAAATATTACAAATGTTAAACTTCCAAAAGAGAATAACAGGAACTGTGGGTCTAAAACTCTAAAAACTTTTTACTAGAAAATTTACACAAAACCTAATTTAAATGAAAATTTAACGATTGTTTTCTTATCTATTATGTAGGCTTTTAATAAGTAGCCAATTTTACCAATGGGTTCTGAATTAAAGGACTATTTAAAACCTATAAAACTTTCTGGCCAGGTGTGGTGGCTCACACCTGTAATCCCAGCACTTTGGGAGGCCGAGGTGGGCAGATCACCAGGTCAAGAGATAGAGACCATCCTGGCCAACATGGTGAAACCCTGTCTCTACTAAAAACACAAAAATGAGCTGGGTGTGGTGGCATGCGCCTGTAGTCCCAGCTACTCAGGAGGCTGAGGCAGGAGAATCTCTTGAACCTGGGAGCTGGAGGTTGCAGTGAGCCGAGATCACGCCACTGCACTCCAGTCTGGCGACAGAGCGAGACTCTGTCTCAGAAAAAAAACAACAACAAAAAACTGTAAAATTTTCTATATAACAATTATATTAATAATGCCATTGACTAGTCCTGTTGAAGTCTATAAAATAAATTCAAAATTTCTTCTAACAACTTAATATGGTTAATTGCTTTCTCCTTTTCTTGCAACCTGTCTTGTTTAGGTACATGCTACATTTTTCTATTTAGGCTCATGAATTTAAAAATTGGCTTATAAAAGTAACACAGGAGAAACATTTAATGTACTTAATGGAATTTTTTTATTCTGTATTATTACTGTCATATGACTATAAAGTTTATCTTTTATAAATTCTCTAAGATTTATATTATGATATTAAAGTAAAATCAATATAATAGAACTTGGCTTTTAGATAATCAATTTGAATACAGAAAAGTAGTATCTGAAACTTCTGACAACATTAAACTGTTTTACATAATTTTAACTCACAACATCTATCACTCTTACCTGTACAGAAACAGTACTCTTGATATGAGGAGGAAGAGTCTGGACCATTTCTAGAAAGCATCGAAGTAGCCCCAATGTCCACACACTAGAAGAGTTAGTGCTCTCGTCTGTATTTTCGTATGTAAAAGGATCAATTATATAAACAACAATTGCAGGTGGATACGTGACTGCATGTGAATCACCATCTGTGGGGATTCCCACTTTATCCCGATCCATCGTGCTAAAATTTAAGGTAGAAATGAGACAAAAAGTTGTACTGTATATGCTTGGGGTAGCATCTAAGCAGGTTCTTAATATCCCCCTCCTCCCTCTTTTTTGGTGAAAGGTGTCAGAAAGCCTCTCTAAAAATGAAGGACATTTCTTTCTCGCCAAAATGAACCATAAACATTGTACATACAATTTCACAGTGTATAAAGACACTTGCCTTAAGAGGTCTTGCCTTAAATTTACCAAAAAAAAAAAAAAAAAAAAAAAAAAAAGAAAGAAAAGAAAAAAAATTCTTAAAACCATAGGGTAAGGGTATTAGATACAAAAGATGGCTTAGAGTTTAAGGGATAAAACTGAGACAAAGATAGGTCTCTTTGTCTGAGGCTATCTCAAATAGCTTACCAAATTTATAAAGGTGGCTACAGGTAGAGCTAGGCCAGAAAGAAACCACGTTTCCAGACTTATTTAATGTTCTAGTACATTTTCAGACTCTCTCTCTCTATATATGTGTATATATATATCTTTTTTTTGAGATGGGAGTCTCACTATGTTGACCAGGTTGGTCTTGAACTCTTGGTCTCAAGCAACCCTCCTGCCTTAGCCTCTCAAAGTGCTAGGATTACAGGCATGAGCCACTTCACCTGGTCCCATTTTTAGACTATATACATTTATTTCATACTTTACAGCTTCAATGGTGTACAAGTTTCATTCTTTGATGGGTGATTTGATTTTTTTACACTTCAAATCTATTCATATGTTCAAGATGAGTGTATCAATCTCGATAATGGTTTGTTTTTACCCACATATGAGTATAATTTTGGGCACAACTGCATCCTGGGTAGCTGACAGATATAATTAAGCTCTGGCCAACTTGGCCTATAAATCAAAAGGGAAGATCAAAACCTTCATCAAAAAAGGAATGAGAGCTGTCATAATCATTCTTGTCACTATAAATAACTTGGAATCACTGTGTAAAGTACTTAATGTATATTATATCATATTACTCTCATCTTACAGATAAGAAAACATGCTCAGAAAGTTAGAGTTTCCCCGAAGTCACAAAGCAGGTAAATGGCAGAGCTGAGATTCAAACCTCAGTACAACTCTAAAGCCTCTAAATAGAGTGGGTCAATAGTGACTTCTCAATCACCAGAGTGATTTGCACAGGCAAATCTACTTGACAATTATGCCACAGAAGACTCAAATGTCATATGGGTATCTGGACTATATGGTTTTCAAGCTCTTAATTCCCACCCTCAGATTCTAGAATTCTATGATACTTTATGAAGTAAAGTCCTCATTATAATTTTATACATAAAATATTCAACACTAGGCCGGGTGCGATAGCTCATGCCTGTAATCCCAGCACTTTGGGAGGCTGAGGCAGGCAGATTGCTGAGTCCAAGAGTTCCAGACCAGCCAGGGCAACAGGGTGAAACCACATCTCTACAAAAAAGTAGCTGGGCATGGTGGTGCATGCCTGTAAGTCCCAGCTACTCAGGAGGCTGAGGTGGGAGGATCACCTGAGCCCAGGAGGTCGAGGCTGCAGTGAGCCGTGATCACGCCACTATACTCCAGCCTGGGTGACAGAGTGAGACCTTGTCTTAAAAAAAGATACAAACTAAAATTTCAAGACTAAGATAAAAAAGCACTTTATGCTCATTCAAAACGTCTTATTTAGAAAAAAAGCAGCATGGCTGGGCGTGGTGGCTCACGTCTGTAATCCCAGCACTTTGGGAAGCCATGGTGGGTGGATCACCTGAGGTCAGAAGTTTGAGACCAGCCTGGTCAACATGGCAAAACCCTGTCTCTACTAAAAATACAAAAATTAGCCAGGCGTGGTGGCACATGCCTGTAATTCCAGCTACTAGGGAGGCTGAGGGAGGAGAATCACTTGAACTCGGGAGGCAGAGGTTGCAGTGAGTGCAGATCCCACCACTGCAGTACAGCCTGCGCAAAAGAGTGAGACTGTGTCTCAAGAAAAAAAAAGAAAGAAGCAGCATCATAGTTTTTATATTTCTGCAAAAATCAGTATTTTTAAAGGTACCTTTCAGACACATCAGGATGCGGCTGAGTGGGAAGTGAAGATGATTCTCCAGAAATCCCAGCTGTCTGTAGAGCTGATGTCTGTTGCCCTCCTAGCTGACCACTCTGAACTGTATTTGCTTGTGTAGACATGGATCCTGCAGCATTACTGTTCATACTGCCAAAGGGTGGAAACGAAGGTAGTTTATTTGATGATACTCCACTATTCAAGTTGGAGGATGATGAAGATGAAGTTGAAGCTGTGGTCAAAGTTGAATTAGCTGTGGCAACTGAAGTAGATATGGCAACACCTGAAGTCACTGTCATAGTGCTGCTCGCTGCAGATGCTAAGGTGGCAGATGGAGTATTAGCATTTCCAGTATTTGTCATCTGAGGTGGAGTAATCAAAGACTGACTTGTAGGGGCAACTAAATTTGGCTGGGAAAGTAGAGAGCTGTCCAATGGCAGGGAAGCAAGATAAGGACCTAAAGAATAAAAACAGGTACGAAATTTAATTCTTTATTTCACTGACTGGTTTTTTTAAATTCTACTGTGTAAACAGAATCATAATCCAGTTGATGTTTTCTTGGTAATTATAGCCCCGAAATTGCTTGCTAATGGTGTGACCTACACTTGCTTTCTATTTTCCCCTAGAGACTGAAGAAACATATTTAAAATGGAATTGAAAAAGCCAGAATTTTCACTCAAAATTAAAGAAATGATTACTATGAAAGTGTAACAAAATTCTATTTTCTAAGTATAATTAAATGTAAAAAAGGTATCTAGCAATATTCATCAAACTATTCAAAGGGTTTCTAAATCACAAATCAAATAAATATTGACTACATTGACAGCTAATTAAAATATAAAATGGTATAATGTTATGGGGTTCAAATTATAGGAATGTCTAATGAGATTCAATATTTTGGTTCTGCATCTCTTTGGATTAAGTCTAAAGGAAGTCCACTGATCTTTATTTTCAAGAGTATTTATAAGCAATACAGTTAGGCACGGGTAGAATGAAAGAAAAAAAGTATGTAACAAGCAAGTCTTAAACAGCTGTCGTTTTCTTAGCTACAACAAAGAACTATTTCTTGGTTTGGTAGAGATTAACTATAAATTATTTTATCTCTAAACTGTAACAAATGAAGAATCTTCAAGTTATTAAAACATCAGACCCTACAGAGGCAACAGAAAATTTATTTATAACCCATAATTTCTTCCTACCTGATGGGATCCCTCATTAGGGATCAGCAAACTTGTTCTGTAAAGGGTCAGATAATAAATATTTTTGTCTTTGCAGCCACACAGTCTCTATGAAAACTACTCAGCTCCAATGTTGTAGCACAAAAGCAGCCAGAGAAAATACATAAATGAGGATGGCTGTGTTCCAATAAAATTTTATCTACAAAAACAGCTGGTGGAGCAGGCCACATTTTGCTAACACCAGCCTTATACAATAAATACAAATTCAATACCTAGGTCATATCTGCAGACTTGTGCATAAAGCTTGAGTTTAGAAAATGCTTCATTGTTACCGTCAGCTGCCTGAGAAAACCATTCTGCTACCAACTTTTCTGATAGTTTCTTTGATGCAGTAGATCCAACTCTCATGATCCCATCTGTTAACAGTCGAGAAACAGGTCTATGTTGACCTAATCGACAGGACTACAAATATACATACAGAAAGCAGAATTAGTAAATTTATTATTGTATTTAGATACACATTATAAAACCAACCATGAAAGCTACTTAAAATAAGCTTAACCATTTGCAATTAACAGTTATGATAAAAATATCAAGGGTGTTTTTAGAAGTAGGCCAAAAAAATAAACATATCAAGGGTGAAATGGTGCCATAGGTCTTTTTCATTTTTACATTAGAAATTCATTAATTTTTTTTCAAAATTAAAATATCTCTAATGAAAAAACACCTAGATAACAATAGTACTAGAACCATTTTGTTTGAATAAAAGCTTGCAGAATGCAGACATAAGTGAGCATAAAAATGCAGTCATTTTAGGTATACATTAACACCAATTCATGAATTATGAATACAAATATCCCTAAATCAAAGCAAAATAAAAATTGTTATACAAATATATTTATACACCTTCTCCCTCTAGTTCTGTGAGTCACTGATTTTTGTTATTAGAAGCCCAATGTTAAATAAATTTAAAACATTGGATTAAGCAAACTTAGAAGAGTTCTTTACTGTAAGAATTTCAAAGCCTTTAAAAACCTAATATGAATTGTAAATCTCTAAAAGGTAATATAATATACAATGTTTCCCCAAGCCTATTTAACTATGGAACTTTTTCTCTGAGAGGATTTTACCGGACTGATATTCCAAATAACACCCTTTGGGAAATGTTTATTTATTAAAAACACACTACAAATACCTTGTAATTATGTGGAAAATTTTAAAAGGAAGCTAAACTAACATACACTAACATTCAGATTGTATAAGGAATCAAAATTTAAAGACTAAATTTCGAAGCCTTTGTGGAAAAAGGAGGGAATAATAAAGTAAGACTTTATGTCCCATAACACTTATAATTTACAATTATTGCGCCTGGTGATGGATATGTGAGAATTATAACTTAAAAGAAGAGGCAAGAATTTCAGACCTGAAATGGACCTTAGTGATATCTAGCATAGATTTATTTTACATATGAGGAAAGTGAGGCCTAGTGTCACTACCTGAAATCCTAGAGAATAAAGACTAGAATTTTTGTAAATGTAACTTTTTTCCTGGCTATTTAACATTGTTACCCTTTGTTTTAGAAAAAGCCACATTAAAAGGGATATATATCTATATGCCCTCAATGTTTCTTCCTCCTATAGGGGGATAGCCACTCTGACCCACGGCATACACATCTAACAGACTGGGTCAAACTCAGCAAAGAATGTAACTGGCTAGTATGAGAAATAAACATCTAATCTGACATCATCACTGTGTCCCAATCAACTGAACTGCCCAGTATGCTGTATATACAACAATACAAATCGTAAGGTAGTTTTAAAATGTCATCTCTTTTTAAACACCTACCTCATATATTGCAGTAAGATCTCTAAAAAAGCTTTTTGCTCCATTTAACAAGGCTTCATTTTCTGGACACAGTACAACATAGGCTATATCTCTTTGAGATCCATAGGGTTCCAGCATAAGTCTCTCCCAATAAGGAAGAGCAAATGGAGAAAGCACCAGATAATCATAATCATAACCCAACAAAAATGTGGGGATTGGCAGTGGTTCTGGGGATTCATCAGTTCCTAAATAAGAAAGATGTATTTTAAGAAAACACTTAAAAACAAGACATGTCTCCTTTTTATTTATTTATTTATTTATTTATTTTTTGAGACAGAGTCTCGCTCTGTCGCCCAGACTGGAGTGCAGTGGCGCCATCTCGGCTCACTGCAAGCTCCGCCTCCCGCGTTCACGCCATTTTCCTGCCTCAGCCTCCTGAGTAGCTGGGACTGCAAGTGCCTGCCACCACGCCTGGCTAATTTTTTGTATTTTTTAGTAGAGACGAGGTTTCACCGTGTTAGCCAGGATGGTCTCGAGCTCCTGACCTTGTGTCCGCCCACCTCGGCCTCCCAAAGTGCTGGGATTACAGGTGTGAGCCACCATGCCCGGCCTCCTTTTTATTTAAATGTCAAAAGTTAATGAAGTCATTATTAGTGAAAATATTTTATTAGAGACAAAAATACTTAATGCCAGTGGTCAAGACTTTTCAACATTAAGGAATTTCCTAAACAAGTCTTTTTATTTACTTATTTTTTTGAGACAGGGTCTTGCTCTATTGCCCAGATTAGACTGCAGTGGAACAATCACGCCTTACTGCAGCATTAACCTGCTGGGCTCAAGCAATCCTCTGTCCTCAGCTTCCCGAATAGCTGGGACTACAGGTGTGTGCCACTATGCTTAGCTAATTTTTAAAGTTTTTGTAGAGATGGGATCTTGCTGTGTTGCCCAGGGTGGACTCAAACTCCTGAGCTCAAGTGATCCTCCTTCCTCAGCCTCCCAAAGTGCTGGGATTACGTGCAGGAGCCACCACGTCTGGTCTGCATTTAAATTTTTGGCATGGGGCTGGGTGCAGTGGCTCACACCTGTAATTTCAGCACTTTGGGAGGCCGAGGTGGGCAGATCACCTGAGGCTGGGAGTTTAAGACCAGCCTGACCAACATGGAGAAAGCCTGTCTCTATTAAAAATACAAAATTAGCCGGGCATGGTGGTGCATGCCTGTAATCCCAGCTACTCAGGAGGCTGAAGCAGAATTGCTTGAACCCAGGGGGTGGAGGTTGCGGTGAGCTGAGATTGCACCAGTGCACGTCAGCCCAGGCAAAAAGAGCAAAACTCCATCTCAAAAACAAACAAACAAAAAATTGGCATAAAAATACACTGTAGGCCAGGTGCTGTGGCTCATGCCTGTAATCTCAGCACCTTGGGAGACTGAGGTGGGAGGATTACTTGAGCCCAGGAGTTTGAGGCCTAGGCAACATAGTGAGACACCATCCTTATTTATACATTTAAAAATAATATAATTTAAAAAATAGAAAAAAGAAAAAACCTTACTAAGAGCGCAGATCTCATGTTAAGTGTTCTTTCTTTTAGTTTTTTTTTGTTTTGTTTTTGAGACAGTCTTGCTCTGTTGCCTAGGCTGCAGTGCAGTGGTGCGATCTCCACTCACTCCAACCTCCACCTCCTGGGTTCAAGCAATTATCTCACCTCAGCCTCCTGAGTAGCTGGGATTATAGGCACACATCACCATACCGGGATAATTTTTGAATTTTTGGTAGAGATGGGGTTTCACCATGTTGGCCAGGCTGGTTTCAAACTCCTGACCTCAAGTGATCTGCCCACCTCGGCCTCCCAAAGTGCTGGGATTACAGGCGTGAGTCGTCATGCCTGGTGAGTGTTCTTACCATAATAAAAAAATTTTTAAAAGAAAATGACCAACAACCTAATAGAAAAATGGGTTAAGAACATGGAGATTACAAAACAAAACTATCTCTAACACATAAAAAGATGCTCTTTCTCATTAAAAAAGCAATTTAAAATTAATAATAGCAAACAATGATAATTCTATGTGCTAGGTACTGTTCAAAGCTCTTTGCATGTACTAACTCATTTAATCCTCACAAAAAACATAAGGCAGAAACTATTATTAACTTCATTTTAGAGATGAGAAAACATAAATGAGGAAGTTAAGCAATTTCTCTAGCATTTCACAAGAAGTAGCAGAGTAGGAATTTAAACCCAAGAAATCTATCCCCACAGTCTGTACTATTTAATCTCTCAAACTATAATGGGAAATAACCATTTTTCATCCACTGAATCAGCATCCTACTAGGCAAGGCTTTGGGAAAACAGGCACTTTAACTGGTGGGAATTCAAACTGATATTACAGGGGCTGGGCATGGTGGCTCACGCCTGTAATCTCAGCACTTTGGGAGGCCTAGGTAGGTGGATCACTTGAGGCAAGCAGTTCAAGAACAGACTGGGCAAGATGGCAAAATCCCATCTCTAGTAAAAATACAAAAATTAGCCAGGTGTGGTTAATGCATGCCTGTAATCCCAGCTACTCGTGAGGCTGATGCATGAGAACTGCTTGAACCTGGGAGGCAGAGGGTGCAGTGAGCTAAGATCATGCCACTGCACTCCAGTCTGGGCAAGAGAGTGAGACTGTCTCAAAAAAAAAAAAAAAAAAAAAAAAGGCATTACAGATAGTTATTTAGGTTTTTTTTTTTTTTTTCTTGAAATACACGTCTGGGTGCTTATAATCCTAGCCCTTTGGGAGGGTGAGTTGGGCAGATCACTAGGGCCCAGGAGTTGGAGACCAGCCTGGGCAACATGGCAAAACCTCATCTCTACAAAATATACAAAAATTAGCTGGGTGTGGTGGTGAGCACCTGTAGTACCAGCTACTTGGCAGGCTGAGGTGAGAGGATCACTTGGACCCAGGAGGTTATGGCTGCAGTGAGCCATGATTGTGCCACTGTACTCCAGCCAGGGTGACAGAACAAATCTCAAAAATAATAATAATAAATAAAATAAAAATACACCCATGCTTTAAAGCCAGGGATCTGTGCATTACTGAAAAGTAGCTGTAATGATAATGGTGGTAACAATTTGTATGTTCATAAACACTGCACTGGTAAAATATATTATCATATGTAAGGAACAATGGAATACATATAGCCATAAAAAAAGATAATCTCTATATGTGCAGATAGAAATGATCTCCAAAATCAGTTAAGGTACAGAAATAAATAAATAAATATCTACTTTTTTTTTTTTTTTTTTGAGATGGAGTTTCGCTTTTGTTGCCTAGGCTGGAGTACAATGGCGCGATCTCGGCTCATGGCAACCTCGGCTGGCGGCAACCTGCGCCTCCCGGGTTCAAGTGATTCTTCTTCTCCTGCCACAGCCTCTCAAGTAGCTGGGATTACAGACACGCACCACCATGCCCGGCTTATTTTGTATTTTTAGTAGAGACGGGGTTTCTCCACGTTGGTCAGGCTGGTCTTGAAGAACTCCCAACTTCAGGTGATGCACCTGCCTTGGCCTTCAAAAGTGCTAAGATTACAGGCGTGAGCCACCACGCCGGCTACCATCTTAGTTTTTAAAATAATGTAAAAGTTTATACTAAAATATATTTTCTGGCCGGGCACAGTGGCTCATGCCTGTAATCCCAGCACTTAGGGAGGCTGAGGCAGGCAGATCACCTGAGGCCAGGAGTTTGAAACCAGCCCGGCCAACGTGATGAAACCCTGTCTCTACTAAAAGTAAAAAAATGAGCCGGGCATGGTGGCGTGCACCCATACTCCCAGCTGTTCGGGAGGCTAAGCCAGGAGAATTGTGTGAACCCAGGAGGCGGAGGTTACGGTGAGCCAAGACGGCGCCAGTGCACTCCAGCCTGGGCGACAAAGCGAGACTCTGTCTCCAAAAAAAACCAAATAAATAAAATAAAATAAAATAAAATATATTTTCATTGACCTGCATTTTTCACAGAATATTAGTTTTGTAATGAGATTTAAATTATTTAGCCATTAAAAGAGGGAGAAAAGGAAAATATAGGCAAATCTACTACTTTCATATGTAATACATTCCAAATCCATACACAAAAGTCAAAGATTTCAAGACGTATCATTCCAAATATATCTGAAAAACTCCAATTACGGCCCACCTTTCAGAGACAATCTTCAACAAATAATTCAAATATTTGGAATGGCATTTTCATCACAGCTGACAATAAATCTGCATACCTATTATGAGAATTCATTTGCTACTCTGGTCACAACCAGCAAATTTCTTCTTAGTTGTAATTCTTTTTAAATGAAGACCTTAGGGGGCCTTTTATCACTAGTATAACCCTCATTTCCCACTCCACCTCCCTTTTTCATTTAATTTTGTAAAATAAATAACAAAAGTATTTTTTTTGCCTTTAAAAAAAAAATCTAAGCAGTATGTCCCTTTCTTCATGTAAAATCTTGAGGGAAAGCCCCCTATGTGTAAGAACAGACCTAAGAGAAGCCACTCCTTTTGAAGTGGAGTTGGAGAGTTGAGTAAGCTGAATGTTGGAAATGGTGGGAAAAAAAGCTAGGATTGGACCACAGTGGCCTTAAGAATATATCACAAATATATTTAAAGAAAACTAATGTGCTTATTCTAGTTGGGCACAGAAATCTGAGGACTGATATAAAATTAGTCATTATATATCACTATAAATTACTTACCATAAGAGCCTCGGCCAGCCATTTTATGAAATTGTTGCCAAGTGAGAGGACCCTGAACACCCCAAGGTCTTACTGTTCTTTTTTTCTGAATGGCATCCTGAAGAACTGGCTGAAGAGAGAGGAGCATTCGAAGTATATCCTGTGAGCACTGCATACTCACATCTACAAGCATTTTAAAAAAAACAAGTAATTAAGAATTGCTATTGCCAACACAAATAAAATTTTAAGATAATACAAAACACATATAGGGAAGTTCAGGTCTTCAGCATCAAGAAGATTAAACCCTTACTTGTGCAGAGAATTGCATTAAGTTCTACAAGATGATCTGTAAAAAGGTTCTTCTAGATTCTTACAACCAAGAAGACACACAATAAAAAGTTACTGTAACTTATTTCCATAAAAAGTCATTCATTAGCTGATTAATCAATTTATAAATTAATCAAATAAATTTCTTTCTTTTTGCATTTATGTTGGCTGTTTTGGTGCTGTAGGTATTTTACCAGAAAGAAGTCTGCCTCACATTGAAATTATATCCCATCATTAGCACTACTATGGTAAAGTGAATAAAGACTGGTCATAATTATTAAAGTTTAATTTGAAAAAAAAAGTAGACTTTAACAATTCTAAAATACAGAAATTATACAGTAACTTGCTCACACTGCTAAAAAGTATATTATCCATAAATATTTTATAAGCTTATACATCTTAAATATTTATAAATTATCAAATTATGACCTGCATTTCTGACCAACTATCAGAATGGGTATGAAAGGTGCTCCTCATAAATGTCAAATGGCTAAAGGAAAAATCACTAAAAGATATTGATATAATAAATGTGGCCCCCAGAATGGTCCAGTTGTACCACTAAACCTGTTTGAGCACAGTTATATTAAATTATTCAATTTTAATTCGTTATTACCTTTGCCTAGTTTATCGTTATTGGCCCCAATTTCCTATACCTAAAAAGTGTAGTGGCTGGGCCCAGTGGCTCACACCTGTAATTCCAGCACTTTGGGAGGCCAAGGCGGGTGGACTGTTTGAGGTCAGGAGTTTGAGACCAGCCTGGCCAACACAGTGAAACCCTGTCTCTACCAAAAAATATAAAACTTAGCCAGGCATGGTGGCACATGCCTGTAATCCCAGCTACTCGGGAGGCTAAGGCAGGAGAATCGCTTAAACCCAGAAGGCAGGGGTTGCAGTGAGCCGAGATCATGGCATTGCACTCCAGCTTGGGTGACAAAGTGAGAGCCTGTTGTCTCAAAAAACAAAAACAAAAACAAAAAAAAGTGTACGGAACTAGATAAAACTAAGTTCCAAATACAATACTTAATATGTAATATGCTTAAATAAACTTTTGTATACATAGTAGAATACTACTTAGTAGTTGAAAATGCTAACGGGCCGGGCTTGGGTGGTGGCTCATGCCTGTAATTGCAGCACTTTGGGAGACTGAGGCAGTCAGACTGCTCGAGCTTAGGAGGTCACAGGCAGCCTGCGCAACATGGCAAAACCCTGTCTCTACAAAAAGTTAGCTGGGTATGGTGCCACACGCCTGTGGTCCCAGCTACTCAGGAGACTGAAGTGGGAGGATCACTTGAACCCATGAGGTCAAGGTTACAGTGAGCCATGATAGCGTAACACTGCACTTCAGCCTGGACAACAGAGCGAGACCCTTTCTCAAAAATAAATAAATAAAGATGATCACAAAAAAATACCTATCAAGTACTATGCTTATTACCTGCATGACAAAATAATCTGTATGCTGACCCCCAGGACACAAGTTTACCTTTTACTTAATATAACAAACCTGGCACATGTACCCATAACCTAAAAGTTAAAAAAAAAGGAGTGATCATGGAGGATAATCAATCAATAGAAATAAACTGAAAATCCAGAAATCAAACCTCATGCTTATGATAAATTGATTTTTGACAAAGGTACCAAGACAACTTAAAGATAACATTTTTCCATAGATGATTCTGGGACAACTAGATATCCACATGCAAAAGAATGAAGTCAGAACCCTTCCATATACTATACACAAAAAATTCAGAATGGATCAGAGATCTAAATATAAGAGCTAAAACTACAAAGTTATTTCAAAAAAGTAATAGGAGTAAATTTTCAAGACCTTGGGTTAGGTCCTGACCTAGACATCAAAAGCACAAGCAACAAGAGAAAAAATAAATTGGACTTCATCAAAATTAAAAATGTTTGTGCTTCAAAGAATACCATCAAGAAAGTAAAAAGATTTCACATCCTATGGAGATATGAAAAACAGGAAAGTGAAAAGAAGCTGAGTGTGATAGTAGGCCCCTGCAGTCCTAGCTACTTGGGGAGGCTGCAGCGGGAGGATCCCTTGAATCCAAGAGTTTGAGACCAGCCTGGGCAAAGTAGCAAGACCCCGTATCTTAAAAAAAAAAAAAATGAAAAGACAATCCAGAGTACAGGAGAAAATATATGCAAATCACACATGTGATAAGGGGGCTTATATCCTTGTATCCAAGATATATAAAGAACTCAGGATTCAACAATACATAAAAACCTAATTTTAAAAACGGGCAAAAAATCTGAAAAGTCATTTCTCCAAAGAAGATATACAAATGGACAACAAGCACATGAAACAATCTTCAACATTATTAGTCATTAGGGAAATGCAGATGAAACCACAATGAGATACTACTTCACACAAAGTATCACAATGAGATACTTTGATTATAAGATGACTATAATAAGAAAAACAATGTGACAAGTGTAAGTGAAACCCTCATATATTGCTGGTAGTTATGTAAAATGGTGCAGCTGCTATGGAAAACAATCTGGCGGTTCCTCAAAAGATTAAACCAGTCAGGTGTGGTGGTGCATGCTTGTAATCCCAGCTATCAGGGAGGCTGAGGCACAAGAATCACTTGAACCTGGGAGTTGGTGGTTGCAATGAGCCAAGATCGTACCCCACTGCACTCCAGCCTGGATGACAGAGTGAGACTCTGTCTCAAAACAAAACAAAGGCCAAGCGCAATGGCTCATGCCTGTAATCCCAGCACTTTGGGAGGCCGAGGCAGGCAGGTCACCTGAGGTCAGGAGTTTGAGACCAGCCTGGCCAACATGGTGAAACCCCATTTCTACTAAAAATACAAAAATTAGCTGGGTATGGTGGCAGGAGCCTGTAATCCCAGTTACTTGGGAGGCTGAGGCGGGAGAATTGCTTGAACCTGGGAGGTGGAGGTTGCAGTGAGCCAAGATTGCGCCACTGCACCCCAGCCTGGGCAACAAGAGCGAGACTCCGTCTCAAAAAAAAAATAAATAAATAAAGATTAAACAGAATATGACTCAGTGAATCCACTTAAGAGTAATAAAAACATGTCCATATAAAAACTTGTACACAAATGTTCATGGGAGCTTTATTCATAATAGCCAAAAAGTGGAAAAAATCTAAATATCCATCAACTAATGAATGGATAAATAAAATACGGTATCTTCATACAATGGAATATTATTTGGCAATAAAGTACTAATATGTGCTATAGCATAGATGAACCTTGAAAACATTATGGAAAGCGAAAAAAGCCAGTCACTGAAGACCATACAGTATATAATTCGATTGATATGCAATATCCAAAAGCGGCAAATCTAGAGAGACAGAAAATAGACTTAGTGGTTGTCTATAGCTAGGAAAGAAGGTTGGACGGAAAAAGGGAGTGACTGCTAACGGGTAGGGGGTTTAATATGAAAATGTTTTAAAACCCACTGTGTTGATGACTGTCCAACTCTGCATACTAAAAAGCAGCCAACTGTACATTTTAAATGGGTGAATTGTATGGTATTCTTAATTTTTGTTCAGCAAGTATGTATTTTTTATAATTAGAACAGAGCTTTGTCTATCTTCAACAAAATTAATGTTGTCATTAAAATATACAAACTATACTGGCTGGGTGCGGTGGCTCACACTTGTAATCCCAGCACTTTGGGAGGCCGAGGCAGGTGGATCACGAGGTCAGGAGATCGAGACCATTCTGGCTAACACGTTGAAACCCGTCTCTACTAAAAATACAAAAAATTAGCTGGGCATGTGGCGGGCACCTGTAGTCCCAGCTACTGGAGAGGCTGAGGCAGGAGAATGGCGTGATCCCGGTAGGCGGAGCTTGCAGTGAGCCGAGATCGCGCCACTGCACTCCAGCCTGGGCAACAGAGTGAGACTCCGTCTCAAAAACAAAGAAACAAAAAAAACAGAAAAAATACATATATATACAAACTATACTTTGTAGACTTTTAAATTCATTCAAACATAACCTTCTTTCAAGATGTTAAAACTAAATAAACAAATCCAAACATCTATTTTAATATCCTGATCATCTACTGTGTTCATTATTCTAGGTGTTTAGATTATAGACAAAAATCTTTGCCTTTACACAGAACTTTGCAAAGAGTGTACTTAATGGGGGTAAGAAACAACAATTAATAAATTTTATTATGTTAGAAGGTAATAGTCCACACTATGGAAAAAAAGCAAGATGGAGAACAAGAAGAAGGGTTTGCATTTTTATAATGAGAAGATGATATCTGACAAGATTTAAAGGAGACAGAGTTATCCACATAAATATCTGGAAAACGAGTATCCAAGAGGGAGGAAACATGCCAAGGGCTCTAATGCAGGAGCTTGCCACCATTTCATGATGCTGCTATAATTTAATCAAAGTATTCTAATATTGCACATTTATGTTTTCCAACATTATTATTTTTCTTGAGACGGAGTCTCTCTCTGTCGCCCAGGCTGGAGTGCGGTGGCACCATCTCTGCTCACTGTAAGCTCCCCCTCCCGGGTTCACACCATTCTCCTGCCTCAGCCTCCCGAGTAGCTGGGACTACAGGTGCCCGCCACCACGCCTGGCTAATTTTTTGTAGTTTTAGTAGAGACGGGGTTTTACCGTGTTAGCCAGGATGTTCTTGATCTGACCTTGTGATCCACTTGCCTCGGCCTCCCAAAGTGCTGGGATTACAGGCATGAGCCACCGTGCCCGGCCCATTATTTGTTTTTAATACTGAAAATTTTTAATTGAAATATAAAGGCTTTTCTTTCTTCTCTCAAACTCCTGGTCTCAAGCAATACTCCCGCCTCAGCCTCCCAAAATGCTGGGATTACAGAGGTGAGCCATGGTGCCCAGCCCCATTTCTCTCTTTCTTGTACTAAATTATTTTCTTTGGACAAGTTGTTAAGAAATTCATTTTCAAGTCTGCAGCTTTCTGTTTACATCAGTGCTTACTGTTATTCAAAAAACATATACCAGGTAAAGCTCAATATTTTCCATTATTTGGCAAATAAGTTGGTTCTTAAAAACAAAATAATTATAAAGAGTGCCACTAATCCTCCTGCTGCTGTCATTACCACTACTAACATCTGAGTTCTTACTATGTGCCAAAAACTGCCTTTTTTTTTTTTTCTTCAGACCGAGTTTCACTCTTGTTGCCGGGCTGGAGCGAAATGGCAGGATCTCAGGCTCATTGCAACCTCCAAAACTGCTTTTTATTTTTTTTATTTTTTTTCAGACCGAGTTTCACTCTTGTCGCCTGGGCTGGAGTACAATGGCAGGATCTCGGGCTCACTGCAATATCCACCTCATGGGGTCAAGCAATTCTCCTGCCTTAGCCTCCCGAGTAGCTGGGATTATAGGCATGCGCCACCATGCCCAGCTAATTTTTGTATTTTTAGTAGAGATGGGGTTTCACTAGGTTGGTCAGGCTGGTCTCAAACTCCTGGGTGGCTCATGCCTGGAATCCCAGCACTTTGTGGGGGGCCAAGGTGGGCGGATCAACTGCTCTGTATTTCATTTGATTCTCTCAATACCCTGTAAAGTAAATCTATTATTGACCCTATTTTAAGAAATCAAGGCACAGAAAGGTTAACTAACTTGGCCCAAGGTAGCAGGTAGTATATAGTGCTAGAGTCATGGTAGTATATAGTGCTAGAGTCATGTTTCAAACCCAGGCAGTCTGAGTCCACAGCCTATGATCTTAACTACTCTATATGGCTTAAAATAATCTTTCCTTTTTTTTGAATACCTATGATATTTATTTGTGTCTTTCCCTTTTTAAATTTGGTCCCTGAGAATGAATAATTGGATAAATGCTGATACTGTCATATACATGAACTTAATCACTGGTCCATGTGTTGTCCTCTTACATTTCAAAAATTTTCTTTAATAATAAAATGAACAACTGTAATCTCACTGCCCAAGAACTAGAACATTACCAAAAACGATCTTATTAAATGTTTCTCCCTATCCCTATCTCTTGGTCATTTTTGGACACATGTGAAATTTCAAGAATTAACCAATATTCTCAATTTTATGTGCATGTAAATAATACATTTAGTTGTGCTTGTTTCAAAACTTTATTAACGGTAATACATTAAAGAGGTATTTTTAAAGGGTATCTGACTATATGTAATCTTCTGGGACTTGTTCCCTCTTCCTCTCCTCAATAGTATCACTAAGATTCATCTATTTGTTATACATAACTGTAATTCATTTTCAGAAGCCATATAACATTCCATCTGTACTATCATGATTACTCAACCCTGCAAACATGGCCATTTTTTTCTTTTTGAGAAAAATCTCACTCTGTCAAATAGGCTGGAGTGCAGTGGTACAATCATGGTTCACCGAATCCTCCACCTCCTAGGTTCAAGCTATACTCCCACCTCAGCCTCCCAAGTAGCTGAGACTACAGGTGCATGCTACCACACCCAGCTAATTTTTGTATTTTTAGTAGAGATGGGTTTTGCCATGTTCACCAGGCTGGTCTTGAACTCCTGGGCTCAAATGATCTGCCTGCCTCAGCCTCCCAAATGCTGGGATTACAGCCATAAGCCATATCTGTCAATTAAAAAAAATTCCTTTCTATAGGATCACTCCCAATGCACCTTTAATAAAATAATAATAAACCTCTCTTTTAACCCTATTATGCAATTTCTCTGCTATTTACAGCAAAAGTCCCCAGAAAATTGTCTAAGTTTGCTTCTCATCCCGTTCTTTTGTGAACCCACTCCAATCAGATTGACTGAAACTGCCTATCAAGGTGACCACCAACTTCTATTTGGTCACATCCAATAGCCTGTCTCAGTTTTCACCTTAATGTATCGAAGTATTTGATAGAGATGATCACTCTCTTCTAAATATTCCCGGGCCAGGCACGGTGGCTCACACCTGTAATCCCAGCACTTTGGGAGGCCGAGGCAGGTGGATTGCCTGAGCTCAGGAGTTCGAGACCAGCCTGGGCAACACAGTGAAACCTCGTCTCTACTAAAATACAAAAAATTAGCCGGGTGTGGTGGCGTGCACCTGTAGTCCCAGCCACTTGGGAGGCTGAGGCAGGAGAATTGCTTGAACCCGGGAGGTGGAGGTTGCAGTGGGCCGAGATCACGCCACTGCACTCCAGCCTGGTGACAGAGCGAGACTCTGTCTCAAAACAAAAACAAACAAACAAAAATTCCCTATACCTGATTTCTAGGATACCATGCTCCCTTGGTTTTCCTCCAACCTCCTTCTCAATTTCCTTTCCTGGTGCCTTTTCTCCCTCCCCACTTATAAATGTCAGCTCCATCCTTGTACTACTCTATCTACAATTACTCTACAGTTTATTTCATCCAGATCCACAGCTTTTCATAATAACTCACACACAAAATTTTTCTATCTCCAGACCCAATCATTCCTCTGAATTTAAAACATATTATCTCCAAATGTGTATCTGATTTACTCCCCCGTGTTTCCCTCCTCTGTAGTTAGTACTACCATTCACCCAGGTGCTCAAGCTATTATTGATGCCTCATCTTTCCTTACACGTCTTTTGGCAAACCCTGTAGGTTCTATTTCCCAAATAACCTAAAACCTATTACTTACATCTCGCTGGCCTCTTATCTTGTCTAAGCTACCATCATCTTTCACCTAAGCTACTGAAACTGCCTTCCAACTGATTTATCCTGCTTCTGTTCTCACTTTCACTACTTCCAAACCCCAACGCTATTTTCCACACAATAGCAACAGAGTGTCTTGCTCTGTTGCCCAGGCTGGAGTGCAGTGGCATTATCTCAGCTCAACACAACCTCCGCCCCCCAGGTTCAAGCAACTCCTCTGCCTTGGCCTCCTGAGCAGCTGGGACCACAGGCACGCCCCACCATGCTGGCTAATTTTTGTATTTTTCACCATATTGGGCAGGCTGGTCTCAAACTCCTGGCCTCATGATCTGCCCACCTCAGTCTCCCAAAGTGCTGGGATTAGACGCATGAGCCACCGCACCCAGCCATTTTTTTTTTCTTTTAGATGGGAGTTTCACTCCTGTTGCCCAGGCTGGAGTGCAGTAGTGCGATCTTGGCTCACTGCAACTTCCGCCTCCCAGGTTCAAGTAATTATCCTGCCTTAGCCTCCCGAGTAGCTGGGATTATAGGCGCCCACCACCAAGCCCAGCTAATTTTAAATTTTTAGTAAAGACGGGATTTCACTATGTTGGTCAGGCAGGTCTCGAACTCCTGACCTCAGGTGACCTGCCTACCTCAGCCTCCCAAAGTGCTGGGATTACAGGCATGAGCCACTGTGCCAGACTGAGAGATCTCTTAAAAAACAATCAGAATAAGGATCATGTTACTTTCCTTGTCAAAACTGTTCAATAGCTTCCCATCACATTTAGTATAAACCACAAAGGCCTTACATGGTCTATAAGACTCTAAATGATGCTGGTGAATGGCTACCTCCTAAATTTCATCTCCTTCCAGTCTCCCTATCACACAAAGCATTCCAGCAGCATCAGTCACCTTAATGTTCCTCAAACATGTAAAAGCAAAATACTCCCTCAGGGTCTTTGCACTGCCTGAAACACTCTTCCCTCATTTAACTACATAGCTCATATTCTATGTTATGTAGGAGTTTTCCCATATGCTATCTCCTCAGTAGTATCTTATCTGACCATACATCTAAAATAGTACATATGTGGTGTCTTGTTCTGTTTTACTCTGCTTTTCCTCCAAATTACTTCTTACTATCTATTATATGCTTTTTTGTTTATTTCCTATTTTCTCCACTAAATTATAGATTCAAAAAGGGCAAAGAATATGTGTGCTTTGTTCAACAGTGAATCTAGGCTAATACCTGGCACATACAAGGTGCCCAGTAAATACTTAATGAGTGAAAGAATGTTGAATAAAGCAGACCACTAGCAATGTTATGCTAATAAATATATGGAATGTGCCTTTCATATTCCTACATAAGTATATAATTACAGATTTATAATAACCATACTTTTATTGGTGAAATTAAACTAAACTGCTAAGAAATTCTCCCTTTAAAAACATCATCCATAAAGAGTTTTAAGTCCAACTTTAAATGTATTTGCCACATGGGAAACTGCCTTTATTACTTTTTCCTAAGAATGTAACTAAAGGGAAATAAGCAAACAAAAAAGTATTTTATTGGCATACTTTACCGTTTCTTTTGGACCAGGGGTGTAAGCATGAACTTTTCACAAGTGCTTCATCAACTTTTCCTCCTGACATGTTATCCATGAACTGACGCCCATGTTCTAATGCAAGGTAGCAGTCATTGCAACAGTCACGCTCTTCAACACGTACCCAATTGCTAATTACACCACTTTTAGGAAAAGGATCTTGGTCTGCTGCTCCAAAGGGTGAAAATAAATTAGTGCACTGATCTTGTAGCAATAATATCAAATCATCAGATAATTTTTCAGATTCCTTTAGTCCTCCATTAACATGTTCAGCAGAGGTAGCCCTGAGAGCTTCAAAACGTTTTTCTGCTTCTTTGCCACAGTCTGTATTGCGTCCTATGATATCTAGTTCATCTTCAAGAAATAATCCTGAATTGTTTCCAAATTTTCTGTTCATGACAGCACTGAAGCCACAGGTACACCTATATTGTGCTTCCTGCGTTGGATCTGGAATGTAAACTCCAACATCGGCACCCTTGATGTTCATGTTGCAAACACAGATGCAACAACTATCAAAGTTACAGTCTTTAAACAAATTCATAACTGATTCTGAAAGGATGAGGTTTACATAAAGACTGTGTGCTTCAGGGATGGAAGGGACAGTTGCAGGTTCAACAGAATTAAGGGGTCTGCATGTAGATGGGGTAGAAGCTGGTGAATACAAGTCTGAATTTTCATATTTGACTGAACCTTGAGCACTAGCAGGTCCACCAGCTCCACGAGGAGTCCGAGGAGTCCTTGGAGTCCTTGGAGTTGGAAACCGAGGGGTGGATGGAGAAGGAAGAATTCCTGCTCCGCTGTTACTAGGAGGTGCACTGCTAGGAGGCATCCCAAAAGAAGTATGAGTTTGAGGTGTATAAGCAGTGCCATATTCTTGATCCATATTACTTCCATCACTATCATCACCAGGGTAAAAGAAGATCAAATATATATATAAAGGAACATATTAGTAATGTGAAATACAACTAAAAACGTCCCAAATGTTTTTCAATTACATAGAAAATTATGAAAGGACAAGTATTGCAAGAATTACAAGCACAGTCAATTCTTATTTCTGGTTAACATATCTACTCTAAGTGATTGTTGTTGACTAAGGATCAATTAACAAGTTCAAAAATCATTAATAAGCACTCTATACACTAATGCATACCTAGACATCCATATTTACTATCTATAAATTTTGTTTACTAGAAATACTTATATTTCCTTGATTCTAAGATGCTACTGACTATAAAAAAAGAAAAATGATTTTAGAGATGCTCATGTGTAAAAAGGGAAAAATGGTAATTTTAAAATGCTACCACTTATAAGACATCTCAGATTCAGATTTCTTTTAGCCTTGAGTTGAAACTGACCAAGTCAGAGATGTTAAAATGTGAAAAGTGTGGAAAAGATGGCAAATGTAAAAATGGGAGCAATTTAAAATTGCAGCCCAAAAGAAAAGGTGCTTCGGAATACAAATCAAGCATAATAGTCTTAAGTTTCCTAATAGTTTATCCATACCCAATTAACCTTTTTTTTTTTTTTTTTGAGACAAAGTCTCACTCTTGCCCAGGCTGGAGTGCACTGGTGCGATCTCGGCTCCCTGCAATGCCTGACTCCCAGGTTCAAGCCATTCTTGTGCCTCAGCCTCCCAAGTAGCTGGGACTACAAGCATGCGCCACCACGCTTGGCTAATTTTTGTATTTTTAGTAGAGACGAGGTTTCGTATGTTGGCCAGGCTGATCTCAAACTCCTGACCTCAAGGGATACGCCTGCCTTGGCCTCCCAAAGTATGGGAATTACAGGCGTGATTCACTGCTCCCAGCCAATCACTATAATTGATTAACCAGAAATAATTTTTAGAATTTTCAAAAACCAATTTTATTTTTCCAGCATACCAGGTAAATCTATGAAAAAAAAATTAAAGCTGTATAAGCAGTCACATACTATTGTAACAACATAAATCATACCCCTCTTTGATGAATGGCATTGAAGGCCCTGAAGAAAGCAATTCCAATTTTCCAACAGTCCAACTCTGACGGTAAATACACTCTTCTGGCAATTTGATAGGGGGCAGATATTGGCTTGGTAGAGTTTTTAGAGGTGCAAACATGGAACATCCCACTAGAATTTGACAATTTTCAGGCTTATAGACATAAGAAAAATCCTACAATATAAAGATGGTAGGTTTTCAGTATCTTATCTTCTAGGAGGAAAAAATAAATAAACAAACAGGCTCTGGACCTTTTTTCCTTTCTTTAAACAGAATAAAATCTAAATACAATTCTATTATTTTCTTAAATGCATTCTTAATAGTGACAACAATAATTCAGTCCTCAACTTAGCTACAAAACCGCAACCACTATAAAATAATTTTTGACTATAGCAACAAATTAATTCTATAAGAAAATATAGGAAGTGAATTATTTTTCTAGAAAAAACATACTTACTTTAATTTCAGAAGGTTTGGGGCTACAGAATCCCTCATCAACCTCAATTTTGAACTGCGCTCCTATACTAGAACTATTTCCTTCTAGAACAGTTCCTCCAGGTGTTGTATCCATACTACCATATTCTTTATTATTCATATTCATTGGGGAAAATCCCATAATATGTTGTTCCAATGATGGTGGTGTAGGATACATTTTATGAAGATCTGCAGTGCCTATATTTAATAAAAACATACATTTTAACATGACTAAAAATAGGCGAATCTGTGTTTAAACCAAAAGGAGTGGGGAGCTTTGTTGAGATTAAAAGTTCGCAAATTTATCTCGAGCACAGATGAGGGAAGCTTACTTATGCAAGATAACGGGTCCAGATTTCCTGTCTTTGATTCCTTGCAGCTGGCTTTATCATCTGATCCATTTGCTGATTTTTTAGATCCAGGCTATTTAAAAAAAGCACATATTTATCTAAAATTTTACATCCAATGTGATCTCAAAATAGTAATCATTCAGATATAACTTAACAGTAAAGCCCATTCATTAAAAGTAGTATTTTGAATCTGTGATACAGCCAAATACATACTAGTGTTGAAAGATATAAAATATTTCTTAATCACTGACTCCAGATTAATTTATTTGGTAAGCCTCCAAATTAAAAGGAAAAAGTTCCTCCAAAGAAAATGACCAATACTTTCAAAATACACAGAAGTAAGGTTAACCTTAACTTAAAACCCAGTAATAAGAGGCCGGACATGGTAGCTCACACCTGTAATCCCAGCACTTTGGGAGGCTGAGGCAGGCAGATCAATTTGAGGCCAGGAGTTTGAGACCAGCCTGGCCAACATGGTGAAACCTCATCTCTACTAAAAATACAAAAAATTAGCTGGGTGGGGCATGCCTGTAATTCCAGCTACTCGGGAGGCTGAGGCACAAGAATTGCTTGAGCCTGGGAGGCAGAGGTTGCAGTGAGCCAGGACTGCACCACTGCACTCCAGCATGGGCAATACAATGAGACTCTTGTCTTAAAATAAATAAAAATAAGAAAACCTGCAATAAGAAGGGGTTGTAATTAACATTAGAAATGCTTCTTGGTAAAAGATACTTGCAGAGAAAGCATTTGTCTCCTTAAGTTGAACACATTAAAGTTTCCTATATAATCAATCACTCACCTATCTAAATTCTTATTTATACTTTCACCTTGTTTTAATAGTCTCCCTATTCCTGCAAAAATACTGTTAACAGGTAAAACTAAGTACAAACTTCAGAAGATCTAATGACAAAGCAATAGAGTTCCTAACTTTTAGTAGATTGAACAAACAAGTTTTACTATCTCCAAGCTCTTACCAGTGTTTTCAGAGCTAACATTTGTTCCATGTCTTCTGTTAGACAGTCTGTGATAAATATTAATATGTAGACCACGTTCTGACTACAATCTTTTATTTCAGAGGAACCACAGCTGATACAGGAATGGTAGTAGAGAGAAAGTATGAATGTGCCAAAGCATTCAAGGATATAGTTGCCTAGTAAAGGGTGCCCTAAAATGTACTACATTATGGGATACACAGTAAAAGTTTATGTATCTGCAATATATATATATGTATATGTACACACACACATATACACACATATAGAGATATATATGTTGAGAGAGGACTAAATGCATATTATATAGGAAAGGAAAGATCAAATGTACCATAGAAGTTTCCAAGCTACCTTTATGCAGATGAAAAGGAATTCCCTTTTATGATAATGCAGCACCCAATTCATTAATTTGACAGAGACTTGACATTCTAGGGAATCTCATTTTAAGCTTTAATTTCTTTTATCTTCACCTTTCTCTGCAAATGGGTGTTAAAGATTAAATATTATTTTTTTCCTCTTTTATTGTTATATCATGTATCTGTCTTATAATAGCTGTGATGCAAAACAAATTCAAAAGAGCTGGTATTCCTTAATAAATTGACAAAGCAAATAACTTTAATGTCAATTATGTATGTGTTCTCTGAATGAGTAAATTCCAGAGTCATTTCTCAAACTACAGAATCAAATAGGAAAATAATTCTGCTTCCTAAAACTACAAAACAGAACATACGGCAGAGCTCAAATTAAGGTTAATCATGTGTCCCCCAAATGTAAAAACAAAAGGAGAAACAAAACCCTCAAAGTTTATAGATGACACTATGGCAAGACTACTCAAACATGAGATTTAAAAAAGAAATCAATGAATGAGGTTTTACTATATTTCCTATTGTTCAGGGCTAAAACATAGTATTAAACTCACAAATCACTTCTAAAAAATAAAAAAATAATAAAATCAAGGAAAACAAATTATAATCCTATTCATTAATGAGATACTCACTGTTAGTTCATCTTCATCAGAATTGAAGAGATTATCAAGGTCAGTATAAGAGACAGCCAGGTCTGAGTCATAAATCAAACTTGTTGATGGAGGACGGGCATGACTAGTAGGGCGTGGAGCATCTACAAAAGTCAATCAGAAAAATAAAATTAAAACTGCTACTACTATGCCTGTAATCCCAGCACTTTGGGAGGCCGAGGAGGGTGGATCACGAGGTCAGGAGTTCAGGACCAGCCTGGCCAAGATGGTGAAACCCCGTCTCTACTAAAACTACAAAAATCAGCTGAGTGTGGTGGCAGGCGCATGTAATCCCAGCTACTTGGGAGGATGAGACGGAGAACTGCTTGAACCCAGGAGGCAGAGGTTGCAGTGAGCCGAGATAGCACCATTGCACTCCAGCCTGGGAGACAGAGCGAGACTCCATCTTAAAAACAAAAACAAAAAACAAAAAAAAACCTGCTACTAATGACCACATAAGTACTATTCTTTTTAAATTAGACATATAACTTTAAGGTCATAAGGGGATTATGCAACAAGAAATTGTACTTTATTGTTTAAAATCGAGAAAGTGTTTTTATAGAAAAAAAAGTTATAAATAAATGATTATATCTTTCCCAGGAAGCTCACTATAAGGTCAGGTAATCCATAAAATAGCTAAGTACTCTACATGAATAATTAATGCATCAAATAAAAATATAAATACTATTAGAAAAACAATTAAATACACATACACATACTTGTAATTTTTTTTTCTTTTTTTTGAGACGGGGTCTCGCTCTGTCACCACCAGGCTGAAATGCAGTGGTGCAATCACACCTCACTGTAGCCTTGACCTCTCGGGTTCAAGCAATCCTCCCACCCCAGTAGCTGGGACTACAGGCACGTGACCCTATGCCCAGTTAATTTTTTTTTTTTTCCTCGAGTTGGGGTTTTGCCATATTGCCCAGACTGGTCTTGAGCTTCTGGGCTCAAGCAATCTGCCCACCTCTGTTTCTGAAGTGCTGGGATTACAGGTGTGAGCCACCTCACCTGGCCTGTATTTTTCTATCTTTCTGAAATGTAAACGAAGAACAGAACAATGATCAAGAGCTGACTCTTGGGCCAGACAGACTTTAATCTGAATCCCAGCTCCACCACTAACAGTATGACCCTCGACAAATTACTTAATGTCTCTGTGCCTCAATACCAAGAATAAAATGTAATAGAATGTTGGTAATGTGCTTCGCCCAGTACTAGGTGCTTAAGTACTAGATAAATATTACCGCTTAGTTACCGTACTACAATTTTATTTTCCTACCCTCTCGCCCTGTTTTAGGGTAACAAAAACATGATACCAATTACAATGAAAATTAAACTCCCAATATATTCCTGCACAAGAAAAACAATTTGATACATAACCTTCCAAATCATTCTCTGTTAACTGACTTGAGAGTCCTCGTTTTCAGAAAGATAAAAGTCACTTCCCCAGTGTCTCTGGTGTGTCAGTTCTAAAGATTCACTAGAGTTGTGCCTTTGAAATTTTAAAAGTAAAAATCATCTAAGATACTTACTAAAAACCAAGATTTTGAAGCTCCACCTTGGAGATACTCCAGAATGTAGCATATGTCTCACATTTTGAGAAAGCTGAACTACAGGCACAAGAAGGGGCTTACATGTTTCCTATATCCCAGGGAACATCCTAGCATAGGTAAGTAGCCCAAACAACCCAATTTGTTTCCGAGTTTTTTCGTTTTTTTTTTTAATGTATGTATTGTGAAATGACTAAATCAAGCTACTGAACATATTCATTACCTCATATACAGGTACTTTTTTTTATGTTGGGAACACTTAAAATCTACTCTGAATTTTCAAATATACAATCTATTATTAATTGTAGTAACCACAATTTACAATAGATCTCTTGAACTTATTCCTCCCAACTGAAATTTTGTGTCCCCTGGCCATCCCCATTCCCCTACCCCCAGTCTCTGGTAATCACCACTTTACTTTCTACTTCCATGAATCCAGCTTTTTTTTTTTTTTTGAGACAGAGTCTCGCTCTGTCGCCCAGGCTGGAGTGCAGTGGCGTGATCTCGGCTCACTGCAACCTCTGTCTCCCGGATTCAAGCGATTCTCCTGCCTCAGCTCCCAAGTAGCTGGGACTACAGGTGTGTGCCACCACACCCGGCTGATTTTTTGTATTATTAGTAGAGACGGGGTTTCACTGTGTTAGCCAGGATGGTCTCAATCTCCTGACCTCATGATCCACCTGCCTTGGCCTCCCAAAGTGTTGGGATTACAGGCGTGAGCCACCACGCCCAGCCATATATTTTAATTTTTAAAATATTTAACATTTGATTGATTGATTGATTGGAGATGGAGTTTCACTCTTGTCACCCAGGCTGGAGTGCAATGGAGCGATCCTGGCTCACTGCAACCTCCGACTCCTAGATTCAAGCAATTCTGCCTCAGCCTCCCAAATAGATGGGATTACAGGTGCACGCCACCACACCTGGCTAATTTTGTATTTTTAGTAGAAACGGAGTTTTGCCATGTTGACCAGGCTGGTCTCAAACTCCTGACCTCAGGTGATCTGCCCACCTTGGCCTCCCAAAGTGCTCGGATTACAGGCATGAGCCACTGCACCTGGCCTATTTATTGTTTTTACACAGATAGGGTCTCACTACGTTGGCCAAGGTGGTCTTGAACTCCTGGCCTCAAGCAATTCTCCTACTGTGGCCTCCCAAAATACTGAGATTATAGGCATGGGCCATGACACTTGGCCTTGCAGCAGACTTTCAAATCAGGTAGTGTGATGCCACCAACTTTGTTCTTTTTGCTCAAGACTGCTTTAGCCATTCAGGGCCTTTTGTGACCCTATACACATTTTAGGATTGTTTTTTCTATTACTGTGAAAAGTGTCATTGGAATTTTGATAGGGATTGCTCTGAATCTGTAGATCACTCCGGCAAAGAATCCAAACTGTTGAATTTTCAAGCTACCTAGACCATTTGTTCATTGTTCAGATAGATTTTTTTCTTATTTTTGGTTATCCACAGACTGACCCTCTATTTATTCCAAATATTAAAACTTTGTCATCGAAAACACACACCAGAAGATGACTTACTTTGCCCACATCAAAAGTTAAATGGATTTTGCTGTACATCATAGTGAATAATAACATATTGTATACTTGCAAATTGCTGAAAGTAGATTTTAAGTATTCTCACCCACACGCACAAAAAAGGTATGTAAGGTAATGCATATGTTAAACAGCTTGATCTACCCATTCCACTATATATACATACACACACATATACACACACACATATATATACACACTCACACATATATATGTAAAATAATTCCAAGTGTTTGCTCACTGAAGACTTGACAGTACTTTCAAGCTTATAGTTGTGGGGTTACAATAGGAGACTAACAATTCTCCTCATACCAGTCTCCATTGTTTAAATTATAACTGAAAAATGATTTAGAATAAGATAAACTGTAACTGTGTTGTGACACAGAATATGAGTAAAATGTTAAAAAAATGTAAATATATATATATTTTTTAGTATGTGTGTATATATGTATAGGGTCTCACTATATATATATATACACACACACACTTGGCGCACTGTGTATATATATATATATATATATATACACACTCCCCCCCAAAACATCATGTTGTATACCATAAATATATATAATTTTTACTTGTCAATTAAAAAAATTATTTTACAAGTTAAATGGGTTTTGTAAATGAATTACTATACTATGTCTCTCTATTCCATTCACAAGGAGTTTAAGTCAGACATATTCAAAGTGGAGTCTTGACCACTGTGTCCCCAATACCCAAACAGTACCTACACATAACAGGTGCTAACTAAGTATTTGTTGAATTAGTGGCCTCAGAACAGCTCTCTTAACTTGTGTGTGTGGGAAGAAAATGACAGCAAAATTCCAGTAAAGTTTAATTTAGAAATTGTGGTTTTAGATCTGAAGGACCTTAGGCAATGACCTTATCTCCTCATTTTACAGGTGAAAACTTTAAAACATTTTACTCCTATTTATTCTATGTCACAACACAATCATAGTTGAGCTTATTCTAAATCATTTTTCAATTTTTATTTATTTATTTATTTTTTGAGACAGAGTCTCGCTCTGTCACCCAGGCTGCAGTGCAGTGGCACAATCTCGGCTCACTGCAATCTCTGCCTCTTGGGTTCAAGCGATTCTCCTGCCTCAGCCTCCCAAGTAGCTGGGATTACAGGCACCTGGCACCACACATGCTTTATTTTTGTATTTTTAGTAGAGACAGGGTTTCACCTTGTTGGCCAGGCTGGTCTTCACCTCCTGACCTCAGGTGATCCACCTGCCTCGGCCTTACAGGTGTAAGCCATTGTGCCCAGCCCAACTTGGCTCACCACAACCTCTGCCTCCTGGGTTCATGCGATTCTGCTGCCTCAGCCTCCCAAGTTGCTGGGACTACATGCATGCACCACCACGCCCAGCTAATTTTTGTTTGTTTGTTTGTTTGAGACAGAGTCTCGCTCTGTCGCCAGGCTGGAGTACAGTGACATGATCTCGGCACACTGCAACCTCTGCCTCCCAGGTTCAAGCATTCTCCTGCCTCAGCCTCCCGAGTAGCTGGAACCATAGGCGCGTGCCTCCATGCCCAGCTAATTTTTCTATTTTTTTAGTAGAGACGGGGTTTCACCATGTTGGCCAGGATGGTCTCAATCTCTTGACCTCGTGATCCGCCCGCCACGGCCTCCCAAAGTGCTGAGATTACAGGTGTGAGCCACTGTGCCCGGCCTAATTTTTGTATTTTTTTAGTAGGGATGGTGTTTCACCATGTTGGACAGGCTGGTCTTGAACTCCTGACCTCAAGTGATCCACCCACCTTGGCCTCCCAAAGTGCTGGGATTACGGGCGTGAGCCACGGTGCCCAGATCCATTTTTCAATTATAATTTAAACAATGGAGACAGGTATGAAGAGAACTGATAGTCTTCGAATTGTAACCCCCATTGCTATAGGCTTGAAAGTAGTGTCTTCAGAGAGCAAACACTTGGAGTTATGATGATGAAACACTCTACTGTCAACCAACTGGACATCAGTATCTTTCTCCCATTTTTTTCAAGTGTGTTTTTCCTGGAGAGTATAACCATAGCCTTGGCATAGTATAACAATGGCCTTTTCTCAATCACTTTCCAGTCAATATGTGCCTTCATTCTTTTACTTCCTTTCACGTAATTCCCAGTAGAAGGGGGTGAGAAATCTATTACATAAAACTGAGTTTTTAATAGAAAACTATTTTTATATGTAAAAACAGGAAAGAGGCTGCAACAATTAAAAACACAAATTCTATCACCTGAACTTGCTTCTTCCAATAAAAGATAACCAATAAACCCATCATTTAAGAAAGATTCCTTTCTATGAAACATAATGAATTATACAAAAAGGAACATTAGAAGTCCAACAATATCAGATCAGTCTGTAGTAACAATCCTGGAATGCAATATTTTCATTAGGAAATAAAGATTTTACCTTGCTTGATAGAGGGACTAAATAATGACATAGCATCTTCTTCATGTGATAACACTGTTACACTAGATGTCCCATCTTCTACCTGCAAACAAATATTTCATGTTAGGCTGAAATATATAATTTACCAACAATAAAATCTACCAATTATTGAGGAGCTGTGTGTCAGGCATCCAGCTAAGTGTTTAACATACATTATCACTGATTCTTACAGTAACAAGTAAGTAGTATGCTTATTATTACTTTTTTTTGAGATGGACTCTCGCTCTATCACCAGGCTGTAGTACAGTGGCACGATCTCGGCTCACTTGCACCTCTGCCTCCTAGGTCAAGTGATCTCCTGCCTCAGCTTCCCAAGTAGCTAGGACTACAGACACATGCCACCACGCCCAGCTAATTTTTGTATTTTTAGTAGAGATGTGGTTTCACCACATTGGCCAGGATGGTCTCAATCTCTTGACCTTGTGATCCGCCCACCTCAGCCTCCCAAAGTGCTGGGATTATAAGTATGAGCCACCACGCCTGGCCTGTGGTATGTTTATCTTATAGACAAAAGTAGAGACTCTAATGTGCCCCAGAAAATATGGCTGATAAACAGTGAGAGCTGAAATTTTATCCTAAATCTGTCAAATTCCAAAGTCCATGTTCTTTCTTTCTTTCTTTCTTTTTTTTTTTTTTTTTTTGAGACAGAGTCTCACTCTGTCACCCACGCTAGAGTGCAGTGGCATGATCTTGGCTCACTGCAACCTCCCCCTCCTGGGTTCAAGAGATTCTCCCGCCTCAGCCTCCCAAGCAGCTGAGATTACAGGCATGCACCACCACACCTGGCTAATTTTTGTATTTTTAGCAGAGATGGGGTTTCGCCATGTTGGCCAGGCTGATCTCGCTCTCCTGATCTCAGGTGATCTGCCCGCCTCAGCCTCCCAAAGTGCTGGGATTACAGGCGTGAGACACAGCACCCAGCCGGTTCACGTTCTTTCTATTATACCTGCAGCCTTCCCAACTACCACTACTCTCATACTTCCAAAAAGACAAAATTTCAAGTACCTGGCATATAGTAGGGCTAAGTAAAACTTTGTGAAACTAATTTTGTATTAAACATATTATTGGGGGCCAGGCACGGTGGCTCACGCCTGTAATCCCAGCACTTTGGGAGGCCGAGGCGGGCGGATCACTTGAGGTCAGCAGTTCAAGACCAGCCTGACCAACATGGAGAAATCTCGTCTCTACTGAAAATACACAAAATTAGCCGAGCGTAGTGGCGCATGCCTGTAATCTCAGCTACTAGGGAGGCTGAGGCAGGAGAATCACTTGAATCAGGGAGGCGAAGGTTGCAGTGACCTAAGATCATAACTTTGCACTCCAGCCTGGGCAACAAGAGCGAAACTCCGTCTCAAAACAAACAAACAAACAAAAAAAAAAACTCACACGTATTATTGGATCCTTTTCATAACTTTACAGATTTCAATTTTTTTTTTTTTTAAACGGAGTATTGCTCTGTCACCAGGCAGAAGTTCACTGGCATGATCTCAGCTCACTGCAACTTCTGCCTCCTGGGTTCAAGCGATTCTCCTGTGTCAGCCTCCTGAGTAGCTGGGACTACAGGCGCCCGCCATCGCACCCAGCTAATTTTTGTGATTTTAGTAGAGATGGGGTTTCACCATCTTGGCCAGGCTGCTCTCGAACTCCAGACCTAGTGATCCACCCACCTCAGCCTCCCAAAGTGCTGGGATTACAAGCGTGGGCCACTGTGTCTAGCCTATTTTCATATTTTGTATATAAGACATAATTCCTGTGTAGCAAAGTTATCTTAATCTTAACAAATTCTCATATATTTGATTTTTAAATTTTATTCTAATAACTATATATCTTGCACTTCATTTTTACTTCTAGGTGCACTGTAAGTTCCTGAATCACATATTCAAAAATAGCACATATTTTTTAAACTCAGTGATGTATATTTTATTGTATCTTTGAAAACTGGTAATTCACTTACAACATATTTTAAAATCACTGTCAAAATAGCCTACCTAAATGTCCTGATTTCAATTATGACAAGTTTAATATGCCCTTTATCCAACCCAGAAACTTTTAAACAACAAAATATTTTCATTATCAGAGGTCAGCTATAATTGGTACCATGTGCTTGATTTACCCATTCAAAAAAATACATTTTTCTTTTTTTCTTTTTGAGACGGAGTCTCGCTCTGTCACCCAAGCTGGAGTGCAGTAGCCTGATCTTGGCTCACTGCAACCTCTGCCTCCTGGGTTCAAGGGATTCTCCTGCCTCAGCCTCCCGAATAGCTGGGATTACAAGGCGCACACCACCACACCCAGCTACTTTTTGTATTTTTATTAGAGACAGGGTTTCACCATGTTGGCCAAGCTGGTCTCAAACTCCTGTCCTCAGGTGATCTGCCTGCCTCGGCCTCCCCAAGTGCTGGTATTACAGGCATGAGCCACCGCAGCCGGGCAAAAATAAGTTTTTCTAAATAAATGATTACTCTTTCTATTCTAAGACAAAAGAAGTGAGATAACTGTGGTAGTAAGAGTGTTACTATATGCAGTGCTACAAAATCAACAGTGACCCTTTGGTGTACTGTGATTTCTCTTACCTTGTGTTTTTTTCCAGCTTCTCTCTCACTATTTTGTCTATCTTTTTTATCAGGAAAAAGGAATTCCTCATCTCCTTCAACAAATGCATATGGATCAATTTTAGGTTCTTGTTCTGCATCAGATGCTATTGCTGAAAGACACTGGTTTTTAATTTGATATTGCTGCACTAATTCATCAGAAACTTTTAAAGGTTTCTTACATTGCACCATTAACCTGCATAAAAAAATTAAAAAAAATTAATTATCCACATAAGCATTAAAAATTTCCAAAATGACGTTAAGTATCATAATGTTTTTAGAATTACTTAAAGATTATCTAACCTACAATCCCTTATTTCAGAAATGAGGAGGCATGAAAATATTAAATAATTTATTGAAGTCTAAAATTTAGCCATAGAGAAATGGGGCCAAAATCCAAGTTTCCTAACTATATGATCTTTCTACCAAAATATGTTGTCTTTAGGTAATTCACGGTTTAGGTAACTCACGGTTCTCAAGTCCTCAAGCACACTATTTTGTACAAATCCATTCCCTGAAAGGGGCTCTTAAATCTAAACTGCTCCAGTACAGTGACTCAAAGTGGGAGCTTTATAAAAGTGAGTAAAATACTTTTAAACAATTTATACATTTATACAAGGAAAGTGATTATGTATTTTTTTTTTACTGCCATGAGTAGATATACTTTAAGTTTTAAATTTTTGAAGGCCTGATTTGTGTTTCATGAAAATAGCATTATTACTATTAATTCTGGCAAGATGTTTCACAATGGAAAGTGAAGTTTCAGTGCAAGTATCTGAGTTTTCTAATCACATTGGCACATCAATTTTTAAGTTATTAGTCTTCTGGTTCAACACAGCAACTAAGAAATTGTTTCTCTTTATTCTCCTAAAATAACCAATAAAATGACAGGAGATGACAGAATAAAAGAGAAGACAACAAGGAAGTTGGAAAGATGAGCTAGTGGAAACTGACAGACCACAGAAAGCTGAAATCTAAGGATAAAAGAGGGATGCCACAACAAGAAGCAAGCTGATCTATACCAAAGAACCCTGGAAAGCATCAGGAGTTTTTTCTCTCTGAAGACCCGACTGCTCGGTGAGTGTGAACACAGAATCATTAGCTTCTGGTTTGCATAAGACATGTTTAGACTCTCAAATTCCTATTCTCTCGGGTTTACAAAGCTAAGGTTCTCAGGTTGTCCTAACAGTAGCTAGCAGCCAAGCTTGCAGTCAGATCATGGCCAGAATCTTGCAATGACTATTTCACTCTGAGAAAAAAACCAAAGTCCTTATACCATCCTATGAAAACTTCCCATCATCTTGTTCTTCTCCTCTTCATCTTTTACTATTCTAGTCCTCTCTTATACTGCTTCCAAGGGCTTCCTTTATGTTCCTCAATGGGTTCCAGACCCATTCCTGGCTATTTCTTTTATGGGGAACATTCTCCTTCCAAATATCTGCATGGCCAACTCGCTCACTTCCTTCAAGTCTTTGCTTAAATGTCACCTATGAGCCCATAACTACTTTATTTTAAATAGCAATATGCCCATGCCCACTTGCCTCAATAATAATCCCCCTTACCCTGCTCTATTTTCCTGCATAGCATTTATCTTTTAACATATTACATAATTTATTATATTCATAGTTGACTGTCACTCACACTAGAACATAAAAGCTCCACAAGGACAGGGGTCTAACCTTTGTTCACTAATTTAGCACAGATGCCTAGAGTACCTGGTACATAATAGGTGTCAATACTTGCTAGTGAATAAATGAAATCTAAAAATCACAGACTGAGATGTTTTTGCATTAGTACTACTAAAATACACTATCTTGTACTTTGAAATAAACAATTTTTACACACTAGAAGGTACCAATGCCACTGCTTATCTACTCTGAGTACTAAGACAAAAATTGTAAGATATGTAAGGTCTGGTAGCAATGAAGGTATTTGCAGATCGTACATTCTTTGACTCACAGGCAAATCTTATCTCATTCATCTATTCACTAATGCCTAACACTAGTAGCACTTGATCTCTTACAAACTCGGGGCAAAGTAGGCCATCAAAACAAAAACTGATTTCTAAACATGCTATCAAATGCTCAAATACATATCATTATTATTCCAAATACGCCCCAGATTTATTGCAAAAACTAAAATCCCAAGCATACAAAAACTTTCTGCTGTGGGAATATAATGCTAGCACACTGTCATTGGGGATATGTTTTATAATTAATCATCAGGATAGTTCTGTTCTATAAACAGCTGAGTATCAAGTGTAGTTTTTTACCTCACCACATTAGACTCTAAATAACGGTTAGCTGAATTGTCTACCAAATATTCACTAATGCAAATCTTTTTAAAATAGTAATTCTAACTACTTTGATATGTACTTTTCTTATTTAATACTTAAAATAATATTTTAAGATAAGAAGCAAAGGGTATTATCCCTGACTTTGATGTGGAAATTATGTAAAATCAAGGGCTTTGCTGAGGTCACATAGTGGCAAAGTCAGAAATGAAAAGATTTTAAGTATTTATATTCAAATAACTATCCTTAGGGAATAAAGTATAAGAAATCTCCCTTCCCCCAGCCTGAAAGACACTACTACTCTCTGTAGAGACAAATAAAACTCGGTGTTTCATATTACGTTGTCCTCTGGCAGAAGTATAAAAACCTTCACACTGTTTACATAAGTAGTTGCTAGACTACTGTGCAGTAACATTATTAAAAAAACCAACTCTACTGCACAGGGCTCTATTAAAATAAAAAATGAGTAAACCAAATGCATTACCTAAATATGACTGTTTGTTATTTTATTGAATCATTCTCACAGACATTAGCATGTGCAAAGAATTTAAATGTAGTCAATTTCAAGAGTATCAAGACACAATAAATTTTAAAATATAAATTCATTTACATTATACATTCTATATTTAAAGCTGATAATAGAATTAAAAATTGTTACTTTTAAGAGATGCCAGATAAAAAAACTCTAATTACCATACTGTCAACATCAATTATATAGTACACATACACTTTTAGAATACGAATAACCCTCTCCTTTCCTCAAACGAACTTTCACATACAGCCAAATAATTAACTACAGACACAGTTTCAATTAGACATAAAGCTAAATACAGACAAACTGCAAAAAGATCAGGTACAGCCATGAACAGGAAGTGCTGCAAGGCCCAAAGCATTATATTATTCATTAATTGCAACTCTTTCCTTTTACTATGACAATAACATACTATCCTGAAATGTACTCATATAGAATTTAACATAGCTTATGGTAGCATATGCTGTTATGCCTTTATTCAATAAAAATTCTTCCAGATGAGGTATGACAGTTTTTAAGATGACAATTATAGAAGCAGATAAGCTACAGACGGAAAGTTAAGAAACAAATGAATGCAATAATGTCAAAATCTTCCCACCGCCTTTTTTTTTTTTTTTTTTTTTTTGAGACAAGGTCTTGCTGTCACCCAGGCTGGAATGCAGTGGTGCGGTCTCAGCTCACTACAACCTCCACCTCCAGAGTTCAAAGTATCCTCCCTCTTCGGCCTCCTGAGTAGCTGGGACTACAGGTGTGTACCACCACACTTGGCTAGTTTTTTATTTTTTGTAGAGACAGGATCTCACTATATTGCCCAGGCTGGTCTTGAACTCCTGGGCTCAAGTGATCCTCCCATGTTTGCCTCCCAAAGTGCTGGGATTACAGGTGTGAGCTACTGAGCCCAGCCTAAAATCTCCCACTTTTTAAATGGTACTTTTTTTTTTTTTTTTTTTTTTTTACCGTCTCCTATATTCAGAATCAATCCCTAAACTGAGCCAAGGTCACTGTCAAAGGAAAGCTTTATTTGCATTAAAATAAAACAGCAAATATAGAAGACTTACTTAAAAGATTTAGAGTACAGAAAAATCAAAACAAGTTTATTTCATCACAGACTTCTTTCTGTGAATCAAAGGCATTCAGAACTATGTTTTAGAGATCAAATAATGTATTCTACAACTATATACATACAAATCTGGTATACCACTAACACAACATAGGAGTTAATTCTATTGATGAATATCATGGCTAAGATATCCTGATATACTTTGGCTACAGAATAAAACATGTAAAGAACTATGCTCAAATACAGTTCTTTCTTTGCTCAGGGTTTAGACAGGTTTCCCTCTGAATCAGAATCACAGACTAAACAATCACAAATTCTTCTAAAACTAAGTGCTAAACCCATGAAAAAAAGATATAATGTTTCTTGCCAGAAATTTTGCTATCTTTAAAATCTATATGGTTCTTAGCCTCTATTCTGAAATACATGCTATCATTAACTAATAGATAAACTAAAAAGAATTAGAAAAAAAGATATTTGCCACGTGTATCTTATATATGGGTTATGCTATGTTCCACTCCAACCTCTCCTTCCCCACAAGTAAATTCTAACAAATTAGAGAAATTTTACTTTTACAAACATAGTCAATGAAAAGTTAAACATAAAATTGCTACACATGAAAGTCTAAGAATAAAAAAGGTACTCAGAAATGATAAATTCTATAATGCTATACTAGTTAGGTAGCCATCACCACCTGAAACTGCTAATCAGAAAAATCAAGAGGGCTGGGTGCAGTGGCTCACATCTGTAATCCCAGCGCTTTGGGAGGCCAAGGTAGTAGCATCACCGGAGACCAGGAGTTCAAGACCAGCCTGGACAACATAGCGAGATCCTGTCTAAAATCCTGGCTAAAAAAAAATGTTTTTAATTAGCCAAGCGGTATTGTCACATGTCTGTAGTCTCAGCTTCTTGGGAGGCTAAGGAGGATGGATGGCTTGAGCCCAGGAGTTCAAGGCTGCAGTGAGCCATGATCATGCCACTGCACCATAGCCTGGGTAACAGAGCAAGATCCTCTCTCATAAAAAGAAAAAATAAAAATCAAGAGTATTAATTTCTTTCACTAACCCACTACTATGGAAGGACAGTGCCACCTTTCAATAGCAATCAATGGAAACATTTATTTACACCAAACAGAAAATGGAGTTTCACTTAACACAAATAAAACAAAGCTTTGAATTTCTCCTACCGTAATTTTCTATGAAGTCACATACCTGTAAAAGTTCCACTATTATAAATCCACTAGTTCTCTGTTTCTACTGATGCATTCTTGTCCTTTTGCATTGTATATCTACTCTAACTGGGTTATCAGCAATCCCCTCTATTAAGTTTCAGACATGATCCCAACCGCCTGATGGAATCTCTCAGCAGGCACCTCAAACTGCATTCACATGTTTACGATGTACTCACATTACATGTACATAGCTAAAGTCATGTAGTACAAAAAGATGAAAAGCCTAAGTATCAATCTCTCTCCTTCAAGATAACAAGTACTATTTCTATCATCTAATTAAGGTGGAAAAAAACCTAGGTATATGCCAGCATATATGTATGCACATATGTACTTTGGTTCCTCATCTACATACAGAGCTTCTCATATCAGCCTATACAGATTTCCTTTGCTTATTTAAGTGGATATGCCATTATTATTTAGCCAGACCTTCATTATTTAGCAAGACCTTACTTTCATAAGGTGTATCAATAGTTTTGTTTTTTGTTGTTTTATTTTTTGGAGATGGAGTCTTGCTCTGTTGCTCAGGATGGAGTGCAGTGGCGTGGTCTTGGCTCACTGCAACCTCTGGCTCCCAGGTTTAAGCGATTCTCCTACCTCAGCCTCCTGAATAGCTGGGATTACAGGCGCCTGCCACCACGCCCAGCTAATTTTTTGTATTTTTAGTAGAGACAGGGTTTCACCATGTTGGCCAAGCTGGTCTCAAACTCCTGACCTCGTGATCCACCCACCTCGGCCTCCCAAAGTGCTGGGATTACAGGCGTGAGTCACTGCGCCCAGCCTAGGTATTTCAATAGTTATTCCAAGGTACTTCTACTTAGAAACGCTACTTTAAAAAAATCAGAAAAATTAAGTTTGGTAAGATTTAGCCTAAAGTGGGTAAAAACAATGGTACAGACACCTTCAAACCTATTCTTTCTCATCTTTCTACCTCATGAACTAAATACGCTTGGCCTTAAACTCTCCTGTTATTCTCCTACTTTACTGTTTAACTGGCTGCAAAGTTCTTCAAAATATATTCCACAGCATCTATAACATTCATACATCCCTGCTACTTCTAATTTCCCAGTGTCGGCCTCACATCACTTTCTATATGAGTTGTCCAAACTGATCTCCTTTCACACAGACATATCTTTTCATTTCAAGCAACCTTTCAATAACATTACTTGGTGAGTTTTTCCAAAATCCTTATTTTCTAAAACTTGTCATTTTATCTCACTCAATACTTGCAATAGTCCCTCCATCATCTCAAGGATAATATACAAACTTATGAATACTATTCTGCTATTCCATTCTATAGTCCTACGCTTTTCAGGTCTCATTTCTCATCATGACACACCAAACTACTAAGGAGCACCCCTATAATCTAACCATACCAAACTACATAAAGCTTCTGGAGCTTCATAAATGGAATTAAATTATTCCCCACTCTGTGTCTGTACTATATTTTATTTATACCTCTATCAGATAATATGCTATTTTCCATTAGACTACAATTTCATTTATGGTCAAGAGTAAATTTATTTTATACACTAACAGTGCCCCACAGCATCCTGCGTAAGAGAAACTTCAGTTTTATTGAAACTGATTTTAAAAATACCTTTTAAGAATATGAATTTAAAAAGAAAAATAATACTCCTAAGAAGAGATACAAAATGCAGAGGACTTGCAACAGCCCTGTAATTAACTTTATTAAAATTAACTGCTAAACATTTAAATGCACTTTCAAAACTCAAAGAATGGAAAAATAATAATAGATATTTACAATGACTAGGTGACAGAAATTCACCAATTTACTAATATAAACAAACCAGGCTTCTGAATGAATTACTCTATGACTAAAGAGGTGTTTGATCATATTACATCTTTAAAATTGTAAGTGCTTCCAGAAAGAATTTAAGAGGGTTGTTTAAATGCCATCAAAAGAGGGCTGGGCACGGTGGCTCACTCCTGTAATCCCAGCACTTTGGGAGGCTGAGGTGGGCGGATCACCTGAGGTAGGGAGTTCAAGACCAGCCTGGCCAACATGGCGAAACCCGTCTCTACTGAAAATACAAAAATTTGCCAGGTGTGGTGGCACACGCCTGTAATCCCAGCTACTCGGGAGGCCAAGGCAGGAGAATCACTTGAACCTGGGAGGCGGAGGTTGCAGTGAGCCGAGATTGCGCCACTGCACTCCAGCCCGGGCAACAAAAGCAAAACTCCATCTCAAAAAAAAAAAAAAAAAAAAGCCATCAAAAGAGAATAACAGTAATTCATGGAATTTATTTTAATGACAGGGAACATCATCTAACTTTGTCAATTGGCTGTACCACTTTCTACAAGGAGACAACTATTATTTTGATCCTTGTCACATCATATCTGAAGCAATATTAACAGCAGGTAATAAATTATCCAATTATTCCAACAAAATCCTTTTCACTATAAGAAAAAAAAGCATTTTTGTTTCAGCATATAAAAGACCATGTCAAGTATCTCACTCTAGTTTGGAGTGACTGAAATAGTATGGGGAATCTCCCCAATGAAGTCAATCAGTAAACACGCTGATCTTTCTAATAACTATTACTTTAGAATTCAATTTTCTGTTACAAGTTATTCATTATATTAAAGTACCTTAACACTTCTAACACTTCGAGCTGGATAATTTTTTGTTATGGGAGATTATCCTGTGCACTGTAAGATATTTAGCAGCATCTCTAATTTCTACCTACTAGGTGCCAGTAGCACACCCCAAGGTGATAACCAAAAATGTCTCTACACATTGGCAAATGTTACCTGGGGATGGGGCTGGAGGGATATAAAATTGCCCCAGTTGAGAAATACTACACAGAACAATAATTCCAGGAAAAGGATAGAATCATCCAGATGATTATTTTTAAAAGCAAACTTTTAACCTACCAACTATAGAACAATTTATATTCCATAAATGCTTCTTAGTTAACATAGCAGCTAAGCCTTTGATGGTTCACCTTCTGGATATTTACCTTATCATCTAATCTATTATCATACTACAAAAACAAGGCTTATATCTAAAAGCAAATTGTGGCCAGGTGCAGTGCCTCACACCTGTAATCCCAGCACTTTGTGAGGCTGAGGCAGGTGGATCACCTGAGGTCAGGAGTTCGAGACCAGCCTGACCAACATGGTGACACCTCGTCTCTACTAAATACAAAAAATTAGTCAGGCGTGATGGTGCATGCCTGTAATCCCAGCTACTTGGGAGGGTGAGGCAGGAGAATTGCTTGAAGCCAGGAGGCAGAGGTTGCAGTGAGCCAAGATTGTGCCATTGCACTCCAGCCTGAGCAACAACAGCAAAACTCAAAAAAAAAAAAAAAAAAAAAAGCAAAAAGTGAACTGTGACATGATACACATTTCAGTAACTAGTATAACCAAAACAATATTCACATAAGACATATGATTAAAATTAAAACTCTTTTATTCAATCTTTTTTTTCCCTTGTCTATAAGGCAGAAAAAAAGGGTGACAAGGAATAGGCAAAGCATGTTATTTCCTTAACTTACATAATTACAATCCAGTACCACTCTACCCTGCACGCTACTTTTCTACACTATGCTTCCTCCTTCTCATTCTTATTCAGTGAGAAAAATGTCAAATAATTTTAGAACAGATTTTAAGGTTAAACTGTATTAACTTCTAAGAGACCTTCATTTTACTTACAGATAGTCATGTACACAAGCAACCAATACATTTATTTAAAGTTATGGCTAGAATTAACAGCTCTTATGAATACAATGTGCCCACAAAAACTCACTATTGAAGGTTTTAAAACCAAAAAACTTCATACCACCACATTTTTACACACATTAAATAAGAAAATATAACCTGGAAAGAAAACAAGTTTTAAAATAGTATTTTAGGGCCATTTCATTCACCCAAACATTTGCTGAATTTCTATTGTGTATCCAGAATTGTTCTAAGGGGGTGTGTGTGTTTATGCTAGAAGAATACAGCAGTAAACAAGACAAGAGTCCTTGCCCTCATAGAGCTTACATTCTAATAGGGAAAAGACCATTAGCAAATACATAATATAATTTCAGATATATGCTAAGAAGAAATTAAAAGCAGCATACAGGATAGGCAGTGATTTGGGAGAGAAAGACCATAGTTTAGATAAAATGGTGAGGAAAATCTTCCCTGAGAAGATAACTTTTGAGCAGCACTGAATGATAAGAAGGGATAAGCAGTTCACCCTCTTTATAATCCAATTCTAAAAGGCCATGAGGAATGAGCTTGGCTTTTTGAATAATTTATCAAGGATGCTGGTGTAGCTAAATCAGGAGACAAGTAGGATACCAGTAGGTAACATGGGTGAAGAACTAGGGAGGCAAGAGACTGCATACAATCTTACAGATCAGGAGAAAGGGTCTGGATTTTACTCTAAGTGTAAAGGGAAACTATGGGAGAGATTTAAGCAAATAAGTAAGACAATATTTTACTTGCAATGATTACCCTCACTGCTGTGTAGAGAATACATGTAGAATAGAAACAAGGAGACTAGTAATCTCAGGCCAAGAGCTGAGGCTGGCTTAGACTTATACTACATTTAGCAAGAGTAAGATTAAGATCTTTTAAGGCTTGTTTCTAAGACATCATTTACTTTTTTTTTTTTTTTTTTTTGAGACGGAGTCTCGCTCTGTCGCCCAGGCTGGAGTGCAGTGGAGTGATCTCTGCTCACTGTTAACTTCCGCCTCCTTGTTCAAACGATTCTCCTTAGCCTCCAAGTATCTGGGATTACAGGCGCACGCCACCACACCCAGCTAATTTTTGTATTTTTAGTAGAGACAGGGTTTCACCATGTTGGCCAGGCTGGTCTGGAACTCCTGACTTCAGGTGATCCACCCGCGTGGCCTCCCAAAGTGCTGGGATTACAGGCGTGACCCACCACGCCCAGCCCTAAGATATCATTTACTTTCAAGAGACCTGCTGACTATTAAATAAGCTCACTGTCTTCCACAATCCCTAAGAGTATACTGATATCTCTTAATTAACAATCCAGATTAATTTTAATTAAAAATAAAATCATAGATGGGCAGAGTGGCTCGTGTCTGTAATCCCAGCACTTGGGGAGGCTGACACAGACTGATCACTTGAGATCAGGAGTTCAAGACCAGCCTCGCCAACATGGTGAAACCTGATCTCTACTAAAAATACAAAAATTATCTGATCGTGGTGGTGCACGCCTGTAATCCCAGCTATTCTGGAGGTTGAGGCACAAGAATCGCGTGAACCTGGGAGGTGGAAGTTGCAGTGAGCCGAGACTGCGCCAATGCGCTCCAGCCTGAATGACACAGTAAGACTCTGTCTCAAAATAAATAAAATAAAATAAAACAAAATAAAATCATACTAAAATACTTTTAGATTCAAAGGGCCAGATGAAGCACAGGACTTATCTGCTAAAATGACGATAAAAGCATTTTAATTTACTATTATTTTTTAAGAGACAGGGTCTCACTGCTGCCCAGGCTGGAGTACAGTGGCTATTCACAGGTGCAATCCCACCACTATCAGCATAGGAGTTTTGACCTGCCCATTTCCATCCTAGGCTGGTTCACCAGTCGTCAGGCAACCTGGAGGTCACCATACTGATGCTGAACTTGATGCAGACACTTAATCGGCATAGTGCACAGCAGCCCGGAACTCCTGGGATCAAGCAATCCTCCTGACACAACCAGAGCACTCGGCTAGGTATTTTAACAGAGAATAAATCTCTAACAGTAGGAAAAATGAGAGAGAGGCTATAAATGGACCAGATGTTTCACTAAGTCTCAGGGAAGCTCAAAATAAGATAAAATACAGCAGAAAAAGTTCACAGCCTACAATATGCAAAAGAAGGGATTATAGCCCAACTACATAAACAACAGGAGAGTCTAACTGCCTGGAAAAGTGAGAAAAAATCCGGACAGAAATGAGAAGAAGGGGTTACTTTGGTCACACTGCCTATGGGTGTAGCCCTGCTCTGCAAGGAGCAGTAAAAAAAAAAAAAAGGGGGGGGGGAGGGAAAAAGAAAAAGGAGAAGGGGAGACAGGAAGGAGAAGAAAAACAAAAGTGAGAAAAAGAGCTGAAAATGGGACAACAAGAAAGATTCCTTTTTAAGGAAAATGAATAAACTACCTGTCAAAATAAGTATAACATCCTTTTCATTCTGGAATTTTAGGAATGGTTGCCTTCCCTTCCAAAAATTCCCCATCCAGTTATCATAAAGCGAATTATCTGACACCTATACACATTACATACTAAAGTATTTATTGAATGAGCAAGGACCACCAGTCAACAAGCTCTACCTATATACAACATTTCCAATCAGTCTATCTATTCTCTCACATTAAAATACGTCTAGACAGGCCAGGTGTGGTGGCTCATGCCTGTCTGTAATCCCAGCACTTTGGGAGGCCGAGGCCAGTGGATCACTTGAGGTAAGGAGTTCGAGACCAGCCTGACCAACATGGTGAAACCCCGTCTCTATTAAAAATACAAAAATTAGCCGGGCATGGTGGCACGCACTTATAGTCCCAGCTACTTGGGAGGCTGAGGCAGGAGAAACGCTTGAACCCGGGAGGTGGAGGTTGCAGTGAGCTCAGATCACACCATTGCACTCCAGCTTAGGAGACAGAATGAGACTCCATCTCAAAAAAATAAAATTAAAATAATAGTAACAATCAAGTCGGGCGTGGTGGCTCATGCCTGTAATCCCAGCACTTTGGGAGGTCAAGGCAGGCAGATCACGAGGTCAGGAGATCAAGACCATCCTGGCTAACAAGGTGAAACCCCGTCTCTGCTAAAAATACAAAAAATCAGACAGGCGTGGTGGCACGTGCCTATAGTCCCAGTTCCTCTGGAGGCTGAGGCAGAAGGGCTGCTTGGACCTGGGAGGCGGAGGTTGCAGTGAGCCGAGATAGCGCCACTGCACTCCAGCCTGGACAAGAGAGCAAGACTCCATCTCAAAAACAAAAAAACAAAAAACAACCAGAAATACGACAAGAAGAATCCGAGTAAAGAACAAGACCAAAATAAAGTAATTCTAGAGAAAAATAAAATCACAGAACATCAAACAACGGAATGTTATTTTTAAAAAAAATCAGTTGAGAATGTTTTTAAAACATGAGAAAGAAAAATTCAGAATTCAAGAAAGTTGAGAATCCCCTGAGAAAACAGAGCACCATCTGAATCATGGAAGTTTTAAAAAGAATTTTTTAGGAGATGGTATTACCTAAGAAATAGAGAATTTCCAAATGGCAGAACAAAGGCCTTCAAACTGAGTTAGACCTTGGCCGGGCGTGGTGGTTCACGCCTGTAATCCCAGCACTTTAGGAGGCCGAGGCGGGCGGATCACGAGGTCGGGAGATCCAGACCATCCTGGCTAACACGGTGAAACCCCGTCTCTACTAAAAATACAAAAAATTAGCCGGGCATGGTGGCAGGCGCCTGTAGCCCCAGCTACTTGGGAGGCTGAGGCAGGAAAATGGCGTGAACCCGGGAGGCGGAACTTGCAGTGAGCCAAGATCGCGCCACTTCACTCCAGCCTGGGCGAGAGAACGAGACTACGTCTCAAAAAATAAAAAACATAAAAAATTAGCAGAGTGTGCTGGTGCGCACCTATAGTCCCAGCTACTCGGGAGGCTGAGACAGGAAAATGGCCTGAACCCGGAAGGCAGAGCTTCCAGTGAGCCGAGATCACGCCACTGCACTCCAGCCTGGAGGAAAGAGCGAGACTGTCTCAAAAAAAAAAAAAAAAAAAAGCTGTGCGCAGTGGCTCACGCCTGTAATCCCAGCACTTTGGGAGGCCGGGGCGGGCGGATCATGAGGTCAGGAGATCGAGACCATCCTGGCTAACACGGTGAAACCCCCGTCTCTACTAAAAAATATAAAAAATTAGCCAGGAGTGGTGGTGGGCGCCTGTAGTCCCAGCTACTCAGGAGGCTGAGGCAGGAGAATGGTGTGAACCAGGAGGCGGAGCTTGCAGTGAGCAGGGATCGCGCAACTGTACTCCAGCCTGGGCCACAGAGCGAGGCTCTGTCTCAAAAAAAAAAAAAAAAAAAAAAAAAATTGAGTTAGCCTTTCAAGTGCCCAGCACAAGGACTGGAAAAAAGATCATTATACCTGCTACACAGATTCTTGTGACATTTCTAAAGCTAAGAGAAGACCTTAAAAGCCTCACAGAAGAGATCGCGTTTTTTTAAATGAGCAAGAATGAAACTCATTATTACACATTTCTTCTGAAGATACCAGAAGACAGTAAAGCAATGCCTATGAGTTCAAGGGGGAAATTATTTTCAATTATGAAACCAACATGTAGCCAAATTATCAATCCAAGCATGAGGGCAAAAAAATCAGGTCATTTTCAGAAATACAAAGGATGCCAAATTTATCTCCCACTCTTCCCCCCGCCGCCCCCTCCCCCCGAGGGAGCTAAAGATATTCACCAAGAAAATAAAGGCAAAACCAAAAAGAAGCCACTAGTTATAAAAAATTGTGGTATTAACTTGAGTCTAATCAAAATGAAATCCTAGAGAGCTGAAAACAAGTCTAGAAAGCAACTGGTTCACATTATAACAGAAATAAGAAAGTATTAAACTCCATATAATAGTTACATTATCTGGAGCAATCTGATGTTGAGAAAAAAAGCTACATTAAAAAATAAACATAAATCGATAATGAAAATGTGACATTTTAAGCAAATAAAGTCTAAGACATTATTTAACCTATTAGTAGCATTTAAGCAATAAGCAAGTAATTCACTAAAAAAAAGGTAATTCACTGACAATGATCTGATAAGGAAGGAATCGTAATCTTTGTACATTCCTTGGCCTTGTACTAATAAATAGGTAGACAGTTCTATTGAGCATAATGGTATTTTACTGGTTGATTTTCACCTTTTAGAAAAATTTATATGTAAAAGGCTTATTAGACAGACTATAAATGTATTAATAACAACATAGAAAGTCAAGGGATACCTGGAAAAAAGCCTTCTTCTGCCCAAAGTATAACATTAATACAGTGGACAAAGAAGGCAAACCACCAATGGAGGAAGAAACCTATAGCACATAAAACTAATGCAGGATTAATACCCAGAGCATGCAAATAATACATCAGAAAAAAAAGAAAAATGGACTAAAAAATACGATGACTAGGCAAGTCACAGAACAGGAAACCTAAATACACCCAAAACATTTTAAATGATGCTCAATCTCACTAGAAATCTGGAAGACACATATTTAGACAATGAGATGACATTTTGCATGCTGTAAATTACTGAAATTAAATCTTGTAAGACCAACTATAGAGGAAAATATAGTGCAACAGCCATTCTCATACACTGCTGGTTCATGAGGGTTTAAACTATATACCAGTTGCTGAACTGCAACTGGGCAACAACCCTTAATGTTGAAAATGGACATAGCCATGTTGAAAATGGCTTTTAGATGTATTTCCTAAAAAAATTCTTATACAAGTAAACAAGGAAATGTGTACCAAACAAAATGGAAAATGTTAGGGTGAAAAACTGAAAATAACCAACATATCCATCTTTAAGAGTTTAGGTATTTACTATATATTCATAAGGAAATACCATAAAGCAATTAAAATGAATAACTAGAGCTACACGTATAAAAACATGTACTGAAATAATAAGTACCAAATTGAGGCCAGGTGCGGTGGCTCATGCCTGTAATCCCAACACTTCAGGAGGCCGAGGTGGGTGGATCACTTGAGGTCAGGAGTTCGAGACCAGCCTAGCCAGCATGGTGAAACCCCATCTCTACTAAAAATACAAAAATTAGCTGGGTGTGGTGGCTCACACCTGTAATCCCAGCTACTCGGGAGGCTGAGGCAGGAGGGTCGCTTGAACCCAGAGGCGGAAATTTCAGTGGGCCTAGATCGTGCCTCTACACTCTAGCCTGGGTGACAGAGACTCTGTCTCAAAAAAAAAAAAAAGGTACCAAATTCAGGACAGTGGAAGGAAGACTGGAAGAAGAAAAACAGTACATGGGAATTCTAACTGTATGTAAAATCCTTAAGTTGGCTGATGTACAAGTGTTTACACATTATTTTCTCCACTTTTTGTGGCTAAAGTTATTTCATAATGAAGAAGTTCCCTGAGGAAAAAACACAGTAAAGGAATAATGCAAAGTTAATACTCAATGAATTTATTCTTGTAAATCCTACCTTGAATCCAATACTGAGTCCTAGTATTAAGAACTTGCATCACTTCCACCCTTAAATTATAATGGTGACTATTAAAAAAAATACATACTCTGTAACTGATGTTACACTTTCCTGTCCAAAAGGTCCAACTGGATCATCCTTGAATTTATCACTTGGAAGTTGAGGTGGTAAAAACTCTACATCTTTTTTCTTTGGGAACTTGTAATACTTCCAGGCTATATTGGCTTCATCTTCTTCCAAGTTTACTGCTGTACCAACATATACTGTAGGTTCTACAGCTTCCTGATATTGAGGTGGGAAAGACTGGGACAAACTGTCTATCCTATCTTCCATTGGTTTAGAAGGAACCAAGGGATCTGGTGTTGGCATTTGATAAAAATGTTGACTCTGAGGAGTTGAAGGTGTTTTAGTCACTCCTTCATCAACCACATCACAAGGGTGAGGACTAAGTGGGGGTGGTTGAGGTGAATTTGCCATTTCGGTGCCATGCATCTGAGGAGTCTTTGCTACATCATTAGTTCGGATATTTGAAAATCTCACTTGACTGTCTGGAGCAGAGATCACAAGTCTTTGGCTGGCTGAATCTGCGTCCATGCCAACATCATCACTAACAGACACACGATGGTGAAAAGGAGTCAAGGGGCGTTTCTGTGGCTTTTCACTCTTTTCTTGCTTCTCATTGGTCTTGTGCTTAGGAAGTATTTGTTGTTGCTGACCTAAAGATGGTGCCTGTCCTTGTTGTCCAGCATTTCTTGACTTGAGATTTTTGTGCCTGAAAAGTGAAAATAAAGGTTTCATATTTACAGTATCACTATTATGGCGAAGTATAATACCAGTTAATAGTATTAGACACTTCGGTTATCATTTCTTTTTCACATGTAATACTAAAAGTAAAATAATTTGAATTTGAAAGGGGAAAAAAATACTTTGCTCGTGACCTAAATAAAATATAAGGGCATGCAGAAACATTCATAAAAGCCAATTATCTCATGCTCATTTAATAGCCATGTGATCAGACAGCCAAAGATTATGTCTTACATGATTTAAATATTTTAGTATCTAATTTAAATATAGAGGTAAGATTCTAGTTAAGGTTAAAAGGTATAACAAGGCTTGAAATTTACTCATTTTTAAATGTACCTGATATTTCCTGTTAGTAATTATTATAAATTAATGGCTTGGCTAAGCTTAGTCATCACCTACAATCCTACAGCAACTGGCCAGAAAGCGTATTCTACTCTACTAAATAGAAGTTACATCAGTCTGGAAAGTGCTAGAATTGACTGATTGATGGGCCTCACACCATACCTACCTTCTCCAAATACTTAGCACTACAAAAAGAATAAACTGACTAGAAAAGGGAAAGAAAATGCCTAAAATAATTTCTTCCTCATAATTTGAAGCAATTCTAAAACGAAGAACTTAAATGATACACCTAAAAATCAAACAATTTTGTTAAGTTTAAGATTTCTAGGCTGGGCATGGTGGCTGACACCTGCAATCCCAGCACTTTGGGAGGATGAGGTGGGCGGATCACCTGAGGTGAGGAGTTCGAGACCAGCTTGGCCAACATGGTAAAACCCCGTCCTTACAAAAAATAAAAAATTAGCCAGGTGTGGTGGCACGCGCCTGTAGTCCCACCTACTCGAGAGGCTGAGGCAGGAGAATAGCTTGAACCCAGGAGGCAGAGGTTGCAGTGAGCCGAGATCACGCCACTGCACTCCAGCCTGGGTGACAGAGCAAGACTCCATCTCAAAAAAAACAAAAACAAAAACAAACAAAAAAAAGATTTCTTTCAGTGCGCACTGAGATTTCCACTCAATGAGAGATATATATACACATAACATTATTTTTACACTAAGAAACTTTTTTTTTTTTTTTTTTTGAGAGGGAGTTTCGCTCTTGTTGCCCAGGCTGGAGTGCAATGGCATGATCTCAGCTCACCGCAACCTCCACCTCCGGGGTTCAAGCGATTCTCCTGCCTCAGCCTCCCTAGCAGATGGGACTACAGGCATGTGGCCACCATGCCCGGCTAATTTTGCATTTTTAGTAGAGACGGGGTTTTTCCATGTTGGTCAGGCTGGTCCTGAACTCCCGACCTCAGGAGATCTGCCCACCTCGGCCTCCCAAAGTGCTGGGATTACAGGCATGAGCCACCGTGCCTGGCCAAGAAACTTTTAAAATGTGGTAAGATATGGAGTTTACACATTCAGTATTCATTAGGTTTTACTTTTTAAATTTTACTTTTTTGCTGAATCAGAGCTATCCAGAAAGAGTATTAAAAAGCAGTGACAGGCACTTATTTGAAAAACTCTGTTGAGAAGACATACTGAGACACTTTTTTTTTTTTGAGACCGAGTCTCACTCTGTTGCCAGGCTGTAGTGCAGTGGTGCAATCTTGGCTCACGGCAACCTCCGCCTCCCAGGTTCAAGCAGTTTTCCTGCCTCAGCCTCCCAAGTAGCTGGAACTACAGGCGTGCACCACCACACCTAGCTAATTTTTGTATTTTTAGTAGAGACGGGGTTTCACCATGTTGGCCAGGATAGTCTCGATCTCTTGACCTCGTGATCCGCCCACCTTGGCCTCCCAAAGTGCTGGGATTACAGGCGTGAGCCACTGCGCCCGGCCGAGACACCTTTTTGTACAGAGCCTGAGATATCTTATTGTGCATAGAGAAAAAAAAGAACCAAAGTTATCAAAAAAAACCAAACTCGTTTCAAAAGGACATAGGAGAAATCCACCATTATCCTAATATTAAAATCAAAGATATTACACAAAAAGAAAACCATAGACCATTATCTCTTAAGAACACAGATGTAAATAATTAACAAAATATCAGCAACTCAAACCAGCAAAATATAAAAGAATAACACATCATGACCAAATGAAGTTAATTCTGGGAATGTATGGTGTAGCATTCAAAAGAAAAAAATATCATGCATCACATTAACAGAATAAAAGAAAACCATATTATCTCAATAACTATAGAAAAAACCCTATTAATACTATTAATATATTCAACCCCTATTTATATACACTCGGCAAGCAAGGAATAAAAGAAAATTTGCTTGATCTGATGGATATCTATGAAAAACTACAACTAATATCTTACTTGATGTTTAAGCATGAATAATTTCTCAAGATTAAGAACAAAGCAAGAATATTAGCTCTCAACATTTAACATTTTACTGAACGTTTTACCCAATGCAATAAGGCAAGAAAGAGGTCAGAGATTTCGGAGGAAGAAGATAAATTGTCTTTATTCATTGTCAACATTATTACAAACTATACAATAAGGCCAGATGCAGTGGCTCACACCTGTAATCCCAGCACTTTGGGAGGCCGAGGTAGGTGGATCATGAAGTCAGGAGTTCAAGACCAGCCTGGCCAACATGGTGAAACCCCGTCTCCACTAAAAACACAAAAATTAGCTGGGCGTGGTGGTGGGCACCTGTAATCCCAGCTACTCAGGAGGCTGAGGCAGAAGAATCGCTTCAACCCAGGAGGTGGAGGTTGCAGCAAGCTGAGATCACACCACTGCACTCCAGCCTGGGCGACATAGCGAGACTCTGTCCCACCCCCCACCAAAAACACAAACAAACAAAAAAAGTATACAATGAAAGGGTCAGGCTGATCCCCACCTAATCAATCTTAACATTACTAGATATGGGACAACCAGATACTGTCTCTCTCTGACGTAACATAATACAAAGCAACACAGCCACCATCTATGAAGTACTCTTGCCAAAAATATTGAAGTTGAGTCTAATCAAGTAATCAAGCCCCCAGATCAGCACTGAGCACTGTCTAGAACTTTCTATGATGATGGGAAGTTCTGTATATGTTTTTATATATATATATATATATATTTTGAGACACAGTTTCACTCTGTCACCCAGGCTGGAGTGCAGTGGCACGATCTCAGCTCACCACAACCTCTGGCTCCTGCGTTCAAGCGATTCTCCCACCTCAGCCTCCCAAGTAGCTGGGATTACAGGTGCCCGCCACCACACTGGGCTGATTTTTGTATTTTCAGTAGAGGTGGGGTTTCACCATGTTGGTCAGGCTGGTCTTGAACTCTTGACCTCAAAAGATCTACCCACCTCGGCCTCCCAAAATGCTGGGATTACAGGCATTAGCCACTGCACCCAGCCTGTATATGGCTCTTGAGTACTTGAATTGTGGCTAGTCCAATTGAGGAACTAATTTTTTAAGAGACAAGTCTTGCTCTGTCTCTTAAAAGGCTGGAATGCAGTACAATCATAGCACACTGTAACCTCAAATTCCTGGACTCAAGAGAGCCTCCCAAAGTGCTGAGATTACAGGCATGAACCACTGTACCCAGCTGAGGAACTGAATTTTTAATTGTATTTAAATCCAATTACTGTAAATTTAAATAGCCAATAGTAGTTACTAACACAGCTAGTATTGGATAGCTCAGCTCTACAGCTACCTTCCATTTATAGAAATGCAAAGGAAAAAGGAAGAAATTAAATTACACTGAAAGAAGTAAAATTACATGACAAGTAAAACGAAAAATCCAGAATGTGGGGCACTCTATAGGAGGAACTGACCTAGTTTTACCAACCGAGTCAATGTCATGAAAAGGGAGCAGGAGACAACTAAAAGGAGAGATTTAGAAAACATAACAACCAAATGTTTACTCCTTGTTTGAATCCTAGTCAAATAAACTATCTACAAAAAGACATTTCTGAGAAAATCTGGACAAGGTATCATAATATTAGGTATGACGGTAGAATTATATTCATGTAAGAAGATATTCGTATTTTTTAGAGCCGCATACTGAAGTACTGCAGAAGTGTAATATTTAAGATTTGCTTTAAAAACCTTTATCAAGAGCATAGCATAAGGATTTGCCAAATAAAGTATTACATATCTATAAAATGCAGTATTATGAACTTTTTAAAAAGAATGAATCTGTAAGTGCTAACATGGATAAACACCCAGGCTGTTTATCAAAAAAACAATAAGTTGCAGAAATACAGCATGATTCCATTTGTGTGAAAGAAAGCAACAGGCAGACCTACATACATAAGAGGGGAACCTGTTAATTTTTAATTTTATATTCTTGTGTACTGTTTGAACTTTTAATTTTATTTATTTAACTTTTGAGACAGTCTCGCTCTGTTGCCCAGGCTGGAGTGCAGTGGCGTGATCTCCGCTCACTGTAACCTCTGCCTCTCAGGTTCAAATGATTCTCCCACCTCAGCCTCCCGAGTAGCTGGGATTACAGGCACCTGCCACCACATCAGTCTAATTTTATATATATATATAATATAGATATACACACACTATATATATATACACACACACTATATATATCTATATATATACATACACACTATATATATACACACACACTATATATATGTGTATAGTGTGTATGTGTGTGTGTATATATATACACACACACACACATACACACTATACACATATATATATATATATATATATATATATATATATATATATTTTTTTTTTTTTTTTTTTTTTTTTTTTTAGTAGAGACCGGTTTTTGCCATGTTGCCCAGGCTGGTCTCAAACTCCTGATCTCAAGTGATCTACCCACTTCAGCCTCCCAAAGTGCTGGGATTACAGGCATGAGCCACTCACCCAGCCTGAACTTTGTAAAAGAGCATTTTTTTTTTTAAACACAGAAATTTGTTCAAAAACACAAAAAACCAAGAACAACAACAAAAAAAAAAACCCAGCAGGTCCTACCCAACGTATGAATAATCCCTTCTCTTTTTTTTTCCTCATGCTGTTGCCCAGGCTGGAACACAGTGCCGCGATTAGCGCTCACTACAGCCTCCCAGGTAGCTGGGATTACAGGCAAGAGCCACCTCATTGGCTTGAATGGGTTCTTTTTGAATACTTTCAATGACAAGGACCATACTACTGTATAAGGAGATGCATCCCCCTCATCAAATAGCTCCAACTGCTAGAAGGTAAATTCTTAATATTGAATAGAAATTCATCTTTTCTGTATCTTCCAGCCCTTCAGTCCTATTTCTACCTAATTTATAAAGCTGCACTATCCAATAATGGTAGCCACAAGTTACATGTAGCTATTAGACACTTGACAAGTGGCTAGTCCAAATTGAGATGTGCTATAGATGTAAAATACCAATTTTCCAAGACATGTTATAAAATAAAGAAATGCCAAATATCACTAATGTTTCATCACAATTACTGTATGTCAAAATAATATTTTAGATAAATCAAGTTCAATAAAATATATTGGGCTGGGCATGGTGGCTCATGCCTGTAATCCCAGCACTTTGGGAGGCCAAGGCGGACGGAACACCTGAGGTCGGGGGTTCTAGACCAGCCTAGCCAACACAGTGAAACCCCGTCTCTACTAAAACTACAAAAAATTAGCCGGGTGTGGTGGCAGGCGCCTGTAATCCCAACTACTCAGGAGGCTGAGGCAGGAGAATCACTTGAACCCAGGAGGTGGAGGTTGCAAGTGAGCCAAGATCACGTCACTGCACTCCAGCCTGGGTGACAGAATGAGACTCCACCTCAAAAAATATATAATAATAATAATAAATAAATAAATAAATAAAGTAAATTAAACAAATTTTAAAGATCTTCAGCAAGAGAAAAGGTCTAGTTGAAGCAAACACAGTAAGTGAATACGAATGGTTGATAAACAGGAATTCATTGCCCAATTCGCTTACTTTTGTCCATGTTTGAAGTTTCTAATAACAAAACAGAGTAGAACTAAAATGCTAAAAAAAAAAAAAAAAAAGCATGAAAGATTTGAGGAGCAAGATTAAAGTATTCCAAGGTCTTTGTTCATTCCATAAAAAGAGCGTAGACTCTAACTTTAGACTTTAAGGAAAGCAGGCATAATAAATGATTAATTCAATTAACAAAAGAACAAAAATAGAACACCAAACTTCTAAATCAAGAGAAGAAACTGAAAAAAAGAATATAAAAAGGAAAAAATAACAGTATCATTAACTCATCAATTATTCAAATATTTGTCTACTAAATTCAAAGTATGGTCTATGAACCCTCCTTTTCAGGGGCTACAGGGGTTCAAAACTATTTTCATAATAGCATCAAAACAGTATCTGACTTTTTTATTATGTTGAAATTTACAAAGATGGTGCAAAAACAATAGGCAGCAAAACTTCTAGCAACTGAACATGAATCAAAGGGAGTGGTACCAACTGTACTAGCAGTAGTAGTCACTGCTTTCTCCACCACCACACATTCAGTTTGTTGTTTTTTATGATAGTATCACTTAAGAATGTCCTTCATGAAGACAGCAAAAATAATTTTTATTAATCTCAATCCTTATACAATCTTTTTACACTCTGTATAAAGAAATAGGTAGTGCATATAAAGCATTTCTGCTATAGATTTGAAGTACAATGGCTATTTTGAGGAAAAGCGCTTGTACGACTGAGTTACAAGCTGAAACTAGCTTTTTTCATGAAACACCATTTGAAGAACAAAGGACTGGTAGATAAACTAAGATTATCCATATTTGGTCATTTGGCAGATTTGTTTATTAGGTTATCAAACATGAACAAAATGAGTTTGTCATTTAAGGAAGAACTAATCATTTTGAGCTTGACTGCTAAACAATGACTACTACTGCTAATACAGTTGGTACCACTGCAATATTTAGAATTTTGGAAAACTATCTGACACAGTGCTTGAGCTTTCTAATACTTAAATACTTTTCAGGTGAGATCACTGGCAATATTAATGAATGAAATATTTTGATACTCTGCATTGGCTGAATTCCACATCCTCAAATTCAACCAACCAGAGATGAAAAATATTATTTTTCAAAAATGAAAAGTTAACAGTACAAGAATAAAAAATAATATAAATTGTAAAAACAATACGGTATAACAACTATTTACGTAACACATTGTATTAGGTATTATAAACAAACTACAGATTGTTTACACTGAAGGGCCAGGTACAGTGGCTCATGCCTGTAACCCCAACACTTTGGGAGGCTGAGGTGGGTGGATTACTTGAGGCCAGGAGTTCAAGACCAGGCTGGCCAACATGGTGAAACCCAATCTCTATTACAAATACACACACACAAAAAGTTAGCTGGGCGTGGTGGCGCATGCCTGTAGTCCCAGCTACTTGGGAGGCTGAGGCACGAAAATCGCTCGAGCCAGGGAGGGGCAGGTTGCAGTAAGCCAAGATGACACCACTGCACTCCTGCCTGGGCAACAGAGGCAAAGACCCTATCTCAAAAAAAAAAAAAAAAGTATACTGAAGGATGCATACGGGTTATATGAATACTAACTCATTTTATATGAAGGACTTGAGCATCCGTAGATTTTGTTATCTGTGAGGGTTCTAGAATATCGATCCTACACGGATATTTAGAGATGAGTATATATAACAAAATGTGCCAACATTCAGATCTATATAACCCAGTGAACTGATATTTTTCAAATGACCAATGCATGATGTTACAAAATCGAAAGATCCATTCAGTTATTAGTGAAGTACAACCACTGACAGGGCTTTAGATTCCACATTCCAACCAACCCTTAAGAAACTACCACTTGTCAATTTTTGGTGTAGTATCAAAGAAGAATATCCACAATTATCTGAAAAAGTTATTAAAATACTCTCTTCCCTTCTCCAATTGCATAGCTACATGAGGCTGGATTTTCTTCATATACTTCAACCAAGACAATATCCAGCAATAGGCCGAATGCAGAAGCAGATATAAGAATTCAACTATCTTACTACACTCAATATTAAAGAGACTTGCACAACTGTAAAACAATGCCACTCAATTAGCTTTTTGGCTACTGTTTTGGAAAATATAGTGGATGTCTATTTTATTCATGTTAATATGCACTGAAATTATTGTTTTTAATAAGTGGTGCTTTAAAATTTCTCTAAAATATAAATAGATGTAATAAACGTACTTTGCAGTCTTCGGTAATTTTTTAAGACTGTAAATAAGTTCTGAGACAAAAAAGTTTGAGAATTAGTCTATTTTATGCAAGGCAGTAGGAGAAATAGGATCTCCATTCATCTGAGGTGAACTATTTAGTTATGTCCCAAGTGTACAAGGGATGTGAAAAGTAAATGGCCATACATTCACTTACCCAGCTATTAAGAGTAAGAAACTATTAACTGGGGCTACATACTAATAGCAGCAGTTCTCTAAATTTTTGACAACATTAAATCAGCCCTTTTCTTCTATACAGACCTCTTTCTAAAAGCTAGTTTCTTTAGAGAGTACAATTGAATTTCTTTTTTTCTTTTTTTTTTTTTTGAGACGGAGCCTCGCTCTTGTCACCCAGGCTGGAGTGCAGTGGCACAATCTCGGCTTACTGCAAGCTCTGCCTGCCAGGTTCACGCCATTCTCCTGCCTTAGCCTCCCGAGTAGCTGGGACTATAGGCGCCCACCACCAAGCCTGGCTAATTTTTTTGTATTTTTAGTAGAAACACGGTTTCACTGCGTTAGCCAGGATGGTCTCGATCTCCTGACCCTGTGATCCGCCCGCCTCGGCCTCCCAAAGTGCTGGGATTACAGGTGTGAACCACTGCGCAAGGCCAAACAACTGAACTTCATGCTAGAACACAACCACATTGAGCAATCTTTGTAAAAAAAAGAAATTGTCCTCAAAGCACAAACCAACAGAGTAATCCTTTTAGATTATTTTTTCCTATTGATGTTAGGTATGCAGTACTTTAATGTTAACATGAGAAATTTAATGTATTGCTTTTTACTTAGCAGCCTTTCTTTTTTTTTTTATGAAGATTAAAGAAAACCTTTTATTGAGGTATAACTTACAATAAATAGTGCACATTTAAGTGTGCAGCTCCTTTAATTTTTTACATATGAATACATCATTGAGACTTTCTGTAACCCACTTTATACTGTAGTTTGCTTTTTATTTTTCTTTTTTTAGACAGTCTCGCTCTTTTGCCAGGCTGGAGTGCAGTGGCACGATCTCGGCTCACTGCAACCTCTGCCTCCCAGGTTCAAGCGAGTCTCCTGCCTCAGCCTCCCAAGTAGCTGGGACTACAGGTGTGCATCACCACGCCCGGCTAATTTTTTTTTGTACTTTTAGTAGAGATGGGGTTTCACCATGGTGGCCAGGATGGTCTCGATCTTTTGACCTCGTGATCCTCCCGCCTTGGCCTTCCAAAGTGCTGGGATTTCAGGCGTGAGTCACTGCACCTGGCCTGCTTTCTTTTTTTTTTTTTTTTTTTTTAATTGATCATTCTTGGGTGTTTCTCGCAGAGGGGTATTTGGCAGGGTCATAGGACAATAGTGGAGGGAAGGTCAGCAGATAAACAAGTGAACAAAGGTCTCTGGTTTTCCTAGGCAGAGGACCCTGCGGCCTTCCTCAGTGTTTGTGTCCCTGGGTACTTGAGATTAGGGAGTGGTGATGACTCTTAATGAGCATGCTGCCTTCAAGCATCTGTTTAACAAAGCACATCTTGCACTGCCCTTAATCCATTTAACCCTGAGTGGACACAGCACATGTTTCAGAGGGCACAGGGTTGGGGGTAAGGTCACAGATCAACAGGATCACAAGGCAGAAGAATTTTTCTTAGTACAGAACAAAATGAAAAGTCTCCCATGTCTACCTCTTTCTACACAGACACGGCAACCATCCGATTTCTCAATCTTTTCCCCGCCTTTCCCCTCTTTCTATTCCACAAAACCGCCATTGTCATCATGGCCCGTTCTCAATGAGCTGTTGGGTACACCTCCCAGACGGGGTGGTGGCCGGGCAGAGGGGCTCCTCACTTCCCAGTAGGGGCGGCCGGGCAGAGGCGCCCCTCACCTCCCGGACGGGGCGGCTGGCCGGGCGGGGGGCTGACCCCCCCACCTCCCTCCCGGACAGGGTGGCTGGCCGGGCGGGGGGCTGACCCCTCCCCACCTCCCTCCCGGACGGGGCGGCTGGCCGGGCAGGGGGCTGACCCCCCCACCTCCCTCCCGGACGGGGCGGCTGGCCGGGCAGAGGGGCTCCTCACTTCCCAGTAGGGGCGGCCGGGCAGAGGCGCCCCTCACCTCCCGGACGGGGCGAGCAGCCTGCTTTCTATGTGCAGTTTTCCTATGAACATTCCACCACACTAAAGTCTAATATCAGTAAATGTGCGCTATTCAATCTCGCTAATGAAAAATGCGACAAACAATTTTATGCTTCTCACTTATTATAATGGCAAAAAATAATTTTGAGGATAGTTCTCAGATCAGTGAAATCACAAGAAAAACCAACATTTTCTATATGCAAAAAGTGTGAGTAAAATCGGTAGAACCTTTTTTGATGTCACACGTACTTAAATAGCCCTCTCGCCTACAACTCTTTATCACATCACCCACCTAGTTTATTTCCTTCCCAGCACTCATTCAAATTTAAAAAGGATTTAAAATCCTTCTAAAGCCTGGGCACAGTGGCTCACGTCTGTAATTCCTGCACTTTGGGAGGCCAAGGTACGTGGATCATTTGAGGTCAGGAGTTTGAGACCAGCCTGACCAACATGGTAAAACCCCATCTCTACTAAAAATACAACAATTAATCTGGATGTGGTGGTATATACCTGTAGCACCAGCTACTCAGGAGGCTGAGGCACAAGAATCCCCTCAACCCAGGAGACGGAGGTTGCAGTGAGCTGAGATGGCATCACTGCACTTCAGCCTGGGCAACAGAGCAAGACTGTCTCAAAAAAAAAATATATATATATATATATATATTCTTAAAAACAAATTATCTGCCTCACTTCCAAGAGAATGCAGACTTCATAATAGCAGGAGCTTTGTTAGCTAGTGTATTCTGAGCCTAGGACACCTTCTGTCACAGAGTAAGGATTCAAAAAAACCTACTAAATAATTGATAGTTACAGCAGTATTACTTTTTTTTTAAAGCAAGCACAAGCAAAAAACACCTATGGAAACAAACTGTATGTCCATCAAATCCAGAATGATTACATAAACTATGATACTTCCATTCAGTGGAATATTAATAACATTTTTTTCATTTTTCTTTTAAAAAAGAGAGTTATCACTACATTGTCCAGGCTAGTCTTGAACTCCTGGCCCCAAGCAATCCTTCTCCCTTGGCCTCCCAAACTGCTGGGATTACAGGAATGAGCCACCACACCCAGCCACAGGAAAATTTTTAAACAATGAAGCAGAGCTATATAAGTAACTAATATGGAAAGATCTGAGGCACATTAAGTGAAAAAAATTAGCTGTGAAAAATAAATCAGAATAATACTTATGTGAGGCCAGGCATGGTGGCTCATGCCTGTAATCTCAGCACTTTGGGAGGCTGAGGCAGGAAGATCGCTTGAGCCCAGGAGTTCAAGACCAGCCTGGGCAACATAGCATGACCCCGTCTCTACAAAATATTTAAAAATTATCCGAGCATTGAGGCACACACCTGTAGTTCTAGCTAGTTGGGAGACTGAGGCAGGAGGATCGTTTCAGCCCAGGAGTTTGAGGCTATAATGAGCCATGATTTCATCACTGCACTCCAGCCTGGGCGACACAGCTAGTCTCTAAAAAAATAATAATATTTATGTGTTGAGAGGAGAATACATAAAATTAAGTATGGAGAAATAGTATCTAATTGGCAACTAGCCACTTCTAGGGAGAGTGAGTAGGCTTGGGGGAGAGAAAGGATGGTCAAGGGGAACTTAGGCTTTATTCATATACTTTAAATTTCTTAAAATAATTTCTATTCATGTAAATTGTCTGTTACAGTTATGAATTTTTTTTCTTCCCAAATCAATTTTTAAGAGAAGCCAATGTTATCAGGCAGGGTCCAGACCTATCTTTCACACAGAAGAAATTCACTATAGAGAACCGGTTATACAAAACAGAGGAAAGTGAGGAAACCCAGAGACTAGTAATAGCAGGGAGCTTCTATGACTTCTAGCACTGAAAGGACAATAAGATGATGTAGTCTCACCATATCCCAGAAGCTCAGGATGGTGCTAGAACCATAGCAGGATCTGCTCAGTAGTAACTGGGACCATGAGGAAGGGGCTGTGTTAATAGGACACAAGGGAGCTGCTGCTGGAGTTGGCTCAAAAAGGGACTGGGGAAAGACCCTGGCTTCTTCCCTCCTCTCACCCTCCAATCTTCTGTTAGTGCCTCCTATTAGCCAACTCCAGAAAGCAAACGAGTCTAGGAAATTTAATTCCCTGCAATACAGAACAGAACAGAGAAAAAGCAGAAATGGATTTGAGAGCGAGCTAGAGGCCGATTTAACAGAGTCAGTTATCAATGTATGCCCCCCAACCTCCTATATATTCTATGGCAAAGAGGATACACATGTAGTAGCTCACTGTCTATCTGTCTTACCTTCACTTAAGAAATAAGCTAGATTTGTGGTGGGCAGAAGACCTAAAGTACAAAATGTAATACTAATTTTTTTAAGTAAATTATTAGAAATGCTGTATTTACTAAAGGAGCAAACTAACCAAAGCAAGTCACACGTATCGATTATGTAAAATTTTAGCATATTAAATCTCTATATGCCTCTGAGAAATTTCTGAAAATACTTTTAAAAATGACTTTTTTTTTTTTGAGACGGAGTCTCGCTCTGCCACCAACACCAAAGTGCAGTAACGCCATCTTGGCTCACTGCAACCTCTGCCTTCCGGGTTCAAGCGATTCTCCTGCCTCAGCCTCCTGAGTAGCTGGGATTACAGGCGTGTGCCACCATGCCTGGCTAATTTTTGTATTTTTAATAGAGATGGTATTTCACCATGTTGGCCAGGCTGGTCTTGAACTCCTGACCTCACGTGATCCACCTGCCTCAGCAACCCAAAGTGCTGGGATTACAGGCATAAGCCACTGCGCCTGGACAAGAGAAAACAACTTTTTAAAAATAAAAGTTCAGCTTAAAGACCAAGAATTTAAACCTGTGTTGCCAACATGCATATTTTAATGCCTTCCTCTAAAACCATTTTAGACAAAATACTTAAAATCCACCTTTTCAAAAAGAATAAAAAAGTCTAGTTTAGGAACTAAAACAGAACTATTTGATAAAAATTCCACTAGTGGGAAAGAAAATCCTAATTTATTTTTTTCTCAACTTTTATTTTAGGTTCAGGGGTAAATTCGCAGGTTTGTTATATAGGTAAACTCATGTCATGGGGGTTTGTTTACAGATTATTTCATCACACAGGTATTAAAGGACTAGTATCCAATAGTTATTTTTTCTGCTCCTCTCCCTCCTCCCAGCCTCCACTGGACCCAGTGTCTGTTGTTCCCTTCTTTGTGTCCATGAGTTCTCATCATTTAGCTCCCACTTATAAGTGAGAACAGGCAATATTTAATTTTCAGTTCCTGCATTAGTTTGCTAAGGAAAATGACCTCCAGCTCCATTCATGTTCCTGCAGAAGACATGATCTCATTTTTTTTTATGGCTGCACAGTATTCCATGGTGTACATGCACATTTTCTTTATCCAGGCTGTCAGTGATGAGCACTTAGGTTGATTCCATGTCTTTGTTATTGTGAATAGTGCTGCTATGAACATTCCCGTGCATGTGTCTTTATGACAGAATGTTTTATATTCCTCTGGGTATATATATCCAGTAATAGGATTGCTCGGTCAAATGGTAGTTTGGGAAAAGCTTACTTACATTTAAGCATTCTTTTAGTCTTAGACCAGGGATTAGCAAACTTTTTCTGTAGTGAACCAGAGAGTAAATATTTTATCCCCTGGGGGCCAGACTGTGTCACAACTATTCAACTCTGCCATTGTGGGGTAAAAGTGACCACAGACAATATGTAAATAAATGAATGTGGCTGTGTTCTAATAAATCCTTATTTATCAATACTGAAATCCGAATTTCACACAACTTTCACATACCATAAAACATTCTTTATTTTTTTCAACTTTTAAAAAACGTAAAAATCATTTTCAGTTGGCTGGGCATGGTGGCTCACACCTATAATCCCAACACTTTGGGAGGCCAAGGCAGATGGATCACCTGAGGTCAGGAGTTTGAGAACAGACTGACCAACATGGTGAAACCCCGTCTCTACTAAATAATACAAAAAATTAGCCAGGTATGGTGGCGCGTGCCTATAGTCCTGGCTATTCTGAAGGCTGAGGCAGGAGAACTGCTTGAACCTGGGAGGCGGAGGTTGCAGTGAGCCGAGATCACACCATTGCACTCCTGTCTGCGAGATATCGTCTCAAACAAATTAAAAAAAATCATTTTCAGCTTACAGGCCATACAAAACAGGCAGTGGGCCAAATATGGCGAATTCATCACTGTTTGCTGACCCCCATTCTTATACAAATTATGTTCAGATTAGGTGTGGTTTTTTTAGCTATTTTAAACTGCTAAACAATAGCTAAATATATCCTTGTTTTTATTCCAATCTCTCTAACAGAGGTAAATTTTCAACAAAGTTGCCAGACTTTTAAAAATTACGTATTCTTTAATCCAAAGAGCCTCCATAAGAATATTCAATTTATGCAAAAACATAACAGCACACTTGAGAGAGTCTGTTATTATATATTCAAACCAACAGAGCAAATGTAAGAAAAACCTTGGCCCTAACCTGCAGGCACTCCATTTGTTTGGTTCACTTCCATGAGAAAGACAGGTGACCATCTATTCCATCACAAGTTCTGACTAGGGATGTCAAGGCCATTACTGTTTACTTGAATGCAAAAGCCTATGATCTATGTTTAATCTGCAGGATAAAATAATAAACTCTAGGCAACATAATTTTAAAACTTCTCATAACCAAACCTTATCAAAAGGCCTTTATAAACTAAATAAATTTCTAAAGAATTCCACGTTCATCTATTCTTCTACCAATCATTCAACCAATATAATCCATTAGAAAGCGTGACAGTTTTGTCATGCTTTGAGTTTTGCTCCCTTGTGACAGTTCTTCCCTTACAGAATCCTATTTTCTGAATCTTATTTCAACATTTCACCTACAGCTGCCCAAAGAATGTTATAAGAAATTACTCCACAAAATCCATCACTGTATTTATCATTAAAAAAAAAAAAAAAAAGACTGTAGCTGGAAGCACTCCCCTTGAAAAGTGGCACAAGATAAGAATGCCTCCTCTCACTCCTATTCAAAATAGTATGGGGAGTCCTGGCCAGAAGAATCAGGGAGAAAAAAATAAAGGGCATTCAAATAGGAAGAAAGGAAACAAAAGTAACCCTGTTGGCAGACAACATGATTCTAGACCTGGAAAACCTCACAGTCTCAGCCCAAAAGCTCCTTCAGCTGATAAACAACTTCAGTAAAATTTCAGGATACAAAATCACTGTACAAAAATCACTAGCATCCCTATATACCAACAACAGCCAAGATGAGAGCCAAATCAGAAATGCAATCCCAGTCACATCTGCCACAAAAAGAGTAAAATAACTGGGAATACAGCTTACCAGAAAGGTTAAAGATCTCTACAATAAGAATTACAAAACACTGCTCAAAGAAATCAGAGATGATGCAAAAAAACAGAAAAACATTCCATGCTCATGGATAGGAAGAATCAATATCCTTAAAATGGCCATACTGCCCAAAGCAATTTGGATTCAATGCTATTCTTATCAAACTACCAATGACATTCTTCACAGAACTAGGAAAAACTATTTTTAAATTTCTATGAAATTCAAAAAGAGCCCAAATAGCCAAGGCAATCCTAAGCAAAAAGAACAATGCTGGAGGCATCATGTTACCTGGCTTAAACAATACTATAGGACTACAGTTACCAAAACAGCATGGTACTGGTACTAAAACAGACACATAGACCAATGAAACAGAATAGAGAGCCCAGAAATAAGGCTGCACTGCCACAACCATCTGATCTTTGACAAAGCTCACAAAAACAAGCAATGGGGAAAGGACTCCCTATTCAATAAATGGTGCTGGTATAAGTGGCTAGTCATATGCAGATGACTGAAATCGGACCCCTTCCTTAATACATAAACATCAACTCAAGATGGATTAAAGACTGAAATGTAAAACCCAAAACTATAAAAACCCTGGAAGACAACCTAGACAATACCACTCTGGACACAGAAATGGGCAAAAATTTCATGACGAAGATGTCAAAAGCAATCACAACAAAAGCAAAAACTGACAGATGGGATCTAATTAAACTAAAGAGCATTTGCACAGCCACAGAAATTATCAACAGACTAAACAGATAACCTACATAATGGGAGAAAAGTTTTGCAAACTATGCTGACAAATGTCTAATATCCAGTATCTAAAAAAACTTAAATTTATATATAAAAAAAATCCTGTTAAAAAGTGGGCAAAGGACATGAAAACTTTTCAAAAGAAGACATATGTGCAGCCAACATGCATATGTAAAAAAGCTCAACATCACTGATCATTAGAGAAATGCAAATCAAAACCATAATGAGATAACATCTCACACCAGTCAGAATGGCTATTATTAAAAAGTCAAAAAATAACAGATGCTGGCGAGGTTGAGAAGGAAACATTTATACACTGTTGATGGAAGTGAAAATAGTTCAACCACTGTGGAAAGCAGTGGTGATTCCTCAAAGAGCTACAACTACCATCCGACCCAGCAACCCCATTACTGGTTATATACCCAGGGAATATAAATCATTCTACCATAAAGACACATATACGCAAATGTCCACTGCAGCACTATTCACAATAGCAAAGACATGGAATCAACCTAAATGCCCATCAATGACAGACTGGATAAAGAAAATGTGGTACATATACACCATGGAATACTGTGCAGCCATAAAAAAAGAATGAGATCATGTCATCTGCAGGAACATGGATGAGCTGGAGGTCATTATCCTTAGCACAGGAACAGAAAGCCAATTACTGCCTGTTCTCACCTATAAGTGGTAGCTAAATGATGAGAACTCATGGACACAAAGAAGGGTCCAACAGACACTGGGGTCTACTTGAGGGTGGAGGCTGGCAGGAGCAACAGGAGCAGAAAAAGTAACTACTGGGTACTAGGCTTAGTATCTGAGTGACAAAATAATCTATACAGCAAACCCTTGTGACATGACTTTACCTATTTCACAAACCTGCACATGTAACCCTGAACCAAAAATAAAAGCTTAAAAAAAAAGAAATGAAATTACTCTTCAAAACCCAACACTGTATTTACTATTAAAAAAAGATTGTATCATGAGGTCAGGAGATTGAGACCATCCTGGCTAACACAGTGAAACCCTGTCTCTACTTTAAAAAAAAAAAAAAAATTAGCTGGGCATGGTGGCGGGCGCCTGTAGTCCCAGCTACTTGGGAGGCTGAGGCAGGAGAATGGCGTGAACCCGGGAGGTGGAGCTTGCAGTGAGCCGAGATCACGCCACTGCACTCCAGACCAGGGGACAGAGCAAGACTCCATCTCAAAAAATAAAAAATAAAAAAAGATTACTGTAGGCCAGATATGGTGGCTCACACCTGTAATCATAGCACTTTGGAAAGCCAAGGGGAGGACTGTTTGAGGTTAGGAGTTCGAAATAAGCCTGGACAACATACCAAGATCCCCTCTCTACGAATTTTTTTTTCTTTTAATTAGCCAGGTGTGGTGGCACATGCCTATAACCCTAGCTACTTGGGAGGCTGGGGCAGGAGGATCGACTGAGGCCAGAAGTTTGAGGTTGCAGTGAGCCATGATCACTCCAGCCTGGGTAACAAAGCAAGACCCTGTCTCTTCATTTTTTAAAAAAAGAAAGAACTCTTGGGATAAATTTCTCAGGTAGTGCCATTGAGGAAGGAATGCTTTTCTCAAGAGATTTATATGGCTGTATAGCTTATAGATACTATATATACCATAGCTCCATATAAAATTGTCTTTTATTTAGCTACTAGGAAACAAAACTTTCAGAGTCTGCCTCTGGTAACAGTGAATGAACTGAAAGCTTATATTTACATGTACTTCTATAATCAGCTTCAAATTCCTGAAATATTTTTCCTGAATTTTCTTTTGAAAAAAAATCCTGACATATGTTCATGTAAGCTGTTTCAAATAAAGTGGGCATAAGCATTCAGTGGCGTAACAAACTATCACACATAGGCATCAATCGATCGGGAAATAATCTACCTCAAACAACTGCAATTTGTTCTTTGTGTGGCTTCAACAAAATCCCAGGATGCCACTTTAGCAGCTGTCGCTTCTTCGCATAGACCACCTGATGAAGCAGAATACTTCCTCCTAAGATTTAAAGTTACAAAATTCTTTAAAATTCATAAAATTTTCTATCAAACCTCAATGTAGCATTGAAATTAATTTTAAAGATCAACATTATGAGTTAAAGAAAAATCAAACAAATGACTGTTTATACTTTAGATATCTTCTAATTATAAGTAATTATCAACATGCAATTTTTGAACTTATAAATGAAAATACACACTTGTTCTGTGCTCTGTTCATATTGCATTCTTGCCAAACTCTATCCACCACATGATTTGCTAATTTTCTGGGTATTTTCCCACCATGGTGGCTAGTACTATCGGAGTTGAAGCCATCAGATACTGAAGAAAATTTGACCCACTTCTGGACAGACTGAGGATCAACTGAAAACAAAACAAAAAAACAGGCTGTAGGAGAATAAAGGTAGGTTTAAAGTAACATTATTTGGGTTTTTTATTAATTTGTGATACAAGCTGCTCCAGCTATCTGGTAAAATTATTTATATTTTGAGATAAAAAGCATGCTACTTTTTGGAACCAGATCTCATTAGGCAAATGTGGCAATCAAGTACATCTCTGTAACCTACCACTCTCAGTACCAAGAGTGGGGTTCTCAGGAGCCAGGCAGGGCCAGCACACGGTGGCGTGTCGGGGGAGGTGGGCTGAGGGCAAGGAAGGAGGTGTCCCATGGATCATGCTGTATAAGCAAACCAGACTATCCTGATGCCCAGAGTGACATCATCAAGGTCAGAGGCTGGCCAGAGGTGGGGAGACTGGAAGGACTTCGGAGTAGTGCGAAGGGGCCCTGGACACCAGCCATGGAGCTGCTGCACAGAGCCTGGCTTCCACATCAAGGTGGGGTTTGGAGGCCAGGATGAGCCCCTGCAGCGGCAGCACTCTGGCCCTTCTGTCCCTGCCAGCCTCTGACCTGGGTCAGTCAATCATTGCTGGATTTTAGCCAAACACTTTAGTGTTCTCATTTAGTTGGAAATTAGACAGTCTTTTTTGTAAGGTCAGCTGAGCATGAGCATATTTCCCCTCCATTGTAAAAAGCTCTTCTGTGTTTTTATACGTTTCTCCTCCATTGTAAAAAGTTCTTCTGTGTTTTTGTTTTAAAGGTAGATGGAGGGAGGGCAGAGATATAAACTGTTGCATGAATCGATGGGTCAGAACTTTAGTATATGCGTATGTTCTTCTGAGTAACAGGGCGTTTTGCTGAAAATAAGCACCTTGGTAACTAAACCCCTTTTAATAGCTAAAACGCTTTAGTTCTGTATTGACAGTTACTGTAAAAGCTTGGGTTTATTTTTGTAGGACTTAAGGGCTAAGAATTAGAACACAGCAATGGGCTGCTCTGTTGGAGTAATTTTAATTATAGATAAACACATAAACCTTTAAAAATAAAAGCACGCTACTTTTAAATACAGAAAGCAAAATATCTAAAACAGGGAATGCAAACTGGATGGCAGTGTATCAATGCTGATTTTCTGACTAAGAGGATCGAGTAATAGTTGTATAGGAGAGTGTCCTTAATTCTGGGAAACACACTGAGTACACAGGAGTGATGGGACATCATGTCTGTAGGTTGTTCTCAAATGGTTCAGAAAAAGACCAATGATAATGAATGTACATCATACAGACAGGGTGATGGAGTAAATAATAACAGTTTGGAAATATGGCTAAGGAAATTACTTGTACTACACTTGTAAATTCTCAAGAAGTTTGAAACTATTTCAAAATAAATTATTTCTTAAGTACTTACTGTACACAAAATAACAAATTACCAGAGCTGATGAGACAAATTACTGCTATACCTGTTTGGACTTCCTCAGGAGACGTAGGTGGTGTAAGCGTAACCGAAGACATAGCAGGATCTCTTGTGGAAGCAGGCACTTGGTGGACACCCAAGCAAGAAGATGAACAGTGAGTGGATCCCACAGGGCTAGGAGTAGGAATGTCTGACTGAGGGACTAGAACAAAGCATGCTGGGTAGATCATTCGGACACCAGCTGAAAGGAAAAAAATGGGACAGGAAAACCAATTACCTTTGTGACTAGTGAATTAGTTTCACTCAAAAGTACTATAATGGAAAAGTAGGTATCACATTTATACAAATAAAAATACATTTTTATAAATATAAGCTTCTTTGGCATAAGTTTTTCTTTTCTTTTTTTTTTTTCTCTTTTTTAGAAGAAACCACAATAAACCACAATAAGCTGTCAGTGGTGGTTATCTTTGCTGAGAGAGATTTGGAAAAAGGCAGCTTTCCTTTTTTTAGATTTCTAGAAATGTGTTTTTTAAATCTTTATGTGCACTTCTGACCAACTTAATGTGTATTACTTTTTCAATTTTATTGTTTAAGTTTAACAAAGGTAATCTGGACACTAGAATTATGAACCATTTTCTACTTACTTTTCTATATGCCTCTATTTTAAAAGCCTAAAAAATGTGTGTTTTTTCTGTTTCTGTCACAACTGCTCTAGTAGTAATGGGTTTATTTAAAGTGAGCACTGGTAATCTTTTTCTTAAAAAAAAAACAGACAAACAACAACAAAAAAAACAGGCCAGGAGTGGTAGCTCACACCTGTAATCCTAGCACTTTGGGAGGCCGAGGCAGGTGGGTCATTTGAAGTCAGGAGTTCAAGAGCAACCTGGCCAACATGGCTAAACCCCATCTCTACTAAAAATACAAAATTTAGCTGGGCGTGGTGGCAGGCACCTGTAATCCCAGCTACTTGGGAGGGTGAGGCAGGAGAACTGCTTGAGCCCGGGAGGTGGAGGTTGCAGTGAGCAGAGATCACGCCATTGCACTCCAGCCTGAGCAGCGACAGAGCGAGATTCCGTCTCAGGAAAAAAAAAAAAAAAAAAAAGATGAAATAAGGTGATCTTCACGTCTAACATTACCATTAGATTCCCTTAAATACAATATGGTAGATTCTAATTCCAATTATCTCCTAAATTATACTTTCTCCATGCCTCCTCTCATGCCTCTCTGAGGTAGAGTATATGTCTTCACTCCATTGTCAGGCTGTGTGACTTGCTCTGGAATGTAAGCATGTGATATAAGCCACATCCTAACAGAAGCTTTAAATGTGCCTGCAGGGTCAGTGCAGCTTCTCTCACTTCTGTCTTCTGCTATGAGATTAACATGTCCCAGATGTGGGTACTTTGTTAACCTGGGTCCCTGAATGAGAGGACATAGAGAATACAGCCAATCTGAAAAAATCTGACCCTTTTAGGCTGGGCACGGTGGCTCACGCCAGTAATCCCAGCACTCTGGGAGGCCAAGGTAGGTGGATCACTTGAGGTCAGGAATTTGAGACCAGCCTGGCCAACACGGCAAAACCCCATCTCTACTAGCATTACAAAAATTAGGTGGGCATGGTGGCATGCGCCTGTAATCCCAGCTACTCTCAAGACTGAGGCACGAAAAGCGCTTGAACCTGGGAGGCGGAGGAGGTTGCAGTGAGCCAAGATCGCGCCATTGCACTCCAGCCTGGGCAACAGAGCGAGACTCCACCTCAAAAAAATAAAAATAAATTAAATAAATAATAAAAAAATATAAAAAAATCTGACCCTTTTGGCAGGCAGAGCATGCCAAAGTCATAAATTCTTTAGTTACATTTTCTGTCTCTTAAGTTATTGGAAGTGGTAGTTTTACCAAATGTTAAAACATCATACAACACAGGTTGTCAACTTTTCAGCCTCCAAATATTAATTCATTCACAATTAACTGTCCCATCCTAAGCATGCTTCCCTCTAGACAGAATATATTTCCCTGCCCCAATGACTTTGGCTTGGCCATTTAACTAGCTTTGTCTAATGCAATGTGAGCAGATGTAACATACACCATATCCCAGCAGAAGCTCTGAGTACACTTACATGGTTAGGTTCAGTCCCTATTATTCTTCTGTTCTCATAAGAACAGCATGTCCTAGCTACTGGGATATTCATTTAACCTAGGTTACAGAATGAGCAGATACATGGAGCCAAACCAGCTAAGATGCAGCCCTTAAGTAATGTGGGCAGGAAATTAAGGAATAAATCTTTGGTGTTGAAAGCCACTGAGTTATTAGACTTGTTTGTTATTCAGCAAAATATAACTAACACATACAATCATGCATTTTCCCCTTAGGAATAATACTCAGGATCCATACCAACAAGAACTTCTACTGCAGCTAAAGAATCATCTTCCCAATCCATATCTTCCTGTTTTTCTTCAGACATCTCCTTCAAGCAACATGAGATAGGATAGAACTGTTTCCATTCACCAATTAATTTTTTTGTAGCTGAATCAGACATCTTGAATGCCTGTCCTGTGAGAGTGCCATTTAGTCCAAATGGGCATAAGATAACTAGAAACCCAAAGCAGACATCAAATAAGTAACAAAAGACTGTTTTACCAAATAAGAACACAGTGAAAAATGTGGCAAATAATCGTGCAATTATAAAAAAGAAAAGGAAACCAGTAATAACCATTCCAGAGAAAAATCAACTTATTATACTTCGTTACTGTGAAGATAAAGTATGACACTGAGTTTATTATATAAACTGTTAAAAATTTGTCTGCCCAGGCTGGGCATAGTGGTTCACGCCTGTAATCCCAGCATTTTGGGAGGCTGAGGCGGGTGGATCACCTGAGGTCAGGAGTTCAAGACCAGCCTGGTCAACATGGTGAAACCCTGTCTCTAATAAAATACAAAAAAAATTAGCTGGGTGTGGTTGCACACGCCTGCAATCCCAGCTACTCGGGAGGCTGAGGCTGGAGAACTGCTTGAACCCGGGAGGCAGAGGCTGCAGTGAGCCAAGATGGCACCACTGCACTCTAGCCTGGGCAACAGAGGGAGACTTCATCTCAAAAAAAAAAAAAAAAAAAATTGTCTGCCCAAACTCTTAAGATTTTTAACAGAAGCTGGGAATATTTGTGTATCCTTCAATTTACTTTGACTCCCACTAAGAAAAAGCATTCTAAGAAAAAGCAATCTGAGGAAAAACAATATAGATATATAAATCTAAATATTTATAATGTACTGCCATGTAAACTTTAAAAAGCAAATATTAGGTTTAAAGTTAAAATAAGAACACACTGCCAAGCCTTAGAGGCAATTCAGCAATCTTATAAAATATTTCTTCTAGAATTCAACTTTTTTCATAGTATAAATAGTATCAAAAGTCCCTTTGTAGCTATGTTACACATGGCTCTGGCCGGACATGGTGGCTCACTCACACCTATAATCCCAGCACTTTGGGAGGCCGAGGCAGGTGGACCACTTGAGGTCAGGTGTTCAAGACCAGCCTGGCCAACAAGATGAAACCCAGTTCTACTAAAAAAAATACAAAAATTGGCCAGGCTTGGTGGAACGCGCCTGTAACCCCAGCTACTCAGGAGGCTGAGGTAGGAGAATTGCTTGAATCCGGGAGGTGGAGGTTGCAGTGAACCAAGATCATGCCACTGCACACCAGCCTGGGCGACAGAGCGAAACTCCGTCTCAAAAAACAAAAACAAAAACAAACAAACAAAATATGGCTTATATGACCTGACATACAAGATAACCTTGAAAACATTAACACATATAAATCCATTATGCTATCTAAAAGAACACTTTAAACTACTTCACCATTCACGGTCAAGAATTTTTTGGTAATACCTGTATTTAAAAATTTATTTCACTGACTTAACACTGTAATGGGGAAGGAAAAAGTAAATGACATCAAAATCATCATTAGGCTAAAGATCAGGGGGAATTCCATCAATCCCCAAATGTAAAATTATGAAGTCAAATAAGGATCTTTCAATAAAAGATCAAATACCTAATATAATAAAATAATCTACCTTGAAATGGGCTATTAGACTGTTGAGCAAGGGTGATATGCTCTTCACTGAGAAGGTATACAGGTTGATGTTGGTTAATTTCCACACTGGTACAAACATTGCTGTCTCCATGCAAGAAAAAGGTGAAGGAGCAGGACAAGTGTTCACTAAAAAAGAAGAAAAAGTTTTATCTTAGTGATGACTAGTGGCCAAAAATGTTAACTTGCTTTTCTTTATTAGGAAGTATGCAAAAATGCATACCCTATTTTGCCCAAAAATTCTACTTCATCAGAAGAAAAAAAATCATGGATATGAGCAAAGACTTAGCTATAAGAAATGTTCTTTACAACACTGTTTATAGTAGGAAAGGCTGCAAATACAGGAACCAGTTAAACGAGTTAGGTACATTCACACATAGAATTATTATATAGCCACAAAAATAAGTTAAAATAGAAGAGTAGGTTTATTGGAAAGGGATAGGCTACCAAAATAGTAGGGTCAATTTTTTTTTTCTTTTTCTTTTTTAAAGAAAGAGAGAGGGTCTCAGTATGTTGCCCAGGGTGGCTTGTAACTCCTGGGCTCAAGGGATCCTCTGACCTCAGCCTCCAAAGCAGCTGGGACTACAGATGTGGGCCACTGTACCCAGCTCTTTTTTTTTTTTTTAAAGAAAAAAAAAGTTTTATTTGGATAAAGAAAATAAAGGCGGACAACAGAATTAACAGTGACTTAATTTTTATTTTTGCCTATTTTCCCCTCTATATAAGAAACTATAAATGTTTTCTCACTTTATTAATTAATTGGACTAATCATTTAATGCAATCCCCTCCCAACCAATAACATTATTTTAAAGCAATAATGGGTCTTACAGTTGAAGGCATCCTAGAATCAAGAATATATGCAAAACAGTACACCTTAATGAAATTCAGGTATGGCTGGGTATACAGGTTGGAAAATAAAAGTTCCCAAGGACATCAGAGGTATCTTCAAGATACAATTTAGAAGGGTCAAGTTGCGCAGAGGAGGATAAGAGTGTACACTAAGAAAATAAACTCTTTTTATTCCTTCTCCACACATTTATCTTAAGAATTCATCCTTAAAAGTTTTTTAAACTATGATATTAATCAACTCAGAACCTGTTTTATATATGTATAAGCCCTCTTGAATTTCTTCTGGATAAGCAGAACATAGTGAATTAAAATTAAATTATAGTAAAAGTAATGCTAGAGTTAACAGAAGTGGGAAAATAGATGGTAGAAAAGAGGCAAAAAGCAATACAGAGCTAAGAATTTCTGTATCTTATACATATGGAGTCAATACAAAATGTCTAAACTTGATAGAACAAGAAATAGAAATTTAAGCATGTTATTCAAGTTACAAATGTAACTGACAGAGGCTAGTCTGAAGGTAGTGAGTTACCTCAGTTGACTGTTCAGTTAGTTGCAGATCAAACTCCTTGTTCTACTCTTTCCCCTCTTTCCACTACTGCATATGTGACTAGTCTAAAAAATGCTTTTAATCGAAATAAATTTTTTTTAGGCCAGGCACAGTGGCTCACATCTGTAATCCCAGCACTTGGAAGGCAGGCAGATCACTTAAGGCCAAGAGTTCAAGACCAGCATGGCCAACATGGTGAAACCTCCATCTCCCTAAAAATACAAAAAATTAGCCAGGCGCAGTGGCAGGTGCCTGTAATCCCAGCTACTTGGGAGGCTGAGGCATGCGAATCGCTTGAATCCACGATGTGGAGGCTGCAGTGAGCCAAGATCACACCACTGCATTACAGCATGGGCGACAGAGTAAGACTGTCTCAAAAAACATATAAGTAAATAAAAATAAAATAAAATAAAAATTAATGTAACTGACAGAAAAACTAAAAATAATATAACTAAAACAAAAAACAAACAAAAACCTTATCATTCTTGTTAAGAAAGCAGTGACAATGGCTGGGAGTGGTGGCTCATGCCTGTAATCCCAGCACTTTGGGAGGCTGAGGTGGGTGGATCACCTGAGGTCAGGAGTTTGAGACCAGCCTGGCCAACTTGGCAAAACCCCATCTCTACTAAAAATACAAAAATTAGCCGGAGGTGCAGTGGTATGCGCCTGTAATCCCAGCTACTCAGGAGGCTGAGGCATGAGAATCGCTTGAACCCAGGAGACGCAGGTTGCAGTGAGCCAAGATCACACCACTGCACTCCAGCCTGGGTGACAGAGCAAGACTCCATCTCAAAAAAAAAAAAAAAAAGACAAAGAGGCCTGTAATCCCAGCACTTCGGGAGGGCAAGGCAGGTGGATCGTTTGAGCCCAGCAATTTGAGACCAGCCTGGCCAACAAGGTGAAATTCTGTTTCTACTAAAAATACAAAAATTAGCTGGGTGTGGTGGCACACACCTGTAATCCCAGTTACTAAGGAGGCTGAGGCAGGAGAATCACTTGAACCCAGGGAGGCAGAGATTGCAGTGGGTTGAGATCTTGCCACTGCACTTCAGCCTGGGCAACAGAGTGAGACTTCATCTCAAAAAAAAAAAAAAAAAAAAAAAAAAAAAAGACACAGCGGCTAGGAGACCTGAATTTTATAACCTTTTATCTACTGTTCCTTTAATCAGTGGAGTATAGTTCTTAAAAACACAGTTTTCAACTGTTTCATTTCATACATGAAATATTAAATAAGAGAATTTAAAAACAGCCAGTCATGCCTGTTATCTCAGCACTTGGGAGGCTGAGGCAAGAGGAGTTGGGCTTGAGCCCAGGGGTTTGGGACCAGCCTAGGCAGCATAAGACCCCATCTCCACAAAAAAATTAAAAATTAGCTAGGTGGGGTGTGGTGCATGCCTGTGGTCCCAGCTACTCGAGAGGCTGAGGCTGAGGTAGAAGGAACATCTGAGCCTGAGAGGTTGAGGGTGCAGTGAGCTATGATGACACCACTGCCCTCCAGTCTCCAAACAAAAAAAGATATTTAAAATGGATTTTTCTCATGACAAAGCATTTTAAAATAATTTTAAAAATTATTTTAAAAACATTTTAAAAGATTTTAAAAATTATTTTAAAAGCATTTTTAACATTTTAAAAATCTATTTTCCTGAAAATATTATAATATGGGAAATGTTTAAATATACATTAATTTGACCTATCTTAAATATTATTTAGGAAAATAAGTTTACTCTAGTATGTATAAAATCATAAAAGTCATCTTTCAAGTTCCCTAACAGTCTTTCCAATGAGCACTTACCCACTTCATTTTTTAATTTTATGGTTTAGAGACAGGTTCTCACTGGAGTGCAGTGATACAATCGTAGCTTGCTGCAGCCTCAAACTACTGGACTCAAGAAATCCTCCCATCTCACCCTCTTGAGTAGCTGGGACTACAGGTGTGCGCTACCACACCCAGCTAATTTTTTTTTTCCCCCTAGGGATGGCAGGGGCGGGGGGGCTCACTATGTTGCCCAGGCTGGCCTCAAACTCTTGGCCTCAAGCAATCCCTCCACCTTGGCCTCCCAAAGTGCTGAGATTACAAGCATAAGCTAACCTCATCTGGCCCCATTTTATCTGTTAAATAAGAAAATAAAATTTGGCTTCTTGATATAAAGGGATAAATTGGTCTCCAAGGAGTCTTTGTAGCAATCCAGTATTCCAAAGTACAAAACATGTAACCAATGGTCTCAGCTCCCACTGTTTATCTGCCACTACCCTATTTACTAACAACACTCAATCCCAGCAGTCTATGATCAAAGAATCACTACCTCCTATACTGCTAGCATGTAATCCCAATATACAATAGTCTGATCTTATTGTAACATTCAGTGGTTTAAAATAAACCAAGTTTGTATGTGATACTGGAGGGAAACAATATTCTAAATATGTGATACAAGTTTCTTGCTCTGTTGCCCAAGATGGAGTGCAGTGGTGCGACCTTGGCTCACTGCAGCCTCCACTTCCCAGGTTAAAGCGATTCTTCTTCCTCTGCCTCCTGAGTAGCTGGGATTACAGGCACCCATGACCATGCCCAGCTAATTTTTGTATTTTTAGTAGAGACAGGGTTTTACCATGTTGGCCAGGCTGGTCTCAAACTCCTGACCTCAAGTGATCTGCCTACCTCGGCCTCCCAAAGTGCTATAAATTACAGGCATGAACCACCGCACCCAGCCAAGATTTTTTTTTTTTTTTTTTTTTTTGAGACAGTTTCACTCTTGTCACCAAGGTTGGAGTGCAATGGCGTGATCTTGGCTCACTGCAAACTCCGCCTCCCGGGTTCAAGCAATTCTCTTGCCTCAGCCTCCCAAGTAGCTGGGATGACAGGCGCCTGCCACTGCGTCCGGCTAGTTTTTTTTGTATTCTTTTAGTAGAGACGGGGTTTTGCCATGTATTGGCCAGACTGGTCTTGAACACCTAACCTCAGGTGATCCGCCCACCTTGGCATCCCAAAGTGCTGGAATTACAGGCGTGAGCCACTGTGCCGGCCTGAAATTTTTTTTAAGAGATGGCAGTCTCCCTATGTTACCCAGGATGGAGTGCAGTGGCTATTCACAGGCACAGTCGCGGAGCACTACAGCCTCAAACTCCCAACCTCAAGTGATCCTCCTGCCGCAGCCTCTTAAGTAGCTTGAACTACAGGTGTGCACCACCACACCCAAATCTCCGAAATCCTTATATTAAAGGCAATATTCTAGTCAGAGAATATTATAAAACAATTAGAAAATACTAACATAGTAAATTCAGACTTGCTTTTTTTCCAAGGAGAAATGTTATTTGTATCATCCCATCAAACATTTTTGGTATTTAACACTCAGAAAAGTGAGTTAAAACAAAAACATGTCACCACAATAACAATTCGAAGTATTATTAGTTACTATAAAGGATTGCAGAGAATACTGTTGCTCTCCATGAGCTCACACTACAATATCTAAAACAAAAAGTTATGAATGAGGCAGAATTTTATAAATGAAACTTGAACAATCTTCCATCGTGGAAAAAAAAGTTCCTCAAATTAAGTACTGAAATTAATCAAAAGATTATTTCTAAAACAGAAAATGAAGACGTGCTTATAGATTAAAGCTGGCTGCTCTAACAGCAACAATTCCATATGTATGCTAGATTAGGCAGTGCCACATCAAACCTATTTCTAGCATTTGTATTAAGCAGCTACAGAAAAATGATATCCCATTTGCCAGTAGAGAATCCGAGGCACAAAGAGGTTAAATGGCTTGTGTTAAAATCATAATACTAGTAAAGAGAATGCTGACTTCAAACTCTAAACACCCTATCAACCAATTAAAAAAATGGGCAAAAGACTTCAAAAGTCGTTTCTCCAAAAATGATATAAAAATGGCCGATAAACACATAACATGCTCAACACATCACTAATCATTAGGGAAATGCAAACCAAAAACACAGTAAGATACCACCTCACACCCATAAAAATAGCTTTAAAAAAAACAGGAAATAACAAGTGTTGATGAGGATGTGGAGAAAATGGCACTCCTCTGCATTGCCTTTGGGAATGTAAAATAGTGCAGCCACCATGGAAAGCAGTATGGAAATTCCTCCAAAAATTGTACTTCAAATTACCATATGATCCAGCAATTCCACTTCTGGGTAGACACCCAAAGGAACTTAAAGCAGGGACTTGATGAGAGATATGCAGACCAATGTTCATAGCAGCATTATTCACAATAGCCAAAAGGTGAAAACAACCCAAATACCATTTACAGATTAATACATAAACAAAATGTAGTATATACATACAACGGAATACTATTCAGCCTTAAAAATAAGGGGAATTCTATCACATGCTTCATAAATGAATCTTGAAGATTTTATGCTTACTGAAATAACCCAGACAAAAAAGGACAAATACTACATGATTCCACTCATATGAGGTACCTGCAATAGTCAAGTTTCTAGACAGACAAAGTAGAATGGTGGTTATCTGAAGCAGAAGAAAAGAAAAGAAAAATTGAAGAGCTGCCACTCATAAAATTTTATGAGTACACATTCAGTTTGGGATGATGAAAAAGTTCTGCAGATAGATAGTGGTGATGGTTAACAATGTGAATGTACTTAATGCCACTGAACTGTACACTGAAAAATTATTAAGTTTTGTTACGTACATTTTACCACAATAAAAAGAAACTGTAGTCATCTTTTTTTTTTTCCTTTGAGACAGGGCCTTGCTCTGTCACTCAGGCTGGAGTGCAGTGGCATGATCAGAATTCACTGCAGCTTCCACCTCCTGAGCTCAAGCGATTTTCCTGCCTCAGCCAACGAAGTTAGGTGGGACTACAGGTGTGAGCCACTATGTCCAGATAATTTTTAGAATTTATTTTTTGTAGAGATGAGGTCTCACTATGTTGTCCAGGCTGGTCTTGAACTCCTGAGCTTAAGCAATCCTCCTGTCTTGGCCTCCCAAAGTGCAGGGATTACAAGCATGAGCCACTGTGCCCAGCCTCCCCTAGCCATCTTAATTCTGAGATTATTTTTATTCCGTGAATTCAAAAGTTTCCAAACTTGTCTTACATTAGGATCTTCTAAAATTTCCAAAGCCCAGATTACAGTCCCAGGTTAAGACACAGGCATCAATAATTTTTTGTAAGCTCTCCAGGTGATTCCCACATCCAGACAAGTTTGGGAATCATTAATCTGTATTTCTACAGCCTTCAGAGTAACTTTTAAATTTTTAAATTTACAGGTATAATACCAGTATCAGGTATTATTAACATAGCTCCATGAACAAAAGATCTATACTAAAATCCAGAAGTTAACATCTTACCTGTGAATCCTGTACATATTTCTGCTCACTCAGTGAACATATTACTTACATTATACAGTAAATAATACTTAGAAAGTGGCCAGGCACGGGGGCTGATGCCTGTAATCCCAACACTTTGGGAGGCCAAGGCGGGTGGATCATGAGGTCAAGAAATCAAGACCATCCTGGCTAACACGGTGAAACCCCGACTCTACTAAAAACATAAAAATTAGCTGGGCATGGTGGCACACGCCTGTAGTCCCAGCTACTCGGGAGGCTGAGGCAGGAGAATCGCTTGAACCTGGGAGGTGGCAGTTGCAATGAGCCGAGATTGCGCCACTGCACTCCAGCCTGGTGACAGAGCAAGGTTTCATCTCAAAAAAAAAAAAAAAAAAAACCAAAAAAACCCCACAAAACTTAGCAACAACATTATTCTGGTTTACCACTTCAAGTGTTCTGCAAAATGCTGCTTTTTATTGTTGTTTTTAAGTATTATGGTTTTTACTATTTCCTGTAACTTAAAAAAAATACATGTGTAGGAGACATATCGGTCTATAGGGGTCCATAATCTACCTCATATTTTTCATGCCTAAAATGCAGCTCCAACACTTGATAGCTGTATGAGCTTGGACAGATTTGTAAGAGTCTACAGTAAGAATTATAGAAAGAAATTACGGTAAGAAAGGCTGGGCATGGTGGCTCACACCTGTAATCCCAGTACTTTGAGAGGCTGAGGCTGGAGGATCACTTGAGGCTAGGAGTTAGAGACCAGCCTGGTCAACATGGCCAGCAGAGAAACCCCATCTCTACCTAAATTACAAAACTTAGTCAGGTGTGGTGGTGTACTCCTAAGTCCTGAGTATTTGGGAGGCTGAGGCAGGAGAATTGTTTGCGCCCAGGAGGCAGAGGTTGGAGTGAGTCAAGATTACACCACTGTACTCTGGCCTAGGAGACAAAGCAAGACCCTGTCTCCAAAAAAAAAAAAAAAAAAAAAAAAAAAAGAAAGAAAGAAAGAAAGAAAAATTATTGTAAGAAAACCTCAACAAGGAGGAAAAATAGGAGAAGTCTTAGCATTTTTCTCATAAACGTTCTAGAAAGCATGAAAATGTAGAAAATTGACCATGCAAATTCTAGTGACATCATCATTTAAGATTTCAGAAATGATACATAATAATCTTGATGACAGACATTAAGGACAAAACATTATAGACAGGCTACAGGGAAAACAATAAAAAGGCACATCCAGTCTGCTGAAGTAACTACACCTAATTTAGCAGAGAGTTCATACCCTGACTGATACAAGGTACGGGATTCTTCTTGCCTTTGAGATTCTAAAGCATACTCACAATTTAGCATACAATTCCAGAAGGGTTCACTGACCACCAGAGAAGGTACCTTTCACTAATAAACACTACCAAGTTCAACTGGGCTTAAACCCCTAGAACTGTGTTGTAAATACAATAGCCAATACACACATATAACTATTGGTGACTTAAAATGTGGCCAATCCAAACTGAGATATACTCTAAGCACAGCACACACACCTAATTTCAAAAGCAGTACAAAAAGTAAACTATTTCATTAAAACCTTCTGCATAGTTAATTATATGCTGACATGATATTATTTTGGACTTACTGAATTAAAAAATATATTACAATTAATTTTGCCTATACATTTAGTTTTTTTTTAGCTTTTTAAATGTGCCTAGTAGAAAATTTTAAATTACCTATGTGGCTCACATTATACTTCTACTGGACAGTACATTAGATGACAGGAAGAGAGGAAATGAGTCCATAAAAAACCTAACAGCAATAGCTCCTAGCTTCTCTAGAAATTTGCCTTTTCGGAGACAGTGAGAAACCTAACCAAAGGACATCCTAACGCTACTAATGGTTAATAATACATTTTCAGGGGAGACTTACATCTCATGGTGCCTATTTTTAATCAGTTTTGGAGAGCACGAGATAATGTAAAAGCCATACATATGGCAGAAAATAAACACAGCTTTATGGGTGAAATTTAAAGCATATTCTTTCATTTACTTCCTTAAAAAAAAAAAATCGATGAATTTCTTTATTGAAGCACCAAAAGTACTGTTTTAATTATAAATATAAAGGTTCTTGTGTAAGCAATACCACCCAAAAAAATAACTTTCTGCAATGATGAAAATGTTCTACATCTACACTGCCCAATACAATGGCCATTAACAACAGCCATCCTTTCCTTCCTGTGAACTTTTACTGCTTTATCCCACAAAATCAAAAATTTATCACTCTCTATGGACTAAGTTTTTTACTACTAATTCCAGGGCTCTAATTATTCTAATACAAAGGCTTAGAACATATTGAACCAAATATTTAATCCTATTTTCTTTATGTTATATCCAGCAAGGATTTATTATATCCTATATGTACATGTCTATATGTATACACATAATGTAATATAGACATACAAACACACATATATAACATGTAATACTCTATATTGCCTTTTTTGAGATGGAGTTTCACTCTTGTCACCCAGGCTGGAGTGCAGTGGCACGATCTCTGCTCACTGCAACCTCCACCTCCCGGGTTAAGTGATTCTCCTGCCTCAGCCTCCCAAGTAGCTGGAATTACAGGCACATGCCACCATACCTGGCTCATTTTTGTACTTTTAGTAGAGACAGGGTTTCACCATGTTGGCCAGGCTAGTCTCGAACTCCTGACCTCAAGTGATCTGCCTGCCTTGGCCTCCCAAAGTGCTGGGATTACAGGCATGAGCCACCACATCTGGCCTATATTGCCTTTTAAAATTGGAATTAAAGATAACTATTTTACATACAGTAAATATATCAAAAAAGATTTAACAACATATTTTTTCCATAGAAATCAATTATATATAGTTGAGGGAATGGGGTAAGATTAAAGTATGTATTAAAATCAAACATGTTCCCTATTAACTATTTCCCTCCTATACACAATCTCATCTGCCACTTAACAAAACCTCCTATGTCACTATATACGTAAGATACTGAACTAGCTGTCTAAAAAAAGAATTCTTTACTAGTATGTTTCTATTCTGTATACCCTCCTAGAAGCATTTAAAACTTTTGCTAAATACACAAACTTTACCGCACACTCAGCTAAATGGCTACAACAGATTCAACATGACAAAAAGCTTAACCAAACACAATCTTAAGAAAGTTCTTGGCCAGGCGTGGTTGGTGTGTGCCTGTAGTCCCAGCTACTCTGGAGGCTGAGGTGGGAGAACCAATTAGGCCCAGAAGTTTGTGGCTGCAATGAGTTATGATTGCGCTACTGCCATCCATCTTGGGCACAGAGCAAGACCCTGTCTCTATTTAAAAAAAAAAAAAGTTCTTATTCAAGATAATCTTTTTCAAATGCACTCTCAAACATGGCAAGTTCAGAATATCTTTTATAGAAGAGACTAAAACCTACATTAAGTCAGTGGTACTTACTACAACCCATTTGCTTGTGGGCTCACTAGAAAACTCAATGCCTGTCATGTGATCCAGTCCCCAGCAATGTAGGAAAACACCTAAACTATTCAAGAAAACACTGGTCATCATTCTTTAAACCAATTATCTGAAGACTGGTTTGTTCCTGTGGTTACTCTTACACTTGCGGGATTCTTTACAGGTAACCTAGCTGTATCCCTAGAATTTGATTCTATTTCCTCTCTTTCAGTCCCTAAAGACTGTTAAACACACAACTACATGTAGGTCCAGATTATCAGAAAATGAGATTTTTTTCTTTAAAAATTTTAAAGAAAGGAAAAAGAAGATAAAAAGGTAAGCAATATTATTTTCTCCTTTGTTCAGGTCAAAGTAGTTTCACATCATAAATTTTCTTTCTTTACAACTCTTGTTCTTTTTTCAGAATACTTATACCAAAAGTGAATTGATTAGTCAACAAAAACAGTCTATATAATACTTATGTTTCAGAATGGTCTAGAAATGCATTAATTTATAATCAATCTTTATCTACCTTCCCTATATCATTCCACTGAATTCAACAGAAAAGAAGTCCGAAGTAATAACTTAAAGATAGACTTAGCTGCTTGATTTTTGTCCTACTTGCTTTTCCAAAGAAGGAAAAAGGGTAAGAAAGTTCCTGTAAAAAAGAGATTTGAGGAGCAGCATTTATCTTTCCAGAATAAAGTCAGTTATTATACCACAACTATGGTTCAAGAGTAACTCGAAAGAGCATATACTATTTCTGGTAACACTTCACTAATAAAATACAATCTTAATTTAGTTCCCCTCCTAAATGGGTCAGCCCATGGAAAAACACTAGTGCTCAATTACATGGTTAAATAACAAGCAGCATCTGTTGGATTCATGAAAATATCCAATTAAAAGTTGTATTTTTGGCCAGGTACACTGGCTCATGCCTGTAATCCTAGCACTTTGCGAGGCCAAAGATGGTGGGTAGCTTGAGCTCAGTTCAAGACCAGCCTAGGCAACATGGTGATATCTTGTCTCTACAAAATCTACAAAAATTAACCAGCCTTGGTAGCGTGCACCTGTGGTCCCAGCTACATGGGAGGCTGAGGTGTGAGGACTACTTGAGCCTGGCAGTTTGGGCTGCAATGAGCCATGATTGTGCCACTGCACTCCAGCCTGGGTGACAAAATAAGAGACCTTATCTCAAAAAAAAAAAGTTATAATTTCAATTTTTTTTTTTTAAGACAGGGTCTTGCTCTGTTGCCCAGGCTGGAGTACAACAGCACAATCCTAACTCAATGCAGCCTCAATCTTCTGAGCTCAAGTGATCCTCCCACCTCAGTCTTCAGAGTAGCTGGGACTCTGAAGTCCCACTTCAGAGTGTGTGCCACTGTGCCCAGCTTTTTTTTTTTTTTAAAGAGACGGGGGTCTGCAGCCATAAAAAAAGAATGAGTTCGGCTGGGCATGGTGGCTCACGCCTGTAATCCCAGGCCTTTGGGAGGCCGACATGGGCGGATTACCTGAGGTCAGGAGTTCGAGACCAGTCTGGCTAACATGGTGAAACCCCGTCTCTACTAAAAATACAAAAATTAGCCGGGCGTGCTGGTGGGTGCCTATAATCCCAGCTACTCGGGAGGCTAAGGCAGGAGAATTGCTTGAATCCAGGAGGTGGAGGTTGCAGTGAGCTGAAATCATGCCACTGTACTCCACCCTGGGCGATAGAGCAAGACTTCATCTCAAAAACAAAAAGAATGAGTTTATGTCCTTTGCAGGGACATGGATGAAGCTGGAAACCATCATCCTCAGCAAACTAACACAAGAACAGAAAACCAAACACTGTATGTTCTCACTCAAAAGTGGGAGTTGAACAGTGAGAACACATGGACACAGGGAGGGGAACATCACAGACTGGGGCCTGTTAGGGGATAGGGAGCATGGAGAGGGAGAGCATAAGGACAAATACCTAATGCATATGGGGCTTAAAACCCAGATGACGGGCTGATAGGTGCAGCAAACCACCACGGCACTTATGTATCTATTAACAAACCTGCACGTTCTGCACATGTATTGCAGAACTTAAAGTAAAAATAAACAAACAAATAAATAAATAAAATAAGATCATTAAAAAAGAGAGAGAGAGAGAGAGACGGGGGTCTAGCTATGTTTCCCAGGCTGCTCTCAAACTCCTGGTCTCAAGCCATCCTCCCACCTCGGCCCCTTAGTGGTGGATTACAGGTGTGAGCCTATATTTTCAATTATCAATAGCCTTTTAAGAGTTTTTCATAAAGAAAGCCGGGTGCAGTGGTTAAACTTACAAAGTTATAAACTGAGTCAAACCACAGAATCCCAGAAAGGCTCAGAAGTTGAAGGTACTGGTATATATACATATATACATATACATATACATATACATATATATATATATATATATGTATATATGTATATATATATCCCTGAAGGTGGATATATAGGTGTAACTGAAAAGAGAAGGGGCTGGACACAGTGGCTCACACCTGTAATCCCAGCACTTTGGGAGGCTGAGGTGGGCAGAACACTTGAGGCCAGGAGATCAAGACCAGCCTAGCCAACATGGCGAAACCCCGTCTCCTTAAAAATACAAAAATTAGCCAGTCGTGGTGGCTAGTGTCTGTGGTCCCAGCTACTTGGGAGGCTGAGGCATGAGAACCGCTTGAACCTGGGAGGTGGAGGTTGAAGTGAGCCAAGATTGCACCACTGTACTCCAGCCTGACAGAGTGAGACTGTTTCAAAAAAAAAAAAAAAAAAAAAAAAGGAAAGAAAAAGAAAGCAGAAGGAATGAAAGTTCAAAGATATTAGAGCCTCTCCACTTTCTTCCAGATCAGTGAAAAACTTAAGAGGTCCACTCTTTGAAATGGTTGAAACAGAGGGACTCAGAATTAGAGATATTCAGATACAGCTGAGATGATGTATTTAAAAGATTAAGTGAAAATTTAACCACTATGTAAGTGAGCCCCACCTCCAAACCTCCTTTCCCCAATAGGTTCACTAAACACTGGCAGCCCAGCTTATACCCTCTAGTCAGAGTACTGAAAGTCTCCTCTGGGAAAACTACTTAAGCAGGTGACAGAGCGTACAAATACTGGCAGGTGGGTGACAGGCACCCAATAAAAAGAGTCAAGTCCCCAGATCATTCACTCTAGTAAAGCCTGCAATGTCATAAGCTACTCACATACACAGAACCTCCAGTTAGCATTTTAGTACCCAGAAGTCTAAGAGGGTTGCTAATCAAAGATTCTATACCCAGTCAAAACTATCAATTATAAGGATAGAAAAGAAAGAAACTTAAGAGCCTGCAATTCTGCGGTTTGACTCAGAATTCCAACACAGAGGATCTCAAAAGTATCACCATCCTTGCACTCTCAGGAAACTACTCTCAGGTTGGGCACCACCATAACAGTAAATAAGACAAAAAAAAAAAAAAAAAGGAGAAATGAGAAATGAGGGATCCAACAAGAAGGGAAAAGCAAAGAGAATCCCCAAGATGACTACTGTGAAACAGGACTACAGAACTACTAATCCAAATCGGAAAAGAAGAATGAAGGGTAACAACAGGGATATTAATTAACAAGAGGAGAAAAAAAGGGAAACTCATAAGATTATACAAAGTCCTTGAAGGTAGGGAGAAGTGATTTATACTTCTAATAGATAGTCTACTGATGAACTACCAACAGGTACACAGATCAGGAGTCAGCAAACTACAAAAAGTCAGCTAGAAAATATTTCAGGCTAAGTATTTTCAGCTTTGCAAGCCATCTGTCTCTATCATAACTATTTAACTCTGCTCTAGTGTGAAAGCAGGCATAAAACAATCTATCAATGAATGAGCATGGCTGTGTTACAACAAAACTTTATTTACAAAAAAAGTGGCAGAGTACAGGCAGGTGTTTACTAACTCATAACATTAATAATTAAGTGAAAAAAAGGGATAATCATTAACACCTGGGAAAACAAAACGATGTACAAGAAATGAAATGTGAAGGCTGGGCGCCGTGGCTCACGCCTGTAATCCCAGCACTTGGGGAGGCCGAGGTGGGCGGATCACAAGGTCAGGAGATCGAGACCATCCTGGCTACATGGTGAAACCCCATCTCTACTAAAAATACAAAAAATTAGCTGGGCGTGGTGGCGGGCACCTGTAGTCCCAGCTACTCGGGAGGCTGAGGCAGGAGAATGGCGTGAACCAGGGAGGCAGAGCTTGCAGTGAGCTGAGATCGCGCCACTGCACTCCAGCCTGGGTGACAGAGTGAGGCTCTGTCTCCAAAAAAAAAAAAAGAATGAAATGAAATGTGTTTCAATATACTATGGCTCAGTTACAAATAATATTTATAAAATTATAAGAGTATAAACAAATATTGTTTTTACCAAAACTTATAACTATATTGGCAAGATAAGGAAAGGGAGAGGAAGCCAGGTGCAGCGGCTCATGCCTGTAATCCCAGCACTTTGGGAGGTCAAGGTGAGTGGATCACTTGAGGTCAAGAGTTCAAGACCAGCCTAGCCAACATGGCGAAACCTGTCTCTACTAAAAACACAAAAATTAGCTGGGTATGATGGCAGACGCCTGTAATCCCAGCTACTCAGGAGGCTGAGGCAGGAGAATCACTTGAACCTGGGAGGCAGAGGTTGCAGTGAGCCGAGATCATACCATTGCGCTCCAGCCTGGGCAACAAGAGTGAAACTCCGTATCAGAAAAAAAAAAAAAAGGAAAAGGAGAGGGAAAAGAAGTGTGTGCAAAAGTGCCAATATCCAAGTGTTGAGTCGGGGGAAGTAAGATAGCTAACCTCTCAATAGAAAGTCAATAGAATTTCAATGGTAGGCTGTTGTGACCAAAAAAAAAAAAAGTCCACTAGATTAATCCTAAATGATAACTCAAGAATAAGCATGTTATGTCTTTCAAAATTTTTAAACAGGTAACTTAAAAGAAACAGAAGAATTAAAAAGGGCTGCTTCTGAGGAGCAAATCTATTCATTGGGGCTCAGGATTGCAGCCTTTCATTTTAAATCTTGGTAATCTGTTTGACTTCTTAAAACTACATAAATCTATATGCCTGGCTGGGAGCAGTGGCTCACGCCTGTAATCCCAGCACTTTAGGAGGCCGAGGCGGGTGGATTGCCTGAGCTCAGGAGTTCAAGACAAGCCTGGGCAACATGGCAAAACCCCGTTTCTACTAAAAATACACAAAATTAGCCAGGTGTGGTGGCACACGCCTATAATCCCAGCTACTTGGGAGACTGAGGCAGGAGAATCACTTGAACCTGGGAAGCAGAGGTTGCAGTGAGCTGAGATTGCACCACTGCACTCCAGCCTGGGCAACAGAGTGAGACTTTGTCTCAAAATAAATAAATAAATGTATATGGCAGATATTGTTAACTGCCTACCCAATATCCATTTCCACTTCTTTGATCTTTGGTATCTATCTAATATCTATCAGCCCTTTCTTCTTACTAACAAAAACTTCATTTGTTCAGAGCAGCTGTTTCCAAATAAAAGATATTTGTTTCTCTTAGTATGGCCAAAGATATGTCAACTAAAGTTTCCAGAAAATAATTTACTTTCTGACTCAGGTGCCACACCTTCCTTACTTCCTCCCTTCCTTTCTCTTCCTGCCTGGAATCCACTGTGAGGTCTGGAGGTGCAACACACGGGAGGACCATGAAGATGTAAAAATGGCACAGAGAAAACTCTGGGGAACTTTGAATCCTTGATGACATTATTGAACAGCTATACCAGTACTAAACTATCGACCTCCATACTGCTTGCTACTGAGAAAAATCAATCCCTACATAAGCCAAGTAGTTAATGTTGTTCTGTCATTTCCAGCTGAATGCATTCTGAACTTACACAAGTATTTTGTTAACAATAAAGGTTTACGTTAATTTTCAAAGAGGAAAAAAAATGAAAGCACCTTTATTTATCCAGGCTTATCTACTCATCCAGTCTTACTAAAACTAAAAAGTTTGAAAAAACAAACAAACAAAAACTCCAGGTGCACATGAAAAAAGATGTGCATATATGACATCAAAGACCTCAAAATGATTACAATCTCAACCAAATGTTCACTTCACATCCTCTCACATCTTTCAGGAAAAATTAGTAAGTTCCCTTTAGTTTTCTCTTCCCCACATCCCAACTTACTTGCCACTGGTTCATCTCTCTTGAAGTCTCACTAACTCAATGACTGCTGGGAACTTAAATCTTTTGAGAGACTATGCCTTATATTATCTAAATCACGGAGAAGCGAGTAACCTGAAGGTTTTAATTGCATAGGAGAAGGAGGTATCTATCATAAGTCTTCTGTGCCTCTATCTGCAACTAGTCTAATAAGTAGTGTCATAAATTTGCTTAATTCATTGCTCAAGAAAATTATAAGCTCTCAAAGAGTAAATGGTCTTATATAGAAAACACAAATTTAAATTACTTTAATTAAAGGGAATTGAGAGATTGGGAATAAGAAGGGTTAACTTGATCCAAAACATACTCACAGATCACTATCCTTAACAGGTGTTGTTACTTAATTTTAATATCAGAGTGCTGTGCATATATTTCCACAAATACTAAAAAAAAGATACTTCCAAGCCTAAGTCTCTGCTTTCATCCCACATTAAGTCTATCATCACAAATCAAAATTTAGGCCACTGTATTAAAATACAGCCTATTCCTACAGTAAGAAAATGCTTAAAGTGTATAAAGGGAAGTTTGTAAAGTGGTTTAAAAAAAAAAAAAACCTGACTGTATCTAGTACTCTGTCACTGACAACCTCTGGAATATGTCTGTATATTAGCTTGTTTTATCCCACATTCTCTGTTAAGACACAAAAAGGAACAAATCTAAAGAAATATCACGTCAGAATTTAAGATAGCTTACCTTTTATTTATAGGTTTTTCATCTTTTTCATAAGGCTTTACAAACCACTTGCCAATACGTACAAAATTCCTGTTCATTAAACACCGTTCCAATAGATTGTGAACTGCTTTGAAAAGCAGAGTACGGCATTCATAGGAAAGTCCATTCTCCCACACTCCATCTTCTTCTTCTAAAAGAGAAATGAAGGAAATAATAAAATAGTGACACTATAATCTATTCAGAGCCAAGTAAAAAAGGTTACAGTTTAAACTCTATATTCATCAACACTAGCTTACCCCAGAATATTAAGCTACAATCACTTCAATGTATCTCTAGACATTATCAGGTTTCAAAGTTACTCCACAAGGAATAAAAGGTCTAAGTGCCACATATTCTATTAAATTACCTGAAAAGTATTTTTCCACCTTATAAAATTCAATGACATCATGAACATACTGAATTGGTTCCTGTATTAATGAAAAGGACACTTGTTTGTATAACCTGGAAAATATTAAACACACTCTACACCTATGATGCCAATTTCTAAGCTGGCTCACTTGTTACTTTGTCCTAATTCCCCTAGTCATTCAACCTGCCAAAAAAACTAGCCAGTTAATAATTAAAGTCAAAACATTTCATGTCCATCAGCATTCTAATCCACGACTCCACTACAACACTAAGTGATGAATAAAAAGGAAGCTGTTGGCACAGAGCCTAACAAGCGGTGCACTATCAGCCACCTTAGGTCTCATTTCAAACAAATTATTCCCATGATTATTATTCAGTACAGGACCCTTTACTTGGGGGAGAAATTTAAAAATTTAAAGACTTAAATTGTAAATGGCACTTCTGTCAAATAAAATTATAGCTATCTTCACTAACTATATAGCTTCAATTTTGCCAACAAATCTATTAATCACTCCAAGTTAATTTACCAAAAAAACATTAACACAGTCATTTTGAGATAAGTCTGGATGTAGGTCAGAAAAATTTTTTTGTGTACTCTATCCATTTCATATCTGTCACAAAGCATCCAACAAATCGTGCTACAAATAATGATACCACTTCAGCACTCTAACTTTCATTACAAGATTTTAAATTGCTTAGTCTAAATATAATTAACTCTCCTTCTATAGCCTATATACCTTTATAAACATTTTGTAAATATGGGTCATCTGTGTTCAATGTTTAAGTAAAAATAAAAGACAAACGTTTCTCAATTCAACACCAAAAATGCATACACTATACCCACAGAAAAACAGACACAATATGAGCTTCTGAATAAAAGCAAAGACATGTATTAAGAGTTACACATGGTTTATATGCACAATTTATACAACAAATGGGTAGAATAAACATTAACTAAAAAGTATGATAGTGGACTTTAACTGCACTAGAAATTCTGTGCCACTACAAAGATTAATGTTGGTTTTATATTTTCTCCTAAATGATAGTCAAGTCTTTCAAAGCAACTAATTTTTTTTTAAATTTTATTTTAAATAAGCTTTAGGCTGGGCGCAGTTACTCACGCCTGTAATCCTAGCACTTTGGGAGGCTGAGGTGGGCGGATCACCTGAGGTCAGGAGTTCAAGACCAGCCTCGCCAACATGATGAAAGCCCATCTCTACTAAAAATACAAAAATTAGCCAGGCGTCATAGTGCAGCCCTGTAATCCCAGCTACTCGGGAGGCTGAGGTGGGAGAATCACCCAAGAGGGAGAGATTACAGTGAGCCAAGATCGTGCCACTGCACTCCAGCCTGGGACAGAGTGAGATTCAGTCTCCAAAAAAACAAACAAACAAAAAAAAAGGTAAGCTTAGGGAAAAAAAAGTAGAATAAGCTTGAGAAAATGACAATATTTCAGAATTGGTATAGAATAATTTTTTAAGTCTAATATTAATCATAAATATTAAATAGGAAAAATTCACATTCTATTATATCAAAGACACCGTTATCTACTTCCATTTAAAACCAAAACGTTTATGGGTTTCACTTCATTAAAGAAAGTATTAGGCTAGGAGAATAGAGAAGCAGCACAAAGTGACTTCACTTTAATTAATTAAAGGTCTAGATCACAAGCATATTTGTGAGTTGATGACAAAAAAAGAGAAAAGAATCTCAATTGATCTGCTTTCAATTTAATGAGGTCCTACCATTTCAAAATTAAATAGCTACATTAAGACTTTTACCTCAAATTATGAGACTTATGACTACTAGAATATACATGTTCTTAATTCCAACAGAATTATGTTAGGAATATCTTCCAATTCTTCACCTCTTTACAATCAATTTAGTATCTTTTATTTTTATTACCTTTTATTTCAAAAATCCCTACCTTCTGATGGTTGTAACACTTGTTCTACATAAGAAACCACTACCAACATATTTCTCCTAAGTTTTAAAGCATCAAAGACCCAAGACACAGTTACCATTTGTAAGTATCAAGGTTGTACAGTTGTTATAAACTTCAAATAAATTAGTCATTTAAAACTAGAAAATGACTTTGTCTCCTTCGCAAAAATAGTAAATAAAAAAATCTGCTTTCTGGGAGGCTGAAGCCAGGTGTGGTGGCTCACGCCTGCTATCCGGGAGGCTGAGGCCAGGTGTGGTGGCTCATGCCTGTAATCCCAGCACTTCAGGAGGCCAAGGCAAGTGGACCACTTGAGGCCAGGAGTTCGAGACCAGCCTGGCCAACATGGCAAAACCCCATTTCTACTAAAAATATAAAAATTAGCCATGCATGGCACGGCTGTAGTCCCAGCTACTCAGGAGGCTGAGGCATGAGAATCACCTGAGCCCAAGAGATGGGAGTTGCAGTGAGCTGAGATCACACCACTGCACTCCACTGTGGGCGACATAGCGAGACTCTGACTCAAAAAAACAAAAAAAAAAACCTTTGCAATAGTAAAAGCTAAAGCACAATTTATAAATTTTCACATGAAATTCTGAAAATTTTATGGTTTTATTTTGTAAAATCTATTTTAGTTAAACTTGCAGTCAAATGATTTAAGAATATTTAATGTGAGGCCATGTGCGGTGGCTCATGCCTATAATCCCAGCACTTTGGGAGGTCGAGGCAGGTGGATCATCTGAGGTCAGGAGTTCAAGACCAGCCTGGCCAACATAGTGAAACCCCATCTCTACTAAAAATACAAAACTTAGCTGGGCGAGATGGCATGCACCTGTAGTCCCAGCTATCCGGGAGGCTGAGGCAGGAGAATCACTTGAACTGGGTGGCAGAGGCTGCAGTAAACCGAGATCACGCCACTGCACTCCAGCCTGGTGACAGAGCAAGACTCCATCTCAAAAAAAAAAAGAATATTGAATGTGGTTTAGAAAAGTAATCAGTATTAATCTTGAAGCATTTCTCCCTCATTATTCTAATGCTTTCAGAGGGGGTGGGCATCTTATGTCCCCAGTGCCCACAATTCTCATTAACACTAAATAGGAGCTATGCATAAAACAAACAAGTAGAGACCACCTGTTGAGGTTTTCTAAATCCAACGTATCTCTGAAGTATGTCCTCATCTATATGGCAAGCAACTAAGCAACCATTACACTAAAGTAATATAATTTCATATTTTGTTGCTGAGAAAAACGAGAGTAAGTCCTAATAACGCTCAATAAAGTCTGAAGGTTTTTGGTTTTGTTGGGAATCACTTAGAAACAAGAAGCCTACTGAGCCAAGTTTCTAATATCCTGACAATCTAATAACTGTAATAAAAGTACTTTCTACACGTTGTATTCAGATACGAAAAGTGAAATGGTACAACCAACCCACTCAAGGCATAGTGATATGCACTATTTACACTAATTGAAACAAGTTCTTGAATCTCAACACCAGCATTATAATAGGGAGGGGAAGGAGAAGGGAACATATGGCAAATCTTTACCTATCTCTTTTGAACTTAACCAGAGCCTAATAGAAAAAGTCTGCTTAATCTATATAACTATTTTCCTCCTCTAGCCAGGTGCAATGACTCATGCCTGTAATCCCAGCTACTTGGGAAGCTAAGACAGAAGGATCACTTGAAGCTAGGAGTTCAAGACTAGCCTGGCAATACAGGAAGACCCTGACTCCAAAAAACTTTTTTTAGTTAGTAGGGCATAGTGGCAATGCCTGTAGGCCCAGCTGCTGGGGAAGCTGAGGTGGGAGGATTGCTTGAGTCCAGGAGTCGGAGGCTGCAGTGAGCTATGATTAAGCACTGCAGGCTGAGTGAGACAAAGTGTGACCTCCATCCCTACAAAAAAAAGAAAAAAAAATTCCTTCTCTTGTAGCTCTATGTCCAGAGAAAATAAAGTTCAACTCTGCATTCTTAGTACTTTTCTGTTACTATTAGCATTACAGTTCTTAATCATCAGTGTTTCTTGAAATTTTTATGGACTATTTATTGGAAGAAAACACAAATGCTAAATTTGATTACCATATTTTTTTCCTGAAGATGCAGATTACAGTAGTGCCAAAGTATGTGATAAGTCATCAAAATAATTCTCTATCAATGGGGAAAAAAAATCACAACCAAAAAAGCAGACACACCCTGCACTCAACATTTTTCTCAAAAAAATGGCATCTTTAAATATCTCCACGGTGGTAAAAAATGAATCTTCTCCAATACAATTTTGCAAAACTATTAAAATGTAACATATGCTAATGAATAATGGCTCAAAAATTAACATGGTAGAAAATACCATGTATTTCCTGAAATAAAGAGAAATGTTTAAATGCTAGATCAGTGTTTCTCCTGAATAATCATTAATAACCTATACATTCAACAAATATACCGAGAGCCTTAAGTTGGCCGCATCATTATCTATGGCAAAACTTGAAAACTGATTTAAAAACAGCCTAGTATGTTATGTTTGGCTTGAAAACTTAGAAGATACACTTGATCAAAAAAACAGTATGCAGAAGAAATACAGCAAATGAAGTTGTCACCTAGGAGACTAGCCAATTTAAAGAGTCGGGCCACATCACAAGTAAATTTTACAATAGTAGAAATAAATTACTCTCTTTAGACTATGTGGGGCACACAACAATGTTTTAGTTTGGCTGGGACTAGATTCCTATGCCTGGCTGTTTATCTATCTGTCAATCCTATTAACAGCTGTCATTTAAGGTTAAAGTCCACTACAGTTAATATCCTTCAATTAAAACATCCAAAATTAAATTCAGAACAATAGTCCACTTAGTTTGAGCACTATTCATTATGATAAAATTCTGGTATAATAAAACTATCTGAACATGTTACTAAAATCTACTTTACAGACCTCAGGAGCCAGGAAAAAGAACAAATATTTTTAGCCCTGAGTTTTTTTAGTTCACAAGGTATCAGTTTTCTCAAAGAGTCTCATCACAGTCTAACTTGCTATGATTTTTTTAAGATGACAAATGGGAGAGGACGCAGTGTTTGCTTTTATTTTTATTTAAAGGGAAAGAATAAAAGCCAATGATGACAGCAATTGAATTCCAAAAATGTTAGAACACAGAATAAAAATACACAGAAAACTCTCCTTCAAGACCACATTAATGAAAATGATACAATCTTGCTCTGAAGCAAATTAACAGTACACTTAAAAGTACCAGTCCTACCCACCACAGAGATTCTTGACCAGAGGGACTGAGCTAAGATTTTCCCATCACCCATTTTATACCTCTTTCACCCACTATCACACAACCACTAAACAAAGCTACAAAATACAATTTTTAAAAAAAAGGGGCCAGGCATGGTGGCTCATGCCTGTAATCCCAGCACTTGGGGAGGCTGAGGCGGGCAGATCACCTGAGGCCAGGAGTTCCAGACCAGCCTGGCCAACATGGCGAAACTCCTATTAAAATCTCTACCAAAAATACAAAAATTAGCCAGGCGTGATGACACATGCCTGTAGTCCCAACTACTCGGGAGGCTGAGGCAGAAGGATCGCTTGAACCTGGGAGGCGGAGGTCGCAGTGAGCCAAGATCGCCCCACTACACTCCAGCCTGGGAGACAGAGCGAGACTTCATCTCAAAAAAAAAAAAAAAAAAAAAAGAAAGAAAGAAAGAAAAAAGCTGTAACCCCAAAGGAGTTTTATTCCCTAATCCTTTTTGTATCAAAACATATCGACCCCGATTCAACTAATCATTATCCTATAGAGGATAAAGCAAAAAGTAAGAAAATCATCTATGTTTGGCTTTGGAATTCAAGAGATTTTTTGAACAAATAACCTTCTGGAATGTTATAGTTTGGCTAATACTAGTTAGCACAAATCCTGATCCAAAAATCATCCAGCCTTTGCAAATTACTTTGCTCAACGGTATTGACTTACTGCTACAAAATGAGTAACTGAGGGTTTAAAGTATGTATTAAATCAGACGTGATTTGCTGTAACTGATCTTTGCCAGTTAGCAATAAAATAAGTTTACATTCTATTTCTACACATCAGCTAAACTTGAAAGGAAGGTAACCCAAACAAATGCTAAGTGACATAAGAGAAAATGAAATTTAAAATGCACTATGGAATCTGAACAGATTCTTCAGAACTGTCGAAATCATCAAAACCAAAGAAAGTCTGAGAAACTGTCACAGTCTAACAAAGCCTAAGGAGACATGACAATTAAATGTAATAGGGGTATCTTAAATGAGATCCTAGAAAAGAAAAACATATTAGGCAAAAAAATAAAGGAAATCCAAATATATACTTTAGTTAATAATAAAGTATCAATATTGGTTCATTAGTTAATTTTTAAAAATACACTGCATGACACAAAGGAGCTAAGGGGGTTAAACAAAGGCAATTCTGTATTTCTGTTACTGAATATTCCAGTTAAGAAAAACTGAGAATTCTAATCTTTGAAAAAAGAAATGCTTTCCCTCTTCCCTCACTACCAAGAAAAACAAGGGCAATATTATCACCATAATAAAAAACACTTCAGTAACAAGATGTGGTGTGTGCTGAACCAAACAGAAGGACACTGCCTGTGAAGAGCAGGCTCAAGCTAAATTAACCAGCTTTTTAGTTACCACCTGGGTCCTTCCGGTACCCCATTCCTCAGTGCTACACCTCCACTTGGAACTCAGGACTGCCTCCAGCAGCTGATGCTACCCTGTACTGTCCAGCTGCTCTCTTCTCAGGGGAGCTTAGAAGAAGGAAATAGAGTGCCACAGATGGAAGAAATGAAAAAGGGGTTAGCTAGAGAGACAGAGGCAGACTAATTACCCCAAGAGGGAGGTAGACGCTGTCCCTAGAGCAAAGAAAAGGGCAAGACAAATATATTCCATCTGAAAAAACCTTATTATGCTTTAAGATACGTCTGATTTAAGTAACAACATTCTTAAGTAAATAACAGGTTTTATTTTTAAGAAAAGCTAAAATATTATATAAATAACACTGACTATGCAAACTAAAACAGTACAGGACAAGCTTTGGAACAATAAATATGATCATATACCACTCCTAATTGTATTTCAGTTTATTATTTCAATCACTTCACTTTGATAAATTTTTAAGTTATTTACGGCCAGGTGCAGTGACTCACGCCTGTAATCCTAGCACTTTGGGAGGCCGAGGCGGGTGGACTGTCTGCGCTCAGGAGTTCGAGACCAGCCTGGCGAACACGGTGAAACCCCATCTCTACTAAAAATACAAAAAATTAGCCGAGTGTGGCAGCATGTGCCTGTAATCCCAGCTACTCGGGAGGCTGAGACAGGAGAATCGCTTGAACCCAGGAGGTGGAGGTTGCAGTGAGCTGAGATTGCGCCACTGCACTCCAGCCTGGGCGACAAAGCAAGACTCCATCTCAAAAAAAAAGCTATTTACCATTCATTAGCATTCAGTAAAGTCTGACAGCAGTTAAAACCCTACCTCCTGCCTGTAATCCCAGCAGTTTGGGAGGCCAAGGCTGGCGGATCACAAGCTCAGGAGATCGAGACCATCCTGTCTAACAGTGAAACCCCGTCTCTATTAAAAATACAAAAAATTAGCCGGGCGTGGTGGTGGGCGCCTGTAGTCCCAGGTACTCAGGAGGCTGAGGTAGTAGGAGTATGGCATGAACCCAGGAGGCAGAGCTTGCAGCAAGCAAGCTCCACTGCACTCAGAGAGCGAGATCACGCCACTGCACTCCAGCCCGCGGGACAGAATGAGACTCCGTCTCAAAAAAAAAAAAAAAACCAACCTCCCAAAATTATTTTCATTCACGTTCAAGATCACTATCTATTTTTTTTTTTGAGACAGAGTCTCACTCTGTCGCCCAGGCTGGAGTGCAGTGGCAAGATCTCGGCTCACTGCAACCTCCGCCTCCTGGGATCAAGCAATTCTCCTGCCTCAGCCTACTGAGTAGCTGGAACTACAGGTGCGTGCCACCATGCCCAGCTAATTTTTGTGTCTTCAGTAGAGATGGGGTTTCACCATGTTGGCCAGGATGGTCTCTATCTCCTGACCCTGCGATCTGCCTGCCTCAGCCTCCCAAAAGTGCTGGGATTACAGGCGTGAGTGAGCCATGGCACCCAGCTGATCACTATTTTAAAGGTACAAGTAACTACCATTTTTGAAAATTACGCTAAAAATCAAAGCTAGAGAAAAATGTTTAAGACTGTAACCTAGTTTCAGTGGAGAAAACATATCTGACTGGTAACATGAAACCTAGAAGACAAAACTGACTTTTAACAATATCCATCAAAGCAGCTCACATCTAACTTTAATAGTCTTTTAACTTTCACAATATTTTTTCTATTACGGTAAAACTAGGCCAGGTGCAGGGGCTCACACTTGTAATCCCAGCACTTTGGGAGGTTAAGATGGAAGGATCACTAGAGTTCAGGAGTTCAAGACCAGCCTGGTCAACACAGCAAGACCCCATCTCTACTTAAAAAGAAAAAAAGAAAAAAAAAATTAAACATTATGTATCTCTTAAAATTATCTTTGATTCTACAAAGTGTATTTCATGGAATCTTAAAAAAAGATCTGTTTAGTCTGTTTAGATGCTCTGCCAACTTTATTAAGAAGACCAAAGCCCCTAAGTCACCATTATAGTTTTATCAATAATTATGTTTTATCAACAAATATATTTTATCAATAGTTTATAGTTTTTCAACAATGTTATACAGTCTCCAAACATTCTAGTAAGGTGATTTTTATGACCACTTAACGATTAAAATAACTCAAATACTATATCCAAAACAATGAAAGAAAAAGGAGGCTGGCGGACTTAGCTTTTGGCATAATTAGAAAGTATTGTCTCGCTAAAACTACCATATATACATACATCATGTATATGTACATATATGTATATACATATACACATCACTTTACACATTTAGAACTACATTAAATACACACAACTAAGGACTGGACTCTGCAGCAGGCATCTTATTAGAAAAACTACAAAAGCTGGAAAGCTTTCTTGAAGAATTGCAGTCACTCTCAAAAATAACAATTAACACTGGAGAGTATGTTCATTAGAATGTGAAAAGCAATTATCAAAACATACAAATGTAACACGTACATTCCTACATAAATGTTGGTCTTACTAAGTACCAGTTCAAGATACAGACACCTAGAATACATTCTATCCAAAAATAAAATAGATCCTATAGGTCAGAGATACAATAACAAAAACTTCAGAGTACTCAATTTCAAATAAGAACTTAAAAAAAATTATCTAGAAATCCTAAGTTTATCTGTCAAAAATCATTATCAAACTATCTTACTGAAGTCTTTGGAACCTTATAGCATACAACCAATCATTTATATTCCTATTATCTAAGATTCAGTTAATACTGACTTTCACAATTTAAAGCTTCAGTAATTATATGAAAAGCTATAGTTTCTCTTTCTAAAGTAGCATTTGGTCCTAAAAGTCAAGAAAATAAGGAAGTAATCACATTGATTTGCTCACAATAAAATTGTTTGTGTAACCTTTTAGATTATGATCCCATGTCCCATAAAAGCTAAACAAGTTGGCACTTTTCTCTTATTATGTTTGACAGAACAGTATATGAGTCACTTTCCAAAAATAACTAAATTAACATATGCCTTCATAAGTTAATCAAATAGCACAAATGACAATAACAAAATACATGCCTTAAAACACACACACACACACACACACCACACACACACACACACACACACACACGGATAGTTACATTTCCAGTACTTTTAGAATCATCTGCCTATTCAATGCAAAAGACTCAACTTCAGCAGTGGCTGAAGTGACTCAAAAGTTACATCTGGCTTCTAAACTATTACACGACTTTGTTAGGAACTCTGTTTCCTGATTCCATTTTTTTAGATTAATGTAACATGCCTTCTTCGGGCCCTAACTACCTGTGAGAAATTAAGAAGAGAGGTGGTGGAAGGAGAAAGTCATTCACGCCTTAAAAACCCAGCTATAACAACATGGATAATTTAAGTAAAATAAAATAATCATGGTGAAATAAAACAATGAAGCTGAATTTTTATCTGGCCTCCTAAGTCTCCCACAAAAACAAACTTAATTTGTAATACATATGACATTCTGGGAGAAGTATACAATGTTGCTATATCATTAGTTAGAAATGGAAAGTTTCTTTCACCTGATAAGTCATGGTGAATAAGGTCAGCAAAACTGGGGTCTTCACCCCACCAAAATATCCACAATTCTCTTCTTCCAGGTCTTTGATCTCGCCGCCAAACACCAAGTACATCTGCCTTAAGGCAGCGACTAAAACTGCTCAAAATGGGGTCTTCTTCTGTCACAGGAAACAGAATAGGGGCAGAAGTTGGGCCTTGCCATACATATTTTTTCCACTTAATTCCTGTCAAGTCAGCCTGAAGGAAAGAAAGCATTAAGTTTTATTACTGCATATTCACTCAAAGTCAAAAGTACTCAATATGATGTCTCTTATTTCATTAAGACATTACAATTTTTCAATGTATGCTTGAGATATTGACTGCAAATTAGAACAAAAAAAGACTTTATAATTCAACAACCAAGAATTTTAGGGAGAAGAATACAGTTAAAAATTACCACCACCATGTCACTGAATAGCAAGCAAATATGTACTCCAAGTAGAAACAGAAGAAACTGAATGATGTTAAATATAGACACACACTTCAATATGCAAACAGAGTACATTTTTCTCTGTCCTAACTGGTCACATTTGTTCACTGGTGTCAAACTTTTAACTGAAAATCAATTATTAAAGACCCTATCATGGGTTTTTATTCCACATTTACAGAAGTAACGTCTCTAATGAAAAGACATCTGAACAAGTTCTGAAAAAATCTATGTTAATTCTTCACACACACCCCTGTCGGAAAAGTCAAATAGCTACTCACAAAGAACTGTCAGATTTGTGCTAGTCTATCTTCAAAGAACTGATCCTAAAAGTACCAAAAATAGACTGAGTTGGATAAGATAGAAATATAAAACCTGGTGTATGTCTTATTACATGTGAAGAGATGCTGATTAATGGACATTGAAAAGAAAAACATACTGTAGACGAGGATAGAGTATTAAAGATCTCAATTTAGCATGGGCGTTAAGAAATTCGACAAGAGGAATTCAGTAATTTAATCTAACTTAAAGGAGCAAAGCATAAGGTGCCAAAAATGAAACTGCTGATACATGACTGGCAGTTTACACTTGCCAACTAGTTGTGCTCCTCCCACTTAACTCACTTACCTATCATATACTCTTAATATTTCTCATAGCACAAAGGAGAAAATGAAAAAGTAAAGTCACCCAAACTTAAAGTCATTGATGAAGCTCAGCTACTGTCCCATACAGGACAAGTTATTTGCAACAGTTGGTACTTCTGAAAGCCTTAACTGTTGGATGTTACCAGACCTGGGCTAACCTACACAATGATCATCCCTACATCCCGCTTCTCTCGACTTTCCATTTCAATCAAACAAGGGAGCAGCCTGCTCAAAACATTCTGAAAAAGCAACCAAAACACAATAAATATAGAAACAGTGCAAAACCACAGCACCTCGTCCACTAGCCCCCTTCACTCTCACAAAAACATCATGTTCTAATAAAAGCAAGATGGCTAGAAATTGTCAAAAATGGCAAACTGTTTTCAAAGTTTAAAAAGAAAACATATGAAATGGCACCTACTGGCTTTTACAGAGAGATCTTAAGTCACCCAAGAAAGAAACTAACCTGGCGTTAGTTTGACTCATACAAAAAAAATGTAAAACCAAGACAGGTTTCTAGGGCTTAAGTTCTGGGGTCCTGTTTACATGGGGAAACCAAATTAAAAGGGTAAGACATAAAGGCGGTGGGGAGCAGGGGCAATAATGTAAAGTGTGAAGCAGGGATACAGGGCCAATAAGGAGAAAAGCAACAGTTAAGCAAGACAAGAGGGAAAGGTTACTGTCCTGCCAGATAAGGAGCTCAAGTTGAGGACGAGACTACGGTGAGAAGGAGAGTCCGAAACAAGACGAGAAAAAATGCCAACACTCCCCTAAACAGAGCCCGGGACCGTAGGAGAGCGAACGCCGCCTCCCGGGGCTGGCCGCGGAGCTTCGCAGGGCGCCGGCTCCGGCTGGGCCTCGCCCGGGAACTCGGGCATCTGGACCAGACCCGGCCCCCTCCCCCACGGCCCAAGGGCGCACCTCGCGGCCCCCCTCCCTCGGCGCCCGCCGGCCCCGGCACTCACCAGGCAGAAGAGGTTACAGTGACAATCTTCCAGGCTGGCCCCGTTCGGCACGAAGGAGGCACTCATCGTCCCTCACAGCAGCCGCCGCCGGCGCCACAACCCACCATCCGCCATTACCGCCGCCTCCGACCAGAGAGAGAAACACAGACACCGGGGAGGGCCGGGGGGGGGGTAGTGGTTGGGGGGGCGGTGGAAGAGGAGGCCGCCGGGCGCCCGCCCTCCCCACCCACCCCCCCGCCGCCGCCGCCGCCGCCGCCGCCGCGAGCAGCCCCCGCCGCCCGGCCGGCACCCAGCCGCCCGGGGCCGAGGGCCGGAGGCGGGAGGGCCGCGCCGCGCTCGCCTGGCGGGCCGGACTGCGGATCCCGCAGACGCTCGTCCCTCTCTGGGGGACGGAGGGGATGTGTGCCCCTACCACAAGAAAAATAATAAATTACACAATAAATAATCAAAATCAAGTCCGAGACGGCAGAGCCCAAGCCCAGGACGGTTCTCCCGGGCGGAGAGGCGCCCGCACAGGAGCGGGAAGGGCGAGAACCGGGAGAGAAGCCCAGGCCCCCGGCGCGGCAGCGGCGATGTCCTTAAGCCCAGAGTCTCCTCAGCGGCGGAGGTGGTGGCGGCGTCTGCGGGCTCAGACCATTCTCTGGCTCTGTCTTCGTGTCGTTCCTGGGCCAAGCCGGCCTAAAGTTTGCCCTCCTGTGGCCTCACCGGCTGGACGCCGTAGTCTCCCCCATTTTGTGGGCCCAGCGGGCGGTGTTTTTCCCCCTTTAATCCGAATTCACGGGTTTTCCCTTCGCTTTAATGGCGGCCACAGGGACCAGCTCGCCCTCTCTGCTCACCCATTGGCCGCCTTGAGGTCACGTGGGCCCGGGCTCGGTTGGGAGGGGGAGAGAGAAGTGAGCGAGGGAGGGCCGGGAAGCTTTCGGCGGAGGCGGTGAGCTCGGGGGACGGGGCAGCCAGCTGGTGGCCACTAACATAGCGCCATCTGCTGGGTGCCCCGGCCAGTATAAAACGACCCGGGGCCCTGGCCCTCTCTTTGCGGGGAAATTTACAGTCCAGGAAGGTTCATTTCACAAATCAGTGAGAATTACGTGGAAATCAGTTTGAGTTCTTTGGAAGAGAAAGTATTGGCAAAAATTCCAAGACATTCTCATTTATTTCGCGAGGCCGCTGGGGTGCAGGTGCAAACCTCTGGATTTGGGAGTCAGATGATCTGGATGGGGATAAGACTCCTCAACCTAAAAGTTGTGATATGAAGATATAAATTTAAGAAACAAAATATTGCCCTGTAGTTAATAGACTGGGAATTAGAGCCACACTGCCTGGGTTCCAAGCTTGAGCAAATCACTTCCTGCTCTGTGTCTTTACTCATCTGTAAAATGGGGAAAACATATCCCTTACCCCACAAGCTTATTGTAATGAGTTAATACAAATTAAGCAGGTAGCCCAGTGCCCCGCACAGATAAGCACTGTTAAGAGTTAACTATTATTGTTGTCATCATTACCTCATATAGTTATTGTGACGAGCAGGAGAACTAGTGTATGTAAAGGTCTCACTATTTTTTTGTTGTTTACTTCTGTCTCTCTAGTGCCTAAAAAAAGGTTCCTAGCACACAGTAGGTGCTTGATATTTGTATAGTTACAAATGAATGGGTGGTAAGAAGTAAGAACCAAACAAAAGGTTTATTCTCTTTCCCATAAAACACCCAGTGCTTGGATGGGTTACACTTCAATATGAGTTCAAAACAGTTTCTCTGACGGTTTTAGGATTGCAAGAAAGAAAGAAGAAGAAAAAGATGATTCAGAAGTTAGAAACATCAGTGAGTTAGGACTTACTGTAATTTTATGTATTACAGATACATAATTATGTATTATGTATTACAGATACATAATTGTATCTGTAAAATGAATGGTAGACTCTTCCATGTCACTTCTTCAGCCACGGAATGAAAAGAAGTCCTCATTTATCCACTTGTTCATCTGTGGTGGTGAAGAGCCCAGATCTGAAGCCCAAAGCCTGGAGAAAAAGTTCTGCCCCTCACTAGTTAGTCTTAGATCATATTTGACCTTAGATCAAATTAATTTTGCTTTCTCTCGGTTATTGTAAAATGGGGGTAATAAAAGTACTTTTCTTCTAAAATGACTGGTGAATGAAACAATGTAGATACAGTGCTTGCCACAGTGCTTACTTAATGTTAATTATTAATGTAATTTTAAAAATCATTGAGAACCTGCTGGCTCAATTGAGTGTGTTCCTGCTCTGTGCTAGGCCTAGGATACAAATAGGAATAAGATACCTGCCTGTCCCTCAAGATTCCTGAAGAGAGGCACTAAAGGAAACATTTCCTACAGAATAAGGTAAAATACAATGGGGGTAATTGCTTGAATAAAGTATGTACCTACTATGGCATAGTAAGTGCACTAGAAGAAGAGCATCAAACTTAGAGAAGTTGTCATAAAGTAGGTAGCATTTGAAATCAGATTTGAAGGATAAAATGAATTCTTATAAAGCCCTTTGAAGCAGTTAAATCTTATTAAACCTAATTCGAACCCAAAGTCCACATATCAAAGTCAATTATGCAACCAGGACTAATTCAATCCAGGAGCTCAAATCAACTAAGGTTGGCATCCTTTATAACCGAGTGCCAGCACCAGGAGACAGCAATCCCCAGATCCAATGAGGTAAGCGCTCCTCTGCCCATTTCCCGTTCCCTGAAAAACTCCTCAGATCTTTGTTCCGCTGCTTTCCTCAGGCTGAAATGCCCTCCTCACATCTAAAGGGGTCTCCATTCTCCTTAGAAGTCTTGCCCTCCCATTGCCCCCACCCCCTGACTTGAGCACCATCCTCAGGATTCCAATGGCAGGTAGAATATACCTGAAACCTACCAGTAGGAGGTAACATTTGATTGACCTTTCTGTTTGAATGTCAATCTTTTCAAAAAGAAGAGGGAGACAAGGAGACAGAAGCGAAGAAGGGAGGAAGACCCAGAAGAAAAAGTCTGATGGAGGATCGCAGAAGGGAGCAGGAGAGAGAGAGAAAGACAGGACTGAGAGAATGGAGAAGCAGATTAGAATGGGGGGGATCCCAGTTGTGAGGGGAATGGAATCATTGGGAGAAGGGAAAGAGAAGAAATAAATATTTTCAGCCCACAAAGAACGTATCAGTAACCACTTACATTCGGTAAAAATGACATTTTGTGTGATTTAAAGAGTAATGGAGGCCGGGTGCAGTGGCTCACGCCTGTAATCCCAGCACTTTGGGAGGCCGAGGCGGGCAGATCATGAGGCCAGGAGATCAAGACCATCCTGGCTAACACGGTGAAACCCTGTCTCTACTAAAAACACAAAAAGGCGGGCGCCTGTAGTCTCAGCTACTCGGGAGGCTGAGGCAGGAGAATGGCGTGAACCCGGGAGGCGGAGCTTGCAGTGAGCTGAGATCGCGCCACTGCACACCAGCCTGGGCGACAGAGTGAGACTCCGTTCTCAAAAAAAAGAAAAAGAGAGTAATGGAAATACGGACTTTGGGTATACCATCCTGGTGGGGGATGTTGATAATGAGGGAGGCTGTGTATGTGTGGGGGCAGGAGTTATATGGGATTTTTAAAAAGTAATGGAAATAACTAAAAACATTACACACATATTGTCGGCCAGGTGTGCTGTGTCACGCTTGTAATCCCAGCACTTTGGGAAGCCGAGGCAGGTGGATCACCTGAGGTCAGGAGTTCAAAACCAGCCTGGCCAACATGGTGAAACCCCATCTCTACTAAAAATACAAAAATTAGCCAGGCGTGGTGGCACATGCCTATAGTCCCAGCTACTTGGGAGGCTGAGACAGGAGAATTGCTTGAACCCGGGAGGCAGAGGTTGCAGTGAGCCAAGATCACGCCACTGCACTCCAGCCTGGGTGACAGGGTGAGACTCTATCTCAAAATAAATAAATAAAAACATTACACACACATTGTCAAAAGTTTGGCAGATACATAAAAGCGTAAAGATGAAAATTTTAAATGTACATTACCCAAAAAAGTCCGTATCATTACCATTCATAATTAATCACTTTTTAACATTTTGATGTATTGACTTTTCCCTATGTATCTTTTTCCTACATGGTTGAGATCATACTATATGACCACTTAACTACCCACATGTATTAACCATCTAGTATGTGTCAGGTCATGTATTGACAAAATACAGCATATACAAGCAGCTCATAATCTTGCTTATAATGGCACTTGAACAGTTAGACCAACTGGGGTCAAAACTCCATACTTGGCCCAGCACGGTGGCTCATGCCTGTAATCCCAGCACTTTGGGAGGCTGAGGTGGGCAGATTGCTTGAACCCAGGAGTTTGAGACCAACCTGGGCAGCATGACGAAACCCCCCGCTGCAAAAAAAATAAAAAAATTAGCCGGGCGTGGTGACACGTGCCTGTAGTCCTAGCTACTTGGGAGGTAGAGGTGGGGAGGTTGATTAAGCCTGGGAAGTTAAGATTGCACCACTGCACTCCAGCCTGGGTGACAGAGTGAGACCCTGTCTCAAAAAGCAAGCAAACAAGCAGAACTCCATGCTTGCTAGCTCCCTAACTTCAATTTACCCCTTTGTTGAATGTGTATGTAATAATAGCACCTAAATGTCAGAGTTGTTGCAATGATTAAAAGAGATAATCCAAGTAAAATAGGAGCCAATCAGGAATTTTAAGGTTAATTTTAGAGGTTACTTTGGGTCAATAATCTGGGTCAATAATCACCGACTGTCTTCTGTTCTTTGAAATATGGATTCACTCAATGATCTGCATTTAAAACTGTTTTGTAACCCCTTCTGTCTTGTAGGGTCTCCATTCTGAATGAGATGGTAGAGGCACTGGCTTACAAACTACCACTTAGCCTCCAGGAAGGTGACAGAGTTACATCACCTGAGACAGACAAGTCCAGGAAAGGGCCCCTGATGCTCCATATTGTGATTCAGAATCAGATGATTCTGAAAAATCTGCAAGGTCTAGAGCAGCACTGTCCAATAGAAATGCAATGAGAGCTAAAACCTATTGAAATAGAAAAATAAATTTTTAAAAAAGGTACAATGAGAGCTAAATAAGTAACTTGAAATTTTTCAGTAGCCCTGTTAAAGAAGTAAAAATTAGGGCCTGGCGCAGTGGCTTATGCCTGTAATCCCAGCACTTTGGGAGGCCGAGGTGGGCAGATCACGGGGTCAGGAGTTCAAGACCAGCCTGGCCAACATGGCGAAGCCCCGTCTCTACTGAAAATACAAAAATTAGCTGGGTGTGGTGGTGCATGCCTGTAGTCCCAGCTAGCTACTTAGGAGGCTGAGGCAGGAGAATCGCTTGAACCTGGGAGGCGGAGGTTGCAGTGAGCCGAGATCATGCCACTGCACTTCAACCTGGGCAACGAAGTAAGACTTTGTCTCAAAAAAAAAAAAAAAAAAGGTAAAAATTAATGTGAAGTACATATTTTATTTATCTCAGTATGTCAGAATCATTATCATTTTACATGTAGTCAATATAAAAATTGTTGAGATAGTTTGCATTCCTTTTTTTAACCAAACCTTCAAAATCCACACTTATTTGCACTTATAGCACATTTCAGTTTTACCTAGCAGATTTCAAGTGGCCATTAGCCATTTGCAACTAGTGACTACTGTGTTGGAGAGTACAAGTCTAGAGTCAAACGCTGAAAGCTAAGGACCAATTAAGCTGTGGAGTGAGTGGTCTTGAGCCTGGGGACAATATTGATTTTCTTAAGGTCATTTTAATGGTTTAATGTTGTACTTAATTCAATAGAAAAAAAGGTTAAGAAGTTACAAACCATTTTATTTCTTGAATGCACAGACACCACTTCATTGAATATAGAAATAAACAGACCTAAAACAAATCAGCAGGTTGAGACACTTAAAAAAACATTTTAATTCAAAGCATCGAATATCCTGAGTTGTCTCAAAAGTTGCTGACTTGCCATTTTTCTCAGTAGTGTAGCATCCACCCTCAACCTCAAGTTTTATTTCATTTTAATTGTTTCATTTTAATATTAAAGTCTACTTCCCCTAATTTTCTTACTTTGAAATTACGTTTGTAAACCATATGCAAATCAGAAATTCCCCTCCCCTATCTTTCTCCTACTTGAGCCAGTCATTTGACCTCTCTGGATCTATTTTCTCAAACATGAGGAAGAGATTGGCTTAAGTAATTGCTGTGATTTAACACCTAATATGTGACAATATATATCAGACACGGTGTCAAGTATCTTTGCCACAGTTTCTGATGTAAGTACCATATTATCCCAATTTTCTAGCTTGAGATACTGAGGTTTAGATAGCACCCTGCCTCTTTGGCCTCAGGCCGAAGAGGTCTGTAAAGTATGCTAAGGAAGCCTCATCTACCAAGAGAAGCTCTAAAGAAACTTCTTAGGGAAAACAGTTGAAACCAAGTCTTGAAGGATGAGTTGGGTTGAGCAAGGAAAAGATTGAAAGGGAGAAGAAGGACAGGCACAGAAGGAAGATGGGGAGGCCTGAACAGCTTGGTGTTGGTAGGAAATGATTTGGCTGGTGAAGTAACCCCAGGAACAAATCATGAAGAATTTGGATTTTATCCGGAAGAGAAAAACAACTTTTTTTTTTTTAAGACAAGGTCTCTGTCGCCCAGGCTGGTGCGATCATAGCTCACTGCAGCCTCAGTCTCCTGGGCTCAAGCAATCCTACCACCTCAGTCTCCTGAGTAGCTGGGATTACAAGCGAGTGCCACGATGCCCAGCTAATTAAAATTTTTTTTCTTTTCTTCTTTTAAAAAATAATTTAAAATAAAATGAGATGGGGTCTCACTGTGTTGCCCAGGCTGGTCTCGAACTCCTGAGCTTAATTTTTTAACTTTTTTTTTTTTGAGATGGAGTCTCGGCCTACTGCAACCTCCACCTCTCGGGTTCAAGCGTTTCTCTTGTCTCAGCCTCCCAAGTAGCTGGGATTACAGGCGCCCGCCACCACGCCTGGCTAATTTTTGCATTTTTAGTAGAGACGGGTTTCACTGTTTTGGCCAGGCTAGTCTCGAACTCCCGACCTCAGGTGATCCACCCGCCTTGGCCTCCCAGTGTTGGGATTATAGGCATGAGCCACCATGCCTGGCCAATTTAAAAATTTTTAGTAGAGATGAAGTCTCGGTATATTGCCTAGGTTGGAAACCATTGAAAGACTTTAAACATGAGAGTGATGAGCTAAGATTTGTTTTTAGAAACAAGATACCAGGAAACTTGTTGAGGACATTTTGGTAATCTAGGCAGGAAGTGAAGAGACCTGAGCTAATTAAGAAGAGCTGGTCTAAAAACATCCTTTCTGTTTTGCATCTATTCCCTCAGTCAAGGCATCGACAAGGAAGATATGGAAGTAGAAGAAATCACTTTTGCAAAGGCTGAGTATGCTTTTCTTACTGAGCAGACGATTTTTCTAAGAGTGACCAAAGCTGAAAGAGGAGACAAGTGTAGTTCTTTGAACGTGCTCCTCCTGCTAAAAAGTTCCAGGCAGAACTTTGGTCTCACAGGATAATTATTCCTGCCCAGATACAAACTGATTTGTAATTTTACTGTTCTCTCCCCCCAAGAAAAGGTTCAAAGGAGTTCAAAAGATGTGACCAGCCAATAAAATAGAAAGATTATTCTAGAATCTCTTGACTCAACCAAGAGTTTAAAGGGATGTAATAGTAATATAAACAGGCTGGGCACAGTGGCTCACGCCTATAATCCTAGCAGTTTGAAAGGCCGAGGCAGGTGGATTGCCTGAGCTCAGGAGTTCGAGACCAGCCTGGGCAACATGCTGAAACCCCGTCTCTACTAAAAATACAAAAAATTACCGTCCGGGAGGGAGGTGGGGGCCAGCCCCCGCCCGGCCGCCGCCCCGTCCGGGAGGTGGGGGGCGCCTCTGCCCGGCCGCCCCGTCTGGGAAGTAAGGAGCCCCTCTGCCCGGCAGCCACCCCGTCTGGGAGGTGTACCCAACAGCTCATTGAGAACGGGCCATGATGATGATGGCGGTTTTGTCAAATAGAAAAGGGGGAAATGTGGGGAAAAGATAGAGAAATCAGATTGTTGCTGTGTCTGTGTAGAGGGAAGTAGACGTAGGAGACTCCATTTTGTTCTGTACTAAGAAAAATTCTTCTGCCTTGGGATGCTGTTAATCTATAACCTTACCCCCAACCCCGTGCTCTCTGAAACATGTGCTGTGTCCACTCAGGGTTAAACGGATTAAGGGCGGTGCAAGATGTGCTTTGTTAAACAGATGCTTGAAGGCAGCATGCTCGTTAAGAGTCATCACCACTCCCTAATCTCAAGTACCCAGGGACACAAACACTGCGGAAGGCCGCAGGGTCCTCTGCCTAGGAAAACCAGAGACCCTTGTTCACTTGTTTATCTGCTGACCTTCCCTCCACTATTGTCCTATGACCCTGCCAAATCCCCCTCTCCGAGAAACACCCAAGAATGATAAATAAATACTAAAAAAAAAAAAGAAATGGTAGCAGTGGACACCTTTACCTTGTTTCCAATCTTAGTGGGAAAGTATTCAGTTTTTCACCATTATGAATGGTGTTATCTATAGGTTCTTTGTAGATGGCCCTCATCAATTTGAGGAAGTTCCCTTCTATTCCTAGTTTGCTGACTATATTTATCATGGCCCGAAGGTGAACTTTTTCAAATGCCTTTTCTGTATCTATTGGGACAACCATATGGTTTGTTTTTTAATACACTTATGTGGTGAATTGCAAAAAAAAAAAAAAAAATTAACCAGGTGTAGTGTCGCACACTTGTAATCCCAGCTACTCGGGAGGCTGAGGCATGAGAATCGCTGGAACCCGGGAGGTGGAGGCTGCAGTGAGCCGAGATTGCACCACAGTACTTCAGCCTGGGTGACAGAGCAAGACTCCATCTCTAAATAAATAAATAAATAGTAACATAAACAAAAGTACTAGAGTTATATAACATTTCTACCACTGGTTTTGACATTACTTCATTCATTCATTTAATAATATTTATGTTTACTATGTGCAAGGTTCTATGCTAGGTACTGTGATGATTGAGCAATATGAAACAATGCATCAGAAATAGAGCTGACTCTCAAGAAGATTTTTAATTCTCAGATGATAAGATATGAAATAAATAACTACAATTTTTATTTGAAAATGCGAAAAATTGATATAGATCAAATGTTGTGGAATTGAAAGAAGAGGGGGCTACCCCAAGTCACAAGGAAGAAAAGGTTAGTGGAGAAAAACTTTGCATTTTAAATAGATACGAATTAATGAATAAGATTGGAACTTGCAGAGATGTGGAAAAGAGCAATTTAGGCTAGTGTTTCCCAAACTGGAGTTTGAGGACAAGGTTTTGAAGAATGCTACTGGGAATTCCATGTAAAAGAGTTCTTGGCTGTGCTGTTAATTTGCCTCTGTTCTTTTTTTTTTTTTGAAACAGAGTCCTGCTCTGTCGCCCAGGCTGGAGTTCAGTGGTGTGATCTTGGCTCACTGCAACCTCTGCCTCCTGGGTTCAAGCGATTCTCATGCCTCAGCCTCCCAAGTAGCTGGGATTGCAGGTGCCCACCACCGTGCCCGGCTAATTTTTGAATGTTTGTATTTTTAGTAGAGACAAGGTTTCACCGTGTTGCCTAGGCTGGTCTTCAACTCCTGACCTCAAGTGATCTGCCTGCCCCAGCCCCTCAAAGTGCTGGGATTACAGGTGTCAGCCACCATGACTGACCTTTTTTTTTTTTGAGATAGGGTCTCATTCTGTCACCCACACTAGAGTGCAGTCTGGAGTACCGTGGTGCAAACATGGCTCACTGCAGCCTCGACCTCCTGGGTTCAAGCAATCCTCCTACCTCAGCCTCCTGAATAGCTGGGACCACAGGCGTGCACCACCATGCCCACTTAATTTTTTAAATTTTTTGTATAGACAAGGTCTCACCATGTTGTCCAGGCTTACTGTAGCTAGAGGCTGCTCCTTGGAAATGACATTTCTCAGGCTCCCTTATCAATTTCCTTGTGGTTTGGTTTGGCCAATGGAGGCAAGGGTGGCAAATGAGGGGCCATGAGGAAGCTAGGATTTTCCCTCTCCCTGTGCCTCAGTATTGGCTGTATCTTTATGGCGCGAACTGCAAATGAACAGTTCTTCTCTCCACAGTCCCAACTCTGTTGGGCAGTCCTGGCTCCTGGGGTATAGTATGTTTGTTATCTATTGCCATATAATACATTATCTCTGAACATCACAGCTTAAAACAACAAGCATTTTATCTCACACAGTTCCTGAGATTTAGTAACCTGTCAGTGACTCAGCTGGTGGTTCTGGCTCAGGGTTTCTCATGAGGTTTCAGTCAAGATGTGGGCTGGGGCTGCAGGCCTCTCAAGGCTAACGTAGGACTGAGGCACTCACTTCCAAGCTCACTCACACGGTTGTGGCCAGGACACAGTTTCCTTCTGCCAGGTGGGCTTCTCCTCAGAGCTGCACACAACAACGCAGCTTGCTTCTCCACTAGGAAGAAGAAGGGGGAGACAGAGAGAGTCCAAGACCAAGATGGAAGCTGCAGTCTTTTTGTAACCTAATCTCAGAAGTTATATACCATCACTTCTGCCACATGCTATTGGTCACAGACCAACTGTGATACAGAGTGTGCAGGGGCTACACTAGGCTGTGAATACCAGGAGGCAAAAATAACTGAGAGCTGGCCGGGCGCGCTGGCTCATGCCTGTAATCCCAGCACTTTGGGAGGCCAAGGAGGGTGGATCATTTGAGGTCAGGAGTTCAAGACCAGCCTGGCTGACATGGTGAAACCCCATCTCTACTAAAAATACAAAAATGGTGAAACCCCATCTCTCCTAAAAATACAAAAATTAGCTGGGCAGTGGTGGTGCACGCCTATAATCCCAGCTATCAGGAGACTGAGGCAGGGGAATCACTTGAGCCTGGGAGGCAGAGGTTGTGGTGAGCTGAGATCACACCACTGCACTCCAGTCTGGGTGGGTGACAGAGTGAGACCCTGTCTCAAAAAAAAAAAATAATAATAATAATAATAGGGAGCTATTTTGGAGGGTAGCTACCACAGTCCACCATCTGTCCCCAATGATTTGTTGCTCCCACATGCAAGTTACACTCACTTCTTCCCAAAGTCACCAAAAGTCTCCCCTCTTTACAGCATCAGCTTGAAGTCCAGGTGCAGATGAGGCTCCTCGGGTAAAACTCCTTAAGCAGAGCTCCTTGAGTACAGTTCCTCTCCACCTGTGACACCGAAGAGACAATTTATCTTCCCCTCTATATACCCAACATACAACGATGAGACAGGTGTAGCAGGATAGAGGCTTAGTTATTCCTTTTCAAAAAGGGGGGGAAATGGCAGGTGCCAAGGAGTAACTGGCCCATTTTAATTCTGAAATACCACCCCACCACCCATGTAGGTCTGTGAATCTTACTGGGGTTCACTTCATTAGACAAAAGTTATACCCACAAATCTCTTTCAGGTAAGCTCTACTCCACACCTTGAGCTTCTGATAAGATGCCCTTAAGCTTTCTAGCAGTTTTGTCATTTTACTAAGAGAATACTGTATGGGAGGCACACATTTCTTCTCTTTCAGAGCTTTTTGTCTCACTGAATAATACTCTGAGGCACAACCTTAAATCATCCTGAGATTTGATTTTTGTTTATTTATTTATTTTTGAGACAGAGTCTTTGTCACCCAGGCTGGAGTGCAGTGGCACGATCTCGGCTCACTGCAACCTCTGCCTCCTGGGTTCAAGCAATTCTCATTCCTCAGCCTCCTCAGTAGCTGGGATTACAGGCATGCACCACCACACCCGGCTAATTTTTGTATTTTTTAAAATAGAGATGAGGTTTCTCCATGTTGGCCAGGCTGGTCTCTATCTCCCAGGCTCAAGCAGTCCACACACTTCACCCTCCCGAGTAGCTGATATTACAAGTGTGCCTGGCCAATTTTTTGTATTTTTTTTTCATAGAGAGGGGGTTTTGCCATGTAGTCCAGCCTGGTCTCAAACTCCTGGGCTCAAGAAATCCGCTCCCCCATGGCCTCTCAAAGTGCTGGGATTACAGACGTGAGCAACAGCACGGGGCAATGTTACCGCGTTTTCTTGCAAGCCTTCACCTGCAGCCATTTCAAAGATCATGATGTTTCTATTAATAGCTTCTGTGAGGTACTTTAGACTTTGACTAATATTCTGCTCAAAGCCCACTGCCTAGTTCCAAAGTCACTTTCACATTTTAGAATTTTGTTCCAGCAAAACCCTACTTCCGGGTACCAAAATCTGTATTAGTTATCTATATTTCTGTGTAACAGGTTACTCTGAGATTCAGCAGTTTAAAACAACAAATACTTATTATCTCACACAATTTCTGAGAACTGGGAATCTGGGACTTGGATTAGCTCAGTGGTTCTGAGGTAGGAAGCAGGACTTAACTCCAGAGTTGGAAACTCGGACACTGGACCAGATTGAGGACTACCTTAAAGGGAGGGGGTTGGCTGGTGTGGTGGCTCATGCCTGTAGTCCTAGCACTTTGGGAGGCGAAGGCGGGTGAACCAATTGAGCTCAGGAGACCAGCCTGGGCAACATGGCAAAACCCATCTCTACAAAAAAATACAAAAAACATTAGCCAGGTGTGGTGGCACAAGTCTGTGGTCTCAGCTACTAGGTAGGCTGAGGTGGGAGGATTGCTTGAGCCCAGGAGGTGGAGGCTGCAGCAAGCTGAGATCGTGCCATTACACTCTAGCCTGGGTGACAGACTGAGACCCCATCTCAAGAAAAAAATAAAAAATTAAATAAATTAAATACATTTTAAAAATATAAAGGAAGGGGGAGAAGGGAAAAGTAGCTTTCCATAAGACATGCCCACCAGTGTGCCATATCAGTTTACCATTGCCATAGCAACAAGCGGAAGTAGTTATACCCTTTTCCATGGCATGATGACCTGGTGACTGGAAGTGGCAACCCTCTTCCTAGAAATTTCTGCATAAACCACCCTTTAATTTGCATGTAATTAAAAGTGGATGTAAATGTGACTACAGAACTGCCTCTGAGCTGCTATTGTGTGCCTCTGTTGCTGCTGTACACTGCTGCTTCAAAAAATGTTGCTAACACCACTGGCCAACCCTTGAATTCTTTCCTGTGTCAAGCAAAGAACCCTCCCAGGCTAAGCCCGAATTCTAGGGCTTGCTGCCCTGCATCAGTTCTGGCTCAAAGTTTCTCATAAGGTTGCAGTCAAATTGTCACCTAGGGCTACAGTTATCTCAAGGCTTTCCTGGGACTGGAGAATCTGTGAGAAAAATCTGTAGCACATCTAAGTAACAATTCCTCTTCCCTTATCCTTGCGGCATCTCCCTCATGTTGTTCATCTCTGGGTTGTCCCACCATCCCTCTGTTTGCCCTTTGAATTCCTCCCCTACATTTTAAACTAGTTTCTCTCATTATTTTATTCCTTGTATTAAACTCTTTGGCATAGGTACTGTTTTCTGGATCCTGAATTATATAATAGTTAACTAAGTATTATTGAGCTGAACAAAGTTAAACAGATTTCTTACAAAAGAACTTCTCAGGGCTTTTAATGCGCATTGTAAATCTCCCAGAGGAATCTATAACATGCAGCATTTCCCATACTGTTTTGGTCACAGTCCTCTTTTGTTTTTTTTCATGCAACTAATAGCTAGCATGCAAAAGGCATAAATTAGAAACATCGCAGTTCAGTTTGACTGAAACAATAAGTATATGAAGGAAAAGAGTACAAAATATGATGAAAAGAGGGTAGAGGCCCGGTGCGGTGGCTCATGCCTGTAATCCCAGCACTTTGGGAGGCTGAGGCGGGTGGATCACCTGAGGTTGGAAGTTCGAGACCAGCCTGACCAACATGGAGAAACCCTGTCTCTACTAAAATTACAAAATTAGCTGGGCGTGGTGGTGCATACCTGTAATCCCAGCTACTCACGAGGCTGAGGCAGGAGAATCGCTTGAACCCGGGAGGCGGAAGTTGCGGTGAGCCGAGATCGCACCATTGTACTCCAGCCTGGGCAACAAGAGTAAAACTCCGTATCAAAAAAAAAAAAAAAAAAGGTAGGGGGTAGATGCTGAACCATACAGAGTAACGTGTTTACACTTGATCCTATAGGCATTGGAGAGTCAATGAAGGTTGCCTCCTGCTAAGTTAAAAGATAGAATTGTTGAGCTAAATCATTTAACCACAGTAATATACACTTTATTTTTCTTTTATACTCTGAACTACTTAATACAAAAGGAAAATTGCTTTTCTTTTTGAGTCAGAGTCTCATGGTATTGCCTGGTCTAGAGTGGAATGGCTATTCCCAGGGGTTATCATTGTGCACTACAGCCTCAAACTTCTAGGCTCAAATGATCCTCCTGTGTCAACCTCCCAAGTAGCTGGGACTACAGGCACACGCCACCATGTCCAGCTGAGAATTACATTTTAAACCTCTCTCTTTCTTTTGCCTTTACCTTTGGTTCAATAGGGTTGAAGACCCTTGGTCCAAACTTTAGAAGCCTCATATTGTCTGCCTTATGTTTTCAATATGGTAGAAGAAACAGAAAAAAAAAAATGGGGAGACCCTTGGGAGAGAAAATATTTCAACATACCCCCTAAAACACAGCATTGTCTGTGGAATTAAAAGATGAAGGAATTCTTTTCAAAATAATTGGTGATAAGAAAGGAAGATGGAAGTATATCTCAGGGGAAGAATTAGCTAGTGATTAGGAAAAGAACAAACATCCTTTCTGAAAACTAACATTTACATGGCAGCACATATATGACTTATTTATTGCTGCAAAACAAATTATGTCAAAGATTTGTGGCTCAAACAACAAAAAACTTTTTTTTTTTTTTAAAGACAGAGTCTTACTCTGTCGCCCAGGCTGGAGTACAGTGGCACTATCTCAGCTCACTGCAACTTCCACCTCCCACGTTCAAGCAATTCTCATGCCTCAGCCTCCCTAGCTGGGACTACAGGCACGCACCAACACACCCAGCGAATTTCTTTTTGTATTTTTAGTAGAGACGGGGTTTTGCCATGTTGGCCAGGCTGGTCTTGAACTCAGCCTCAAGTGATCTGCCCGTCTTGGCCTCCCAAAGTGCTGGGATTACAGGTGTGAGCCACCACGCCAGGTCACAACAATAAACATGTCTATCTCATAGTTTCTGTGGCTGGACAGTTCTAAGTTAGAATTTCTCCTAGGATTCATTCAGATGTTGGCTGTGATTGCAGTCATCTGAAGGCTTGAGTCAGGCTAGCAGATCTGCTTCCAAGAGGGCTCACTCATACAAATGGCAAGTTGGTGCTGTTTATTGTCAGGAGGCTTCATTTTCTTTTCACATGGATCTATCTCCAGGGGTCCTTGAGTGCACGGAAGCTGGCTTTCCCCAGAGGAGGGGATCCAAGATGCCAAGGCGGAAGTTACAGTCGCCTTTTTTATCTAGCCTCAGAAGTCCCACACTGTCACTTCTGCAGTAATCTATTTGTCATACAAATCAGCCCTGATACAATGTGGAAGGGGAATACTATGATGTAAAGATCATTCAAGGTTACTTTGGAGGCTACCTTCCACATCATGTTTTTTACCTTTCTAGGTTCCTTTGCTGATACTCTTTTCCTCAATAAAGCAACTTACAAAATAGATACATCTTGGGTAGCCAAATCAAGTACACCATACTGAAAACGTCACAGTATCTGGTCAGATTTTTTAAAATTTCAGTGTAATTTCAGCCAATCATCTGGCTTTCTGTCTTTCGAAAAATGTACGGCTTTCCTGTTGCAAAAAATAAGCAAGTCAGGAATCTCTCAAGAACAAGGACCGGTCCAAAGGCTGAAAATACAGCATTAATGGAGAAAAGCAGTGTCTGATATTAGTTTTGGCATTCTCTACTCGCCGTTAATAAATTCATCTGTTTTTTTTTTTTTTCTGGGATAGGTATGTGTAATATTCCACATGCTTGATTTTAGAAGATGTCTTTTTATTTTTATCTTTTTGAGACAGAGTCTCGCTTTGTCACCCAGGCTACAGTGCAATGGCATGATCTTGGCTCACTGCAAGCTTTGCCTCCCGGACTCAAGCGATTCTCCTGCCTTAGCTTCCCAAGTAGCTGAAACTACAGGCACATGCCACCACACCTGGCTAATTTTTGTATTTTTAGTAGAGACAGGGTTTCACCATGATGGCCGGGCTGGTCTCAAACTCCTGACCTCATGTGATCTGTCCACCTTGGCCTCCTAAAGTGCTGGGATTATAGGCATAAGCCACGGTGCCTGGCCAGAAGACTTTTTTTTTTTTTAAAGCATGGAAACAATATAAATATTTAATAACTTTTGTTTTCTGTAAAAAAGCCCAGGCTGCATCCATTCAAAACTTTTATCTTTCAATGTGGAATAAATTACTAAAAGTATAGGACCAAAATCAATGTTACATTTTAATTAACAAAAGGATGTATTCTTCTCACAGGAACAACCTCAAACTTTATATAGTTCCCCACTATGAGATTATTCCAAAGACAAAGGACTGCACTTTCCATCTGTGATTTGAAAACAGAGGCATTATGGTGTATGCAAAGTATCAGTTCTAGAATTAGACAAGGATTTTTTTTTTTTTTTTGACAGAGTTTTGCTCTTGTTGCCCAGGCTGGAGTGCAACGGTGTGATCTCGGCTCGTCACAACCTCCACCTCCCAGGTTGAAGCCAGTCTCCTGCCTCAGCCTCCCAAGTAGCTGGGATTATAGGCGTGCACCACCATGCGTGGCTAATTTTGTATTGTTGGTAGAGACAGGGTTTCTCCATGTTGGTCAGGCTGGTCTCGAACTCCGGACCTCAGGTGATCCACCCTCCTCAGCCTCCCAAAGTGCTGGGATTACAGGCGTGAGCCACTGTGCCCGGCCAACTATTTTTATTTCTTCTTGTTGTTGTTATTCTTGTTTTGACACTTCCTGCACTGCACTCATTGATTCCCTTTTCATCTTATGTGTGGGCAGCTGATAACCTGTTCAGTCTCCACTATCTCAGGTTGACAATTCCACCTACTGGCCAGGCATGGTGGCTGATGCCTGTAATCCCAGCACTTTGGGAGGCCAAGGCAGGTGGATCACGAGGTCAGGAGTTCAAGACCAGCCTGACCAACATGGTGAAACCCCATCTCTATTAAAAATACAAAAATTAGCTTGGCATGGTGGCCTGTGCCCATAATCCCAGCTATTCCATAGGCTGAGGCAGGAGAATCACTTGAACCTGAACCCAGGAGGCAGAGGTTGCAGTGAGCCGAGATCACGCCACTGCACTCCAGCCTGGGCAACAGAGCAAGACTCTGTCTTAAAAACAAACAAACAAACAAGCAAAAGGCCAGGCGCGGTGGCTCACGCCTATAATCCCAGCACTTTGGGAGGCCAAGGCGGGCAGATCACTTGAGGTCAGGAGTTTGAGACCAGCCTGGCCAACATGGTAAAACCCTGTCTCTACTAAAAATAAAAAAATCAGCCGGGCTTGGTGGCGGGCACCTGTAATCCCAGCTACTCCAGAGGCTGGGACAGGAGAATCACTTGAACCTGGGAGGCAGAGGTTGCAGTGAGCCAAGATTGCCCCACTGCACTCCAGCCTGGGCAACAGAGCGAGACTCCATCTCAAAAACAAAACAAAACAAAACAAAACAAAACAATTCCACCTACTTTCTTATATTAATCATCAAGTGCCCTGGGGAACTATGACTTCTCAAAGACATCTTATTACATTTTTACCATAGCCAGCACCATACCTTGGGGACTCTGGTAATAATAAAATAATAATAAATATAATTATTGAACATTTACTGGCCCATAGTGCTAAGCAATTTACATAGATGATTTTTTTTTAAATTGGTTTCTTGGTATCTTCTAATAGATTATTTGATTTCATCCTCTCCACAACCATAGGAGGTCAAATTTGAGCAGACAGGTCTACAGAGGCTTTATCTGCATTATTATAAATTAAACCATTTACAAAAGACAGTGACCGGATATGTTAAGGTATATGACTAGCCCTATACACGAAGATGTAAGAGAGGAAACTTCTGGCATATGTTTACTAAACCTAGGAACTACAGATAAAACTGATACTACAATTTTTTTTTTTTTTTTGAGACGGAGTCTCACTCTGTCACCCAGGCTGGAGTGCAGTGGTGAGATCTCGGCTCACTGCAGGCTCCGCCTCCTGGGTTCACGCCATTCTCCTGCCTCAGCCTCCCGAGTAGCTGGGACTACAGGCACCCGCCACCACGCCCGACTAATTTTTTTTTGTATTTTTAGTAGAGACAGGGTTTCACCGTGTTAGCCAGGATGGTCTTGATCTCCTGACCTCGTGATCTGCCTGCCTCGGCCTCCCAAAGTGCTGGGATTATAGGCGTGAGCCACCGTGCCCGGCCAGATAATACTATTTCTTGCAGCCCCCAATCAACCTCACCTACTAGCACTTACACCCTAAGTAGTCCCCTCCTCTTGAATAAGGGCCAGTCAGAATGTAGCAGAAGTGACTCGTTGCCTCTTCCAGCCCTAAGCCTTAAGAAGGCCCAACAGCTTCCACTTTTATGCTTTTAGGAGCCCTGAGCTACCATTTGAGAAACTGATGTGGAGAAACAGATTCCCTGGGAGTATACTGTGAGAGAGAAGGTCTAGCCTTACCAGCATCCAGCTGAGCGCAGCATTCCAAATGTCACTGATAAAGTGTCAGACATGTGAGCAAGGCCATCCTGAAGATGCCAGCCCTGACCGCCACCTGACTACAGCTATGTGAGACACACAAATGAGACCAGCAGAACTGAACAGCACAGCACCCACCAGTCAATCCACACAATCATGAGAAATTAAAAAAAAAAAAAAGATTGTTGTTTTAAGCCACTACATTTTGGAGTGGTTTTTATTAAGCAGCAATAGATAACAAAAACACTACTAATGTTAATAATGTTAAAGGTTATGGTTGGTTTGGAGTCCTATTAGATAATATTAGGTCAAGAGGCCCAAACATATCAGAATCCTACCTTAGACTACAGCCATTACCTCCTCCTTCACCCTCACCAAGGTCTAGAGGGAGAAATCTACACACATGAGACAGTGGAGAAGGTAAATTAAAACCACCACCACCAGGGCAGCCAGAACCCTGCTTAGTCAAAATAGACACCAGGCTAGGCATGGTGGCTCACGCCTGTAATCCCAACACTTTGGGAGGCCAAGGCGGGCAGATCACCTGAGGTCAGAGTTCGAGACCAGCCTGGCTAACATGGTGAGACCCCATCTCTACTAAAAATACAAAAATTAGCTGGGCTTTGTGGCAGGAGCCTGTAATCCCAGCTATTCGTGAGCCTGAGGCACAAGAATTGCTTGAACCTGGGAGGCGGAGGCTGCAGTGAGCCAAGATAGCACCACTGTACTTCAGCCTGGGCAGAGCAAGACTCCATCTCAAGAAAAAAAAAAGAAGAAAAAAAAAAAAAAAGGACACCCACTGAAACAGGCTGCACCTTCACAGTATGACTATCCACCTGGCTATTCCCTCTCTCGAAGCCTGAGAACAGGCCTACGTTAGAGTGTCACTGCAGTATCATGGGGAAGAAGGAAGAAGAGGCCCAAAGGGAGCCACACCCACGTGCAAGACCTAAGCACATCCTGCATGATGCTGAACACTGGGAAAAAATAGCCCAGTTAATGTCTTAGAATCTGACCAATCAGATTAGCCACTTCTCTCATGGAGAGGAGGGAGAACAAGAGGAAGATAAGGAAGAAACTGAAAGTGTCCCCTTTCCTAGACCCTGTACACATTGTCTTTTTTAATCCTCATGATAAATCCAAAAGGTAGATATTTTTCTTACCCTAGTATCCATGAGAAGATTAAATATTAGAGAGATTGAGTAACTTTTTCAAGGTTACATAGTAAGTATTTGGAATCACAGGGGTGGGTGGGGGGAGTTACCTGGCAAAAATGAGAAGAGATGCCTTTGGAGCATGGCACATTGTAAATTCACTCACATTGTTCCCTCAGTTGTTTTTTTTGTTAAAGTAAAAAACCAAATCAAATGAAAATGCTGTAGGGCCAGGCGCGGTGGCTCATGCCTGTAATCCCAGCACTTTGGGAGGCCGAGGCGGGCAGATCACCTGATGTCAGGAGTTCGAGACCAGCCTGACCAACATGGAGAAACCCCATCTCTACTAAAAATACAAAAAAAAATTAGCCACGCATGGTGGCGCATGCCTGAAATCCCAGCTACTCGGGAGGCTGAGGCAGGAGAATCACTTGAACCCAGGAGGCAAAGGCTATAGTGAGCTGAGATCGCGCCATTGCAGTCCAGCCTGGGCAACAAGAGCAAAACTCCACCTCAAACAAAAAAAAAGAAAGTGCTGTACCATTAGAGGCACCCAAGGAGAGATGGCCCAAAGTCAGTCTTTTTTGTGGCTTGATTGTAGAACAGGTGGAGGGAAAGTATCTCTTTCCACTTCAGCAGAGAAGTGGCTGCACGCCGGATGTGACTGGTGATAAGAGTCAGGAAGTAGCCACTCAGAAGTGCACAAGAGGCTTCCCCTACCTCCGTATATCCTTGAGAGATACAGAAGGGACCTGTGGTGTTAATGACCTCCTTGTAAGGGCTGCTATGGTCCGTAGTATCCAATTGTACTGCCACACTAGACTGGCCTGGAGAAACGTGTGTTACCCAAACATTACATCTCTGACGAAAAACTATATTTGTTCCACCCCCACATTCTCCACTCAAGTTCCCAGAAGTTTGCAATTATCCTCAAAAGAAGTTTCCAGACAAGGCTTACTCAGCTTTGGTTTTCAGTGGGATGAGATTGTTTTGTTTTGTTTTTTCATTTCTTTAAACTTGGCTGACCATTGCCATTCCACCCCCAGATGGTGCGTACAGGCCAGTCATGAACCACAAACCTGTTTCCATTCACTCTTCACCTGCTTGTTCTTTTTGCTCCTCTCCCTGGATCTGTGGCTCTACAATCCAGCTGGATCTATACATCTCCCTCTTTTGTTCCTGTCACCCTCACTACATAACCTGTTGGACCTCTCTTGAGGCCTCTTGGACTTTGATCCTTGCCCAGTTTTCAGCTATACTAACTCCTCTGGCTTGGTATCCCATATTGACTAGCTGAAGTTCTCCATACTAAGTTCCAGTATTGCAGAATTGCACCAGCCAACTGGACCTGGGTGGCATGTAATGTCTAAGCCCTATGCATTGGGAAAGAAACTCTATCTGGAAAAAACAATGGCAGGGATGAAAGAAGAGTTGCCTTTTTTTTTTTTTTTTTTCCCAAGACGGAGTTTCGCTCTTGTTGTCCAGGCTGGAGTGCAATAGCGAGACCTTGGCTCATTGCAACCTCCGCTTCCTGAGTTTAAGCAATTCTCCCTCCTCAGCCTCCTGAGTAGCTGGGATTACAGGCATGTGCCAGCACACCTGGCTAATTTTGTATTTTTAGTAGAGACAGGGTTTCACCATGTTGGTCAGGGTAGTCTCGAGCTCCTGACCTTAGGTGATCCGCCCACTTCGACCTCCCAAAGTGTTGGGATTACAGGCGTGAGCCACCACGCCTGGCCAAGAGTTGCTTTTAAACTGTACTTGCTGGCACTACCAGCAAAATTTTTACCTGCCCGCCTCTGTACTCCTTTCCTCTGACTCCAGGAGATTTGGAAGTATAAGAAAATCTCCTTGGTTACAACAACTTTGGAACACTGTTTGGCAGTATCTACTAAAACTGAACATATGCATATACTTTTACCCAACAATTCTACTCCTAGATACATACCCAACAGAAATGCGCACATATGTTCATCAAAAGACATGCACAAGAATGTTCATAGAAGGATTACTCATAATAGCTAAAAACTGGAATCTCCAAATGTCCAACAGCAGTAGAATGGATTAAAAATAGCATATTCATACAATAGACTATATAGTAATGAAAAAGAATGAACTGTGTTATACACAACCTGGATGAATCTTACAAACACAATACTCAACAAAAAAAGCCACACAAAAAAGCATGCATAATATACATTCCACTTGTATGAAATCTAAAACGGACAAAATGAATCAATGTTATTACAAGTCAGAATAGTGGTTATCATACGGGGAGTAGTAATCAGGTGGGGGCATCAGACGATTGGGTGCTGGTAATGTTGTGTTTCTTGATCTGGGTACTGATCAGTGCATTCACTTTGCAAAAATTCATCCAGCTGTATACTTGCAATTCATGTACTTTTCTAAATATGGATATACATGAATAAAGTGAATGACAGAAAGAAAAATGTCCTTGCTTTCTCCTGAAAATGTAGCTATAAAGGATACCCAAGGTTAGTGACTGAGTAAATGAATTTTCTTGTTTCCCATTTGTCATTCGGGAAAACCTAGCAATGTGTGATTCTTCTGCTGTAATGGATACCTGTCCCCTGTACAAGTGGACATCATGATATTTGGTGGGACATGACCAGTGGGATGGTTCACAGCCAACATTATACGGCTCTCCAACTCTTGGTTCTCAGGTGGACCGGAAGGAACATCACTGTGGGCCTAGCTCTGAGAAGGATCTGGAGGGTGTCCTAAGATGAGTTAACCAGATTGGCTGGATGAGACAGCTTGCAGGCTGCAGAGCATAGGGCCACAGAAAATTTAAAGGACACTGTCAAGGTCTGAAGATGGAATAGAAGAACAGGGAGAGTATCTTAGAGAACTACTTCACCAAAAGGGTTAGGCAGAACAGCAGAAGATAGGTACATGACAACAGGATGGAAATGGAGGCCATTGGGACAGAGTGAGTGGTTTTGGAAGAAAATGGAGCCTGGGAATGAACAATCACAGGCTTTCTATAGGGCTTTTTTTTTTTTTTTAGCCTCTATGGAATGGGCAAGAGCTATAAAAGTTCTGAGCTGCTATAGACAAAAGTTCTGTACTGTTTCCACTACTCTCCTTTCTGGGCTGTTTGTTTTGGTGACATTCTCCATTCACATTTTACCTCCAGACTCTCCTTCCAGCTTCTAGAATTTTGTTTCCTTGAATATTTTTCAGCTCTCTGGCTTCTACAGTTTGGGCCTCCTATTGGGGTGAAAAATTTTATACTTTAGCCAACGACATCCCAGCCCCAACCCATGACTCCCAACGCCTTATAGGTTAACTATATTCCTCTCCTTCAGTCACCGTCACCCCACCAGGATGGGGATCCTGGATTTAAAACAACAACAACAACAACAACAACAACAACAACAACAACAACAACAACAACAACAGCAACAGCAGCAGCAGCAGCAGCAGCAGCTGGAAACAAGCAAGCCTATTGCTTCAGAATTCAAGATCATTTCTTTGCTGCTGAAGCCCCTGTACACCTTCTCTGACACTCCATCCCTGCTCTAGTCTGGTCCCTTTTGGACTATGTTATTGTACTTGGCAAATCCATGCAAGTTGGCTTGGGAATCTTTTTTTTCTTTTTCTTTTTCTTTTTTTTTTGAGACAGTATTTTGCTCTTGTTGCCCAGGCTGGAGTGCAATGGCACGATCTTGGCTCACCGCAACCTCCTCCTCCCGGGTTCAAGCGACTCTCCTGCCTCAGCCTCCTGACTAGCTGGGACTACAGGTATCCGCCACCATGCCCGGCTAATTTTGTATTTTTAGTAGTGACGGGGTTTCTCCATGTTGGTCAGGCTGGTCTCGAACTCCCGATCTCAGGTGATCTGCCCGCCTCAGCCTCCCAAAGTGCTGGGATTACAGGCATGAGCCATTGCGCCCGGCCAGCTTGGGAGTCTTATAAAGAGATCCCTAGTATGTCTTCCATGTTGGGAATTCCTGCAGGCTTTAGTTTTTTCTTTAGCCTTTGTTTCTAATCCTGTTGTTTTTCCATATATGTTGGTTCTATACTTTGGCACCCCTCTAGGACAGTAAGGACAACAGGCACCCTACCCTGGTTGCTCTAGGATGCCACCCTACTTGGCCATCATTATTTCATTTTATACCATCAGGAGAGGATAATCAGAATTCCTTTGTTTCTATGCTCTTTCTTGCTGCTTACCTGGCTATTTGATATTCTCTTTCTAAAATGTTGCAAACAGATCTTAGTCAACAGCAGCAATAAAGGGTGGTGGAAGTCTGCATTTTGGAAACCAACAAAATGGAGTTGAAATCCTGCATCTATCTACCACCTATTAGCTAGGAGACTTTGTGCAAGTTACTTAACCTTTCTAAGCCTTAGTTTCCTCATCTGTAAAACAGGGATCAAGTCTTGAAGGGTTGTTGAGAGGTTTATGTAATATTATGTGAAGATAACATCTGGCCCATATGAGCGACTTAACAAATGCTGGCTGTTATTGTTGGGCTCTTTGTTATAAGAACAGTCATTATCTACCTTCCCAGTTACTGAATGGTGTTAAGGAGTCCAGCTGATCTAAAAAAAAAAAATGAATGCATTTGCTGAGAAGTACATAAATGAATCCCTCTTTATGAGTGTCAGCCAAGAGAAGCATAAATAGCAAACTCTGCAAAGAAGCACATTCTGATGTACAGAAGAATGCAATTCAAGAATACAAATTAGGCCGGGCACGGTGGCTCATGCCTATAATTCCAGCACTTTGGGAGGCCGAGGCGGGTAGATCACCTGAGGTCAGGAGTTTGAGACCAGCCTGACCAAAATAGAGAAACCCCGTCTCTACTACAAATACAAAATTAGCTGGGCATGGTGGTGCATGCCTATAATCCCAGCTACTTGAGAGGCTGAGACAGGGGAATTGCTTGAACCAGAGAGGTGGGGGTTGTGGTGAGTCGAGATCGTGCCATTGCACTCTAGCCTGGGCAACAAGAGTGAAACTTCTTCTCAAAAAAAAAAAAAAAAGAAAACAAATTTAACACCAAAATTGCATTTCACAATAAAAGGCATAAATATTAAGAAATTGAAATAATAAAAAGAAAGTCACAGTCCTAGAGTATTGCTGGTCTCAATAAACAGCTTTGGATTGTAGTAGGCCCTAAGAGAAGCTAGTTCCAAGTAGTATATGTTGGATCTGCCTATATAGAATTCTAGAAGGAGATGGTAGTTATGTTGAATGTGGCAGCAGGCTGAGGGTCTGAGAGCACAAGGCCTCAAAAAGAAACGCAAGGGTTTAAGCAGCAATAACACAAAGGCCAATTAATCAACAGAAAGCAGGAGTAAATAAATATCAGAGGGCAGAACAAGATAGTGTGACCAAAGTACATGCAAACAGTCTGCAGGGAGCAGAGCTATTGATCCGTCAAAGAGCTGGCCTCAGAGAGGGTCACAGAAAATGTGGAAGGAGAGGTAGAATTGGAGGGAGAGCAGCAAGGTACCCAGAGCCAGGAGAGGAGAGCTCGCAGTGCAGAAGCAATATCCTCTCTCAGCTTCAATAGCTATTTATTTCTCTCACTTGGTAAGAATGCATCTGTAGCGAGCCCGGTCTATAATCTTGCAGGCAATAGTAATTGGATGGATAGGAGTGGGGCTGAGACATTGCAAGGGTCTCAGGAAAAATATTTCAGGACAGTCTTCACAGGCTTCTTGGATCCAGGTTTACCTGTGTGTCGTTGATAGAAAGAGAGGACTTGATCGGAGCATGGATCTGATGAGTAAATCCCCCATGGGCAGTCCTCAGGTCCATAGCCTTCCCAGTTAATAAAACAGTAGGATTATCCATGGTCACTTTCTGAAAAAATTATGTGGTGTATCTAGCAGTCTTCCTGGTTATAGTCCAAACAGGGAAATAGAGGAAATATTCTGTGCTGGGGTCAAGTTTTCCTTTTAGATGTGCAATGCCAAATGTATATTTTTAAATTTACTTTTGAGACAGGGTCTCCCTCTGTCACCCAGGCTGGAGGTCAGTGGCACGATCTCAGCTCACTGCAGCCTTGGCCTCCCCGGCTCAATCCATCCTCCCACCTCAGCCTCCCGAGTAGCTGGAACCACAGGCGCACACCACCACGCTAGACTAACTTTTTGTATTTTTTGGAAGAGACGGGTTTTTGCCATGTTACCCAGGCCGATCTCAAACTCCTGGGCTCAGATGATCCACCAGCCTTGGCCTCCTAAAGTGCTGGAATTACAGGCACGAGCCACTATGCCCGGACTTGTACAAATTATTTAACCAGTCTGAGTCTTGGTTTCCTCACTAGAAAAATGGAGATAATATCTATTGGAAAGAGTTGTTATGAAGGTTAAATGAGATACATCTCACCATGCCTGACACATTGAAGCTAAGAACACTCAGTAAGTGGTCTTTCTATTTTCTTTCTGCTGATCCTTGATTGAAAGAGCTGTATCTTGGTTGGGCGCAGTGGCTCACACTAATCCCAGCACTTTGGGAGTGAGGCTGAGGTGGGCAGACCACCTGAGGTCAGGAGTTGAAGACCAGCCTGGCCAATTTGGCGAAACCACTTCTCTACTAAAAATACACAAAATTAGCCAGGAATGGTGGCGTGGACTTGTAGTCCCAGCTACTCGGGAGGCTGAGGCAGGAAAATCTCTTGAACCTGGGAGGCAGAGGTTGCAGTGAGCCGCAATCACACCACCGCACTTCAGCCTGGGCGACAGAGTGACACTCCGTCTCAAAAAAAAAAAAAAAGAAAAAAAGAAAGAGCTGTATCTTATTTCTTATTGTGAGGTTCCCTCCATCTAGCAACCTACTTGGACTTTTTAGACACACTTGGCTGCTATCTTGATCCTAGGTGCTCTCTTAAGAACATAGAGAAATTTGCAATTATGGTATGGTAGAAAGAGTAATTGCTCCCTCAAAACAGCCACGATCTAATCTCTGGAGTCTGTGAATATATTACCTTACTTGGCAAAAGGGACTTTGCAGATGTGGTTAGGGTTAAGGACCTTGACATGGGGTTTTCTGGGTGGGCCCAACCTAACCAATGAGTCCTGAAAAGCACTGAACCTTTCCCAGCTGAGGTCAGAGGGAGATGTGACTGGAGAAGGGTCAAAGAGATGTGTATGTGAAAAGGACTCACTGCTGCTGGCTTTGAAAACAGAAAGGAACCATGAGCCAAGCAATGAAAATATCCTCTAGGAGCTAGAAAAGGCTAGGAACCGACCGGGTTTGGTGGCTCGTGCCTGAAATCTCAGTGCTGTGGGAGGATTGCTTGAGCCCAGGAGCTCAAGACCAGCCTGGGCAACATAGGAAGACCCTGTCTCTGTAAAAATAAGCATGGTGTGCCTGTAGTCCTAGCTGCTCGGGAGGCTGAGGGGGAGAATTGCTTGAGCCCGGGAATTCCAGGTTGCAGTGAGCTATGATTGTGCCGCTGCACTTCAGCAAGAAACCCCATTTCTTCAAAAAATAAAGAAGTCGGCGGGGCACAATGGCTCACGCCTGTAATTCCAGCACTTTGGGGGGCCAAGACGGGTGGATCACCTGAGGTCAGGAGTTCTAGACTAGCCTGGCCAACATGGTGAAACCCCATCTCTACTAAAAAAAAAAAAAATACAAAAATTAGCTGGGCATGGTGGCAGGCTCCTGTAATCCCAGCTACTCAGGGGGGCCGAGGCAGGAGAATCGCTTGAACCCAGGAGGCAGAGGTTGCAGTGAGCCGAGATCGCGCCATCGCACTCCAGCCTGAAGGACAAGAGTGAGACTTCATCTCAAAAAAAAAAAAAAAAAAAAAAGTCTAGGAAATAGGTTCTCTAGAGCTTCTGCAAAGGAATGAAACCTTGCTAATACCTTGATCTTAGCCCAGTGAGGTTTGTGTCGGACTTCCAACCTACAGAACACCAAGATAATATGTTTGTGTTATTTAGGCCACTAAATGTGTGACAATTTGTTTTAGCAGCAACAGAAAACTAACATATACAGGCACTGAAAAGGGCTCAAGGCCATGAGGGTAATTGACAGTATGACTAGATGATTCATAACCAAGCAATACGTGTGGATGATGATTTGATAAAAAATGATCTATCTTCCTAACTCCTCTTAAGTATTATTCCAAAATAATATTTATTTTTTATTCATGATATTCAATTTAAAAATACAGATTTGGCCAAACAAACCTATTTGCTCTTGCTCAAGAGTGATAAGAGCATTTTCTTAAAATGTGTGGTGATAAAACACGGTATGTGTGGCAGGGGTTCTGGGTTGAGCCTAAGCTGTGTCTGCACACTGAATTCAAATATGTCGGGCCATCTCATGAGCTGGCCATGATTCTAGCCACAGAAACGGATAATGTGCTTCATGGGATATATAATAATTGGATTCCTCAGGGCTCATGTGCTGTGCCTAGGGGTGCCTAAAACTGAGACTCCCAGGAAATGGCAATTCATTCAAGTCACCTTTAGTAATAAATGGTTGATTGTAAAGGTACATATTCATGGAAACCCAGAAAAGGCTGAGCAATCAGGGTCAGGAAGAAAGGGCTAAGAAGGTGGCTATCAATTCAAGGCAGTTCCAAGACCTTAGCTGTGGGATTTTGTGAATCTTTACTCTTATGTGACTCAGACACTCCCTTTGTGTCTGCCACACTCTGTGCTCACAACAGACTGGCGTTCATACCATCTCATCTGTGTCTTTTCTGCATCATAGGTTCTGCTTACTCATAACTAGGCTTACTCATAACCTGACTTTAGCCAAACCTTTGATTCATTCAAGTCCTCTCTTGACTTCCCCAGCTTCTCTTGACCCCATAGCCTTTCAACTTTATTTATGCATTTATTTGTTAATTTGAAAATATGCAGCACCTATAATGCGCCCCCATGCACTTGATTATCTAGTCAGAGAGGCAACAATCAAATAATTACAAAAGTGTTGCAGGTACATTCTGGGGTACTCAGCCCATTTGTTTAAACAAAGCCCTAGGATGTGCTGCTGCATGCTCTGTGAACTCGCTGCCTTCAGGAGCAGCAGCAATGAACTGGCCATCCTGTTTAATACCACATGACCTTTCCCTCCCCGCAAAGTCCAGATACAGCTAATGAAACTACAGATTGGCATTTGACCAAGGACAATTAATACATTGGCTGGCCAGCAACCAGCAGTTTAATTCAAATTAATAAGCTTCCCTTAGAAGGAAAAAATTACAGCATAACAGACATTATACAGAATGGACCTGTTTATCACAGGGGGATAAATTTTATATTCCAGAGCCATAATCTAAATGTAGAAGGAATTCATCCATGGAGAACTTTCTCGTTGTGAAAGAGAAAGTTAGAGGGCACTTGTTTGATTCAGGAACTTGAAGCAGGGAGAAGGGCAGAGAGCAGGGTTGGTTTTGCGTAGAGCACAGGGCTGTGTTTATCACTCAAATGATGGCCAGAGTGAGGCTTAGGGAAACTGTGCCACTTTCTTTGCAGGAAAGTATCATAGCTCTAGTTAGGATTAAATCAGTTATAGTTTTCATGCAGTTTGCTTCTCAGGGATTCTCTGGGACAGTCCTTGGTCTGGGCCCAAGTGCATATGTTTCAACACAGCACTGACTCTTATGCCAGACTCCAGGTTGTCATGTTTATCTTAAGCAATTTTCTTTACAAAAAAATTGAATTAGGCTGGGTGCGGTGGCTCACACCTGTAATCCCAGCACTTTGGGAGGCCGAGGCAGGTGGATCACCTGAGGTCAGGAGTTCAAGACCAGCCTGACCAATATGAGGAAACCCTGTCTCTACTAAAACTACAAAAATTAGCTGGACATGGTGGCATGTGCCTGTAATCCCAGGTACTCAGGAGGCTAAGGCAAGAGAATCGCTTGAACCTGGGAGGCGGAGGTTGCAGTGAGCCAAGAGCGCACCATTGCACTCCAGCCTCGGCAACAAGGGCAAAACTCTGTCTCAAAAAAAAAAAAAAGAAAGAAAAAAGAAAAAAATTGAATTTAATTAACTTTTTTTTTTTTTTTTTGAGACAGGATCTCCCTCTGTCGCCCAGGCTGGAGTGCAGTGGCATGATCATAACTCACTGTAATCTCCACCTCCTGGACCCAAGCAATCCTCCCACCTCGGCCTCTCAAGTAGCTAGGACTACAGGTACAGGCCACCATGCCAGGTTAAGCCTTAGGCAGTTCTCAACCAAGAATTTTAGAGATGCCATGGTATTTTAGACAAGCCATACAAAGGCATCAAGGCACAACTACAGCACATGACCTTGAGTTCTCCTTCTGGAACCCACAGTTAGGAGTTTATGTAGAGAAGGTCAGATTCAAAGGCAGCCCCTTACACTGTTGATTGTGGGTTGGCAACAAAGTTGGCATGGCTCAGTTAGCTATAGGTTCTGTGTCATGTCACTGCCGTGGCTGGAAAGAAGGTGAGGCTCCAGGAGTGTTGAATAGTAACAGCATTTTCTTTCTTTTCTTTTCTTTTCTTTTTTTCTTTTTTTGAGACGGAGTTTCATTCTTGTTGCCCAGGCTGGAGTGCAAGGGTGCGATCTCAGCTCACTGCAACCTCCAGCTCCCAGGTTCAAGGAATTCTCCTGCCTCAGCCTCCCAAGTAGCTGGGATTACAGGTATGTGCCTCCACACCTGGCTAATTTTTTTGTATTTTTAGTAGAGACGGGGTTTCACCATGTTGGCCGGCTGGTTTCGAACTCCTGACCTCAGGTGATCCACCCGCCTTGGCCTCCCAAAGTGCTGGGATTATAGGCATGAACCACCGCGCCCGGCCACAGTAACAGCATTTTCTAAGAGGCAGATTGACTAAAGGGCTGGCAGCTCCTGGGAGTTTGTGTACTCTGCTTTTGGGAATAAAACGTTGGCACGTTTGTTCTGTTGTCCGAAGATAGCCTTCATTTTGAAATAGAAACACACAGAGAACTAAGTTTCCTCTGAGACCATCAGGTGGTGTGTCCCAAAGTTGACTTGGAAAGAAGTACTTGGAAAGAAATACAACAAAGTTGCTTGTGGTTATTGTGGTTTATGCAGACCCAAGTCACAGTCCTGGAACGCCGAAGCAGGAATCCAGAACTACAGATCTGCCAAGAACAGAACATGGACCAGCAAATTGGATGTATTATTCTTCATTATGAGAGCCCAGGGGTTGAGGAAAGACAAGCATGAAAGATATTTCAGTGTCTGGAAGACCTCTAGCTGCTAGAGACCATCCCCTCTTCGTAGGATCCTTAGAGGCTGTCTGGTTCAGCTTTCTCGTGTTACTGGTATAATAAATACCAAGTCCCAGAGAAACTAGCAAACCTTGCCTACTTCAATTAATGGTTGAAACATGAATAAGACTCGTGGGACAACCTCCTTTTTAAATGAGATCTGGCAGGAAATGATCATGGTCAGAGCTGAAATGTCTTTTGTGTGAGCATCACATTTACACACATGCTGAGAATCCATGTGTTCAACAGGTCGCCAGCATGTAGCGAGGGTGTTGATAAAGTCCCAGGTCCTCGGTAATGACTGGTGAATGGTGTCATTTAATCATGGAATTAGGCAAGCCAGAAGCCCCAGTGGCCCTTGATCCCTGCCCAAATCCAGTCTATCACCAAGTCTTGTCAATACTGCCTCTATCTACTTCTTTTTCTTCAGAACTGGGCTCACTATCATCTTCTCTTGCCTGGGCTTCTGGGACAGTGTTCTAATGGTCTGCCCACGTTTCCACTGCCTGCAATTTACTTTTCTCACAGCAGCTGATGGTCTTCCCTCTACAGCCTTATTTATTTATTTATTTATTTATTTATTTATTTATTTTATTTTTTTGAGATGGAATCTCGCTCTGTTGCCCAGGCTGGAGTGCAGTGGCGCGATCTCGGCTCACTGCAAGCTCTGCCTCCCAGGTTCACACCATTCTCCTGCCTCAACTTTCCGAGTAGCTGGGACTACAGGCGCCCGCCACCGCGCCCGGCTAATTTTTTTGTATTTGTAGTAGAGATGGGTTTCACCGTGTTATCGAGGATGGTCTCGATCTCCTGACCTGGTGATCTGCCTGCCTCGGCCTCCCAAAGTGCCGGGATTATAGGCATGAGCTACCGCGCCCGGCCTATTTTTTAATTGTTAATTAATGAACTTTATTTTTAGAGCAGTTTCATAGGTTTACAGAAAACTGAGCACATAGTACAGGGAGTTCCTTTATACCCACTTTCTATGCCACTCACAGTTCCCCCTATTATTAGCATCTTGAATTAGTGTGGTACATTTCTTACAACTGATAAACCAATATTGATACTTATTATTAACCGAAGACTGTTATTATGAACCAAAGCTTACATTATGGTTTAGTCTCCTGTTGTATAATAAATGTATGACATGTATCCACCATTGCAGTATCATACAGGATAGTTTCGCTGCTCTAAAAATCCCTCATACTTCACATCCCTTACCAGTGATTGTTTCAAAAGTGGATCCTGTGGCCAGGTGCGGTGGCTCATGCCTATAATCCCAGCACTTTGGGAGGCCAAGGCAGAAAGATCACTTGAGGGAAGTTTGGGCAGTATAGCAAGACCCCATCTCTACAAAAAATTAAAGAATTAACCAGGTGTGGTGGTGTGCACCTGTAGTCCCAGCTACTCAGGAGGCTGAGGTGGGAGGATTGCTTGAGCCTAGGAGTTCGAGGCTGCGGTGAGCCATGATTGCACCACTGCACTCCAGCCTGGACAACAGAATGGGACTCCATCTCAAAAAAAAAAAAAAATCAAAATGCAGATCTTTATTACAGCAAAACATACCTCCAAAACTGCAGATCTTCTGTCTCTCCCCTCACTCAGCCTCACCTTGTTCCACTATCTAGCATTCTGTTTCCAACCATACAGGTCTTTTTGTTTCAATCCCTCAAGCCACACTCAATTCTGTCTCAGAGTTTTGCTCATGTTGTTTTTTTCTTCATGAAATGTCCCATTCTACCTCCCGGCCCCAACTCCAGGTCTTATCACAGCTGCCTCCTTCCTAAACTGTGAGCTCCTCACTGGCAAAGCTGTGTTATTGTACCCATGGTACCCAGCACCTAGTGGATGTGTAATAAATGTTTGCTGAATAATATTAATAATTAAATTATTAGATGAAGAGAACAACAGCACAGAGTTTCACTTGATTGTGAGGAGCTTGGGAAGGGTACTGAAAGTTTGCAATGACGGCTAGGGGATGAAAGGGAAGGAAATGCTGATAGGAAAAATGCCTATTCAATAGGCTGAGAACACAGCTAAAAATCTGTAGAGGCGGCCAGGCACATTGCTCAGGCCTGTAGTCTCAGCACTTTGGGAAGCCAAGGGGAAAGGATTGCTTGATCCCAGGAGTTTGAGACCAGCCTGGACAACATGACAAGACTCTGTCTCTATAAAAAGAAAAAAGAAAAAAATTTAATTAGCTATGCATGGTGGTGTGCCCCTGTAATCCCAGCTACTTGGGAAGCTGAGGCAGAAGGATGCTTGAGTCCATGAGTTTGAGGCTACAGTGAGCCATGATCATGCCACTGCACCCCAGCATGGGTAAAAGAGTAAAAGTCTGTCTCAAAAAAGAAAAGAAAATTTGTAGAGGCCTCAACCCATCAGATGGTGTCAGGGGAGAGCGCTGGATGAATAGTTACAGTGATAAAGAGTTTAAGATTTGCAGGGTGGAACTGTTCTGGTAGTGACAAAGTACAGGGTGTGGCCATAGGAGTCCACTGAAGAGAACTGGAAGTGAAGACGCTGAGTATGAAAGGTCAGGAAACTAAGAAGCTGGGTCATTGAGTGGGTGGCCTACAAAGTCAGCAAAATCTCCCTTCCGCCCAGGAAGAAGAAGTGAGACAGGTATTTAAGAAATATGGCTGATGGATGACAGAGATGAAAGGAGAGAAGATGACAAGTTGGATGTCATGGACTTCATTGGGGCAGAGGTTTTTCATAGGGAAGAAATTGTTAGAAGGGTCTTAGGGAACTGGAAGAATGTTGTTGCTAATGCCTCCCTGTATTGGGGGCATGAAAGAATAAATAGCTTCTACTCGAAAGAAGTACAGGGGAAGTGGTAACCTCAGGGGAAAGCCAGGTTTCAGTTCAGACTAGAAGGTGAGGGAGTTTGCAAGGTGTCTGGTTGCACATAACAGAAATCAGCTCCAGCTATCTGTGGCCAGTAGTGAGTGACGGGTTGAGGGAGTTGGGTATCTTGGACAGTTGCACAAGATGGTAGCCACAGGCCTATCATTATGGGTGAGAAGATGCTATGATGGTCTTGATGAGCTGGGAAGACACTCCAAAAAGGTGTCCACTTTAGATAGTTCTGTGAAGAAGTTAAGGAAGTAGGAGAATTCACCAACAGACAGGGGTTCCATAGGACACAAATATTAATGGAATGTCTGGGGAAGTAGAGAGAAACAGAAGTACAGAGAAATATGGGGATTAGAATGGTCTGTGGGTTCCAAGTGGTGGTATCAGGAAGGTGGTATCTAGAATGGTAGGTACAGGAGGACCTACAAGCACATGGTGACATTTGTCGTGTCTGTCTAGCCCCTATTCTATTCCAAATATCTGTCTGCTCCCTAATTCGTCTTCATCCATTGAATTAGAGTTTCTTTCCTTTGTGTGTGTGTGGGTGTGGGTGGGTGGGGGGACAGAGTCTTGCCCTGTTGCCCAGGCTGGAGTGCAGTGATGCAATCATAGCTCAGTGCAGCCTTGAACTCCTGAGCTCAAGCAATCCTCCCACCTCACACTCCTGAGTAGCTGGATATACAGGGGCACCACCACACATGACTAATTTTTTTAAAAAATTTTGTAGAGATGGGAGTCTCACTGTGTTGTCCAGGCTGGTCTGGATCTCCTGGCTTCAAGCAACCTTCCCACCTTGGCTTCCCAAAGTATTGGGATTACAGGCATGAGCCCGGCTGAATTTGAATTTCTGACTTTCTTTGCCTCATCCCCTTTCTTTGCCCCAGAACATCTCTTAGAGCTTCACTGTGCCACCACGACTTCTGCTACCTCCTTAAGAAGCTGCACCCTGGATTATTTCTTAAACACCCACTGTGCGGGTTGGATGCTGACCCAGCCTGCTCTACTGAGCCCTGTGAAGCCCCCACCATCTTCTAACTTACCATATTATATTGTAATATTTTTGTGTCTCTCTTGTGTTCTAATCTATGAGTTTCTTCAAGAGCAGACATTATTTCTTGTTCTTATTTACAGTCCTCCCCTGTAATGTCTAGCACATTGCTTGTGACCCAGGCAGGGATGGACTTGTCGAATGACTGACTGAATGACTGAGTGAGTGAATGGACTTTGATCTCTTATTGTCCTGTTCCTGTAGTCTAGAAATGTTAGACTCAGAGGTACCCTCTCTGGCAAGACTTTCCCTTTCTTGCCCACCCTTTTATCTGATTTCCTGGTTTTGATTTCATGCTTGCCAGACATAGACCATTTGCTGGGCTAAAGAAACCCAGCTTGAGAGATACCCTGTCCCAATTCTTCCTGGCCTGCTCCTCCCAGGATCCTCCTAGAATATGGGTCTGAGACATATTGAATGTTTTCTCTACTTCCTAAAATGACATCTCTATAATATAGGCTGAGTCCCCATCCCTGAACACTTGGGTTAGGGCCAGGATCACCTGGTCCATATTCCCCAGACTGTCTTTTCCCACCTTCAACACATCTACCATCCTAGCAGAAGGGAAGCCCAGGTTTAGTGAACAGAGTGGCTGAGAAGTTACATGGCCATGATAATGCCTGATTTCAGGAAAGGGATTACTTCTGGAATAGCAGGGAGATGACATGAGAGCAGGCACAGGCTACGGGAGCTTCAACTGTACGGGTGATATTTTATTTCTAAGATGGGTACATACTCATTCGTGATTCCTTAAATCTCTTTTTTTTTTTTTTTTGAGATGGAGTCTCACTCTGTTGTCCAGGCTGGAGTGCAATGGCGTGATCTCTGCTCATTGCAATGTCCACCTCCCGGGTTCAGGTGATTCTCCTGCCTCAGCCTCCCGAGTAGCTGGGATTACAGGTGTGCGCCACCAAGCCCAGCTAATTTTTATTTTTTTAGTAGAGATGGTGTTTTGTTATGTTGCCCAGGCTGGTCTCAAACTCCTGACCTCAAGTAATCCATCTGCCTGGGCTTCCCAAAGTGCTGGGATTACAGGCCTGAGCCACCACACCTGGCATAAATGTTTTGTAATCCTGAAACATTTCAATGACAAAGCTTAGAATGAGAGGTACTCAGCTTTTGCCTTAGCAGAATGCCTGCAGGTGGACCTGGGGATAGAGACAGTAGTGGTTAATGGACTCTAGGGGTTTAGGGGAATTAAATCAAAGTGTTCAGCAGAGAGAGGACAAAGGGGCAGTAGAGGGCTTCTGGGCTCAGGGCCAACATCTTGGACCACAAGTCTATAAGCTGAGTTTGACTGACTGTAAAAGCCTGTGAATCTATTGTATTCACTGGCAAAAATCTTCAAAATAGGCAATCCCCAGCTTATTAGTTTATTTATTGGTCTGTTGTCTGGAACTGGGAACAAGTTTTCCTATAGAAACAATATTACAAATGGTGGCTCTGCCCCAAGGCCAGCCCACAAAAGCTCACAGAACCGTAATGTACCTGAAATATTGTACTCATAATACTAAAGATCCTGACCACTATTTATAAAAGTGTTTCTGTGGGAAAGTGCATTTCGAGTTTTAATGCCGGTAACACATATTCCTCAGCCCTGTGAGTCCTCTGGACTCTTGACCTTACTCCCACTGTGCTGATTCTTATCAGAATGGCACCATAAGCGCTGGCACCATAAGCAGCAGGAAGGCAAGTTAGTTGCTTTCTGTTGCTACAGAATTCAAGCTGAAGTTTCAAGCAATTCATCTTCACTGAGCTGACCCCAACCCCTACCATGTACCCTGGCCTGTGATCTAAGTTTAGCCTTTTAAACACAACAAAGAGCCTCTTATGCAAAACATGCTTTGTGCACCCTATCCCAAGCTGATACATAAACTCTGTCACATTAGGGACTCAATTTGGATGTTTCTGGAATGCCAAAGATGAGCGGGAGTCTTCGTTTCATGAGGAAAATGGTCTGGAAAATTTTGGGACTAGTAAAATCCCTGAGACACTGGAAAGGGACAGCTTTTGAAGAGGGGCTTGTATAATCAAGCGGAGAAGTCACCTGATGTTGACTGAAAGGAGATGAAAAATGTCCCTAAGGAGGCCAGGCATGGTGGCTCACGCTTATAATCCCAGTGCTTTGGTAGGCCGAGGTGGGCGGATCACTTGAGGTCAGGAGTCACAACGCCAGGAGTTTGAGACCAGCCTGGCCAACATGGTGAAACCCCATCTCTACTAAAAATACAAAAATTAGCTGGGCATGGTGGCGACCGCTTGTAACCCCAGCTACTTGAGAGGCTGAGGCATGAGAATAGTTTGAACCCAAGAGGCAGAGGTTGCAGTGAGCCCAGATCATACCACTGCACTCTAGCCTGGGTGACGGAGCGAGACTCTGGCTCAAAAAAAAAAAAAAAAGAGTCCCTAAGTTTAGAACACTGGTGTCTTTGGCAAGGACAAGTATCTCTGAGTATGATACAGACACTCAAATACTCTCACTTAGAGAGTTCAGGTGGAGAACTGAAATCTGAAAGATCCACATGACATTCTGGGGGCCTAAAAACTATGATTTCTTCATAGACAAAAGATATTTTCTGTTGGCTATGAAGATTGTAATTGTAGGAAACTTTCTCACTATATCCAGAGCCCCAGCCTCAGTGGTAGAGGACAATGACATGTGGTGGTCCTGTTGGCCTGGAGGAGTAGCGAGGATTCAAGATTAGAGCCTGGGATAGTCACAGAGGCCGTTGAAGGACAGCATGAGTCCCTGGGACGCTCAGGACTAGATCCACTTTGGGCAGTTGGGGCTTCGAGCCCTAGTGCCACACAGGGCTTATTTTGGTAAAGCACTCTGATTGGGACAATACCTTTCCTCTATGGTGTACAGTCTTGATGGGACTAGAAATCAAACTGCCTTGTTCTTTCCTAGCCAGGGAGCGAGGTGAACAGACTGTTTCCTTAGATTTGAATCTTAGGGCTGGGCACGGTGGCTCACACCTGTAATCCTAGCACTTTGGGAGGCTAAGGCTGATGGATCACTTGAGCACAGGAGTTTGAGACCAGCCTGAGCAACATGGCGAAACCCTGGCTCTACAAAAAAAATACAAAAAAATTAGCTGGGCCTGGTGGCGTGCACCTGTAGTCCCAGCTACCTGCGGGGCTGAGGTGAGAGGATCGCTTTAGCCCAGGAGGTCAAGGTTGCAGTGAGCCGAGATCACACCACTGCACTCCACCCTGGGTGACAAAGTGAGGCGCTGTCTCAGAAAAAAAAAAAAAAGATTTGAATCTTGAATGGCACGACCTAGACACTAAAAGCTGGTTGGCACCTATTGTCCCAGCGTTGTGCCCCCAGCCACCTTAACCTCTAGAGTTGCCCGGCTTCCTGTCCTCCAAGCAGACTCTCTAGCTTTCCCATGAGTCCCATCTGCTACCTATTATCCTCCCAAAACAGTTCTCTCCTACTCAAGTCATCCAGTCTGTTTCTGTTTTGTATGATTGAAGAACTCTCACTAATACAGACTCTGATGGCAGAAGGTTGATCAAGGAAAATCTGCCAGTACAATTTGTAAAGCAACTCAAAGCCTAAATCAGCAGAAGGAATAGTTATAGCATATCATCTTCAGATACAAAAATGACAGTTCATATCTTTCAGATGTGATGAGCTCAACTTTACCTGATATGTTCACAATGTCAAGTTCAAATTTAAAAAACAAAAAACAAGCAAACAATAAAACCCTTTTGGCCAGGCACAGTGGCTAATGCCTGTAATCCCAGCACTTTGGGAGGCCGAGGCAGGCAGATAACTTGAGGCCAGGAGTTCGAGACCAGCCTGGTCAACACGGTGAAACCCCGTCTCTACTAAAAATACAACAAATTAGCGGGGCGTGGTGGTTCGTGACTGTGGTCCCGGCTGCTTGGGAGGCTGAGGCAGGAGAATTGCTTGAACCCGGGAGATGGAGGTTGCAGTGTGCTGAAATCATGCTACTGCCCTCCAGCCTGGGTGACAGAGCAAGACTCCGTCTAAAAAAATTAAAATAAAAATAAATTAGCCGGGCATGGTGGTATGTGCCTGTAGTCCTATCTACTTGGGAGGCTGAGGTGAGAGGATGGGTTGAGCCCAAGAGTTTGAAGTTACAGTGAGCTATGATCACACCACCGCAGTCCAGCCTGAACAACAGAGTGAGACCTCTGTTGTTTAGAGTGAGACCTCTGTTGTTTAGAGTTCTCTGTTGTTTAGAGTGAGACCTCTAAAAACTATTTTTTTTTTTTACCTGAGAAGGCAAAGATGGATGGGTAGAGGGAAGGTTAATATAAATATTATTCTGGGAACAAGTTACGAATTCCTAGCCCTGCATCATGCAATTTACTCTGATGACATGATAAATATGTTGGCTGTATTCAATGGTAACTATGGTTTTGTCTCATTTATTTTGGGAAATAAATATATTCATTTATATTAATAGAAAGATTTTTAGGAAAACAGGCAAATTGCAATTCCATTCCTTTGTTATCATTTAAAATAACTGAGTTAAGATTCAATGGTAGTTTAAAAATAACAATGGAGAAAAATGTGTCTGGAAATGGCCAGTTGGCCAAATGAAGTGAAGTATGTTTCAATTCAACTAGTTGGCATTTTCTTTTTTTTTTTTCTCTTTTTTTTTTTTTTTCTTCTGAGATGGAGTTTTGTTCTTGTCACCCAGGCTGGAATGCTGGAATGGCGTGATCTCAGCTCAGTGCAACGTTTTCCTCCTTGTTTCAAGCAATTCTCCTGCCTCAGCCTCCCAAGTAGCTGGGATTACAGGCCTGCACCATGATGCCCAGCTAATTTTGTAGGCATTTTCTATTTGCTCCATGATTAGCAGACCGGGTGGCGGAGCTTGTCTGAGAAAGGGCAGGCTACTTTGTCCATCAATGCCTGGTGCAAAGACATGCCATCTACTGCACCGGATGATCATCTGGGCCTCAGGCTATGGGACAGCCTGATCCTCGGCCCATGGAGCAGCCTGGTCCTTAGTCACAGGACATGTTTCCCATCCCAGGGGAGCTCAGGTTTGTGGGTTCCACTCTTGAGATCTAAACAACAATGGACTCAGGGGGCTCAGGCAGCTTTCTCTGATCCAGTTTGTCTCTCTCCCACCTGAGTTGAGGCCACTGCAGCATAGATAAAAACTAGGGACACTCAATGTTCATGCTGCCTCTCAATTCTTATCTTCCACTGGAGGCCCAGGACTCACCCTTGTCCTGGAAAAACCCCATTCCTTCTCCCCTTTGCTATGTTTCTGCCATCATCATAGCGTGTGCCTTCCCTCACCCTCACCCCCAACCAAACCCTATCTCACCCATGATCTCTGTTTCCAGAGTTCTGGCTCAGCACAAGTTGGAGCAAAGTGCTTTTAGACACAGAAGTGAAGCAGCTTCCCTGTTATGTAAATGGGATGATACAATAGATCTGGTGCCATGTGACAACCCTCCCCATATAGTCCCTTAAGAGGCAGAGGCAGAGACCTTAAGCAGCTGTCATTGACCCCCTCCTTTTCGTGACAGTTTTAGTCAGCCTCTCCACCTCCTTCTTCCCAGCCCCAGTGCCCTTTATGATAAAGAAAGGGTATGGGCCTGGGATGCGGGAGGTGGAGAGGCTGATTTAAGAGGCTTTCTGCCTCTATGGAATTACCACTTCTGAGTCCTCTATCTGAGATCTCTGTCTGCTCTGATTTCTAACTTCTAGCACAGGTCTTTACAAAATAAAAACTTCAAGGAGCCTACAACTTTATCCAGATTTGGAAGGAAAATGAGAGAAAAACTGCCTTATAGATTGGTAAGTCTAAATCATGGCATTGCCTTTTGCCTATGTAGAGTCTCAGTCATTTAAGGAATAGCATTGTGTGTGACTTTGGGGAGGTCATATGTACCTGCACAATCTCCTGAAATACTTTCCCAATCTGAACATAAGCCCAGGAGCCAGGTTCCTTGACCACTGGCCAAAGCGTCACTCCAAGCCAACTCCAAGAATTGGGCTAGAGAGCCCCATGGTTATCTACATCATGGCTGTAAACTTTGTACCCAGCCAGGTACAATTATTCCTGGGATTCTTACAGCCTTCTGCTTTTACTAAACCAAAATTTACCTTCTCAAAAGGAAGAAGTTTCCCTAGTTATAGAGTTAGATAAAGCACTCTAGCAGTTGAAGACTTACTTGTCTCTTTCCCAGCTTTGACTTACCTGGAAGCAAAAAGCCCTACACCATTGAAACCAACACCTTTAACAGTGCAGCAGGGTCATATGGCCCCAAGATAAGTGATCTGTGGCTCGGGCAACAGTCAGTCTCTGCAGAAGAAGCTAGGCTGGTTGATATCAACTAGCTGACATAAGAATGGGTTATCATTTACCATGGCCACCTTCGTGGTCTGGAAGCATCATCTCCAGGTATCCAGCATCCTGTAGTAATGTGTTTGGAACATTAGAGCCTGGTGCTGTTCAGACAGACCTAGATGAACACTTAAGTGTTTGGATTTTACTATCTCATAAACTTGGCAGTGAAATGGCCAGGTGACTTCTCTATTTCAAAACACTAGGGAGTAGAGGAAACATTTCTATTCTTGGAAATCCTCCTGTAGCTACAATAAATAAAAGCAAAATCCAAATGTCTGCGGTTCATAGTGCCTAGTACAGGCACCTAGCATAGAGCTAGAGTCACCCAGGAGTAAGTCGGGACACACCATGAGTCCTCTTTACCCAGACCAGTGGCTGTTTTTCCACAAGCAGGGAGCCCTGTCACAAGTACTTTGCCTTTCCATAAGAATACTGTAATTCTCACCTCATATATCTCAGAAGGAAACCCTGCTGATTTAGAGCATTAAATATAAGAAGATAACATCTTAAAATACTAGAAGAAAATATGATATTCATCTTGCTCTTAAAGAAAAACATTGTAATCATTAAGTCAATAGAAAAAAATGCCAAAATAAATAAATTCAGTTACATAAAAGAAATATATTAGCTACAGCAAGTTATCATAATAAAAATAAATGCTGGCCGGGTGTGGTGGCTCATGCCTGTAATCCCAGCACTTTGGGAGGCCAAGGCATACAGATCACTTGAGATCAGGAGTCCAAGACCAGCCTGGCCAACATGGTGAAACTCTGTCTCTACTAAAAATGCAAAAATTAGCCAGGCATGGTGGTGCACACCTATAATCCCAGCTACTAGGGAGGCTGAGGCGGGAGAATTGCTTGAACCCAGGCAGTGGAGGTTTCAGTGAGCCAAGATCACACCACTGTACTCCAACTTGGGCAACAGAGCAAAATTCCATCTGAAAAAAAAAATGCTCAGACTCTTTGAACTACTAATTTTAAGAATCTAATCAGAGGCCAGTCACAGTGGCTCACACCTGTAATCCCAGCACTTTGGGAGACCGAGGCAGGTGGATCACCTAAGGTCGGGAGTTCCAGACCAGCCTGACCAACATGGAGAAACCCTGTCTCTACTAAAACTACAATATTAGCCAGGCATGGCGACACATGCCTGTAATCCCAGCTACTTGGGAGGCTGAGGCAGGAGAATCACTTGAACCTGGGAGGCAGAGGTTGCGGTGAGCTGGGATTGTGCCATTGCACTCCAGCCTGGGCAACAAGAGCGAAACTTCCTCTCAAAACAACAACAACAACAACAAAAAACTAATCAGAAATGTGAATGTAGTTTTGTGCACAAAAGTATTTATCATAATGTAATTTAGAATTGGAAACAACTGAATATTCAACAATGGTGAAAGTGTTATAGTAATTTATGATATATATAGATGAAATTCATGGCTCCCATATGCAGTCATTAAAAATAATTTTGTTACATAAAGATACTTATGAGACAATGGTAGGTGTAAAAGGCAAAATAGGGCCAGGTGCAGTGTGGCTCACGCCTGTAATCCCAGCACTTTGGGAGACCGAGGCGGGTGGATCACCTGAAGTCAGGAGTTCGAGACCAGTCTGACCAACATGGAGAAACCCTGTCTCTACTAAAAATACAAAATTAGCTGGGCATGGTGGCAGGTGCCTGTAATCCCAACTACTCGGGAGTCTAAGGCAGGAGAATGGCTTGAACCATGGAGGCGGAGGTTGCAGTGAGCCAAGATTGTGCCACTGCACTCCAGCCTGGGCAACAAGAGCAAAACTCTGTCTCAAAAAAAAAAAAAAAAAAAAAGGCAAAATAGCAAACTGAATAAATCATAAACTACATTTTTAAAATAAAATTAAAAGAACAATTAAAGGCTGAAACAGTGGCTCATGCCTGTAATCCCAGCACTTTGGGAGGCCGAGGTGGGAAGATCCCTTGAGACCAGCCTGGGCAACATAGTAAGACCCCGTCTCTTAAAAAAAAAACACCAATTAAAATTGATGAGAGTAGAAATAATTTTTTTGTTTTATTCTTTATCCTTTTCTATATTTTCTATATTTTTGCAGCCCAATAAATGTTTTTAAAATCACCTCTGAACTTTTACTACTAGTGCTTTTTTTTCTACAACTTTATACCATAATGAGATTTCTGATGGTGCACAAAGACCTGCAGTTTATATAATAAGTGACAAATCATTTTTACTCATTAGATAATTGCATATTAAGTACCTTTGTGTTTTAATATCTATTATCTTAGAGGATAACTGAGTTAATCAGTAGAGTTTACTTTAGACTGAAATAATAATTGTACAGTTTAGTCTGAATGACTTCAACACTTTAAGCAGACCCCTCCCAGATGGCAGCCTGCAGGACAGATGGTCTGTCAAAGGTTCCTGGCCTCTGCTACCTTTGTCTTGGGTCATATCTCTGGGCTCCATCCTTTATCTCACTCTCTTGGCCATGTCTGACTTCCGTATAGGTTCTTCAACTCAAATCAGGTTCCTAATATCCCCAGCGCTCTTGTATTGATGTCTTAACACTTCCCTTCTTCTAGCAGGGCGTGGTGGCTCACGCCTGTAATCCTAGTACTTTGGGAGGCCGAGGCGGGCAGATCACCTGAGGTCGGGAGTTTGAGACCAGTCTGACCAACATGGAGAAACCCCCATATCTACTAAAAATACAAAATTAGCTGGGCATGGTGGCGCATGCCTGTAATCCGTTACTTGGGAGGCTGAGGCAGGAGAATCGCTTAAACCCAGGAGGCGGAGGTTGCAGTGAGCAGAGATCACACCATTGCACTCCAGCCTGGGCAACAAGAGTGAAACTCCGTCTCAAAACAAAAAACAAACAAACAAACAAAACAGTTCCCTGATTCTTCAGCTTGATCCCTTTGACATGATAGTTTGAGACTGCAACCTAGACCAAGACCATGTAGAGAATTTCCTGAGGCTCAGTGTTTGCTTAGAGTCTTGTCCCAGGTCTCCAGAGTTCCTGCCTGGCATGGCACCCCCAATAAGCTAGTAAGGCACCTGCTCCTTGATTGGTCCTCCTTGCTTACCCTAGCTCAGCTAGTTCTCCAAGAACAGTCTTCTAGGCCAGTTGAGAATGTGTCTGGGCCAGCTCCCCATCCTGAGGATCTGGCACCCTCCGGTGGCCATGGGTGGGTGCACCTAGCCTAGCAGTGAGTTTCAGTGCTAGAGCCTGCTAAAATGTCCCCAGGCGTATTAGCACCCTCCAGTGACAGTTTAATGGAGCTACTTCAGAGAGCTGCTATCAGATCCTGGCATGCCTTACTTCTGCAGGGTCCCTTGTAATTCAATTCACCTCCTGCAACTTGCTGATGTATCAAGATAGACTAAGATCTATGTTCTTAAAGGAGAAGGCTTTTGAGGTTTTGAATTTGGCAGGAAAGTCATAAGTACTAACCTGAATGCCAGATACTGAACTAAATGCTTTATAAACATTATCATAAATAATCTTCACAACAACCCTGGAAGGTAGGCACCTATTTTTCATCTCCACCCTCTAGAAAAGGAAATCAAGGCTCATGGGGTTGGGGGGCGGTTATATAGAAGTCAAGGTTAAGCTAAAAGGCCAACAGTTCCCTGTTAGTTGATGGCTTAGCTTGGGTTTAAAACCAGCTCAACCTGACTCAAGCTGACTCAGGTCCTATGCTTTAACAAGCCATACAGTCTCTTTAGGACATTGGGATGCTCTCAAAGATCATCATATATATATAGAAGTTAGTCTGTATGAAGAAGAAAGATTTTTTTTCCCCCGAGATGGAGTCTTGCCCAGTCGCCAGGCTGGAGTGCAGTGGCACAATCTCAGCTCTCTGCAGGCTCCGCCTCCCGAGTTCAAGCAATTCCCCTGCCTCAGCCTCCTGAGTAGCTGGGGCTACTGGAGTGTGCCACCATGCCTGGCTAATTTTTTGTATTTTAGTAGAGACAGGGTTTCACCATGGTTTTACCATGGTCTCGATTTCCTGACCTCGTGATCTGCCCACCTCAGCCTTCCAAAGTGTTGGGATTACAGGCATGAGCCATCACACCCGGCCTAATTTTTGTATTTTTAGTAAAGACGGGGTTTTACCATGTTAACCAGGCTGGTCTCCTGGTTAACCATGAGGTCTCCTGACCTCATGATCTGCCCACCTTGGCCTCCCAAAGTGCTGGGATTACAGGCGTGAGCCACTGACCTCAGCCAAGAATTTTTCAAAGCTGGGCATGGTGGCGTACACCTGTAGTCCCGAGGTACACGAGAGGCTGAGGCAGGAAGATCCCTTGAGCCCAGGACTTGAAGGCTGCAGTGAGCTATGATGAGTGCCACTGCACTCCAGCCTGGGTGATAGAATGAGACCTTATCTCTGAAAACAAAGCAAAACAACAACAAACTAAACTTATAAAAAAATATGTAGAGAGAAGCAGAGACAAGAGTTAGAGCTAGAGTCCTGACAGGGCTTGAGCTCTCGGTTCTAGTTGTTCCTGAGGCCCAAGAATACCATTGTCCTTTTCCAGACTTGGTTTTTTCATCAGATACTCCAGCCCTTCCAATAAATTCCCCTTTATAGACCAGTTTGATGTGGCTTTCTGCCACTTGTAATGTAAGAGCCCTACTAAAACAGGAAAGAAGTAGGGGACTTTGGAATACAGTCTACGTACTAACACCCACAGCAGCATTAGACAGGATACTGATGATCCACAGTCTGATCCACACTGTTATTTTGGTTGCAAGAAACAGACAGTCAATTTACTAGAGACAAGTTACTCATTACTCAAAGACAATTCAAAAGGATGGTTCATAGGAAAAACAAATGTGTACCACACCCTGAGTCAACTGAACCTCACAGCGTTGGAAAGGATTGGAACTACAGCAGTAGCACTAGGGAACAGCCACTGCCTCCTTTCTCTAGGGCTTTTTTTTTTTTAGATGGAATTTTATTTTGCTCTTGCTGCCCAGGCTGGAGTGTAATGGCACAATCTTGGCTCACTGCAACCACTGCCTCCCTGGTTCAAGCCATTCTCCCGCCTCAGCCTCCCAAGTAGCTGGGATTGTAGGCATGCACCACTATGCCCAGCTAATTTTTTTTATGTATTTAGTAGAGACAGAATTTTACCATGTTTGTCAGGCTGGTCTCAAACTCCTGACCTCAGGTGATCCACCCGCCTTGGCCTCCCAAAGTGCCAGGATTACAGACATAAGCCACCACACCCGGCCCTCTAGGGGCTTTTTAACCTCTCAGTGAATCAGCACCACCCTCTCTGGACCAGCCTTTTCAGCTTATTCCCGTTGCCCCTGGCTGAAAAAAAAAGAAAAAAAAAAGCCACTCTAGCTCCCGAAGCTCTGTGGCTTTTCAGTTTCAGCTCATAAAAAATCAAAGCTTTCCTTTGTGACACTTTATTGTGAGTTCCCAAGAGGGAAGATTTGACTTCTGCTTAACTTTTTAAACCAAAGCTCAAGAGGCATAGGTCACTGGATACAGCTTAAGGCCACACCCGTGGACCAGGTGACCAATTCGCTGCAGTCATGGTCATGTGGCCCATTGCCCACTCAGTAAGTTGAGTGGGTAGGGATTTTACTCCAAAGGGATATGGGGAAGGCCAGTAATAATTGGCATCTCTAATCAAGCCTACTTAATTGTAATTTTAACTCTTGCCAGTAAGAAAAATTAAACACGTTGTAAACATGGGCAACCTATTCCCCAAAGACCCTCTCTAATTATCTAGTTGGCAAGAGGACTCACCTTCTGGTGCTTGTAGGCATGTGTGTATTCTCTAACTCAAAGTGCACCTTCTTCAAGTCCCCAGTCTCGCCTGCACCTGCCTTAAACACTGTGCAGTGAGCTAGACTACTCCACTCACTTGGGAGTCTATTAATTTTTTTTCTCCCCTTAACCACACTAAAGACTTTGCTTAGTAAAGCATTTTGAAGATTTAGAAAGTGACAGCTCAGTCTGCTTAGGATTTATATCCCAAACAGATGTGCCAAGAAGTCATAGGAATCAAACTGCTATTCTGTGAGTAGAATAATATATTAACTTGCCTTTTAGTAGTTTCGATTACACAGCTGTACAAATTGCAATGGAGTCTTCATAGCTAAAGTTGCTTTTATCAAAAGCACATTGCTTCTTCAAGGTGGAGGTTTTAGCATAGCAGGCACCCTGGGGGACATGCATGCATCCTTATAAAATACTGCTCATTACTTGCAATAAAATCTTCCAGGTAGTTGAGATATGGTAGTTCTGAATTCACCTTGAGGAACCCTCTGCCCTTCATCATCAGATATATATATATAACTGTATATTATTTCACAGTGAAAATAAGGAGTTCCTCAATAATGGTACCAACATCTTACACTTTGGTCTCTGTGACTCTCAGTATTCTCGACTGTCAAATTGGGATATTGATACCCATCTTACAGGGTTGTTGTAAGTAGCCAATGAAACAATGTTTATAAAGAGCTTAGCAGCTGGGCGCGGTGGCTCATACCTGTAATCCCAGCACTTTGGGAGGCCAAGGCGGGTGGATCACGAAGTCAGGAGATTGAGACCATCCTGGCCAACATGGTGAAACCCCGCCTCTACTAAAAATACAAAAATTAGCTGGGCATGGTGGTGGGCATCTGTAGTCCCAGTTACTCAGGAGGCTGAGGCTCAGGAGAATCTCTTGAACCTGGAGGTGAAGTTTGCAGTGAGCAGAGATGGTGCCACTGCACTCCAGCCTGGTGATAGAGCAAGACTCTATCTAAAAAAAAAAAAAAATTATACTAAAGGAAGAATCCTCCACAACTTTTATCCAATAATTGTTACTTGGCTAGAAATATTGTGTGAACATCTATTTTTGGTAACCTGGAAAGCTGGATAAAGGGCCCATTAGCTAAGATATATTAAATCTTGATTTGAATTACAACTAACATACATTTTTAATTTTTTCTAGGGTTTCATGAAAGGGGTCAAAAATTTTTTAAAAAGTGAGTTCAAACAAGAACGGGAAACAATAAGCATAAAAGTCGGAAAGGCCAGTACCAGCCAGTACCAGTCCTAGAACAAGGAGACTAAGCTTGGAAGTGCACTGCAAGGTGTGGCAATTACACCTGAGTCATTGAGCCTGATTCTGCAAAGGGAGCTTCAGAGATCCCTGATCAATTTTATCTGAGAGCTCCCTACAGAATCAAATGCAGGTACTCTCTGGAGGAAAGCAACTCTCAGTGCGTGTCCTTGGGATTTCCACAATTAAGTTAAATAAAATATAAGCTCACAATTAAGAAAAAAATCATTGGAATCACTGGCTGGGCGCAGTGGCTCATGCCTGTAATCCCAGCAGTTTGGGAGGCCAAGGTGGGCAGATCATGAGGTCAGGAGTTCAAGACTAGCCAGGCCAACATAGTGAAACCCCGTCTCTACTGAAAATACAAAAAATTAGCCATGCATGGTAGCATGTGCCTGTAATCGCAGCTACTCGGGAGGCTGAGTCAGGAGAATCACTTGAACCCAGGAGGTGGAGGTTGCAGTGAGCTGAGGTCATGCCACTGCCCTATAAGACATCATGAGTTAGGATGAATAGAAACAACAAACAATAAATTTGTATCTGTAAGAAATGAAGAATTGGAATCAGAATTGTCATATACAGATTATTAAGTAAGATTTATGAACAACTTAAAGAAACCAAATATGGAATGAAATAGAGAAAGAAGCAAGGAACTATTAAAATGACCAGAAAAATTAGAAAAAGAACCAAATAGAACTTTTAGGACCAATATATATAGATTTTGAAATTAGTGACTCAGTGAATGTGTTAAAAATAGAATAAAAATAGCTAAAGACAGAATTAGTGACCAGGAATTTATATCTGAGGAAATCACCCAAAATTCAGCACAGCAAGTTAAAAGGCATGGAGGTTAAAAGGCATGGAAGGCAGAACAAAATTTAACATATGTCTAATTAGAGTTCCAAAGGGAAAGAATAGATAGGAAAAAGGCAATATTGAGAAGTATCAGTTCAAAAATTTTCCTGAGGCCAGGTGCAGTGGCTCATGCCTATAATCCCAGCTCTTTGGGAGGCTGAGGCAGTTGGATCACCTAAGGTCAGGAGCTCAAAACGAGCCTGGCCAACATGGTGAAACCCCGTCTCTACCAAAAATACAAAAATTATCTGGATGTGGTGATGGACACCTGTAATACCAGCTACTCAGGAGGCTAAGGCAAGAGAATTGATTGAAGCCAGGAGGCAGAGGTTGCAGTGAGCTGAGATCATGCCACTGCACTCCAGCCTGGGTGACAGAATGAGACTCCATCTCCAAAGAAAAGATTTACTGAACTGATTAAAGATGAATCCATGGACAAAGAAAGCACAGCACATATCAAGAATGACAAACAGAACTCTACACCTAGACATATTGTGATGAAACATCACCAATGCCAAAAATTAACACCTTAAAAGTCCCAGAGAAAAAAAGCCAGAGCACCTAAAAAGAACAAAGAAGCTACCAGAAGACTTTTTTTTAAAAGGAAACATAACAATAGTTATATTAGTGCTCACAATAGCCCTACGTAGTAATTACTATTATTGTTTCTATTTTAAGATAAGGAAACTGGCTGAGAGAGAAAGCCCAAGGGCCTACAGATATACAGCAACAAGGATGTAGCTTAGAAACACAATGCTGAGAGGAAAAAGCAGGTAATAAAACACTGCTTCAGCCATATGTAACAAAGTTGATGAATCTTAGAAACACTGCTAAGTGAAAAAAGCAGACGGCAGGAGATTGCATACAGAGTATAATTTTTATAATGCTCACAAACAAAACTAAATAATATATTGGTTAGAAATACTGACATGCGGCAGGGCGTGGTGGCTCACGCCTGTAATCCTAGCATTTTGGGAGGCCTAGGTGGGCAGATCACCTGAGGTTGGGAGTTCAAGACCAGCCTGGCCAACATGGTAAAACCCCATCTCTACTAAAAAATACAAAAAATTAGCTGGGTGCAGTGGCACGTGGCTGTAATCCCAGATACTTGGGAGGCTGAGGCAGGAGAATTGCTTGAACCCAGGAGGCTGAGGCTGCAGTGAGCCGAGATCATGCCACTTCACTCTAGCCTGGGCTACAGAGCGAGACTTCATCCCCCCCCCACAAAAAAAAAGAAAGAAAGAAAAGAAAAGAAAAAAAGAAATATTGACTGTGCATGATGAAATTACTTTTAAAATGCAAGAGTGAGGCTGGGCATGGTGGCTCAGGCCTGTAATCCCAGCACTTTTGGAGGCCCAGGCAGGTGGATCACTTGAGGTCAGGAGTTTGAGCACAGCCTGGTCAACATGGTGAAACCCCCTCCCTACTAAAAATACAAAAATTAGCTGGGCGTGGTGGCACAAGCCTGTAATTCTAGCTACTCAGGAGAATGAGGCAAGATAATGCTTGAACACGGGAGATGGAGGTTACGGTGAGCCGAGATTGCGCCACTGCACTCCAGCCTCCAGCCTGGGCGACAGAGCAGGAACTTGTCACACACACACACACACACACACACACACACACACACACACACAAAGCAAGAGTGAAATACTCAAAATTCAGGATAGTGGTTACCTCTTGACAAGGGGGATAGAAGAGTGGGATAGGGAGAAGAACAAGAACAAGGTAAAAAGGCAAAAGTAATGTTCTAGTTCTTACACTGGGTGGCAGGGAACAGGGACTCATTTTATTATATTTCACATTTACACATCACCTGTATTCTTTCATATGCATCAAATGTCACATAAAAAAATAAAATAAGGCTGGGAGCAGTGGCTCACACCTGTAATCCCGCACTTTGGGAGGCTAAGGCAGGCAGATCACCTGAGGTCGGGAGTTGGAGACCAGCCTGACCAACATGGAGAAACCCCATCTCTACTAAAAGTACAAAATTAGCCGGGCGTGGTGGCACACGCCTGTAATCCCAGCTACTCGGGAGGCTGGGGCAGGAGAATCGCTTGAACCCAGGAGGCAGAGGTTGTGGTGAGCCAAGATCATGCCATTGCACTCCAACTCCAGCCTGGTCAACAAGAGCGAAACTCAGTCTCAAAAAAAAAAAAAAAAAGAAAAAAGAAAATAAAAATAAAACAAACTACCAAAGGACTAATTTTAACTGGATTCCTAAAACATACATTTGAAAACACTGGTTCATCCTTCTGATTGATGGTTGAGGGATATAATCAGACTGTAGAACTTAACTGCCAATTTTTTGTAGCAAATCTTGAAAAGCCTTGCTACATAATTTTTTTCTACAAAATTATTAAAAGCTTTATTTACCACTGGAATCATTCAACAAAAAGCAAAAGCAAATGAGCCTGAAAAAGGAGCTAAGCAATTACTACCTAGGGTTGTCATGAGCACTGATAAACTATGGTTATATTTCCTTTTTTTTTTGATTAGTTGAAGACAATGATGCAAGTCATTGCTGGCCTGGGATTTTAAATCACTGCTCTTGTATGTTCTCCCCAAATGGAATGGTCTATTCATACAGCTTTAATAACAGGTATGCTATTCACATCATTTGAATGGGTATCTTCAAGTTTATATTCCAGATGGCAAAAAAAAAAAAAAAATTCTACATAGAAAAAAATATATTTATAGGACAACTGCATTAGGAATAATTAGTTTCATTTTGCATTTGGTGTCATGTAATTAAAGTTGGTAATAAATGAAAAAAGTTGGTGTCATTTTTTTCTTTTGGTTACTGTCCTGCTAAAATATTACAAAAAGTCAAATTAAAAACATATAACAGGCCGGGCGAGGTGGCTCATGCCTGTAATCCCAGCACTTTGGGAGGCTGAGGCAGGCGGATCAAGAGGTCAGGAGATCGAGACCATCCTGGCTAACACGGTGAAACCCCGTCTCTACTAAAAACACAAAAAATTAGCCGGGCGTGGTGGCGGGCGCCTGTAGTCCCAGCCACTCGGGAGGCTGAGGCAGGAAAATGGCGTGAACCCGGTGAACCTGGCGAACCCGGGAGGCGGAGCTCGCAGTGAGCCGAGATCTCGCCACTGCACTCCAGCCTGGGTGACAGAGTGAGACTCCGTCTGAAAAAAAAAAAAACAACCATATAACAAAATTGTTTTCTTTTGGTGGTAGGATTATAAATAACTTCACTTTTTGGCCAGGCATGGTGGCTCACGCCTGTAATCCTAGCACTCTGGGAGGCCGAGGCAGGCAAATCACCTGAGGTCAGGAGTTCAGGAGGTCAGGAGTTCAAGACCCAGCCTGGCCAACATGGTGAAACCCCATCTCTACTAAAAATATAAAAATTAGCCAGGCATGGTGGTGGGTGCCTGTAATCCCAGCTACTCAGGATGCTGAGACAGGAGAATTGCTTGAACCCAGGAGACAGAGGTTACAGTGAGCCGACACAGTGCCACTGCACTCCAGCCTGGGCGACAGAGTGAGACTCCCTCTCAAAAAAAAAAAAATTCACTTTTCTCATATCAATATTTTATGAACCAATTAGTTCAGTTTTAACGTAAATAAATACACCTGGTTTTCAATCATAGTAAGAGATTTACTCAATAAATTCTACATGAATGTATTTGTACTGGACTGAATTTACATATTAATCAAGTTCGAATTGCTTTTCTAGATCAATTTTATGCAAATATATTTACTACTATTTAAATATTTTTCTTAATAGAAAGTGCCCAAATGAAAATCACTAATTAACAATTAGGAAGCAAAATCAAAATTGTTAGATATTTTCACATTTCATCTTAGAGAAAGAACTCTTTGAAATGGTATTGTCTTATTTTTCAATCCTTTTAATAAATTAAAAATTACTAGACTAATTTAAAATGATTTTTCCTATTACCTGCATTTCCTTCATACTTTAATAGTTTATAATTGTCATTAAAACATCTTTGGCTGGGCATGGTGGCTCACGCCAATAATCCCAACACTTTGGGAAGCTGAGGTGGGTGGATCACATGAGGTCAGGAGTTCAAGACCAGCCTGGCCAACATGGTGAAACCATGTCTCTTCTAAAAATACAAAAATTAGCTGGGCATGATGACACACATCTGTAATCTCAGCTACTTGAGAGGCTGACGCAGGAGAATCACTTGAACCCAGGAGGCGGAGGTTTCAGTGAGCCAAGATCGTGCCACTGCACTCCAGGCTGGTGACAGAGTGAGACTCCTCTGTCTCAAAAAAAAAAAAAAAAAAAAAAAAAGAAGAATCCTTATACACATATTTATGCTGAACTACCTGGTAATATAGATAATAATTCATTCCATTGTATTGGGCCCAGTGATTCTCAACTAATCTTCTTGATATCTTACTGATGCTATGGTATTAAGAATTTCTTTATACATGAACGCAAAGAGGGGAAAAACAGACACTGGGGCCTACTTGAGGGTGGAGCATAGGAGGAGGGAGAGGATTAAAAAAATAACTATTGGGCAGGGTGTGGTGCCTGTAATCCCAGCACTTTGGGAGGCTGAGGTGGACAGATCACGAAGTCAAGAGTTTGAGACCAGCCTGGCCAACATGGTGAAACCCTGACTCTACTAAGAATACAAAAATTAGCCAGGCGTGGTGGTGGGTGCCTGTAATCCCAGCGCTTTGGGAGGCTGAGGCAGGAGAATTGCTTCAACCTGGGAGGTGAAGGTTACAGTGAGCCGAGATCGTGCCACTGCACTCCAGCCTGGGCGACAGAGCAAGACTCTGTCTTGAAACAAACAAACAAACAAAAAACCAAACAAAAACTATTGGGTACTAGACCTAGTACCTGGGGGATGAAATAATCTGTACAACAAACCCCTGTGACATGAGTTTCCCTATATAACAAACCTTCACATGTACCCCTGAACCTAAAATAAAAGTTTAGAAAAATTTTAAAAAGCACTTATATAAAAAAAAGAATACTTTCGTTAAAGAAAGGTACCTAAACAAGCTTAATATTACTTTTGCAAATAAGATTTCAAGACTCAATGAGCACATCAAGGAAATGGCGTCCGTTAGAGAAGCCTACCCCTTCCTATTGGGGGTTTCAGAGGTTACACAGTGCAACTAGGTTTAGGTGATAAATTTAAAAAGCAAAAGGATGTTAATGTAGCAGCTCTCTGCAATATAAGTAATATCTGTATCTTTGAAGCCTAATACTGAAACCAGATGCTCAGTTTTATGACTTCCTTCTCTCAAATGACAAGATAAGAAGAAAAACATATATAAGTCAGTTAGTGTTATCAGGAAGTGATTATTAGTTTTGCTGAAAACATAATGCCTTTGGGGCTTTGAATGAAAGTACTAATTTAAACCATTCCCAAAATGAATAAATATTCAAATGAAGTAGTGCATAAACTTTGCTTGCCTAGGACTAACATAAGTATTTGTGACTCTATCATGTGTGTTCTTTGGAATTTTTCTCTTTCATCTGAAAAAGTCTTTCACCTGGTTACTCTTTTGGAATCAAATTTAGACACAATGCTTGGATTTTTCCCTATGTATAATAAATCAATTAATGCAACTCCTTTCCATTAAGAACAGTCCACTAATAACTGAGTGAGCATGCTTTAAATTAACCTGATATTCAAGAGCCTGCTAAGTTTTAAATCTATGGATTAAAGTTTTACCATATCTAAATCTATGTTTTGTAAGAGTTACTCAAAGCGTATACATTTTATAATTAACATTTTAGCAACATCAGGATTGAAATTAGTGTCTTACAAGAATCTGTAAGCTCCTCAGAACAAGGACTATATCTTTCATATCTTTTTGCTCCCCAGAACGTCTGCTGGGGTGAGTTGGAGAGTTGTTTAGTAGTGAGGGGAGTTGGATTAATAACAGTAATGGGACAGGTAGGCCAGAAGGGAAGAGACGAAACAGCATGGAAAGTATGTGATTTCAGACTTAGTAAATGGGCAGAGCCCAGGGCTAAGAAAACATGGAAAAGACATGTGGGCAAGGATGAAATATAATTTTGTTCATCTTTAAATACAGTTATACGTAAAATACAGACATTGGCAAATTTCCCGAGTCCCACTCTTCTGGGGCTATGTGGATTTCAGTGAGTCAGGATGGCAGTGAGCACAGATGGAGGAAGAGACATTGCTGTTAGGTAAAGGTCCATCATTCAGTTGCTCGTGTCCATATCTTATTAGTGAAGTGCATGTGTGTGTATCTCAACCACAACTTCTGGTGTTCTGGGAATGTACATTTATTTTCCTATGATACTAAGTTTCTATTACAGGTTTCCATTCTATCAAGTGCATCAATCAGGATGTGGAAAGAAAACAGAAAGGTCGAGTGCGGTGGCTCACGCCTGTAATCCAAGCACTTTGGGAGGCCAAGGCGAGCGGATCGCCTGAGAACAGAAGTTTGAGACCAGCCTGACCAACATGGTGAAACCCCGTCTCTACTGAAAATACAAAAATTAGCTGGGCGTGGTGGTAGGCGCCTGTAGTCCCAGCTACTCAGGAAGCTGAGGCAGGAGAATCGCTTGAACCCCGGAGGTGGAGGTTGTAGTGAGCTGAGATCACGCCACTGCACTCCAGCCTGGGTGACAGAGCGAGACTCCGTCTCAAAAAACAAACAAACAAGCAGAAAACAGAAACTGCTGCAAATGTTTCAGGCAGGAAGGGATTTAATATGAGGAATAAGATGTTTATCACTCTTTGGAAAGGGCTGGGAGAGCAAAGGTCCGGGAAAACCACCACTAATCTGAGGAAATAAGGAAGTTGCAGAAATCTTAAAAAGCTATCTCAGCTGCCTGCATAGTCAAAGCAGAGGGAATTCAGCAAGACACCCAGAAGCCACTGTAAAATGTTCACAGAGGCCCACGTGCCTTTGATGTTGGAGGAACAATGGTGGCTTCTGCTTCTCTTTCACCTTTCAAACCTTACTGGAATGCCTCCCATTGACTGAATCTAAACAAGGTTGTTATCAGGAGAGCTTGGGGAAAGTAGTCACTACAAGTACTGGGAGTCTTACAAGAATAGAGATGCTTACAAGAATAGAGATGTTTCTGAGTACCAACAGACAATATCTGGCACATGGTGGAAATTTAATCTCAGTTAATTCAATGATCCTTTACTCTTTCCCTGGGTAACAAATGAGTTCTGGGCGATGTATGTATTGTCAGGCACTGAGGCAGTGGGTGGAAGGGAGAGCGTATTCAGTTTTTATGGGACCTGAAGTTTATGCAGCTGGGGAGGAGGGAGTCTATTAAAAACAATTAAAAAAATACAAAATGAGATGCAAATATGAATTTTTATTTAGAATGAGAAAAAAACCACCACAAAATATCAAAACATGATATTTTTATTATGGTGTTTTTCAGCTTCATAATTCATAATTGGTAATGTCATGTAAATGTTTAGAATTCTCCAGCCGGGTGTGGTGGCTCACGCCTGTAATCCAGCATTTTGGGAGGTTGAGGCAGGCAGATCACAAGATCAGGAGTTAGAGACCAGGCTGGCTAACATAGTGAAACCCTGTCTCTACTAAAAATACAAAAATTAGCTGGGCATGGTGGCACAAGTCTGTAATCCCAACTACTCAGGAGGCTGAGGCAGGAGAATTGCTTGAACCTGGGAGGTGGAGGTTGTGGTGAGCCAAGATCGTGCCACTGCATTCCAGCCTGGGCAATAGAGCGAGATTCTGTCTCAAAAAAAAAAAAAAAAAAAATTTAGAATTGTCAAGTCTGGTAAAACTTCTACCAAGTATTTTTCATCAAGTAGCTATAAGATTTTTGAAATATTAATCTCAATTTTTGAATTGATTAGCTGATTAACCAGTTTATCGTCGATGTCCTCATTGCAGTCATACAAGTTTTAAGCTATTTTTCTCAATGTTGGCACTTTGTGTCATATCTGAGAAATTTAAATGTTTTGGCTGGTCTGAGTGCAGTGGTGTTTACAACTAATTGATCACAACCGGTTACAGATTTCTTTGTTCCTTCTCCACTCCCACTGCTTCAATTGATCAGCCTTAAAAGAATTTTTTTTTAAAGAAATTTAAATATTTTCCCCAATGTGTTCATATGCTCTATTTCTCTTTATTAATTGGATGGTCAAAACAATCCAAAAGTCTATTACCTTTCTTTGAAATTTAGCTTGGCCTGTTAATGAATCATTGCTTTCATTATGATTTGAGATTTATTTTTGTTATAATTTACTTCTTGGTACAGAATCACGTCCATTTATTTCATTGCTGATCTTTATCACTCTGCTTCATACTTTATTAATTTTTTCATAACTGTAAATTTTTATTGGAATTTTCTTTCATTTCTTTAAAAAACACGTTTAAATTAAAATAAAAATTAGCCAGGCATGGTGGTGCACACCTGTAGTCCCAGCTACTCAGGAGGCTGAGTTGGAAGGATTGCTTGAGCCCAGGAGTTTGAGGCTGCAGCAAGCTATGGTTGTGCCACTGCACCCGAGCCTGGATGACAGAGCAAGTCCCTATCTCCAAGAAAAAAAGAAAGAAAGGAAGAAAGGAAGAAGGAAGGAAGGAAGGAGAAAAGAAGGAAGGAAGGAAGGAAGGAAGGAAGGAAGGAAGGAAGGAAGGAAGGAAGGGAAAGGAAAGGAAAGGAAGAAAGAAAAAGAAAGAAAGAAAGGAAGGAAGGAAGGAAGGAAGAAGGAAGGAAGGAAGGAAGGAAGGAAGGAAGGAAAGAAAGAAAGAAAGAAAGAAAGAAAGAAAGAAAGAAAGAAAGAAAGAAAGAAAAGAAAGAAAGAAAGAAAGAAAATATTTAATTTAATGATTACAAAACAGGTGTTTCCCAGGCTGGAATGAGTTGCAATCTCAGCTCACTGCAACCTCCGCCTCCTGGGCTCAAGCGATTCTCCTGCCTCAGCTTCTGAGCAGCTGGGATTACAGGCATACGCCACCACACTTGGCTAATTTTTGTATTTTAAGTAGAGACAAGGTTTTACCCTATTGCCCAGGTTGGTCTGAAACTCCTGGGCTCAAGTGATCTGCTGGCCTTGGCCTCCCAAAGTGCTGGGACTACAGGCATGAGCCACCGTGCCTGGCAGGAAGTATATCATTTAACTACATTTTAACTACAATAAAGACGTTTTGAAATGTTTCAGTGGCTGGGTGAGGTGGCTCATGCCTGTAATCCTAACATTGTGGGAGGTTGAGGTGGGCAGATCACCTGAGGTCAGGAGTTTGAGACCAACCAGGGCAACAGGGTGAAACCCTGTCTCTACTGAAAATACAAAAATTAGCCAGGACTGGTGGCACACACCTGTAGTCCCAGCTACTAGGGAGGCTGAGGCAATAGGATCGCTTGAACCTGGGAGGTGGAGGTTGCAGTGAGCCGAGATTGCGCCACTGCACTCCAGCCTGGGTGACAGAGCGAAACCCTGTCTCAAAAAAAAAAAAAAAAAGAAAGAAAGAAAAAAAAAAGATATATTTCCTTTTCTTTTTCTTTTTAAGATAGAATAGTTCTCTGTCACCAGGCTGGAGTGCAATGGCTCAATCTCGGCTCACTACAACCTCTGCCTCCTGGGTTCAAGCGATTATCCTGCCTCAGCCTCCCAAGTAGCTGGAATTACAGGCATGCGCCACCACACCCAGCTACTTTTGTATTTTTAGTAAAGACGGAGTTTTGCCATGTTGGCCAGGCTGGTTGCAAACTGAGTGAAACATCATCTCAAAAAAAAAAAAAGTAATTAAAATTTAAAATATGTTATCTTGCCGTACTAGTATCCACTTTTTCCTCTCCTAACTTGCCCCTCTGCCTTTCTGCACATTATCAAATGGGAACGGGGTAGGCTCCCGAGCATCACAGCTCCCTCTTCTCCTGCATCTATATTAAGTTTCCTTTCCTGCCCTACCCCAGCCATCGCCACCCCACTTGAACCTGCTGCTTGTTCAGTATCTATGAGTCTCCTACTATAGCCCCTTGAAAGAAATGACACCCTTGGGAAGCGTTTCCAAGGTACAAATCCAGAGAGTCTTGTAAAGAAATCCACCAGGCATATTATAAAGGTACAACTGTTGCAATCATCCTACTCTCTTTCTCCCTTTCTTTTCATCCATGTCTCTCTCTAATTCACTCCATCTTCAGTTGGGTCTGCAGCTTCCACACCTAGGCTGAGAGGTCACAGAAGCAGAGTGTCCCACATTCTCAAGCCTCTTTGTGATGACAGCAGCAGCTGGGAAGGCTAGTGAGGCATGGCAGGGAAATTAGGAGAGAAATGGAAACTCTAGACCAAGAGAGAGCAGGTGGTTTTTTGTTTTTGGTTTTGCTGTTCATTGAGAGGCTCTTCCCCAGATTTTGAGGTTCTGGGTGCCCTCTTATTTTCTGCAGGACAATGATAATTTGTCATCATACCATACCTCAGCCTTACCTTCTCCACAGTTCCTCTGTGTCTCTCAAGATCCACCTTCCCAATCTCTCACTCTCTTTTTTTTTTTCAGACGGAGTCTCCCTCTGTCGCCCAGGCTGAAGTGCAGTGGCCCAAACTCGGCTTACTGCAACCTCTGCCTCCCGGGCTCAAGTGATCCTCCTGCCTCAGCCTCCCCAGTAGCTGGGGTTACCCCATGCCTGGCTAATTTTTGTACAAAAGTTCTATTCTTATATGAAGGCTCCCATCCCTATGGCTCAGCCTTCAAGATCCAACTGAAAGAACGCATCATCTTCAAACCTTCCAAGATTCTTTAAAAAAAATTTTTTTTGAGATGAGGTTTCACTATTTTGCCTAGGCTGGTCTTGAACTTCTGAGTTCAAGCGATCCTCTGACCTCAGTCTGCTGGGATTACAGGCATAAGCCACTGCACCCAGCCACCTTCCAAGGTTCTAAACCTCTCCCCACCTCACCTCACCTCACCTTCACTATTATTTCAGCTGGACTATTCCCCACCCCTGAGTTTCTTGGAACATTTCATTTACCCTTCTGTTACAGCACCGATCACCTTGAGCCTTGTGGCATACTTTAAGCGGATGCCTCATTGCCCTTGACAGAGGTGGGTGACCACCAGCTGGGCAGGATCCCTGTCTGGTTTATACCTATGCCCGCTCTCCCCACCGGCACCTAACACAGTGTCCTTTCCATTGCAGATGTGTGATAATGTACTCTGAGTCAACCTCCTGGCCCTTACTCCACTACAGTTGCCTTCCCCTAGAGTCTGGGGCTCTGCGTGTGCTCATTTCAACTCCCTTGCCTACTTGGAACCTCCCTCTGCCCCTCTCCTGTCCTTTCCTGTTCTTTTCTGCCACAGTTTCCATCTTCCACCCCTGCTGCCCTGCCTGGTCTCCTAGTTAAAGGAGCCGGCAATGCTCCTTTAAAGACACGCCCTTTTGGCCTGGCGTGGTGGCTTATGCCTGTAATTCTAGCACTTTGTCCGGCCAAGGTGGGCGGATCACTTGAGGTCAGGAGTTCGGAACCAGCCTGGACAACATGGTGAAACCCTGTCTCTACTAAAAATAGAAAAAAATAGCCGTGCATGGTGGTGGGCGCCTGTAATCCCAGCTACTTGGGAGGCTGAGGCAGGAGAATTGCTCGAACCTGGGAGGTGTAGGTTGCAGTGAGCCGAGATTGCGCCACTGCACTCCAGCCTGGGCAACAAAGTGAGACTCCGTCTCAAAAAAAAAAAGAAAAAAAAAAAAGATAAGCCCTTTTGCATGGTGGCTCATACCTGTAATCCCAGCATTTTGGGAGGCTGAGGCGGGCGGACCACTTGAGGTCAGGAGTTTCAGACCAGCCTGGGCAACATGGTGAAATCCTGTCTCTACTAAAAATACAAAAAAATTAGCCCAACATGCTCCCTTGAACCCAGGAGGCAGAGGTTGCAGTGAGCTGAGATCGTGCCACTGCACTCCAGCCTGGGTGATGCAGTGAGACTTTGTCTCAAAAATAAAAATAAAATAAAAATAAAGCAATGATATGCCCTTTTGGCAGTTGTGAACTCTCCTTCTACCTCCTGCTCTTCCTGATGTTTACACCCTTAGCTCTGCTGATATCGGCTGCTCTAGAAGTTTGCACTAACCAGATTTCACCTGTTCAAAATGATAGGCAGGAAGACCTCAAACCTCAACTTGCTCCCAGGCTCACCCAGCCCTAGGAAGGACTCTTCTTGGAACTGAGCCCAACATTAATAATACGGTAAAATGGGGAGGCAAGAGTAGCACCTGCCTTATAATCATGGTACATTAGACTTTTAATGTAGGTCGTTTTTCTTGTGGGAGGCAAGATCTAACTTGTTCTACATATGAATCCATGTAATGATAAGCTGTGATATACTGTAACTTACATTTACCCTTTTGCTGATCTCAAAATACTAAACTTCAAAGAAGAAAATATGCCTGTGAGGACTGAATAGTCTGAATTTTTCTAATCAATGAAACACACACACACACAAAGAGCTTTTTAGAGAAATTTTTCTAAACATGACTCTGCTGTAATTAGAGGAAAGGTGTACCTGTCATGTTTTACCAATGAGATTCTTGGGCTTAAAGAGGTTTGCTGTCTGGTTCAAGGTCCTAAAGAAAGTAACTGAATCTGCTCCACTGATTCAGTACAATGAAGAGTTCAAACAAGGTCCTACAAAATGATCTCCTAGCCAAATTCTCAGTTTCTTACATATGATGCCTAAATTCCCCTTCTTAGGAAGAACATTGACAATGTGATGTAGGGTAAGTTATTATAATGGAAATCAACATAACTATAGCAGATCATACCAGTTGCCTACCCCAAGTACATTCTCTCCTTCTTCCTTGCTACTTCCCTACTTCCTTTATTACTGAGGGCATCAATGCACCCAGCTAAAAGACCAGATTCCCTTTAAAACTATATGGCCTCAGCCGGGCACAGTGGCTCATGCCTGTAATCCCAGCACTTTGGGAGGCCGAGGCAGGCGGATCACGAGGTGAGGAGTTCGAGACCAGCCTGACCAATGTGGTGAAACTCCATCTCTACTAAAAATACAAAAATTAGCTGGGCATGGTGGTGGGTGCCTGTAATCCCAGCTACTCAGGAGTCTGAGGCAGGAGAATGGCATGAACCTGGGAGGCAGAGGTTGCAATGAGCCAAGATTGCACCACTGTAGTCCAGCAACAGAGCAAGACTGTCTCAGAACAAGCAAACAAACAAAAACTATATGGCCTAATGACTAAATTCTGAACAATTAGATAAAAGCAGAAATGTTATGAAGGACCTGGGGACAGACTCCATAGAGGTAAACTTAATCAGCTGGGAGATGTGATCCTTTTGCCCTTCCCCCTTTTTTTCTGCCGGGAATACAGATGTGATGGCTGGATTTCCAATAGCCATCTTGAACCATCACTAGCTATACACTAGAATGGTTGATTTGTAAGACAGAAGGAACCCGGGTCTAATAACTGTGAGGCTACCAAACCAGCCCTGAACACCTCATCCATATGAAAGATAAATGAACTACCTTAGTTATGCCATTTTTTTAAAAAAACTTTAGATTCAGGGGATACTTGTGCAGGTTCATTACATGGATATATTACATAATCATGGGGCTTGGGCTTCTAGTATACCCATCACCCAAATAGTGACCATGGTACCCAATAGGTGATTTTTCAACCCTCACTCCCATTCCCACCCTCCCCCCATTTGGAGTCCCCAGTGTCTATTGTTTCCATCTTTATGTCAATTTGTACCCGCTTTTAGCTCCCACTCACAAGTGAGAACATGCAGTATTTGATTTTCTGTTTCTCAGTTATTTCACTTAGGATAATGGCCACCAGCTCCAACCATGTTGCTGCAAAGGACATGATTTCATTCTTTTTAAAATCCATTGTTATTTTACATTTTCAATTATATGCAGCTGAATCTAATCATGACTGACAAAATAAACAGGCCTAGTAACACATTTTTATTGAGTTTTAAATGGACAAATTAGGAAGTACTTAAATATTTTTCTGTCTGTCAAATACATTATTAAATGACTATAAGCCTGTCTATTTTAATTTTTAAATAATATCTATTCCCGGCCGGGTGTGGTGGCTCATGCCTGTAATCCCAGCACTTTGGGAGGCCAAGGCGGGCAGATCACATGAAACCAGGAGTTTGAGACCAGCCTGGGAAACATGATGAAACCCTGTCTCTACTAAAAATACAAAAATTAGCCGGGCGTGGTGGCATGTGCTTGTAGTCCCAGTTACTTGGGAGGCTGAGGCAGGAGAATCACTTGAACCAGGGAGGTGGAAGTTGCAGTGAGCTGAGATCACACCACTGCACTCCAACCTGGGCAACAGAGCAAGACTCCATCTCAAAAAATATATATAATAATAATAATAATAATAATAATAATATCCTTTCCCTTTGCGGGTGTAGTGACTGTAAAGAGGCACAAGGAAGTTCCTGGGATGCTGATACTGTTTGTTTCTTCATCAGATATGTTCAGTTTGTGAAGATGCACTGGCTGTATGCATATTTGAAGTATTCATATTTCTCTCTATATATATATTATACATCAATAAAAAGTTTCAAAATATACTCATTGTAAATTTATCTTTTTGAGCAGAACTAACCAGTTTAGGTAGGATTAAAGATTTTAAAAGGCTAAATACTCTGAGAATTGTGAAGATTAAATGAATAACTAATGAAAAATGAATGGAAATTAGTTTTAACCGATTTATTTATTATTTTTTATTTTTTTTGAGATGGCGTCTCACTCTGTCCCCTAGGCCAGAGTGCAGTGGCGCAATCTCTGCTCACTGTAAGCTCCGCCTCCCGGGTTCACGCCATTCTCCTGCCTCAGCCTCCTGAGTAGCTGGGACTACAGGCACCCGCCACCACGCCTGGCTAATTTTTTGTATTTTAAATTTTAGTAGAGACAGGGTTTCACCGGATTAGCCAGGGTGGTCTCGATCTCCTGACCTTGTGATCTGCCCGCCTCTGCCTCCCAGAGTGCTGGGATTACAGGCGTGAGCCACCGTGCCCGGCCAGTTTTAACCTATTTAGTTACGCATCCGTGAAAATTTCTGGAGAACCTACTATTCATCAGGCACTCAGCTATTACTCTTGGTGCTAACCTAATTGTTTGCCAATTTTTGTTTCATTCCTCCCACTAGACTATAAGCTTCATGGGGACAGGGACTAATCTGTTTTGTTCCTGTTGCACACACAGTTGTCTAACACTAATCTGTTTTGTTCATGGTGTACACATAGTTAACACAGTGCCAGGCAATAAATGTAATGGCTTTTAATGGAATGAATAACTGAGTTAATATATTATAGGTTAAATAACCTCTTGTGGACCACTAGGAAACTGGATTTCAAGTTCCAAAACAACTGATTTTCATGTGATCTTTTGGAATTCATTTGTAAATTATGGGCAATCTATGGCTCTTCAGCATCAATATTCAATCATGAAGTACAAGTGAAATTTCAGGTGATTCTCTTAAAGCTTAGGAAATTATAGTGTCTAAAACATAAGGCTAGCTGCGGTGGCTCACGCCTGTAATCCCAGCACTTTGGGAGGCCGAGGCAGGCAGATCACCTGAGGTCAGGAGTTTGAGACCAGCCTGACCAACGTGGAGAAACCCCGTCTCTACTAAAAATACAAAATTAGCTGGGCGTGGTGGTGCATGCCTGTAATCCCAGCTACTCGGGAGTCTGAGGCGGGAGAATCGCTTGAACCTGGGAGGCAGAGGTTGCAGTGAGCCAAGATCGTGCCATTGCACTCCAGCCTGGGCAACAAGAGCAAAACTCCATCTCAAAAAAAAAAAAAAAAAAGGGCCGGGCGTGGTGGCTCACTCCTGTAATCCCAGCACTTTGGGAGGCCGAGGTGGGCGGATCACAAGGTCAGGAGATCAAGACCATCCTGGCTAACATGGTGAAACCCCGTCTCTACTAAAAATACAAAAATTAGCCGGGTGTGGTGACGGGGGCCTGTAGTCCCAGCTACTCAGGAGGCTGAGGCAGAAGAATGGCATGAACCTAGGAGGCGGAGCTTGAAGTGAGCCGAGATTGCGCCACTGCACTCCAGCCTGGGTGACAGAGCTAGACTCAGTCTCAAAAATAAACAAATAAATAAAATAAGATTAAAAAATAAAAGGGTGAAAATCATAATGCAATTATCACAAGAAACTGTCAAAAGCCCTTAACTACACTAGTTAAAAAGAGTGGAACAGATTAACTTCTTGATATCATAATGAAAAGGCAAACACTATGACTAACACACACCATATCAAAATAGAACATTTTCGTTGCATGGCAAGAAAGAAAAGATGTCTGTGTTTTAAGCAATCAAAGAACAAAATTGAAAATGCAAGCAACTGGAAAATGGCAGTCCCTAGAAATTCTCTGTTAAAATACAGTAAACATATGACTATAAATTTTCAATATAATTTAAAGCATTCTCCTTGGTAGGTTAAAAAAATTGTCTAGATTCAAAAAGAGAGAAATATCAGTTTAACATCTGTAGGAGTCTTATTTTGGGAGTGCATACTCAGCCCCCCATCCTTTCTGTGGAAACTGCCTCTTGACAAAAGGGCAAGCCTAGACAGTCATTTTTGTCAACCACTCCTACCATGGTGTATTGGACAATTGAAGATGTCTTCACCTAAGCTGAACCAATGAGAATCTTTATCCTGAGAACCTTAATCAGAAAGCCTTAAGTCTGTAGGTAGTGGTGGGCTCTAGAACTGGAAGGCCAACTAGAGTTGGAACTGAGGTTGGCACTACGGCTAACCAAAGTTTAACAAAAGCCAAAATTATGGGGAAGCAGAAAGTATAAATAATCAAAGGAAGCCCACTTGAAAAAAAAAGGAAAATGGAATATATATGCCAACAAGAGCAGAAGCAAAAGATGCTGGTTGAGGGGCATGATAGAAAAATGAGTTCTGTTCTTGAATTTTCGGTTTCTGTGAACTCTGGCTGACTTTCTTACTTTTAAAATCATTCAGGTAATTAACTAACACTCCTGTCCCTGCCCAGTTGCCCCAATTCTACATTTTTTGAGACAGAGTCTCACTCTGTTGCCCAGACTGGAGTGCAGTGGTGCAATCTCTGCTCACGGCAACTTCTGCCTCCCAGGTTCAAATGATTCTTGTGCCTCAGTCTCATGTGTAGCTGGGATTACAGGTGTGCACCACCACACCTAGCTACTTTTTGTATTTTTCATAGAGAAAGGGTTTCACTGGGCACGGTAGCTCACGCCTATAATCCCAGCATTTTGGGAGGCAGAGGCGGGTGGATCATGAGGTCGGGAGTTCAAGACCAGCCTGGCCAAGATGGTGAAACCTCGTCTCTACTAAAAATACAAAAATTAGCCGGGCGCAGTGGCAGGCGCCTGTAATCCCAACTACTTGGGAGGCTGAGGCAGGAGAATCACTTGAACTCAGGGGGTTGGAGGTTGCAGTGAACCGAGATCACGCCACCACACTCCACCCTGGGAAGCAAAGTAAGACTCCGTCTCAAAAAAAAAAAAAAAAAAGAGAGAAAGGGTTTCACCATGTTGGCCAGCCTGGTCTCGAACTCCTGACCTCAAGTGATCTGCCTACCTCGGCCACCGAAAGTGCTGGGATTACAGGCATGAGCCACTGTGCCCAGCCTCCAATCCTACTTTTTATTGGAACAAATATTTCTTCAGCATCTACTATTTGTCAGACACTGTTCTTTGTACCAAGGATATAGTAGTAAATACAAGAGAGAAAAATCATGAATTTATTGGGGTCGAGTGGGATAATTATAATGAATATATAAACATAATTATAATGCAGTGTAGTGAATGCAATAAGCCCAAGGTACTATGAGAGAAGAATATCTTTTTTTTTTTGAGACAGAGTCTCACTCTGTTGCCCAGGCTGGAGTGCAATGGTGTGATCTTGGCTCACTGCAACTTCCACCTCCTGGGTTCAAGCGATTCTTCTGTCTCAGCCTCCCAAGTAGCTGGGACTACAGGCGCCTGCCACCACGCCTGGCTAATTTTTGTATTTTTAGCAGAGACGGGATTTCACCATATTGGTCAGACTGGTCTTGAACTCTGACCTCAGGTGATCCACCCGCTTTGGACTCCCAAAGTGCTGGGATTACAGGTGTGAACCACCACGCCCAGCTGAGAGAAGAATATCTTACTTGGCTTATGGTGAACTTCACCAAACATTTTATTTGAAATCGTTTAAGTAGAGTTTTGTATCTTGCAACCAAAAGAATCTGCTTGGGCCAGGTGCGGTGGTTCACACCTGTAATCCCAGCACTTTGGGATGCCAAGGCAGGCGGATCACTTGAAGTCAGGAGTTTGAGACCAGCCTGGCCAACATAGTGAAACCCCGTCTCTATCAAAAATACAAAAATTAGCCGGACGTGGCAGCGCATGCCTTGAGTCTCAGCTGCTCAGGAGGCTGAGGCAGGAGAATTGCTTGATCCTGGGAGGCAGAGGTTGCAGTGAGCTGAGATTGCGCCACTGCACTCCAGCCTGGGTGACAGAGTGAGACTCCGTCTCAAAAAAAAAAAAAAAAAAAAAAAACCCAGAAAAAACAACAACAAAAAAAACCCAGTCCTGTGCAGTGGCTCACGCCTGTTATCCCAGCACTTTGGGAGGCCGAGGTGGGAGGATCACCTGAGGTCGGGAGTTCGCAACCAGCCTGACTAACATGGAGAAACCCCACCTCTACTAAAAATACAAAATTAGCTGTGTGTGGTGGCACATGCCTGTAATCCCAGCTACTCGGGAGGCTGAGGCAGGAGAATCGCTTGAACCTGGGAGGCGGAGGTTGCAGTGAGCCAAGATCGCCCCACTGCATTCCAGCCTGGGTGACAGAGTGAGACTCTGTCTCAGCCTCCCAAAGTGTTGGGTTACAGGCATGAGCCACCTTAACATATATGTGTGTGTGTGTGTGTGTGTGTGTGTGTGTGTGTGTGTGTGTGTGTGTATTCTACAAAATTAGTGTGGCGCTCCTCCCTCCCCAGGTGTGGCTAAAAATGCAGACAGCTTACCTAGGTTAAATTTAGTCTCCATCACTCATTAACATGTGACCTAGAACATATTACATAATCTGTGTTTGCTTCTGTTTTTTATTTTACCTCATGGGATTTCTGTGAAGACTCAATGGGAAATTCATATGTAGAGCTTTAGAAGTATACCTGACATTTAATAAGTACTCATCAATTGTTAGTTGCCATTTTGATTATCGCTGTGGCTGTTATGTTAATCTTGTGTGTGTTGCAATTTGAAGAAGTGTCAGCTGGGAAAGTCTGGGTAGCGGTACTTGCGTGTGATTTCCATATTTAAAGTCTGGTCCTCAGCTTTGCTAAACTAAATTTTGTTAGTATACACAGAGACCAGCTCACATGAGTCATACTAGCACATATATATCAATGTGCCAGTTATTTTGTCACAACAAATTTTATTGTCACACAGGACATTCTGGTGAAGGTATTGGCTCCACTGACTTGACGCAGCTATCAGAGACCCAAGCAGACCACTCTCTTCCCATTAACATATTCTCTTTACAAGCACTGTAAAATATTATTATTTTTAAATTTTTTTGAGACAGAGTCTCTCTCTGTCGCCCAGGCAGGAGTTCAGTGGCGCAATCTCAGCTCACTGCAACCTCCGCCCCCCAGGTTCAAGCGATCCTCCTGCCACAGCCTCTTGAGTAGTTGGGATTATAGGCACCCACCACACAGCTAATTTTTGTATTTTTAGTAGAGACAAGGTTTCACCACGTTGACCAGGCTGGTCTCAAACTTCTGACCTCAAGCGATCCACCTGCCTCGGCCTCCCAAAGTGCTGGGATTACAGGCGTGAGCCACCACGCATGGCCAAAAAATAGTAGTAACCTCTCTCTAGGCCTGCTCCCTGAGGGTGCTTACAGGTCACCTTGATTGGATTTTGGGTGTGCCCAACCCTTCAGTTTTATTTTAACAGCAGATTTCTCAGCTCTGTCATTCCTGCTGATGGATAATCTCATCCATCACCTTTTGAGTGTTTTCTAATTTTATTTCTCAGAGAGAAACCTCAACTTCAGCTTTAGGGGTGCAGTCATTGCTAATATGAAAGATCATGTCAACCATTTACAAATAACTTTATTCAATTTAAAATTACTGTGTACTTTCAGCCATGATAAAATGAAGTAGTATTCCTTCAGTTGAGTCTAAAATTGTCTTCTCCCCATCTTCTTGGAATCCTTGCTATTTAGATAACTCCAGAGGGGCAAATGCTTAAAGTATTGACTCATCTACGTGAGAGAGAGTGCTTGGCACTTAAGTATGCTTTAATAGCTATCACTCTACGGAACAGATGTTTGTATGTTTCGTGGGCATCATAAATATTAAGAACGATGCTATAAGGTTTAGAAAGCATTTTCCATTAATTGTTAATGCTCACTGCATGGATAAGAGAGGGAAATTCCTTGGGGGAAAATCAAGAGACATTTTTATTTCTAACATTACTGTATTTCGATTTCAGGGCTGAAACTGGAGAGAATTAGTCTCTGATTTCTGGAATATTATATGAAAATTCTAATTACTGTAATGCTTGAGTGTCCCTTGTTCCTTATAGCTCCGTATTGAGATATGTAATGTGTAGTGATAATAGGAAACATGGTGGAAGGAGAAAGCAGGGGTGGATTCAAAGGCCAGTTCCACCTCTTCCTGGCTCAAGGATCATGGATTTACTTAGCCTCTTCGAATTTAGTTATTTAACCTGTAAAACAGAAGCTAATAAAAATGACCTCATGGAGTTATGACAATTTTTTAAAAATGTGTAAAAATGCTAGGTCAATTCCTGGATTGCAGTTAATTCTTCTTTGCATCAAATTAGAGATAGTAAGTGCTTGGTGTGGGCTATGCTCAAAAAAAGCCAATGTGTGCCTAAATTCTTTAAATTTTTGGCAAGTAAAGATTGCTTAGTGTTTCTTACCATCACATAGAAAGCTTTGCCCAGTAGGCTGGGTGCGGTGACTCATGCCTGTAATTCTAGCACTTTGGGAGGCCAAGGTGGGCTGATCACCTGGGGTTGGGAGTTCAAGACCAGCCTGACCAACATGGAGAAACCCCGACTCTACTAAAAATACAAAAATTAGCTGGGCATAGTGGCACATGCCTGTAAACCCAGCTACTTGGGAGGCTGAGGCAGGAGAATCACCTGAACCCGGGAGGCGGAGGTTGCGGTGAGCCGAGATCGAGCCATTGAACTCAAGCCTGGGCAACAAGAGCGAAACTCAGTCTCAAAAAAAAAAAAAAAAAAAAAAGAAAGCAAGCTTTGCCCAGTGAGACTTCAGGTCCCATATGCAGGTCTAGTGCCTGTCGATCTTTCCTATCTGCCCATGGCATTTATTCACTCATTTATTGAGGGCCCACTAGGCACTATAAAGGCAATATGGTGTCTGACCTAAACAAGCTCATAGTCTTGTAAAGGACATTGATGCAAAAACAATTACAATGTCATGGTAAGTATTACCTCTAATCAAGACAAGTTAAAGGGTGGGGGAAGGTCAGAGGGAGTACACAGTTCTGTTTAGGTAGGGGAAAGAAGCATATTAAGGAATAAGAAATCCAGGTACCCAGGGCACCAGGACATACTGGATGCCACGAAAATGAGAAATGTGCTGGTTAACTCAGGTTTCTGTACAAAACTCTTTACCTTGCTAGTAAAAGATAATTTGCTTCTGCTTGCACCAAAGAAGACAATGCTTTCAGATGGAAATTAACAAAACAAAACAGAAGACAAAAACCTCCTCTCTAGAGCTGACCTATGTCTGTTGATTAGTTTTATCATGAGCAGCTGCAGATGAAGTCAACTGAAATTCTGAAATCAAATCATGCATAGCACCAAGCTGTTTTTTTCTGGAATGAATTTTAAACTGTTGAACAAAGTCTAAATTTTAAATCCTTTGGTACATCTCCCAAATGGTCTGATTCAGTAAATTGCAAAAAAAAAAAAAAAAAAAAAAAAAAAAGAGAGAGAGAGAAAGATAGAAAGAAATGAGAATAAGAATTATAGAAAAATGAAGCTGGGCACAGTGGCTTACGCCTGTAATCCCAGCACTTTGGGAGGCTGAGGTGGGTGGATTACTTGAGGCCAGCATTCAAGACCAGCCTGGTCAACACGGTGAAGCCCCGTCTCTACTAAAAATACAAAAATTAGCCAGGCGTGGTGGAGGCGCACATCCGTAGTCCCAGCTACTAGGGAGGCTGAGGCAGAGAATCGTTCGAACTGGGGAGGCAGAGGTTGCAGTGAGCCGAGATGGCACCCCTGCACTCCAGCCTCGGTGACAGAGCAAGACGTCGTCTCAAAAAAACAAACAAACAAACAAACAAACAAAACACACACAAAGAAAAGGAAAAGAAAAAAGAGAAAAAAAAAAAGACCCTTGGCACGGTGAATCTGGGTGAATAGAGAGCATTTATTTTTCTTAGTCTTCTCAAACTTCTTTGAAGGTCTGTCTACACTTGCTGTCTCACTTTCTACCCATTCCTCAATTCACCACAACATGGCTGCTGCCTGCGCCACACCAGGTAAAGGCTCCTTCCACTTCACCAACAACTTTCTTTTTCTTTTTTTTTTTGGCAAAAGAGCTTTATTTACACACTGGCACAAGGCTCGTGGGGTGTCAGCTGAAGAAGTAGGTGGAACGCTTCACCTGCTCCAGGTCGAAGGCCCCTGGCTTGGGCACCGCCTGCAGTGTCTCCTTCAGCTGGCTGGCCTAAAAGATCTTCTGGGGCTCAGAGCAGAACCGCTTGACCAGGAACCTGGACAGGTCCTGCAGGATGGGCTCGCTGTGCAAGCGGACAAACTGCTCCCGGCACACCTGGTTCATGACAAGAGACATCAGCTGCGTGCGTCCAGTAACAGTCGTGCACAGAGACGAAGGTCAGGCCCTTCCTGTAGCAGTGCAGGGCGGTGAGCATCATGTGTGAGGAGTCCAGCGAGTGGATGAAGTTGGGCGGGAAGCCGTTCTTCTGCTTTCGTGTGTTGGGCTTTCGGCTGATGTCTCCGTTGTGGGTGTAGGTGATGCTCTGAATTCCACCTCCTATTTGCTTGACCTTGGAGTCCAGGCGATACGGCTGGATGACGGGGACGCCCAGGGGTGTGACCCACTCCACCACGGAGCCCGTGTGGGAGATGAGGCGGGCGCTCTCGGTCAGCCAGTGCTGGATGGCCCGGGTCCCCGAGAACATCTCCTGTAGACTCTTGAAGACCTGGCGTACGAGATAGTGGGAGGCCTCCCACACGAACTCCTGGGGAAAGTCGTTCAGCTCCCGGAGGCGCTTCTCAATCTGCAGGCGCCCGCCATAGCGGGTGACCCCGTACACCATGGTCATCACCGTCTGCTTCACCACCTCGCGGGTGATGAAACCTTCCAGCACCTGTGCCACCCGCGTGCCCCGCTGGGCGTCTTGCCTACGGAACACCTCCACCTGCCCAGCCACGCCGCTGTACACGTCCTGCGGCACATCCGAGGGCTCCAGGTTGACGGAGGCGGCGCCCACGCTGTCGCGGCCCAGAGCAGCATAATGCTGCAGGCCGTTGCAAGAGCCGTCCTGATGGACGGGGAGGTGGGAGACATAGGCGGCAGGGTCGGAGGCGCGCACAGTGTTCGCCACCTCCATACAGCAGGCCAGCGTCTGCCAGGGTTCCTCCGCGCCCATCCACCACTTTCGGCCCGTCAAGGGTTGGTCCGCGGAGTCCAAGATGTCATCCATCACCTCCTCCGCAAAGGCCAGGCGCTTCCGCAGAGGCTCCCGCTTCTTCAACCCCGTGAGGTTGACCAGGTGGATCTTGAGCCAATCCAGGCCGCGCGGGCCGAGCGGGCGGCCCTGGGCGAACTCCAGCAGGGCCCGCGCCACGTCGCTGCCCAGGTGGTTGAAGTGCGGCGGGCAGGGGTAGGTGCGGCTGCGGAAGTCCATGTTGTGCGGCCGCCAGAAGACGCGGTCCCGCAGGTGCTGCGCCAGCGAGAGGCGGTACAGCGCTTCCGCCCGCAGGCTGTGCATCTCCCGGGCCACCTTCTGGCAGTGCGCCAGCTCCCGGTGCAGCTCGGCCTTGCGGGCGGGCGCGGCGCTGTGCGGCAGGTGGGCTTCGGGCGGCTGGGGCGCCTCGGAGGGCGGGGCCGGCACGCCTAGGTAGGGGCAGCCCTTGGCCTGGAAGAGCTGCAGCACCAGGTCCAGCACGCGCCCGTTGACGCGCCAGGCGCAGTTGCCCAGTTGGGCGAGGGCGTCCAGCGCGCCATGCAGCGCGGTGGGCGGGCAGGTTTCCAGCAGCTCCTGGTGCTGCGTGGCGCCTTCCACCGTGCGCATCAGCTTGGTGGGGCTGAGCAGGAAGGCACCAGAGTGCGGCGATGTCCAGGGCAGCGGGGGGCAAAACATGGGTACATCCACCGCCTCGAAGGTCAGCGTGGGCTCCGTAGCCTTCTCCAGCAGCTGCACGTAGGCCGGGTGCGGCTTCAGGATGCCGATCTGCTGGACGTTGCGGAAGGAATACACGTGGTAGACCACAGGGACAAGCCGAGAGGAGCGATGCGGCTTGTCCAGGCTGCATGGCATCTGCGTAGCCTGCACCAGCATCTCCGCCAGCAGCTTGCCCAGCTCCATCTGCACTGGCAGGGGCCAGGGCTGCTCCCGCAGGGCCTCGGGCGCCCCCAGCGCCTCACAGTACTGCCGCGGCAAGCAAGGCTCGGGCACCTCGGCGTCGGAGGCCAGCAGGCATAGGTACTTCCTGTAGTGGTTCTGCAGCGCCTGCACCTGGGCACTGACCCGCTGCCTCTGCACCACGTGCCGGCTGAAAGTGCGCGCACTCAGCTCCCGGGCCAGGGTGGTGAAGGACTCACCTTGGGCGGGCAGCGCCTGCAGGACCTGCAGGAGCATCCGCACCACCTCGCACTCGTCCAGCAGGCACAGGAAGGGGTACAGTGAGAACCGGCCCTCGTACACCTGGCGCTCTAGGCGGTTCTTGGTCTCCCGTAGCTCCCGGCACAGTGCTTTCTCCCATTGGTCCCGCAGGGTCTTCAGGGTCTTCCGCGCGTGCGTGACCTCCTTGCTTGGCAACGTGGGCTTCTCCACGGACACCACGCACATCCTGCTGGCCAGCTCCACGTGGAGCTGCTTCTCAAAGAGGCACTGCAGGGTCTTCAGGGGCAGGTGCAGCTTCGGGTAGGACACACGCCCATCCTTGGCATACACGTCCCTGAGCAGCTTGGAGGTGTTGACCGGGGGCGGCAGCTGCAGCGGGAGGCTGAAGGTGGGCTTCACCTTGTGCACGGCCTTCAGAACAGTGGCCCGATCCTCCTCAGACAGGGGCACGGCGGTGAAGAGTGCCTGCAGCTTCAGCCCCTCCTGGCTCATCTGTTCCAGACACCTTTCGATGGTCCCGGCGTCCTGGTCCTGCCTCCCCATGCACTGGAGGGCAGCCGCATAGGACAGCAGGTCCGGGGTCAAGCCGGCATCCTTCACCATGAATAACACATACACCAGCTCCTTGAAGGCACCCTGCCGCGCCCAGCCAAGCATCACGGCGTTGTACATGTCCAGCGTGAGCAGCTTCCGCTTCTGCCGCTGGCCGTGGTGGACCACCAGCAGGTGGTGGGCGAGGGGCAGTTGGTCAGTGAGCAGGCAGCACTTGAAGAAGGCCAGGAGCCTCTGCTGCTGACCTGAGAGCTGGGCCTGCGAGTGCTGCGCCGACGGGGCCTGCTCCACATCGAGGCTCAGCTTCCCAGGGGCCTCCTGCAGCAGCCGGGCCAGCTGCTCCTCCCAGGGGCTCTCGGGGGGCCTGGCGCGTGCAGTGCTCCAGGCACCCGGCCATCTGCTTGCTCAGGAGCCGGGGCTCCACCTGCAGGCGCCTGGTCAGCGCCTTGAACTCCCCGCTCTGGAATGGCATCTGCAGCTTCGCCTTCAACCGCTGCATACGCATCTGCTGGGTCCGCTTATCCTTCTCCAGTCTCTTTGCCCAGCGGCCACAGGGCACCGGGGTGGCATCCTTGACCCCCATCTGGACCTTCCTGGGTGGCTGGAGGCTACCACCTCCACTGCCACATTCTGGGAGCCACGCCACATCCACCCTGTTCACCACCACCTCCGACACGCTCCCAGCCTGCAGCTGCCGCACCCGCGCCTGGAGCACCTCCAGCAGCTCCACGTGGCCCCAGTCCTTCCTGCGGTCTTGGTCTTGCTCCTGGGGGCTGGCGGATGAGCTCCTCCTGGGGCCGCAGACGCCACCGACGGTCCCTTCTTTGGCGGGGAGTCCCGGGCGGCCGCAAGGCCGCAGGGCCCGTTTGAGCCCCGCCGCTCCACAACTTTCTTGTTGGTAAATACAGGGGGCATTTCTTCAGATCTTAATTGATTTTTCTATACTCTGATTGCTTCCTCTTTCTGAGATGCTTGCTTCTCTTGGCTGCGTGGAACCATAGTCTCCTCTTTCTGCTTGCTCCTTCTTAGTTTCCTCTTGGGCTTTTTTTCCTTTGCCTGACCCTTATATGTTCGAGCTCTTAGAGATGGTCCTAAGTCTCTACTCTTCTCACCTTCACCCTCAACCATGGACATTGAAAGATTCTCCCCGGGGCCTGAAAACTTAAGGGAATGAATAACTCCTCCTTACTCAGGCCCAGTGCCAAGGCTCAAGGCCACTTGTACCAGCAGCGTGCGTCAGCAAGATAGCAGAAGCAGGAAGACAGCTGGCTGGAGGACACATACGCCGGAAGATTGAGAGGGAGGCCGTACGGGTACTACATAGCAGACACGTCAGACTGGGACACTGCCTGTTTACAGAGGACTATAAAACCCCTGCCCCGGACTCACTTGGAGCTGACGCCATTTTAGGCCTCAGTCCACCAGCACCCAGGCGCTTATTGAGACAGCGTGTTGTTCCACACCGCCTCACGTTGTCTGTTGGCGCGCTCTGCTCTCGCGGTTCGAACGATACAAGAGCCTTGCAGACATCTCATTTTATGGCTTTCTTTACTCTTTAGAAACAAATGACTCAAAAATCTATCATCTCTGGCCAGTCGCGGTGGCTCACGCCTGTAATCCCAGCACTTTGGGAGGCTGAGGCGGGTGGATCACAAGGTCAGGAGATCGAGACCATCCTGGCTAACACAGTGAAACCCCATCTCTATTAAAAAATACAAAAAACTAGCCGGGCGTGGTGGCACACACCTGTAATCCCAGCTACTTGGGAGGCTGAGGCAGGAGAGTCGCTTGAACCGGGGAGGCGGAGGTTGCAGTGAGCCGAGATTGCGCCACTGCAGTCCGCAGTCCGGCCTGGGCGACAGAGCGAGACTCCGTCTCAAAAAAAAAAAAAAAAAAAAAAAAAAAAAAAAATCTATCATATCTACCCTGATTCCTTTGGTGAGACCCAAATGCGACATTCATCTGCCTTCTAGATATCACCTAGATGACTTATAGGCACCCCAAGCTCCAAAATGGAACACATCCTTTCACCTCAACATCTGTTTCTCCTCTAGTGTTACGTAGCTTATTAAATAACTTTACCATGAACTTGGTTGACCACACCAGAAACCCGGGAGGTCTCCTTCAAATTGTTTATTCTCTCTCCTCCACCCCCAACCTGTCCATTATAATCAAATATGAAATTTTGTCACCTTGAAACCCTAAATATTTCTTTTTTTAACTTTTAAAAAAGCTTGGTAAAATACACACAACATAATTTTTTTTTTCAAGATAGGGTCTTACTCTGTCACTCAGGCTGGAGTGCAGTGGTGCCATCATGGCTCGCTGTAGCCTTGACCTCCCAAGCTCAAACAATCCTCCCGCCTCAGCCTCCTGAGTAGCTGGGACTACAGGTGCCTGCCCCCATGCCCAGCTAATTTCTGTATGTTTTTTAGAGAAGGGAGGAGGGGTATCACCATCTTTCCCACGCTTGTCTTAAACTCTTGACCTCAAGCGATCCTCCCACCTCAGCCTCCCAAAGTGTTGGGATTATAGGTGTGAGCCACCATGCCTGGCCCAGGTTTACCATTTTAACCTTTTTGCTTGTTTGTTTTTTGAGACGGAGTCTCACTCTGTCTGTCGCCCAGGCTGGAGTGCAATGTTGCGATCTTGGCTTACTGCAACCTCTGCCTCCCAGGTTCAAGCGATTCTCCTGCCTCAGCCTCCCGAGCAGCTGGGATTACAGGCATGTGCCACCACGCCTGGATAATTTTTATATTTTTAGTAGAGATGGGGTGTCACTATGTTGGCCAGGCTGGTCTCAAACTCCTGAGCTCAAGTGATACAGCCACGTTGGCCTCCCAAAGTGCTAGGATTATACGCATGAGCCACCATGCCTGGCCCCATTTAAACCATTTTTTAACCGTACTATTCTGTGGCATTAAGCACATTTGTGTTGCCGAATGGTGCAACCATCACCAATATCCATGTGTAGAACTTTTTCATCTTCTCTGGTTGAAATTCTATACCCATTAAACATTAAATCTTCACTCCCTAGTCTTCACCCAGACCCTGGCAGCAACCATTCTACTTTCTGTCTCTATGAATCTGGTACCGCATATAAATGAAATCACACAGCAGTTGTCTTTGTGTTGGCTTCCTTCACTTAGCATAATATCCTCAATGTTCATCCATGTTGTACCACATGTCACAATTTTCTTCCTTTTTTAAGACTGAGTAGTACTACATTGTATGGATAAACTGTATCTTGTTTACTCATTCATCGCTTGATGGACTCTTGGGTTGCTTCCACCTTTTGGCTATCGTGAATAATGCTTCTGTGAACGCAAGTGTACAAACATCTGTTTGAGTCTTTGTTTTCACTTCTTTTGGGTATATACCCTATATCCACGAGTGAAATTATTGGATCATGTGGAAATTGTTTTATTTTTTGAGGAGCCACCTTATGATTTTATTTTCTTTTTTTTTTTTGAGACAGAGTTTTGCTATTGTCGCCCAGGTTGGAGTGCAATGGCATGATGTTGGCTCACTACACCCTCCCCCTCCCAGGTTCAAGTGATGTTCCTGCCTCAGCCTCCCGAGTAGCTGAGATTACAGGCATGCACCACCACACCTAGCTAATTTTTGTATTTTTAGTAGAGATGGGGTTTCTCCATGTTGGTCAGGCTGGTCTCGAGCTCCCGACCTCAGGTGATCTGCCTGCCTCGGCCTCCCAAAGTGCTGGGATTACAGGTGTGAGCCACCTTGCCTGGCCCATATGATTTTCTATAATGGCTGCACCCTTTTACATTCCTACCAGCAATGCACAAAGCTTCCAATTTCTCTACATCCTCACCAATGCTTGTTTTTGTTTGTTTGTTTTCTGAGACAGTCTTGCTCTGTGACCCAGGCTGGAGGGCAGTGACATTGAAAGAGGAGAAAGGAAGAAACCGGTCAGGCACACAGTTAGGGTGGATCCTTGGTTGAATTCTTTCAAACAAAAGAACAGCTTGCAGGCACAGATAAGGGAACTTGCACAGGGGGGCTTGCCTAAGACATGCCCACAGCTGCACAGATAAGAAAGGCTATGCAGGGCGGGGCACGGTGGCTCACGCCTGTAATCCCAGCACTTTGGGAGGCCGAGGCGGGCGGATCACGAGGTCAGGAGTTCAAGACTAGCCTGGCCACCATAGTGAAACCCCATCTCTACTAAACATACAAACATTAGCTGGTCATGGTGGCACGTGCCTGTAATCCCAGCTACTCAGGAGGCTGAGGCAGGGGAATTGCTTGAACCAGGACCTGGGAGGTGGAGGTTGTAGTGAGCCAAGATGGCGGTGCCACTGCACTCCAGCCTGGGCGACAGAGCGAGATTCCGTCTCAAACAAACAAACAAAAAAGCTATACAGGTGACTTGCCCAGACATGCCCACAATGGAAAATTCCATCCCCTGACACATGCGCAGTAAAGGGAACAAAGGAATATAGAGTAATTCAAGCTAAGGACCCGCATGCTAACTAGGAGGACAGCGTGGAGCTACCACAAATTCATGCCTTATGCAAATGCAATAGCCAGCCCTCATCAGTTTCTTATAAAAGCCTTTGAATTCAACTGTAAAAATGACAACCCTCTTCCAAGTCCCCTCTTTGCAGCAGAGAGCTTTCTTCTTTTGCTTATTAAATTTTTGCTCCAACTTCACCCTTCATGTCCATACTCAACTTTCTTGGTTGTGAGACAAAGAACTTTGGGTGATACCTTGGACTACAAGAGACTGCTACATTGTGGCACATCGGTGACACTAACAGCATGACCATGGCTCACTGCAGCCTCAACCTCCCATGCTCAAGTGATCCTCCCACCTCAGCCTTCCCAGTAGCTGGGACTACAGGCACACACCACCACGCCCGGCTAATTATTTTATTTTTTGTAGAGACAGTGTTTTGCTGTGTTGCCCAGATATATCTTGAACTCCTGGGATCAAGGAATCCTCCCCCTTCACCCTCCCATAGTGCTGGGATTACAGGTGTGAGCCACTGAGCCCTGCTTGTTGTTTTGTTTTGCTTGAGATGGAGCCTCGCTCTGTGGCCCAGGCTGGAGTGCAGTGGTGTGATAGCTCACTGCAACCTCCACCTTCCAGGTTCAAGCGATTCTCCTGCCTCAGCTCTGAGTAGCTGAGATTACAGGTGCCCACTGCCATGCCCGGCTAATTTTTTTTTGTATTTTTAGTAGAGACAGGGTTTCACTATAGTGGTCAGGCTGGTCTCTTGGCCAGACTAGTCTGGAACTCCTGACCTCAAGTGATCCACCTGCCTCAGCCTCCCAAAGTGCTGGAATTATAGGCGTGAGCCACCGCACCTGGCTCCTGCTTGTTTTTATAAGTGTCATCCTAATGTGTGTGAAGGAGTATCGCACTGTGCTTTTGATTTGTATTTCCCTAATGATTAGTCGTGTTGAGCATTTTTCATGTGCTTATTGGCCATTTGTAAATCTTTAGAGAAATGTCTATTCACTTCCTTTGCCCATTTTTGGATCAGGTTGTTTAGTTTTGCTGTTTTTAAGTTGTAGGAGTTTTTTTTTGTTTTGTTTTTGTTTTTGTTTTTTTTGAGACAGAGTCTTATTCTGTCACCCAGGCTAGAGTGCAGTGGCCCAATCTTGGCTCACTGCAACCTCCACCTCCCAGGTTCAAGTGATTCTCCTACCTCAGCCTCCCAAGTAGCTGGGATTACAGGCTTCCGCCAGCTCACCCAGCTAATTTTTGTATTTTTAGTAGAGATGGGGTTTCACCATCTTGGCCAGGCTGGTCACGAACTCCTGACCTCATGATCCTCCTGCCTTGGCCTCCCAAAGTGCTGGGATTACAGGCGTGAGCCACAGTGCCAGGCCAGGAGTTCTTTATAAATTCTGAACATCAATCTCTTATCAGATATATGATTTGCAAATCATTCCTCTAAGGCTGCCTTTTCAGTTTGTTGATAGTGTCCGTTGATACACAAAAGTTTTTAATTTTGATGAAGTCCAATTTATCTATTTTCTTTTTTTGCTTGTGCTTTCGGTGTCATATCTAAGAAATTATGAAATCCGATGTCATGAAGCTTTCCTCCTATGTGTTCTGGTAAGAGTTTTATAGTTTTAGCTCTTACATTTAGGTCTTTGATTCCTTTTTTGTTAAAAATCTAATTCAGATAATGATGCTCCTCTACTCAGGAGCCTCTGATCATTTCTTATCTCAAGCAAAGTAAAAGCCAAAGTCCTTAGGCAAGGACAAAGCCCTGTGCTCTCCCCTCACCTCTCTCTAACTTTATCTCCTTCTACTTTCTCCCCAGTGCCCAAGCTGCTCACAGCCTCAGGGGCCTCCTTGCAGTCCCTCTGGCAGGCACCAGCTCCCCAGGGCTCCTTCCCTTACCCCTATTAAGTCATTGGTCAAATATCTTCTTAAAGAGGCCTTCTCTGATCATCCTATTTAAAAGTTAATTCCACCCAAATGCCTACACTGTATCCTTCTTTCCAGCCTTTTTCCACCCATAGAACCTATCCTTTGCTAACATACTATATATTTTATACTTATTTATTATTTATTTATAGTCTATTCCCCTCCAGCCCAACTAGAAAAAAAATAGGGATTTAAAAAACAGGGATATCATTAAAAATGAAAATAGGGATTTAAAAATTAAAAAATAGAGATTTCAGTAGCCGGGCGCGGTGGCTCACGCCTGTAATCCCAACACTTTGGGAGGCTGAAGCTGGTGGATCACCTGAGGTCAGGAGTTTGAAACCAGCCTGGCCAACATGGTGAAACCCCGTCTCTACTAAAAATACAAAAAATTACCTGGGCATGGTGGTGCATGCCTGTAATCCCAGCTACTTGGGAGGCTGAGGCAGGAGAATTGCTTTAACCTGGGAGGCGGAAGTTGCAGTGAGCTGAGATCGTGTCATTGCACTCCACCCTAGGCAACAAGAGTGAAACTCCGTCTCAAAAAAAAAAAGAGAGATTTCTGGCCAGGTCTGGCTCACATCTGTAATCCCAGCACTTTGGGAGGCCAAGGTGGGAGGATCACTTGAGCCCAGGAGTTTGAGACCAGCCTAGGCAACATTGTGAAACCCTGTCTCTACAAAACAATACAAAAATTAGCTGGGTGTGGTGGCTCGTGCCTATAGTCCCAGCTGTTCAGGAGGGTGACATGGGAAGATCTCTTGAACCTAGGAGGTTGAGGCTGTAGTGAGCTGAAACTGCACCACTGCACTCCAGCCTGGGCAACAGAGTGAGATGCTGTCTCAAAAAAAAAAAAATTGGGATTTCCATTTGTTTTGTTCAGTTGTATACCTGGAACCTAGAGTGATTTAACAAATGAATAAAATAAATGGATTGTACTGCATATTTACCTGTTTCCTTCAGGAGACTCTAAGTTCCTTGCAGGTAAGATTTATGCCCAAGGTTATATTCACTTTTGTATTTACAAATTTACAATGGGCAACAAACCAGTCTCTGATACTTATAAGTGTCTTGGTAGTCAATTATTTGTGAGATACTGAACAAATTACAATACAGTCTGACAGTCTATAAAAAGACACTGTCAGGCCTGAGCCCAAGCTAAGCCATCATATCCCCTGTGACCTGCATGTATACATCCAGATAGCCTGAAGCAACCGAAGATCCACAAAAGCAGTGAAAATAGCCTGTTCCTGCCTTAACTGATGACATTCCACCATTGTGATTTGTTCCTGCCCCACCCTAACTGATCAATTGACTTTGTAACAATACACCCTACCCCCCTTGCCATAATGTACTTTGTGATATTCTCTGCCCCCCCATTCCCCCCCCGCACCCCCCCCACCCCCGCGAATGTACTTTGTACAATACACCCTCCCCACCCTTGAGGAGGTACTTTGTAATATCCTGCCCTGCCTTTAAGAAGGTACTTTGTAATATTCTTCCCCCAACCCCCCCCCCTCCGGCCGCCCCATCCCCCCTTAAGAAGATACTTTGTAATATTCCCCCCACCCTTGAGAATGTACTTTGTGAGATCCACCCCTGCCCGCAAAACATTGCTCCTAACTCCACGGCTTATCCCAAACCTATAAGAACTAATGATAATCCCACCACCCTTTGCTGACTCTCTTTTCGGACACAGCCCCCTGCACCCTGGTGACTAAAAAGCTTTATTGCTCACACAAAGCCTGTTTGGTGGTCTCTTCACACAGACGCACGTGACAGACACTTTCATATATTTCCATGCTTTGAGAATAGGAAGTAAAACAACTGGACTTTTGAAGCAGGGCAAGTGTGTAGCAAGGCAAGGATGGAGACCACCAAGTCCACAGACAGAACCAGAGCTAGCTTCTTGTGTCTTGGGAATAATTCACACATGTATTTATTTATTTATTTATTTGAGACAGAGTTTGACACTGTCACCCAGGCCTGAGTGCAATGGCATGACCACCGTTCACTGCAACCTCTGCCTCCCGGGTTCAAGAGATTCTCCTCTCTCAGCCTCCCAAGTATCTGGGATTACAGGCACACACCACCATGCCCAGCTAATTTTTGTATTTTTAGTAGAGATGGAGTTTCACCATTTTGGTCAGGCTGGTCTCGAACTCCTGACCTCAGGTGATCCACCCACCTCAGTCTCCTAAATTGCTGGGATTACAGGCGTGAACCACTGCGCCCAGCCCATGTCTGTATTTTACAAGTTGATTTTTATTATGCAAAAAGCTTCATGTTCAGATAACTATGAATCAAGTTACCGTTGTGGACTTGGGCTTCCTGAGAGCAGATTCCCTCTCTGACTTTTCCTGGAAGTTACACAGGCACTTCTTCATACCATGCTGGGGAAGCATATCATTTAGTTTGTTAGCATTTCTTTTTTTTTTTTTGAGACGGAGTCCTACTCTGTCCCCCAGGCTGGAAGTTTGTTAGCATCTCTTAGAAATCTTCCCAAATTGGCAAACCCACCAAGATAACTGCCAAGATATTTCTTGACACATTATTTTGACTTCAGGTTATTAGTTAGGATTCCTGTTAGGTATCAGATGTTTATTAGGCTCAGGCACATGGGGCTTTGAAATATCTGAATCCAGCACATCCAGGGAAGAGAAGAAGAGAATATAGCCACTGGCACAGGAATTCAGTTTGTCTCCCTTTTGGGCACCAGGAAGTGGAATCCAGGATCCTCTTCCCTTGAGCTTCCAAGTAAAAGCTTCCCTTTAAATCCAGAAGTGGGGAAAGAGCCTCCAGGTATCAGTGGCTCCAAGCCCTTTGCTCCGTGGAAAGTAGATAAGGACAGGTGAGCAGGACTAATGGTCTGAGTGGGGTCCCCCCAGTTGCAGGCTCTGTCTCTTCCAAGCTCAGTCAAAGGTCAGTAGCAAAAAGAAAGCCTGGAATTTGACTGTTGCGATGCTGTGCTCTCCTGCAAACCCGGGGTCTGCACTGGAGGTTTCATCCCATTGCTCTGTGTCATTAGACACCCTCACCCCCATCACACCCTAGCTAGGTGGAGATGGAACTCTTTTCCGTTACAGGTCTTGAAACCCCCAAGTAGAGCAATTTCTATCTCCCTGAGTCCTACGCCTTTTCAACCTCAAAATCCTCCAGGAACACCTGTCATCTCTGCACTTTAGAAGTCACAAAAATAGGGGTTACTGCAGCCTGCTAGGGGAAAGGGACAATGAAAGGGGTGCTTTAGAATCGCAGAATGTTAGTTCTTCTCAGAGGATCTTGTCCAGCTCCCTCCCTGCATAGATGCTAAGGCCCAGAGAGGTGAAGTGTCTTGGCCTCTTAGTGAAGAAACTAAGGCCAGTTCCCAGGACTCCTCGTCTGAATGCCCTTTTCACTCTTTCATTCTGACTTCCATCCAAATATGCTTGTGGAAATGAGAATATTATAAGGAGGAGGACTTATGAGGAAGGCTGGAATGATGAAAAGAGCCCAGCAGTTCAAGTGAAGAGAATTGAATTTGAGTCTTAATCATAATTACAATTACTGAGTATGTAATTGTTACTGAACCCTAGTCTCAGTGTCTTAATCTATAGATTAATCTATAGTTTCTAATCTACTATCTTTTTTTTTTTTTTTTTTTTTTAGGCAGGGTCTCACTCCAGTCGGCCAGGCTGGAGTGCGGTGGTGCAATCTCACGGTTCAAGCAATTCTCCTGCCTCAGCCTCCCAAGTAACTGGGACTATAGGCATGCACCACCATGCCTGGCTAATTTTTGTATTTTTTGGTAGAGAAGGGTTTTTGCCGTGTTGGCCAGGCTGGTCTCAAAACTCCTGACCTTAGGTGATCCACCCGCCTTGGCCTCCCAAAGTGCTGGGATTTACAGGTATGAGCCACCGTGCCCAGCCTACTTTCTAAACTAATCTATAATCTAGTTTTCTTATAAGGCTATTGTGAAGGTGAAAGCACTGGGTAAATCATAAAGCATTATACAAACAAGGAGATCTACAAGAGAGGTCTGAGGTTGGGAAACAGTAGGAAGGGATGGTTTACACAGTTGAGCTTTAGGGCCCTGAAACTGTAGGCAAAGTGTTTTGTGTTCGTGCATTTTTCTGGGAAGAAGATCTATAAGTTGCATTACATTGTTATTTCCCAGAAAAGGTTAAGAAGAGCCACTGATGTTAGTACTTGACACCACTATGATCGATCTGAGAACTGTTCTAGTTCTACAGAGAGAAAAATGAAGGAGGAATCATTTTTGAGAAATTCATAGAGTTGCCAGATAAAATATAGGTTGCCACTTAAATCTGAATTTCAAACAACAAACCATGTTTTAGTATAAGTATGTCCCATGTGATATTTATATGAAGTTCACATGTAACTGGGCATCCTGTATTTTTATTCGCCAAATCTGGCAACCCTAGAAATTCACTCATCAATGGAGAAAAGGTGACTTGTGTTTTGATGAGCTTGCCTTCCAGATCTTGTTATAACTTGTTCCTGCTGGCAGAGAGCAGGATTGGGATGATGATGTGTTTTAGAAGCAAAAATGAGAGTCGGACAGCAGCCTCATTGAATATTAGACACCTTAGGGATTGTTTTGAATTGAAGCATGTCACCTTATTGATACCATAGCAGGGGCAGATTCAAGCTTTGCATGGCTTGAAATCTATATGGTACTGGGGACCTTCCTTGGGAAAAATAAGGCAAAATTGCAAGAACAAAATTAGATATAAATATGTATGTTTGTTTATTCAAATGAGAAAAGAAGGCCCAATAAACCACTGCAGCCTTGATACTTAGAATAGCACCTGGTGGGCCAGGAGCAGTGGCTCACGCCTGTAATCCCAGCACTTTGCGAGGCCAAGGCAGGTGGATCACCTGAGGTCAGGAGTTTGAGACCAGCCTGGCCAACATGGTGAAACTCTGTCTCTACTAAAAATACAAAAAAATTAGCCAGGCATGGTGGCGGGCACCTGTAATCCCAGCTACTTGGGAGGCTGAGGCAGGAGAATCACTTGAATCCAGGAGGCAGAGGTTGTGGTGAGCTGAGATCGTGCCACTGCACTCCAGCCTGGGAGACAGAGCAAGACTCTGTCTCTAAATAAATAAATAAATAAATAAAAAAAAGACTAGCACCTGGTACATAGTAAGTACTCAACAGATTAAAAAAATGGTAGAAATCAGTGTTTTCCGTGCATGACACAAAGCATAAATAGTATCAGGAAGTCTAAAATTGCACTGTTACTTTGGGCTTATGTAATTGATGAAGGATTAATGTCTTGTACATGAGGATACTTAATAAATATTTGTTAATGAACATTTAGTTTCTCATGGGGACGTTTGCCAGGAATCAAGGGCAGAAAAAAAATGTCATATTTTCTGAAGTGAGCAAAGATATTTGGGAAAATATGAAATATCTATATAATGTTTTGAAAACAATACGGAAAGTTGTACCTTTTCTCAGTTTAACTTTTGTTTCCTTTTTGAGCATTCTGGCTAACAACTGCATGACAGGATTTTAAGTTTTGAAATATTGGTTTTCATATTTAATATAACCATTTTCCCTTTTTCCTTTTTCTCTCTTTTCTTTTCTTTCTTTTTTCTTTTTCTTTTTTTTTTTTGAGACAGGATCTTGCTCTGTCACTCAGGCTGGAGTGCAGTGGTGTGATTATGGCTTACTGCAGCCTCTACAGCAATCCTCCCATCTCAGCCTCCAGAGTAGCTGGGACCACAGGCGCATGCCACCATGTCTGGCTAATTTTTTTTTTAATTTTTTATAGAGACAGGGTCTCCCTATGTTGTACAGGCTGGTCTCAAACTCCTGGCTCAGGTGATCCATCTGCCTCAGCCTCCTAAAGTGCTGGGATTACTGGCGTGAGCCATTGCACCTGCTCCTTTTTCCCTTTTTCTTAAAATGAAGGGCTACTTGTTCTTTTAAAGAAACCATCCACAGGTCCACAGGCCGGGCAAGGTGGCTCATGCCTGTAATCCCAGCACTTTGGGAGGCTGAGGTGGGCGGATCACCTGAGGTCAAGGGTTCGAGACCAGCCTGGCCAACATGGTAAAACCCTTCCTCTGCTAAAAATACAAAAAAAAAAAAATTAGCTGGGCATGGTAGCACATGCCTGTAGTCCCAGCTGTTCAGGGAGGCTAAGGCAGGAGAATCGCTTGAACCCAGGAGGCAAAGGTTGCGGTGAGCCAAGATCGCACCACTGCACTCCAGCCTGGGCAACACAGGGAGACTCCATGTCTCCATCTCACAAAAAAAAAAAAAAGAAAGAAAGAAAAGAAAAGAAACCATCCACAAAGGTAATATGCTCATTATGGATTCTATCATTTACTGGTAAATATAATGTAGTAATTTCTCAGTTGGTCTTTTGTAATAGATACATCACTATAATAAATATCAGAATCAGAAAAACCTATGTAGCTTATTTTTTCCCCCTATATGTTACATAGGTTTTTTAAAGTGAAGAGGTTTTTCTTTTTTGTTTCCAGATTAAACTGTGCTTTAAAAAGATAAATACAGACAAGTATGGAATAAAAGCCAAGCTTTTCTTTTTTCTCGAGACGGAATTTTGTTCTTGTTGCCCAGGCTGGAGTGCAATGGCGTGATCTCAGCTCACTACAACCTCTGCCTCCTGAGTTCAAGCGGTTCTCCTGCCTCAGCCTCCAGAGGAACTGGGATTACAGGCACCCACCACCATGTCCAGCTAATTTTTTATATTTTTAGTAGAGACGAGGTTTCACCACGTAGGCCAGGCTGGTCTTGAACTCCTGACCTCAGATGATCTGCCCGCCTCTGCTTCCCAAAGTGCTGGGATTACAGGCATGAGCCACCATGCCCGGCCCAAAGCCAAGCTTTTGATTTATTCTATATTATACGTCAGAAGCAATACTAACAGAGAAATTCTTGACACAGTTTCTTCTCAAAGCATTTGAAAGTTCATATAAATTTATGCATGGAAAATATATGAAAGGACACTCATCAAAATGCTAGTGGTAATTACCTCCCAGTGATAGTGAAATTATAGGCAATTTTATATTCCTTTTCCCTGTCCATATTTTCTGATTTTTCTCAAATAAACATATTAAAATGTAGAGATAACTCTTGGGAAACAGAAAGCTATTGCATAAGAAATGATCTTTGAGATATTAAACTTGACATTTGAGAATCGGAGTTTTCACTTAGCATATTTTATCACCAGTAATGGATTGAAATTACAGCTCACCTTGCCATCTGTTAAATGGGAATGAAGAAAACATCAAAGAAGCAGAGTATATTTAAAGCACCTAGTATGGTGTGTATTATGTGCTTAATAAACTTAAGCTTTAGCTTTTGTTATTATTAATATATGCTAAGAATCTAAAAATAAACTTCCTTGATACCCTTTAAACATTACGTATTCTCAAATCAACAGGAGGTAAATACTTCGATCATTTAGAAAAGCCATCAGAGAATTAAGCTAATTTTTAGTTTTCCAATTTTCAATTAATAAAATATTTCTAATATACAGGAAATAACAAGAGAAACTCACCCTCTTTCTCACTCTTCTTAATTTTCAATTTTTTTTTTTCTTCCCGAGATGGAGTCTTGCTCTGTTGCCCAGGCTGGAGTGCAGTGGCGTGATCTGGGCTCAGTGCAACCTCTGCCTCCCAGGTTCAAGCAATTCTGCCTCATTCTCTCGAGTAGCTGGGATTACAGGCACATGCCACCATGCCTGGCTAATTTTTGTATTTTTAGTAGACATGGGGTTTCACCATGTTGGCCAAGCTGTTCTCCAACTCCTGACCTCAGGTGATCCACCTGCCTTGGCATCTCAAAGTGCTGGGATTACAGGCGTAAGCCACTGTGCCTGGCCTCACTCTTCTTAAACGTGAAATCTTGCCAGGCGTGGTGGCTCATGCCTGTAATCCCAACACTTTGGGAGGCTGAGGTGGGTGGATCACAAGGTCAGGAGATTGAGACTATCCTGGCCAACAGGGTGAAACCCTGTCTCTACTAAAATACAAAAATTAGCCAGGCATGGCGGCATGCACCTGTAATCCCAGCTACTGGAGAGGCTGAGGCAGGAGAATCGCTTGAACCCAGGAGGTGGAGGTTGCAGTGAGCCGAGATGGAACCACTGCACTCCAGCCTGGGCGAGAGAGCGAGATGCTGTTTCAAAAAAAAAAAAAAAAGTGAAATCTTACAGGTACAACTAAAGCCCTAACCTCTGCTCTTCCCTTACCTTTCTCCCCAGAGATAACTATCCTAAAGCTCACTTGTAGCACTTCCATACCCGCTTTTGTACTATTCCTACTTATATTTGTACTTTAAATCTCCATGCTTACATCTATACTTTACATTCAGAAATAACATATACGGCTATTTTTGTGTGGGGAAACACAAAGCCTAATCAGAAATTCCTTTTACTTGGAATGCTTTTCTTCCCCATTTTCCCATCTTAAACAATAATACTACATTTGTTTTGTTTTTGTTGTTGTTTTTAGATGGAATCTCGCTCTGTCGCCCAGGCTGGAGTCCTGTGGTGCAATCTCGGCTCTCTACAACCTCCGCCTCCGGGTTCAAGTGATTCTCCTGCCTCAGACTCCCAAGTAGTTGGAATTACAGGTGCATGCCACCATGCCCGGGTAATTTTTGTATTTTTAGAGATACGGTTTCTCCACGTTGGCCAGGCTGGTCTCAAACTCCCGACCTCAGGTGATCTGCCCACCTCGGCCTCCCAAAGTGCTGACTTTACAGGTGTGTGCCACCACACCAGCCTACATTTGTTTTTAATAAAACTTTGCTTTATCAAAATGAAATGACTCCAGTTATAAACTTTGCATTCCACATTAACACATGGTTAGTTGTTTTGTTTTGTTTTTTAGACAAGTCTCACTCTGTTGCCCAGGCTTGGATGCAGTGGGGTGATCCCGCCTCGGCCTTTCAAAGTGCTAGGATTACAGGCATGAGCCACTGCACCTGGCCAACACATGGTTAGCTTTAAACCAATAATTACTGTAAGATAAGACAAATCTCCCTGAAGGTTCCATGTAGAATAGTTTGTAATCCATATTCTAATTATGACTTATAAAACATAGAACTTAGAAAAGTAATTACTCCTAAATAAGTTTGTTCATTTATTAAATTGAGTTTTACTCTAAAATATGTTCTTAGGTAAACAGAACAGATCTAATTAATCAATTTAACAAGGTGCTGCACTTATAGCAATAAAATCTTTTTCTAATCCTTATTCAAATTCAAAGTACCAAGCCATTGTTGGGAAATAGTTATTAATTCTCCAAATTATTATGACAATCCTATCCCTTCAAATATTGTTTATTAACCTAAAAATATAATTTATGGAGAGCTGCTACTACAAACTATTAAATGGAATTAGCACATATATAGACAGAGAATTACTAACAAGATGTTGTCAGTTTGAATGGTAAACCAATGTGTCTCCTAGTAGTCACCTCTTCTCTTCCTAAATAATCACAAAGTGACCACTTTAAAAGCCATTCTAAGCTGGGCATGGTGGCTCATGCCTGTAATCCCAGCACTTTGGGAGGCCGAGGTGGCTAGATCATGAGGTCAGGAGTTCGAGACCAGCCTGGCCAACATAGTGAAACTCTGTCTTTACTAAAAATACAAAAACTAGCCAGGCATGGTGGCATGTGCCTGTCGTCCCAGCTACTCAGGAGGCTGAGGCAGGAGAATCATTTGAACCTGGGAGGGGGAGGTTTTGGTGAGCTGAGATTGCGCCACTGTACTCCAGCCTGGGCAACAGAGCGAGACTCCGTCTCAAAAAATAATAATAATAATAAAATAAAATAAAATAAAAAAACACAACAAAAAAAAGCCATTCTAGGATTTTGCTGCAGTGAGTGCCAAGCTCTCTTCTAGAGGAATTGAGCACCTTATCCCCCTTTTTTTTTTTTTTTTTTTTTGATACAGAGTCTCACTCTGTTGCCCAGGCTGGAGTACAGTGGCCTGATCTCTGCTCACTGCAACCTCTGCCTCCTGGGTTCAAGAGAGTCTACTGCCTCAGCTTGCCAGTAGCTGGGACTGCAGGTGTGTGCCACCACGTCCAGCTAATTTTTGTATTTTTAGTAGAGACAGGGTTTCACCATGTTGGCCAGGCTGGTCCTGAACTGCAGACCTCAATTGACTCACCTGCCTCAGCCTCCCAAAGTGCTGGGATTACAGGCGTGAGCCACTGTGCCCAGCCAGCCTTATTCATTTTGAAAAACACAAGGCAGTCGGGTACAGTGGCTCACGCCTGTAATCCCAGCACTTTGGGAGGCCAACGCAGGCAGATCACGAGGTCAGGATTTTGAGACCAGCCTGCCCAACATGGTGAAATCCCATCTCTACTAAAAACACAAAAACTTAGCTGGGCATAGTGGAGGGTGTCTGTAATCCCAGCTACTCGGGAGGCTGAGGCAGGAGAATCGCTCGAACCCAGAAGGCGGAGGTTGCAGTGAGCCAAGATTGCACCACTGCACTGCAGCCCGGGCGACAGAGTGAGACTCCATCTCAAAAAAAAAGAAAGAAAAAAAGAAAACAACAACAACAACAACAACAAGTCTTCAGTCTTCCAGCACTTCTGTTGTCCACACTTTGGTGAAAAATGATAGCAACAAATGAGTTATATCATCCGTGAGACTTTTTATTCTTGGCTTTAATCCCTCTGGGCCAGGAGCTTTAAACTCAATGGGAATATCCAGTATTCTCTAAACAACATCTCCTCTGTCAAGAGCTTTGCTTGTCTCTTAACTATTTTGTCACATTTTCTGGTCAGAAAAGCAGCAACATAGGATTGGAGTAGGTCCCTTCTTCCTTTCTCTGTCACTGCCATTGATAGTATTTCTTATTTTTAAAATAGAGACAGGGTCTCACTTTGTTGCCTGGTCTTGAACTCCTGGGATCAAGCAATCTGCCAGCCTCAGCCTTGCAAAGTGCTAGGATTACAGGCATGAGCCACCACACCCAAAAGAATAAAATAACTGGATAACTTCCTTCCAGTTCTTTCTGCCACTGAGAAGAAATTAACATTCAACTTTATTTTTCTCTCCATACTTTTCTCCCCAGTCATTTCCCAATAGGGAGAAAAAGACATAATTTATTAGCTGCTGTTAATACTTACCCAAACTAATCTCCAATTTAAAAATAAACAAGGCCGGGTGTGGTGGCTCATGCCTGTAATTCCACCACTTTGGGAGGCCGAGGTGGGTGGGTCACCTGAGGTCAGGAGTTTGAGACCAGCCTGGCCAACATGGCAAAACCCCGTCTCTACTAAAAATACAAAAATTAGCCAGGCCTGGTGGCACACGCTTGTAGTTCTAGCTACTGGGGAGGCTGAGACAGGAGAATCGCTCGAACCTGGGAGGCAGAGGTTGCAGTGAGCCGAGATCGCACCACTGCACTCCAGCCTGGGTGACAGAGAGAGACTCCATCTCAAAAAAATAAAAATAATAAATAAATAAATAAATAAGTCTTTTTACTAAATGGTGCTAGAACAACTGAATGTCAACATGCAAAATAATGAAATCAAACCCCTTCCTCACACAACACACAAAAGTTAACTCAAATGGATTATGTAAGACCTAATATAAATGTAAATGTAAGACATAAATGTAAGAGCTAAAACTATAAAATGCTTAGAAGAAAATATAGGAATAAATCTTCACAGTAGTGGGTTAGTCAAAACCTTCCTAAATATGACACTGAAAGCATAAATGACAAGATAAAAAATAGCTAAGTTGGTCTTCATAAAAATTAAGTCTTTTGAACAGGCCCAGTGGCTCACACCTGTAATCCCAGCACTTTGGGAGGCCGAGGGGGCTGGATCACCTGAGGTCAGGAGTTCGAGACCAGCCTGACCAACATGGAGAAACCCCATCTCTACTAAAAATACAAAATTAGCCGGGCATGGTGGTGCATGCCTATAATCCCAGCTACTCAGGAGGCTGAGGCAGTAGAATCGCTTGAACCCAGGAGGTGGAGGTTGCAGTGAGCCAAGACTGTGCCATTGCACTCTAGCTTGGGCAACAAAAGCGAAACTCTGTTTCAAAAAAAAAAAAATTAAGTATTTTGTTGTGTTTCAACAGACACCATCAAAAAAGATAAAAGGTAACCCACAGACTAGGAAAAAGTATTTGCAAGTCATATTGCATGCATGCACTTCATAATGATATTTTGGTCAATGACAGACCACTTATACAGCAGTGGCCCCATAAGATTATAATATCATATTTTTACTGTATCTTTTCTATGTCTAGATACATGAATAACATTGTGTTACAAATGCCTACAGTATCCAGTACAGTAACATGCTATATACAGGGTTGTAGCCTAGGAGCATGGGCTATACCAGATAGTCTAGGTGTGTATTAGGCTGTACCGCTAGATTTGGGTAAATACACTCTATGATATTTGCACAATGACAAAATTGCCTAACAACAAATTTCTCAGACCATATCCCAGTAATTAAGCAACACACAGCTGTATCTCATGAGAGACTGGGATCCAGAATACATTTTAAAAACTCTTACAACTCGCCAGACGCGGTGGCTCACGCCTGTAATCCTAGCACTTTGGGAGGCCAAGGTGGGTGGATCAAAAGGTCAGGAGATCGAGACCATCCTGGCTAACACGGTGAAACCCCGCCTCTACTAAAAAATACAAAACATTAGCCGGGTGTGGTGGCGGATGCCTGTAAGTCCCAGCTACTCAGGAGGCTGAGGCAGGAGAATGGCGTGAACCCGGAAGGCAGAGCTTGCAGTGAGCTGAGATCGCACCACTGCACTCCAGCCTGGGCGACAGAGCAAGACTCCATCTCAAATAAAACAAAACAAAACAAACAAAAAAAAACTCTTACAACTCAATGATAAGACAACCCAATTAAAAATGGACAAAAGATCTGAATAGACATTCTCCAAAGATGTCATCCAAAGCCAAAAAACAATGAAAAGATGCTCAATCTCAATAGTCACTGGGGAAACACAAATCAAAACCACAATGAGATACTACTTCACATCCACTAGGATGTAGTAAAAAAGACAGATAATGACAAGTATTGATAAGGATGTGGAGAAATTGAAACTCTCATATGCTACCTGTGGGAATGTAAAATGGTGTATCCACTTTGAAACAGTCTGGCAGCTCCTCAAAAAGTTACACAAAGCTACCATATGACCCAGCATTCCACCCTAGAGAAATGAGAACATTTATCCACACAACAATTGGTACATATATATATATTTTTTTTAACCGGAGTCTCGCTATGTCTCCCAGGGTGGATGCAGTGGTGCCACCTTGGCTCACTGCAGCCTCTGCCTCCCGGATTCCAGCAGTTCTCCTGCCTCAGCCTCCCAGGTACCTGGGAGAACAGGTACGTGCCACCACGCCCGGCTAACTTTTGTATTTTTAGTAAAGATGAGGTTTCACCATCTTGGCCAGGCTGGTCTTGAACTCCTAACCTTAAACTTCTGATCTGCCTGCCTCGGCCTCCCAAAGTGCTGGGATTACAAGCATGAGCCACCATGCCCATCCAAGAACATTAGATCTAAGCCTTCAGTTTACAATCTAAGAAAGAAAATGGCCAGGCGCGGTGGCTCACACCTGTAATCCCAGCACTTTGGGAGGCCGAGGCGGGGGAATCACCTGAGGTCAGGAGTTCGAGACCAGCCTGCCCAACATGGTGAAACCCCGTCTCTACCTAAAATACAAAAAATCAGCCAGGCGTGGTGGCAGGTGCCTGTAATCCTAGCTACCCGGGAGGCTGAGGCAGGAGAATCGCTTCAACCCAAGAGGTTGCAGTAAGCTGAGATTGCACCACTGCACTCCAGCCTGGGCAACAGGAGCGAAACTCCAAAAAAAAAAAAAGAGAGAGAGAGAAGAAAGAGAAGGAAGGAAAGAAGGAAGGAAAGAAGGAAAGAAAGAGAGAGAAAAAGAAAGAAAGAAAGGAAGGAGAAAAAGAAAAAGAAAGAAAGAGACGATGGTCTGTCCATTACATCCCATTCTGTCTCTTCCCTAAGTAAGAACTTCTCTTTTCCTACTAATGCAGAAGTTTCATCATGAGTTTTGTCTTCTCTGAAAAATGCAGAATGAATTTCTCTGTTTCATCTCTTACTATCTATCTGTTTATCCATTTGTCTACTCATCCATCTATCCACTAATCCATCCCTCCATCTACATATTTTTAATCAGAAGAAACCTTAGGAAAAAAGTCTACTTCAATCCTTTCATTTTATGACTTATTTAGAATGCCAAGATCCCATAAGGAGATGTACTCAAACCATGATTTTGTTAAGCACATATTCTCTAAGCCAATACATTTGGCAGGCAGAATCTACCAAGCATAATGTAAAAACTAGCTGGGAATGGTGGCTCACGTCTGTAATCCCAGCGCTTTGGGAGGCTGAGGTGGAAGGATCACTTGAGCTCAGGAGTCTGAGACCAGCCTGGGCAACATAACAAGACCCTATCTCTACAAAAAATTTAAAAATTAGCAAGGTGTGGTGGTAGCAAGGCGCACCTGTAGTCCCAGCTACTTGGGAGGGTGAAGTAAGAGGATCACTTGAGCCTAGGAGGTCAAGACTGCAGTGAGCCATGGTTGTGCCACTGCATTCCAGCCTGGATGACAGAACAAAACCTTGTCTCCAAAAAAGAAAAGCAAAACAAAAAGGTAAAAACTTGACTCAGGGTGTAAACATTGAAGATGAATGAGAAACAATAGTATTGTGTTCAAAAAGAAGTTAAAGCTGTAATGTTTGAACTCATCTTTTTTTTTTTTTTTTTGAAAATGGAAACTGTGAGCTCTGAGGGACAGAGGTCATGACTTATTCATGTTTGCCTTACACCACATCTGACACACAGCAGATGTTCCATGAACATTTGAATGAAGGAATAATTAAATCAATAAAATTACTTTTAGTAGGATTATGTTCTTGGCCCTGATTCAGATATGTCCAATTTTTCTAGCCTGGTAGACTCTTTTTTGAATGCTGATGTCACTACCCAATATCTCTATTTCTTTAATTATAATATATATTTTTTCATATTATAATATTTCTGAAATCATGATGCATCTCTTATAGTTGATTCATTCAGATAATGTGTTATTTTTTCTGAAAAACTTATCAAATCAATGGTGCATCTTACAATCATTGACATCTCAAAGCTCAGGAAATTAACTTGCTAATACTAGCTTGCTGTCAAAGTTTTGTATCATCAGAAAATGTGAGAGGTATACATCTAAGTCATTGAAATTGTTAAACAAGTAAAAGAAAAGGCAGAGCAATTTAACAGGGATAAATATTAGATGCTGAATTTGGATCTAAAAATCAACTACATATGTTCGAGAGGAGGGATACATGGCTCAACAGCAGCAGCAGCCCCTGCGCTGCCCAGTCCCGATTGCCAGATCCTGCAGGTCATTATCTCCTCGTGGTCATATTCCAGGGCCAGGAAGTTTCCCATTCAGCTAGTATTCCACCCCAGACTCTCTCTCTCTTGCTGCCCTGGTCAATTAGTCCTAACATGTGGACTCTGACAGGCACAAAGGTGTTAGTAAATTTGGGAGTCTTTTTGGACAGGCTTCAGGGGTATAATCATATAATCAACAGCAGTACAAGGGCAACAGATTTAGGAGTTTCAGTGAACTGTAAGCTTGATATGATCAATGATGTGATATAACTAGACATAAAGAAATCTAAGTAAATAGTTTCCAGCTTAAAGCTGGGTGTGGTAGTGTGTGTCTACAGTCCCAGATACTCAGGAGGCTGAGGCAGGAGGACCACTTGAGCCCAGGAGTTCGAGGTTGCAGTGAGCTGTGATTGCGCCACTGCACTCCAGTCTGGGAAACACAGTGAGACCTTATCTCTAAAAAGAAGAAAAGGAAAAGAAAAAGAGAAAGAAAAAATCTCTTCCAGCTGAAGTTAAAACTGGTCTTCCTTTCTTTCTGCCCTCCAGTAAAGTGCCAGGCTACTTCTACCCACACACTTGAAGAGTAAAGCCGTGCCCACATTCAGGCAATCAGAATAAGAAACAGACTGAAACTCTAATCACATAAGAAATAGTCAAAGGACACTTTGGGAGGCCAAGGCAGGAGGATTGCTTGAGCCCAGAAGATCAAGACCAGCCTGGGCAATATGGTGAGACTCATCTCTAGAAGAAAAAAAAAAGAAAAAAGAGGCCCGGCACGGTGGCTCACGCCTGTAATCCCAGCACTTTGGGAGGCCGAGACGGGCGGATCACGAAGTCAGGAGATCAAGACCATCGTGGCTAAGACGGTGAAACCCCGTCTCTACTAAAAATACAAAAAAATTAGCCAGGCATAGTGGTGGGCGCCTGTAGTCCCAGCTACTGGGGAGGCTGAGGCAGGAGCATGGCGTGAACCCGGGAGGCGGAGGTTGCAGTGAGCCGAGATGGCGCCACGGTACTCCAGCCTGGGCGACTGAGCGAGACTCCATCTCAAAAAAAAAAAAAAAAAAAAAAAAAAAGAGTCAAAGGAATTTGAGTTACTTGTCTCGCCAATGACTGAAAAGGTGACATGTTTCCAATTATATGAATGATTGTCTTGTGGAAGAACATTTTGGGATTAAATTAGAACTGATATATAGAAGTTGCTGAAGATATTAACTCAATATAAATTAAACCATAATGCTTTTCAAAAGTGGGTTGGGCTGCCTCTCAAACAAGCTACCCATCTCTGGAGGTATTTAGGCAAAAATTAGGTGACATCTTCTAGGGAATTGTGGTAGCCGGTCTCCAAGATGGCCCCATGATCCATACCTCCTGGTATTCATGCCTTTGGGTCATTCCGTCCCTTAGTTGTGGACTGGACTTAATGAGTCACTTCTAATTAATAGAATAAGACAGTATGCTGGGATATAACTTAGAGACAAGGCTATTAAAGGCAATATGGCATCATTCCCTTTATCTTGTATCACTTGCTCTGGGGGAAGCCAGCTGTCATGCAGTGAGCAGCCCTATGGCAAGGCCCACGTGATGAAGAACTGCAATCTCTTGCCAACAAGCAAGTGAGTGAGCTTGAAGTGGATCTTCTAGACTCAGTCAAACCTTAAGTTGACTGCATCTGCAGCTGACAGTTTGACTTCAACCTCATCAAAGACCCTGGATTAGAACCACCCAGCTAAATTGCACCAGGATTCCTGACCTTCCAAAACCATTTTAAAGTTGATATATTTGGGGGTAATTTGTTTTTCAGCAATAGACAACAAATACAGGGATGTCATAGATGGTTCAGATATCTTGTTGGAACATAGTATTTTGTCTTTTATGATCCCTTTAACTTTGAGAGTCTATGATCAGGTATGAAATGATATTTTTGTCCAGAAGATTATTCCCCAATGGGAGTTAATGCTAAGCAAATGAAAACAAATTTCCATTGATAGGCATTATTTTATTTATTTTATTTTATGAGACAGAGTCTCGCACTGTTGCCCAGGCTGGAGTGCAGTGGCACGATCCTGGCTCACTGCGACCTCTGCCTCCTGGATTCAAGGGATTCGCCTGCCTCAGCCTCCCTAGAAGCTGAAATTATAGGCACCCACCCCCACACCCAGCTAATTTCTGTATTTTTAGTAGAGATGGGGTTTTGCCATGTTGGCCATGCTGGTCTCGAACTCCTGACCTCAAGTGATCTACCCATCTCAGCCTCCCAAAATGCTGGGATTACAGGTGTGAGCCACCGCACCCAGCCTAGAAACACTACCTCTTATAGCCGGAATCCTATTATCCAACTCCACTCTACCATTTCTTTACTCTTGGTTCCACCCTTGCCCCTTCACCTACCACAGCCTGCTTCTTATCTGTGTTTACTTAAACACAGGCTTTGCTCCACCCAGCACCTGTGCAGCCCATTCCTGATCTGCCAGATCCTGCGGATCATTATCTACTCCTGGCCATGATCCAGAGCCAGGAAGCTTCCTATTCAGCCAATATTCCAGCCCAGCCTCCTCTCTCTCCTTGCTGCTCTGGTCAATTTAGTCCTAGCATGTGGACTCTGACAGGCACAAAGGTGTTAGTAAATTTGGGGGTCTCTTTGGACAGGGTTCAGGGCTATAATCATATTTTGAAAGCTTTCAGGTAGGGCATCCCACAAGGCTCATTCTGTCCCAGAAACCTCAAGTTTTCTGATTTCTACTCTACATCTTGTATACATTGGATCTTTCTTTTACTTAATGTCTTAAATAATTACCCAAGGTCTCCTCTCTGACAGGGAAACATTGAAACAACCTTTGGAGGGGCCGGGCGAGGTGGCTCATGCCTGTAATCCCAGCACTTTGGGAGGCCAAGGCAGGTAGATCATTTGAGGTCAGGAGTTCGAGATCAGCCTGGCCAACAAGGTGAAACCCTGTCTCTACTAAAAATACAAAAAATTAGCTGGGCGTGGTGGTGGGTGCCTTTAATCCCAGCTACTCAGGAGGCTGAGACAGGAGAATCGCTTAAATCCAGGACACGGAAGTTGCAGTGAGCCGAGATCACGCCACTGCACACTCCAGCCTGGGCGATTGAATGAGACTCTATTTCGGAAAAAAAAAAGAAACAACCTTTGGAGATTCATTTTAACCATTCATTTATAAAATTTTAAAGATAGTCTTTCACCTATAGCACTAGTGATTGCCTCTAAGGCTCTCAATACAAGTGTAATAAAATAGTCATTTGTCTCAGAGTACAGGGCTGGGGCAGAAGAGGGCCCAAAGAAATGCTTTTATAAACATGTTAAGATCTTTGTGAAAGTAACTAATTCATGAATCTGTTTACCTTGGCAGTGTCTATAGGGTTCATGATTTCATGCCTGACGTTTTTCTTTTCTGCTCCAATACAAAAGTAAATCAGGCAAATGCATACTAGTTTTCCTAAAGATTCTTGAACAAACTTTTGTACAAACCAGTGCCAAAAGCTGCACTAAAAGTAGAGGAAAAAGAGTTATTCTGGATGTGTTTAGCACCTATAAAATACTCAAGTAAATTGTGACTATTACTTTCAGTCAAATAGATGATCAAAGACATCCTCTCCTTTTGATCCTAGTTGTTCAGATTTCTACTGCCTTCCTCATCGGTAGAATTCACTAGGTCTATAGATAAAATCTGCAAAAACCTCAGCTATCAACAGGCAACTCCACAGCCTTTTAACAATATTGCTGTACCTTATTTTAGCACCTTATATTTCCCTGTCACTTTACACCATGACATTCCTGCATTGAAATCATTATGTAAAATGAAATGTGAAGGGAAGCAGTTGTCAACTTTAGAAAGATCTGAGCATTTACACACCTGGCCCTTTCCAGTGGGCAGTTCAAAGGCAAAGCAATCTAGTCACAGAGGGAGGAGAGTTAAACTGAAACTATGACTACACAGTGTCTTTATTACTTTGAAGACCAAAGGGTGTTTGATCCTTGTTCTAATACCAGCTTCTTGGTAACACTGTATAAAGTGCACTGATGCATCTCCAGCATCTACGTTAGCATTTAATTCTTGCTCATCTACCTTTCCAAACAATCATGAGGAGTGTAAATAAAGAATATATTGTATTTAATAAATGCAAGTGACAGCATGGGAAATATATACTTCCTTTTAAAAGTAGTGTTTTAGGCTGGGCGCAGTGACTCACACCTATAATCCCAGCATTTTGGGAGGCCGAGGCAGGCGAATCACGAGGTCAAGAGATCGAGACCAGCCTGGCCAACATGGTGAAACCCTGTCTCTACTAAAAATGCAAAAATTAGCTGGGCGTGGTAGCACACGCCTGTAGTCCTATTTACTCGGGAGGCTGAGGCAGAAGAATTGCTTGAACCTGGGAGGCAGAGGTTGCACTGAGGCGAGATTGCGCCACTGCTTTCCAGCCTGGCAACAGAGCAAGACTCTGTCTCAAAAAAAAAAAAAAAAGTAGTGTTTTAAATTTATTTGGTCAATATAGAAGAAATACATGCTCATTACAGGAGATTTGGAAAATGTCAAAAAGATGAAAGAAATTTTAAAAAATCACATTATACCCACCACCCAAAAGATAGCCATTAATAATGTTTCAATTTCCTTTTGGGCTTTTATTCATGCACAGTTTAAAAAAAAAAAACATTGCTGTGATCATTCTCTCTCTATATAGTATGTATATACTTTTGTGTCCTATTTTCACTTCCAATTATAACATAAGCAAAAAATGCATACTTTGAAAGTTGATGTGAGTTCAGAGTTTAGTAAAAATATGTGTTTCATTTGAATTGGAGTCAAGACTATAATATTCCTTTGAACATTATACAACATGCTTCTTCATCATTCCACCATTCCCTTTTGCATTGTTTAAGTTGAACATTACATCTTTTCTAGATTTTGGATAATGTTATGTTTTGGACAGTGAATATGATTGCTAGCAGTTATTTTATGACAAAATACATTGGAATTAAAAACATTATTTTATTGTATTTATTTTTTGAGACTGAGTCTTGCTCTCTCACCCAGGCTGGAGTGCTGTGGCGCAGTCTCAGCTCACTGCAACCTCTGCCTCTGCCTCCTGGGTTCAAGCGATTCTCCTGCTTCAGCCTCCTGAGTAGCTGGGATTACAGGCACGCGCCACCATGCCTGGCTAATTTTTGTATTTTTAGTAGAGACAGGATTTCACCATGTTGGCCAGGGCAGTCTTGAACTCCCGACCTCAGGTTATTTGCCCGCCTCAGCCTCCCAAAATGCTGGGATTACAGGCGTGAGCCACTGGGCCTGGCCAAAAACATTATTTTAAATCTATTCGTTTGCACCAGGTCTGACATTTATATCAAGAAATATTTTATTCGACTTATTAACATATTACCAAAGATCTAGCATTATCTTTAAATTGAAATAATTGTTTCTTATAATAATAATAGGCTTCAGTGAAGCAATAATTTTAAAACTCCATATCACAAATATTTATTAAACTCTTCAATGTTACATCAGTTTTCCTCCCACACACCCATACTGCAGTCCCAGAATAAGACGCATAAGGAGTAGTAATCAAGAATTAAGACTTTCTTGTTAAAAACTGTCAAAAACTTGCTACACCAGCATCCAGCGACAGGAGGAGAAATGTCTCCAGTCTATTACACTCCCCTGCAAGCCAGGTTTTAATTTGTTGAGAAGGGGGAAAAGCCTATAAAAATCTTGGCAAAATACAGAGCTGCTAATTTAATCAATTTTAGTAGTTAAAGCAGTGATTTCAAGTGCTAACACAATCTGTTGAAAGAACTAATTTCCAAGGTAGGGGAGATTCATTTATTTCTACTTTTTCTTCCCAGTTTTCCAATCTAAGGCTATGTGGGCAGCCATCATGCACTCACTGAGACACCCCCTCCCATGAGTTGAGTCTTGGGCCCTAACTCAATCCCTGAAGAAGCAGAGAAACAGGCCTTCCTTTCCCCTGGGGAGGGCTTTCCAGGTGCAGATGAAGTAGACCTCAACTGATAGATGCCTGTAGTAATAGACACTTGCTTGAGGGTGCATTAAGAGCTAAAATCATGCTGAACCACAAGAAAGGGCTGGATGCTTGCTACACACTGCCCCTGAGAGTGAGAAGGGGTGCTCTGCATCTCCCCTCATTCTGAAATCTCCCAATTCTCGGCCAAGTGCAGTGGCTCACACCTGTAATCCCAGCTGTTTGGGAGGCCAAGGCGGGTGGATCAACTGAGGTCAGGAGTTCAAACCAGCCTGGTCAACATGGCAAAACCTCATCTCTAATAAAAATACAAAAAAATTAACTGGGTGTGGTGGTGCGTGCCTGTAGTCCCAGCTACTGGGGAGGCTGAGGCAAGAGAATCCCTTGAACCTGGGAGGCAGCAGTTGCAATGAGCCAAGATCGCACCATTGCACTCCAGCCTGGGCAACTGAGTGAGACTCTGTCTCAAGAAAAACAAAAAAGAAATCTCCCAATTCTCACTGCCTCTCATCATTAAATTTCCTTTGCAGCAGTGTACTGGCACCATATTTTGATATATTAACAGATATGTTTCTAATTCCTGGTAGTTCCTTTATACCCCCTTGAAAGCTATACAATGAGACATTAATTACCTTGAGAAAGGGTTGCTACAGCAGAAAAGGATTTTTGAGTATGAGCCAAATCCTGAAGATCTCAGAGCATGAACAATTTAGAATATTGCTAAGCGCCACCTCTGAAACTAGATAAAGTTTACTTGGGCTGGAGGAATGGAGAGAGAGAATCAGAAGGAAAGAAGGTTTAGATAGCAGTAGGTTCCTAAGAAAGGGTCAGGGAACTTCCTCAGGCTGGGCACGGTGGCTCATGACTGTAATCCCAGCACTTTGGGAGGCCAAGGTGAGTGGATCACCTGAGGTTAAGTCAGGAGTTCAAGACCAGCCTGGCCAACATGGTAAAACCTGTCTCTATTAAAAAAAAAAAAAAAAAAAAAGCCGGGCACGGTGGCTCGCACCTGTAATCCCAGCTACTCGGGAGGCTGAGGCAGGAGATTCGCTTGAACTCAGGAGGCAGAGGTTGCAGTGAGCTGAGATTGTGCCACTGCCCTCCAGCCTGGGTGACAGAGTGATACTCTGTCTCAAAAAAAAAAAAAAAAAAAAAAAAAAGGCTTTCCCCAGCTTCCTCTCATACCCAACAGGCATGAAGAAACCAAGGTAGAGGGAAGCTGTGATGCATTCCCAGAACCAGAATAGAGCCCAGGCAGGTTTCAACATGCCACAGTCCTCTCACCCACCATGGTGAGGACACAGAAGGAATATCTGGGTTGTGCACCTCAGCAGGTGAGACAGAGGCAGCCTCCAAGCAGCCCCCTGGGCATCAGCGTGGTTCAGGGAGAAGCAAAACATTTTTTTTTTTTTTTTTTGAGACAGAGTCTCACTATGTTGCCCAGGGTGGAATGCAGTGGCACGATCTCAGCTCACTGCAACCTCTGCCTCCCGGGTTCAAGCGATTCTTCTGCCTCAGCCTCCTGAGTAGCTGGGATTACAGGTGCATGCCACCACACCCGGTTAATTTTTGTATTTTTTTTTTAATTAGAGACAGGGTTTCGTCATATTGGTCAGGCTGGTCTCAAACTCCTGACCTCAGGTGATCCACTCATCTCGGCCTCCCAAAGTGCTGGGACTACAAGTGTGAGCCACCGTGCCCAGCTGAAGCAAAACATTTTCCACACACCTGAGAGTAACACAGACCTGGAGCAAGAACTTATGCACCCCACCTAGTTTTCTGCAGTCCAGGAATGATGAGGGAACCATGAAAGTAGGGAAAAAGAGTGTATCAAGAGAGGCTTTGCAGTTAGAAGAGGCCAAAAAAAGTACTTGGGAGGCTGAGGCAGGAGGATAAAAATAAAATAAAATAGGCCAGGTGTGGTGGCTCACGCCTGTAATTCCAGCACTTTGGGAGGCCAAGGCAGGTGGATCACTTGAGGCCAGGAGTTCAAGACCAGCCTGGCCAACATGGTGAAACTCAGTCTCTACTAAAAATACAAAAATTAGCTGGACGTGGTGGCACACACCTGTAATCCCAGCTACTTGGGAGGCTGAGGCAGGAGAATCACTTGAATCTGGGAGGTGGAGATTGCAGTGAACTGAGACTGCACCACTGCACTCCAGCCTGGGTGACAGAGTGAGACTCTGTCTCAGAGATAACTAACTAAATAAATATAAATAAATAATAAAATAAAATAAAAATAGCCACCTGGGCCAAAGACAGAAGAATCAGATAGGACGTGGTACATGTTGGCAGATGCCAGCATGGTCTGATGAACAACGGCAAGACACTACCTGTCCCCACCCTGATGCTGTGCCACTAGGTAAGTCCCCAGATCTCAGAGGAAAAGAGCAGTGGGAACCCTAAACTGACTAATATTTGATATCTGCCACGTAGCAGAATGACACTCTTCGAGTGCAAAAGAGAAATTAAGTCTTGGAAAAATGGAAAAAGGTATATTTCTTGCAAAACTGATTCATGTCATGAGATTTATGGTGGTCACATGTATCCCATGGAATTTCCAATATACGTATACCATAGGCAAAAAGACTTTGAAAAAATGTCACAGTATTAGACTTTGAATAAGAGTTGGACATCATGCAGGAGTGTGAAGAAAAGAACATCTTTGTTGTTTTCTGATCAATATCACCTTCAGACTGGAATTACAGCTTCACTCTATTTCTTCGGGGGTGGGGTAACTATTTTCCTTAGTTTGTTCAAGAATGGATCGACCAATTAATCAAAATTTTAGAAATAACTGGAGGACTGTACTATGCTGCCTGCTTTCATTAACTGCTCAGTTGGTGGACTGACAAAGCACTGTAATCATTTCTTCACAATTCCCATGGTAAAGTCATCCCAAATGTCACCAGCATCATTCACTTCCCCATCAACTGCCACGTCTCTGCCGTGTCATGATGACCTGGGATAAAGGCTGTGGGTGGGGACAAGGGTTGTCACAAGTTGTAGATTAGACAAACCAGAGGGGACCTCAGAAAAGCATTTATTTTGGTTCTGGCTTCCAAGCAGGTCTGCAGCCAGATCGTTCAAGAGAACGATTGTCTATCCTATGTTTAAAGATCCCCAAAGAAGGCAATCTCTAGTAAGCTGTTTTAATATATAAAATCTATATTTTGAGAAGTTTCCTCCTTTTATCAAATCTAAACCCATCTCTTTTTGTTTTCGTCTTAGCGGTAATAAAAATACATCATATGATTCTGTTCTGAAATCCTGTTTTGGGCTTATAGATAATATTTATTCTGCTAGAGATGTTGGCCCTTTTAGAAAAGAGTTTCTGGGCCGGGCACGGTGGCTCAAGCCTGTAATCCCAGCACTTTGGGAGGCCGAGGCGGGTGGATTGCCTGAGCTCAGGAGTTCACGACCAGCCTGGGCAACCCGGTGAAACACTGTCTCTACTAAAATACAAAAAATTAGCCGGGCATGGCAGTGTGCGCCTGTAGTCCCAGCTACTCAGGAGGCTGAGGCAGGAGAATTGCTTGAACCCGGGAGGCGGAGATTGCAGTGAGCCGAGATCATGCCACTGCACTCCAGCCTGGACGACAGAGCGAGATTCAGTCTCAAAAAAGAAAAAAAAGAAAAAAAAAGAAAACAGTTTCTGGTTTAAATGGGGATTTTGTAACTTGCTGTCTCAGAGGCAGATTCCTGATGACTAATGGGGTGATTTTTTTTTTTTTTTTGAGATGGAGTTTCGCTCTTGCTGCCCAGGCTAGAGTGCAATGGCGTGATCTTGGCTCACTACAACCTCTGCCTCCTGGTTTCAATTGAGATGGGGTTTCTCCATGCTGGTCAGGCTGGTCTCGAGCTCCTGACCTCAGGTGATCCACCCACCTTGGCCTCCCAAAGTGGTGGGATTATAGGTGTGAGCCACTGCTCCTGGCCTAATGGGGTGATTTTATGCAGTGTGAGAGCCAGTAGCTGGGTAGCTGGATGCTTGTCTGAAGTGCTGCCTTTCCCTCAGGCACTGCTTGTGTGGAGATACCCAGGAGAGGACCAGAAAGAGCTCTCCTGTTGTGTCAGCTGTGAGGAAGGAAGGGAGAAACAAGAAGTGAAACCTGAGGCAGGACACCCTATTACGTGGCACAGACAGGGTCACCTCATGGGCAGTAGCTGTGACAGGGGACGCCAGAGCAGAGATTTTGGTGGCAAAATACCTTGAAGTCCTGAACTTTGAAGTCCTATATGAAAATATCTTGAAGTTCTACGTGAACCTTAGATGGACATTACTCTAAGACAAGGATTTAAGATGAGTTACAAAAGAGTATTCCATTCTAGCATGGCAAGAAACCCGGGCAAAGATTATTAAGTGATCAATAAAGCTAAAGGTTAGTGGAAAAATGTAGTAAAGTCTACACAGGTACTTGTGAGCTTTGTTTTTCCCAATGATATCTTTAATTAAATGAGTAATGTCCGCCGGGCGTAGTGGCTCACACCTGTAATCTCAATACTATGGGAGGCTGAAGTGGGAGGATCATTTGAACTCAGGAGTTTGAGGCTGCATTGAGCCTTTATCATGCCACTGCACTCCAGCCTGGTCAACACAGTGAGACCCTGCCTCAAAAAAAAAAAAAATTAGTTGGGTATGGTGGCACACACCTGTAGTCCCAGCTACTTGTGACACTGAGGCAGGAGGATCACTTGAGCCCAGGAGTGCAAGGTTACAATGAGCCATGATCACACCACTGCACTCCAGCTTTGGTGACACAGTGAGATCCTGTCTCAAAAAATAAAATAATTTTTAAAGCAACATTGAAATACATTCTCATCGTAAAAAAGTAAGCATTAGAATTATGGCTAATGGGCCCGGCACAGTGGCTCACACCTATAATCCCAACACTTTGGAAGGCTGAGGCACGCAGATCACAAGGTCAGGAGTTTGTGGCCAATAGGGTGAAACCCCATTTCTACTAAAAATACAAAAATTGGCTGGCTGTGGTGGTACGCGCTTGTAGTCCCAGCTACTTGGGAGGCTGAGGCAGGAGGATCGCTTAAACCTGGGAGGTGAAGGTTGCAGTGAGCTGAGATCACGCTACTGCACTCCAGCCTAGGCGACAGAACGAGACTCCCATCTCAAAAAACAAACAAACAAAAGAATTATGGCTAATGTCCTCTTTGACCATTTCTTTCCCCCTACAACTTCCCCAGCACCCCCCATCCTAATAGTCACCCTAGAGAAGGGTCATTCTGTGTTTGGGAGATAACTTTCTGCTTTTCTGGCCAGTACAGCCTCTTCCTCTTGGGGTAAAGGAAGATAACGGGTAAGATGGCGAGGATGAGTCAATATTTCCTCTATTCTTGGACACAGGTTCAAAAGAGAATCATTGGGAGTTTCTCAGTCCAACCAAATCATGATGCAATCCGGAAAAAGAACCTAAAATTTTGGCATGTAGTCTTCATTTTTCAATTTGCAGTATCAATGCCGATTTGTTTTTTTGTGTGTATATCTTTACAATTTTTTTTTGTTTCTTTAGGATTTTTTTTTTTTTTTGAGACAGAGTTTCGCTGTTGTTGCCCAGGCTGGAGTGCAATGGCACGATCTCGGCTCACCGACCTCCGCCTCCCAGGTTCAAGCAATTCTCCTGCCTCAGCCTCCTGAGTAGTTGGGATTACAGGCATGCACCACCACGTCCGGCTAATTTTTTGTATTTTCAGTAGAGACGGGGTTTCTCCATGTTGAGGCTGGTCTCGAACTCCTGACCTCATATGATCCGCCCGCCTCAGCCTCCCAAAGTGCTGGGATTACAGGCGTGAGCCAACCCGCCCAGGCTTCTTCAGGCATTTTTCAAAAGAAATTAAGGGAAGGTACATCAAGCCCAACTGATCTGCCATCATTAACCTGGAAGCTTTTCATTCAATTTTATGTGTCATCAATCTTGGCTTCTAATCTCTGGAATATTGTGATAATTTCAAAATGATCTCCCTATTTCTCTATCTCCTCATCTACCCATCTTTCTTCTCTCAACTCCCTTCCCTCTAATTCATCCATAGTCATAGTTATAAAACATCATTGTTAGCCAGATGTGGTGGCCCACGCCTGTAATCCCAGCACTTTGGGAGGTTGAGGCAGGTGGATCAACTGAGGTCAGGAGTTTGAGACCAGCCTGGCCAACATGGCGAAACCCTGTATCTACTAAAAGTACAAAAATTAGCTGGGCATGGGGGCGGGCACCTGTATCCCAGCTACTCAGGAGGCTGAGGCAGGAGAATGGCTTGAATGTGGGAGGCAGAGGTTGCAGTGAGCCGAGATCTCACCACTGCACTCCAGCCTGGGCTACAAGAGCAAGACTCTGTCTCAAAAAAAAGAAAAAATAATAAAAAATAAAACATCATTGTTATTTTATCAATCTTCAGCAGCTTTTCATTGCCTACAGAATGGAGTCTCAGTTCCTCAGGTTGGCATTCCACAATCTGATTCCAAAATGTGAATCTATACTTAAACTACTCACTACTCAAACTTCATTCCAACCATTGTTCCTGAATGTTCTGTGTGTTATGCCTATCTTGACATCAATACTCCAACCTTTACCTATCTACATTCTGTTCCCTTCATTTCTCTGAGTTCCATCTGTCTTTCAGAGTAGTGTGCTAGCACTGTGTGTCACACAGAAATGAATTTTACAATGTAGAAATCCTGTACTCATTTGCAGTACAATTTGACAGTACATTTCAATAACCATAGAAGTGTTCAAATCCTTGGGCTCAGAAATCCCACTCTTGAGAATTTATTCTCTAATAAACAGAAATAGAGGAAAGGTTAAGTCAATTATGGTACATGTACTTAATAAAATAGAATACAGCTATTTAAAATTATAACTAGAAGCACTATATAGCTTATGAAAATGCTTATGAGTAATTAAAGAAAAACAGAGAATAAAATTGTGATTAAATCTGGAAACCTGGAAAGGGAACTAAAGAAACAGTTGAACTAAAGAAACAGTTGATTTGTGGGGTGGTGGGAGGTTACGTTATTCTTTTTCTTTTATTTGGATTCCCTTGATGCCATCCTTTTTTTTTTTTTTTTTTTTTGATGAAGAAAGTCTCCCTCTGTTGCTCAGGCTGAAGGGCAGTGGTGCAATCTCAGCTCACGGCAACCTCCACCTCCGCTTCCTGGGTTCAAGTGATTCTCCGGCCTCAGCCTCCCAAAGTGCTCGGATTGCAGGCATGAGCCACTGTGCCCGGCCCCTTGTTGCCATCTTAACACTGTTCTTATGATATATAATTGTGACATATAATTGCTGTTCTTGGCCAGGCGCAGTGGCTCACACCTGTAATCCCAACACTTTGGGAGGCCGAGGTGGGCAGATCACCTAAGGTCAGGAGTTCGAGGCCAGCCTGACCAACATGGTGAAACCCCGTCTCTACTAAAAATACAAAAATTATCTGGGCATTGTGGCGTGTGCCTGTAGTTCCAGCTACTTGGGAGGCCGAGGCAAAAGAATTGCTGGAACCAGGGAGGTGGAGGTTGTAGTGATCCGAGATCACGCCACTGCACTCCAGCCTGGGTGACAGAGCAGACTCCATGTCAAAAATAAATAAATATGAAAATAAAAAATTGCTTTAAAGAGTAATGTAGAGTTCTTATTTAAACTATCTGATCAGACATATGAATTGAATCTTTCTCCTCTTAAGAGTTCTTAGCATTGGCTGGGCGCAGTGACTCACGCCTGTAATCCCAGAACTTTGGGAGGCTGAGGCAGGCAGATCACCTGAGGTCAGGAGTTCAAAACTAGCCTGGCCAACATGGTGAAACCCTGTCTCTACTAAAAACACAAAAATTAGCCAGCAGTGGTGGCATGTGCCTGTAATTCCAGGTACTTGGGAGGCTGATGCAGAAGAATCGCTTGAACCTGGGAGGCAGAGGTTGCAGTGAGCCGAGATTGCACCACTGCACTCCAGCCCAGGCGAGAGTGAGACTCTGTCTCAAAAAAAAAAAAAAAAAAAAAAAAAAAAAAAAAAAAAAAAAGAGTTCTTAGAGTTTAGCAAGGTTGCAAGATACAAGGTCAATATACAAAAATTCTATTTCTATGTACTTGCAATGAAATTTTATTAATTGAAAAATTAATTGAAATTTTATAAAGTATCATGTATAATGCCACCCCAAATTAAAATATTTAGGGATAAATATAACAAAAATGGGCAATATGTTTTGCAAAAAACTATAAAACACTGATCACAGAAATTAACAAGACCTAAATAAATGGAAAGATATGCCATGTTCAAAGGCTGGAAGATACAATATTCACATGTCAATTGATCTATAGATTCAGTGCAATTCCAATTAAAGTCTTAGCAGTCTTTTTTGGTAGAAATTGATAAGCTGGCCAGGCGCTGTGGCTCACACCTGTAATCCCAGCACTTTGGGAGGCCGAGGTGGGCAGATCACGAGGTCAGGAGATCGAGACCATCCTGGCTAACACAGTGAAACCCCGTCTCTACTAAAAATACAAAAAATTAGCCAGGCATGATGGTGGGCACCTGTGGTCCCAGCTACTCAGGAGGCTGAGGCAGGAGAATGGCGTGAACCCAGGAGGTGGAGGTTGCAGTGAGCCAAGATCCGTGCCACTGCACTCCAGCCTGGGTGACAGAGTGAGACTCCGTCTCAAAAAAAAAAAAAAAAAAAAAAAAGAAATTCTACCTGGAAGAATAGCTAAAACAATTTGGATTAAAAAGAACAAAGTTGAAGGACTCACACTACTTGATCACAAGATTTACTATAAAGCTGGACAGTGATCAAGACAGTGTGGTATTGATATAAGGGTAGATATAGATCCATGGAACAGAATTGGGAATCCAGAAATAGACCCACACATCTATGGTCTTTTTTTTTTTTTTTTGAGAGAGGGTCTCGCTCTGTCACCCATGGTGGAGTGCAGTGGTGTGATCTCGGCTCACTGCAACCTCCGCCTCCCAGGTTCAAGCTATTCTCCTGCCTCAGACTCCTGAGTGGCTGGGATTACAGGCACCCACCACCACGTCTGACTAATTTTTGTATTTTTTTTTTAGTAGAAACGGGGTTTCACCATGTTGGCCAGGCTGGTCTCAAACTCCTGACCTTAAGTAATCCGCCCACCTTGGCCTCCCAAAGTGCTGGGATTACAGGCTTGAGCCACCATGCCCCACCTGGTCTATTGCTTTTTAACAAAGTGCCAAAATAATTCAATAGGAAAAAGATAGTCTCTTCAACAAATGGTTCTGGAATATTCAACATCTACCTGCAAAAACAAACAAGCAAACAAAAAGCTGACTTTGATTCTTTTCCATGTTTTTAAAATTAGCCCAAAATTTAAGATTTTTAGGGAATAGATTATAGGCCTAAATGTAAAATCTAAAACATCTAGTAGACAGTCTTGTGACCTTGGGGTAGGGAAAGATTTCATAGATAGGCTGTAAAAAGTATAAATCATGAACCTTTTTTTTTTTGAGACACAGTCTCAAAATTAAAATTTCTAACATTGTTAGAAAATAAAAAGACAAGCCAAAAGATAAAAGAGCAAATTGGGAGAAAAAACTTGCGAAGATATAGCTGATCAAGGATATATAAACAACACTTTACCCATATATTTACCCATAATATACAAATAATATTTTCTTTTTTTGAAACAGAGTCTCGCTCTGTTCCCCAGGCTGGAGTGCAGTGGCGCAATCTCGGCTCACGGCAATCTCTGCCTCCCAGGTTCAAGCAATTCTCTGCCTCAGCCTCCGGAGTAGCTGAGATTACAGGCACCCGCCACCATGCCTGGCTAATTTTTGTATTTTTCCTAGAGACAGAGTTTCACCATCTTGGCTAGGCTGGTCTTGAACTCCTGACCTCGTGATCCACCCACCTTGGCCTCCCAAAGTGCTAGGATTACAGGCAGGAGCCACCACACCCGGCCAACATTTTCAATTCAATAGATTAAAAAAAGGCAACCCCCACCCCACTCAATGGACAAAAGAGTTGAACAGACACTTTGCAAAATAAGAGAAACAAGTGTTTAACAAATACATAAGATGCCTTTCACCATAATTTACTAGGTAAAGGCAAATTTAAGCCACACTATAATGACACACCTACTAGAATGACTGAAAATTTTTGAAACTTACAATACCAAGTCCTGGAGAGGATGTAGAGCAACTGGAACTCTTAGACATTGCTGATGGGAAAGCAAAATAGTATATTCTCTGTGGAAGACAGTGTGGCAGCTCCTTTGGAAGTTGGGCATACATTTTCCACACAACTCAGCAATTCTACTCCAAGGCGTTTTCCCAAAATAAATGAAAATACATTTCCATAGAAAGAACTGCTAGCAAATGTATACCAGATTTGTTTATAACCACCCCAAACTGGAAAAATCCAAATGTCTATCAACTGGGGACGGATAAGCAAATTGTGATACATCCATACAATGAAATGCTACATAGCAATAAAAAGGAATGAACTACCAATACATTCAATGACATACATAAATCTCAAAACACCATGGTACGTGATTGAAGTGACACTCAAAGGGCTATATGTAATATTATTTCATTTATATGACATTCTAGAAAATCAAAACCAAAGGGACAGTTACGAGATTAATGATTGCCAGAAAATGGAAGTGAGGATAGGGGATTGGGTACAAAGGAGCATGAGAGAGCTTTTGGGGGTGATGGATATGTTCCGTATCTTGACTGTGGTGGTGACTGTGTGACTCTGTACATTTTTGAAAACTCATTAAAACATACTCTGAAAAAGAGTACAACTTAACTCCATGTAAATTATGTCCCCATAAATCTGATTCCAAAATTGAATTCTGCATACTGATAGCATTGGCATTACCTGGGATGTTGTAAGAAATGCTGAACCCCAAACTCCATCTGCATGCAGACCTTGTGTTGTAGGTCAGGTTCCCCAGGAAACAGGCCCTAAGATTCTGAAAGCTGCATACAGGAGGTTTATTAAGGGGAGAATTTAGAGGGAACGAAGTAGGATTGAGTAGGATTGAATCCATCTGCAGTGCAATTTGACAGAAGCCTCAGCTGAGCCTACAGGGACCTCTGGAGCTGGAATTACCTTCAGGGTAGGCCCTCTCATCAAGCAGTCATTGGATGTGACTGCCCCCAAGGTCTGACCTTGGTTGGGCAAGGTGATTCTCTTTAGCTGAAGGAAATTTCCAGAGAATGACTCAGCTGAGAACCATCAGCTGCCAACACTCCCGGCAGCTGGGTAAATGAGAGCCTCCATCCTGAAAAGAGAATCTGGGCAACTCACCATAGCACCCACTACAGTGCACTCCTTGCACCTTTTGAGTCCACTTGTTTCATAGAATAAGTTCACTCCATCTTGGAAGAGTTCCTTCAGGGTTCTTATTGGTCTCTTTTCCTAAGGAAACTTGTAAAGACAGTGGGATGAACCACATCCTTGCCCCCGCCAATACCACAGCTGGTGTCAAGGTCACAATCAATACTCATCATCTTCCTTCTCTACTGCCCATTCCAGATTACCTCTACCCTCAACCAGCACCTCTTCTGGTCTAACTGGCCTATCTGAGAGATGGACCCTGATCCTTTTCCATGAGCAGTAGGAGTCCCTGATTATTATATCTTTCTTTCTCAGGCTGTGATGCTGCATTTTTCTGTTAATGTCAAGATTGAACAGGGGATGCCAGGTGCAGTGGCTCACACCTGTAATCTCAGCACTTTGGGAGGCCAAGGTGGGTGGATCACTTGAGGTCAGGAATTTGAGACTAACCTGGCCAACATGGTGAAACCCCGTCTCTACAAAAAATACAAAAATTAGCCAGACGTGGTGGCAGATGCCTGTAATCCCAGCTACTTGGGAGGCTGAGGCAGGAGAATTGCTTGAACCTGGTGGGTGGAGGTTGCAGTGAGCTGAGATCGTGCCACTGCACGCCAGCCTGGACGACAGAGCAAGACCCTGTCTCAAAAAAAAAAAAAAAAAAAAAGATTGAGCAGGGGAATATCAAGAGAAACCCCAGTGGATTACTTGGGTGCCAGACTTACTCTTCCCTGCCTCCATCATGTGACAGCAGTCCTATCTCCTCCTGATGAGGGCAATTCCTCCTGACAGGATGATGACTCATTTCCTTGCCTGCTGGTATCCTGGTATAAAGTGCCTAATGTGACTGACAGTTTACTAGAACTCTTGTGTCCCCTGGTGGAAATATTTTCCCTCTGGGATTGAAGACTTCTAGATCCACAGAACCTAGAAGCACAAATTCCCTAAGTGAGCTATTGGGAGGGATGATAAACAGCCACTCCTACTTCTACCCTTTGGTTCCCAGACTCACACATTCTACCGTTTTAGGGACACAGCACTATATAACGGGCACTGACTTAGGGTATATACTGCATTCTGTAGGACGCCATCTATCAACTCTAAGCTGGTGTCTCAGCTGGCTTTCAAAGGCCATCCCATTACTGTCAGGCCAGATGTCTCTGGGTAGCATGGAATACGATAGGACCTCTGGATCCCATGGTAAAGTGTCCTACTGACATACCTCCTTTACTGTTAAGTGGATCCCTTGAGCCAATACAATGTTTTATGGGTTCCCATCATGGTGAGTGAAGCACTATAAACCCTTGGACAGTGGTGCTAGATGAGGCAACACAAGTAAGAAAGGAAAATCCAGCCAGGCGAGGTGGCTAATGCCTGTAATCCCAACACTTTGGGAGACCAAGGTGGGTGGATCACCTGAGGTCAGGAGTTTGACATCACCCTGACCAATATGGTGAAACCCCATCTTTACTAAAAATACAAAAAAAATTAGCCAGGCGTGGTGGCATGCGCCTGTAGTCCCAGCAACTTGGGAGGCTGAGACAGGAGAATTGCTTGAACCTGGGAGGCGGAGGTTGCAATGAGCCAAGACTGTGCCACTGCACTCCAGCCTGGACAACAGAGAGGACTCCATCTCAAAAAAAAAAAAAAAAAGAAAAAGAAAAAAAGGAAGGAAAATCCATACCCAGGATATACGTTGATTGCCAAGAAGACAGCTCATTGCCCCTTTTAGGATAGCAGGGCAATCAATACTGTGGTTGCTTGGTCTCCTTAAGGCATATTGTGATATTGAGGGCTTATTTTTGGTCTCTGTTGCTTGCAGACTGAACATTCAGCACTAGGGTAAGTTACAGCAGCCTTTATAAATGACGTTGGGCCCTTGAGTAGCTTCTATCCTTTCCAATGTGGATACTCACTACTATGGACTAAATGTTTATTTTCCCCCAAAATGTGTATGTTGGAGCCCTAGCCCCCAATATAGCTGTATTTGGAGATGGGGCCTCTAAAGAAGTAATTAAGGTTAAGTGAGGTCATAAGGGTGGGGCCCTGATCCAAAAGGATTAGTGCCCTTATAAGAGACATGGAGAGCACTTATTCTTGCATGTGCCTGCCTTCCCCTCCACCTCCCATGCACTGAAGAAAGGGCATGTGAGCACACAGGATGAAGGCAGCCATCTGCAACCAGACACCAACCCTGCTGGCAGTTTGATTTTTGGACTTTCTCTAGAACTGTGAGAAAACAAATTTCTGTTGCTTAAGCCACATTTTTTGTGGTATTTTGCTGTAGCCTAAGTGGATTAATAAACTCCATTTATGAGCACACTGTGCCAGCCCTGTGGGACTGGTAGCAGCTAGCTGGGTCATTCTGCCTAGTGCACTCCTATTGTTCAGTGCCTCTCCCATGGTGGCTGCTAGGAGCAGGTATTAGCATGTGATGCAAAGATCTTCACATTTCATGTCCATTCCTGTAGATCTATGGACCTATATCTTCCCCATACCCCAGGCCTCCCATATTCTAATATTTCTCTTTCCAGGCCTCTGAGCAACCAATGAAGACATTCACTACTGCCATGAGCTCATATATACTTTTGCCTCGAGCCATGTGTCTCTCTCTACACAAAGCAGATGATCAGCACACTCCCCAAATCTCTAAACATTGGGAGGATTTCCTGTCACTTCTTATTTCAGGGCTAGTCCTGAGAGAGACTGTAGTTAGCAGAGTTTGTTTTCAGCTTGTAACCACATCAGAGTATAACTTGAGCCATCCATGAACCAGTCTCGGTATTGTTCCTCCTTGGCCAGCATGGTGGCTCATGTCTGTAATCCCAGCACTAAGGGAGTCTGAGGCAGGCAGATCACCTGAGGTCAGGAGTTCAAGACCAGCCTGGCCAATATGGCAAAACCGGTCTCCACAAAAATACAAAAATTAGCCAGGTGTGGTGGTGCGCGCCTGTTATTGGGGCTGGCATAAACCTCACATGACGCTTTTTTTTTTTTTTTTTTTTTTTTGAGACGGAGTCTCGCTCTGTTGCCCAGGCTGGAGTGCAGTGGCACAATCTCAGCTCACTGCAAGCTCTGCCTCCTGGGTTCACGGCATTCTCCTGCCTCAGCCTCCCTAGTAGCTGGGGCTACAGGCGCCCGCCACCACGCCCAGCTAATTGTTTTGTATTTTTAGTAGAGACAGGGTTTCACCTGTTAGCTAGGATGGTCTCGATCTCCTGACCTCGTGATCCACCCACCTCAGCCTCCCAAAGTGCTGGGATTACAGGTGTGAGCCACCTCACCTGGCCAATGCATTTTCTTCTTTTTTGAGACAGAGTCTTGCTCTGTCACCCAGGCTGGAGTGCAGTGGCACCATCTCAGCTCACTGCAACCTCCACCTCCAGAGTTCAAACCATTCTGTCTCAGGCTCCGAAGTAGCTGAGATTACAGGTGTGTGCCATCACACCTGGCTAATTTTTGTATTTTCAGTAGAGACGAGGTTTCGCTATGTTGGCCAGGCTGATCTCGCTTCTAAAACTATATGATATAATGGGTCGCATGGCCCAAGAAGCAGGACTGCTCATACTGTAACCTGAAACCACTATGGAGCCCTTTCCTGCCCTAGGCCTCATACAATGCTGGTAGATTTCCTTGTCACTTGGTAAGGTTTAAAGCAGTGTTCCTAAGTAGGTAATATGCTGCCACCAGAGCCCAAAGAAGCCTGGTAGGCATTATGCTTGCTTCTTAGTCGTGGGAAGTGCAAGATGGAATAATTTGACCTTTACTTTGGAAGGAGATATCCTAGTATGCCTGAAGCCACTAAAACGTCACTACTGTGGCAGGCCCCTGAATCTTTATAGAACCCTCTGGAACACATGTCTTATCCAGGCCTCCAACAAGTATTTGTATTTCTTGCTCATCTGGTCCAAATAATATAATGTCATTGATATAGTGGGCCAATGTAATATTCTGGGGTGTTCAGATGGTCAAGTTCCTTTCAGAATTTATTTCTACAGAATGCAAGAGAGTTAACACAACCCCAGGGCAAGACTGTAAATGTATATTGTTGTCCATCTCACACGAATGTGAACTTCTTCCAGTTAGGAATGGATAAGAATGCGGCCGGGTGTGGTGGCTCACGCCTGTAATCCTAGCACTTTGGGAGGCTGAGGCGGGTGGATCGCCTGAGGTCAGGAGTTCAAGACCAGCCTGGCCAACATGACAAAACCCCGTCTCTAGTAAAAAATACAAAAATTAACCGGGCATGGTGTCAGGCACCTATAATCCCACCTACTCAGGAGGCTGAGGCAGGAGAATCACTTGAACCCGGGGGGTGGAGGTTGCAGTGAGCCAAGATTACACCACTTCACTCCAGCCTGGGCAAAACAGCAAGACTCCATCTCAAAAACAAACAAACAAACAAACAAACAAAATGCATTGGCCAGATTAATGGCTAATACCACACACCTAAAGCCATGTTAATCTGCTCTAACAAAAATACCATTTGTAACCCAGCAAGCACAACTGGGGCTACTCCTTGGATGAGTTTGCCACATCCTTCAGGATCTGAAGTTCCTGCATTTCTAGCATTTCTATTTCACTTAACAGTGGACCACTGCATTCTGGTTAAGGTCAGAATTAAGTGGGGAAAACATTAGTCCTGCATTCGTGAAGTCTTCAAAGGTGGCTTTAATCTCTGCTGTGTTCCCTGGAGTGTAATACTGTTTTTTATTTACTCTCTTGGATGGAGGAGGAGGGAGTAGTTTTAGAGGTTTCTACTTGGCCTCCTCCACTATGATAGCCCTACTCTTATAGTCTAAAGAAGAAATTATTGGGAGAAGCAATCTACCCTGGATTCTGAGTATCCCTGCACATTCCTGCTAATATGCTGGGAAGACAAGACCTTGACTTCTCTCTACTTAGGAGATTTCTCAGGGTTGTACACACAGCAATAAACCTTGAGAGATGAGCTAACATCTACTTCCAGGACAAAGAGTAGACTTGCATACTGCTTATAAAAATAGTGGATTCCCGGCCAGGCGCGGTGGCTCACACCTGTAATCTCAGCACTTTGGGAGGCCGAGGCGGGTGGATCACGAGGTTAGGAGTTCGAGACCAGCCTGACCGACATGGTGAAACCCCGTCTCTACTAAAAATACAAAAATTAGGCTGGGCGCGGTGGCTCACGCCTGTAATCCCAGCACTTTGGGAGGCTGAGGCGGGCGGAACACGAGGTCAGAAGATTGAGACCATCCTAGCTAACACAGTGAAACCCCGTCTCTACTAAAAATACGAAAAAATTAGCCGGGCGTGTTGGCAGGCACCTGTAGTCCCAGCTACTTGGGAGGCTGAGGCAGGAGAATGGCGTGAACCCGGGAGGCGGAGCTTGCAGTGAGCCGAGATCGCGCCACTGCACTCCAGCCTGGGCTACAGAGCGAGACTCCGTCTCAAAAAAAATAAAAATAATAAATAAATAAATAAAAATACAAAAATTAGCTGGGCATGGTGGTGGGTGCCTGTAATCCCAGCTACTCAGGAGGCTGAGGCAGGAGAATCGCTTGAACCTGGGAGGCAGAGGTTTCAGTGAGCCAAGATGGAGCCACTGCACTCAAGCCTGGGCGACAGAGTGAGACTCTGTCTCAAAAAAAAAAAAAAAAAAAAAAAAAAGTGGATTCCCATACAAAGGAATGCGATCATGTCCTTTACAGGGACATGGATGGAGCTGGAAACCATTATCCTCAGCAAACTAACGCGGGAACAGAAAACTAAACATCGCATGCTCTCATTTCTAAGTGGGAGTTGAATGATGAGAACACATGGAAACATGATGGGGAACAACACACACTGGGGCTTATTGGAGGGGGTTTCTGGGAGGGAGAGCATCAGGAAAAATAGCTAATGGATGCTGGGCTTAATACCTAGGTGATAGGTTGATCTGGGCAGCAAACCACCATGGCACACGTTCCCCTTTGCAACAAACCTGCACTTTCTGCGCATGTACCCTGGAACTTAAAAGTTGAAGGAAAAAAAATCCTCTGCATCGCCTCTATGGGAACTGGGGGCAAGGGGAACAGATGCAGACATGACACTGATACTGCTTGCTGTGGTCTGATAAAGTCCTTTGTCTCTGACCCAAGAGTCTCATATTCAACCAACAAACATGAAACAATAACAGGCTAATGGTTTGTAAGGAGGGTAAAATCCTAGTCCCTGACAGCAATGATGGGGAGCAGCAATGATGGGGAGCAGCAATGATGGGGTGGTTCTTCCAACTCCCAAGTATTTCCATGTCATATTACATTGGCATTATACATCTGGAGACAGAAAATCAGGTGGGTCTTTGGACCCACCGTGAACTAGACCTGGGTCAAAGGCTCCATGTATTACCTAGCCCCAATATACTCCCACTTTAACAGGGAGACCACAGTGACGCTTTGGGTCTCCAGGCATCAGTGTTAACTCAGGCCTTATATCCAACAGCCCTCAAAATGGTTGGGAATTACCCTTTCCTGAGGAAATGGCCATTGGTTTCCTTGGAGAAGGATTGGGGGAATCACGATCATATACATTTGCTGTGGCACTTCTTCCTGGAAACCTACTCTCTCCTTCAGTCAAGTTCTGGGTTCTGGGTTATTGGGGTGACTGCCCTCAAACTCCTAATCACCCATCTTTGATTTCTTCTGGTTGTACATATTGAACAATTGGCTTTTTGGCTGCTCCATCGATCTTGCCCCCGGGAATAAAATGTTCTTTTTTCTTTCCATCTGGCACTTTTATTGTTTCACTTTTTCTGTTTGATTCATTTGAGTAATTTGGGGGTGTGATATGAACCATGGCTCCAGTTTATATCTTGATGGCTTTCCAATTGCTTCACCATCACCTGATTCCATCACTGGATTTATTCTTTTAGTGAATAGTACATCTGTTCCCCATTGATTTGAAATGGCATTTTTGTTAAATGCTAACAATTAATTTTTTTTCTTTTTTTTTTTTTTTTTTTTTTTTGAGACAGAGTCTTTGCTCTGTTGCCAGGCTGGAGTGCAGTAACGTGATCTTGATTCACTGCAGCCTCCGCCTCCCAGGTTCAAGCGATTGTCCTACCTCAGCCGCCCCAGTAGCTGGGATTACAGGCACGTGCCACCACGCCCAGCTAATTTTTGTATTTTTAGTAGATACGGGGTTTCATCATGTTGGCCAGGATGGCCTTGATCTCTTGACCTCATGATCTGCCCACCTTGGCCTCCCAAAGTGCTGGGATTACAGGCGTGAGCCACCACGCCCAGCCAAAACTTCATATTCTTATTAATTTTCTCCATAGCTCTCCTTGGATCAGGTCCTCCCTGGTGTCACTCATTATGCTAATTGTGCCCAGCTTGCATCTGAGGGTTAAATGCTATCTCCTGGGATCCTGCCCGTTACTCTCAGGGAGCCCAGTTCTGTGGCAGCATTTGCTACCATGAACACTGACCCATATGTAACAGCTACAGTGAGTTTCCCAACACGCCAGTGTCCCTCAGTCAGTGCATTCCTCATTGCTTTCTAAATACAGTGCCCTCTAGACCCTCCCATGCCATAGTAGTCTGGCATTATGCAGAATATCCACTCTAATGTGCCCACTGCATTCAGCCTTTTGATCCCTTCCTCCACCATGGTCCATGATAGTTCTAGCATTTCTACTTCACTTACAATGGATCATTGCTTTTTCCAAACTTTGAGAGGCTACCAAGCAGCTTAAGAGCACCATCACCTGGGATCTTCAATAGTTGTTAAATCTTGTATTATGGGATATTGGCCCCACATCGATAGACTCTGTTATCCAATTTTATTCAGTGCTCCTTGATCCACCACCCTCAAGATATAGTGCCAGATGTACTTTGCTGGCTCCTGCTGGAATCTATGATCTAGGTCCTGCAGCTCCTTTGGCGTATACTGGACCTGAACATGATAGAGAACCCAACCTTCTTTGGAACTTTGCTGCTCTTATAATGAAGGCCCGCTCCTGTTCCTCAGCCTTTTCTGCTCGCCTGTTGCAGGCGATGAGTCTCTTTATATGCTGCCAAGGAGGGCCTCTGGCTTTCACACTTCAACTTACAGGTGATTAATGACCCTCAGCCTTTCATGTCTTTCTCCAGTGCAGCAAGAGCCAGAAGAAACAGCCATCTAATTCTCAAGTCCTTATCTTAATATAATTACTATTGCCCTTGAAACTCTCAAATTCCTCTCTAGTCTATTATCTTCCATCAGTTTCCCATTCCAGTTCCCTGCTGCTGGGAGGTTTTTTGTTGCTGTTTTGGTTTGGTTTGGTTTGGTTTGGTTTGGTTTTCTTGTTTCTTTGAGACAGTCTTGCTGTGTTGTCCAGGCTGGAATACAGCAGCACCATCTCGGCTCACTGCAACCTCTGCTTCCCAAGCTCAAGTGATCCACCTCAGCCTCCCGAGTAGCTGGGACTACAGGTGTGTGCCACCATGTCTGCCTAATTTTTTTTTTTTAGATGGAGTTTTGCTCTTGCTGACCAGGCTGGTGGTGCAATGGTGCAATCTCCGCTCAGTGCAACCTCCACCTTCCGGTTTCAGCCAATTCTCCTGCCTCAGCCTCCCGAGTAGCTGGGATTACAGGCACCCGCCACCATGTCTGGTTAATTTTTGTATTTTTAGTAGATACGGGGTTTCACCATGTTGGCCAGTCTGGTCTCTAACTCCTGACCTTGTGATCCACCCGACCCGGCCTCCCAAAGTGCTAGGATTACAGGCGTGAGACACTGTGCCTGGCAATTTTTTTTTTTTTTTTTTTTGGTAGAGATGGGGTTTTGCTATGTTGCCCAGGCTGGTCTTGAACTCCTGAGCACAAACAATCCACCCGCCTTGGCCTCCTAAAGTGCTGGCATCTGGCCGGAAGTTTTAATAATCACACCACAACCTCCTGCCACGGGTTTTATCAGGTGTTTATTGTAAGCCAGCTGTTGGGTGAAACAGCTCCATAATCCCATTTTAGAATTTGCTTCTCATGATAACTCCTGATACCAACTGACATAAATTAGGTTCCCTGGGAAACAGACTCTGAGTCTGAGGTTTACTCTGAGTCATGTGGGAAATTTATTTGGGAGTGCTTTAGGAACAGGGCTGCCAGATAAAATATAGCATGCCCAGTGAAGTTTGCATTTCAGGTAAACAAAGAGTGCAATATTTGGGACTGTTTATATTAAAAGTTATTCTTGTTTATCTGAAATTCAAATTTCACTGGACGTTCGGTGTTTATATTTGCCAAATCTGGCAACTTCTGTCTAAAGAACAACACCTATGAGAAGTGAGGAAGGCAAGCTTGTGAAGGGGGAGACGTTGAAGTATGAAGCATTTGGAGGAGAGGCTTCAGCTGAGTCTATGGTGAGGTCTATAGGTTGGAGAGCCCTTCCAAGCTGCCCTGGGTCAGGCTCGGTGGCTCCCACCTGTAATCCCAGCACTTTGGGAGGCCGAGGCGACGGATCACCTGATGTCAGAAGTCCAAGACCAGCCTGGCCAACATGGTGAAACCCCGTCTCTACTAAAAATACAAAAATTAGCTGGGCATGGTGGTGGGTGCCCGTAGTCCCAGCTACTTAGAAGGCTGAGGCAGGAGAATCACTGGAACCCAGGAGGCAGAGGTTGCAGTGAGTGGAGATTGCACCACTGCACTCCAGTCTGGGCAACAAAGCAAGACTCTGTCTTGAAAAAAATAAAATAAAATTAAGAACAATAATAAAGCTGCCCTGCCTTGAGGAAGGGGGCCTAGGACTTCATTTTCCCACATCAACCAGCCATTGGATGGAGGCTGCCTCATATCAGGGAACATGATCTTGGGTGAGATAGCTCTCTTCCTAGAGGTATTCAGCTGAGGGCTTTCATCTGCCAACACCCCCAGCAGACTGGGGAATGATTGCCTCAGTGCCAATATGGGGAAATCCCGATCTGACCATTGCATCAGTACACCTACTGAACCAGAATCTGCACTTTAACAACATCTCCACGTGATGTTTATGCACATTAAAGTTTCAGAAGCATTGGTTTAAGGCTGGTTCTCCAACTTTTGTGTGCATCAGAATCGCCTGGAGGGCTTAAGCCTCAGCTTTCTGGGCCCCACCCCTGGAGTTACTGATTCTGTAAGTCTAAAGTCCAAGGATTTGCATTTTAAAAAAAATTCCCGGCTGGGCTTGGTGATTCACGCTTTAATCCCAGCACTTTGAGAGGCTGAGGCAGGTGGATCACTTGAGATCAGGAGTTTGAGACAGCCTGGCCAACATGGTGAAACATCTCTACTAAAAATACGAAAATTAGCCAGGCGTGGTGGTGCATGCCTGTAATCCCAGCTACTTGGGAGGCTGAGGCAGGAGAATCGCTTGAACCTGGGAGGCAGAGGTTGCAGTAAGCCAAGATCACACCATTGCACTCCAGCCTGGGTGACAGAACGAGACTCTGTCTCAAAAAAAAAAAAAAAAATCCCCGAGTGATACTGAGCTCCTGCTGGTTCACGGATTACACTTGAAGAACGACTGGCTCCAAATATACAGACATCTAATACCTTATAACCTGGAGGCAGGTGGCTACTGCAGCTGGTTCAGCTCCTCTACAATGCTGTCAAGGACACAGGCTTTTTCCCTTTATGCTCTGCCATCATTAGCATATTAGCCCTTTGTCTTCATGCTGGTCATTTCTGGTTTCAAGATGGCTGCCATAACTCCGGGTATCACATCCGTGGTCAAGGCATGAGGGATGGCAACAGGCGAGCACCAGCTGTGAATTATTTCTTTTCTGAAGAAACAAAAGTATTTTTGGAAGTCCCTCACTCCTGCAGATTCTTTTTTTAATTTCATAAATCCATATCGTTTTAATTATTTCAGAAGCATGTGTGATATATTCATGAAGTGAGTTAATTTAGAGAGGACAAGACCAACCCATGTCTTCACTAAAAATTTCACAGAAACCCCAAAAACTACCCTTCATGACTGCCACTCATTCCTAGGAAAGGAAAGGAAATGAAATAAATCCAATCCCAAGTGAGGAATAATCAAATATGATTATATGTGTATTTATATATAAATACACATATAATATGTACATATATTTAATATGTACATACATATTAGTAATAAATACATATATTTCAGTAAAGGTGCCCAAATCTGACTAACTTCTCCTTCAACTCTATTATTTGAAAAGAAACCAGGTCAGCACAGGGGCTCACACCTGCAATCCCAGCACTTTGGGAGGCCGAGGTGGGTCGATCACCTGAGGTCGGGAGTTCGAGACCAGCCTGGCCAATATGGTGAAACCCCATCTCTACTAAAAATACAAAAAATTAGCTGAGCATGGTGGCACATGCCTGTAATCCCAGCTACTTGGGAGACTGAGGCAGGAGAATTGCTTGAACCCAGGAGGCAGGGTTGCAGTGAGCCGAGATCATGTCATTGCACTCCAGCTTGGGCGACAGAGTGAGACTCTATCTCAAAAAATAAAAAGAAAGAAAAAGAAAGAAAGAAAGAAAAAGAAAGAAGCCAAAAAAACACATCTTGATGATTTTCTACAATAATTTTTTGCTTAGGGTTTTGTTTTCTGCTATTTTTTTTTCTTAAAGGAACGAAGTTTGCAGGTTTATTTTTATATGTCACTGTCCAGAACAGAGTTTATGACCACTCTCATTGCAAGGGAGGCTGGAAAGATGATGTCTAGTCATCTAAACTTTATAGTAAGAGGTGGCAAGTGAGAAGAGGGTTGAGAATGGCTGCTAAGTTAACCACAAACATTTTATCTTGAGCTGTGGAAGTAATCAATACCAGAAACCTTTAAAAAAGAAGTTGGTTGTTGGGAGTGGGACTGTGTGTGGAGAGTGGAGGGGTGGGACACTGGTTTTTCATAGCAACATCTTCTATACAATTTGATTTATTACCATGTTCATTATAAAACCCACCACTCCACTCTTTCTCATACTCCACCTTAGAAAAGCTTGTTGGCTCAACCGTCAAAAGATTTCTAGGGCTGGTTGCAGTGGCTCATGCCTATAATCCCAGCACTTTGGGAGGTCAAGGCAGATGGATGAAATCAGGAGTTTGAGACCAGCCTGGCCAACTGGTGAAACCCCATCTCTACTAAAAATACAAAAATTAGCCGGGTGTGGTGGCGTGTGCCTGTAATCCCAGCTACTTGAGAGGCTGAGGCAGGAGAATTGCTTGAACCCAAGAGGTGGAGGTTGCAGTGAGCCAAGATCGTGCCACTGCACTCCAGCCTGGGTGGCTGAGTGAGACTCTGTCTCAAAAAAAAATTTTTTTTCTAGAATTTATAATGTCTTGTCATCTCCACTACCACCATCATCATCACTGCTTCTGTCCTTGGTCTGTTAGAATTCATAATCAACAGAGCAGTCAGTGCTCCTTTAAAAAATCTCTCTTCTGGGCTAGGCATAGTGGTTCATGCCTATATTCCCAGCATTTTGGGACTCTGAGGAAGGAGAAGCACTGGAGGCCAGAAGTTCAAGATCAGCCTGCGCAACATAGCAAGACCACCGCCCACCACCACCACCCTGCATCTGTACAAAAAATAAGAAAAATTTAGCTGAGTGTGGTGGCATGCACTTTAGTCCCAGCTGCTCAGGAGTCTGAGGCTAGAAGATTGCTTAAGACCAGGAGTTCAAGGCTCTGCAGTGAACTATGATCACAGCACTGCACTCCAGCCTGGAAAACAGAGACCCTGTCTCAAAACACAAAAAAAGAAACAAACAAAAGCCCCTTCTGTGCTCAAAACCCTCCAGTCACTTCCCCCTCTCACTTAAGGTTAAAATAAAAATCTTTGCAGTGGCCTACAAGTCCTCCCACATGACCTTCTGACCTCATTTTCTTTTCTTTTCTTTTTTTTTTTTTTTGAGATCAAGTTTCGCTTTTGTTGCCCAGGCTGGAGTGCAACGGCACAATCTTGGCTCACCGCAACCTCTGCCTCCTGGGTTCAAGCGATTCTCCTACCTCAGCCTCCTGACTAGCTGGGATAACAGGCATGCGCTACCACGCCCGGCTAATTTTTTGTAGTTTTAGTAGAGACGGGGTTTCTCCATGTTGGTCAGGCTGGTCTCAAACTCCTGACCTCAGGTAATCCACCCGCCTTGGCCTCCCAAAATGCTGGGATTATAGGCGTGAGCCACCACACCCAGCCCTAACCTCATTTTCTCCCCCTGTCCATTACACTCCAGCCACCCTGGCCGCTTGAATATTCCTCAAACACATGATCACGTTCCCGCCTCAGAGTCTTATTTGCTATTCTCTCTGCTGAGAACATCTGCCCCTGTTCCTGGAGCATTCTTACCCAGTCTCCTCCAAATATTCATCCCCGTGGCTCATCCCTCACCTCCCTCCTGTTTTTATTCAAACAACATATTCTCAGTGAAGCCCTCCTTGACTACCCTTGACCGCTCTATTTAATAGCACAACATGTCCCCCACCTCCTGCTTTCTTTTTATTCTAAGCACATGCCACCATCTCAAGCACTATGTATGCAGATCTTTGTTTATGATCTGCCTCTGTCTCTAGAATGCAAGCTCATGAGCATAGGGGTTTTTGTCTGTTTTGTGCACTGCTGTATCCCTAGGCCCTAAAACAGAGCCGGGTACATAAGAAACCCTCACTGAATATTGGAGGAAATGCAAAACCTCAAAAGAATTATTAGAATTTTTTCTTTTTTTTTTTTGAGAGATGGCATCTCACTCTGTCACCTACGTGTTGGGGTGCAGTGACACGATCATAAATCACTAAAGCCTCAAACTCCTGGGCTCAAGGGTTCCTCCTGCCTCAGCCTCCCAAGTAGCTAGAAATATAGGCACACGCCACCATGCTCAGCTAATTTTTCTTTTTCTTTGCCTTTCTTTTTTTTTTTTTTTTTTTTTGAGACAGAGTTTCACCCTTCTCACCCAGGCTGGAGTGCAATGGTGCCATCTCAGCTCACTGCAACCTCCGCCTCCCGGGTTCAAGTGATTCTCCTGCCCCAGCCTCCCGAGTAGCTGAGATTACCAGCACCTGCCACCTCGCCCAGCTAATTTTGCATTTTTAGTAGAGATGGGGTTTCTCCATGTGGGTCAGGCTGGTCTCGAACTCCTGACCTCAGGTGATCTGCCCGCCTCGGCCTCCCAAAGTGCTGGGATTACAGGCATGAGCCACCACGCCTGGCAAATTTTTTAATTTTTCATGGAGATGGAGTTGTCACTATGTTGCCCAGGCTGGTCCTGTACTCTTGGGCTCAAGCGATCTTCCTGCCTCGGCCTCCCCAAGTCGGCCTCCCAAAGTGCTGGGATTACAGGTGTGAGCCACTGCACCCCAGCATATATTTCTTTTTAAAGGTAAACATATGTATTAGAGTTCTTCAGAGATGCAGAACCAAAGTAATGCAGAACCAATAGGATATGTATACAACTGCGTATATACACCTGAATTCTATTGGTTCCGCATTTCCGAAGAAGAGATGAGAGAGAGATTTATTTTAAGGAAACAGTTCACATGATACTGGGGGCTGGTAAGACTGAAATATGTAGGGCAAGCAGCAGGCTGCAATTTCAGTGAAGAATTGGTGTTGCATTGCAGTCTTGAGTCCAAATTCCTGAGGTCAGCAGACTGGAAATCAGGTAGGGCTTCTATGTTGCAGTCCTGAGGAAAATTCTTCTACAGGAAACCTCGGTGTTTGCTCTTAATGCCTTCACCTGCTTAGATGAAGCCCACTCACATTACAGAGGGCAACCTGCTGTCCTCCAAGCCCACTAACTGTAACTGTCACTCACACATGAAAAACACCTTCACAGCAACGTCTAGGCTGGCATTTGACCAATCGACTGGGTACCATACTCCAGCTGGGTTCCAGGTTGACACATACAATTAACCCTCACAGCACAGAGAAGAAAAATAAAGAAAGCTACACAATTCCTATTCTTTTTTTTTCTTTTTTCTTTCTTTCTTTTCTTTTTTTTTTTTTTTTTTTTGAGATGGAGTCACACTCTGTTGCCCAGGCTGGAGTGCAGTGGGGCGATCTTGGCTCGTGATCTTGACTCATGGCAACTTCCGCCTCCTGGATTCAAGTGATTCTCCTGCCTCAGCCTCCCGAGTAGCTGGGATTACAGGTACCCACCAACACGCCAGGCTAATTTTTTGTGTTTTTAATAGAGACAGGGTTTTACCATGTTGCCCAGGCTGGTTTCAAACTCCCGACCTTAGGCAATCCACCTGCCTCGGCCTCCCAAAGTGCTGGGATTACAGGCATGATCTACCATGCCTGGCTAATTTTTGTGTTAAAAATACAAAAACTACTAAAAGTAGAGACGGGGTTTCACCATGTTGGCCAGGCTGGTCTCTAACTCCTGACCTCAAATGAACCACCCGCCTTGGCCTCCCAAAGTGCTAGCATTGCAGGTGTGAGCCACCACGCCTGGCCCACAATCCCTATTCTTGAGGGGTGATGGGAAAGACAGTAGGAAATACAGACGAATATAACAAATGCCATGTTACAGAAGCACAAGGAAAGTTCTGTGGAAGGGTAGAGTTTTTGGTGGGGGGCCAGCTGGGACGACTTCATAAGGAAGTGGTCTTTGAGTTCAGTCTTGCAGGATACACGGAATTTCGATAGGAGGAAAAGGCATTTTTCAGACTACTGAAACCTAGAGCCTGAAAATGCTTGACACATTTGGTAAATGGCCAAAAGTCTTCAGGAAGCAAACTCTTGCTACCGTAGCATCTGCTTCCTGTACCTCCAATTCAATGCTAACATTATGCTGCCTTAATTTGCTCATTATATTTATTTTCCCATGTAGAAGTCTTGATTCTCCATTCTTGAGAACAGGCATATTATACTTTTTTATCCCTAATAGTTCCCAGGTCATAGAAAATACTTAAAATTGTATCTAACTAAAAGTATGTGGCTAAGGTGAACTTGCCTGTCCATGCTCCTATCTTCTGATATAATTTTTCTTTGCACAATTGCTCTTCTGGATAAGTCTGTGTAGTTTAAGTCTACCTGAGCCGTACCGTGGGATCAGGAGTGGGTGCATGATACAGCTTTATCCCGTCGCTCTCAGAAATAGGGGCAGGCTCTGCTATATAGTCTAGGCTCTTTCTGTGGCAAGCAGTAGCAACCAATTCACACAGACTTAAGAAACAAAGGGGATTACTGCACGAAGAAATCAGAAATGACACAAACAAATGGAAAAACACTCCTTGCTTATGGATAAGAATAATCAATTTCATGAGAATGGCCATACTGCCCAAAGCAATTTATAGATTCAATGCTATTCCCATTAAACTAGCATTGACATTCTCCATAGAATTAGAAAAAGCTATTTTAAAATTCATATGGAACCAAAACAGGCATCACACTACCTGACTTCAAATTATATTACAAGGCTACAGTAACCAAAACAGCATGGTACTGGTACAAGAATAGACACATAGACCAATGGAACAGAACAGAGACCCAGAAATAAGACCACACACCTAAAACCATCTGATTTTTTTTTCTTTTTTTGAAATGGAGTGTCACTCAGTCACCCAGGCTGGAGTGCAGTGGTCCAATCTCAGCTTACTGCAACCTCTGCCTCCCAGGTTCAAGCTATTCTCCTGCCTCAGCCTCCTGAGTACCTGGGACTACAGGCACGTGCCACTATGCCCAGCTAATTTTTTGTATTTTTAATAGAGATGGGGTTTCACCATGTTAGCCGGGATGGTCTTGATCTCCTGACCTCATGATCCACCCCCCTTGGCCTCCCAAAGTGCTGGAATTACAGTCATGAGCCATCACGCCCGGCCAACCATCTGATTTTTAACAAACCTGACCAAAACAAGCAGTAAGGAAAGGATTCTCTATTTAATAAGTGGTGCTGGAAGAACTGGCTAGCCATATACAGAAAATTGAAACTGGAACCCTTCCTTACACCATATACAAAAATCAAGTCAAGATGTATTAGGCAGGGCACAATGGCTGTAATCCCAGCACTTTTGGAGGCTGAGGCAGGTGGATCATTTGAGGTCAGGAGTTTGGAACCAGCCTGGCCAACATGGTAAAACCCTGTCTCTACTAAGAATATAAAAATTAGCTGGGTGTAGTGGCAGGTACCTGTAATCCCAGCTACTCGGGAGGCTAAGGCAGGAGAATCGCTTGAGCCTGGGAGGTAAAAGTTGCGGTAAACCGAGATTGCGCCACTGCACTCCAATCTGGGTGACAGAGTGAGACCCTGTCTCAAAAAAAAAAAAAGTATATATATATATATATAAAAGACTTAAATGTTAAACCCCAAACTATAAATACCCTAGAAGAGGGCCAGGCGCAATGGCTCATGCCTGTAATCTCAGCACTTTAGAAGGCCAAAGCGGGCAGATCACCTGAAGTCGGGAGTTCTAGACCAGCCTGGCCAACATGGTGAAACCCTGTCTCTACTAAAAATACAAAATTAGCTGAGCATAGTGGCATGTACCTGTAATCTCAGCTACTCAGGAAGCTGAGGCAGGAGAATTGCTTGAAACCGGGAGGTGCACTCAAGGCTGGGTGACAACAGTGAAACTCCGTCTCAAAAACAAACAAAAAAACCCTAGAAGAAAATCTAGGCAATACTGCTCAGGACATAGGCATAAGCAAAGATTTCATGATGAAGACACCAAAGGCATTTGCAACAAAAGCAAAAATTGACAGATGGGATCTAATTAAAGAGCTTCTGCACAGCAAAAGAAACTATCGTCAGAGTGAACAGACAACCTACAGAACGGGAGAAGATTTTTTGCAATCTATCCTTCTGACAGAGGTCTAACATCAAGCATCTACAAGGTACTTACACAAACTTACAAGAAAAAAACAACCCCATTAAAAAGTGGGCAAAGGACATGAACAGACACTTCTCAAAAGAAGACATACATGCGGCCAACAAACATGAGAAAAAGCTCAACATCACTGATCATTAGAGAAATGCAAATAAAAACCATGATGAGATACCATCTCACACCAGTCAGAATGGCTATTTTTTTGTTTGGTTGTATGTTTGTTTTTTTTGAGACAGAGTTTCACTGTTATTGTCCAGGTTGGAGTGCAATGGTGTGATCTTGGCTCACTGCAACCTCTGCCTCCCGGGTTCAAGTGATTCTTCTGCCTCAGACTCCTAAGTAGCTGGGATTACAGGCATGCGCCACCACGCCCAGCTAATTTTGTATTTCTAGTAGAGATGGGGTTTCTCCATGTTGGTCAGGCTGGTCTCGAACTCCCAACCTCAGGTGATCTGCCTGCCTCAGCTTCCCAAAGTGCTAGGATTACAGATGTGAGCCACCGCACCCGGCCGCAGAATAGCTATTATTAAAAAGTCAAAAAATAATGGATGCTGGTGAGGTTGTGGAAAAAGAGGAACACTTGTGCACTGTTGCTGGGAGTATAAATTAGTTCAACCATTGTGGAAGACAGTGTGGTGATTTCTCAAAACCCTAGAGGCAGAAATACCATTTGACTCAGCACTTTCGTTCCTGGGTATATATCCAAAGGAATATAAATCATTTTGTTTTGAAGATACATGCACGTGTATGTTCGTTGCAGCACTATTCACAATAGCAAAGACATGGAATCAACCCAAATGCCCATCAATGATAGACTGGATAAAGAAAATATGGTGGCTGGATGGAGATACTCAACGAAATACCCTTTTCCCTCCAACCCACACCCCTCATGAGGCAGGGGCTGATTTTTGAGGACATCCTTGTGGCCACTTCTCACATTAGACCTTCCAGCCCAGCCCATGGACCCACATTTCAGTGCCAGGGAGAGAGAAAAGGTCCAGCATTAAAAGTGAAAGTTGTATCCTCATTAACATCTCTGAGAGCACAGGGAGAGACATGATGTTGACAGGAACAGTGTGGGTGGCCTGGTATCAGAGTGTAGCTTAAAGGGTGAGAGTGTATTCTGCCCACCTGGGTAAGGACCCTGCAGGTCTGTGACACTAGGAGGGCTCCAGAAGACAGAGTGAAGCTTTGATCATCAAAGCTTCTAGCTCAGGAGTGGCTTGAATGGGGCAGGTCCAGGCCTGAGGTTCTGGTGACACCAGGCACCAACGACTTGAAAGCCACGGGAGCAACACCGCTTGGGGGAAGCAAGGAGGCATGGCCTCTGCAGAAGTCCTCATCCTCAGTGGTGCGTGATGACACCAGGAGGGGTCCTCATGTGTGGTGGTGAGCAGCATGGCTTTTGGAGTTAGCCTTCCTGGGCTTTATCTTGGCATCACCACTTACTTACTAGTCCCTAATGGTGGCTTCTCTGTGGGGTGTTGTGAGGATTTGCTCAGGTAATGCAGGTGCACGATTGAACCCAGTGTCTTGCTTGTAGTTCTCTTTAGTGTTACTGTTCTTATTAAGGGGCTCGACAGGATGTGAGACCTCAGCAGAAGACTCCTGTGAAGGATAATGGAGCAGAAGGGAATGGGAAGGAGCCTCAGAAATAACAGGGGTCTTTGCAGCAGTGGGGGTGGGGCTGAGCTAGGAGAATGTTGCCTATTTCTGTGAGAGTGAATCTGTCATTTTTTGTTTTTGTGTGTGTGTGTGTTTTGAGACAAGGTCTTGCTCTGTCGCCCAGGATGGAGTACAGTGGCACGATCTTGACTCACCTGCCACCTCTGCCTCCTAGGATCAAGCGATCCTCCCAGCTTAGCCTCCCAAATAGCTGGGACTACAGACGTGCACACCATGCCCAGATAATTTTTTTGTAGAGAAGAGGCCTCACTATATTTCTGAGGCTGGTCTTGAACTCCTGGGCTCAAGCAATCCTCCTGCCTCATCCTCCCAAAGTGCTGGGATTACAGGTTTGAGACACTGCATCCAGCCAAATCCATTGTTTTTACCCTTAGGGCTCTGAGGCCTCAGGAGACATGAGTTATTCAGGCCAGACAGGGAGTGAAGCTAGGATTCACAGTGGATTTTCAATACTTCACTAAGAAGCTTGGATTTCATTCAAGAGGTTGTGAAGAACAACTGAAGAGAACTGTATTAACATTAATCTGAAGGTCTGTGCAAAGAAGTCAGAAAAGGGGAAGCTCCCAGAAAGAGAGACCAATTAAAAGATTATTACCATAGACTGAGGGAGAAAGCATAAGGAGCCGAAATAGGACAGTAGCGTCGAGAATGGAAATGAAGGGACAGATGTGAAGGAGACACTTGGCGACAGAACTATCCCAGGATATATAAAGCATCTGCTTGCCCAAGTCTTCAATGTGTTTCAGTCCAGATCCTAGAGCTTTAGAAACTATGCAAACTAGCACCTTGCCATATGCAATCCAGCAAGCTCTTAGATTTTTAGTTGTTGTTTGCATTTACTGTTTTAAACAATTACATGATTTTTCCCAACTAAAATTCTAATTGCTTTATCGAACACTACATTGAATAATGATTCTCTAGCACAAATATCTTAGTTGATTTTCTATTCCCAGATCATTTTAAATTTGTACATTTTAAACTATTTTACCATCTGCTGACCCATTATAAATCAAATAATTTTTTTTTTTGAGACGAAGTTTCACTCTTGTTGCCCAAGCTGGAGTGCAATGGCATGATCTCGGCTCACCGCAACCTCCGCCTCCTGGGTTCAAGGGATTCTCCTGCTTTAGCCTCCCGAGTAGCTGGGATTACAAGCATGCACCACCACGCCCCGCTAATTTTGTATTTTTAGTAGAGACAAGGCTTCACCATGTTGGCCAGGTTGGTCTCGAACTCCTGATCTCAGGTGATCCACCTGCCTCAGCCTCCCAAAGTGCTGGGATTACAGTCATGTGCCACCGCGCCAACCTCAAATAAATAACTAATAAAGTATATAATAAATGGCAAATATGATACTTAACAAAATGTCATGCTTTCTGTACTGTTGCTAACAATGTCCATTTCTCACATCAGTGCTTTATTTTCCTTTCATATTGATTTAAAATACTTATTCTCACCAGGTGCAGTGGCTCACACCTGTAATCCCAGCACTTTGAGAGGCTGAAGTGGGAGGACTGACCTCAGGATTTCAAGACCAGCCTGGGAAACATAGAGAGACTTCGTCTGTACTAAAAATTTTTTAAAATTAGCCAAGCATGGTGGTGTGTGCCTATAGTCTCTGCTACATGGGAGGCCAAGACAAGAGGATTGACTGCGTCTGGGAAGTTGAGGCTACAGTGAGCCATGATCACGCCACTGTGCTCCAGCATGGGCAACAGAGCAAGACCTTGTCTCAAAAAAGAAAAAAAAAAAAGAGTATCCTCTATATGAAAAGAAGAAAAGGAAAATTAAAAAAAAAGAACAGGAGAAAAAGAAATATGACAAATAAATCTATTAACAAATTATAACCAGATCACTAAGATTTAAGACAAATATACTAACATTAATGACTTGTTAATGCCATTACTTGCCACTGTGTTCCTGATTTAAGAATTTGGGGCCTGGCGCAGTGACTCACTCCTGTAATCCCAGCACTTTGGGAGGCTGAGGCGGGCGGATCACCTGAGGTCAGGAGTTCGAGACCAGCCTGACCAACATGGAGAAACCCCGTCTTCACTAAAAATACAAAATTAGCTGGGCATGGTGGCGCATGCCTGTAATCCCAGCTACTTAGGTGGCTGAGGCGGGAGAATCCCTTGAACCCGGGAGGTGGAGGCTGCGGTGAGCTGAGATCGCACCACTGCACTCCAGCCTGGGCAACAAGAGCGAAACTCTGTCTCGAAAAAAAAAAAAAAAGAATTTGGATAGTAAACTGAGAACTAAGAATTAGGAACACTTAAAAAAGGAAGTAGAAATGTGCAAACCTGGGTGATTTGTTCAGTTTTCCAGGAATGAAATTATTTAATACTATTACGTGATATTATGCTTGCTTTTTCCTCAACAATTAACTGAGGCTAATGACACCTACCTCCCAATGTTATTGTGAGGATTAAACAAAGTAACTTCTGCTTTTCTTTTTGAGACGGAGTTTCACTCTCGTTGCCCAGGCTGGAGTATAATGGCATAGTCTCAGCTCACTGCAACCTCCACCTCCCAGGTTCAAGCGATTCTCCTGCCTCAGCCTCCCGAGTAGCTGGGATTACAGGTGCCTGCCACCAGGCCCGGCTAATTTTTTGTATTTTTAGTAGAGACGGGGTTTCACCATGTTGGCCAGGCTGGTCTCAAACTCCCGGCCTCAGGTGATCCACCCGCCTCGGACTCCCAAAGTGCTGGGATTACAGGCATGAGGCACCATGCCCGGCCAAACAAAGTAACTTCTGTTAAACTACGAAGTGTGATACATATGTAAAATGTTACCTTTTTCTTTTTTTTCTTTCTTTTTTTGAGAGAGGGTCTTGCTCTGTCACCCAGGCTGGAGTGCAGTGGGGCAAACAGCTCACTCACCACAGCCTCGACTTCTTGGGTTCATGTGATCTTCCTGCCTCAGCCTCCTAGTAGCTGGGACCACAGGTGCACGCCACCATGACTGGCCAATTATTATTATTATTTTGTAGATACAAGGTCTCACTGTGTTGCCCAGCCTAGTTTTGAACTCCTGGGCTCAAACAATCCTCTCGCCTTGGCCTCCCAAAGTGCTAAGATTGCAGGCGTGAGCCACCACACCTGGCCTAATTTTTCTAAAATACTGAAATTTAGAGTATGTTTAGTTAGCATTCATGAAGAAAGTTAATCCATAAATGGAATGGATTTGAATTGAACATTCTTAGGTAATTTGTTAACCAGACACATTTGTCAGCCATCTTGACTGGTCCGTGGAGATAACATACACTGTGGACAGATGACAGGTGACCCACGAGTACTTCCCCACTAGCATTAGCAGCCTGGCAGCACAAGACAGCTTATTTCTCAACAAGCCCTTTCTCTGGAGCCATAAAATAGCATCATCAATTTTTTTTTTTTTTTTTTTTTTTAGACAGAGTTTCGCTCTTATTGCCCAGGCTGGAATACAATGGCACGATCTCAGCTCACCGCAACCTCTGCCTCCTGGGTTCAAGCAATTCTCCTGCCTCAGCCTCCCAAGTAGCTGGGATTACAGGCATGTGCCACCACACCCGGCTAATTTTGTATTTTTAGTAGAGACGGGGTTTCTCCATGTTGGTCAGGCTGGTCTTGAACTCCCTACCTCATGTGATCCACCCACCTTGGCCTCTCGAAGTGCTGGGATTAGAGGTATGACCCACCATGCCCAATCGCATTATCAATTTCTTAAGCTAAAAAGAGACTTGTATTAATTTATTAAATCAAGTCGTTATCAAATGCCTGTTTTAAACAGGTAAACTGAATGTTATGGTGGTTTGAAGCTGGGCAACCCACTTCCAGTCTCTTATCATCAGTACAAGAGCAGAATTTGGGGCCTGACAGACCTTAATTTGAATCCTGGCTGTGGTCGGGCACAGTGGCTCATGCCTATAATCCTAGCACTTTCTGAGCCTGAGGTGGGAGGATCCCTTGAGCCCAGGAAACTGAAGCTTCAGTGAGCTGGGATCAAGCCACTGCACTCCAGCCTGGATGACAGAGCAAGATCCCATCTCTTAAAAATTTATAAGTAAACAAAAAATTAAAAGATCCTGACTGCCACAGAGAGAGAAAGGGAGGCTCTACATACATACAACTGTTCCTGTTATCTTTTGCTGTACAATAATCCACCCCAAAATTTAGTGACTTAAAATGACAATTTATTATAATTTCTACTAATTCTGTGGGTTGATTTGCTCAGCTGGGCAATTCTTCCTTTTTTTTTTTTTTTTTTTTGTGACAGTCTGTCTTTGTCGCCCAGGCTGGAGTGTGGTAGTGTGATCCCGGCTCACCGCAGCCTCCACCTCCCAGGTTCAAGCGAGTCTCCTGCCTCCAGCCTCCCGAGTAGCTGGGAACCACAGGCACATGCCACCATGCCCAGCTAATTTTTGTATTTTTAGTAGATACAGGGGTTTCACCATGTTGACCAGGCTGGTCTTGAACTCCTGACATCAAGTGATCTTCCCGCCTCCGCCTCCCAAAGTGCTGGGATTACAGGCACGAGCCACCGTACCTGGCCAATTCTCTCTTAGATTCTTTCACGTAACTGCAACATGATGGTGGTTGGAAAAAGAGTCATCCGAAGCTCAACTAGAATGCACGACCGAGATGGCTTCTTCATTTATGTCGTCTTGTGTTTTAGTATATGGAATAGCTACAAACTAGCCAGGAAACAATATCTGTCACTCTCCATGCAGCCTCTCTACAGGACTCACCTGGGCTTCCTCATGCTATGATGCCTTCGTGATACTTGGACCTCTGACACAGGGGGCCGCATTCCCCCAGAACACCCATTTCAAGAGCAAGTATTCCAAGAGGTTGAAAACACAAGCTGTCAGTCCTTCTAAAGTCTGGAACTGTCACAGGGTTACTTTTGCTGCATTCTATTGGGTAAGCAGATACAGGGCCACACAGATTCAAAGGGAGGGGAAATAAACTCCATGAGGAGAATGATAAAGATTTTTGCAGCCATTTTAAATTCATTACAATGACTATGAAACATTTCCTAGATATATTAAGTGGAAAAAAAAAAGGAGGTTAAAGAATGTATGTTTAGCTGAGCACGGTGGCTCATGCCTGTAATCCTAGCACTTTGGGAGGCTGAGGCAGGCGAATCGCTTGAGGTCAGGAGTTCAAGACCAGCCTGGCCAATATGGTGAAACCCCATCTCTACTGAAGATACAAAAATTAGCCAGCAGTGGCTCACACCTCTAATCCCAGCACTTTGGGAGGCCAAAGTGGGTGGATCACCTGAGGTCAGAAGTTCAAGACCAGCCTGGCCAACATGGTGAAGCCCCATCTCAACTAAAAATACAAAAATTAGCCAGGCATGATGGTAGGCATCTGTAATCCCAGCTACTTGGGAGGCTGAGGCAGGAGAATCGCTTGAACCAGGGAGTTGGAGATTGTAGTGAGCCGAGATTGCGCCATTGCACTCCAGCCTGGGCAACAAGAGCAAAACTCCATCTCAAAAAAAGAAAAAAAAAAGCTGGGCATGATGGTGCACGCTTATGATTCCAGCTACTGGGGAGGCTGAGGTGGGGGTATCGCTTGAACCCAGGAGGAGGAGGCTGCAGTGAGCTGAGATTGTACCACTGCACTCCAGCCTGGGCAACAGAGTGATACTCCATCTCCAAAAAAAAAAAATTGTATTTAGTATGGTATATTTGATTTAAAAAAAAAAGGAGAGTTTTTTTGTTTTTGTTTTTGTTTTTTTTTTTTTAAGAGACAGAGTCTCACTTTGTTGCCCAGGCTGGAGTGCAGTGGTACAATCTCAGCTCACTGCAGCCTTGAACTCCTGGGCTCAAATAATCTTCCCACTTCAGTCCCTCCAGTATCTGGGACTGCAGGCACAAGCCACCACACCCATCTAATTTTTAAAAAATTTCTTGTAGAGACAGGGTCTCACTAGTTGCCTAGGCTGGTCTTGAACTCCTCGCCTCAAGTGATCCTCTCACCTCAAGTGATCCTCCCGCCTCAGCCTCCCAAAGAGCTAGGATTACAAGAGTGAACCGCCACACCAGGCCAAAGGAGACTATTTTATTTACTTAATTTATTTTATTATTACTATTTTTTTTTCTTGAGACAGAGTCTTGCTCTGTCGCCAGGCTGGAGTGGAGTGGCGCGATCTTGGCTCACTGCAACCTCCGCCTCCCAGGTTCAAGTGATTCTCCTGCCTCAGCTTCCTGAGTAGCTGGGACTACAGGTGCGTGCCACCATGCCCAGCTGATTTTTTTGTATTTAATAGAGACGGGGTTTTCACCATGTTGGCCAGGAAGGTCTCGATCTCCTGACCTCGTGATCCACCTGCCTCGGCCTCCCAAAGTGCTGGGATTACAGGCATGAGCCACCACGCCCGGCCAAGACTATCTTAAAATGTGTTAGTATATGCTCAGATAATATCAGCAATGATACATGTGAACCTGGTAAGTGTTTTTAGGAAGGGGAATTAGATGACTGGGTGACAAAGATGGGAGGTGGAAACTTCCTATTGTATACTCTTTTTTATATGTCTTTAACTTTATATCATGTGCATATATTACCTATTCAAATTCGACATCAATTTTTATAGAGACATAACATTTGCCACAATTTATGTCACAAGTGAAATAAATATTGCTTGTGGTGGATAATCTGACAATACTTAACATAGTCAATTAAAGAAATATCAGTTTGTTACCAACTTTGTAGCTTCTTGATCTTCAGTGTGAAAAGCCTGTATAAAAGATCACTCTGTTAAAATGGAACCAGTGGTCAGAGCAGCTACAATTGCATAATAGAACATAAAACACAAATACCAGCTCTTCAGGGAGGAACCATAGGGCTAATTTCCACATTCTTTACATTTCTTCGTTAGCATAACAGACAAATATTTGAACAATTCTTGCTCTAACAGGGCACATGATTTTTCATTAGAAATGGTTGCAAAATGGCTAGGTGCGGTGGCTCACGCCTGTAATCCCAGCACTTTGGGAGGCCGAGGTGAGTGGATCACAAGGTCAGGAGTTAGAGACCAGCCTGGCCAATATGGTGAAATCCTGTCTCTACTAAAAATACAAAAATTAGCCATACATGGTGGCAGGCACCTGTAGTCCCAGCTACTCGAAAGGCTGAGGCAGGAGAATTGCTTGAACCCGGGAGGCGGAGGTTGCAGTGAGCTGAGATCGCGCCACTGCACTGCAGCCTGGGCAACAGAGCAAGACTCTGTCTCAAAAAAAAAAAAAAAAAAAGGAAAGAAAGAAATGATTGCAAAACTTCGTGTTTAACTATTAAATCAGATTTGATTGAGTAAGAGGAAAGATAGGAAGAGAGAGGGAAGAAGAAACTTCTGTTTCTATCTGTGAAGTATTTTAATAAAAATACTAGAGCTACAAAACTAGATGTTTTACTTGGTGTGACTGAATGGTTTCTTAACTTTGAGCAACAGTAAGTCTCATCTGCAAATTATTGGCATCTCAGCTAGTATTACTAATTTGGGACACATTTAAAAAACAAGTTTTAAGAGTCATTTTCCAGAAATTGTCATATAACTGCAACAGAACAGTAATGAGACTGAACTTATTACCAAAAAATGCTCATTTTCAACAACTGTACTTTGGGCCTATCTGATAGTCTTCCTGTTAATGAGGAATAGTTTAGTTTTTGGGTTTTTTTTTTTTTTTTTTTTCAAATAAATCAAGGGATTGAATTCTTTGTAACTTTTTCTTTTTCTGAAATGCAATACAAATGTTCTTAAAATACAGGATTGCCAAGATTGATACTGGCTTTTGAAAGGATACTAATAACATTTTAGTTGCTAAGATTTCTTTTTATATATAGAAAATACTCCTGCTATTCTTAAGAAGTATTTTAAAGATCCAAAGACAGAATTTTGATTGTAGCTTTTATACAATGTTGCCATTATTTTCCATGATTCTATTGCCAAAAAGGAAGGTATAGCATATGAGTACTATAAGCAGCCTGTGAATATCTTTGCTTGCAACAGAATTTAGAAGAAATGATAAATGTGTGCCACTTAAAGGGTATTGTGAGAAAACTGCAATGTTTTAAGGCAAAATGGGTCCACTGAAGTAAGAAAGCTTCAAGTTAAATGGGAAAATAAATCATGATAGCCTCTCTTAATTTGCCATGATTCAGTATGGGTGAGGAGAAGTTAAATGTAGTAGACATATGTTGTGTTTTTCTGGCTGTCCACCATCCTCCCCTTCCCCCTTCCTATCAGCAGCTCAATCTTCCCTTGGAAGGAATTTCCTGTTGTATGTTTTGTTAATGCATGGGCTATCCCTGGAACACACCTCCCAATGCTCATGCCCAGTACAGAAGCAGAGGGCTAGGTCCTTCCTCCAGCTGCCCTTTGGTGCCCCTGGGGAGGAGACACATGACCCAATTTGAGCAATAAAGTGCTCCCTACCAGGATTTTGCATCTTGAGCGAGTGAACCAGACCGGGGCCATCTGGGAGTCAGATTGCTCCCAGCGGCAGGAGCGTGGTACTGAGGCTGGGCATCTCTGCTGCCTCACCTCCATGGTGCCCCTGTATCCAACTGTATTCAAAGCCCTCTAGCCTTCTGTCATGTTGGTGAGTCTCTGATGCCTACCTGTGTTATTGAGATATGGGTTCTGTTGCATGTAACAGAAACCAAAAATAATGGATACTTAAGGCACAAGTTTATTTCTCTTTCACATAAAAGTTTGAACATAGGCATTTTAGGAACTCTGGTTGATCTGGAACCCAGAATACTCTGTCTGCTTTGCCATCCCCAAGGTATGGACTTCCTCATGGTCCAAGATGGAGCTACAGCCATCACATAAGTAATGGGAAAAAGGAAGAAGTATATACCTTCACCCTTCAAGGATAAGTTTAGGCTGGGTGCAGTGGCTGTCACCTATAATCTCAGCACTTTGGGAAGCCGAGGTAGGCGGATTACTTGGGCTCAGGAGTTCAAGAGCAACCTGGGCAACATGGTGAAACCCCATCTCTACTAAAAATACAAAAATTAGCCAGGTGTGGTGGCACACACCTGTAATCCCAGCTACTTGGAAGGCTAAGGCAGGAGAATCACTGAAACCCGGGAGGCAGAGGTTGCAGTGAGCCAAGATCACACCACAGCACTCCAGCCTGGGCAACAGAATGAGACTCTATCTCAAAAAAGAAAAAGAAAAAAAAAAAAGCCAGGCATGATGGCACACACTTGTAGTCCCAGCTGCTTAGGAGGCTGAGGTGTGAGGATTGCTTGAGATCCAGGGTGGGGCAGAGGTTGCAGTCAGCTGAGACTGTGCCTCTGCACTCCAGCCTGGATGATGGAGTGAGACCCTGTCTCAAAAAAAAAAAAAAAAAAGGATAAGTGTAGGAAGTTGCACACATTACTTCTGTTTATATACCACTGGCCAGAACTTAGTCACATGGCTAGACCTAGCTGCAAGGGAGGCTGGGGAAAGTGGTATTATGTGCCAAGGGTTCTTACTGGAAGCTTTCTACTCTTTCCTGAGTAAAAAGGAAAGAATAGAAATTAAATAACAACTAGCACTCTCTCACAGACCTTTCATAAATACTTCTTAAGACAGCCAGAGATGGCTTCTGTTACTTCCAACCAAGAATCATGTCCCACCACCCAACAGTCTCGTGTCTATTGTTCCCATTTATTTATTTATTTATTTATTTATTTATTTAATGTATTTATTTATTTGAGACAGAGTCTCTCTCTTCATCCAGGCTGGAGTGCAGTGGTGCGATCTCGGCTCACTGCAACCTCCATCTCCCTGGTTCAAGCGATTCTCGTACCTCAGCCTCCTGAGTAGTTGGGGCTACAGGCACACATCACCACCCCTGGCTAATTTTTGTATTTTTAGTAGAGACGGGGTTTCACCATGTTGGCCAGGCTGGTCTTGAACTCCTGACCTAATGTGATCTGACCACCTCAGCCTCCCAAAGTGTTGGGATGACAGGTAAGAGCCACCACCCGGCCTATTGTTCCCATCTTTATGTCCATGTGTATCTGATGTTTAGCTTCCACTTACAAGTGAGAGCATGTGGTATTTGGTTTTTTGCTCCTGCCTTGATTCTCTTAGGATGATGACCTCCAGCTGCATCCATGCTGCTGGAAAGGACATGATTTCATTCTTTTTTATGGCTGTGTAGTAGTGAATGGAGTATACGTACCACATGTTCTTTATCTAATCCATCACAGTTGGGCACCTAGGTTGATCCCATGTCTTTGATATTGTGAATAGTGCTGCACTGAACATAGGAGCACATGTGTCTTTTTGGTGGAATGATTTATTTTCCTTTAGGTATGTATCTAGCAATGGTATTGCTGAGTCAAATGGTAGCCCTGTTTTAAGTTCTTTGAGAAATCTTCAAACTGCTTTCCACAGAGGTTGAACTAATTTACATTCCCACCAACAGTGTATAAGCATTCCCTTTTCTCCACAGCCTTGCCAGCACCTTTTTTTTTTTTTTTTTTTTTTTTGAGACTGAGTCTCACTCTGTCACCCAGGCTGAAGTGCAGTGGTGCAATCTCAGCTCACTGCAACCTCTGCCACCCCAGTTCAAGCAATTCTCCTGCCTCAGCCTCCCGAGTAACTGGGACTACAGGTGCAAGCCACCATGCCTGGCTAATATTTTGTATTTTAGTAGAGATGGCATTTCACCGTGTTGTCCAGGCTGGTCTCAAACTGCTGAACTCAGGCAATCTGACCACCCCGGCCTCCCAAAGTGCTGGGATTACAGGTGTGAGCAACCGCATCCTGCCTGCCAGCATTTATTATTTTTTGACTTTTTAGTAATAGCCATTCTGGGATAAGCATGGTGGCTCATGCCTGTAATCCCAGCACTTTGGGAGGCCGAGGTGGGTGGATGGCTTGAGCTCAGGGGTTCAAGACCAGCCTGGGCAACATGGCAAGACCCCATCTCTAAAAAATACAAAAATTAGGCGGGCATGGTATCACATGCCTGCAAGTCCCAGCTACGAGCAGCTGACACAGGAGGATCGCTGGAGCCCAGGAGGTCGAGGTTGCAGTGAGCCATGTTCACACCACCATACTCCACCCTGTGTGACAAAGCAAGACCCTGTCTCAAAAAAAAAAAATTAATAATAATAATAATAGCCATTCTGACTGGTATGAGATGGTATCTCATTGTGCTTTTCCTTTGTTTCTTTAAAGATTAGTGATGTTGAACATTTTTTCGTATGTTTGTTGGCTGCTACATTTCAACATTCTTTAGTAATTTAATTCAACATAAGTCATCTATATGAGCTGAAATTACTATACCATCGTATAGTCAGAGGTTATAGATAAATGCATGAAGATCATTTTTGCCTTGTCAAAATACTGTGCCACATACAGTTATCAATAAAGTGAGTGATGTAATAGTAAATCATTATACTCTCATGACATAAAAGAAAGAAAATAAAGTTAATATGTACAAATAATATTAATGCTGACTATGTAATGAAGCCATGTTTTCTTATCAGGATGTTCATGAATAAAATGAAATGACAGCACAAGGACATTTATTACATAATTTTCTACAGTAGAATAAATTCCTATATGTAACAGAAAGTCAGATGAAATTAAATTAAACTGAAAGGAAAATACTTGAATTAGACCAAATAAAGAAGTTTCTGATGAAAAATTATTACAGGAATTGATTACTGAGCTTGTTACAGACTCCCTGGAATGGACAATTACCTGTCTAGGATAACTTAATTATGGTTCTGCCTAGAGGCATGAGGCTGAGTTGACGACTTCTGCACTAGGATTTTATAGTTTTATTGAAAAAAATATAAAACCTGCACAGTTTTTAATTTAAACTTTTTTTTTTTTTTTTTGAGATGGAAGTATGCTCTTGTCTCCCAGGCTGGAGTGCAATGGCACAATCTTGGCTCACTGCAACCTCTGCCTCCCAGGCTGAAGCAATTTTCCTGCCTCAGCCTCCTGAGTAGCTGGTATTACAGGTGCCCACCACCTTGCTTGGCTAATTTTTGTATTTTTAGTAGAGACAGCGTTTCACCATGTTGCCCAGGCTGGTCTTGAACTTCTGACCTCAGGTGATCCACCTGCCTCGGCCTCCCAAAGTGCTGGGATTACAGGCATGAGCCACCGCGCCTGGCCTAAATTTAAACTTATGAGGCATATAGTGGAATACACTCATTTGGAGATCAAACTATTGGCTGGGCAACAGTTTGAACAATAGTTCTCAACATCTAGTACTTTCCTTCACTTAAAGGAATACCACACTGAATTACCGTGATATTATACATTATAATTTAGGTTGCTCTTTTATATGGAAATATGAAATTACTAATCTACAAATATAGCCTTTCCAATAAAGCTACAGGATGTGTGGAGTAAAATCAGAATTCTCCATTATTCATTACACTTATATGATGCAGGCAAGTGGGCAATCATTTACAAGTCAGTTTCAGATAAAAAACATCATTTAATCATTACATTGCTATCAACCTTGAAAATATCAAAGAGTCAAAGAGGTTAAGGAAGAAAAAACAATTTGTCCTATTTATATACATTAAAATGCTAGCAAAAATGGGTCTGTTTAAAAATCATAAATAATATATATATATATATATATATACAGTAAATAGAGAGAATACAGTATACCAAAAACCATTCACAATTTTTCAGCTAAGAAATAGCAGTGTGGTACATTTCTTCACAGTCTTTTTTTTTTTTTTGTATTTATTTATTTTGAGACAGAGTCTCGCTCTGTTGTCCAGACTGGAGTGCAGTGGCGCGATCTTGGCTTACTGCAACCTCCACCTCTTGCATTCAAGTGATTCTTCTGTCTCAGCCTCCTGAGTAGCTGGGATTACAGGTGCCCACCACCACACCCAGCTAATTTTTGTATTTTATTTTATTTTATTTTTCGAGATGGAGTTTCGCTCTTGTTGCCCAGGCTGAAGTGCAATGGAGCGATCTCGGCTCATCGCAACCTCCGCCTCCCGCGTTCAAGCAATTCTCCTGCCTCAGCCTCCCAAGTAGCTGGGATTACAGGCATGCACCACCATGCCCGGCTAATTTTTTGTATTTTTAGTAGAGACGGGGTTTCACCACGTTGGCCAGGCTGGTCTCAAACTCCTGACCTCAGGTGATCCACCCGCCTCGGCCTCCCAAAGTGCTGGGATTACAGATGTGAGCCACCACACCTAACCTCTTCCCAGTATTTTATATTCATCATATATATTTTAAATAAATATTGCACATTTTCTTCTTTAAAGTATTTCTTTTTACTTAATTTCAGACTTATAGAAAAGTTGTGAAAATGGTACAAAGGACTCCTCTCTAACCCTCATCCAGATTTTCCAGATGTGAACATTCAATCACACTTGCTTTCTCTCGTCTCCCTCTTTCTGAACCTTTTCAGAGTAACTCAGAGATATGATGCCCCTTTACACCTCAATCCTTCACTGTGTATTTCCTAAAAACAAGGAATTCTGTTGCAGTCACCACAGTACAATGATCAAAATCAGGAAATTAATATTGATACAAACCTATTATCTAATCTTGTTCATGGTTCACCATTTCTCCCAACAATGCCCTTTGTAAAAAAAAGAAAATCCCGTATCATATTTTGTGTTTGGTTATGTCTTTTTAATTTTCAGTCTTTCTTGCGGTGTCTTCATGTTGACATTTTGGAAGAATAAAGACCAGTTATTTTGTAGAATGTCCCTTAATTTGGAGTTGCCTGATGTTTCCTCAAGATTAGGGTCAAGTTATATGCTTTTCTGGCAAAAACACCACAGAAGTGATGTCATGTTCTACTTAATGTGTCCTGTTAGGAGGCACATTATGTCCATTTGTCCCATTCCTGGTGATGTCAACTTTGAGCATGGATCCTACATTTTCATTCACAATAGTAACAGAAAAATTCCTTATCTCTTTCAAAATTTTTAGAAACATCATTCCAGTGTCTACAAAATATTTTATTTATGGATGTGTCATAATTTTATAACTGATCATATTTATGTTATCATTGCATTGGTTAAGAACCAATGCATGTATCATATCATATCACAATGAAGTTAAAAATTTTATTGCACACCTGATTTTAATAAAAATATTTTTAGTGTTTTTGTTTTTTTTTTGAGATGGAGTCTTGCTCTGTGGCCCAGACTGGAGTGCAATGGTATGATCTCTGCTCACTGCAATCTCTGCCTCTGGGTTTAAGTGATTCTCCTGCCTCAGCCTCCCGAGTAGCTGGGATTACATGTGCCTGCCACCACACCCAGCTAATTTTTGTATTTTTAATAGAGACCGGGTTTCACCATGTTGACCAGGCTGGTCTTGAACTCCTGACCTCAGGTGATCCATCTGCCTCAGCCTCCCAAATTTCTGGGATTAGAGGCATGAGCCACCGCACCCAGCCAATCTGCCTTTTTTTATGGCTGCATGGTATTCCAAGATATATATGTACCACATATTCTTTATGCAGTCTATTAGTGATGGGCATTTAGGTTGATTCCATATCTTTGCTATTGTGAATAGTGCTGCAATGAACATATGCATGCATGTGTCTTTATAACGGAATGATTTATATTTTTGGGGGGTATACACCTAATAATAGGATTGCTGAGTCAAATAGTATTTCTGTTTTTAGGTCTTTGAGGAATCATCACACTGTCTTCCAGCAATGGTTGATCTAATTTACACTCCTACGCGTATTATTATTATTATTTTTTAGACAGGTCTCACTCAGTTGCCCAGGCTGCAGTACAGTGGCATGATCTTGGTTCACTGCAGCCAAAACCTCCTGGCTCAAGTGATCCTCCTGTCTCAGCCTCCCAAAGTGCTGGGATTACAGGTGTGAGCCACCATGCCTGGCACCTTTCTTCCTTCCTTCCCCGCTTCCTCCCTTCCTCCCTCTCTCTCTCTTTCTCTCTCTTTTTCTCTCTTTCTCTCTCTCTCTGTCGCTCTCTCCCTTCCTTCCCTCCCTCCCTCCTTCCTTCCTTCCTTCCTTCCTCTTTCTCTATTTCTTTTGGAGATGGAGTCTCACCCTGTACCCTGTCTAGAGTGCAGTGGTGCGATCTCGGCTCACTGCAACCTCCACTTCCCAGGCTCAAGCAACACTCCTGCCTCAGCCTCTTGAGTAGCTAGGACTACAGGCGTGTGCCACCACGCCCAGCTAATTTTTGGAATTTTAGTAGAGACGGCATTTCACCATGTTGGCCAGGCTGGTCTCGAACTCCTGGTCTCAGGTGATCTGCCTGCCTCGACCTCCCAAAGTGCTGGGATTACAGGTGTGAGCCATGGGTGCCTGGCTCCACATATTTGCTTTCTTGAGTGAGTGACAAAGGATTAGATCCAGAACACACTGCAGGATTATACCTATCCTAAGTACAAACTTACATAAAAATCATTCTTTATGTATATTGTAGCAGGAAAAAAAAGTCAAAAACTACTGTTGCAGAGACAGGACATAGAAATAGACCTGATAATTAAATAAGAGTGGGGATCATAAATATTGTCTTAAGCCTTTTGGGAACAACTAGATAAGCAAATGTAGCCAGTCAGAATAGTGGACATTTGTAATTTGCCTCTAAAGCATTTATTATTCCTTTTCTGAGCCACACCAAGGGTTACTGCATACAGCTGCACAGGTTGTGCACCGCACAATTCCAAGGGATGCCAATCACATTGCAGACTATGTGAATGGTGACCCTGGAGTTGTGCAGTGCACAGTCTGTACCACATTCCCAGTGATCTGGTCACAGCCCTGATTTTCCTTTGGGATCCACTGCTCACCCTCTCACAGTCAACACAATCTGATAGGATACTACCACTGGACCTAGAGTTATAACACGTAACTAGGTCTAATGCATCCCATCCCTCTGGCCTCTGGGTCAATGGTGGTCACATGAACTAAACCTAAACTAATCCACTCAGTTGAATCACAGAACTCTTAATGTGATTGTACAGCCTTATGACATAATTTTCCAAATAAAGACTGATTTTTTTTTTACACTAACAGTACCTAATGAAGACAGCAACTGTATTAGTCCATTTTCACACTGCTATAAAGAAATATCCAAGACTGGGTAATCTATAAAGGAAAGAGGTTTAATTGACCCACAGTTCTGCATGGCCGGGGAGGCCTCAGGAAACTTGCAATCATGGCAGAAGGGAAAGCAGGCACATCTTACATAGCAGGAGAGAGGAAGTGAAGGGCGAAGAGTCCCTTATAAAACCATCAGTTCTTGGGAGAACTCACTCACTATCACGAGAACAGCATGGGGAAACCACCCCCATGATCCAATCACCTCCCACCAGGTCCTTCCCTCAACACCTGGGGATTACAATTCAAGATGAGATTTGGGTTGGGACACAGAGCCAAACCATATCAGCAACTATCAATTAAGTGTGTCAACATGAAGAACTTATGTTTTTCTCCAAGCACTGATGATGGCATCTTTACCAACTTAGCCACTCTCTTATCTGGTCTCTGGTGCTCAGTTGATGCCATTGAGATGGAGCTGCAATGAGTCTAGTAAATATATTCTTAGAAAAATGTTTTTCTCTGACCAAAACAGAGACTGAACTACAAGAATCACCATAATCTCTAAGTAATCAGCCAAGGCTAGAACAGAATAGGCCATGATGTATTGGGAGGTGGTGCATTCCCATCACTGCAGGTGATCAAACTCAGACTGGGCAATCACTCATAAAACACATAGTCAAGGAGATACAAATGTCCACTGGGGGCTTAAACTATTATATTGCCAAGATGATGCCTGCAATGTGGGCTTTTAAAATGGTAAAGATATTCAAACGTATGCATATAAACAGAAACATGATATTCTAAGAATTAAATAGACTGTGTTATATAGATTTGCCTCCAACATTTTTGGAAGCACAAGAGTGTGACGATGCTTTCCCTTGCAGGGAAACTCAATTGTGATGCCAGTATGTCAAGATTATCAACCAGATTCCAGGGTGGTTTTCTTCACAATTTTGTTGAGCTTGTCTATTTCTTCGTGCATTATATTATTTTTATGTCACTAATTTAAAATTTTAAGAAGACTTTTCCCATATATTTTCCCTATATAGCCATCGAAAAAGCACACACATAACACAGTGACTAATTTTTGTTGTCACTTATGTCTTTCACTTCACCAATTTGTTTACAGATTTATGGTTCATTGACTTTCACAGTTGGAAAATTAATGCTAACCCAATACTTTGTATAAATTTATTATGATTTTACTGTAAATTATTTTGCAGTAGATTGCTTGACTGACGTGGTGTAAAACTCTATAGTATATAAATGAAAACATTAAGCAAGTTGAAGGCACAAAATCAGCTAGCACCCTAATATAGTAGCTTTTGAGTGTGAAACTTTATTTTTTAATGGCACAGATATCGTTAAGTGTACAGCTCAATGAATTTTCACAAACTGAACATATCCATATAATTCTCAGCCAGATCAAGACACAGAGTGTCACTAGCTCCCCAAAAGCCCCCCTCATATTTGCTCTTAGTCACTAGCCACACCCGCTAAGTCCATATCCTGACTTCTAATTGATAGGTTAGTTTTGCCTGCGGTAAACTTTATGTAAATGGGATAGTACATTAGGACCTTTGTGAATGACTTCTCCCCCTCAATTTAGGTTTGTGAAATGTAGCCATGCTTTTGCATGTTGTTTGTTCCTTCTCGTTGTTGTATACTATTCCATTGCTTGATGTACCACAATTTATTTATCCATGCTACTGTTAATTGAGCATTTAGTTACTTGGTTAGATTTTGACTATTACAAAAAGTGCTGCTGGCCGGGCGTGGTGGCTCACACCTGTAATCCCAACACTTTGGGAGGTCGAGGCAGGTGGATCACTTGAGGTGGAAAGTTCAAGACCAGCCTGCCCAACATGGAGAAATCCTGTCTCTACTAAAAATACAAAAATTTGCCAGGCATGGTGGCACACAACTATAATCGCAAATACTGGGGAGGCTGAGGCAGGAGAATCACTTGAACCCAGGAGGCAGAGGTTGCAGTGAGCCAAGATCTTGCCACTGCACTCCAGCCTGGGCGACAGAGCAAGACTCCGTCTCAAAAAAAAAAAAAAATAGTGCTACCATGAACATTCTAGAACATGCCTTTTACTGAATATAAGTATGCATTTATGTTGGGCATATACCAAAGTACTATTTTAATCCTCCAGCGGTAGGGTTAAAATGTCTACCTGCTATCTAATGTGTGCTCAGCCTCATGAACAATGATATATTTTTTCTAGTCATGATGTTAAGAAGGCAGCTTACAGTTTTTCTGGTACAAGAAATACATGACATTTCAAAACATCCTAGTAAAACATTTGGAATGTATTTAGATCTTCATATACTTAAAGCCTTAACTCAGGAGTGTAAACGATTAACTTTTATTTTTATATCCCCACACTTAATTTCTATTTTGAGCCCCCATTCTGCCCAATGGCAGAAGAAACAATCTGAGTGAATGAAGAATGCCTACTCCTGCCTTTCCTCGCTGCACCTAAGTTCCAGAGGCCAAAGTGATGCTGGGGCTGCTAGTTGCCATTTATCTGGGCCACCATGTGCTGAGACCCCACCGTTCCCCTGTGGGGCCTGCTGGCTCCTGGGGAGTCTTTCCGGTCCTGGCTGCAGGGCCTCTTCAGATCTGCTGGTCCCTTTGCCGGGGCAGGGTGGGCAGGCAGCCTCTGCGCCCTCTCTCAGGAGTGTGGCCTGCACGCTGCATGTCCACACTCGTGTACTGTGTATTCTCTTCCTCTGTGCCCATGTCTTGCTGTGTCCAGAGATACCCCTTGGTCCAGATTGGAGTGGGTAGCCTGGATCTCCATCTGTTCCTCCAAATCACTGTTGATGGCACGAACTTTATACCATGAATCTTCTAGGCCTTGGGAGTGTGAAACTCAGAAGCCCAGGTTGGTTCTTATAACACAAAAGCTTTTCACCTCTATCATGCTTTCCTTGAAGCAGTGAATGCTGATGGCTGCAGAGGAATGGAGGTGTAGACGGAAGAGAATATTGTTCCACTACTTAAATATACCTTTTTCTTTTTTTTTTTTAACATGGAGTCTTGCTCTGTCTCCCAGGCTGGGTGCAGTGGCTTGATCTTGGCTCACGGCAACCTCCAGCTCCTGGGTTCAAGTGATTCTCCTGCCTCAGCCTCCCGAGTAGCTGGGATTACAGGTGCCAGCCACCATGCCCCACTAATTTTTTTTTGTATTTTCAGTAGAGATGGGGTTTTGCAATTTTGGCCAATCTGGTCTCAAACTCCTAACCTCAGGTGATCGGCCCACCTCAGCCTCCTGAAGTGCTGGGATTACAGGACTGACCCACCGCACCTGGCCCCTTCATTCTGTTACTTCTTTGAACTCCATTCATAATTGCTTAATTAATTTTTGTTTTTTTTGAGACAGGGTTTCACTCTGCCACTCAGGCTGAAGTACAGTAGTGTGATCTTGGTTCACTGCAACTTCTGCCTCCCAGGCTCAAGCCATCCTCCCACCTTAGCCTCCCAAGTAGCTGGGACTATAGGTGTGCACCCTCACACCTAATTTTTGTATTTTTGTATTTTCTGTAGAGATGGGATAATTTTTGTATTTTCTGTAGAGATGGGATTTCACCATGTTGCCCAGGCTGGTCTTGAACTCTTGAGCTCAAGTGATCCGCTCGCCTTGGCCCCCCAAAGTGCTGGGATTACAGGAGTGAGCCACTGCGCCCGGCCATAACCCTTAATTTAAAAAACAAACAAACAAAACCTTTTCACAATACTACTTCAAGTTTGCTATGATAGCAACTTGATTTATATTAGATTGAATTCAGTGTAGGCTTTGGCAAAATTCACAGCTCTTTGTTATTTCTAAAATAGTTTCAAAATTCTAGATAAAAATTCAATAATAACAAACTATTATTAGTTTCCATGTATTAAGCACACAGTTTATGCCAGGTGCATTGCTATCAACCCTATATATATTTTCTTATTTAATGTTTACAGCAACCCAGTGAAGGAAGGCATTAGCTCCTTGGTTTTTTTGTTTGTTTTTGAGACGGAGTCTCACTCTGTCGCCCAGGCTAGATGCAGCGGCATGGTCTCGGCTCACTGCAACCTCCACCTCCTGAGTTCAAGTGATTCTCCTGCCTCAGCTTCCCAAGTAGCTGGGATTACAGGTGTCTGCCACCACACCCGGATAATTTTTTGTACTTTTAGTAGAGACAGGGTTTCACCATGTTGACCCAGCTGGTCTTGAACTCCTGAACTCAGGTGATCCACCCACCTCAGCCTCCCAAAGTGTTGGGATTACAGGTGTGAGCCATGGTGCCTGGCCTATCTCCTCATTTTATATATGAGAAAACTGAGGCACAAATAGGTGAACTGGCTTGCTTGAGGTCACAGAACTATGCTGTGAACCCATGCAGCCAAGAACTTGCCGTGAACCTAGAGTCAATGCAAATAACCACCATGTTACAGGACCTCAATGCAGAGAAAGAACAGGATCTGGCAACTTTGTTATTACTTTCTCCTTTAAAACATTAAAATCCAGGAAGAAGTGCCCTTTCAGACAAGAAAAACTGATAGCTCCTTCCTACTGCTTTCTGAATCTTGGTTCCCACAAATTAAATAAACTAGTCTCTACTGTGTAAATAGCAGAGTGAACTGATGGAATTATTTGTTACAATTTCTAAGGTCAATTTGCAACATATAAACTTATATACAAGCAGGCAGTCATTGAAAATGTTTGCAGAAGGCTTATGAACTAAAGTTGATAAAAAGTATTAAACAATATGTGGACACACACACATACATCCACCCTACAGAGCAGACAATCCCAAGTGCTACAGTGCTTGCGCAAATATCTTTAATGAAACTTAAGTTAATGCCTTCCAAAATAAAAGCAGCTGCTTGTTTCAATATTATCAGTGCGAAAGCTGTGATCTAAAGGCATCCGGTGGAATAAAAAGTCATTTTTATTTCACTACTTTAATCCCTAGTCCTGAAATAAGGGAACAAGCCCCACAGTATTACATTTCACTTCCTAGTAACTAAAGGAATGTATACTCATAACGAAACTTCCTAACCTTACGGAAAGACACAATAGGGAAAAGGAAAAGTTCCCCAGAAAATTTTCTCTCCAGAGATTATCATTATCAATGATTTTTATTTCTTCAGATTTTTTTCTATTCATATATGAGGTCAGTCTCTATCTGCAGGTATAGCTTTTATAAAACACAATTAACAACTCCAAAAGCCTTAGAGAGCAATGGAGAACTTCATTACAGCTTTGAGAAAATGAATAACTGAAAATTGCATGCATGTCGCAATAAAACTTCCAAAATGTCCACGTTAGCCATTTTCCCTCCATCTCACAAAACTGCCCTTTCTCCCTTCCTCCAAACTCATAGCTACCTTGTCTCAAACCTACTTCCTCTTATTTCTTTTCCTTTTATGTTTTCCTATTCAAAAGTAAAGCAGTCTATAGGCATTTTCAGTTTTCAGCCTAAGTGACCCCATGGTTGAACAATTTGTCAAGTAAATGAAGAATGCTTCCCCCTTAGAAAGGTCCCCCAAGGGAGGACAGAAACAGCAACAGAAAACACTCATAATTTAATGTTTTTGTCCTTTTCACACATATGTAGCTATATCTATTATATTATATTTTATTTTATTTTTGAGACAGAGTTTCGCTCTGTCACCCAGGCTGGAGTGCAATGGTGCAGTCTCAGCTCACTGTGACCTCCGCCTCCCAGGTTCAAGCAATTCTTCTGCCTCAGCCTCCCGAGTAGCTGGGATTACAGATGTGCACCACCATGCCTAGCTAATTTTTGTATTTTTAGTACAGACGAGGTTTCACCATGTTGGCTAGGCTGGTCTTGAACTCCTGACCTCAGGTGATCCACCTGCCCCAGCCTCCCAAAGTGCCGGGATTACAGCACTTTTACAGCATGAGCTGCCATGCCCAGCCTATTTTATTTTATTTTGTTTTATTTTATTTAGAGACAGTCTTGCTCTGTCCCCAAGGCTGGAGTGCAGTGGCGTGATCATAGCTCACTTGGCTAATTTTTAAACTTTTTGTAGATATGGGGTCTGGGTATGTTGCCCAGCCTGATCTTGAACTCCTAGGCTTAAGTGATCCTCCTGCCCTGACCTCCCAAAGTGCTGGGATTACAGGCGTGAGCCATCCTGCCCAGCCTGTATCTATTATATAAGCTGGTTTTTTTGATTACTTTAATGCAAATGAGATTATACCATACTCTGCTCTCTGTCACTTCCTATTTTCATGTAATTTATGTTAGACATCTGTCGATGTCAGTATAAATACATCTAGATCATTTTTTATAGTTGTATACCTTTCATTACATGGATGTTTCACAATTTACTTAGCTAACTACCTATTGTTGGACATTTGGTTATTTCCAAATTTTTGCTATTTTATATAATGCTGCACTTACATAAAATATAGTTTTATATAATTATGTTTAATTATGTACTACTACTGTGTCTGACAACTGACTTGTATCAAGAACATACAAAGAATTGTTACAAGTTGCCAGGCAGAGTGGCTCATGTCTGCAATCCCAGGGCTTTGGGAGGCCAAGGTGGGCGGATCTCTTGAGCCCAGGAGTTGGAGAACAGCCCGGGCAACATGGGCAGACCCCGTCTCGACAAAAATACAAAAATTAGCCAGGCATAGGGGCACACATCTGTAGTTCCAGCTACTTAGAGGCTGAGGTGGGAAGACTGCTTGAGCCCAGGAAGTTGAGGCTGCAGTGAGCCAAGATCACACCACGGCACTCCAGCCAGCACGTCAAAGGCCCTGTCTCAAAAAAAGGAAGAAGCGGGGGAGGCAAATAAGTAGAGTGTAAGCCACCTCATCCAACCTTATTGGAACCAGTAGTTGACTGGTTAATCAGTCCAAGCAAGGAAGCATAAAAACTGATGCATGTGCCGGGCATGGTGGCTCACGCCTGCAATCCCCGCACTTTGTGAGACAGAGGCGGGCCGATCACCTGAGGTTAGGAGTTCGAGACCAGCCTGGCCAACATGGTGAAACCCTGTCTCTACTAAAAATACAAAAGTTAGCCATGCATGGTAGTACACGTCTGTAATCCCAGCTACTCAGGAGGCTGAGGCAAAAAAAGAAGAAGAAATGCTATGTGAAGCCTTTTTATAAGCGCATTAATTTCATTCACGAGGGCAGAGCCCTCATGACCTAATCACCACCTTGAAGGCCTCACTTCTTAACATCATCACATTAGGTCTTAGATTATAACATGAATTTTGGAGGACTCAAGAAAAAAAAAGTGAAAGACAACCCACAGAATGGGAGAAAATACTTGCAAATTATATACAAAGTAGGCCCACTTTATTTGTGGAAAATATGTAGCCAGACACAGTGGCTCATGCCTGTAATCCCAGAACTTTGGAAAGCTGAGGTGGGAGGATCACTTGAGCCCAGGAGCTCAAGACTAACCTGGGCAACATGGGGATACCCTATCTCTACAATAAATAAATAAAATTACTCAGATGTGGTGATATGTGCCTGTGGTCCCAGCTACTTGGGAGGTTGAGGTGGGAGAATCACGTGAGCTCAGGAGGTTGAGGCTGCAGTGAGCCAAGATAACATTAATGTATCCCAGCCTGGGCGATAGACCGAGACCTTATCTCAAAAAAAAAAAAAATCTATCTATCTATCTATCTATCTATCTATCTATCTATCTATTCATATATAGATATAGATTAATATAGATATATAAACATATATTTATAGATATATAGATACATAAATATATAGCTATATATAAGTATATATTTATAAATATATAGATATATATGTAACAAAATATGTTCCAAGACCTCCAGTGTATACCTGAAACTGCAGATAGTACCAAACTCTATATGTACTATGTTTTTTTCCTATACATACATACATACCTATGATGAAGTTTAATTTATAAATTAGGCACTGTAATAGAATAACAACAATAACTAATAATAAAAGAGAACAATTAGAATATACTTTTTGTTTTTGAGATGGAGTCTTGCTCTGTCGCCCAGGCTGGAGTGCCATGGCACCATCTCGGCTCAATGCAACTTCCGCCTCCCAGGTTCAAGCGATTCTCCTGCCTCAGCCTCCCAAGTAGCTGGGCCTACAGGCGCCTGCCACCACGCCCGGCTAATTTTTGTATCTTTAGTAGAGACAGGGTTTCACCATATTGGCCAGGCTGGTCTCCAATTCCTGACCTTGTGATCCACCCACCTCGGCCTTCCAAAGTGCTGGGATTACAGGTGTGAGCCACTGTGCCCGGCTAGAATATACTTTAATATAAGTTACATGAATAGTTGTCTCTCTCTCAAAATACTGTAATATTTGGGATTGCAGCTGCCCGCAGGTAACTGAAACTGCAGAAAGCATACGGGGGACTACAGTATCTGACAATGGACTTGGATCTAGAATACATAAAGAACTCTTACAACTTGATAATAAAAAGGATATAACCCAATTTTAAAATGGACAAAAGATCTGAACAGATATTTCTCCAAAGAAGATATACAAATGGTCTATAAGGGCCAGGTGCTGTGGCTTATGCCTATAATCCCAACACTTTGGGAGGCCAAGGCAGGTGGATCACTTGAGGCCAGGAGTTCAAGACCAGTCTGGCCAACATGGCGAAAACCCATCTCTACTAAAAATATAAAAATCAGCCAGGTGTCGTGGCGCATGCTTGTAGTCCCAGGTACTCAGGCAGATGAGGCACAAGAATCACTCGAACCCGGGAGGCAGAGGTTGCAATGAGCTAAGATTGCACCACTGCACTCCAGCCTGGGCAACAGAGCAAAACCCCACCTAAAAATAAATAAATAAATAAATAAAAATAAAAGAAAGAAAATAAATGGCCAATAAGCACCAGAAAATACACTCAATTTCTGTCTTAGTCTGTTTGTGCTGCTATAACAAAATACCTGAGACTGAGTAATTTATAAGCAAAAAAAATTATTCCTCACAGTTCCGGAGGCTGGGAAATCCAAAATCAAGGTGATAGCACATTTGGCATTTGGTGAGGGCCTGTTCCATTGTTCCCGTTCTTGCAGTGGCATCTTCACACGGCAGGAGAAGAAAGGAAAAAAGAAGAAGAAATGTTATGTGAAGACTTTTTATAAGGGCATTAATTTCATTCACGAGGGCAGAACACTCATGACCTAATCACCACCTTGAAGGCCTCACTTCTTAACATCGTCACATTAGGTCTTAGGTTATAACATGAATTTTGGAGGACACAAACATTCAAACCATAGAAACATCATTAGCCATCAGGGAAGTGCAAATCCAAACCATGTTAAGATACCACTTCACACTCACAAGAATGGCTATAATAAACAGACAGATAATAACAAGTGTTGGAGAAAATGTGGAAAAATTGAAACACTCATATGTTGCTGGAGGGAATGCAAAATGCTTTGCAATGAAGTTGGAACTGCTTTGGAAATAGTCTGGCAGTTCCTCCAAAGCTTAAACACAGAGTTATCATATGACCTGGCAATGCCAGGCTTCATCATATTCCCAAGGGAAATGAAAACATATGTCCACACAAAAAATTATACATGAATGTTCATAGCAGCATTATTCATAATAGTCAAAAAGTGGAGACAGCTGGGTGTGGTGGCTCCCAACACTTTGGGAGGCCAAGGCGGGAGGATCGCTTGAGGTCAGGAGTTCGAGACCAGCCTGGCCAACATAGTGAAATCCGATCTCTACTGAAAATACAAAAATCAGCGGGACATGGTATACGTGCCTGTAATCCCAGCTACTTGGGAGGCTGAGGCAGGTGAATGGCTTGAATCCAGGAGGCGGAGGCTGCAGTGAGCCAAGATCACACCACCGTACTCCAGCCTGAGTGACAGACTGAGACGCCATCTCAAAAAAAAAAAAAGTGATAAACAGATAAATGAAATGTGTTATATTCCTACAACGGAGTATTATTGAGCCATAAAAAAAAAGGAAATAAGTACTGACACATGCTATAACATGAATGAACCTTCAAAACATTAGGTTACTTGAAAAAAGCCAGTCACAAAAGATCACAAATTGTATGGTTCCATTTATATGAAATGTCCAAATAGGCAAATCCCATCCTAAAAGAAAGTAAATTAGTGGTTGCCTAGGACTGAGGGATGGAGGAAATGGGGAGTGACTGCTCATAGGTATGGTATTTTTTTGGGGGAGAAATGAAAACATTCTAAAATTGATTGTGGTGGCCAGGCACAGGGGCTCACGCCTGTAATCCCAGCACTTTGAGAGGCCGAGGCGGGCGGATCACCTGAGGTCGGGAGTTCGAGACTAGCCTGACCAACATGGAGAAACCCCGTCTCTACTAAAAATACAAAATTAGCCGGGCATGGTGGTGCATACCTGTAATCCCACCGGGAGGCTGAGGCAGGAGAATCGCTTGAACCAGGGAGGTGGAGGTTGCAGTGAGCTGAGATCGTGCCACTGCACTCCAGTCTGGCGAGAGAGTGAGACTCCATCTCATAAAAAAAAAGAAAAAAAAGAATGTTTCAGGCAAAGGGAAGAGAAGTGCAATGGTGCTATTTCAGGCAGAAGCTTGTCAGGTTTGCTGTGGTGTGGCTAATGTGGAAGGACTCAGTGGGAAGGAAAAGAGATGAGGGCACAGTAGTGGGCAGGGCCAAGATAAAATAAAGCCATATGCACACTGTTACATTTTTTCCTTGTCCAATATATTTCATTAAATGTAGACAAAACTTATTATAAAGACATAACTTTTGATGTTTGTAAGGTCATCTGTTATTTGCACTCCTTTTTTTTTTTTTTTTTTGAGATAGGGTCTCACTCTGTCACCCAGGCTGGAGTGCAGTGTTGCCACCACAGCTCACAGCAGCCTCGACCTCCTGGGCTCAAGCACTCCTCCCACCTTAGCCTCCTGAGTATCTGGGACTACAGGCACATGCCACCGTGCCCCACTAATTTTTTATTTTTTGTAAAGACAGGGTTTCTCCATGTTACCCAGGCTGGTCTCAAACTCTTGAGCTCAAACAATCTACCCACCTTGGTCTCCCAAAGAGCTAAGATTATAGGCGTGAGCCACTGTGCCTGGCTTGTTATTTGCATTTGTGATTTTAAAATTCCATGTTTTTTATCATAAGATTGTCAGGTGCTTTCTGGACAGGAAATGCCTTAATTTATGACTCACAAACAAATGTAGGTGATCAAATGCATATCTATGTCTTCAATGGAAATATATATACATATAAGTCATTAACGAAGACAAATGAGAACATGAAATTCATGATATATTTTCTTTTCCATCACCTAGCCCCCTAAAGGAGAGATCTTTTTCATTCAGAGCCCTGGGTTTTGTTTTGTTTCATGATTTGCTTTTTTTTTTTTTAAATAAGAGTTTATTTATTTATTTATTTGAGACAAGATTTCACTCCCATCAGCCAGGCTGGAGTGCAATGGCGTGATCTCAGTTCACTGCAACTTCTGCCTCCTGGACTCAAGTGATTCTCTTGCCTCAGCCTCCTGAGTAGCTGGGACTACAGGCACGTGCCACTGCATCCAGCTAATTTTTTGTAGAGACAGGGTTTCACCATGTTGGCCAGGCTGGTCTTGAACTTCTGAGTTCAAGCGATCTGTCTGCCTCTGAGTCTCAAAGTGCTAGGGTTACAGGAATGAGCCACCGCGTGACCAAAAGAGTTTATTTTTTAAAGAAAATTGACTTCTTTGAAAACGTAGAAATGAGGCCGGGTGCAGTGGCTCACACCTGTAATTCCAGCACTTTGTGAGGCCGAGGCAGGTAGATCGCTTGAACTGAAGAGTTTGAGACCAATCTGGCCAACATGGTGAAACCCCGTCTCTACTAAAAATACAAACATTAGCCGGGTGTGGTGGCGCATGCCTGTAATCCCAGCTACTCGGGAGGCTGAGGCAGGAGAATCGCTTGAACCTGGGAGGCAGAGGTTGCAGTGAGCTGAGATCATGCCACTGCACTCCAGCCTGGGTGACAGAGTGAGACTCCGTCTCAAAAAAAAAAAAAAGTATAAATGAAGCACAATTAACGTGTTATAATTTTATAGAGCAAAAGTTCATAAAAATAAATATTCTAATTAACTCTCCTACATCTTATAAACACTATTACCAAACCCATTTAAGATTGAAGATAAATTATATCATGGCATGGGTAAAGATTTTCAATAAGGAGTTGCTAGGATAAAAGCCAAAATTCTCCAGCATAAATTCACTGACAGGGATTTCTGTTTAATCTTTTCAAAATTCTAATACCCAATTTATTTCCTCTAGAGAATAACTTGTGTAGAATCATAACCTCTTTGGTGGACCTTGATTTTTCCATCTGTAAAAGTATAGAACTAGTTTTGACTTAACAGTCAACAAATGCCTACCCTCTCCATATCTAGCTGATTAGAGCGCCCTCATGTGCGCATTTGCTGTAATGTTTTAGAAATCTGAAAAAGACAATATTAATCTCAGCAGTAATACAATAAATAATGTCTTCATTTGCACATTTATAGCAAATGCTATAAATATATAGCTCCAAGTATTACTCAGTAAAAGCTAAAGGCAAATGCTGTAGTAGGTTAATCTTACTGTCGTTCACTATCAAACCTTTCATATGCCAATTTTATCCTAAAACAGTGAAGTTATTCTTTTGGTTTCAATTTTAATTTAATGACTTAAGGGATTTTTTCCCTTAAAACTTCTAAGTATTTCATTATAATATTATTTCATCATTAGGCTTAAAGGAAAATATGTGGTCAATTGAGTTGTTATTTACTATACATGATAGCTTGACATCATCTTTTTAGGGATGGAAAACAGCTCCAGGGACCAAGTCTAACTCAGTTTTTTGGTATAAGAATTTACCTGTCGGCCGGGCACAATGGCTCACACCTGTAATCCCAGCACTTTGGGAGGCTGAGGCGGGCGGATATAGGTCAGCAGATCAAGACCAGGAGTTCAAGACCAGCCTGGCCAAGATGGTGAAACCCCATCTGTACTAAAACTACAAAAATTAGCCAGGTGTGATGGCAGGCATCTGTAATCCCACCTACTTGGGAGGCCAAGGCAGGAGAATCACTTGAACCCGGTTCAAGTGAGCTGGTTGCAGTGAGCCAAGATCACGCCACTGCACTCCAGCCTGGGCAATAAGAGCAAGACTCCATCTCAAAAAAAAAAAAAAAAAAAAAAAAAGAATTTACTAGTTTAAATCATAACAATTTCTTCCTACTCAAAGAGACTACATTGGAGGAAGCCAAAACAGAAGCTTATTTATTTATTTATATACTTTATTTATTTATTTTTGAGACAGAGAGTCTTGCTCTGTCACCCAGGCTGGAGTACAGTGGTGTGATCTCGGCTCACTGCAAAATCTGCCTCCTGGGTTCAAGCGATTCTCCTGCCTCAGCCTCCCTAGTAGCTGGGATTACAGGTGTGTGCCACTATGGCCAGCTAATTTTTGTATTTTTAGTAGAGACGGGTTTTCACCATGTTGGCCAGGCTGGTCTCAAACTCCTGACCTCAGGTGATCCACCTGCCTCAGCCTCCCAAAGTGCTGGGATTACAGGCATGAGCCACCAAGCCCAGCCTAGAGAAGCTTATTTTTTAAAAGAAAATACACAAAAAAATCAAAATCTCTTAAGTCCAATTGTAATTTTTTTTAGCTTTTAAAAAATGTTAATGCCCTCAAATATTCTCCTATCCAATCACTGTATTTTAAATGGCATTCCTCCAACAAATATTTGTTGAGCCCCCACTATGTGCCAGGATTGAAATGTCAAATTGAAGGAGGCAATAGCTACTGAAGTAAAGCAAAAAAAAGTACTGGTTATTTTTCCTTCTATAAAATGACCTAGTAATAACCGCTTTACCCAGGAGAGTTGCTGTAAAGATCTAATAACATGACACATATAACCACACCCCTCAAGAATGAGGTGTTACCGCATGTTCTCACTCATAGGTGGGAATTGAACAATGAGAACACATGGACACAGGAAGGGGAACATCACACTCTGGGGACTGTTGTGGGGTGGGGGGAGTGGGGAGGGATAGCATTAGGAGATATACCTAATGTTAAATGACAAGTTAATGGGTGCAGCACACCAGCATGGCACATGTATACATATGTAACTAACCTGCACATTGTGCACATGTACCCTAAAACTTAAAGTGTAATAATAATAAAATAAAAAAATAAAAAAAAAATTTGCTTAAATAAATATTATAATAAAAAAATGAATGAGGTGTTATTAAAATGTTTGCAAGAGAAACCCTAGGAATTCCAAGCACATATTTTAGGAATGGTTTCTTGTGTAGAAAATCCTGGAATGTGAGGCTCTGCTCATTTTTTTAATGCATATTCTCTTCTTATGTATGTGGAATTTTTTTTTTTTTTTTTTTTTTTTTTTTTTTTGAGATAGAGCTTCGCTCTGTTGCCCAGGCTGGAATGCACTGGCATGATCTTGGCTCACTGCAACTGCCACCTCCTGGTTTCAAGTGATTCTCCTGCCTCAGCCTCCCGAGTAGATGGAATTACAGGCGTGTGCCACCACACTTGGCTAATATTTGTATTTTTAGTAGAGATGGGGTTTCACCATATTGGCCAGGCTGTTCTAGAACTCCTGACCTTGTGATCCACCCACTTCAGCCTCCCAAAGTGCTGGGATTACAGGCATGAGCCACTGCACCTGGCCTATTTTCGTTTTTACTAATGTTTAAAGAGACCCACTTTATGTACAGAATTCTGGCTACAACCTAACAAATGAGTTGCTCTGTTCATCCGTTATAGCCAATTTAAGTAATTATGAAAAGCTCAACAATACTTTAACTGGCAATGAAAGCATCAATATCTCACATTTACCACCACAACTTAGGATTTCTTGGTAGCTAAATAAAATGCTTCTATTTTGTGGGGGGAAACTGTCACATAAGTTGAAATTCTGCAATGTTCAATTGTTGAAAAGGTCTCTATGTTAAATCAAAGGTATAAATTCCACATCAGTAGTATATGAAAGAGAAAAAAAAAAGCCAAAATTAAAGTGATTCATGCCCACTTCCCTAATTGAACCTAAGATTTTACTAACAGAGATGCCGTAACTTTGATCATGCACACATCAAACTTGAATTTAAAAACATGCATGCACTCACTCATCTTTTATCTCTTATGTAATTAATACTGTAAGATTATATTTTGCCTACGTGCTCTATATTACTAATTTATAGGATTATTACTATTCAGTGTTGTTTACTTGAAACCATACTGTACTATACACAACTTTTGCATTCCATGCTAACTTTATTTTTTTAATTAATTTTTTTTTATACAGAGTCTCACTCACTCTATTGGCCAGGCTGGAGTGCAGTGGCACGATCTTGGCTCCTGCAACCTCTGCCTCTCGGGTTCAAGTCATTCTCCTGCCTCAGCCTCCCAAGTAGTTGGTACCACAGGTACATGCCACCACACCCGGCTAATTTTTGTATTTTTGGTAGAGATGGGGTTTCACCATGTGGGCCAGGCTGGTCTCGAACTCCTGACCTCAAGGTTATAGACGTGAGCCACCATGTCCCAACTCCATGCTAACTTTAGAGCTTATTTCCCATCCCATAAGATACAACACTACTTGTGTTACATAGGGAGCAGTGTGGGGAAGAAAAGCATAGAATTAAGTTAGTGACAAATCCAGTGAACTCAAAAAGAGGGAAAAAAACACTCCCAAACAATTGTTTTCCCCATATTCTATTCTCCCTAGAGGTAGTCCATACAGGAATGACAAAAGAAAAAAAAGGATACAAAATGAGAAAGATGTTCATGTGACATATAAGTACAGTAATAAAATCAACAAGCATATATGATATTTAAGCAAAATAGTATGTATGCATTGATGGTCATCTGATATAAATCCATCATTTCTGTTGGCCAACATCTAAAACCTTTACTTTTCTGAGGAGACAAGCTATAAATCTATACGGATATTTCTACAATGAGAATTCACTATTACATATGAACCAATATAATTTGATGTCAAATATTCACAATTAGGTTTAAAAAATCCCCTACTTGGCCGGGCGCGGTGGCTCATGCCTGTAATCCCAGCACTTGGGGAGGCCAAGGCGGGTGGATCATGAGGTCAAGAAATCAAGACCATCCTGGCCAACATGGTGAAGCCCTGTCTCTACTAAAAATACAAAAATTAACTGGGCGTGGTGGCAGGCGCCTGTAGTCCCAGCTACTCAGGAGGCTGAGGCTGGACAATCACTTGAACCCAGGAGGCAGAGGTTGCAGTGAGCTGAGATCGCGCCACTGCACCCCAGCCTGACGACAGAGTGAGACTCAGTCTCAAAAAAAAAAAAAAAAAAAAAAATCCCCTACTTATGTTAAGAGTACCAAAAATAGGGCCAGGAATGATGGCTCATGCCTATAATTTTGGCACTTTGGGAAGCCGAGGTGGGAAGATAGCTTGAGTCCAGGAGTAAAATAGTGAGACTCTGTCTCTACAAAAAAATAAAAAATTAGCTGGATGTGGCACACACCTGTAGTCCAGGTACTCACGAGGCTGAAATGGGTGGATCACTTGAGCCTGGGAGGTCAAGGCTGTAGTGAACTGTGATCACACCACTACACTCTACACCCAGCCTGGGCTACAAGGTGAGACCCTGTCTCAAAAAAAAATAAATAAATAAAAGGTACCAAAAATCTATAGCTGTTTCAGGAATAAAATACATGTAGTTAGTGAGGTTTTTCTCTCCCACTGCTATGACTTAATTTTTGGTTGAGATGCTAAGCCAAACATCATTTTAAGTCTGTGGCCCAACCAAAAAAGGGAATCATACTCTCCAAAGAATTGTACATTCCCACTCTAATTGCTAAAATAAAATGTTGGATTATGAAAATCAATTTTGTAGGTATCAATAAGTTATAAGAGCATGGCTTATTTAAAAAAAAAAAAGTGGGCCAGGTTACCTACATGAGCTGCAAAGCAAGCAAACTGAATTTTCTTATCGAAGAGCCCATCCTCATACTTAAAATTTCCCATGACTACATGGAAATTCTTTCACTTACCAGAAAGACCTGATTGGCAGTTTCACTGAGAGTTGCGTCATCTGGGCTGTCGACAGGTGTCTGACGTGTAAACTTGGAATCAAACTGACTTACATCCTCTTCAGATTGCTTTATACAAACAAAATAATTTAGAAAATAATGAATAGTCCATATGACATCAATCAAATGCACTGTAAGCTCTGGGAGCTCTTTTCGCAGGGGTTAACTATAATAAAGTATTAGAATAGTCTTAGCAGGCACTATTCTAATAGTGGAGAAATGCAAGTGGAAGAAAAAAATGCAAGTGGAAAGTACTGAGTCAAATTACATCTTCAAATCTTAAACATGCGCTAAAAAAGATTTTAGTATACTGTTATTCCTATTAAAAATGTGAATATATTGACTGGGCATGGTGGCTCACGCCTATAATCCCAGCACTTTGGGAGGCTGAGGCGGGCAGATCATGAGGTCAGGAGTTCAAGACCAGCCTGGCCAATAAAGCGAAACCCCGTCTCTACTAAAAATACAAAACATTAGCCGGGCATGGTGGCAGGCGCCTGTAATCCTAGCTACTCGGGAGGCTGAGGCAGGAGAATTGCTTGAACCTGGGAGGCAGAGGTTGCGGCAAGCAGAGATTGTGCCACTGCACACCAGCCCAGGTGACAGTGCAAGAGTCTGTCTCAATTAAAAAAAAAAAAAAAAATATATATATATATATATATATCGAGCTCAAAACAAGCTGGAAAAAATGTGAATATCAATTTCCCCTCTCACAAAGCTTCAGTGTGCCTAGTCCACTGGCTAAATCCCTGTTTAGAGATAATTAGTTCAGTTGGCTACTGCAGGTTTGTAATAAACCTGAAAAACTACTGAAGCAGAGTTAAAACATGAATAATACTGGCAAGATGCTCCAGTTAAAGTTTCTTCCCACAGCTCATTTCATTCCTTCAGAAAACTAAAGGAGCAAAAATAATTTTCTATTCTGCATGGGTTATAAGTTATATTTCCTTGTGAAAGTATAGTTATCACTTCAGTTCTAACCATGAGATTTATTTATTTAATTCCTTCTCTCTTTCCCAAAATATCTGGTTAAACTCTTGGGCCAAATGTAAGAAGTAAATAATAATTTAGAATATCTGACTTAATACTAAAAGATGATGACCACATTGACCTTATAATTCTCTCAGAGCCCAGACTGTGAACCTGCACTCCCTGGAGGAATGGCTGATTCCAAGTGTGGGGAAAATGTACAAGATAAGCATAGAACACCAGTTTCCTTATTTTGCTCTTTCGTACAACACCAGACAATGTGCTCATGTCAAAAGGACTCAGAACCCAACATGAAGATGCACCCAGCATTCACTGCACCCAGCATTCAACGAAGGGAAAAAATAAGCACCAATAAAAATAACTGCTAGGTGCGGTGGCTCATGCCTATCATCCCAACACTTTGGGAGGCAGAGGCAGGTGGATTGCTTTTGAGCTCTGGATTTGAAGACCAGCCTGGTGAACACGGCAAAACCCCATCTCTACCAGAAACACAAAAATTAGCTGGGCATGGTGGTGTACCTGTGGTCCCAGCTACTCAAGAGGGTGAGGTGGGAGGATTGCTGGAGGTCGGGACGTCAAGCCTGCAGTGGGCAGCGATTATACCACTGCACTACAGCTTGGGTGACAGAGTAAGACCCTGCCTCAAAACAATAAATGAATAAATAAAAATAAAATAAAAATAACTGCAATGAAATGAAACACAAATGTGTTAAAACGTGTAAGTTCATAATATACTAAAAAAGAAAAAAACACACACACACAAAGTTCATTGGTCAATTCTGGAAGATGCTAGGGAACTAATTCATTATTTTGAAAACTAGGAAAGAATCAAACATACATCCTGCCTTTCCTGTATGAACTGTACCTTGGGTAACTAACTGATCAAAGAGTTTCTCTTTATGAAAGAATTCCAGCTAACAAAGAAAGAAGAAGTAACAGTTAGAATAAAACCATTTCACAAACACCTGATGAAACTATAAAAGTAGGCTAGAGTTTCTCAACCTCAGGGCTACTGACATTTTAGGCCTATTAATACTTTGCGTTAGGGGGCTGTGCTGTGCTGACTCTTACCCCTGAAGGTACCTATAGCATTCCCTCCCCCAACCTGTGACAATCAGTGTGTCTCCAGACATTGCCAAATTACCCTGGTAGTGAAATGCTGACACAGGCAGTGACCACTAACATAACTAAAAAAACACACATACACACACACAAGTACACATTATGCCTCCTGATCAAAGCATATGCGATACTGAGAGTGTAATCTGAATCAGATCAACCACCTAAATTTAAATACCAGTTTTTGGAAATTTGGGGAACAGATGAACATGGTCAATGAAACTCTGGGGATAATATCAGCAAAATCAAAATTTGAGAATTCTACAGGACAAATGACCCCGTTTCTTCAATAAATCACGAGGGGAATCTATAAATGAAAAGAGACCTAAGAGACATAGTAACCAAACTACATACAGACCTTGATTAAATCCTTACAAACAGGAGAAAAAAAAAAGAATGGAACAACAACAACAAAAAAATTAGGTGGGGCAACACAGGGAGACCTCATCTCTAGAAAAATTCAAAAAATTGGATGTGGTGATGCACCCCTGTGGTCCCAGCTATATGGGAGGATCCCTTGAGCCTGGGAAGCTGAGGCTGCCATGAGCCACTATCATGCCACTGCACTCCAGCCTGGGCAACAGAGATAAGACCCTATCTCAAAAAAAAAAAGAGAAAAAAAAAAAAACCTGGGGAAACTGTCAACTTCTTAGGTGTGATGATGGGATGACAGTTATGTTTAAAGAAGATGATCTAATTATTTTTAAGCTGGGCAGTAGGTGTATGACAGTTCTCCTCCTTACAATTGTTTGTTGTTTTTTAAAGTGGGTCACATTATGCTCCATGACCAAAAAATAATCATCATCACCATCCTCCTCCTTCTCCACCTACAGCCCAAGGAATGGAAAAAGAAACTGTGTTTTCTCAGATTCTGAGGTGGCAGAAAGACAATAGCACACTAACTCATTTACTCATAAACATATTGTTATGGATTGAATCGTGTCCCTTACCCACCCCCCAGAAAATTTCGTATGTTGAAACTCTAACCTCTAGTTCCTCAGAATGTGACCTTATTTGGAAAGGGTTATTGCAGATGTAATTAGTGAAGATGAGGTCCTACTGGAGTAGAGAGGAACCCTAATCCAATATGCCTGGTATCCTTATAAAAAGGGGAAATTTGTCCACAGATATGCACACAGGTAGAACACCATGTGAACATGAAGGCAGAGATCCAGGTGATGCACCTACAAGCCAAAGTATGCCAAAGATGACCAGCAAACCACCAGAAGCCAGGGGAGAGGCATGGAACATAAGGTTTCTCACAGTTGTCGAAGAAACCAACTCTAACAACGTGATCTAGAACTTCTAGTCTCCAGATCTATGAGATAATAAATTTCTGTTGTCTAAGCCACCCAGTTTGTGGTACTTTGTTGCAGCAAGCCTAGCAAACTAATGCACACATATTCTATATTTTGAAGAAAAAATTCCCAGAGAATCATATTTAAAATGGTTAAATTAAGCAAAATAAAACAAACCAAAAAAAGAAAAGTCCCAACCACCTGAAATATTTAATTGTTTTAGGAAACTGACTTAAAAATATCTAATACAGGCCGGGCGCGGTGGCTCACGCCTGTAATCCCAGCACTTTGGGAGGCCGAGGCGAGCGGATCACGAGGTCAGGAGATCGAGGCCATCCTGGCTAACACGGTGAAACCCTGTCTCTACTAAAAATACAAAACATTAGCCGGGCGTGGTGGCGGGCGCCTGTAGTCCCAGCTACTCAGGAGGCTGACGCAGGAGAATGGCGTGAACCCGGGAGGCGGAGCTTGCAGTTTGCCGAGATTGCGCCACTGCACTCCAGCCTGGGCGACAGAGCCAGACTCTGTCTCAAAAAAAAAAAAAAAAAAAATCTAATACAGTCAATTGCCACTGGCTTTAGTTCTTTAAAAGATAGTACAAAAATAAAAGATGCTTGGCTGGGTGCAGAAGCTCACACCTGTAATCCCGGCACTTTGAGAGGCTGAGGTGGGTGGATCACTGGAGCCCAGGAGTTGGAGACCAGCCTGGGCGACATGGCAAAACCCTGTTTCTACAAAAAATACAAAAAAATTAGCCAGGCATGGTGACACGTGTCTGTAGTCGCAGCTATTCGGGAAGCTGAGGTGGGAGAATCACCTGAATCTGGGGAGGTCAAGGCTGCACTGAACTGTGATCGTGCTACTGCACTCCTTCCTGAGTGACAGAGTGAGACCTCGTCTCAAAATAAAATGAACAGGCCGGGCGCGGTGGCTCACGCCTGTAATCCCAGCACTTTGGGAGGCCGAGGCGGACAGATCACGAGGTCAGGAGATCGAGACCATCCTGGCTAACACGGTGAAATCCCGTCTCTACTAAAAATACAAAAAATTAGCCGGGCGTGGTGGTGGGCGCCTGTAGTCCCAGCTACTCGGGAGGCTGAGGCAGGAGAATGGCGCGAACCCGGGAGGCAGAGCTTGCAGTGAGCCGAGATGGCGCCACTGCACTCCAGCCTAGGCGACAGAGCGAGACTCCATCTCAGGAAAAAATAAATAAATAAAATAAAAATAAAATAAATAAAAAATAAAAACAAAGATGCTGAAGAGAGGATAAACCAGAGATCTTTGAACCGCTAATAAAAATAATGTTTCTGTCTGCTCTGAGATTTTTCTTTTCTTTTTTTTTTTTTTTTTGAGACGGAGTCTTGCTCTGTCGCCCAGGCTGGAGTGCAGTGGCGTGATCTCGGCTCACTGCAAGCTCCGCCTCCCGGGTTCACGCCATTCTCCTGCCTCAGCCTCCCGAGTAGCTGGGACTACAGGCGCCCGCCACCGCACCCGGCTAATGTTTTGTATTTTTAGTAGAGACGGGGTTTCACCGTGTTAGCCAGGATGGTCTCCATCTCCTGACCTCGTGATCCGCCCGCCTCGGCCTCCCAAAGTGCTGGGATTACAGGCCTGAGCCACTGCGCCCGGCCGAGATTTTTCTTATTCTAAAAAAAATCTCAAGCGATCTTCCTGCCTCAGCCTCGCAAGTAGCTGGGACTTACAGGCACAAGCCACCACACCCAACTAACTTTTAAATGTTTTGTAGAGATGGAGTCTTGTTACGTTGCCTATGCTGGTCTTGAACTCCTGGCTTCAAACAATCCTCCCACCTCGGCCCTTTAAAGTTTGGGGATTACAGGCGTGAGCCACTGCACCCAATTATACGCTTTCATGTATACTTACCAACAGAGGTTTAAAAGGGGGCTCCACCTTTTGAGCCAGAAGTTCTTCCCAGTTAATGTGTCTAAAGAATGGATGAGCCTAGGGAAAAAAAGCAGAAAGAAAAGTTGAGGGGAATAGGCTTTGCTGGATTGATAAATTAATCACCTTTTTGAAGTTACAAGTCAAAAAATAAGCTAAACTTATAAGCAACTACATATAACCCTCAGAAATACATAAAACTAGCATTATCTTCCCCACAAAACACCAAAGATGCCAATCTCTACTTGAACTTCTCCAGCGTCCCCAGGACCAGCTCACAGAGAAGCAGCATTTCTTTTCAGCAGCTTTAAAGAGGATAAAGAACCTTAGTCAAACTGATTTTTTTCCTTTTTAGACTTTGCTTGTCTACTTTGCCTTGAGAAAATATAGTTTATTGGCTGGGCACGGTGGCTCATGCCTGTAATCCCAGCACTTTGGGAGGCTGAGGCAGGTGGATCACCTGAGGTTGGGAGTTTGAGACCAGCCTGGCCAACATGGTGAAACCCCTTCTCTACTAAAAATACAAAAATTAGCCAGGCATGGTAGGGCATGCCTGTAATCCCAGATACTAGGGAGACTGAGGCAGGAGAATCACTTGAACCTGGGAGGCAGAGGTTGCAGTGAGCCAAGATCATGCCATTGCACTCCAGCCTAGACGACAGAGTAAGACTCCATCTCAGAAAAAAAGAAAAGAAAAGAAAATATAGTTTACTAATTACTGCTGAATAATTGTTTAAGGGTCTGTAATCCCAGCACTTTGAGAGGCCAAGGCAGGTGGATCACCTGAGGTCAGGTGTTCCAGACCAGCCTGACCAACATGGTGAAATCCTGTCTCTATTAAAAATACAAAAATTAGCTGGGCATGGTGGCATGCACCTGTAATCCCAGCTACTCGAGAGGCTGAGGCAGGAGAATCGCTTGAACCTGGAGGACTGAGGTTGCAGTGAGCCAAGATTGCACCACTGCACTCTAGCCTGGGCAACAGAGTGAGACTCTGTCTCAAAAAAAAAAAAAAAAAAGAATTAAAAAAAAGAATATGAAAAGAAAGTCGTTAAACAAATCTGTACCTTGCCTTCAAAATTTAAAGACTTTTTTGTTCAATATATATTATTCAAAATACACATTAAATTCTATCTAGTTAAATCCTAGACATTGAATCTTACAGTGTCAGTGACCATTTAAGAACCTTACCTTTTTAAGCAGATCTCTGGCTTCTTGTGTGAGGTAGGGAGGCAAATTGAGTTTACATTTGAGGATGTTGTCAATTGTTTTCTTTCTATTCTCCCCAGTAAATGGGGGCTGAGAGTAGAAGACAAGTGAAAAATATTAGCAGGGAGTGAAAAATATTAGTATATATGAAACAAATTTTAAATAACAATATCCATTTCCTGAATTAGTTATGCATGGAGATCAGAAATGTATGCTGTGAAATGGGCTAACTGCTAAAGACCTTTATTTTGTTTTAGAGACAGGGTCTCGCTATGTTGTCAAGGCTAGATTCTACTAATAATCCTTAGCTCAAATGATCCTCCCACCTCAGCCTCCTGAGTAGCTTGGGCTACATGCATGCACCCTGGTGCCTGGCAGATGTGCAGTTTTTAAGCAGCAGGACAGGGGAAGTAGCAGTGTTCTGGAAGGAAGCCTGTGTTTTCCACCATTAACTTGCTGTGTGATAATAAGTGAGCTATGTGATTTTATGCTTCAATTTCTCCATTTATAAAATAAGGGCATTATCTGTTCAACATCTATTTCACAGGACTGCCATGACATAGATCATTTAAATGAAAATGTTTCGGAAAGTATGGGATCCCATATAATCATACAGCATTATTAGTGTTAAACTGCTAATAACGAATCTTTGGGCTTTGAAAACTCCATTGGCAACATTTTCACAAAGCACAGGACAGGTCTCTCGCTACAGTGACTCAGCACAGACCATAATACATGCAGCTTTTAACCGTGCACCTACTGCTCCAGTCAGCATGTCATACATTAATGCTCCCAAACTCCATCAATCCACAGCACGATTGTGGCCACTTCTCATCAAGATTTCAGGGGCCCTACAATAAGGAAAGTAATATGCTTAAAAATGCACCCATTTGCATATCATCTGAATTAGAATTAAAAAAAATACAGAGTCAATTAGGCTACAGAAAACAGATACTATTCCTTAAAACAGGTAAAATTAGCTATTACCCCCAAACCAGTTATGTTTAACATGCAGCTCACATGTATTCTATTGTTCCACAAAATGTGTGTGTGACTGTTCCATCATGAATAGATTCTTTGCGTAGTCCAAAGTCTGTTAGTTTCATATGACCTACAATGAAAGATTACAGCATGATTATTCTCAGAATTCCAAGTATGTGCAGTGTTTGAACATGTCATATAACACCTTAGTCTATCCTTCCATTTAACTTTTCTTGCCTCAAACATAATCTCTCTAGTAAAGAGAAAATAAAGATAGAGAAAAAAGTGAAATAACCTGTTTAAGGCTCTAGCTTTAAGTATACACAGAATCCTTGACCATCCTGAAAAAGAAAAATCCTGTTTTATGAAGACAGGATTTTCATAAAACTGTTTTATGAAGTCTAGTTTAAGTACACAGATCCTAATAAACATATTCTGTACCTTTTAAACAAAGGTGTGAGACAGCACTTCAAATATATAGCTTTTATCACAGTGAACTGTGAAGAGTTCTTAAAATGGTCTCAGAAAGTCACTGTAATAAGGTAGCTCATTCTACCCAATGCTACTAATTCGGGGAAAGAAATAAAATTGCTAGATAGTATGAATCAATCATCGCTGATCCAGAAAGTAAAAAACTTACCACCTTATACAAAGATCATTTCAGTTCAAGTTTAGCTTCCTTTACTGGACTGTCATAACAAGTGGTTCAACAACCTCAGGGACTCTAGTATTTGAGGTTCATTTCACAGAAAAGGCACAATGACCTATTGATTCAAATGTAAACATATGCTACACTCTGATACAGAAGAAGAATGGCCTTTATTTTCACAGAACCATCTGATACACTCAACCTTATAAATCAAAGAAGAAGTTAACTATTCTATCGCTCCCCTATTCTATCCTGTGACTTAGAATTTAGATCAGAATCCAGATTTTGTGGAGTGAGGAGGTGTTGATGAGAGGAAGGAAGAGACACTGATTCCCATGATATATTCAGTTAAGTATATCATTTCTCCTTAAAAAAAAAAAAGGTAGGTGGAGGAGTATAATCTGGAATGTTTATATGAGCTTCGGTTGTTCATACATCATTTTTTAAGAGTTTGAAACAATTAACTACCTCATGGATTACTCTGTAGGCATCTAATGATTAACAGCTGCTACCACCTTCTAGATACCCTGGGTCAGCTGGTTGCTCCTTTGGGGTATGAGCGAATTGCCAAGTCTACCCACAGCCCAGATTAGCATAAATTGAGCTGTCTGTAGCAGCATGCAGTTGTAGTCAAGGCTCACTGAGCTATATCTATAGTTGTATAGATTATCAGTCTCTCTGATGTTTATGTTTGTTGTTGCAAACAAACAGCAAGAATAAACTGATTCTGGCAGTGGGGGAGGTGGGTTATGCCTATAATACCAGCAATTTGGGAAGCCAAGTCAGGTAGATCAACTGAGCTCAGGAGTTTGAGACCACCCTGGGCAACATGATGAAACCCCATTTCTACAAAAAATACCAAAAATTAGCCAGGCGTGGTGGTGTGCCACAGTGGCCCCAGCTACTTGAGGGGCTGGGGTGGGAGGATCACTTGAGCCTGAGAGGCGGAGGTTGCAGTGAGCTGCAATCATGCCACTGTATTCCAGCCTGATGACAGAGTGAGACCCCCATTTCAAAAAAAAAAAAAGAGTAACCCGACGCGTACTAAACATCATATTCCCAAAGTTTTATCAAATACTTTGGTTCAATTTCAATCCTTTTTCCAGCATTAATAAAACCTACTGTAAGAAGCATAGCTTCTAAAATATACATATTTTCTTTTTCTTTTTCTTTTTCTTTTTTTTTTTTTTTTTTGAGACGGAGTCTCGCTGTGTCGCACAGGCTGGAGTACAATGTCGCGATCTTGGCTCACTGCAACTTTCGCCTCCTGGGTTCAGGCGATTCTCCCACCTCAGCCTCCTGAGTAGCTGGGATTACAGGCACCCACCATCATGCCCAGCTAATTTTTTTTTTTTGTATTTTTGTAGAGATGGGGTTTCACCATGTTGGCCAGGCGTCTTCAACTCCTGACCTCAGGTGATCCACCCACCTTAGCCTCCCAAGTGCTGGGATTACAGGTGTCAGCCACTGCGCCCAGCCAATATTTACATATTTTCATTATTAAAACTCAACTTATATAATTGAGATTCACTTTTCAATTTAAGTAACAAGCCAAAATTAATGTTTAGACTGGCTTTTACAGTCTAAAACATTATACAACATTTGATGTAAGGATTCCAAAAACATGAAAAACTATAAAGAGTAAGGATTAAACTAAAAAAGGCAGTTGAGTGACTATTATCCTCAACTTCTTTTACTCTCACCAAGCGTAATTACCTAAAGACTTAAAATATCAGCAAGTACTATGATGCCATGAATTCTGAGGGAGGAAATATACAAAATAGAGAGATGAGTATGGGGCTTTGAAAATGGCCATGACCTATGTGGGAGGATTTTAAGATGATTATTTACTATAGAATTGTTTACGGTATGTCTCCACCTTGGTGATTAAGAATGATATTCTCCGGCTTCAGGTCTCTGTATATGATCCCCTTTTGATGTAAATGTCCCAAAGCCATGGAGATTTCTGCCAAGTAAAAGCTGTAAACAAAAGTGATTTAATAAAATTAAAAAGAGTGTAATCTATCCAAAGCAGTTTATGTATGGAGCAAAATTCCTGGAAAGAAACAGACATGCACCAAACACCAAATTAGTGGGGTAGGGGGATGTATGGGAAAAAGAGATGGCATAGGATGCTGCCAAAAGGCATGGGGACATTTATGTTTCACTCATTTTAGTGAAACTATAAAGTGCTTTATTTTGCCATTAGAATATACTGCTAAAATTGCAAAGATGTCCAGAATATGCTAAACTGCCATTGGTCATGTTTTGTTCTGTCTGTGTAGGAATTAAGCTAATAGCCATTCATTTCAAGCAAATTTCTCCCATCCACACCCAACTTTAAAATCCCATAGGAAATAGGAACTTTGTTATTCTCAGAGATCACGTCTTGATTTCAAAAGGTATCTTATAACCTGACCCTTAGAAGCCCACTCATCCTTTACTTAATACAGCTACGGATTTATAGACAGCTCAGGCCCACAGTATCTGCCCTCCCTCCTGCCAGCCAGCCCACAACTATAAACTGTGTGACACTCAAATTTATCTACCTCAAAAGAATAAAGGGCTGAATCAACCGTCTGGATTCGAAAAGCACAAGGCACTGCAATACTGGCTGCATAACAACGTTGCAATCCTGCAGATTACTCCAGGATGGAGAGGGTGTGTCCTAGAGGACTGAGGCAGTTTCACAGCCGGCACGACCACAAACACAGCCTCCAACACGGCTCAGTGAGCCTCCTCCAAAAAAGGGCACTTCATCCCTAAGGCTCTTAAATGCAGCTTCTGTGTTAGAAAAGGCCTGAAATTAAACAATGGAATACAGTTTTGGTAATTAAGGTAAAAAAAAATTTAAGTGTTGTTTTCTATTAAATTAATGTGTAGGATAAACTGATTTATTGTGACCCAATATTGTTGCTTCACAAAAGGATGTGCATATTTTTAATCTGAAGCAGATAACATGTTTAGAAATAGGAGGGTAAATCCCATCCTGACTATATAATCAATCCACAGATGATATGACCAGGCTTATCACCTCCCTAAGACTGCACCTTGAGAAATAGCCTAAAAAAAAAGGGATGATTTCTGATCATTTCCATTGTTCCACACATAAAGGTTCACTGGGAAACCACACTCACCCACAGCCAAGGCAGGCAGCTTACCAATTCAAGGAAAGAAAGCCGCAATGAGAATGCTTCTGTTAGGAACAACTGGTGTGAAGAGCGTTCCACTCAAGCCTAAGGCAAAGGAATGATGTGACCTCCATAGCTGCCCAGTCCCAAAACTGCTTCTCCCCCTTGAGGTCCTGAGTCAGTGACAGGCTCCAGATCAATTTACTGAATCATGTGGCTGCCCGCAGTGGGAATGGGGCTTTGCTTGTAATTACCTGAATCTATGCAAAAAGTTCACTTACCAGGCAGTGTCTTCCATAAATATTCCCTCTCTTTCTAACTGCATAAATAGTTCTCCTCCTGTAAAGAAAAAGAAAAAATGTTAGAAATAAAACAGTATGGCCAGGCGCAGTGGCTCACGCCTGTAATCCCAGCATTTTGGGAGGCCGAGGCTGGCAGATCACGAGGTCAGGAGATCGAGACCACGGTGAATCCCCGTCTCTACTAAAAATACAAAAAATTAGCCGGGCATGGTGGCGGGCGCCTGTAGTCCCAGCTACTGGGGAGGCTGAGGCAGGAGAATGGGGTGAACCCGGGAGGCGGAGCTTGCAGTGAGCCGAGATCCCGCCACTGCACTCCAGCCTGGGTGACAGAGCGAGACTCCGTCTCAAAAAAAAAAAAAAAAAAAAAAGAAAAGAAAAAGAAAAAAAAGCAATAAAACAATATTTATTTCCAACCCACTTCTAATGAGAGAGTTTGTGCTTTCCTTCTAACCATAATTAAAAGACATCGGCCCCTTAAAAATGAAAAACAAATCCTAAAAATTATAGGTTTTAAAACTAAGTCCTCAGGATTCTATTTTTAGTAGCATTCTTATTCTTCTGTAACACACATATGTTTAAAAACTAGAACTGGCTTGGAATTCCAGGTTTTATATCTATAAACTTTGAAATATTTGTAGATTCCAGACGTGAGGTTAAAAAAAAAACTTGATTAAAGACTCTTTAACATTTTACCCATAGGTAGAAAAATGATAGTCTACAATTAAATCACCCTCACTAATTTTAGTGAATGTTCGTATTTCGTATTTTCAGAACCCTTAAATAAACAGAATGAACCTGGCAGTGTCCTAGTAAAAAACATGGCACAATTTGAGTATCAAAATAAATAATGATAATAAAGGGTTATATCACATTGAATGATATTAGAATCCCTAAGTCCACAATGACATAAATAAATGAATAGATAAATTTTTTAAATGGGGAAGAAGAGAAAGTTCCTTATTACAGTAGAATGCCAAGTAGTAAATGAAGAAGGCATGACAGAGTAAGAAAAATTACTTGGCAAACATCACAACTAATTGTTGCAGACAAGAATCAATGGATGTCAAAACTGAATGTGGGCCGGGTGCAGTGGCTCATGCCTGTAATCCCAGCACTTTGGGAGGCCGAGGTGGGCAGATCACCTGAGGTCAGGGGTTCAAGACCAGCCTGGCCAAAATGGCAAAACCCCGTCTCTACTAAAACTAAAAAAGTTAGCTGGGTGTGGTGGTGCCTGCCTGTAATTCCAGCTACCCGGGAGGCTGAGGCAGGAGAATCACTTGAACCTGGGAGGTAGAGGTTGCAGTGAGCTGAGATCCCGCCACCGCACTCCAGCCTGGGTGACAGAGTGAGACTCGGTCTCAAAAAATAACAACAACAACAACAACAACAACAAAACTGAACATGAAAGTTTGATGGAAGAGACTTAAATAATCTCAAAGTATCTCCTCAAAAGATACTTATTAATTACAAAGGCAAAAATGTCACCAGGGAAAAAATCGGCAGACACCACCTTATACATGTGACCGAAGTTAACATCACAAGTAATAGGACAAAGATATAAATATCATGTACCTCTTGATCTGATGCATTAAGGAGGACACAATGTCACTTCAATGGTCCTGCCAAAATTGCATAACCTGAATCTAATACTAAGGAAACATCAGCTAAACCCAAAGCATTCTACAAACTAACTGGCCTGTGCTAATCAAAAATGTCAACATCATGAAAGTCAAAGAAAGATTGAGGAAATGTTCCAGATTAAAGGAAACTAAGGAGAGTTATAATTGCATCAATGTCAATTTCCTATTTCTGATCATTTTAGTATAGTTATGTAAGACACTGTCCTTGATTTTGGAAAATATACACTGAATAGGCTGGGCGCAGTGGCTCGCTCCTGTGATCCCAGCACTTTGGGAGGCCGAGGTGGGCAGATCACCTAAGGTCAGGAGTTCGAGACCAGCCTGGTCAACGTGGTGAAACCCCATCTCTACTAAAAACACAAAAATTAGCCGGGCGTGGTGGTGGATGCGTGTAATCTCAACTACTCGGCAGGCAGAGGCTGTAGTGAGCCCGCGATTGCGCCACTGCCCTCCAGTCTGGGCGACAGAGTGATACTCCATCTCAAAAAAAAAGAAAATAAAGAAAACATACACTGAAATTTTAGGGGTAAAGGGAAATCATGTCTGTAACACTCTCTTAAACAGTTCAAAAAAATTATGTATGCATGTGTGTATATATGTATACACATATATACATATACATAGAAGGATAAAACAAAATAAATGTGGTGAAATGGTAACATTTGGGGAATCCAGGTGAGAGATATATAGGAATTCTTTTTTTTTTTTCGTGACTGAGTCTCGCTCTGTTGCCCAGGTTGGAGTGTAGTGGTGCGATCTTTGCTCGCCACAACCTCCACCTCCCAGGTTCAAGCGATTCTCCTGCCTCAGCCTCCCGAGTAGCTGGGATTACAGGAGCACACCAACATGCCCGGCTAACTTTTCTATTTTTAGCACAGACAGAGTTTCACTATGTTGGCCAGACTGGTCTCAAACTCCTGACCTCATGATCCACCTGCCTTGGCCTCTCAAAGTGCTAGGATTACAGGCATGAGCCACCGAGCCTGGCATAGGAATTCTTTATACTACTCTTAAAACTTTTTAAGTATGAAATTATGTCAAAATAAAGTTTTTCTGGGCGGGCACGGTGGCTCACACCTGTAATCCCAGCACTCTGGAAGGCCAAGGCGGGCAGATCACCTGAGGTCAGGAGTTCAAGACCAGCCTGGCCAACATGGTGAAAGCCCGGCTCTACTAAAAATACAAAAACATAGCCCGGTGTGGTGGTGCATGCCAGTAATCCCAGCTAAATGGGACGCCCAGGCAGGAGAATCGCTTGAACCTGGGAGGCGGAGGTTGTGATGAGCTGAGATCACTCCTCTTTGCTCCAGCCTGGGCAAGAAGAGTGAAACTCCATCTTCAAAAAAAAAAAAAAAAAAAGTTTTTCCAATGGCAATACTCACAAAAAAGTTGCTACATTCTGCACCTTTCTGTTCCATGTTACATGTTACTGCAAAATCTTTCTCAGAGAACTGAACTGTGTTTGCTAGAAATAGATACCTGTGGCCGGGCGCAGTGGCTTACACCTGTAATCCCAGCACCTTGGGAGTCTGAGTCAGGTAGATCACTTGAGATCAGGAGTTCGAGATCAGCCTGACCAACATGGCGAAACCCCATCTTTACTAAAAATACAAAAATCAGCCGGGTATGCCTGTAATCCCAGCTACTCAGGAGGCTGAGGCAGGAGAATCGCTTGAACCCCAGGAGGCAGAGGTTGCAGTGACCCAAGATCACACCATTGCACTCCAGCCTGTGCGACAAGAGCAAAACTCCATCTAAAAAAAAAAAAAAGAAATAGATACCTGTGATCTAGAAATGATATGGAATCAACAAGTTCCTACGAGGTGGTAGGCCCTGGCAAATGTGGATGATTTCCATTATAAGCTACATACTCCATCACTAAGGCTACATTAAACTAAAAACTCTTGTTTAAAGACTCAATTCCAAAAATAGTCAGTATGTTAAATAATCCTCCCAATTATTTAAATTACAGTATCTTACCCCAGTACAATTTGATGGCTCCGCATCACTTAGGTATTTGTTTTTCTGTTAAGTGACTGATTATAAAAGAATTAAAATACAATTTTATAGATGAGGGAAGCAAATCTTTAGTTTCCACCGTATTTGTCTGCCAGTAGAAACATTTGGTCACATCTGAATTTTGTACTTCAGTGTACTCATCAATTTTAAGCACTATTTGATCATAATGGGAAAAAGTATTTTTCCATTGAAAAATAACATTTTGAACCAGTTTTTGGAGCAAAGGCAAATAATTACACCAAACTCTGTGTACTGACCACTGAGATACTCAAGGATGAGGTAGAGTTTTCCACCAGTCTGAAAGGCATAAGTTAAATCCACAATGAAGGGATGCCTTACTTCCTCCAGAATATTCCATTCTGCTTTTGTATGAGCTGTATCTTTAGCATTTCTTACTATCATTGCCTAAAGGAAAAGAGATGATCTATAAGAACAAAATAGTGAACATTTTTATTCTATAGTAACTGGAAAATCTATTTTGTGCTTTTCTTGCCAATATTGAACTATTAACCATAGTTCCCACTAGAAACTGAGATGGGGTGATGGAAAACATTCACTTTATATATGCCTCTGTGCAGTTTGGATTTTTTGCAGTGAACATGTAAATCAATACCTGAAGAGACTTTTTAAAAAAGAGATCTGTAATCAGATCAAGTTTATTCATATATTCACAAACTATTGAGTGTCTACCATGCTCCAGGCTGTGCCAAGAAAGCAGAATAGAAGGAATGCCCTGTCCATAGGAGCCCAAAAGTCCACAGGATCCCAAAGTCTCAGGGAAAAAAAGACAAGTCAATGTAGGCAAGCTCAGGATGGTAAGGGTAAACAGGGGAACTACATCTAACCTAGCAGAAAGTCTTGCTTGAAAGGTATTAAAATGAAAGGTGGCCTGGACGCGGTGGTTCATGTCTGTAATCCCAGCACTTAGGTAGGCAGAGGCAGGAGGATCGCTTGAGCCTAGGAGTTCGAGATCTGCCTGGTAACAAGCATGACCCCATTCTCCACAAAAATGGTAAAAAAAAGAAAGAAAGAAAGAAATGTAGAAGGTAAAAAAAAGGCATTCCAGTGCAAAAGAGGCTTGATAGGACAGGATATGTCTGGGGAATCTACAAGTAGTTCAGTATGGTTAGAAGTGGTTAGAGATTAGGCTAGAGAAGTAGGTAGAGGCCAGGAAATGGAAAGTCTGGACAAAGGAAGGTCTGGGTGAAATGAACAAATATTTGGCTTTACGACAGATACTTCTAGTAGCAGTAGGGAGTATTAGGAAAGAAATGAGACTAGTTAGGAGGCTAGTATAATAAACCAACTAAGAAGATCTATAAGAAATGAAGGTAGAAAAAAATGAAAGGCTAAGAATACATAATTTGCATTTGCTGACAAACTAGGTATGAGAGGAAATGATGATACCTTTATTTCTGCATAAGTAATAGGACAGATAATGGTGCCATTCAATAATGGCAAATGAAAGTGAAAAAGTTTTGGGAAAATGATGCCGTTTTAGACATGCCAGGTATAAGTTCCAGGAAGTTACCCTGTGGTACATCTCCGTAAGTAATATGGAAAGCAAATACACAGGTTATTGGTTGCAACATTATCTGTGAAAGTGAAACACTGGAAACAGCCTAAATGCTGGGACATAGGATATTGGCCCAAAACCTATGGAATCTACACAACATGTAACAAAGCTATAAAAATGAGAAAAATCTCTATAAAAACAAGATACAAAAGAGTATTTAAAAAGTACAACAGCATGGATACAATGCTATCTTTTGTACAAGAAAGGGGAAATGAGAATATATATATAATATGTATCTGCTTATACCTGCAAAAATGAAGACAACTAAGATAAACTAAAAGCTAATGATAATGGAAGGGAAGGACAAGAAATAAGACTTTTCAGTATACCTTCTGAGTAAAACCTCAATGGTTTTATCATCCATTTTTTTCTTTCCTAAATCAAATATTCCTGCAATTATAAAATGTAGATTTTTCCTTTTGAACCATATTAATGTTTAATATATTCCAAAAATAAAATCAACAAGGATGAGGGCTGGGAAGTACAACTGAATACAATAGGAATACATAAATTTAATTGACTATTACACCAATAACTTTACCACAGAAAGAGAAAGAGAAAAAAGATATAAGAGAAAAAGATTTTTTTTTTTTCAGACGGAGTCTCACTCTGTCACCCAGGCTGCAGTGCAGTGGCGTGGTCTTGGCTCACTGCAACCTCCGCCTCCCAGGTTCAAGTGATTCTCCTGCCTCAGCCTCCCAGGTAGCTGGGACTACAGGCGCCTGCCACCATGCCCGGCTAATTTTTGTATTTTTAGTAGAGATGGGGTTTCACCATGTTGGCCAGGCTGGTTTTGAACTCCTGACCTCATGATCTGCCCACCTTGGCCTCCCAAAGTGCTGGGATTACAGGCGTGAGCCACTGTGCGCGGTGAGAAAAAGCTACTTAAGTAATTTTAGACTGCACACCCGTAGGGGCCCATATGTAAGCACACAAAAAATTGCAAAGAAACGTTAAACTTAGTAGGTTTGTAGCTGGAAATACTATTGGTATCATAATTTTCATTATGCATATATTGTACAACTGAACAAATGACTGCATTTATTTATGTTACCAGAGTTCTCACTGTAGAAAAAAAGGATATCCAAATATGAACTGAAAGAAGAATGTGGCCGGGAGCGGTGGCTCACGCTTGTAATCCCAGCACTTTGGGAGGCCGAGGTGGGTGGATCACAAGGTCAGGAGTTCAAGACCAGCCTGGCCAAGATGATGAAATCCTGTGTCTACTAAAAATACAAAAATTTGCTGGGCATGGTGGCAGGTATCTGTAATCCCAGCTACTCAGGAGGTGGAGGCAGAGATTTGCTTGAACCCGGGAGGTGGAGGCTGCAGTGATCCGAGATCACACCACTGCACTCCAGCCTGGGGGACAGATCAAGACTCCATCTCAAAAATAAAAAAATAAAAATAAAGAAGAAGAACGCTATGGAATTTGACTAGAATTAGGGCTAACAATATGAAGCACTTTGGGAAGCCAAGGCAGGTGGATCACCATGTTGGCCAGGAGTTTGAGACCAGCCTGGCCAACATGGTGAAACCTCATCTTTACTAAAAATACAAGAATTAGCCAGGTATGGTGGTGGGCACCTGTACTCCCAGTTACTCCAGAGGCTGAGGCACGAGAATCACTGGAACCCGGGAAGCAGAGGTTGCAGTGAGCTGAGGCAGCCTGGCGTCCAAGCTGTGGTGAGCCATGATCATACCACTGCACTCAAGTCTGGGCAACAGAGGAAGTCCCTGTCTCAAAAAAAAAAAAAGGGCCAGGTGCAGTGGCTCACACCTTTAATCCCAGCATTTTAGGAGGCTGAGGCGGGCAGATCATGAGGTCAGGAGTTCAAGACCAGCCTGGCCATCATAGTGAAACCCCATCCCTACTAAAAATACAAAAATCAGCCGAGTGTGGTGGCATGTACCTGTAATCCCAGCTACTCAGGAGTTTGAGGCAGAAGAATTGCTTGAACCTGGGAGGCGGAGGTTGCAGTGAGCCAAGACCACATCATTGCACTCCAGCCTGGGCAACAGAGTGAACCTCCATCTCAAAAAAAAAAAAAAAATTAAAAAGGGAGTATAGGGCCAGGCGCGGTGGCTCACGCCTGTAATCCCATCACTTTGGGAGGCCGAGGTGGCTGGATCACGGGGTCAAGAGATCAAGACCATCCTGGCCAACATGGTGAGACCCCATCTCTACTAAAAATACAAAAAATTAGCTGGACACAGTGGCAAATGACTGTAGTCCCAGCTACTCTGGAGGCTGAGACAGGAGGATCGCCTGAACCTGGGAGGCGGAAGTTGCAGTGAGCTGAGACCATACCACTGCACTCCGGCCTGGTGACAAAGCAAGACTTCGTCTCAAAAAAAAAAAAAAAAAAAAAGGAGTATAAAAATATCTTTACAGAAGAATGACAATATAGAAAAAATACAGAAAAAATAGAAAAGTCTCCATTTTCTAATCACTATAGTAATATTTGATTTGGGCAAGAAGCAATCCAGATGAAACCATTAAGTAAAGATTATTATGGGACAGAATATTCACACTGTTTCTATCATGCCGTAGATCACTTGTTAATTACAAAAGGAAAAAGAGGCTGAGAATGGAGTCTCACGTCTGTGATCCCAGCACTTTGGGAGGCCAAGGAGGGCGGATCACCTTAGGTCAGGAGTTTGAGACCAGACTGGCCAACATGGCAAAACCCCATCTCTACTATAATTACAAAAATTAGGCAGACATGATAGCAGGCACCTGTAATCTCAGCTACTTGGGGGGCTGAGGCAGGAGAATCGCTTGAACCCAGGAGGTGGAGGTTGCAGTCAGCCAAGATTGCGCCACTGCACTCCAGCCTGGATGACAGAGTGAGACTCCTTCTCAAAAAAAAAAAAAATGCCCTTATTCTTAGGAGATGTATAGAAGAAATTAGGGGTGAAGTGCTATGAAATCTGCAGTTAACTCTCAAACTGTACAGGAAGAAAATTTATTAATGTTAAAAAATGTCAATATTCATAGATACACATATATGTGGGGGCAGGTAGAAAGGGAGGGACACACAGACAAAGAAAATATGGCAAAATGGTAACAACTGGTGATCACTGAACTATTCTTGCAACTCTGAAAAGTTTAAAAAATTTCAAAGGTATATTGTTTTTGAACTGCTCAGGAGGTTTAAATTTTTGAATTTTTAAAATAAGCAATCAATTGTGAGGAAGTCTGAGAAGCCACAGACTTAAGAGATAAGATGAAAAATAAGGAAAGTAGAGTCACAGTAATAAGAGGAACAGAGTTTCAAAATGCTGTGGTCAGTCAGTAGCTTCAATGCAAAAGAAAGTTAAATTAAGGACCAACTCAGTAAAGACAACTGGATTCAGCAACTGGGAAGTCAGTGATGACCTAGGGTACAGGAGCTGCATTGAAATAGTAGAGCTGGGCCACGTGTGGCCCACGGCTATAATCCAGCAGTTTGGGAGGCCGAGGTAGGTGGACCTCTTGAGGCCAGGAATTCAAGACCAGCCTAGCCAACATGGTGAAACCCCATCTCTACTAAAAATACAAAAATTAACCCGAGACAGTGGCGCACCCCTGTAATCCCAGCTACTCAGGGGCCCGAGGCATGAGAACTGCTTGAACCTGGAAGGCAGAGGCTGCAGTGAGCTGAGATAGGGCCACTGCACTTCAGCCTGGGTGACAGGGGAAGACTCTGTCTAAAAAACAAAAAATAGGCCTGGTGTGGTGGCTCATGCCTGTAATCACAGCACTTTGGGAGGCCGAGGCAGGCAGATCACAAGGTCAGGAGATCGAGACCATCCTGGCTAACACGGTGAAACCCTGTCTCTACTAAAAATACAAAAAATTAGCTGGGCTTGGTGGCAGGCGCCTGTGGTCCCAGCTCCTCCGGAGGCTGAGGCAGGAGAATGACATGAACCCGGGAGGTGGAGGTTGCAGTGAGCTGAGATTACGCCACTGCACTCCAGCCTGGGTGACAAAGCCAGACTCCCTCTCAAAAAAAAAAAAAAAAAGAAGTAAACTGGGTATGTGCCTTTAGAGGTGGTGCACATTTTTAGCATTATAAATGAATATAAATGAGTGGCAATTGTTACTTTGGTCCACAGATTTTTGGTATCTTAACTAGTTTTTGGTCTCTTCCACTAAAGGCATTGCCTGTTGAACCTTGTTAGGAATGTAAGTACTGAAGGCAAACTGCCTGGGTTTGAATTTTGTTCTGTCCCTTGCACCCTGCCTGGTTTCAAATCCTAGCTCTGCTTATTAAGTTCTTTTAAGGGATGACCTTTGAGCAAATGTCTTAGCTTCTGTTTTCCCAAGTAAATGGACACAATAGTTGCTACTTTGTGAAAGATTCATGTAATTGACCAGCATTTACCAAGTAGCATCAGTGTTTAGTTTCAGTCATTGGTGATTCTGCAGTTGGACTGTGAGGGGGTATTGGGGTGGGGGGTGGTGTGTGTGTGTAGCACTTAATTGCAGGCAGGAAGGAAAAGATACTTTTGATAACCGACAGGCAGCTTTTCTCTGCTTTTGTGTCAAAAGGGAGGAAGGGAGTTTGGAGAGGGAAATGAATTCTCTGTAACACTAAGCTCTCTTCCACAAAAACAGAGGTAGATAGAATGTGTAATAATTTACAGAATTTCTAGACTTCAACGATCTGATTTTTTTAATTTATTTTTATTTTTTCAGGTTGAGACTGAGCTAAAGTTAATCTGTGGCGACGTTCTGGATGTACTGGACAAACACCTCACTCATTCCAGCAGCTACAACTGGCAAGTCCAAGGTTTTCTATTATGAAATGTAGGTTCTATACTAACAATTAACAAGTGTACTTCAATAAATTTAAACATTCTCAGGAATAATTGACTTTGTTTCTTTTTTTCTTAGACATTTCATATTATTTTCCTTATTAAATATAACCAAAAATCCCACAGAAATTAACTGAGGAGCCTCTAAATATCAACAAAATTATCACTTGATAGACTAGAATTAAACAAGCAAGTGGTTCCAAGAAATGGCACGAGTGTATTAATCATAAAATAAAATTTCTACATGAAACATTCAGCCATTCTAGACCATTTCTGTCTGTGCAGACTCATCTTTTCTTGTTCTTTGCAAAGCCCAGCTAGAGCAAGCAAGTTCTTCCCAATAGGTTTTTCCCATCTCTGGTTGCTTGGCTGGCTGGGCTTCCTCTACAAACCTCCTTCCTTTCCCCTAAGCAGGGCCCAGTGTCCCCATCCCGCGGAGTTGAGCTCATGAGGGCATCTGACCAGGAGTAGCTATTCCTGGTGCTATTGTCATTGTCCTGTTTCATGTGTGAACATGGCTGGCTCTACAGAGATTTGGCAGGTAGCAAGGAGGTTTCTTTTTGAATCTTCTTTTGGAAGTCAGACTTGGTGAGGATCTTATGCCCACTTTTTCCTAGCTCTGTGGTGTCAGGCAAAGTCTGTTTCTGCAAATTGGGGTTAAGAATTCCTACCTCACAGCGGTCTTTTGATAAATAAATAAGATCTTAAGTGTAAATTATTCCACTAGAAATTGCGCAGTTACTTTGGTCTTCATCCTGGAGGTCCACTGACAAGCCTCATGCAAACCTGTGGCCCTGTTCATAAAGTGTTTTGATCCATACTTTCAAATGGCCTCAGGAAGACCTTTTATAAAGTAAAAATGTTAGGCAGCCACATGATATCCATTGACCCAGTGAGGCTGTTTTACTGGATGTAAGAGGTTTGACCCAGCATTTTGGGGGGCCGAGACAGGCAGATCACTTGAGGCCAGGAGCTGGAGACCCGCCTGGCCAACATGGAGAAACCCCATCTCTATTAAAAATACCAAAAAAATTACCTGGGCATGGTGGCACATGCCTGTAATCCCAGCTACTTGGGAGACTGAGGCACAAGAATAGCTTGAACCCAGGAGTCAGAGGTTGCAGTGAGCCAAGCCGAGATGGCGCCACTGCACTCCAGCCTGGGCAACAGAGTGAGACTCTGTCTCAGGGAAAAAAAAGGGGTGGGGGGAGGGTTTGAAAAAATAGTAGCATGTAGTTATGTTTCTACAATATTTGATATATATAAGGATTTACCAACCTCTTGCATTAGCTGCTATCCCCTACAGCACTTGCTGTAGGAAAAAAACATCAAGTTCTGAGCTCCTACTGTTTGCCAGGCATATTCTGAGATGATCACGTTTAAATCTCAGAGTTACCCTGCAGAGTAGTCAGGGTATCACTGCCTGACAGATGCAGAAGCTGAGGCTTACAGCAGTTAAATGACTTACCCCAGGCCACATAGATAATGAGTGGGAGAGCCCAGGTCTGTCTGTGAGGTATAATGAAATTAGCATAAACCCTCCACATTGGCGCCACTCACATAAAGTAACATATATTCTCTCACAGAAAGTATTTTATTGGGCATAACATTTTATATCATTTACCGTTTAACATTAGTCGTGGATCTTCCCACATCACATGAATATGCCTCATTGTTTTTGGATAATATGATTACTATTGAATGGATTTACTATCATTCATTTAATCAATACTCCTTTTGATGGCCATTTTAATTGTCTATTTTTTCCTTTTGCACAGATTGATGTAATAAACATGATTTTATAGTAATATTTTTGTCTGCCTGTGAAAATGTTTGCTGGACAATAAATTCCTAGGAGTAAAATAAGGTCAAAGATTATAAATACAGTATTTATTTTCATAAATATTACCAAGTCAGCCACAAATGTTTAAATTACTAATGGTTTCAGATTATTGTATTTAATGAGTAAACACTTTTATAGGGTTTACTTTTATAAACACTTTTATTTGCCAGATATCATTCTAAATGCTTTACAAAATTAACTTTTTCAATTTTTAATATAACCCTGGGATGTATATTAGGATTATCCCCATTCTACAGATAAGAACACTGAGGAGTTAATTAACTTGCCACATATCTAGGAAGTGACAAGGCTAGTTGCACAGCCAGGCAGTCTGGCTCCTGAGTCCACATTTTAGACAACACTATACCTCCTGGTTCTTTTGAGGCATTACTGCTGGAACTATCCTAATACTCATAAATAAACATTTCTTTTGGGGAGGGCCAAATAAAATTTTAAACAGAAGAGTTTTCACCAACTGTCAAGCTCATAAAGTTGTACATTATACACTTTTTTCATGATGCCCACAGATAATTTATTAATGATATCATCTATTTTAAAAGACATATGTAAAACCCAACCCTTAAGAAAGGATTCCTATCACTGTTCCCCACAGGCACCCTCCTCAGTCTTACACCTTTCCACCCCCCAAAACAAATCATTCAGCATATTTATTTCATACTGTAATATAGGAAATAGCTTCTTTTTAGATTTTCTTATATTCTTAACATTGATCATACCAACATGGAATAGAAATTCCTTATGTTTTATCTGGATTTAAGGTGCTACATAATGGAATATATTTCTATCAAGCCATACACATTGGAGATAATGAAATCACTTGTGTTCTAGCTTAAACGTTGTGGGAATTTCAGAACTGCAACATAACAGATAATCCTCGGATGAAAACTAAATCTCTCCTCTGGTCAGGCATCTATGTGCATCAGTGAAGAGAAGACGGGGACTGTGGAAGGGAAAACAGTGAGTCACGAAGGACTGTGGCCACATCTGTTCCCCGGACCCTCAAGTAGTTAAATCCTGACCTCCCCTACCGCATACTGTCCTGGGGAATGGCCAACACTGGCCTTTCACAACTGTGTGTTACTAGAAATGCAACAGAAACCCAGCTGAATCCCCAGGGTTTCCCTTCTGCCCTTCTCAATGGAAAGATCTGTCCCAGGACCATTTATTCCAACATTTTCAATTATGAGAAATCTGGGAAGATAAAGTTATTTTCACATTTCTCAAGAAATACATACTTATTCATACTCATTACAGGAAAGTCAGAATCTACAGAAAACCAAGAAGATTTTTAAAAATCCATGATACCACCATCAAAAGAGCCGCACTTAGTATGTTGGTCCACAGGTTTCCTAGCACCCTTTTCTGTTGGTGTATGCACAAAATACACAATCACATTCTGTCTACATTTTACAATTTGCCATTTTTTGATTAACACTATATATTGAACAATTTTTAAGACCTGCAACATATGTCGACAACATTATTTCAAAATAATATATTTATAAATAAACACACACACAAACTGTCTGTCTTATATACAACACGTCTTACTTTCTAATTCTCCACTCTTGAAGATTTAGGTTTTCCTAACTTTTTAATATACTCACCAGGAATCTGTAAACTTTTTTTATAAAAGGCCAAAGGGTAGATATTTTAAACTCTGCAGGCCATAGGTTTCTGTTGCAACACTCAACTCTGCTGTTGCAGGGAAAGAAGCCATACACAATTTGTAAATGAATGGGCATGACTGTGTTCTGATAAACTTTACAAAAACAGGTGGTGGACTAGATGCAGCCTGCTCCTCTGGACATGGCTTACCAGCCCCTGACATATACCACTACAGAGGATGCTGTTAGAATGAAATCTCTTTACACATCTCTGATCATCTCCTTAGGACTAATTGCTAGACATGACATCATGGTAGCTGTGGGTCAAAGGGCATGCACGCTCTGGGATGTACATTGCCAGATTGCTCATGATCAGCCTTTCTCATGTCAAAATGTTTTGTGACCACCAGAAGGCTGGTTCTGCTTTTATTATCCATTGACTGAGGAATAGAAATGACATGGCATGTATGCAGGATATTTAACCATCGTATAGATAATCCTTGTGCACAAGTGCATTCTATATTCTTTCCCAATAAGTCCACATCTGCCAGAGTTGAAATAAAATAAAACAAAACAAACCTATTTAGCACCTTCTCTGTAGCAGGTCCATTCATGTATGTTGTTGTATTTCATTCTCAGAATTCTTATGACCTAGGCATTTTAAAAATTTTTAAAAAAATATTTAGTTGACAAGGATTGTGTATATTTAATGCATACAATGTGATGATTTCATATATGTATATATTGTGTACTAATTATCACAATCAAATTTATTACATCCATTACCACCTATGCTGTACACGAAATCTCCAGAATTTGTTCATCTTATAACTGAAAGTTTATACCCTTTGATTAATAGCTTCCCATTTTCCCCAACCCCAGCCCTTGGCAACCACCATTCTACTATCTGTTTTTATGAGTTTGACTCTCTTAGATCCCACATATAAGTGAGATCATACAAAACTTGTCTTTCTGTGTCTGGCTTATTTCACTTAGCGTAATGTCCTCCAGGTTTATCCAGGACAGGAGTTTCTTCTTTTTAATGGCTAATAGTCCATTGTTTATATATATTTTGTTTATCCATTCATCTGTTGCTGGACACTTAGGCTGTTTCTATATCTTGGGTATTGTGAATAGTGTTGTAATAAACATGGGGCACAGATCTCTCTTCAAGGTTCTAACCTGATTGCTGAATCGTATGGTAGTTCTGCTTCTAATTTTTTGAGGAACATCCATACTGTTTTCTGTAAAGGTTATACCACTTTACATTCCAACCAACAGTGTACAAGGGTTCTCTTTCCTCTATGCTTTCGCCAACACTTGTTATCTCTTGTCGTTTTTTTTATAAGAGCCGTCCTATCCTATGAGGCAATATCTCATTGTGGTTTTGATTTGCATTTCTCTGATGATTAGTGGTGTTGAACACCTTTTCATATGCTGGCTGGCCATTTGTATATCTTCCTTGGGGAAAAAAGTCCATTGGGGTCCTTTGCCTATTTTTAATTGGGTTATTCATGTATTTATTAATTTTTGCTATTGAGTTGTGTGAATTCCTTATATTTTTTCAAATAACCCCTTATCAAATATATGGGTTGCAAATATTTTCTTCCATTCCATAGGTTGCCTTTTCATTTTGTCATGGTTTCCTTTGCTGTGTAAAACCTTTTAAGATTGATGTAGTCCCATTTATTTATTTTCACTTTTGTTGCCTGTGCTTTGGTGTTATATCAAAAAAAAATTGCCAATTATGACCAATGTCGAGGAGATTTTTCCCTATGTTTACTTCCAGGATTTACATGGTTTCAGATATTACATTTAATATCTGAATTACATTTAATATCTGAATTACATTAATATCTGAATTAATATCTGATATTACATTTAAATCTTTAATCCATTTTGAGCTAATTTTCTGTATATGATGTAAAACAAGTGTGCAATTTCATTCTTTTTCATGCACTTTCCCCAACACCATTCATTGAAGAGAGTTTCCTTTCTACATTGTGCTTTTTTTTTTTTTTTTACAGTACAGTGAAAGCAAGTCTATTAAGAAAGTAAAGGAATAAAAGAATCTACATTGTATATCCTTGATGGCCTTGTCAAAGATCTGTTGACCATATATGCACGGGGTTATTTCTGGGTGAGCTTGGCATTTTTATCTACCTCATTCTACCGATGAGGAGGCCGAGTCTCAGAGAGTTCACAGACCTGCCTAAGGTCACTCAGCTAGAGGTGATACAACCAGGGTTTGAACTGAGATCTGCCAGGCTTCTGAGTTTATTCTTTTTCCCCCACACCAAGGATCCTCAATTCTGCCTTACTGACATCAGGATCCAGTCAATTCTTTGTGATGGGGGCTGTCCTGCACCTGGCAGGATGTTTAGCACCTTCTCTGGCCTCCACCCACTGGATGCCAGGGGAATGCAGAAGAGGCTTGTTCATTCTCCCATTTAATCCTCAGGACAATATCTGACATAAATGTTATGTCTTTTATTTTATAAATGAAGAAAATGAGACTCAGAAAGGTTTAAGTGAGTTACTTAAGAACACACAGACAGCAAGAGGTAGAACTGGAAACTGAACACAGGTGTCCACATGGGACAACAAAAAAGTTCACGTTCCATCTTCTTTTGAGTCTCTCATTTCAATAATTACCATTGTCTGGATATGAGCTGAAGTACAGGAAACCTGGGGCTGAACTCTCCTCCCATCAGGCCTAGGAGCCCCAGACCAGAACGCCAGCCCAAGGTCTCCCAGTCAGGCCCGCTGGCGTGAGCTGGCATCTACACTAGCATGGTTTCCCAAAGCTGCAGGGATGCCAGTCTCGCCGCTGATGAAGAAAATGAAGGGCATTTGCTTCTCCTGCAGGCTCTCGGGATTTAACACAGATTCACAGATTCCTCTTCTTGCTGTCTTCTCCCATAGCACAAAACAGGGTGGTCCATCCCAGGCTCCCAGTGTCCCAAGGCTTTGTTGCGTGTTCTCTTTAATTTCTCCCACTCTTGCGGTGTACCCTACCCTCATCTCCCTGGCAACCTTTCTGCTGTATCCTCTCGACACCTGGATCACAAGAACACTTGTGAGACCCCTTAACAAGCTACATCCCAAATTATCATTCCCCTTTGTCCTCAGTCAGTGCTCAGGTCCAACTTGCTCTCCTGGGGTGACTTTCTTTCCTGCCCAATATGGTTTCATCACCTGTAAATTGGGGATAATTAAAGTCTTGATCCTGATATTTGACTCTCAAAGCAGAAGTAGCAAGCTCAGCCAAGTCACTTCAACAAGAGGAGACGTTCCTTGTGAACCAAAAGGGCACTGGTCACAAGGGCCGCTCCTTCTTCTCTCAGGCCTCTCCAGCACGCCCTTGGCTCAGCCAAAGAAGAGACTCAGGCTGTGCTTCTGCACTGTTGGGATAACATAGGCCTCTTCCATGTGGTTCCACACCAGGAACATGGGGACAATCAGACCTCTCCCAGTGTGGGCATAAGGATACAAGATCATGTCAATATTGACATTCATAATGGCCGGGCGCAGTGGCACACGCCTGTAATCCCAGCACTTTGGGAGGCTGAGGTGGGCAGATTGCTTGAACCCCAGAGTTCGAAACCAGCCTGGGCGACTTGGCAAGACCAGTCTCTACAGAAAATACAAAAAATTGTCTGGGCTTGGTGGCGCACACCTGTAGTCTCAGCTACTTGGGAGGCTGAGGTGGGAGGATTGCTCAAACCCAGGGAGGTTGAGGCTTCAGTGAGCTATGATGGCACTGCTGTACTCCAACCTGGGCAACAGAGTGAGGCCCTGTCTCAAAACAAAAACAAAGACAAAACAACATTCATAATAGTAGCAATAGCTACTATGTGCCAAGCCCAGGCACCTCTTCGAGTCTTTGCTGTCACCCTATCAGGTAAGCGTGCTTAGAAGTTACACGAAGCACACGGCTCAGTGTTTGGCCCATGGTAAGGGCCTAAAAAGTGATAGCCCCAGTGATGGGGATGCTGCTGCTGCTGACCGTTAACCCCAGTCTGCTCCACCTTCTTCCAGGCAGTCTGTGAGATGTTTGATGTCCGAGGCAAACAGCACATTCAGATCCCCAAGCTCTACACCTCCAGTGTGACCAGGCACCTGCACCACTTCAGGCTCATGCAGGACTCACAGCCTTTGGACCTCAGCTAAAGGACTTGCTTCTCTTCAGCACACGGGGCTTGTTTGTGTTGGGGTCTGAGCCCTGAGCCATGGTCAAGGAGACCCCCAGGTCTTTCTGAACAGAGACAGCTGGCCTGGGGGCCTCCCTCTCACTGCATGCAAGAGGCTGTTAGGGTGCAAGACTCAAGGCACTGAGGGAGGCTGTTTCAGGAGGGAGCCCCAGGAGGGTGGTGGAGACAGAAGGGGGCAGCATCTGCCGAGGGCCTACTGTGTGCCTGGCACCGTGTGGGGTTTCTGGCCCATATGGGCTAAGTGACCCTGCACACTCCTCTTAGGAGAAAGGCTCAGATGGAGAAATTGCAGTTCAGGAAGGTAAAGCAAGCTGCTAGCCTGTGGCCATGTTGGGATCTGGGCCTCAGCCTTCCAGCCACGAAGGCAGCCAAGTGTCATGAAGAAGGCATCACAGAGGCAATTCCAGGCTGTAGTGGTGAACTTTCCACTCTGCATCCCCGGGTGCTGTGCCCTGTGCCCTGTCTAAGGTAGCCCTGCGGGTTTCTATATGTTTAAGTTATCCCCAGCATCAATGATGCTCTCCTGTGGATCCCAAGCCATGGAGATGTCCTGGGACTTTTCATTTTTAGGTACCTAAATTGAATTTCCCAACACATAGAAGCAAGACAGCTGCCCTAACAGACTCTTGCATGCAGTGAGAGGGAGGCCGCCAGGCCAGCTGTCTCTGTTCAGAAAGACCTGGGGGTCTCCTTGACCATGCGCTCAGGGCTCAGACCCTAACACAAACAAGCCCCGTGTGCTGAAGAGAAGCAGGTCCCTTAGCTGAGGTCCAAAGGCTGTGGGTCCTGCATGAGCCTGAAGTGGTGCACGTCCCTGGTCACATTGGAGGTGGAGAGCTTGGGGATCTGAATGTGCTGTTTGCCTTGGATCTTTATTTGTGATTCAGAAACAGTGGAATAAAAGGAAAGGAAAGAAAACCCGAATGGCCACCTCAGCAGGATGCTCCAAGGGTAGTGTCCAGGTGGCACTGACTCAGACATGTGGGGGCTTCCCCCACCCATGCTCAAGAGCCACTTTGCCATTTCACCATCTCTCTGTCCTCCACACCCCTCAGCAGCAAGCACACCAAGAATGTGTTCACCATGAAGCTCAAATCTCAGCAGAATCTAGAGTCTGAAATCCAAGTAAGGGAAAGTGTAGAGCTTCTCGGATGATGCCCTGTCAATTTTATTTTAACGAATGAAAGACCAGAAGAAGTCAGTCTTTGAAAGGAGAGGACAGGAGCATCTGCTGGCATTAGCAGCCATGCCATCGTAGGACCAGCTCACCTGGACCCGCGGCCACCTGTGCTTTTACATCTAGTCTTGGTTAACCATGGGCCACTTTTCCAGCTTGGAAACTAAGCATATGCTCCACTTCCTCTCCTTCCTCATTGAACTCTTTCACTAAAAGAACAGTGCAAGAGAGACTTAAACTGTTTGCCTCATTCTTAAGAACTTTCAGGAAAAGTGTTGGCAGGGAAGGAAATTTCCCAGCTCTGGGAAACAGTCTTGTGGATTATCTGCTGGTTTAATTGATCTGCGCTGTCCTCCCTGCATTCATTAGGAAAACTGGCCTTGGTTCAAATAAGAACAGGATTTGTCCTGGTGACAGAGAAAGGTTTCTTCTGATGTCCATATATCTCCGAGGGAGATGCTTTCTCCAGGCAGAGGCTGTGGCCAAGCGATCAGGGGGCTCAGAGGGCTGCTGGGAAGGGGTGGGCCCCTCTCTCCCCAGAGGGAAACTCCTGGGGAACTCTCGAGCACCCCTGCCCATCCTTTAAACATAAATTCATAAATACAAACAAGTAGGCCATTCACAGAAATATATAAAATATGTCATAGGATGGGTGGCACTCTCATATGGCAATAATTATGACAGGGGCCGGCAAATGACCTGAGTGACCCGGACTGACCTGAGCACTGACTCCCAAATGCCCTCCATAGGATGTTCTGCATCCCCGAGACCCTTTCCTGGGTGCTCCTGGGCCCTACCACCCCCTAGACCATCCAGACCTCAGGTCATCCCCCTGTCTGTTGACAGAGTAGTCTCCGTTCCTGAACGTGCTGGTCACCAGCAACAGCAGCTGCTCCTCCTCCAGGCAGCTCAGCCTATACTTCTACATGCAGAGAACCTGGACGGCACCCAGGTGGACCTAAGCCTTCAGCTCCCAGTAGACACTCTGGGCTTCCTACCCTGCCCAGACACTCTGGGCTTCCCCCCACACCTCCCCTCGGCCGGGGCTCCTGTGCGCATCTGTCTCTCCCAGTGCCCAGCACAGGCGTGGAATGGAAGGGGTGAATGGACCGATGTGAACACATCATCCTGGATTCTCCTTCCCCGCTCAAGCCCTGCAGCTAACCCATCGGCAAGCCCTGGGGGCTCTGCCTCCAAAATCCTGCCTATCCCATGTCCAAACGCCTCTCACCATGTCCACTGCTCTTTGCAGTTCTGTGTGTGTGGAAATATTTCCCCAAAATTGGAATGAGCAGGTCACAGCTGTGCCTGGAGGGAACGGCCAGGGAAATGTGCCCTCGCCTTGCTGTTCTATCCAGGCCCACCCAGCTGAGGATGGGGGACCTGCCACCACTCTCCTGGCAGTTCCGGACTCCTGGGAACCGGCAGGTGAGGACCCAAGAGTGTTTTCAGTGACCCGGCTGACCTGGTCATCCGTCAGTCCCACCTTGGCCTAGGCCTCTGTGCAGCACAGATCACAGCTCATTCCATCCTGGCATTACACTGGCCTGTGCCCTGTCCTCAGGGTCACATCCGTCTCCCAGAAGCCGTGCAACCCTGGAAAACCCAGGTCTAACAGTCAGGTTCCTCCTCTGTGCATTAACAATGGCGTTGACGTCTGCTTTGCGGGACGCTGGGAGGGGAGAGGGAGGTGTATGCTGGAGAGCTCCCCAGGGGCAAGGCCTGGTTCTGCGTCACTCACTGTCAGATCCTGAGAGCCTGGGGCTGGCCCAGCACGTGGCCACCGTTCCCTAAGAGTTGGATTTCATCCCTCAGTGCTGAAGGCAGGGGATAGAGCTTAGACAGACCCCCTGCGTCCTGTCTTCTTTATCTACAGCTTACTCATCCTTGCCCCTTTCACGTGCACCCGGCAGAGCAGGTGTTCACTGAGCTTGAGCAAAATTCAAGCTAGAGCAGCTGATGGATCCTGAGGCCTAGATTCACTGTCAAAGTGTTTCTCAACGGTGCTCTCCAGAACACCAAGGAAAACTCATTGACTGTATAAGTCTGAAAATCCCTGCCCACCGGTCTACCTTTGTGTATGAGCAATCAGCTCTACCATTCAGCCCAGGTGTGTGTTTGCTGGACCATGTGGAGGAAGCTGAAGAGACATGAGCAGAAGGCAGAGGGTGAGTCCAAGGTGGGATCTTGGGACAGGTACGAGAAGTTAGGCAAAAATGGGATAATTCTAGCCTTCATAACCTTAGATAATAGTTCACATTATTATTTAGTTAATAGAATTGTACCCACATTAAATTTCTTAAATTTTTTTAAGAGATAAAGTCTCACTCTGTCACCCAGGCTGGAGTGCAGTGGTGCAATCATGGCTCACTGCTTCCTGGAACTCGTGGGCTCCAGCAATCCTCCTGCCTCAGCCTCCTGACTAGGTGGGACTATAGGCACGCGCCACCATGCCTGGCTAATTTCTTTGACTTTTCTCTAGAGACCGGGTCCACCTAGGTTTCCCAGGCTGGTCTCAGACTTCTAGACTCAAGTGAACCTGAACCTCCCGCCTTGACCTCTCAAATTGCTGGGATTACAGGTGTGAGCCACCACACCCGGCCTAAATTTCTTATGTGCCATGGGACTGCAAAACATCATTATTAGGGGCAGCTGGATGGAAGGTATAGGACACTATAGTGCCTTTTCAATATTTCTGTCTAAAATCTAAAATCATTTCAACAGGAAACATTTATTTCAAAACGTGAAGGTGGTTATCCTTCCATGAGTTTAAAGTACAAAGGCAGGCTCACGGTGTCGTCAGAATTCAGAACGATGGTCGTGGGGCTGGGGGTGTTGGGAGGGGCTGGGCATGGTTGGCTTTGTGATCTGGGGTCTGGTGTGCTCCATCTCTGAATGTCTCTCGAGCTGCACTCTTTCTTAATACATTCTCATAAGTTTAACAAAAAATAAAACGAGGAGGCGAAGCTTGCTTGGGTTGTTAAGCCTAGGGAAATTATCCAGCCATGAGCCCTGGCCCAGATGCTTCTAGAAGCCTGGAGGGAACTGAGAACTTTCCAAGTGGAGGCCGCAGAGGCAAGGTCCTGAGGTGGGAGCACACTGCTGTTCGTCCCTAGCTCTGAAGGGGGTGCCCTGGTCGGAATCAGTGCTGGGTGCACTGCAGGGCCGGGAAGTCCATGCCCACGTTGTGGCTCAGTGCAGTGAAAGCCGATCTCACCCGCTCCGCAGGGTGTTCAGCCTGCCAGCAGGTGGCCGGCTGGTCCTCCTGGGATATGGCACGGACCCAGCAGCTCTGTCTGAAATCATAACGGCGGAACCAAGGGTCCCCTACGTCCAGGTCCGTTGGGAGGCGGGGCATGGAGTTCCACTGCAGGAATCTCCAGGAACCCTGAGGTCCTCCCTGAGCCAGGGCCGGGCTGGGCACACCCTGAGTGCCCACAGGGTAGGTGTCTTCCCGGACAGCCCCACCAGGACAGGGTGTGGAAGAACGAGGTGCCCGTGGCGGGGAAGCTGACCAAATGGGCCATGGGAACCGGGCTGGTGGGCCTGGAGGGGCCTGCCTGTCCCCCTTGCAGAGGGTCTTCCCGCCCCGTGAAGCCGGCACAGGCCTGGATGCCGACGACCCTTGCTCGGGTTTGGCTGAAAGGAAAACAGACGCGGTCAGCATCTCCAGTGAGCCCACGCAGGCCTTTCCGGGCTGGGCCCCACCTGCCTGCGTCTCTGGAGTCCTCGGGGTCTCTGTGTGGCCCCCGTGGCCTGACACTGAGGACACGCCTGTAGTCTGCTGATCCCAGAGGGAGGAGTGCGTGCTGCCTGGCGTGGGGAAGCTGTCGTGGCATGGCGGGTGGCTCCTGGGACTGCCCCCAGGGTTCAGACTGGCTGGCGGCTTCCTGCCACACACCTTCGTCCCAGGGCTGTTGGGCCTGGGATACGGCCCCCAGTCAGAACTCAGGTGGGAGGGGCCTTGGATGTCACCCAGCCCCTTGCCACCTCAGGTGGGGACCCCTCTCCGCAGTGGGTGATTGGGCCCGGACGTGGGTCACCCTCTGCCCTCCTGGGCTGCCCAGTCCATGCCAGGACTGACCGTTCCCACTTCTGGCTGAACGCTTGGCTCTGGCCCTGGGCCCGGGGTCCCGCCTGCGCCCTCTCCCTGAAAGCTCCGTGGGTCAGGGACACCGATTCCCTTGTCTCCCTGGCTCCAGGCTCGTTGTCCTGGCAAGCTTGGAGGAGCGTGCAGGAGTGAGGGGCCTCTGCTGCTCTCTGAGGCTGTGGGTGCTTGCAGGGAGGGGCGGGGTCTCCCACAAATGGGTCTGGGCTCGGCTAGTAACTTGGAGGGCCCTGCGAGGGGGAGAGGGAGACACCGCAGAAAGTGGGAGGGGGCTTGTTGGAGGGTCTCGCCCACATCCCCCTCCTGCGTGCACAGCATGTCCAGTATACACGCACTGAGCGCCTGCCCTGAGGACCGGTGGGCCTCCTGTACTTTCTTAGAGTCCAGGAGGAAGAGGAGGAAGAAAAGGTGAAGAGGAAGGCCCAGGTAGTAGGGTTGCGGGTCCCGGGCACTCCCCTACTATTGACTACCCCAGAGGGTGACATGGGAGGGGACATGGCACTGGAGCCCACCTGGGGGTGGCAGGTCCCCCTGCTTTCTTGTTAGTTTCTTCATAGAGGCCCTAAGATGCTTGAGCACAGTGTCATCATCCCTGGCCCAGGCATCAACGAACCGGTTCCAAAAACGTGCCCACGGGCCACACCTGGACGTCTTCGTGAGGCGCTCTAGGGACAGGGTGGATATCAGGCCAGGGGAGTTACCTGGGAATGGTCACAGCTCATACCCCGTGGCCACTTCAGTCTCCCACTGGGCGGTGCCGGATCCTTTTGTGGCCACCCCAGGCGTCCAGATATACACAGGAGACTGTGGCTGGGGGGCGATCTGGACAGGGAAGTGCTCACCACACTCTCGACTTTCATCTGGGTCATGTGGGGGATGGGCTCAGTGTCACAGTGTCCTGCCCAGCCCACCTGGCCAGACCTCCCTCTGGGCCAGAACAGAGGATCATGAGGACAGTGTGAGGAAGCTGCCCTCGGGCCAGTCGGGGTCTGACCCCAGGGCTCCCCAGGCCCCGCTGGGCACACGTAGACTTACTCTGCTGAACCTTAAAGGCGATTTTGTTATCGGCATGAACGCCTGTTCGCCTTCTACCAGATACACGTCCCAGAGGCGCAGGGTGAGCCCGAGAGAGATCTGTGGGGACAGCAGGTGTGAAAGAACCTGGTCCTTCCAGGCTGGGGCTGGTGGCTCGAGCTGCGCACACTGGGGCTTCAGTCTCCAGAGTCAGTGACCTTCCCCATGAGGGTCGCCTGAGCCCTCCAGGACGCTGGGTCAGACAAGGTCTTGAAGCTCCTCATGGGGGGCACTCATTTGAGTGGGGATGTGGCTCCTGGAGAGAGGGGCTTGCCCAGGGCTTGAGGCTTCCCTGAGCCCTCTCAAGTCGGGTCCTGGCCCAGTCTGCCCATGAGGCTGGGCCTGAGCCCCAGCCATTGCCCTGGGATGACCCCTCTTGGGCAGAGGGTTTTGCTTGTGTGTCCTTTGGGGACCCGCCTGAGCCTCCTGTGGGCTGGGAGTGAGCCAGACCCCCGGGCTGGGGAAGCAGGGCACTGCAGGGCAAGGAGGGTCCCTGAGCCAGGGTCTCCCTATGCCTCCTTACCCCATCAATCAATATCCGGATGAGGCAGCCTAAGGACGAACACTGCCCACATAGATCTTTCTTGTCCTGATGGAAGCAACAGAGGTGCTCAGGCCACTGGGCTGCCCTAAAAACCTCCCTCTTCCAGGGCCTCTGAAGACCCTTCCCCTAATGCAGAACACTGGGCGGTGTCCAGAGCTCCCCACAACACTGTCACCTTCCCACACTCCCGGTGGACACGCTGCCCTTTGCGCTGCTCTGCGGGAGCTGGGCCCCCATCCCTGTGCCTCTGTCTCCTCCAGGGCAGGAAAGGAAACCAACTCCCAGCCCATGGAGAACCCGACGTCCCAGGTCAGGCCCTGGCTGGGACTCAGCCAGTCACCAGCCCCACGAGGGGCTCCAGCCCCCCTGCTCCTACAGCCCCACGGGAGGCAGGGCCTCTGGGAAGAGCTGAGGGGACCATAAACTCACCTAATGCCACATGGTCTTGGGTAGTGACGTGGCTACCACATGCTCCTGTTGGTCTTGGAGCCCCTGGACGGTCCCGCCATTTGGGCTGTGAAATCCTGAGAAGCCCCCAGCCCATCGTGAAATCAGAGCCTTCCCTCAAGATGTGGAGCCATCAGCTGCAAGAGCTGGGCAGCTGGAGAGGCCCCCAAACCCCAAGGCCTCCCACCCTCCCATCTGGTGACCCCAACATGCGGCCTTTACCCTGGGGAGGTGGGGCGGGAACATTCCCTGGAGCCTGGCTGGAGGTTCCCCTGGAGGCCTCCTGGGCCAGGGTGCAAAAAGGGCAAGCCTGACTTTCAGGCCACCACAGGGCAGCCGGAACTGGGTGGGTGCTGGGCTTCCTGGTCATCTCCTGGTAGTGGGGTCGGGCCAGGGAACAGGGGATGGGGAGATGCTGCCACCTGGGCTTGGTCGGCCCATTCGTGGGCACCGATGGCGGCAGGAGCCCGGGCAGCTGGAGGGCAGGAGGACTCTCAGGGAGGGGAGAGTCAGCTGCACAGAATCAGAGCCGGAGGGCGTGGCTCCAGGACACAGAGGGTGGCCACGGGGAGGATGAGATGCCCTCTGCTGATGGGGATGAGAGGCGTCTGATTTGGGCTTTGGGGGTCAGCCGTGGACTCCTGTGGGACCCTCAGCAGAGACATCCTAAAGTCTCCCAACAAGCTGGCGACACAAGGAGGGTGCCTTGGCTAAAAGCTGTGATCACCTGGCCAGGGTGGCCATCCCCAGGTCTGGCTGCAGGAGGTCCCCGGGGCAGCTGTTCACTTACCCTGCAGGGAGTGCCTCTCACTGGCCAGCAGCTGCACCAGTGCCCAGAATGCATCCTCCTCAGGAAGATAAAGGAGGAACAAGGCGGCGATGTGGCTCAGGTCCCTGCAGTAGCCCACCTCCTGCAAGAGCCAGAGTCACCATGGAAGGACATCAGCTGGGAGGGCTGAGGTCACCTGGGAGGACTCATGTCATTGGAGAGGGCAGAGGTGACTGGAGAGGCTTCCTCTGAAGGAGAGGCTTCCTCTGAAAAAGAGGCTTCCTCAGGATGCACATTCATTTCATGACAAGAGCCAAGTCCATCAGGCACTTCAGCACCTTGTCCAAAATGTCTGCTGATAGCACCATCCTGTGTGCGATGCTGCCAAGCTCCTGGGCTTTGGGGCAGCCCCAGGAGGAGGGCGTCATTTCTTGTTCTGAGAAGTGGTGGTCAGGCCCAGGTGACACCAGGAGTCCAGGCCCTGACTCCTTTGTGTATCAGCTTGACCCCTTGAGACCACCCCCTTCCTTGGAGGTTTATGCCAGCGGTGAGCTCACATCCTACCTCCTATATCCTGGTGGGTCACAAATACTAATTTTAAAAGAAGCAACGACACCCCCACCAGACACCCACTCCTGTGAATATGGAAATATGGCCCGGGAACCTCACTGCCGGGAATACTCACCGGGTTATACTCCTCATACGCCAGGAGGATGTAAAGTAGTTCCCGCTGCCTAGGAAACAGAGAAAGGGGGCTTTGGTTTGTTTTGTGCAGATGTTGTTAATTTCACTTTGTCTACAAAGCCTAACAGCAAATCCCATTTCAGGTTCAGATGATTCACCAGATAAGCAGTGAGCTCTTCAGGGCCTGAGACTCTTGAAGAAATGTTTCAGTAAAATCCACATCTGTGACATGCAAATAGCCCAGTTGTACAGTGACTTGCCTGATCCTTTTCACTCTGAATGATTTTTTTTTTTTTTCAGTTTGCACACACACCAATTCGGTCTGTGGGTGTACAGTTCCTCCACGGTTCCAAACCAATGTGCAGAGTCTCCCGGCCACCGCTCCAGCCCCTCCTGGGGCGACTCCTTCATCCTCCAAGTCTCCAGGGTGGCCCCTATGCACCCAGCCTCTCCCCGATCCGTCAGCCCCTGGCCACCCAGACTGCTTCCCAGTCCCTGTGGTTTGGCCTTTTCCAGAATGGCCTAGGAATGGGAATCCTACTGTGGTAGCTTATTGGGTCTGGCTTCTGTCCCTCAGCAAAATGCATCTAGGATCCACCCACGTTCGTGCGGGCATCACTGGCTCGTTCCCTTTTCTCACTGGGTCTTCCGTTTGAAGGGAGGACCAGCCTTGCTCTACCCATTCCCGTGTTGAAGGCCGTCCCCGAAGGCTCCGTGTGTGAGTGACGAGGAGTCAAGCAGTGAACCTGGCATGCAGGTTTCATGTGGATGTCAGTTTCCAAATCAGTGGGTTCAATCTCTGTGACACTTTGGGGATGCGTGGTTCAAGTCCATCGAGCTTTGTGAGCCACTGCCCAACTGGCTGCCAACGTGGCTGTGCCATGTCATGTTCCCAGCAGACCTGGATGAGAGTTTCCAGGACCCCTAATTCTCCCAGCATTTGGTGCTGTCACTGTTGCCTGGGGGGGCTCATGGGCCCTCTATCCTGCCACTCTCCCGTGGCTCCTACCATGGGTCCCCATGGGTCAGGGAGAGCACCTTTCACCATTGTGCATGATTTTGTTTGCTGCCTTCCATCTCCTCAGGATCCTCCTGGGTTCTGGCCCCACATGTTCCAGTCTGGCCCAGGGTTTGGAACCAGGGAGGTGCTCGGTTCATGGTGCCGGCTGCTCCCTGGGCCAGGAGAGCTCTTGGCAGCTGTGTCATCCCTCCTGGGTGACCCTGGCTTCTGTTCCGGGGAAGCCCCCATCCCTCTCATTCACCCCATCTCTGCTGGGACCCTGTGGCTCCCGTAGGCTTACTTGGTTCCGTATCGATCCCTGAAGAATATATGCCTCCTTAATGTCCCGCTTACGTCCAGGTCCATCTGCTGGATGTGTTCAGATGACCTCTTGCCCTTCTCCTTCATGATCTGTAGGGCAGGGCCAAGAGGAGGAAGCAGTCTCAGAACAGATGGAAGACTCCCTGCCCCCAGTGGCAGTCAGCCCACAGTCAGCACTTCGGGAAGGAAGGACAGAAGGAAGGTTTCCTTCTGCAGAAAGCTGCATTTTGGCTTGTTACTGAAGCCAGGGAGGGTCACCAGAGCTGAGTTTGTCTGTGGTGACTGTGTCACCATCTGTGCCCAGGGTGTTCAACTGACCTTCACCCCCAGCTCCCCAGGGTGGTCTTGACGTTCCCTCCAGCTGGAGACCTGGGCCCCTGACACGGCCTGTCCTGTTGGTTGTGCTCTGGCTGAGTGTACCTGGTATCTTCCGGGGTTTTTCAACTTGATTTCCTCAATGTTCAGGAGGACTGACCACATCGGGCCCCGGATGTTCATGGGAATTCCCTGGTACGCTCGATCTATGAGCTGTGGGCAGAAAACAATCTGGTGTCGCAGGCCACGGGGTGACCCCAGTGAGGACCAGAGCCCGGGGATTCTGGAAATTGTTGGTTTTGGCCCCGTGATTCCTCAGTAGAGGTGAGATCAAGCTGGGACAGGGTCTCCCTTCCCAGGACTGAAAGAGTGGATGGACACTCAGAGTCGAAACTCTGATCTGAACCTTTTCCTTCCTTCAGGTCACCAGGGCATCCCTAGCCTTGAGCTCCGGGTAGTCCCAGCCCTAGATTCAGATTCCCTCCCAGCAAGGTGACGCTTGCACGAGTAGGCAGGAAATCTGGCGACCAGGCCTGCAGTCCTCTGGGCGAGGACAGCGTGCCACCCACCCTCTGAGAGGCTGACGGCGCCAGGCCACAGCCATGGGTGCCTGTCCCCTGTCTCTGCAGAGAGTGCTTCCTCCCTCCACACATTACCTTTCTGCTGTTTTTGTAGGTGTCCCATTCTCCCAGCATTTTCACCCACTTGCTCTTTCGGCTGATCTCCCGCCGAATTTGCTGTCAAATGAGGCATGTTGGAGTTAGCAGAGCTGCCAGGCTTCCCAGAGCCGCCCGCGGATGCTGGGTCTTGGGCTCTGGAGCCCTGGTGGGAGCCAGCTGGAAGGAGCCAGGGAAGGGCAGACCTCAAGGGCTGAGAGCCTTTGAGCAAATGAGCACCAGTGGGCTGGCTTTGGGACCCCGGGATGTACCATCCTCAGGCCACAGCCACACCAGTCTTAGGTCCCAGCCTCTAGGTGGGGTCCTGACACAAGCGCGCAGCCACCCCCAAGCCAGGACTGTGGTTCTCCTTTTGGAATTTTATCAAACTGCCAAAGTTAACAGCAACCTGGGGTCAGGTCCAGCAGGGACTGCTGCCCCTCCCAGTGACAGCGCGTTGCCCTCTCCCGCCACCGCTCAGGCCAGCTGCTTCCTCTGCCTCACTGACCACCCGCCCAGTCCCTACGTCCCTGGACCAGCCCCTCCATGCATCAGGCTCTTACCTTCACCTCCCGCGCAGTCAGAGGAGGCAGCTCCGTCTCACTGTAAGGCAACCCAGGCAGAGCTGAGGAACTGCACGGGGCCTGGAGCGGCCCCAGCCTGGGTGCCGACCCCCAGAAAGGACTGGCTCTGTCCCTTTCCAGCTCAGGGCTCAGCCCAGGAGAAGGCACAGGGAAGGGAGGACAAGGGCCTTCCTGTGGGGCTGACTCCCAGGAGGGGCAGGACCTGGGCGAAGAAGGAGTGTAGGGACAGCCTGGCCGGGGTTACTGGGGCCCCTGGCGTGGGGGGCGGTCAGGCTGCCCAGTGGGGCTGCCCGTCCTGGACTCGAGGTGGTGCTTTCTGCTGGAGCTGAGAAAGGTTAGCCCTGAGATGGGATGGGGGCCGCCCAGGGTGGGTGACCGGGCCCTGACAGGAGTCCCTCAGGGAGTGACCACATCACCCCGCCAGGGTCAAGGGAGCCTGCCCTGAGACCTGCCCCGTGTACTCTGGGTGCACCAGGGGCCCATCCCACTTGACAGCCCCAAGGCCCTTGCAGGTTCTGACCTCCCAGCATCCACCTGCCTCTCCCTGCTCCCGAGCCACACACCCTGCGTTTCAGAAGTGGCACGGCTCATCAGCTCCCTCCCACCCTACCTCCCCCGGGATCCTCTGTCTCTCCATCCTGTGATCCCTGAGGGATGGGCTCCTGGCTGGGCTCCTCTTACCAGGCCCCAGATCCCTTCCCAGCACCAGACCCAGGTCTTTAGCCGCGAGCCCTGCTGCCTCCCCGGCCTCACCGTGAGATGCCCAGAGCGGGGCCCTGCCCATCTTCCCCCCGTTCTCCTAGGGCTACAGCCCCCATTGTCACCATGCCTTTTCCCCTCACGGGACAGTGAGGGCTGTAGCTCTAGGGGCATGGGGGAGAACAGGGGCAGGTGGGCCCTCAGAGACCTGCTGGACAACAGCCCTGAGGCTGGGCCAGGCGTCCCCTCACCCTGTGGCCATAACCCTTGGATCTCACCGGGGTTGTCTCCAAGTAGACAGGGCCAGACCCTCAGGCTGCCCCGCTCCTCTTGTGCTCACTTGCCGACAGAACTGCTGAGCGCCCAGGGGCCTGACCTAGCCCAGTCTCCATTCCCACCGGCTCCCTAGATGGGCCCCACACCTCTGGCCTAACAACAACCTCGGGCTGGACCTGCAGGGGAGTCAGGGAGGAGTTCTGTCCCTGGAAAGGAGGTTGACCCGACCTGGTGAGACATGTCCTGCATCAGAAAGGCCTTTCTAAAAGCAAACCCATCCCTGAGCTGAGACAGGTGCTTTAGGGGTGAGGGGAGTGCAGAGGACTCACTGCTGCATCCCAAAGTGATCGATGTTGTTGTTGTAGCTTCCAAAAGGCTTAGGCCCCTTGTCCTCTGGCAGCCCAGCTCGGTGTCCCTGTAGCCCAGAGGGAGCCTTGGTGAGGGGTCCAAGGTAAAGGGTGCAAGGGCCTGGGGGCATTGGTCACCCGTCCCTGCCCTGTGCTCCTAGCGAGCCCAGGACCCTTTGACCAGGGCACACTGGAAGAGGCCTCCCTCCAAGAAGCAGACCGACTTGTACCTTTTCGTATTTCATAATGATGTCCTCTCGCTCTTGTGCCCACCAACTACCCGCGACCTCTACCACGTCCATCCTATGAGACAAAATTGTCTAAAGGTTACACTGTACGCGGCGGCTTTGGAGAACACCTGAACCGCTCTCGCCGGGCTCCCAGATGCTGGCTGGCTGCGTAACCCCCATTCCACCGCCGCCCCCAGGGAAAAAGGGGCCAGACCCAGTGGCCCACAGCTGCTCGAGTCTCTGGAGTCTCAAGTCCCAAGCAGGGGTGGGCATCTTCCCAAGGACTTGAGTACAGTGGGACCTAGACAGAGAATCCTGTTGTCCCCCAGTGCCATGAAATGGGGACACACCGGCCCCAGCAGGTTGAATGGTTTCCACCTGCCAAGGGTGAAGGGCCCATGATGGGCTATTCCAGGGATGTGGAGGCAGACTGGGGTCAGCGACCAGAGGTCTCTGTACAATCGGCCTCCTGGGATGCTCAGGGCCTCAGAGATGCCCAGTTTCCTACAGGGAACAAGATCTCTCCTGACTGCTCGGTTCTACTCCGCTGATCACTTTGGCTACCGTGGCTCTTCAGTCTGAACAGTGAAGCCACTTTAGGAATAACGCCTGTTGAGCAGGAGGGTGTTCGGTTTGGGGGATGAGAAAGATCTATTGTACGCATGGAAACCATGTCTCTCGCGGAGGGACTGTGGAGTCCACCATTCTGAGCCGTCCCAACAGGAGGAGGCTTCATTTTCTTGGGTCACTGAGGAAGAACAGTGGGTCCTTGGTCCTGGAGAACACCTGGATGGACTGTCCCTCCTGGGAATACTCGAGGCAAAAGGAGGGCGAGGCCTCAAGAGGACCACACAGAGCAAGAAATGCCTGGGGAGAACCCTAGTGCCCGGACCCCTTTGAACAGAAGGGAAGATAGTCTCCCCTCAGCCAGCCCTCCAGGGCTCCTTCATTTTCCACGGCTGCCCAAGGGCAGCAGGCTCCCCCGGACAAGGGACCATGTGTGTTCAGTGGGGCCCACAGCGACCATCGGGACCCAGCTTAGGGCACAGAGGTGTTCTGAGGACCGTCAGTGGATCTATACCAGTGGATCTATACCAGTGGCTCTGCCAGGACCAGGCTCTGCCCCATCGGGATCGGAAACCTGGGCAGATTTGGGATCTAGGGCAGGGAGGTCACAGGGTTCAGGCCTGAATTCCAGCACAGCACACAGCAGGGCTGAGAGCAAAACTCAGGGTCATGTCCGGATTCCCAGGCCGGTTACTGCCTCTCTGACCCCAGATGTCTCATCTGTCGAATGGGGACATTTGGGAACAGCACCCACTCTACGAAGCCACCATGGAGACGAAAGAGCCAATCGTCTACACGGGCAGTGTAGAACGGGCGCCTGGTGAGTGCTCAGGGATGACCCTCCTCAGTAGCTGCCCCACAGAGGCCAACACCGCCCGCACCGTGGCCACTGTCCCCAGGTCCGCCTGGAGGGAAGAGAGCAGGTCACGCTCACCTGATTCTGATGAATCAGCTGGCCTGGGTCATGCCTCTCAGGGAGAAAACCTTTGAGTCCACAGAGCTGCTCACAGATACCACTGCCTGTGTGTAACTGCTGTAGAACACTGAGGCAGGCCAGAGAGCGGATAGGTGCTAAGCACCAGTGACATTCTGAGGTCATGGCACGCATCACAATGGGGCCTTGCCCGGGTCAGCAGTGCCCAGAGTCAGGGTCCTCCGCTGCCTGAGGCGTCAACATGCCTGCCTGCAATGTGTTTGTGCATGTGCGTGCACATGTGTATGTGGGTAAACACATCTGTGCACGTGTGTGTTGCTTCTCTGGCCAGGCCCGGCTGCCCCACTCATGTGTGCACCCAGTTCCTCATCACTGTCACCCCCGAGGCCCAGGGCCAGCATCAGAGCATCCATGGCTGCTCCCTAACCTCAGCCCTCCCTGCCCAGGGTGGTCCTGGGATACACATAGGGGTGGAGGGAAGTGACTGCTGCTGCTGGATCTCAGAATACAAAAGCTAATACTATTACCTAATGGTCTTTTTAGTGTCTCTAATGGTATCGCTTTTTCATTTCTGATATTTTAACTGGGTATTTCTCTCCATGACCCTTGGATATTCTAGCTAGAGGATCTTGTGAGGAAAGTGCCGGGCACACAGTAGGGGCTCACTCTTCTAGACATGTTATCTAAAACCTGGTTCATCTGTCCTTCCACGCAGGGCCTAGGGGATGCCAAATTCCAGGGTCCAGAAAGAGCTTGGGATAAAATGAAACTTCAAGGGGACGGCTTTGACCTGGGCTGAGTCTGCCTGTGCCGAGTCTGCCTGTGCCATCCAACTGGAGTCTCAAGTCCTGAGGCAGTACGTCCAGATGCCCCAGTGCAGGGTCCTCCTGATCAACACCTGCTCCCCTGTACTCATTAGCAACCTCACCCACCCTACTCTCAAAGCACACTTGGCTCTCATATCCAGGAGCTCTGCATCTGTGGATTCAGCAACAGCAGATGGAAAATATTCAGAAAATAAATTGGACGGTTATGTTTCTATTGAATTGCTCTTGTCATTATTCCCTAAAGAATACAGTATCACGACCATTTATGTAGCATCTGCATTGTATTACACATCCTGAATAATCTAGAGATGGTCTAATGTCTACAGGAGGATGTGCATAGCTGATATGTAAATACTAGGCCATGTTATGTCAGAGACTTGAGGATCCATGGATTTTGGCATCCCCGGGGACCCTAGAACTAATCCATGGATACCAAGGGATGACTGTAGAAACTCACTCAGGAAGGCTTCTCATTGGAGGAAGGGCCCAGTTCAGGACACACAGGGACATCTCCCTGGACTACTGTCCATTCATCCATCCATTCATCCATTGTCTCCCCCCACTCCCCCATCTCGGACTGTCCCAATGACAGCCCTAGCAAGAAGAGACAAGAAACAAGATAAGTTCACATTGTCCATTTTTGAGGTATTAGAAGAAGTTGCACCGGTATGAGAATAGTGGGTCAGTTTTCTACAGGATCCAGAAAGCATATCGGGCAGCCTCGGGGTGCGGAAAGGAGCCTGGCCTCTCCAGCAGCCACACAGGCCTGCAGTAGGATGGGGCTGGTGCTGGCCATGTGGATCACTTGGGCCTCATGAGGGGAAAGGAAATACCAGGGGGCAGAAGAGGAGCATGGGGGCAGCTGGTTGCCTAAGGGGAAGGCACCTCAGGGAAGGGGACTGTATTCATTTGTTTTCACACTGATGTAAAGAAATACCTGAGATTGGGTAATTTATAAAGGAAACAGGCTTAATTGACTTGCAGTTCTGGAAACTTACAATCATGGCAGAAGGGGAAGGGGAAGCAGGCACCTTCTTCACAAGACGGCAGGAGGGAGTGAGTGGAGAACCAGTAAGTGCCACACTTTGAAACTATCAGCTCTCCTGAGAACTACCTCACTATCCGGGGAGCAGCACGGGGGAAACTGTCCCCAAATCCAATCCCCTCCCACCAGATTCCTCCCTTGACACAGGAGGATTACAATCCCAGATGAGTTTTGGGTGGGGACACAGAGCCAAACATGTGAGGGTCTCAGTCTATGTTGCAGCTCCCCTGGGGCTGAGGCCTCCTCCCAGCCGCCCCTTCCCCCAGGGCTTCCCACCTTCCCTGCCCTGAATTCTCTTTTTTTTTTTGAGCTTAGTGATAGACAAAGTTAACATAGAAATCTTGGCCTGCCCACCAGGTGTGGTGGCTCACACCTGTAAACCACTGCACTCCAGCCTGGGCAACAAGAGTGAAACTCCATTGCAAAAAAAAAAAAAGTACATTTCAAATAATTATCACAAAGCAACTAGCTTTCCATTATCACTGAGTTTAAGAAACAGAATATAGCGAGCACTCAAAAGCCTCCCATTTGCTTCCTCCAAATCACAAATTCTCCCTTCTTCACAAAGGTAACTATTATTCTAAATGTTACAGTAATCACTTTCTTGCTTTTCTTTACAGTTTTATATCCTATGCACAAGTAAATAAACACTAGATTTCATTTTCCCTGTTTTAAAAGTTTTTATATTTATAAATAGAATTACTTAATTCATTTTTGTTTGTTTTTTGTTTTTTGAAACAGGGTCTAGCTCTGTCATCCAGGCTGGAGCGTAGTGGTGTGATCTCAGCTCACTGCAACCTCCACCTTCTGGGCTTGAGAGATTCTCTTGCCTCAGCCTCCCGAGTAGCTGGGACTACAGGTGTGTGGCACCACGCTGGCTAATTTCTGTATTTTCTGTAGAGATGGGGTTTCACCATGTTGCCCAGGCTGGTCTTAAACTGCTGGGCTCAAGCAATCGGCCCACCTCAGCCTCCCAAAATGCTGAGATTACAGGTGTGAGCCACCGTGCCTAGCCTAATTCTTTTGTGTCTGGCTTCTTTCCATCAACATTAGGTTTACGAGATTCATTTATACTCGATATAACTACAAATCCATTCATTTTCATTCCTGTATAATGTTCCATTATCTTAATATATCTCAACTTCCCAATCCCTTCTACAACTAATGGACATGTAATGTTTTCATTTTGGGGCTACTATAGATAATGGTGCTACAAATATTCTTGTACATATCTCCTAGTACACATATCTCTTGGGTGGATACCTACAGGTAGAACTGCTTATCCTTAACTAGAAAATTGTATTCCAAAGTAGTTGTATTAATTTATTTTCTCATCAGCATGGTATGAGAGTTCCTGTTGCTCTACTTAGCAACCCTGTCAGTCTGTTTAATTTTACCTGTTCAGGTGAGTGCACTGATATCCTAATATTGTTTTAATTTACATTTCACTGATTACTAGTGTCGTTAATCACTTTTTTTTTTTTTTGAGACGGAGTCTCGCTCTGTTGCCCAGGCTGGAAATGCAATGGCATAATCTCGGCCCACTGCAACCTCTGCCTCTGGGATTCAAGTGATTCTCCTGCCTCAGCCTCCCGAGTAGCTGGGACTACATGTGCCCACCATCACGCCCAGTTAATTTTTGTATTTTTAGTAGAGACGGAGTTTCACCATATTGGCCAGGCTGGTCTTGAACTCCTGACCTTGTGATCCATCCGTCTCGGCCTCTCAAAGTGCTGGGATTATAGGCGTGAGCCACCGCACCCAGCCAAGTTATCAATTTTAATGAAGTCCAATTTAATCTTTTCTTTTATATGAGTAGCCTCAGGAATGTATTTACCAGTATTATCTTCCAAGGGCTGTTTCATTGTTTTGCTTTCAAATTTAGCTCTATAGAACACCTGGAATTGTGGTGAAAGGTAGGTGCCAAGTTTCATATGGATATCTAATTGTCCCAGCACCACTTGCTGAGAAAACTATCTTTCTCTCACCTCTCTGCAATGTTATCTTTGTTATAAATCAGGTGTTCATACATTTGTGAACTGGTTTCTGGGCTCTCTCTTCTATCCCAATGGTCTACTTGTCTTTTCTTGTACCAATATGACATTATTTTAAATATCATATCTTTGTGAAATAAATCTTGATATCTGGATGATATCCAATCTTGATGATATCCTCATATCTTATTCTTCTTCAAGAGTATCTTGGTTATTCCTGGTGCTTTGTATTTCCACATATGAGAATCAGCTTATCAAATCACACACCACACACAAACACACACACACACACACACACACACACACACACACACACACATGCAGACTTTGCATTTTTATTGGGATTGTGCATTAAGTCATCTGTAAATTAGTTTGTAGAGAACCGATATCTTAAAATATTGAGTCTTCTAATCCATGAACATGGTTTATTCCTTCCAATATTTAAGTCTTCTTTAATTTCTATCAATATTTTATTTTCTATATAGATGTCTTATGTGTCATTTTTAAAGTTTATTCCTAGGTACTTAATTTTTTCTCAGCATTTAATTTTTTTGATACTAAGATAAATAATATCTGTAGTTGAGTTGAATGGTGGCCTCTAAAACAGTATATCCATATATCCATGTTCTAACCCCTGGAACCAGTAAATGTGACCTAATTTGGTAAAAGGATGTTTGTAGATGTAATTAAGTTGAGGATGTCAAGATGAGATCATCCTGGATTATCTGGGTGGGCCCTAAATTCAATAAGTATCCTTATCAGAGAAAGACAGAGAGAAAGAGAAGGCTATATGAAGAGGCAGGGATTGCAGTTATGCAGTCACAAGCCAAAGAATGCCTGGAGCCACCAGAGGTTAGAAGAGACAAGAAAGCATTCTCTCCTAGAACCTTTGGAGGAAGCCCCCACCCTACAGAAACCTTAGTTTCAGACTTCTGGCCTCCAGAAGGTGAAAGAATAAATTTCTGGGCCGGGTGCAGTGGCTCATACCTGTAAACCCAGCACTTTGGGAGGCCGAGGCAGGCAGATCACGAGGTCAGATCAAGACCATCCTGGCCAACATGGTGAAACCCCATCTCTACTAAAAATACAAAAATTAGCCAGGCATGGCGGCGTGCACCTGTAGTATCAGCTACTTGGGAGGCTGAGGCAGGAGAATTGCTTGAACCCAGGAGGCGGAGGCTGCAGTGAGTGGAGATCGCGCCACTGCACTCCAGCCTGGGCGACAGACCGAGACCGTCAAAAAAAAAAAAAAAAAAAAAAAGAATATATTTCTGTTGTTTAAAGCCACCAAATTTATGGTAATTTGTTATAACAGTCCTAGGAAACCAATACAGTACCTTTTTTACAATTTCATTTTCTCTTGTTGCTGCTATACAATCAATTTACTTGATCTAGAAGCCCTGCTTTCCTTTATTTTATTTATTTATTTATTTAAGACGGAGTTTTGCTCGTCGCCCAGGCTGGAGTGCAATGGCACGATCTTGCCTCATGGCAACCTCCGCCTCCCAGGTTCAAGTGATTCTCCTGCCTCAGCCTCCTGAGTAGCTAGGACTACCGGCGTGTGCCACCATGCCTGGCTGATTGTTGTATTTTTAATAGAGACGGGGTTTCACCATCTTGGCCAGGCTGGTCTCGAACTTCTGACCTCATGATCCACCCGCCTCGGCCTCCCAAAGTGCTGGGATTACAGGCGTGAGCCACTGTGCCCGGCCTTTCCTTTACTTTATAAAATTAGGACACTAAAGTCCAAAGAGCTCAATCAGCTATCTAGTGGCAGAATTAGAACTAAAACATAGGTTGCTAAATTCCTAGTTCAGTGCCCTTTCTACTCTACCAAGTTGCCACTATACCCGAAGACTACCTCTTTAACAATTATCCACTGACCACAGTTTTCAAACCTTCCTTTTTCTTTTTTACCAAAGAGTCAACCTTTAATGCAATAGTTATATATTAGACTATCAAGAGAGGAATTACGCACAACTTGATTTTCCTCAAGAACATTCTTGTATCCTCTAAGAAAAAAAACAAAACAAAACAAAAAAACCAACCCCAAAACAAAAAACTTTTCCGAAGCCATCCGCATTTATGTGGCAGTGAAGATATACATACCTACACAAACACACAGGAAACATAAATTTTGTGTGTGTTGGTTTTTGTTTTTTTCTAATTTTTTTAGAGACAAGGTCTCACTTATTGCCCAGGTTGGAGTGGAGTGGTTATTTACAGGTGTGAGCATCATAGCATATTATAGCTTCAAAATCCTGTCCTCAAGGGATCTTCCTAAACATGCCTGGCTTAGGAGATACTTTTTTTTTTTTTTTTTTGAGACAAAGTCTCACTTTATCACCCAGGCTGGAGTGCTGTGGCGCAATCTTCACTCACTGCAACCTCTGCCTCCTGGGTTCAAGCAATTCTCCTGCCTCAGCATCTCAAGTAGCTGAAACTGCAGGTGCATGCCACCATGCCCAGCTAATTTTTTTATTTTTAGTAGAGATGGGGTTTCATCACGTTGGCCAGGCTGTTCTCAAACTCCTGACTTCAGGTGATCCCCCTGCTTCAGCCTCCCAAAGTGCTGGGAGTACAGGTGTGAGCCACCGCACCTGACCATTTTCTTTCTTTTTTTTCTTTTTCTTTTCTTTTTGAGACAGGGTCTTGCCCAGGCTGGAATGCATGGAGCAAGCAAGCATGGCTCACTGCAGCTTTGACCTCCTAGTCTCAAGTGATCCTCCTGCCTCAGCCTCCAGAGTAGTTGAGACTATAGGCACACACCATCATGGCTGCTTAGTTAAAAAAAAAAAAAAGTCTTTTTTTTTTTTTGGAATAGACGAGGTCTCACTATGTTGCCCAGGCTAGCCTTGAACTCCTGAGCTAAGGTGATCCTCCTGCTTCAGCCTCCCAAAGTGTTGGGATTACAGGTGTGAGCCACTGCACCCGGCCAGGAGACACAAATTTTTAAAGAAAGTAGTACTCAGATGCACTGTCTATCCTGTTGCCTCTTAATATACGGATAAGGAATGTCATTTCATACATTAGCCACCATGAGTAATACTAAATCCTGGCTCTGATCACTTATATTAGCATATATAATACATTGAAAATGCATTCACAGCAACAGATTTTGAGGACAGGGTAAAAAAGTAAAAAAATAAAATTTGTAAAATTATTAAATTTTAAAAAATTAAAGAAAAGAAGAGAAGAAAATGCATTCAATGATGTTGCAAAGACAGCAAATGACTATTTCACAAATGACACTAGCAAGACTGGCAGTGAGTTGCCTAACATTTAACTAACCATTTTTCGGTGGACTGCAATGATGTAACCTGTAAAGGGGCTGTCAGGAAGAGATGGCATGTGACCATTAACCATTCCATTTGTGAAGTTCTTCTCAGTTCCACATGGCACAACAGTGTTTGGCATTCCATTGGGGATGAATATTGGTCGGGGTAGGTCCCCATTGGTAGTAAGGATGAACATTCCATTTGTAGATGGTGAAGAGGAGCAATCTACAAATTCAAAGATAAGTACAGCATCATAAGCTTGTGGTATTTTCATCTTTGCTCTTTTCTCAAGTATCCTGAGGACCAGAGACAGTGTAGTCTCTTAACACAGGGCAGGGAGAAATCACAGTATAAATAATTATAGATTTATTGGAAGATTTTAATTTTCCAGTTTTACTTCCCTAACTCACACTTTTGACCAAATGAAAAGGAAAGAGTAACTGCTGGAAACTATTAAGCAGAATTTTTGCAGAAACCTGTATCGGCACCATGTTGTAGCACACAAACAGTTCTACCACTTGTTTTCTTTTCCTTCTCTTCGCCTTTGAAGACACTGTTTAATACAGTAACCTCTACCCAGATGTTGCATTTAAAATTTAAATTAGGCTGGATGAGGCAGCTCACATTTGTAATCCTAGCACTTTGGGAGGCTGAGGTAGCAGATCCCTTGAACCCAGGAGCTAGTGACCAGCCTAGGCAACATGGTGAAAACCCATCTCTACAAAAGATACACCATAGCTGGGCATGGTGGTACACGTTTGTAGTCCCAGCTACTTGGGAAGCTGAGGTGGGAGGATTGCTTCAGCCCATAAGGCAGAGGCTGCAGTGAGCCAAGATGATGCCACTGCACTCCAGGCTGGGTGACAGAGTGAGACCGTTTCTCAAAATAAATAAATTAAATTAAATAAAAATTAAAAATGCATTATTCTCACTCACACTAACCACATCTCGAGCGCTTAACAGTCCACGTGACTGGTGGATACTGTATTGGATGGCAAAGATCACAGAAGTTTCCACCACTGCAGAATTCTATTGGACAGTGATGCTCTAAACTAAAACTAAAATTAGAACATCCACCAACTCACCGTCAGGACTATCTACCTACTACACATCAATGAGGGGAGCCTCATAAAGCCCTTTATAGTTGGGGAATTAGCCTAATTAACCTAATTGTAAGTAATATAAAGAATAGACAAAGCATACTAGTGGCTAAAAGGACTCAGTGAGTGACCACATTAAATTACATATAATATTGGATTTCTTTCTAGCTATATCTATTGTTTATATTTTCTGGTAGTATGTTCCTCTCATACTAGCTGTTGCCATGTTAGTATTAGATACAAGTTCAAAGAGATCTGAATTCCAAGGGTATATTAGCTAACGACTACCTATCTAACTGAAGTCACTTGGGTTCTCTAAATTTTAGGTTTCTCGTCGAAAAAATATGGAATAATCAGTAAGGTTTCCCTTGGGTTCCAAAATTCTTCCGCTATAATATCCTCAGCATGAACAAATATAAAAAAGATGACAACTCTTAGACAAATATTTAAAGGAGCAATCATGAGAAGGAGTTCTAGTTCTATCTTACCTGTCTGTGTTGGACTAGAAGCTGAAATTGGAGACGCAGGGACAGGAATTTCAAATGCACACAAAAATCCACTCACTGAGAGTCGTACTTTTTGGTTGTCCTGAGGAAAGTTCTACAGAAACAGAAGCAAGATGAGAAGGGGGAGATGTTTCAGATAAAATGGAAAAGTTCTCTCTCTAACATATTTCAAAAGAATGTCTTAGGCGCTTTCATTCTTAAAACCAACGAGATGATTGAATAATTTTTCAACTACATAAAGGATGAATGCTTGATAAAAATAACAGAAAACTAACCTCAATTTTCGAACTATTATCTCTTTTCACAGGAAGAAGTGTGTTATATATGACTGACTTCAGTTTTGTCCGTTTCAGGGATCTAAATTCCAACCCTCAGAGACTCCATTTTTGCATTTCATATTAAGAAACTGTCAATGAGGTGAGAGTGTGTTCAGAAATCCCAAAGATGAATATAAATAATACCAGTTGCAGGAGCTTAATTTAGAGTAGGCAATATATTTATTAGATTATTTGTTTCCCCAGCTGGTATGTAGAAAGACATGATTGGTGTCAATTTGTCTTTACTCTTAATTTCTTAGTGTGTTAAAAGACCAAGTATATATATTCATAAATACTAAAAACACACATTCATAAATACATAAAATACTTTAACCTAGGAAGAATTCTAGTAACAGCGGTAATACAGAAGAGTTGTCAAGGGTTAATAGCAGCAGTCTTTGGTAACAGCAGCAGTCTTTGGTGGAAACCTATACTATAGTGACACAGCTAGAACACTCCATATAGGCAGCCTTACATATTTCCCTTCTTCAAAAATACCACCATCAGTATTATCCCTTTATTCTGGTAGAAAACTCTTAGGTTTCTGGGTTGGAAAACTTGGCGTTTTTTGTTGTTGTTGTTGTTCAGTTTTCGTTATGTTTTAGTATCTCTCTTGGTCACAGAACCTAACAATTGATCATAATAATTGAGAAAAATGTCATCTTTGAAGGATAGAATCAAAAGTTTCTTAGAGTAGTTAATATTACCTTTATGTTGGAACCATGTACTTCTGCTAGAAGGATTTGTTCTGAATTAAGTCCACAGAGATCACTCAGCTGTTTTTTTAAACCTGTGTACTTTTCATCCATATTCAGTCTTAGTCCATACCGTACAGGGGTAGTACCATCTAACTTAATCACTAGTAAAGAGAAAAGATCTTTTATCGGTAAAATGCAGGTTTCATTGAAAGTCTTAAATGCTGTGTACAGATATATCTGACCTGTAAATATAATAGCAAATATTTCAGCCTAGAATTTTTATTTTATGTGTAAACACTAAAACAGATGGTACTTAGGGATAATATTAAGTGAAATCAGTATTTTTTTGGTGTTCATCTGACATAAAAGTATCAGTGGCTTTGCAGGATTTTAAAGAGAGTTGCTGGCATATTTGAAACCAAAAAAACATGCCCCAATCTACATCTTTCAAACCTCAAGTCATGCCTAAAATTAGGTTGCTCGATTATAATATGCTGACTACCGGTCTTTATTTGTAAGCAAATAACTACGCTTACAAACTCAGGCTATTTAAATAAAGTAAATTTAATGGAGTCAAGTAATTTTTCAGAACTTTCTGACCTACCTGTTATTTCTAAGTGCATATAACTGTCCATTGGTAGTGGCAAAGACAAAAAATTGAAAGGGTCAAATCGGACACTTATATGCCCACATGTCTTGCATTTTACTTGAGATCTTAGCTGCCCATGGAACAAATCCACAACAATTGATCTATTTCTTCTTAGATGGTTGTCTCAGGCCTAGCAATAAAAAAGATGAGAATTTTCTCTCAAAATCCAAAAGAGAGGCATTTCTATATAAATTCAAAGAAACTAGTTAAATATATTGGATTTAAATGTAAAGAATATAATCCTTACTCTTCATTTAACATAAAATATTAAATTGAGATGGAAAATCCTATTTTTCATTTGTTCTTATTAAGGTAACAATGGTAAATATTAAAGTTATTTGTCCATTAACAAGTATAAAGCATGCCTATAGGTCACTGTATCCATTACTTTAGCAATTATGGGGACTCTTTAAATTCCACTGGATAATTATTCCTACATCCAGTCCCATAAAGTTTACAATATGAAATGGCAACAGTTTTCTATTTTCATTAAACGTATTTTTGTTTTGGCATTACTGCATAAGAATTAAGCACAGAAATAGAAATTCATTCATTTTTGCAGTAAAGTTCTGATCTCAGAATAGTTGAGTTTGCATTTAAGTTGTGCTACATGTATTTGTGGCCAGAACATTTTGTCTATTGCTTACATTAGAAACTCAAAACTGACAAACCTCTGCAGCTACTTCCCAGTCTGGTCGCCCATCACTGTCCTTCAGTTCCACATATGGCTTTTCATGGACTCGATTAAGATCTTCATGAAGACCATCCAAGAGAAAAGCCAGAAGTTCTTGGGCGTCTTGTTGCTGAAACCCGTTAAACCTGGGAGCATATTTTGCTATGGTCCACTATAAATATAAGAGAAGTCACAGTCATTATTTCCTACCCATAAAATTTGGAATGAACATGTCCTATAATCCAATCAGAGCCATTGTAAGAAAATAAATAGTATAGTACTTAGTCTGCCTCTATTTCAACAAATATATTTTGGATAATCATGAAATCTTTTGAATCTTAATGTCAAATGACCGCCCCCTCCAAAAAAGAGAAGTATTTTGGCCAATACTGTGCAATACTGTGTCCTCAGTTCAGTATCATGTAAGCAAACTGTTCTTCAGGCACACAGATGTTATTTAAGACAGAAATATTAAAACAGCATTTGCTCACATTGAAAGACATCCTGTTCTATAACGTTTTACATTTTTATATGCATATAAAATATGTATATTTTATAGGTACATAGTATATACATAACATATGCATAAAATAATGTGTATATAATAATACATAACATGTATAAAATAATATGTGTATATAGTATTTTATATAATATAATGTTGTCTTCAACAATTACATTTTCTGGTCTTGTTGCATCCTAACTTTTATTAACTGCATTATATTATAGAATTATTTTGAGGATATAAATTAATTAGAATAGTGCCTGGCAAGAGGTAAGTAGTCAAATGTGTAGCTGTTATAGTTAATAATTTGTAATATAAAAAGCTTTTGCTTTGTATTTAAATAAAAATAATGAATAATCCTAACTTCACTAAAATCTACTACATCTAATATTAATATAAAACTTATATTCATTAGTTTCATTCATTCATCCTTCTACTTTTTTTTTTCTTTTTGGAGACAGAGTCTCACTCTGTTGCCCAGGCTGGAGTACAGTGGTGCGATCTTGGCTCATTGCAAACACCACCTCCCAGGTTCAAGCATTTCTCATGCCTCAGCCTCCCAAGTAGCTGGGATTACAAGCATGCACCACTATGCCCGGCTAATTTTTTTTAGTAGAGACAGGGTTTCGCCATGTTGTCCAGGCTGGTCTTGAACTCCTGGCCTCAAGTGATCCACCCACCTCAGCCTCCCAAAGTGCTGAGATTACAGGCGTGAGCCCCTGCGCCCAGCCTACTTCTTTGTATTCTACAGATAGAACTATCTTAGTTATGTTGAAAATGGATTGGATTGGATGTAATTAATAAGACTCTGAGGTCCACCTTGCAGTTAGAATACTGCTAATAGTGGAGTATTACCAAAAAAGGTTTACTCTTCATATAAGATGTTTGACAAATTAGTAAAATGAATGACATCCCGAGTGTACCTTTGGTCTTTTAGAGTGTACCTTTGGTCTTTATCCTACCCACTACATATACAGTAGTATTTTGCATATATTTAAACAAGCAAAAGAATTTGACCTTTTGTTTATACCAAGTGAAGGATCCAAAAACATTTATTAAGCTAAAAGGCTAAACACAAAAAACAAGTAGAGAAAAATGATTAAACAACTATTAGGAATTAAATACTTTTATATTATTTTAACCTGCTTACCCGAAGCTTTAATGGGGCAACATTCTTCTGAGTTCCACTCCAAAGTTCCTGCACTAAATCACCATAGCATTTAGCCATATGCCCCTTCATACCAATGGGATTTGTCCTAGAAGTCTGAGAGGAAAATTTGTTGCCAAAGATTCTCATAAATCACAATCATGTGGGTGCAAAAATGCCTAGCATCTCACATCAAAATATCTTTTCTTTTTGAAACAAGAGATGTATTCCTTGGCCTATTTCATATTAAATAGGGCAAATAAGATAAAATCTTTCTCCCACAGGGTAAAAAAAGAGGAAATTTAGGTGATATTGGGTTTATATCAAAGTCACAGGTTAAGAGGCCACTGACTCCAGAAAGATTACCTGTTGAGTTCATAAAGATGTCTCCCTGAGATAAAATACTGTGTCAGTGGCTGTGTGTTACTAACACACTGGATGCTTGAGTTCATGAAGCATGTGTTTCCCAGGTTGCTTAGACCTGTGGCTCCCTTTTCTGTGAGAACTGGTATGAGAACCAAAGCTTAGCTGTAGTAATATGCCATGGCACAAACAGTTACTTATATTCAATGAAAAGGTTTTTTATAACTCTCATAATCAGCTAAATGGTGCTAATAATTCTCTAGCAGGTCTTTGAAATGCTAGAGAAGGCTTTTCATGGAGTGTCTGGCAACAGTGATGATCCATGCTCATTTGTAACCCAGAAGCAGCAATTATTCTTTTTAATTGCTATGATTTTTCAAAATAATTCAAACAATTCTTCTTCTAGTATGTCTTTTAAAACATATAAATTATTTAATTGCAGAGTTAGAAAGAAATTTAGAAAATAATTTGATGGTGGGTTTGCCAACATCAAATGCTGCTTCAGGAAAAAAGAAAAAGAAGAAGGCCCTAATTACTTTTGAACTAGAAAACCAAAAGTTGTTAGCACTTTAATAGTTGAGAGAAGAAAAAAAAAAGAATACATTTAAAATAATCTCTTTAAAAAATAATACTGCAGACTTACCCTTGTGTCTATCTATTTTACTACTATTTGATATAAAAGACATCTCCTCAGGCCAACTCATATCTTTGTTGCGAACTGGAAGGACAGATACGAATGTGTTAATTTCTTATCTATCTAATTTACACCCATTCGATTGCTTTTTTTTTTTTTAAAGACATCTTATTCCTAAATCAGAAGTTTTAAAATCTAGTTAATTTTAGTATATGCACCGCTTAACGACGAGGTTATATTCTGAGAAATGCATCATTAGGTGATTTTGTCTTTGTGTGAACATCACAGAGTGTACCTACACAAACCTAGGCTATGTATGGTATAGGCTGTCTCTCCTTGGCTACAAACCTGTACAGTATGTTACTGTATTGAATACTGTAGGCAAGTGTAACACAATGGTAAGTATTTGTGTATCTAAACATGTCAGAACATAGAAAAGGCACAACTAAAAATACAGTATTATAATCTTATGGGACCACTGCTGTATACAGGTCTTTTGTTGACAAACATCTTTTTGCAGCACATGCCTGTAATTGGCTCTAAAACCATTCCTACTCTTCATATTGAGGACTTTAAAGTCACTTGGTTTGAATAATCTTATCCCTCAATTACCTACTTGAAGTAAAATTATACTCAACCATCTACAGAAGTAATTAAAGTTCAGAAACAATGGAATTTCTTATACTTAAAACATTAGAAATTACAATTCTTTCTTAAATTGTAACAACTGTCAGAGTAATTTATTCCTTTTTTTTTTTTTTTTGAGACAGTCTGGCTTTGTCCCCCAGGTTGGAGTGCAGTGATGTGATCTTGAGTCGCTGCAACCTCCGCCTCCTGGGCTTGACTGATTCTGGTGCCTCAGCTTCCTGAGTAGCTGGGACTACAGGCACGTGCCACCACACCCAGCTAATTTTTGTATTTTTAGCAGAGACAGATTTCACCATGTTGGCCAGGCTGGTCTGGAACTCCTGACCTCAAGTGATCCACCCATCTCAGCCTCCCAAAGTGCTGGGATTACAGGCGTGAGCCACTGCGCCCGGCCTATTCATTTTAATACAAAGGCAGCTAACAACGTTGCCACAAAACTTGATGGGAAAAGATACACTTAAAAAGTTTTTAATGGAATGTGCATGCCAGTGTGTAAATCTATGAATATACAGGTAGCTCTGTCAGTGAGTAGCCAATGTTGGTGACTAATGAAAGCCTGTGCTACTAACTATGCAAGAAAGTTGTTCTTTTTACTCAAACTCAAAGCAGCAACTTGAAAATTTTAAGGAACTATAAATGTGTAAACTGAATTCACTTGTTTTTTATCTACCATTCCCATCCTTTGTCAGTCAATGACTAAAAACAGAATATTTTCCCTTTAAAGCAATCTAAATTGTATGGTAGGATTACATAAGAGTTCAAAGGGTTTTCTTTTTCTTTTTTTTCCAAAGGGTTTCTTTATCATAAAAACATAATAATCAAATAATAGTTGTTTTGGAGAAAATTATAAAATGGGTTATTAGTAACTCTTTAAATTCTTCCCCTTGAAAATTTAATATAGATGCATGCTTCCATCTTGTACCTTCAATTACCAGGTGTTGTTCATCCTGGATTTTCAAATATTCCAATTTATGATCCTCATCATCCAGAAGAGTAAGGTAGTTCTGTGTAAGGAGGAGGAAATGTTTTTGTTATTTGGTTAGTAAACTTGAAACAAATACAGAGATAAAAATGAGTAACAATTAAAAAAAAACTTCTTTGTAGTTATATAACATATCACAAATATCTGGCCTACTATAGTTGTTCATAAATATTTATAACTTAGGTGGCAGTATGAGAGAAAGACAATGTGTGCTTCATAAGCGTTATCTTTCTCTTTTTTAAAATTTCAATAGGTTTTTGGGGAACAGGTGGTGTTTGGTTACATGAATAAATTTTTTTTTTTTTTTTTAAAGATGGAGTCTGGCTCTGTTGCCCAGGCTGGAGTATAGTGGCACTATCTCGGCTCACTGCAACCTCCGCCTCTGGGTTCAAGCAATTCTCCTGCCTCAGCCTTCTGAGTAGCTGGGACTACAGGCTCACACCGCCACACCCAGCTAATTTTTGTATTTTTAGTAGAGACAGGGTTTCACCACGTTGGCCAGGCTGGTCTCAAACTCCTGACCTCTGGTGCTCCAGCCACCTCAGCCTCCCAAAGTGATGGGATTACAGGCGTGAGCCACTGTGCTCGGCCACACCATTAGTTTATAATGTAACATATAATCTTTGTAACTGTAATCTTTATATGTAACAATAATCTTTGAAAGATAGTACTGTCCATGGTGATCAATTGCTATTATGGATCTCAGAGACAAATATTACAAGTATACATATAGTAACTTAAAAGATGAACTTTTCACTGATATCCTAGACATGGCTTTTAGCATAATTACTATAGGTAAAATCCCATACTCATGAAATATGATTTAACACTTAATTAGCCTTGTGCTCTTTGGCAACATATGTACTAAAATTGGAACAATACAAAGAAGTTTAGCAAATTTCTTTTACTATTTAAAATTAAACAAATACCAACAATCAGACTCTCCATGACTCTGAGATGCCTCTTACCTCACTGTTGTATAGCCACAGGCGCATATCTTCCTCTTTAATGCGCAGCCTTTGAGATAGATATTCGTGAATTTCCTTGATGGTCTGCATTCGACTAAAACAGCCTGTATAGGCTAATACCCGCTTTAAAGGTGCATTCGGAGAAGGTACATTTCCTATGGTTACAGTAATCACAGTAGGAAAAAAGGCAGATGTGAAAAAGAAGCACCCCTCTCAGCAATGGGGACCATACTATTTTAGGAAATAATAATGAGAAATGAGAATTACAGGTGTAATAATTTTATAAATGAAGAGTACCAAAAAGCTTTAAAATGCAGGCAGGAGACCCAAGTTCTTTTTGTTGGTTTGTTTGTTTTTAATACATGGAGTCTTGTTATGTTGCCAGGCTAGAGTGCGGTGCTGTGATTTTGGCTCACTGCAGCCTCCACCTCCAGGGCTCAAGCAATCCTCCCACCTCAGCCTCCTGAGTAGCTGGTACTACAGGCGCACGCCACCACATCTGGCTAATTTTTGTACATTTTTGGGTAGAGACAGGGTCTTGGCCATGTTGCCCTGGCTGGTCTCTAACTCCCGGGCTCAAGCGATCCACCTGCCTCGGCTTCCCAAAGTGCTGGGATTACAGGTGTGAGCCACCAAGCCCAGCCTTCCAGGTGTTTTAAAGTGAGTCCAAAGCCTCAACTTTGAAAAGATGAGCAAAGGCCCAAGGCCCAAGGTCCAAATTATTGGCAATATTTGGATACCAAGAAGAGTAGGAACATGCCAGAAAACAATTGGCATTGATATCTGGCTGCACTCAGCTGAGTCACAGTCAATAGCAAAATGAAATAAAACTCAGTGGAAAAAAAATTAAGACAGAGTTAAAAAAAAAAAACAAAACTCAGTGGAGGAGATAAAATGAGATGGGATTTGAATCCCACAGATAGATAATTGGATTCACCTGGTCCACTTTCCTAAACTTTCTTTGAATCACTAATCCCATCACTTTCAGTCATTAAGTAGCTCAATTATCTGACACAGTGGTACAACTGCACCAGAAAACATATGTATATCTATTACATATCAATTAAAAAAAAAGAGAATTTGACATAAAATTCTAAATAGGTATAGACTCTACATAGCCAAACAGAGTTTTTTATTATCATTATTTGAGATAAGGTCTCATTCTGTTGCTCAGGCTGTAGTGCGGTGCGGCAATCATGGCTCACTGCAGCCTCAACCTCCCTCATTCAAGTGATCCTCGCACTTTAGCTTCCCAAGTAGAGACAGGGTCTCTCTATGTTGCCCAGGCTGGTTTTGAACTCCAGGGCTCAGGGAATCCTCCCACCTTGGCCCCCCAAAGTTCTGGGATTACAAACTGAGATTACAAGTGTGTGAGCTACCACATCTGGTCAAAACAGAGTTTCAAATTGAAGCCAAGAAGTTTCCCATGGCCAAATAAACAAGTGCCCAATAAGGAAAAAAAAAAAATCGTATTAGCCTGTCCACCCAGTAAGTTGACGACAGACATGACCTTGAATTCCTGAAGGGCTAAAGGTAGAAACAAGAAGAGTGGTAATACAGGGGAAAAGAGTAAAGAGTGAAGGAAGAATATATCAAGTCTCACTACATACTTCAAAAGAGGAGGGGTATGAAATGACAAGAGATTATGGAAATCAAAGAGAGGTGGCAAAAAAAAAAAAACATCATTAAACCCTGGTTAACTATTCCGCCAAAAATCTAGACAAAACTGTGGCTTAAAATAGTCTTCTCTGCTGAGGCTGTATTTTATTGAGCAACCCAACTTAAAAATATAAACTTATCAATATAATGTACATTCCAAATAATTTTCTACCCATTCAATCATGAGTTAGCTTCTTTCTTCCTGAAACATGCTTTTAATGAGTCTTCCCCACTAAATAAAGCTGAGAAAATATGTGCATCATCTACTTTTTTAGAACTTCAGAAAAGGAATTCCCTCACCTAAGGCAGGCTAAAAATCACCTAAAAAACAATGACTTCTATAGCCTTGTCTGTAGAAAAGCCTACATTTAAGTAATTGTAACTGTAAGAAGGTTTGAATACTTGTCACTTCAAAAGGAATAAAAGAGCCTAGTAAACAGCTGTAATAAATTGAGTATTTGAGAAAGATGAACATCATGTTATGGCAGAACAAAACCCAACCCGTGATCAGTTTTTAAACACATAGCAAGCAAATCTTTTACAATCAGCAAGCAAAGGATAATCTCTAAAAGAAAACAAAAGAGCAAATTTCTCCAATTATACATTTTAGGATTAGTTGTAAGATTACAGCAAGAAAGCATATTTTTATAAATTTTAAAATGATTAATGATTGATTTCACAACTAATTAGCAAGGAATAAAATTTCAAATTAAAACCAAATTTGGAGCATCTGAAATATGCAGTTCTAGGATTCAGAAGCATATAAGTATAGTATTCAAGTCAATCTCTATTGTCCTAAGCCACAATATGAAAATTTGAGTTTCAGAAAGTTTTTATAGCATAGCTCATTAAGCAGGTAGCCACTTACTATACATACTCTTGTGCTTTTGAATAGCACCAACAAATCTAGTGGAATTTATAGAAGCAGCAAAAATCTAGGATCAGCACAAGAGTTACAAAGAATACCTACTAAAAGTGCAACAACACATCTTGCCTCTCATGTTATCTTTCTTTTATATATTTTTTTGAGACAGAGTCTCGCTCTGTTGCCCAGGCTAGAGTGCATGGCGCAATCTCGGCTCACTGCAACCTCTGCCTCCTGAGTTCAAGCAGTTCTCATGCCTCACCCTCCCGAGTAGCTGGGATTACAGACACCTGCCACCACACATGGCTAATTTTTGTATTTTTAATAAAGATGGGGTTTCGCCATGTTGACCAGGTTGGTCTCGAACTCCTGACCTCTGGTGATTCAGCAGCCTCGGCCTCCCAAAGTGCTGGGATTACAGGCATGAGTCACTGCACCTGGCCTCATGTTATCTTTCAAAGAGAATTGAAAAAGTTGTAATGGGTGCCATGGAAGCAAGGCTAATCCTTCTAATGGAAAATTAAATCAAGAATGTTTCATAAAGGTTCTATCTCACTGTTCCTTTTTTAAAAAATGGTTTCCTTCACTTTTTATTTTTTTTTAAGAGACAAGCTCTTGCTCTGTTACCCAGGCTGGAGTATGGTGGCACAATCATAGCTCACCACAGCCTTGAACTCCTGGGCTTAAGAGATCTTCCCACCTCAGCCTCTTGAGTAGCTGAGACTACAGGGCACACCACTTTGCCCAGCTAATTTAAACAATTTTTTGTAGAGACAGGATCTTACTATGTTGCCCAGGCTGGTCTCAAACTCCTGGCTTCAAATGATCTTCCTCCCCAGTCTCCCAAACTGTTGGGATTACAGGCATCAGCCACCATGCCCAGCCTCACTGTTCTTTGGTTTTGCTGTTTTCCCCAAAGACAAAGTTTGGTAGACAGGGGCCAATGCTTTGCTATAATTATTACGAAACACTATTGAAAGAATTCTTACCAAACAGGCCGAGGTGGATGGATCACGAGGTCAGGAGATCGAGACCATCCTGGCTAACACGGTGAAACCCCATCTCTATTAAAAATGCAAAAAATGAGCCAGGTGTGGTGGTGGGCGCTTGTAGTCCCAGCTACTTGGGAGGCTGAGGCAGGAGAATGGTGTGAACCCGGGAGGCGGAGCTTGCAGTGAGCCGAGATCGTGCCACTCCACTCCAGCCTAGGCGACAGAGCAAGACTCCATCTCGAAAAAAATAAAAAATAAAAAATAAAAGAATCTTCATATATTATATGAATATAACCTTTAATGAAGATACAAAACTAACTTTGTTCAATTTCAAAGGAGAGCAAGTACTTCTTTTGGTCAGGGTTTAGAGGTAGTTCTTGCATACTAAGTTATTTAAATTATAATAACATGCTGGTATTGTTAACATAGTCTGAGAATTTGTGTAAATGGTTGCTCATGATTATTAATATTATTTTTTGAGACAGAGTCTCACTCCGTCACCCAGGCTGGAGTGCAACGGTGTGATCTTGGCTCACTGCAACCTCCACCTCCTGGGTTCAAGCGATTCTCTTGCCCCAGCCTCCCAAGTAGCTGAAATTACAGTACCACCACGCCCAGCTAATTTTTGTATTTTCAGTAGAGACAGGGTTCATGTTGGCCAGGCTGGTCTTGAACTCCTGACCTCAAGTAATCTGCCCACCTCAGCCTCCCAAATTGTGGGATTACAGGCATGAGCCACTGTGCTCAGCTTATTATTTATTTACTGCTGAAGAATAATTTCAAACATTTGCAAAGCAAAAGCATAGAGCAAGTCTTGCCCATCAATAAAGTTTAACCTTATGGAGAAATGAAAGGGGAACTTTTTGCATGTTATACATTAAAATGGGAACTACTTTATATGTCATTTTGATTGGCTTGATGTTTTTTCAAAGCAAATATATCACTTTAATCTTCAAAAATATGCCTTTTGCTCTGTACTCTCTGTCTCTTATATAAAGCCTCTTTAGATCAAGCATGAGAAATGTATCATGTTTTGCCAAAAAACCAAACAACAACAAAAACCTTAAAAAACAAAAAAGATGATAGTATAAAAGGAATTGCTTTTTACAAATTTGAGTGGAGTTGAAAAGACCAGTCAATGACTGGTATACTACTACTTAGTCTAGTAACAATTTACAATGGCTTGTCTCAAAGAAATAAAGCATGTAAAATCTATTTCTATTTATTTTCTTTGTAAGTAGAAAAGGAAACATCCCATCTCAGTTTGCTGTTGGAATGTTTGCTTCAACCCCTCATCTAGTCTTGTGCATGACCACAGATCTAAGCCCTGTAAAAATTAATTACTGAGTCTGTAGGAAAGCTGATGGGAATGTGTATCAATACAGTGGCACCAGACTTCGAGCAACGTAGTTTTCACCTTTTTTTTTTTTTTTAAGGAAATGCATGGTATTCTTGCTGCATTCTTAAGTTACCTCTCGGTAAATGCTGAGGAAACATTCTCAGGCTCATCATACCCATATTCAACCAGATGTTAGACTGCTGTGTCCGAGTGGCAGGCTGCTGTCTCAGGAAGAGAAGATAGCGGGGAAATAATTCCAGCTCTGGGATGTCTGTCTTGCTGTTCTTGATAACCTATTATTTTAAAAGATAAAAAGAGATCACTAAAAAAAGAAACAAAACTTGCCATTTTAATCTAACTTCTGAGATTTATTTCTAAACCAAAATGTCCAACAAGTTCACTAGCTACATTTCAGTAATTACTGAAACTCACACATTTAAGTTACATGGATCTGATTACTGTTAAAATTCCTGCTCCGAAACCCATTTCCTAAGATTATAACTCCTTGTAGATATCTTCTCCCCTTTTATTTAAAAGCAAGTAACAACACTGAGGAAAAAAAAAACCCTAAGTATTATCTATAATTCTACTACCCTCACACCATAAGTCTTTTCATTTTTACATATTTCATGTATATAAATGACTGACATTTTAAGGACAAATTCATAAAAATTGAGTTACAAGTCAAAAACTATGGAAGTATTCATTAGCTATATAGTCATGCTGCCATCTAAAGTTTAGCAATTTACACTATTGCCAGTAATGTGTAAGTATACTACTCTCATAAAACCTTATCACTGGACATCATTTAAAAACATCCACATTTCGTTAATATGAAGACTATTATAAATTGCTTAAATTTTTATTTTTTGTACTAGTAGTGAGGATGCAACTGTTCCCATATAAAAATTTACTACGTTCTACTTGCGTAACCAGTCTGTTCACATATGTTTTGTCTATGACTTAAACAAAAAATTTGGATGTAAAAAAACCTCAGATTTCACATTGTTGGAACAGGATTTTTAAGTAGTTGTAACCTGCTTATAAGCCCACAGACACAGGAAAACATTTAATTATCAAAATATTGTTGTAAGAGTAGTACATGATCAATTTCATATTCTAAAAGGATAGCAGGGTTAACACTGAAACTCCTTTTTTTTTTTTTTTTGAGACACAGTCTCACTCTGTCACCCAGGCTGGAGTGCAGTGGCCCGATCTCGGCTCACCGCAAGCTCTGCCTCCCGGGTTCTTGTCATTCTCCTGCCTCAGCCTCCCAAGTAGCTGGGAATACAGGCGCCCGCCACCACGCCTGGCTAATTTTGTTTTTGTATTTTTAGTAGAGACAGGGTTTCACCGTTGTTAGCCAAGATGGTCTCGATCTCCTGACTTCGTGATCCGCCCGCCTCAGCCTCCCAAAGTGCTGGGATTACAGGCGTGAGCCACCGCGCCCAGCCAACACTGAAATTCTTGAAAACAGAAACTCTGTACAGAGTCTTTTAAGTCTCAGGTGACCAGGCTTTATTTTCCTTTACTCTCATAACCAATATCTTCTGCAACAGAACTTTTTTTTTAGTATCAAGAGGGAGCAATAAAAATCAAATAAAAACAACACTACAAGCCAGGTGCAGTGGCTCATGCCTGTAATACCAGCACTTTGGGAGGCCAAGGCAGAAGGACTGCTTGAGACCAGGAGTTCGAGACCAGCCTGGGCAACACAGCAAGATTCTGTGTGAACACTTACCAATTGATGGTGAGCATTTCAAAAATACAGGGCCCTGTAAGAAAAATTTTGTTTTTCTATGAGAACATCTCAAGTATATTTATTAATTTCATGCAAAAAGTCAGAAGCATATAGAGCATATAGAGACCCAATCCTAAAGAGTGAAGAAATAGTGTCCCTTATTATTAACCTGAGATAAAATATCAATAATTGGGCCCAGTACAGTGCCTCACACCTGTTATCCCAGCACTTTGGGAGGCGGAGGTGGGCGGATTTCTTAAGCCCAGGAGCTCAAGACCAGCCTGGGCAACATGGCGAAACACCATCTCTACCAAAAAATATACTACAAAAAAATAATAATAATAATAGCCAGGTGTGGTGGTGAATGCCTGTAGTCTCAGGTACTAGGGGAGCTGAGGTGGGAGGATCACCTGAGCCTGGGGAGGTCAAGGCTGCAGTGAGCCATGATGGTGCCACTGCGCTCCAGCCTGGATGACTCTTTGAGACAGAGTGAGACCCTCTCTCAAATATAAATATAAATATTTATATATATACACACAATTGTGTGTGTGTGTGTGTGTGTGTGTGTGTGTGTGTATATATATATATATATATATATTTCCTTATATTGCTGCTACCAGAGTTTCTATACCAAAAAACACCAAAATAAGATCATGGCCAGTGTTGGGATCAAGTATATAAGTAAACAGAAAAAGAATATTTGAGGAGAAGGTGGAGAAAATTATGAAATAATTCAGAGAGAAATAAACAGAAAAAAGAGAGAGAAAAGAAAGTGGTGGAAATTGTTAAAAGTTATGTGTACTATTGTAAAATGTACAAAACATTTCTAACAATCACATTTAATAAATTCATAGGTCTTAAACTTTAGATTGCATAGAAATCACCCGCTCCCTTGAGATTGTGATCAAGTAGGTCTAGGATGGAGCCCATGAATCTTCATTTTATATAAGCAATCCCACTACAGTTAATTTTGTTGAAATAGCCTTTACAATAAAAGAAAATATATGTTGATATATTTATTTGGTATTATTACCTTTTTGCATGATCTTTAGCAACACGATCTCGTCAAAGCGCTCTGTTTAACTCTTAGCATCTTGAGCATCTTAACATCTTTAGCATCTTGCGATAATGTAATAGTTTGACAAGCATCCCAGAAGTACTGATTTACCAAAGCTTATCTAACATGATCTGATCATGCTTGAAACCATAAGACTTTCTGCTTGCCAAAAACATGGTCTTCTATTTCTTGCCCAACCTCTAATCCTTTTTTCATAAAACTGTGTAACACATGAGCCAACCAAGAGTGTGTAAAGCTCCTGTTAAAATGGGGATATGGCCCCACTCTAAATTTCCAGAGAGACCAGCTGATGTTTTGAAATAAATATTACTAGAGTTTGCCTCTGTTCTATGAAGGCTGGGTTTCAAAAATACAACCAAAGAAACAAAAGTACAGCAATAAACCAAAGAGATATAAAAAACAGCTAGAGAGCCATTTAAAATATTTGAAATAAGTAGGAGCAAGTAAGTGTCAATGTTTTAATGTACTGCTCTATTGTTGGATCTGAAATAGTTCATAACGCAGTGGTTGCTTTGACATTAGTGATTGCTGTCACAGAAGCAGAGACTTCCTGTTGTTTGCTATTGTATCCCCAGTACTGAAACAGAGCCTGGCATGTAGTATGCACCCAACAAATATATTTTTTTAGAATGTAATTATTTTATTAATATTTAAAAACATTTTTATGTTTTGAACATATTTTTGAATATGTTCAAATATTTTACTTTAGTGAATAGTAGTGGACAAGGCCAGATATGATGTTTTTCTATAACCTTAGGTTAGTATTGGTAGCGGTTCGATAAATTCAAATCCTTTGACTCCAATCACAAGGCTTTCTCTTAAGTACTTCACTGATTTTTGTAAAATATTCTTAATTTGAACTGTTATTCAAATTGATTTTAAGTAAAATTTGTATGTGGCTAGATATTCCTTGTTGATTTCACTTTCGCTGACATTTTTACTGTCATTTTACAGTGCTTACAAAATATTACCTGTTGGATTTCTCTTTTTTTCCCCAACTTTCATTTTAGAATCAGGGGGTACATGTGCAGGCTTATTACACAGGTATATTATATGATACTGAGGTTTGGAGTATGAATGAATCTGTCCCCCAGGTGGTGATCATAGTACCCAATAGGTAGGGTTTTTTTCAATCCTTACCCTACTTCCACCCTCCCCGCTCTTGTATTCCTCAGTATCTATTGTTACCATTTTTATGATCACGAGTACCCAAGGTTTAGCTTCCGCTTATAAGTGAGAACATATGGTATTTGGTTTTCTGTTTCTGTATTAGTTTGCTTAGGATAATGCTTTCCAGCTGCACCTGTGTTGCTGCAAAGGCTGTGATTTTGTTCTTTTACATGGCTGCATAGTATTCCATTGTGTATATGTACCATATTTTCTTTATCAAGTCCACGACTGATGGGCATCTAGGTTGATTCCATGTCTTTGCTGTTGTGAATAGTGCTGCAATGAACATACAATTGCATGTGTCATTTTGGTAGAATGACTTATTTTCCTTTGGGTATATGCCCAGTAGTGGGATTGCTGGGTCAGATGGTAGTTCAACTCTCAGTTCTCTGAGAAATCTCTTAACTGCTCTCCACAGTGGCTGAACTAATTTACATTCTCACCAGCAGTAGCAGCAGCATGTAAGTGTTCCCTTTTCTCCCACCATCTGTTATATTTTGTCTTTTTAAGAAAAGCCATTCTGGGCCGGGCGTGGTGGCTCATGCCTGTAATCCCAGCACTTTGGGAGGCTGAGGCGGGCAGATCACGAGGTCAGGAGATCGAGACCATCCTGGCTAACATAGTGAAACCCCGTCTCTACTACAAATACAAAAAATTAGCTGGGCGTGGTGGCAGGCGCCTGTAGTCCCCAGCTACTCAGGAGGCTGAGGCAGGAGAATGGCGTGAACCCAAGAGGCAAAGCTTGCAGTGAGCCCAGATTGCGCCACTGCACTCCAGCCTTGGCGACAGAGTGAGACTCCGTCTCAAAAAAAGAAAAAAAAAGAAAAGCCATTCTGACTGGTGTGAGATGATATCTTATTATGGTTTTGATTAGCAGTTCTCTAATGATTAGTGATGATGAGCATTTTTTTCATGTCTGTTGGCCACTTGTAGGTCTTCTTTTGACAAGTGTCTGTTCATGTCCTTTGCCCACTTTTAAGTGGAGTAATAATTTTTTGCTCTTTAACTTCCTTAATAGATTCTAGATATTAGACCTTTGTCAGATATAAAGTTTGTGAATATTTTCTTCCATTCTGTAGGTTATCTGTTTACTCTCTTGATAGTTTCTCTTGTGGTGCTTCTGTGTGCTCTTTAGTTTAATTAGGTCCCATTTGTCAATTTTTGTTTTTGTTGCAATTGCTTTTAAGAACTTAACCATAAATTCCCTGCCAATGCCGATATCGGAAAGGGTGTTCCTAAGTTTTCTTGTAAGATTTTTATAGTTTGAGGTCTTACATTTAAGTCTCTCATCCATCTTTTGAGTTAACTTTTATATATGGTGATAGGTAGGGGGTCCTGTTTCATTCTTCTGCATATGGATAGCCAGTTATCCCAGCACCATTTTTTGAATAGGAAGTTTTTTTTCCCATTGCTTATTTTTGTCAATTTTGTTGAAGATCAAATGGTTGCAGGTGTGTGGCTTTATTTCTGGATTCTCTATTCTGTCCCATTGGTCTATGTGTCTGTTTTTGTACCAGTACCATGCAGTTTTAGTTACTGTAGCCTTGTAGCATACTTTGAAGTCAGGCAATACAATGCCTCCAGTTTTGGTTTTTCTTTGTTTCTTGATTTTTTGTTTTATTTTGCTTAGGATTGCTTTGACTTCTTTTTGGTTCCATGTGAATTTTAGAATTTTTTTTTCTAGACCATCAAATATTTGATGAATTTAACAATGAAAATATTTTTTCTTTTTTTTCCTCTTTCACACTAGTGAGGAAGTAACAAAAACAGGACAAATTGAACAGAATAAATGTGTTTATCATATTTAGATTATTTTTCCTTTCTCAATTTATACTTATATAAAGTAAAAATAAACTAATTAGAGCTAAATGGGGTGACTTGTACCTGTAACCTCAGCACTTTGGGAGGCCAAGGCAGGAGGATCACTCGAGCCCAGGAGTTCAAGACCAGCCTGGACAGCATAGGGAGACCCTATCTGTAAAAAAAAAAAAAAAAAAAAAAATTGTAAAACATTAGCCAGGCGTGATGGTACATGCCTGTAGTCCAAGTCACTCAGGAGACTGAGATGGGAAGATCACTTGAACCCTGAAGGTTGAGGCTGCAGTGAGGCATGATCATGCCACTGTACTTCAGCCTGGACAAGAGAGCAAGACCTTGTTTCTAAAAAGGAAGTGTATATATATATATATATATATATATATATATGCATATACATATATATATATACACACACACACACAGAGTATATATATGTGTATATATGTAGTTTTATATGTATAAAAGTATATGTATATATATTCTTTTTATACATAAAAAGTGTGTATATATATACTTATATATTATATATATGTATATACACACACACTTTTTTCTAAATATATATACAATTAGAAGAAATTCTAGGCAACTGCCAAATCCTTAGCACTTTACTTCACAGTTTAAGAATTTTATGTAATTGGGACCTATATTAGTATGCTTGGGCTTCTATAACAAAATACTATAGACTGAGTGGCTTAAGCAACAGAAATTTATTTTCCCACAGTTCTGGAGATAGGAAGTCCAAGATCAAGGGGCTGGCCAATTTGGTTTCTGGGAGGGCTCCCTTTCTGGCTTATAAATGGCTGCCTTCTTGCTATGTCCTTACATGACGGAGAGGGTGAAAGAGATCTCTTTCTTCCTCATCTTATAAGGCCACCGTCATATTGGATCAGAGACTCACCCTTACAACTTTATTTAATCTTAATTACCTTCTAAAGACCCTATCTCTAAATACAGTCACATTGGGGATTAGGGCTTCATTATATGAATCATTCATTATATGGGGGACATAATTCAGTCAGTCCATAGCAGAACCATATCAAAATTATATCTTGTCTTATAGATGAGAGAAGAGTTAAACTGGATTTACTTCTGAATGAAGTAGATGAAGTTTTAGGTGAGTCAGAAGAAATGATGATAAGACAATAAAAATCATCTAAATGTTTAACAAAATAAATTATTTTGAAAGTATTTTATGTTATCTGGTCCATAACATATTAATCCTGATATTGTGTCTGTTTTTATTGGCAATTTATATACAATTAAAGAGACATGCTTTATAAACTAAATGTTATTAATTATTATAATATAATCAGTTGTTATCTACATCTTACTTAAAAGGCCACACTGTAATGCCTAAATAACATGTCCTATATTCTTTGGAGTTTTTCAATAATATAATTTCATTCTTTGATAGCAAAATAGCAATGCAAATTACACATACAGGTAATATGGCTACCAAGAACAAATTCATGATTCAAACACAAATGAAACAATAGAGCAAATATTACATGCTGGCAGAATTATTCATACCACATCATTTAGCGAACTCTGTGTGCTGTGTTTGTTTCTTGTTCCCAACATTGAAGAGCTTTCTTCTACCAGAAAGAAGTTTCATTTCTGAAGTCTCCCTTCTCATTCTGTGTAATTAGACGACACTGATGTTTCTGTTGCTTTTTATCCTATATTTGAGGATGATGCTACACAGACATAATTGATTTTATAATTACTATTGAAATGTGATCTTTTTTGATTATTTTCTTTTTTAAGGGGAAGAAATTAACTATGAAGACCTGGAAAATATTCTGAAAAACATAGGGTTAAGACTGCAACTGAAGGAAAACTTGGTGTTGATGAAAAGTTTGCCACTTGATGGTAAGCATTTGATTTATGATGAGGTATTTATTCATCAATTTACTAAAAGTTAATGTGCTGCCGTTAGGTACTAGACATTATATTTGGCTCTGAGTCTTAAAGAATAAAAAAGACAATGTCCAGGTCCTAAAAGAATTCAATATATAGATAGATAGCACATGCCAAAAAAATTCCATGCACTATGGTAAGTGCTATAATATTAATAAATACATACTGCCATGTAAGTAAAAGGGGAAGATTGACCAGCTATGACTGGAAACTCTAGGCTTCACAGAGTGAATTTTATTTCAAATGAGCCTGAACAGTTTAACAGTAGGAAATGGCAAGAACTAAAAAGAAAAACATAACAAAGGCACAGAGGCATACTCAACCAAGGCATGGTTGAGGAACCATGTATAATTTCATGTTGAGATAGTATAGAGTACACAGTGATATTCACAATATGTGAAGAAATTTATTAATTTGACTCAATTTAATCAAAGAAGAAGATGAGTCCCAGGGCAGAGAGACCCAGGAATTTTTAATCATTTTCTTGAGCTGACACTCTCCTCTGGTCAATTTCACCTTTTTTTCCCCATAAGTTATTGGGGTACAGGTGGTATTTGGTTACATGCATAAGATCATTAGTGGTGATTTGTGAGATTTTGGTGCACCCATCACCTGGGCAGTATACACTGCACCCTATTTGTAGTCTGTTATCCCTCATCCCCTTTCCACCCTTCCCCCCAGTCCTTAAAGTGCATTGTATCATTTTTATGGCTTTGTGTCCTCATAGCTTAGTTCCCACGTATCAGTGAGAACATACGATGTTTGGTTTTCCATTCCTGAGGTACTTGGCTTAGAATAATAGTCTCCAATCTCATCCAGGTTGCTGCAAATGCCGTTAATATTCCTTTTTATGGCTGAATAGTATTCCATCATATAAATATACCACAGTTTCTGTAACCACTTGTTGATTGATGGGCATTTGGGGTTGGTTCCACTTTTTTGCAATTGCGAGCTGTGCTGCCATAAACGTGTGTACAGGTATCTTTTTCATATAATGACTTCTTTTCCTCTGGGTTGATACCAGTAGTGGAACTGCTAGATCAAATAGTAGTTCTACTTTTAGTTCTTTAAGCAATCTCCACACCATTTTCCATAGTGGTTGTAATAGTTTACATTCCCACCAGCAGTGTAGAAGTGTTCCCTTTTTACCACATCCACGCCAACAGCTACTGTTTTTGGATTTTTTTCTTATGGCCATTCTTGCACGAGTAAAGTGGCATCATATTGTGGTTTTGATTTGCGTTTCCCTAATCATTAGTGATGTTGAGCATTTTTCATATGTTTGTTGGCCATCTGTGTATCTTCTTTTGAGAATTGTCTATTCATGTCCTTAGCCCACTTTTTGATGGGATTGCTTTTCTTCTTACTGATTTGTTTGAGTTCATTGTAGATTCTGGATATTAGCCCTTTATCAGATGTGTAGATTGTGAAGATTTTCTCCCACTCTGTGGGTTGTCTTAAAAGAGCAATTTTATTTTGCTCATGATTTTGTAGGTCAAGAACTAGGCTTTTCTGGATCCAGAGGAGTCATTTACATGATAGCTCACTCTCTTAAATGGCAAATTGGTACTGAATGTCATCTGGGAACTCAGCAGGACTTCAGTCTGGGACCTCCAGTTCTTCTCTATGTGGGCTTCTCCACGGGATTGCTTCGTCTTCCTCATAGCACAGTGGCTGGTTTTCAAGAGCAATTGTTCCAAGAGACAGATAGTGGAAGCTGTCAGTTTCATAAGGCCTAGGCACAGAAACAGGTACAGAGTCACTTCTGTAGTTTTCTGTCGATTAAAGCAATTGCAGAACACACACAAAATCAAAAGGGAAAGAACATAAATCCCCCACATCGCCATGGTTAGGTTGAAATGTTAAATGAAAAAAAAAAAGTGTGTCATTCCTACTCGATTGTCAAGAATTTTTATATTTTAAGACTCTATTTGGTTTACTGCATCTAACACAGTACCTTAAGTTGTCATTGTTAAAGTTAATTTAAAGTTAAATTGAACAATGATTTTATATTGCTCAATATTTGAGGGAAAGTGTGAAAGCTGTTTTTCTAAAATTGAGAGAGAATAAACTGGATAGAATCTTGAAAAAAAAAAAAAAAGACAGAAAGAAAGAAAGAAAGAGTGTTTTTCCCCACTTTATGTTTTTGTTTGCTTTGTGGAAGATTAGTTGGCTGTAAGTATTTGGGTTTATTTCTGGGTTCTCTATTCTGTTCCATTGGTCTATGTGTCTATTTTTATACCAGTACCATGCTGTTTTGGTGACTATGGACTTATAGTATAGTTTGAAATCAGGTAGTGTGGATGGCTCCAGATTTGTTATTTTTGCTTAGCCTTGCTTTGGCTATGTGGGCTCTTTTTTGGTTCCATATGAATTTTAGGATTGTTTTTTCTAATTCTGTGACAAATGATGGTGGTATTTTGATGGGGATTGCATTGAATTTTTATATTGCTTTTGGCAGTATGGTCATTTTCACAATATTGATTCTACTGATCCATGAGCATGGGATGTGTTTCCATTTGTTGGTGTCATCTATGATTTCTTTCAGCAGTATTTTGTAATTTTCCTTGTAGAGATCTTTCACCTCCTTGGTTAGGTATATCCCTAAGTATTTTATTTATTTATTTATTTTGCAGCTGTTGTGAAAGGGGTTGACTTCTTGATTTGATTCTCTGCTTGGTTGCTGTTGGTGTATAGAAGAGCTACTGATTTGTGTACATTAATCTCGTATCCAGAAACTTTGCTGAATTCTTTTATCAGTTCTAGGAGCTTTCTAGAAGAGTCTTTAGGGTTCTCAAGATAAACGATCATATTATCAGCAAACAGTGACAATCAATTTCACCTTTAACCACAGAGAAACGTAGAACTGAAAGAAGGCAATCCACCAACCATAAAAGTTACAGGAAGATAAAATACCAGAGGGCAGCTTATCAGTCTTCTCTTGTTTACATTAGTCCTTCACTTGTGAAGGGTTTATGTGCTGCCCTGATGTTACCTTCCAGACACCTGACTATTGGTCTAGCCTTTTGTTGCTGCTTTCTATAGTGAAGGAGTAGGCAATGATAATCTTAGATTCATGGTACATAAAGGCAAAGGCAAAAATCTTTTAAAAAGAAAAGTTTCCCTAATTGGTGCTTCAACTGCCACTGCTAGCCCTCTACCCCAGGCTGTAAACACACACACACACACACACACACACACACATATACAGCTTTTCATTTCCCAAGAATTTTGTTATGGCTTTTCACTTGGTTCCCACAATCCAATGCTCAAACTTCAGTTACTCCAGGGTTGATTTGTGGAGAGGAAGCCAGAAATCCATGGAACTTCACCACCTATGTGGGAACAGATGAATTTCTGTAAATATGAAAGCTGTCACGGCAGCAGACAACGTCTCACTGATTACCTTGAAGAAGAATTTATTGTCATGGGCTTGTCAATGAAAACACAAAGCAAAGCATCCATTTGATGTCATGTGAAAAATATATGGAAATGCTCAATGCTAACATTCAAAGAAATCTTGTCATAATCATCAGGTTTTTTGCTCAAGAATCACCTGAGCTAAATCTAACTATATCTCACATTATACTTGGAAACACCAATATGCATTATCTTAAGCAGAGGAGTAGAAAAGGAGAACTCAGAAGAAAAGGAGAAATCAGAAGCAAAGAGAGATATAAGAAAGGCATGGCAAGCTACCACTAATTGTTTTGATTGTCAAAAAAGAAAAAGTAGGTAGATTTATTATCTTAAGGGCTCTCCTGTTGGTCTAATTCTTATTTCAGGTATAAACACAAACACGAAAAGATTTAAGTAAAATTATAAGAGTTGTTCTTCTGAAATTGCTGGTTTTTAAAATATTTTATCAGGCCTCTCTATCAGTTTCTATACTGTGCTTTAATATCTTACAGCTGCTGGAAAGTTGTATAAATGTAAGTTGCTGAATGGAACAAGGTCTCTCAAAGGTAAGTGAGAAATCAGGTAAAAGTGATTGCGTTTACTTTTTTAAAACCACATATATTTGGGGTGATGACAAGTTTGGCAATTAACCTGTTTACTAAGTGTTTTTGTCTCATAATTTACTACTTTGAACATAGTGCCTTTGGGGAAAGGATTTTTTATTCTATCACTACATTTAAAATCTATTTTACAAATAGAATTATAAAGGCAGTTTCTTTCCACATTTCATCAGACTTGCCTAGTTCTTCAGTTTTTTCCTTATAAATGTCCCATGAAAGCTATAGTCAGATCCTCTAGACAAAAATGGGAGAGCACGTTCTGCTCCCGATTCACATAGCAATTCTTTTCATATAAACAACTTTATTGTTTCTTTGATTGTTTACCCTCTGTTAACTCATGGACATGCCTAGTATTTTTCACTTTATCCTTATTGTTTGCATTTCTCATTCCTGTCCTCTTTTTTCTAAGGAGTGAAGCTTAGTGTTGATAAGCTAGAACCCTTCATAGAACATACGGGCTTTGAGCTTGAGGAAGAGGAATACCAAGATCTGAAAAACAACCTGCCCATTTATGGTGAGCTGCTCTTTAAGCAAAACTTTCGATTCATATATGAGAACTTCTGATAGTATATTTAGAGTTGTGCAGAAGCATTAAAAAATGAAAAGAACTACACTCCAGCCTGAGCAACAGAGTGAGACCCTGTCTCCAAAATAAATAAATAAATGCATAAATAAATAATATATAAAAAGGTAAGAGTCCAGTCCTCAAGAATTAATCAATTCATGCAGTAGACTTTATTGAGCATCTAATATATATAAACTATTAGGAATACAAAAATGAAGATGACAGGATCTCTGACCTCTAGGAGTTCATAGTCTAGTAATACAGCTTATATGCAGACAAGTCATCATAATGCTATGTGGTTGTGAATATATAAAAATATATTCAGTGAGATCCTAAAGGAGGAAAGAGCTAAGTTTGCCAGGAAGGCAATCAGAGAAAGGCTTGTCAGAAGATGTGTGGAAATTCTCCCAGATGAAGGCATTCCAGATAGGAAAATAATGCATACAAAAGCATAAATGCATGCAAAGTCACAGAATTGTTAGGAGAGCAGCAAGAATTTCCTTGTGGGTAGAATGTACTCTTCATGTTACAACATGGCAAGAAAAAAAAAAAAGGCTGGAAAGGCAGATTGCCAAGACTGGAAAGCTGTGTAGTTTAGCTGTCATCATTCTTTTGAGCCTTTCAGTAATGTGTGCCTTTCTGGAAATTTGTCCATTTCATCTAAGTTGTCTTATTTGTTGGCATGAAGTTGTTCATGGTATTTCTTTATATTCCTTTTTCATTTCTATGAAGTCAGTAATGATTTTCTTTCTCATGATTTTGATCTGTATCTTTTTTATTTAGTCAGACTAGCTAAAGATTTGCCAATTTTGTTGATCTTTTCAAAAAGCCAACATCAATTTTTCCTATCAATTTTCTGTTTTCCATTTCATTGATTTCAGCTCTAATCCTCATTATTTTCTTCTCTCAGCTTACCTTAGGTTTAGTTTGTTCTTCTTATGGTGAAAACTTAAATTCTTAACTTAAAATCCTTCCTCCTGCTCCTCCTCCTCCTTCCCCTCCTCCTCCTCTCCTCCTCTCCTCCTCCTCCTCCTCCTCCTCCTTCTTCTTCTTCTTTCTCTTTCTTCTTCTTCTTCTTCTTCCTCCTCCTTCTTCTTCTTTTTTTCTTTGACAGAGTTTTGCTCTTGTTGCCCAGGCTGGAGTGCAATGGCACCTTGGCTCACTGCAACCTCCGCCTCCCGGGTACAAGCGATTCTCATGCCTCAGCCTCCTGAGTAGCTGGGACCACAGGCATGCAACACCATGCCTGGCTAATTTTTGTATTTTTAGTAGAGAAGGGGTTTCACCATGTTGGTCAGGCTGGTCTCGAACTCCTGACCTCAGGTGATCCACCCACCTCAGCCTCCCATAGTGCTGGGATTACAGATATGAGCTACCATGCCCAACCCTTTCTTCATTTCTAATACAGGTGTTTGCAGGTATAAATTTTCCTCTAAGCACTGCTTTAGCTGCATTTTGAAATTTTCCATATTTGTGTTTTCATTTGCATTCAGTTTAAAATACTTTCTAATTTCCCAGGTAATTTCTTCTTGATCCATGGGTTATTTAGAAATGTGTTGTTTGATTTCTAAATGTTTATGGATTTCCCAAATTTCCTTCTGCTGTTGATTTAGAATTAATTCCTTTGTGGACAGAAAATATACTTTCATGATTTCAGTTCTTTTAAACTGGATGAGACTTGTTTTATGGCCTAGCATATGGTCTAGCCTGGTGAATGTTCCATGGTTGATAATATTCTTCAAGTCTTCTTTATCCTACTTATTTTCCTGTTTGGTTGTTCTATCCATTATTTAGAGTGGGGTACTGAAGTTTCCAACTATTATACTTCAATTGTCTATTTCTCCCTTCAATTTTAGCCTTCATACTGTAGGTAGTGGTATATCTAGAGTATTCTCTCTTGCAAAATCAGTGCTGATGGCAATGTAGACAGCATTATTGGAAGTAAAGACTGGAACTTGAGAGATACTTCCATGATCCAACAAGAGACGGTGAGAGCCTAGGGAAGGGAAGTGAACTTAGTGATGGATAACAGAGTGATTTGGGAAAGATTTTAAAATTTATATTTATTTATTAAAACTAATAAAAATGTAAAGTGAATAGGGCATGGTGACTGATTACATGAGAGGTATGAAAAAGTCGAAGAATTTTAGGAAGGGATATCTTAATGAGTAAGTCATCAGTCATAAGCCAATTCAGGAAGAGGTTCAGGTTAAAATGTCAGGAGAGTAGTTTCAGTTTTGGACAGGTAGAGTTTGAGATACTTGTAAGACATTGACTTAGAAATATGAATTAAGAGATGGTTGGAAATGAATACTCTAATAATTCATCTTATTTATCTTTAACTAGGAAGTTAGCAGTCCACAAATTTAGCAAAACTTTAGCAATGTGTCAGAGCACTGATGAGATTATTAGTAGACCAAAAGGAAAAGACAACAAATAAATAAATGGAGAAAATGTCTGATAGGGAAAGTTTGAAAGTAAACAAATAAAATAAGGAGGAAAATAGTAGTAAGAGAAAGACAGAAAAGAAGAATTTATCTACAGTGAATTCTGACCTACAAAAAATGACAAGTTTAAGATGGGGAATAGTAATAATTCCCCTTAACATCAATCACATCTACCATACATTAGCATGGCCTCATCATAGTGAGACCTACAAGTATCCAAAAGGAAAATTTTCCAAAATAATAACCCTCTAGGGAAAAAATAGCAAAAACCTGGGATTCATCCCACTGGTTCCACTGATTATATGGCATTGTGGAATGAAGTTGGAATTGGAAGTAGCCAGACAGGGATTTAAATCTCAGCTCTGACAACTCTTGGCTGTGCAAGATTGGTCAAATTAACCACTCTGAATCTTAGTTCCCTTCTGTCAAAAAGAAAATAATATCTACTTTCATAATTGTTATAAATTCTTAATATAGGCCTTAGCATATAGTAAACATTTAAAATTAGCTTTATTAGTAGCAATAATAAAAATCAGTATACATTCATCTCAACACAATGCCACCTATTTATGCTCTGCTCTGGTCAGAAGAAAGTGAATTTTCCATTGGATTTTTTTTATTATTGGAAATATATCATTTCCCAGTATTTTTTATCTACTTATAAAATGATGTAGATACTTTTTCTTATTCATTATCCAGGTATCTTGAAACTTTGCTGGAATGCCATGATGATTTTGGTTGTAGAAGTGTCAACTATCTCCTTGAGTACTACTTTTCAAGTCAATGAGCTCTTAGGAAATAGCATTAGAAATATTCATATAAATAGCATTCAGGCTATTCATAAGTCTTCTGTGGGAATAATTAAAATATATTAGGATGGAAAATTAGCCAGGCATGGTGGTGCATGCCTGTAGTCCCAGCCACTCAGGAAGCTGAGGCAGGAGAATCACTTGAACCCCAGGAGGTGGAGGTTGTGGTGAACCGAGATTGTGCCACTGAACTCTAGCCTGGGTGACAGAGCCAGATTCTGTCTCAAAAATAAATAAATAAAATAAAATGCATGAGAATGGATAAGACATCTTCCTCCAAGGCACTGACCATCTATAAGACTCTTTTTTTTTTAGACGCAGTTTTGCTCGTGTTGCCCAGGCTGGAGTGCAATGGCCTGATATTGGCTCACCGCAACCTCTGCCTCCCAGGTTCAAGCGATTCTCCTGCCTGGGCCTCCCAAGTAGCCAGAACTACCAGCGCCCACCACCTCACCCGGCTAATTTTAATATTTTTAGTAAAGACGGGGTTTCACCATGTTGACCACGCTGGTCTCAAACTCCTGACCTCAGGTGATCCACCCGCCTTGGCCTCCGAAAGTGCTGGGATTATAGGCGTGAGCCATCGGGCCTGGCCTATAAGGGTCTTTAAAGACCCACTTTAAAAGGCAATATATCCATATAACAATATTGTACCCCTTAAATTTATACAAGTTTTAAAAAGAAAAATACAAAAAAAAGTTTAAAAACAAAATTTAAAAGATATTGTTAAAGTTCAGTTAGATTGATAAAAAAATTCTTGATATTGAAGTGGGTAGTAGAAGAAGGACAGACAGCCTGAGCTAAGTGTGGATTGAGTGTAGAAACAGGCATTGGTGTGGCTGGGTGTGGTGGCTCACGCCTGTAATCCCAGCACTTTGGGAGGCCGAGGCGGGCGGATCATGAGGTCAGGAGATGAAGACCATCCTGGCTAACACGGTGAAACCCGGTCTCTACTAAAAATACAAAAAAATTAGCCGGGCGTGGTAGCGGGCGCCTGTAGTCCCAGCTACTCGGGAGGCTGAGGCAGAAGAATGGCGTGAACCTGGGAGGCGGAGCTTGCAGTGAGCCGAGATCGCACCACTGCACTCCAGCCTGGGCGACAGAGCGAGACTCCGTCTCCAAAAAAAAAGAAAGAAAGAAAAGAAATAGGCATTAGTGGCCGGGCACGGTGGCTCACGCCTGTAATCCCAGCACTTTGGGAGACTGAGGCAGGTGTATCATGAGGTCAGGAATTCGAGACCAGCCTGGCCAAGATGGTGAAACCCCGTCTCTACTAAAAACACAAAAATTGCGCAGTGGCAGGTGACTGTAATCCTAGCTACTCGGGAGGTTGAGGCAGGAGAATCTCTTGAACCCGGGAGGCGGAGGTTGCAGTGAGCTAATATCGCGCCACTGCACTCTAGCCTGGGTAACAGAGCAAGACTCCATCTCAAAACAAAAACAAACAAAAAAAATGCATTGTTTTTTGGTTTAGGGGAGGGATTTTTTGCAGATATGTGGACTGTTAATGCTCCAAGTCAAATCTTCCCTACTGGAGCATTTTCGCTTTTTAAGTTGCTTGATAGTATTATAATCAATAAAATAGAGTTATTCCAGATATCAAAGTAGAGAGGGCTACTTCTTCAGTGTGTCAGCCCAGCATTCTACTACATGAGGTTAACTATCTTAATGAAATAAAATGTGATATTAGAAGTGTGAAGTAAGTATCCTTTTTATAATCAGAGCTTTTTCTTTCCACATTTTCCATTTGGAGTTTTAAAAGGATAAAATTCTAGGCCGGGCACAGTGGCTTATACCTGTAATCCTAGCACTTTGGGAGGCCGAGGCAGATGGATCACTTGAGGTGAGGAGTTGGAGACCAGCCTGGCCAACATGGTGAAACCCCATCTCTACCAAAAATATAAAAATTAGCTGGGCGTGATGGCATGCGCCTGTAATCCCAGCTACTTGTGAGGCTGAGGCAAGAGAATCACTTGAACCCAGGAGGCAGAGGTCTCAGTGAACCAAGATCACACCACTGCACTCCAGCCTGGGCAACAGAGTGAGACCCTGACACAAAATAAATAAATAAATATCAAAACAAAAAGATGAAATTCTAGACTAAATCATACAAATTTGCTGAATTTTGTGTTTTCCTTCGAGGTATGATTTTTTTTTTTTTTTGAGACAGAGTCTCACTCTGCCCCCCAGGCTGGAGTGCAGTGGCATGTTCTTGGCTCACTGTAGCCTCCACCTCCTGGGTTCAAGCGATTCTCCTGCTCAGCCTCCTTTATATTTTATACAAATATAAAAATTTTTGTATTTTTAGTAGAGACAGGGTTTCACCATGTTGGCCAGGCTGGTCTCAAACTCCTGACCTCAAATGATTCGTCCACCTTGGCCTCTCATAGTGCTGGAATTACAGGTGCACCTGGCCAATGTATGACTGTTAAATCTGTCTTCTATTCTATTATTGTCTTTATGATTATGATTTTGTCTTGTCTTATAGATGAGGGGAGAGTTAATGTGAATGTGATGATGGATGAAGGATATCTTTTTACAGGTAGGTTGGATTTTTACTAACTCATTATTGAGCATCTATCATATCCCAACCTTCCAGGAGCTTGTGTAGTTGAGGCAGAAAAAATACATACAAGTAAATGCAATAAAATTTTATAGATTGCAAAGGACCTATGCAAGGTAAAGAAGGGGCAAGATGGTCACTTGCACCTAAGGAGAAGAAATTGAGAAATAGTTTTGTAGAGTGGGCAACACATGAGCTGATCCTTAAAAAATGAAACCATGTTTGTCAGGGAGACAGTGTTCCTGATAGAGGGAAAAAAGCATAATTTTTGTATTTTCAATAGAGATGGGCTTTCACCGTGTTGGCCAGGCTGGTCTCAAACTCCTGACCTCGGTGATCCACCGACCTTGGCCTCCCAAAGTGATGGGATTGCAGGCGTGGGCCACTGTGCCCAACCAAGAAAAAAAGTCTAAATACACCTATAATAAGAAATTCAGTTACAGACATACCTCATGTTATTATGCCCTGCTTTATTGCATTTTACAGATACTGTGATTTTTACAAATTGAAGGTTTGCAAAACCCTGCATTGAGCAAGCCTATCAATGTCATTTTTCCAATTGCATGTCCTCATTTCATGTCTCATGTGTCATGTCTTGCAAATTTTTTTGTTATATCTATTATGGTAATCTGTGATCAATGATATTTGATGTTACTACTGTAATTGTTATGGGGTACCATGAACAGCAACCATGTAAGACAATTGACTCAACTGGTAAAAAAAAAAAAAAAAATGCATAAACGGCACCAAGATGATAAATGAAACAGTATGGAACTTTAAGGAACTAGAAATAATTTGGCATAAGCTGGATCATAAAATGCTATCAGGAGTTTGGCAAGAAATAAACGTAAAGAGCAAGGAAGGAGATGTGGTAGGCTCCCAAAAATACCCAGGTCCTAATCCTCAGAACCTGTGAATGTTAACTTATATGGGAAAAGTGACTTTGGAGATATGATTAGGAACCCTGAGATGGGGAGATTATCCTTATCTAAGTATACCTTAAATGTAATTACAACTGTCCTTAAGAGGGAGACTTGATGACAGAAAAAGTAGAAGGCAGTGTGACAATGGACACAAGATGCTACAATGAGAGCTTTGAGGATGGAAGAAGGGACATGAGCCAAAGAATATAAGTGGCCTCTAGAAGTGGAAGGCAAGGGAACAGATTCTCTGCCAGAGCCTCCTGAAGAAACCAGCCCTGCTGACACCTTGACTTTAGCCCAATAAAACTGATTTCAGACTTTCACTCTCCAGAACCATTAAGAGAAAAAAGCTGTATTGTTTTAAACCACCAAGTTTTTGGTAAATTGTTACAGCAACAACAGGAACTAACACAGGGGACAAATCATAGAGGGCCTTGACTACCAAATAAAGGAGTGTGAATTTTATTCTGTGGAGTATGGAGTCATTCCAGGATTTTAAGCTACAGACTATGTTATTAGATGTGCAAATTAGAAAGATTTGCTGGGTGCAGTGGATCATGACTGTAATCCATCACTTTAGGGGGCTGAGGCAGGTGGATTGCCTGAGCTCGAGAGTTTGAGACCAGCCTGGGCAACATGGTGAAACTGCATCTCTACAAAAAAAAAAAAAAAAAAGTAAAAAAAAAAAAGTTAACCAGGTGTGGTGGCACATACCTGTAGTCTCAGCTACTTGGGGGACTGAGGTGGGAGGATCACTTGAGCCCAGGAGGTTGAGGCTGCAGTGAGCTACAATTGTACCATGTAATCCAGCCTGGGTGACAAATCAACACCCTGTCTCCAAAAAAAAAAAAAAAAGAAAAAAGAAAGAAAGATTGCTTCAGCAATATAGAGAATGGATCAATGGATGAAGGTGTGTGTGCAAGAGAGGAGTCAGGGAGAGCAGTTAGGAAGCAAATTGTCACTGTCCAGGCAAAAGACAATAAAAGACAGAGGTAATCATTATCAATGAGACTTGAGAGGAAGGGACATATATAAGAGATATTACAGATACAGTATTACAGGATTTGATTCCTGATCAGGTATGGAGTTTGGAAGAAAAGAAAGAGTAAAGGATGACTGCTTTGTTTCTGAGTTGGGTAGTTGGGTGAGTGATAGTGACAGTCACCAAAATAAGAAATTCAGTAAAAGATTTAGAAGTAGTTACCATTTGGGGTCATATTGAATTTGGGGTTCCTGTGAGACATCTAAAGAGAATTGAACCATACACAATTGAATATATAAGAATCTGGGCCGGGCGCAGTGGCTCACGCCTATAATCCCAGCACTTTGGGAGGCCAAAGCGGGTGGATCGCCTGAGGTCAGGAGTTCGAGACCAGCCTGGCCAACATAGTGAAACCCCATCTCTACTAAAAATACAAAAAAAAATTAACTGGGCGTGGTGGTGGGCGCCTGTAATCCCACCTACTAGGGAGGCTGAGGCAGGAGAATCGCTTGAACCCATGAGGCAGAGGTTGCAGTGAGCCGAGATCGTGCCATTGCACTCCAGCCTGGGCAACAAGAACAAAACTCTGTCTCAAAAAAAAAAAAAAAAGATTCTGAAGCCACCTCTTTTTCCAAGACAAGCGGACTTAAAGTCAGGAAGGACACAGATATAGAGAATCTATGTAGATTTGGGAGTAAAATTCAAAGGAGTTTACCTAAAAGCTTCAATTTTCTTTGTAAAGTAGAAGACAGGATCATCTACTAACAGGAAGGACACAGTGGTGGGGTAGGGAATTTCAAGAAGAGTATTGGTGATTTTACATAACTTTGTTTCTTGTTTTTGTTTTTAGTTTTATATATGTAGGGGATACAAGTGCAGATTTCTTACATGTATATATTGCATCGTTGTGAAGTCTGGGCTTTTAGTATACCCATCACTCAAACAGTGAATACTGTACCCAATAGGTAATTTTTCAACCCTTGCTCCCACACGCTCCCACCTTTTGTAGTCTTTAATGTCCATTATTCCACTCTGTATGTCCATGTGTACTCATCGTTTAGCTCCCAGTTGTAAGTGAGAGCGTGCAGTACTTAACCCTCTGTTTCTGAGTTATTTTGCTGAGGATAATGGCCTCCAGTTCCATCCATGTTGCTGCAAAAGACATCATATCATTGTTTTGGTGTCTGAGTAGTATTCCTTGGTATATACATACTCCATCCTTTCTATCCAGTCCTCCATTGGTGGACACTTAGATTGATTCCACATCTCTGCTATAGTGCTGCAATAAGCAAAAGAGTGCAGATATATTTTTAATATAATGATTTTTTTCCCATTGGGTATATACCCAGTAGTGGAACTGCTGGATCGAATGGCAGCTCCATGTTTTAGTTCCCTGAGAAATCTCCATGCCGTTTTCCATAAAAGCTATACTAATTTAATTTTGTATAACTTTGATAGAAAATATGAACTAAAGTTAATAAGGAATACATGAAGGCATTGCTGAGAAGTGCCAAGAGGTAACCATAGTTAAATACCATTAAAACATAATGGCAACCTTTCGTATGATTATATGATATTCTTCAGTTGGACCAAATTAGGAGATTCTAAGGCTCATGTACCAAAACAATGAAAGCATAGAGACTTAACCGTGTAGTCCAAGAAAATGAGTAAGTGTTCTAGTGTGGATGCAGAAAGAAGTGAGGTTGTGAACTTAGAGAAAAGTGAGAGAAGAGGAATGAAATTCTCTATAAAGATATAACACATGTGGTATAAGTAAGGAAGTAAAATAAATGGAAGAATTACAAGGTATTGGCCAAAAGTCAGCATGTTAGAATTTAAGGTTTTAGAGGTAAAGCATTTCTAGGTGATGACAAAGTCCAGAATGTGTGCTTGAGAGTTAACTAGTGTAGAATTTAAGAGATAGTCATTGAGGATAAGAAGGTCAAGAAATTTGGAGGCCAGTCATTGAATGAGTTATCTGAATAAAGGCTGGAATTCCTTATAATGATGCCAGGAGTTTTGGAGGAAGAAGACTATGGGTCATGGGACAAGCTCCTAAAGTGACCAAGAAGCCAGTGGGTGGCAATAAAAATAAGAGATAGTCATTGAGGATAAGGAGGTCAAGAGATTTGGAGGCGAAGTCATTGAATGAGTTATCCATATAAAGGCTGGAATTCCTTATAATAATGCCAGGAGTTTTGGATGCAGGAGAAGACTATGGGTCATAGGACAAGCTCCTGAAGTGACAAAGAAGCCAGTGGGTGGCAATAAAAAGAAAGCCAAATTCCATAAATCTCAAAAGAGAAGAGGTTTGGATTTAGTTGGAAATCAGCAGTTGCAATCTAGGAGAATGCCAAGCCCTGAGACAATTAGGACATAGAAAAATGAGTAGTCTTGGCAACAGAGCAAGACTCCATCTCAGAAAAAAAAAAAAAAAAGAAAGAAAAAGAAAAAGAAAAATGAGCAGTCTTATCTCAAAAATAAAAGCAAGTAATAGAAAATTATATTAGGAAGAGGAAAAGTTCAATTAAGAAGGAAGGTTAAAAGTCTGTAAAGAGACTAAAAATACAGAGAAATTCATATTCTATTTCAACTCTAAGAGAAGGGTTGAAAAGAAGCTAGCAATAGAAAGAAAAATATCAAGTAATAAAACAGAATAGACTAGAGAGGGCAGAAAATTGGGAGGGGTTTTCATTCTGAAAAATGAGAGCAATATGGATAAAAGGTATGGTTAGACCAATGCCCTTGAGGCAGACGCTCCCATGTCTTGTCAAAAGCCTGATCAAGTTAGCAGACTGGGAGCTTGCTCTTTTGTGTCTGAAGAGTCGTTCCTTTGGCTGGTGACGGGGATATTAGAAGCCCCAGTGGTGAAGAGAGTTCCGAAGCATCTTGGGGAAAACAACCCTTGTGCACATTTCCTCCTAGACACTTGTGCAGATGACTGGCTAACTCTCAAGACATTCTCCTCTCAATGGAAACACTGCATTGTTGTTCCAGAGGACTAAAAGCAAGAATTTTCTTTTGCTGGAATTGGAAAGGATTAGGACATCTGATTTGTCTACCTTAACTGCATCTTTAGCTTTTGTTCCCTACCAAGAGAGCTACTGTAAACATGATGAACATTCATAAAAGCCACTGGACTTTCTGTAGGAAGTATGGCAAGCACCAATCCCACAAAGTGACACAGTGCAAGAAGGGCAAGGATTCTCTGTATGCCCAGGGAAAGCAGTGTTATGACAGGAAGCAGAGTGGCTATGATGGGCAGACTAAGCTGATTTTCCAGAAAAGGCTAAACCACAAAGAAGATTGTGCTGAGACAAGAGTGTATTGAGTCCAACTGCAGATCTCAGCGAATGCTGGCTATTAAAGAGAACTGGAAGGAGCTAAAACAAGAAAGGGCCAAGTGATTCAGTTCTGAGCTTCATCTTTTGTTTTATTAAGAAAACAATACAATCTTGAGGTTATGCTCAAACAAGAAAGAAATTGCATCTTCAAGCAGAGAAAAGAGCCATGGTGAAGGAAAATTGTACACAGTCATCCTAAGAGCAGACTGGGAGATGGTTGCAGGGGGCAGGGATAACTGGTGATTTCCACTCTCATAACCAGGAACTAAAACTAAGTTTGTTACCAAAGAAACTTGTTAGCTTTGTGTCTTATTCATGCTTGTGATAGTTTGGTTATCACCTGTCTGTTTCCCTCTAGCACTTTACATTAAAGTTCTAAGAATAAAAAATCTCTACATGCTAGTGTTCCTGAGGCACACAAAAAGAGGTGAACTTGAGAGTTTGCATCTGACTTCCTAGCCACCCTTAAGGAAGGAAGCACAAGAAATGCACTGTGTGTTGTAGCTACCAAGAAGAGGAAAGCAGACTCACCAAATCCCTGAGGCATGATAGAGAGCCAGACCAGGTTAAGGTAGAAGCCCCTAGAGATAGGCCCTGTATGGTGGCAAAACATGCAATTAAGAAAATTTTGCAAAATCGAGATTCCAATGTTTGCACAAAATTCTATTTTAAATGCAATGTTTCCCTTTTTGATACATTCTCTCACTCTACCTATTTACTGGTGAACGTTTGCATCTAATGGCTTACAGCCTAATTTTCACCACCATTGTTTTAGAAAACAGCTCGAAGATTATGTCTGAGCAATAGCTGGCATTCTTGCCGATTTATTTCATTAATGTTTAATCAGCAAATGATGCTACATGAACATTTTTCTTAATATAGAATCATCATTCTTCAAACTTTAAACCACTTTCACTTTTTACTTTTTAAAGGTGAAAAGGTTGATACTAGGAACCTGGAAAATTTTCTGGAAAATATGGGGATAAAGCTCACAGAAGATAAAGAAATGCAACTGCTGAATAATCTTCCAGTTGATGGTAAGCATTAAAAATATCACACAACCAGGCGTGGTGGCACATGCTCATGGTCCCAGCTACTCAGGAGGCTGAGGTGGGAGGATTGCTGGGGCCCAGGAGGTCAAGGCTGCTTTGAGCAGTGATCACACCACTGCATTCCAGCCTGGATGACAGGGCAAGACCCTGTCTCAAAAAGTTTAAATTTAAAATATCATAGTAAAGCCAGGTGCAGTGGCTCACACCTGTAATCCCGGCACTTTAGGAGGCTGAGGTGAGAGGATCGCTTGAGTTCAAGAGTTTGAGACCAACCTGGGCGACATAGTGAGACCCTGTCTTTACAAAAAAAAAGTTTAAAAAGTAGCTAGGCATGGCTCCACATACTTGTAGTCCCAGCTACTTGGAAGGCTGATGTGGGAGAATCACTTGAGCCCAGGAGGTGGAGTCTATAGTGAGCTGAGATCCCATCACTGCACTCCAGCCTGGGAGACAGAGCAAAACCCTGTCTCAACAACAACAAAATCACAGGATTCTTTGAAGAAGGCCGAGCATATGACCTTTTGTGACTAATACTCTCTATGTAAGGAATGTTCCATGTCCCACCAACAAAATGATTTCATCATATTGAGAACTGTTTCCATTCCTGAGTTTTATTCTTGAAAATGAAAAAGTATAAATTTCTGGAATAAAATATTTTAAAATGTATATTCTGAAATTATGTATGTTTTGTACTATTTTTTAAATATCTACATTGCTGCCTGAGACTTGGATTTTTCTCTGTCTTACAGCCAAAGGAAAGGTATTTGTGAACAGATTGATGAAAGAATTGAGAGGTCTTGAAGGTGAGTGAGAAGTAAGATAAAAAGGCAGGTAAAACTGAGTTCCTCAAGCTTTACTGTTGTTTTCAAAAACCCTTCCTATTTTACAATTTTCAGATTATTAATCCTGCTGTCCCAACTGTTTATTAATTCATTGTTTATCCTTATATGCTTTAGGCACACTGCAATCACTAAAATGGTTTAACTACAGTAGACTCAAAAACAGTGGTTCCCAAATAAAGTTGTGCATCAGAATCACCAGGAAAAAAAAAAAAAACACTGTCTTAGCATTCAGATCACTAGGCCCTTTTTCTGTCATATTGATCTTGGATTTCTAGAGCTAGTACCTAGAAGCATGTTATTAAAAAGTTTGAGGAGGAGGGGCCAAGATGGCCCAATAGGAAAAGCTCTGGTCTGTAGCTCTCAGCGAGACCATCGCAAAAGGTGGGTGATTTCTGCATTTCCAATTGAGGTACCCAGTTCATCTCATTGGAACTGGTTGGGCAGTGGCTCCAACCCACGGAGGGCAAGCACAAGCAGGGTAGGGCATTGCTTCACCCGGGAAGTACAAGGAGCCGGGGACCTCCCTCCCCCCATCCAAGGGAAGCCGTGAGGGACTGTGCTACCCCACTGAATTACTACACTTTTCCCACGGTTTTTTCAATCTGCAGATCAGGAGATTCTCTCATATGCCTACACCACCAGGGCCCTGGGTTTCAAGCACAAAACTGGGCAACTGTTTGAGCAGACACTGAGCTAGCTGCAGGAGTATTTTTTTGTACTCCAGTAGCACCTGGAACCCTGTGAGACAGAACCATTCACTCCCCTGGAAAGGGGGGTGAAGGCAGGGAGCCAAGTGGTCTTGCTCAGCGTGTCCCACTCCCATGAAGCCCAGCAAGCTAAGAACCACTGGCTTGAAATTCCCACTGCCAGCACAGCAGTCTGAAGTCAACCTGGGACAATCGAGCTTGGTAGCGGGAAGGGCATCTGCCATTACTGAGGCTTTAGTAGGTGGTTTTCCCCGACAGTACTAAGAAGGCTGGGAGGTCTGGGCTGGGTGTGGCAAAGCAGCTGTGGCCAGACTGCTTCTCTAGATTCCTCCTCACTGGGCAGGGCATCTCTGAAGGAAAGGTAACAGCCCCAGTCAGGGGCCTACAAACAAAATCCCCATCTCCCTGGGACAGAGCACCTGGGGGAAGGGGTGGCTGTGGGCCACAGCTTCAGCAGATTTAATCATTCCTGCCTGCTGGCTCTGAAGAGAGCAGCTGATCCCGACAAGAGGGATTCTCCCAGCACAGCGCACCGACTCTGGTAAGGGACAGACTGCCTCCTCAAGTGGGCCCCTCACCCCTGTTCCTCCTGACTGGGAGAAATCGCCCAACAAGGGTCGACAGATACCTCATACAAGAGAGCTCCATTTGGCATCAGGCTGGTGCCCCTCTGGGACGAAGCTTCCAGAGGAAGGAGCAGGGAGCAATCTTTGCTGTTCTGCAGGCTTCACTGGTGACACCCAGGCAAACAGGGTCTGGAGTGGACCTCCAACAAACTTCAGCAGACCTGCAGAAGAGGGGCCTGACTGTTAGAAGAAAAACTAACAAACAGAAAGCAACAACATCAACATCAGCATAAAGGACCCCCACACAAAAACCCTATCCAAAGGTCATCAGCCTCAAAGTTCAAAGGTAGATAAATCCACAAAGAAGAGGAAAAACCAGTGCTAAAACACTGAACATTCCAAAAAGCAGAATGCCTCTTCTCCTCCACATGATCACAGCTGCTCTCCAGCAAAGGCACAAAACTGGACGGAGAATGATATTGACAAATTGACAGAAGTAGGCTTCAGGAGGTGGATAATAACAAACTCCTCTGAGCTAAAGGAGCATGTTCTAACCCATTGAACTGAAGCACTCCTCAGCAAATGCAAACGAACAGAAATCATAACAAATAGTCTCTCAAACCACAGTGCAATCAAATTAGAACTCAGGATTAAAAAACTCACTCAAAACTGCACACCTACATGGAAATTGAACAGCCTGCTCCTGAATGACTACTGGGTAAATAACGAAATTATTTACCCAAATACCCATCAATCATAGACTGGATAAAGAAAATGTGGCACCATGGAATACTATGCAGCCATAAAAAGAAATGAGTTCATGTCCTTTGCAGGGACATGGATGAAGCTGGAAGCCATCATGCTCAGCAAACTAACAGGAACAGAAAACCAAACACCCCATGTTCTCCCTCATAAGTGGGAGTTGAACAATGAGAATACATAGACACAGGGAGGGGAACATCACACACCAGGGCCTGTCAAGGGGTTGAGGGCAAGGAGAGAGAGAGCATTAGGACAAATACCTAATGCATGCAGGGCTTAAAGCCTAGATGACGGGTTGATAGGTGCAGCAAACCACCATGGCACATGTATACTATGTAACAAACCTGCACATTCTGCACATGTGTCCCAGGACTTAAAATAAAAAATAAAGATCAACAAAATTGATAGACTGCTGGCAAGACTAATAAAGAAGAAAAGAGAGAAGAATCAAATAGATGCAATAAAAAATGATAAGGGGGATATCACCACCGATCCCACAGAAATACAAACTACCATCAGAGATTACTGTAAACACCTCTACGCAAATAAACTAGAAAATCTAGAAGAAATGGATAAATTCCTCGACACATACATCCTCCCAAGACTAAACCAGGAAGAAGTTGAATCTCTGAATAGACCCATAACAGGATCTGAAATTGAGGCAATAATTAATAGCTTACCAACCAAAAAAAGTCCAGGACCACATGGATTCACAGCCGAATTCTACCAGAGGTACAAAGAGGAGCTGGTACCATTCCTTCTGAAACTATTCCAATCAATAGAAAAAGAGAGAATCCTCCCTAACTCATTTTATGAGGCCAGCATCATCCTGATACCAAAGCCTGGCAGAGACACAACCAAAAAAGGGGATTTTAGACCAATATCCTTGATGAACATCGATGCAAAAATCCTCAGTAAAATACTGGCAAACCGAATCCAGCAGCACATCAAAAAGCTTATCCACCATGATCAAGTGGGCTTCATCCCTGGGATGCAAGGCTGGTTCAACATACGCAAATCAATAAATATAATCCAGCATACAAACAGAACCAAAGACAAAAACCACATGATTATCTCAGTAGATGCAGAAAAGGCCTTTGACAAAATTCAACAACCTTCATGCTAAAAACTCTCAATAAATTAGGTATTGATGGAACGTATCTCAAAATAATAAGAGCTATTTATGACAAACCCACAGCCAATATCATACTGAATGGGCAAAAACTGGAAGCATTCCTTTGAAAACGGGCACAAGACAGGGATGCCCTCTCTCACCACTCCTATTCAACATAGTGTGGAAGTTCTGGCCAGGGCAATCAGGCAGGAGAAGGAAATAAAGGGTATTCAATTAGGAAAAGAGGAAGTCAAACTGTCCCTGTTTGCAGATGACATGATTGTATATCTAGAAAACCCCATCGTCTCAGCCCAAAGTCTCCTTAAGCTGATAAGCAACTTCAGCAAAGTCTCAGGATACAAAGTCAATGTACAAAAATCACAAGCATTCTTATACACCAATGACAGACAAACAGAGAGCCAAATCATGAGTGAACTCCCATTCACAATTGCCTCAAAGAGAATACAATACCTAGGAATCCAACTTGCAAGGGATGTGAAGGACCTCTTCAAGGAGAACTACAAACCACTGCTCAATGAAATAAAAGAAGATACAAACAAATGGAAGAACATTCCATGCTCATGGGTAGGAAGAATCAATATCATGAAAATGGCCATACTGCCCAAGGTAATTTATAGATTCAATGCCATCCCCATCAAGCTACCAATGACTTTCTTCACAGAATTGGAAAAAACTACTTTAAAGTTCATATGGAACCAAAAAAGAGCCTGCATCGCCAAGTCAATCCTAAGCCAAAAGAACAAAGCTGGAGGCATCACGCTACCTGACTTCAAACTATGCTACAATGCTACAGTAACCAAAACAGCATGGTACTGGTACCAAAACAGAGAGACAGACCAATGGAACAGAACAGAGCCCTCAGAAATAATGCCGCATATCTACAACTATCTGATCTTTGACAAAACTAATAAAAACAAGCAATGGGGAAAGGATTCCCTATTTAATAAATGGTGCTGGGAAAACTGGCTAGCCATATGTAGAAAGCTGAAACTGGATCCCTTCCTTACACCTTATACAAAAATTAATTCAAGATGGATGAAAGACTTAAATGTTAGATCTAAAACCATAAAAATCCTAGAAGAAAACCTAGGCAATACCATTCAGGACATAGGCATGGGCAAGGACTTCATGTCTAAAACACCAAAAGCAATGGCAACAAAAGCCAAAATTGACAAATGGGATCTAATTAAACTAAAGAGCTTCTGCACAGCAAAAGAAACTACCATCAGAGTGAACAGGCAACCTACAGAATGGAAGAAAATGTTTGCAACCTACTCATCTGACAAAGGGCTAATATCCAGAATCTACAATGAACTCAAACATATTTACAAGAAAAAAACAAACAACCCCATCAAAAAGTAGGCAAAGGATATGAACAGACAATTCTCAAAAGAAGACATTTATGCAGCCAAAAAACACATGAAAAAATGCTCATCATCACTGGCCATCAGAGAAATGCAAATCAAAACCACAATGAGATACCATCTCCCACCAGTTAGAATGGCAATCATTAAAAAGTCAGGAAACAGCAGGTGCTGGAGAGGATGTGGAGAAATAGGAACACTTTTACACTGTTGGTGGGACTGTAAACTAGTTCAACCATTGTGGAAGTCAGTGTGACGATTCCTCAGGGATCTAGAACTAGAAATACCATTTGACCCAGCCATCCCATTACTGGGTATATACCCAAAGGATTATAAACCATGCTGCTATAAAGACACATACACACATATGTTTATAGCGGCACTATTCACAATAGCAAAGACTTGGAACCAACCTAAATGTCCAACAATGATAGACTGGATTAAGAAAATGTGGCACATACACACCATGGAATACTATGCAGCCATAAAAAATGATGAGTTCATGTCCTTTGTAGGCACATGGATGAAGCTGGAAACCATCATTCTCAGCAAACTATCGCAAGGACAAAAAACCAAACACCGCATGTTCTCACTCATAGGTGGGAATTGAACAATGAGAACAGGTGGACACAGGAAGGGGAACATCACACACCAGGAACTGTTGTGGGGTGGGGGGACGGGGGAGGGATAGCATTAGGAGATATACCTAATGCTAAATGACGAGTTAATGGGTGCAGCACACCAACATGGCACATGTATACATATGTAACAAACCTGCATGTTGTGCACATGTACCCTAAAACTTAAAGTATAATAATAATAATATAATAATATTAAAAAATAAAATAAAATAAAGAATAAAATGAACAGGAAAAGTGAAAAAAAAAGAAGATATTGGTCAACAGATATAAAGTCATAGTTAGGAGGAATAGGTTCTGGTGTTCTATTGTAGAACAAGATGGCTATAATAAATAATAGTGTATTGTGTGTTTCAAGCTAGAAGAAAGGATTTTGAATGTTCTCACCACAAAGAAATGATTAATATTTGAGGTGATAGATATGCTAATTACACTGATTTGATTATTCCACAATGCTTACATGTATCAAAACATCACATCATACCCTTTAAAATACCCAATTATTATTTGTCAGTTAAAAATATAAAAATTTTAAAAATATTTCCAGGGGATTATGATGGAGTAAACCCACAGACTTTATTTATTTATTTATTTGTCTCTGTTATTTTAGCAAGTTTCAGATCCTATTGTGCAGACACATTTATAAAGGTTGATTTTGGTCTTAGTTCTCCTAAAAGCAATAACAGAATCCCACAGCTCAGGGTTTAGAAATTCCTTACTTACATACCAAAAACCATGTTTACTTGACTAGTTTAATTGTTCTTTGCCCTTTCTGCTTATAGAATTGATGCCTAGGTGTGAGCTAGAATTACCCACTCTTTATATCATTACAAATTTTCTTGTATCCATCCCCTTATTTCTTAAGGAACAAAAGTGTCTTCAGATAAGAAGGAAACTTTCTTGAAAAGCATAGGAATTGATCTCAAGGAGAAAGAAATCCGGACACTGAATGACCACCTACCACTTGATGGTGAGAGTTTTTAATATCGGTATACCCCTTAGTAAACCTTTGAACATGAGGCTAGTAGTGGGGCTGGAATGATTGAAGGGGCTAGAATGATTGAAGATAGGGTACATATGAAAAGAAATGAGAGAGTAAGACCTTCACCATAGCTACCAAACTGAACCCAATGGCTACCGCTTGGGAAGAATCACCAAGAATACTGCCAACATAAATGGCAAGTGTCAACTCACTATGTAACACCACAGGAAATGCCAAGAATTAACAAGAATACATAGGACGTAAATCTTCTAATCCCTGCTGGTAATCCATCGTTAATAGCAATGACCAACACTGTGTGGTCCTGACACATGCAAGGCACTATTCTAAGTACTTTCACATATCAACTTATTTAATCTTGTAAACAACCCTAAAAGCTAGGTTCTGCTTTTATCCCCATTCTACATTTAAGGAAACAAGGGCACAGAAAAGTCAAGTCACTTGCCCAAAGGCAGAGAGCTAGTAAATGATGGAACCGGGAAAAGAACCTAGGCAATCTGGCTCCAGAAACTGTCTCTTAACCACGATGCTGTATTTCCGTGAGCTAATAGAATTAACGAATTTTAAAAGGTATATAGTAATGTTACAGATGAAATTAATTAAACTTGGCGTATTTTAGATGGTCTCATGCTAGTGAAACTGAGAAAAATTCATCAGGAAATTTTGGGAGACTACTGTTCCCTAGAGGAAATTGTAAAAATATATAATTAATCCAAGTCAGTGAATACTGTATGTGCTTTTCTAAATCAGTGGTACCTTTCATTCTTCCAGTCCAACAACTTTAAAAACTATGATGCATCAGGCACTGTTCTAGGCCCTTGGTACCTTTGCTTTAATAAGTAAGCAATTTTCAAAACATGACTTTTTCTTTTGTTTTTAAATCCCTTCTATAGCTCTTTCAATCTACCAGTGCAATAAACGTAGATACTTGCGGTTGCCCTGTTGTCCTAGTATCTTGGAACATCACCAGCACAGTGATTTAAAGTGTGAGGCCCTTAACATAATTCTTGTAGAATACCTTGTACCTCTGTTTAATCATCTGAGATAGGATAGAATATTGTTTCAGAACCTAATGGGCCTCAGTGGAGCTAATTGGGGACATAGAAAGGGAAGAGTGTGGTGGCATGTTATTTACAGGCAGACTTTTATCCAAAAAAAGGATCTTCCTTGTCCTATTTAAAAGTTATAATGGTAACCATATTACTACTAATAATAAGGTATTATAAAACTATAAAATAATACCAGTCCAGGCACAGTGGCTCACCTCTGTAATCCCAGCACTTTGGGAGGCTGAGGTGAGAGGATCTCTTGAGACTAGAAGTTCAAAACCAGCCTGGGCAACATAGCAAAACCTCACCTCTAAAAATTATTTCTTTTAATTATCCGGGAACGGCCAGGCGCAGTGGCTCACACCTGTAATCCCAGCACTTTGGGAGGCCGAGGCAGGTGGATCTCATGAGGCCAGGAGTTTGAGACCAATCTGGGCAACACAGTGAAACCCCAACTCTACTAAAATTACAAAAATTAACTGGACATGGTGGTACACACCCATAATGCCAGCTACTCAGGAGCCTGAGGCAGGAGAATTGCTTGAACCCAGGAAGTGGAGGTTGCAGTGAGCCAAGATCATGCCACTTCACTCCAGCCTGGGCAACAGAGCGAGACTCTATCTCAAAAATAAAAAAATTTTCCAGGGATGCTGGTATGTGCCTATAGTCCTAGCTACTTGGGAGAGTGAGGCAGGTGGATTGTCCAGCCTAGGCGACAGAATGAGTCCCTGTCTCAAAAAAAAGAAGAAAAAATACCGGTAAAAGATTGTCATAATCGCTGGGTGCGGTAGCTCATGCCTGTAATCCCAGCACTTTGGCAGGCCAAGGTGGGTGGATCATGAGGTCAGGAGTTCGAGACCAGCCTGGCCAACATAGTGAAACCCCATCTCTACTAAAAATGCAAAAAATTAGCTGGGCGTGGTGGCGGGCACCTGTAATCCCAGCTACTCAGGAGGCTGAAGTGGGAGAATCGCTTGAACCTGGGACACAGAGGTTGCAGTGAGCCGAGATCATGCCATTGCACTCCAGCCTGGGCAACAGTGCAAAAAAAAAAAAAAAAAGATTGTCATAATCAAAAAAGTATTTAAAAAGAACTAACAAAGATAAATTCTGTATCTAAGAATCTGGAATGTAATAATTTTAAAGCTAATTCATTATTTATAATATGTTTGCATTTTGCTATTACTATAATTTAGTAAATATTTATGGAGCATCAATCTTGTGCAAACCATTACACTAATGCCTAGGTGATAGTAAGAATGCAAAGTGATTCTTGGTATCTTGTCCTCAGATAAACTTATAGTCTTAGGAATATTACAAATAATACAACAGTGTGAACATATTTGAGCAGTGATGAATTGACACCCTTGACCAAGTCATAAATAGAAAATGAGTGTGTCCTTCAGCAGCTGTAAGGTTCCAAACTGAATCTTGCCTATAAGAGTAATAACATCTCTTAACTACTAGCTTAACCTGCCAATCCAGTGTCTCTCAAACTTGCAATCTTACAAACTGCTTAAAATTTATCCGCTGACTTCCAGTGACTTCAGACTTTAATTTGAGAAATACTGATCAAAGAAACTAAGTACATGGTCTATGAAAATATATTTTAATTGAGAATGGTCATGGCAAAATAAAAGTTTTGTCATCACAAATGGACTTTAACTAGATATATCAACATGACACTTATGTTGGCAACCTAAAAGCAACCAGATGTGGATACCAACACTCTCATCTTTTAGTGGATAACTTAGTGCCAGAGTCATCCTAAGCCTAAAGGTAAAGTCAGCGTTGACAAAAATGGAAATACCATTTTTAAACAAAATTTTTTAATTCTCAAATTTCCAACCCCTGAATAGACTAACTTACTATAATATATTGATTGTCCTGAAGGAAAGAAGAATGCTTTAAACTTTACTCTTGCATTGTGAAATGTAGATTTTGTTTGTTTATAGGATAAATAGTAGTAGCTATATTAATTAAATTCATGAGCATTGGACTTGGAAAAATAAACTTCTAGGGAAATGTTTTTGAATAATTGACTTTTGATTTTCTATTTCAAAATTTAAGGACCTTATATCATTTTTCCATAAATCTTTTTGATGCTTTTTTATCTTAAAGATAATGGGAAGATTGATTTGAATGTGATGATGGATGAAGTTAAAAATGTTACAGGTGAGTGAGATGTTACAGTAAATACTACATTGTGTGATCTTAAAGTTTTATATGGAACTATATTTTTAACACAATAATGTTTCTTCCACTCATTTATTTAACAATTATTTATAGAGTATTTACCACATGCCAGGCATTGTTCCAGGCATATAGGCTACATCAGTAAATACTACAAAGGTCACTGCCTCATGGAGCTTAGATTCTAGCAGGGGAAATAAGCAATAAACAATAAACATTAAACATAAGTACATTATATAATATGTTAGAAAGTTATTTATGCTATGGAAATAAGTGAAAAATAGATAAAGGAGATTGGGAGAGCAGGGAGTGTTGGGGAAAGAGGCAGGTGTGTTTTTAAACAGATAAGCAGGCCTTCTTGAGAAGGTGACATTTCAGCAAACACTTGAAAGAGGTGAGGGTTTTGACCATGTGGGGATTTCTAGACAAAAAGTGTTGCAGGCAAAGGGGACAAGGACAAAGGCAGGAGCATGCCTGGTATATTCAAAGAACAGCAAGAAGGTCGGTGTAGCTGAAGCTGAGTAACTAAGTAAAAAAGTAATAGGGAGACTGGGCACGGTGGCTCACACCTGTAATCCCAGCATTTTGGGAGGCCAAGGCAGGCAGATCACCTGAGTTCAGGAGTTCAAGACCAGCCTGGCCAACATGGTGAAACCCCATCTCTACTAAAAATACAAAAATTAGCCAGGCGTGGTGGTGCATGCCTGTAGTCCCAGCTACTCAGGAGGCTGAGGCAGGAAAATCACTTGAACAGGGAAGCAGAGGTTGCAGTGAGCTGAGATCAGGCCACTGCACTCCAGCCTGGGTGATAAAGCCAGACCCAATCTCAAAAAAAAGTAATGGGGGATGAGAAGAGAAAAGTAATGGGTGCATTACTTATTTTTGAAAGCCCTGCAAGGACTTGGGCTTATTTTCTGAGATAAACAGAAAGCTATTGTAGGGTTTAAAACCAAGGTGTAATATTATCTGACCTATGTTTTTATCAGATCTTTCCGGATTTGTTTTGAGCATAGACTGGGGGTGGGCTGGGAGGAAGGAATCAACAGTAGAAATAGGGAAACCATTTGGCTGGGCACGGTGGCTCATGCCTGAAATCCCAGCACTTTGGAAGGCTGGGATGGGTGGATCACCTGAGGCCAGGAGTTCAAGACGAGCCTGGTCAACATGGTAAAAGCCTGTCTCTACTAAAAATGCAAAAGTTAGGTGGGGGTGGGGGTGCACGCCTGCAATCCCAGCTACGTGAGAGGCTGAAGCACAAGAATCACTTGAACCTGGGAGGTGGAGGTTGCAGTAAGCCAAGATCATGCCACTGCACTCCAGAGCAGACTCTGTCTCAAAAGAAAAGAAGAGGAGACTGGGCGCAGTGGCTCTCACCTGTAATCCTAGCACTCTGGGAGGCCGAGGCGGGTGGATCACGAGGTCAGGAGCTGGCTAACACAGTGAAACCCCGTCTCTACTAAAAATACAAAAAAATTAGCCGGGCGTGGTGGAGGGCGCCTGTAGTCCCAGCTACTCGGGAGGCTGAGGCAGGAGAATGGCGTGAACCTGGGAGGCGGAGCTTGCAGTGAGCCCAGATAGCGCTACTGCACTTCAGCCTGGGTGACAGAGCGAGACTCCATCTCAAAAAAAAAAAAAAGAAGAGGAGAGGGGAGGGGAGGGGAGGGGAGGAAACAGGGAAACCATTTTGAGGGCCTTTAGAGTAATCAGTGTTAGGGATGCTGGTGACACAACCAGGGTGGAAGGCAATGGCTGGATTCTGGACATATTTTTTAAAGAGTCAAAAGAATTTTCTGGAGGATTAGATACAAAGTACTAGATAAAAGGAGAAGTCAAGAATGATTCTAAAATTTTTGTCTTGAACAACTAACTAAAAGGGTAGTCTTGCCATTAACTGAGATGAGAAAAGTTACCAGTAGTACAAGTTTGGGTGGAAGAAAATTAGGAATCCAATTTGGGACATTTTGAGATAACTAATAGACCTCCAAATGCAGGTGTCAAGTACAAACTTACTAAACAGACTCAAATTCAAGAAATATATCTTGGGTAAAAATATAAAATTGAAAGTCATAGGCATATAGATGGTATTTAAAGCCAGGAGATTGAGTGAATTCACTCAAGGAGTGCGTATAAGTGAAGAAGAGAAGAGGACTAAAGAAGGAAACCTGGAGTACTTCAATATTAAGAAGTCTTAAAGCAAAGAAGATGAGGAGTAGCCAGTGATGTAGGTGGAAAACCAAGATAATAAGGTGCCCTGAAAACCAGATAAGGAATATTAAATTAAGTTGGGTGCCCCCAGAAAACAAACCCTGAAACGAGGATTACATATACAGGTAGTTTGCTTAGGAAGTGAGCTCAGGGGAGCAGAGAAGTGAGACATAGATAATAGCAGCCAATAAAGTGTTTATCAAACAAGTTACCATTGCAGGTAACTGGAGCTTAATCGCACTGGAGAATATCTGGTAAATGACATGGCCTCAAGAGAGGGGTAATAGAGCTAGGTTATTTCCACACCAACTCATATCAGTCATTGGTTAAAAACTGCTTAAGGGAGGGGAAAGCAGTATTACTCTGCTGGCATTTCTAGCCATCTGAGCATAGGCAGAGTGAACTCTGGCAGCTGAAGAAATCCCTCAGAAAAAGAGATACTAGTAACTGAAAGTGGAAAAGCATGCATTGATATGAGGGGATATGAGCAGGACATCTATAGCATCTGCTACAGTTACCAGACAAGAGGGCAAATCAATAGTCAAATGCTGCTGATAGGCCAACTAACATGAGAACCGAGAATTGACAATTGCATATAGCCACATGGAGGTCACTGGTGATATCCAAAGAGCAACTTCAGGTAGTGAGGATGAGAAGAAGCCTAAGTGGAATGAGTCCGAAATAATGGGAAATAGGATTTAGAAACTGTGTGAATATCTAAGGTGTTTCACTGCAAAAGAGAGCAAAGTGGAATAAGGGCATAGGTAAAGTGGTGAAAATGGTGGTAAGAGGCGGCTTCTTTTTTTAATTAAAGAGAGGAAAGAAGTAGTGATCAAGTGAAAGAAGAGGAAACAGTGGTTTGAAAAGAGGAACGAAGGTGTGAAGTAGTCATAAAGAAGAGTAGGAAAATTAAGGAACCAGGAAAGTATAGTATGATTGCCCCAGAGCAGTAAAGACCCACTTGAGGTTCATCATCATCAATGTAAAGTGAGGGTAGTCAGCGTAGTTCGCTTTAGTTCTAGTTAGCTACATGGCTGTAGGCACAGAGTAGTAGAGACTTGCATTTAACCAGCAGTGGGATTTTGTCAAGTGAGTATATTAAAAGCAAGAACAGAGTAACTTAAAGCCAATCTTCTGCAAGATGTAAATACAGTTAAAGCTTTCCTTACTCACTGATGCTTTTAACTTCCTAGTCCTTTGTGGGTTCATCCTTCTTAGTGATATCAACAAAAGCCAGTCTTTGTCTAAAAGTATGTTTATTTTACAATCATCTTTGAATCATAGTTTGGCTGAATCTAAACTTGTAGATTGTCATTTTATCTTAGAACTCTGGAAACAAATGATTCTTTTTTTTTTTTTTTTGAGACGGAGTCTCACTCTGTCACCTAGGCTGGAGTGCAGTGGCGCCATCTCAGCTCACTGCAAGCTCTGACTCCCAGGTTCACTCCATTCTCCTGCCTCAACCTCCAAAGTAGCTGGGACTACAGGCGCCCGCCACCACGCCTGGCTAATTTTTTTGTATTTTTAGTAGAGACGGTGTTTCACCGTGTTAGCCAGGATGGTCTTGATCTCCTGACCTCATGATCCACCTACCTCGGCCTCCCAAAGTGCTGGGATTACAGGTGTGAGCCACCACGCCTGGCCATGATTCATCTTTGAATCATAGTTTGGCTGAATCTAGACTTATAGATTGTCATTCTATCTTAGAACTCTAGAAACTAATGCTGGTGTCTGTCCCTGAGGAGAGTATAATAAAGCTGGTTCCACAAGGTTGAAAAACTGAAAACTGGATTCAGCCACTACTGCAGGAAGGAACTGCATCTTCCAGCCTTTCAGACTCCCTCTAGCACTCTCCGTTGGCAGAATTTAACATGGAGCCAGAAACATAGTTTACAGAGTCTCAGGCTCAGCATCATAAAGCTAAGTATAGAACGGTAGGATTGGAGCTGAGAGACAATAACTAAATAGCTGAAAGAGTACCCTTTTGGCTACTCAGCTACAATCCTTCTGCATGTATTTGAACTTCTATTTATCAAAAAAAAACCTCTGTTTCCACCTAATAAGATGCAACTATTCTTCTTATAAATGAAGATATTCTTTTTCACCCTCTCCACAGAATGAGGAGAAACAAAGTTCCAACAGTCCATCTCGGGTAGACAGTCATACTATCTCTGAGCTGTGTTAATTACTTATCAAATTTAGTTACAGTGCTATCTGAATATTCTGTTACCTAAAGCCTAAATTGTAAAGTTAACATATAACAAAACTAATATTTAAATTAAAAATGGAAAGAGGGAAAAGAAAATATATACCATGTGCATGTGCGCACACACACTCACACACATATACACATAGACATACATATATACACACACTACATATATATGTATTTATGTATTGATTGTTTCCTGGACTCTTTTTGCTGTTAAAAAAATAAGCTGTCTTAATTGGGTTTTTTTGTTTGTTTGTTTGTTTTGGAGGGGGACAGAGTCTTGCTCTGTCACCCAGGCTGGAGTGCAGTGGCGCAATCTCAGTTGACGGCAACCTCTGCCTCCTAGGTTCAAGCAATTCTCCTGCCTCAGCCTCCTGAGTAGCTGGGACTCCAGGCATGAGCCACATGCCCGGCTAATTTTTGTATTTTTAGTAGAGATGGGGTTTCACCATGATGGCCAGGCTGGTCTCAAACTCCTGACCTCAAGTGGTCCACCTGCCTTGGCCTCCCAAAGTGCTGGGATTACAGGTGTGAGCCACCACACCCAGCCTTAATTATTTATTAATAGCTACTTTTTCTCTTGTAACTTTTAAGATTATCTCTATCTTTGAAGTTTTCATTATAATGTCTCCAAATATACACTTCTTTTCATTTTTTTGCTCAAGACTTGTGATTCCTGAAACTAAAAATTCATGCCTTTCATCAATTCTTGAAAATTCTTAGGCTTTATGTTTCAAATATTGCCTCTTCTCTTTTTCTTTTACTTTTGGAAACTCCCATTATGTATATGATGGACTTTCTTATTCTGTCTTTCCTATCTTTTTCCATATTTTCCACTTTTTATATTGTTCTCCTTTTTCTTAGAATTTCTCAAATCTCTCTTCCAGTTCACTAATTCTCTCTACAACTCCATCTCACACTGTTTATTGAAAATGCCAATAACAATTTTTTATTTCTAGATATCATTTTACATCTTTTGCACACTAGCCTGTTCTTTTCCTCAATTTTTTATTCTTATGCTTCTATCTATGCCCTTTCTTTCTCTTTAATAGGTTTAATTTAATTTAATTAATTTATTTATTTGAGTCAGAGTCTCATTGTGTCACCCAGGCTGGAGTGCAGTGTCATGATCTCAGCTCACTGCAGCCTCCACCTCCTGAATTCAAGTGACTCTTGTGTCTCAGCCACCCAAGTAGCTGGGATTACAGGCATGTGCCACCACACCCAAATAATTTTTTTTTTGTGTGTGTGTTTTTAGTAGAGACAGGGTTTCAGTGTTGGCCAGGCTGGTCTCAAACTCCTGGCCTCAAGTGATCCACCTTCCTCAGCCTCCCAACGTGCTGGGGATTACAGATGTGAGCTACTGTGCCCAGTCTCTTTAATGGACTTTAAATATGCAGTGTTTCAAATCTGTGTCCCTATCATGTGCTCAGGAACTTATCTCCCTGCTCCTGCTTGGGCATTAAAACAAAGCTGTTGCCAGATCTGGTCAGATAACCCACTAGGGTTATCTCCACATCAAATTGAGTATTTATCTCAGCACCATAGGAAAGGTTAATAAAAAAAGAAAGAAAAAAAATTGACTACATATCAACTTGACTCTTAAAACCCTCTCTATTTCCTGAAACCAAAAATTTTTCTTCCTTTCTGACAAACTCAGCCATCCATCTACAATTATTTTGTCATTTTTTAATCCATTTTAGATATTTGTAGCAAGTAGGATGTCCTACTCTATTGTTTTGCTGGAAAAAGAAGTTGTGTTCATAATTTCTAAGTAGTTTATGATCTCAGTTTCAACTTATTTAACTCAGCAGTTATTTAAAGTATTTTATTTATAATTTCCAAGTAGAGAGGATTTCTTAAATCTCTTTCTGTGGTTGATTTCACATTTTTTCTTCTTTTATTTTTATTTTATTTTATTTTATTTTATTTATTTTATTTTATTTTTTTTGAGACAGAGTCTCACTCTGTCACCAGGCTGGACTGCAGAGCGATCTCGGCTCACTGCAACCTCCATCTCCCAGGTTCAAGCAATTCTCCTGCCTCAGCCTCCCAAGTAGCTGGGACTACAGGAGCACACCACCACACCCAGCTAATTTTTGTGTTTTTAATACAGATGGAGTTTCACCATGTTGGCCTGGATGGTCTTGATCTCTAGATCCACCCACCTTGGCCTCCCAAAATGCTGGGATTACAGGTGTGAGCCACCGCACCCAGCTGACTTTAAATTATAATTAGAATATGACTAATATACTTTTTGCCTTTGAGTAATTTATTGAGATTTAAATTTTTGTCTTAAAACATGATCAATTTTAGTAACTGTTGCAATAATATTTGCCAAAAAAGTCATAGTCCTGCTTGTTAATTATGATTTTTTTTTTTGAGACAGAGTCTCACTCCATCACGCAGGCTGGAGTGCAGAGGCCCGATCTCTGCTCACTGCAACCTCCGCTTCCAGGGTTCAAGTGACTCTCCTGCCGCAGCCTCCTGAGTAGCTGGAATTACAGGCACATGCCACCACACCTAGCTAATTTTTGTATTTTTGTAGAGCCAGGGTTTCACCATGTTGGCCAGGCTGGTCTTGAACTCCTGACCTCAAGTGATCTGCCCACCTCAGCTTCCCAAAGTGCTGGGATTACAGGCGTGAGCCACCACACCTGGCCTAATTATGTTTTATATATTGAGCAGTTTCAATGTCAGTTTTACCCCTTCAAAAATTTTGTTTTCTTCACATAGTAAATAGTAATGATCAAGTGAATGAACTCTCTGAAATTTCAATCAGTAATGTATTTTGCTTTGGTGATGTTCAAACAATTAATTAACTCATTCTGCATTTAGTTGATCACTGGCTATGTGCCAGGCATTATGCTAGATTTTGAGAGAAAGACATGATCCCTGACTTCCCGAGTTTACAATGTAATTATATAAATGTAAATTCACTCAAGGTGAAATATATTACAAGGAGTCAGATTTTATTGTCATTTTTAACTTACCCCATAATTAAGGCAAAAGAACAAGAGGGAAGGGGATAGGGAAGACCAAAAAGAAGAAGAAAGAAGAAAAAGAAAATTAAAAATAGAGGTGTTCTTGTGGTATTATTTATATTAACCATGAAACAGCTCCCAAATTATTGAGAAATTATACAGTTTCTGTTTTACTTTATATGATATTGTTTTATCATTGTAAGAGATTTTATTTTACTTAGGTTAAAAGAAAAATTTCTGACTCCCCTCCTTGACTCTAGATAGCTAAACAAGGCCTGATACAGTGGCTCATGCCTGTAACCCTAGCACTTTGGGAGGCCAAGCCAGATGGATCACTTGAGGCCAGGAGTTCAAGACTAGCCTGGGTAACACAGGGAGACCCGATCTCTACAAAAAGTACAAAAAATTAGCCCCATGTGCTGTTGCATGCCTGTAGTCCCAGCTACTCCGAGGGCCTGGGGTGGGAGGATGGCTTAAGCCCAGGAGGTCAAGGCTGCAGTGAGCCATGATCATGCCACTGCACTCCAGCCAGGATGGCAGAGTGAGACCTTGTCTCAAAATAGTAAATAAATAAATAAATAAATAAATAAATAAATAGCTAAACAAGCTTTTACTATGCTTTGCTCTTCCCCCAGCAGCTCAGGATTATACACACACACACACACACACACACACACACACACACACACATATAATTATATATATACAAACACAGGTACATATATATGATATATAATGTTATATGTAGTTATAATGTTATATGTTAATCATAATTACATATATTATATGTTAATTATAATTACATATAATGTATATAATTTGATATAGTTTGGCTGTGTCCCCACCCAAATCTCAACCTGAATTGTGTCTCTCAGAATTCCCACATGTTGTGGGAGGGAACTACAGGGTGGTAATTGAATCATGGGGGCCAGTCTTTCCCATGCTATTCTCATGACAGTGAGTAAGTCTCATGAGATCTGATGGGTTTATCAGGGGTTTCTGCTTTTGCTTCTTCCTTATTTTCTCTTGCCACTGCCACGTAAAAAGTGCCTTTCACCTCCCGCCATGATTCTGAGGCCTCCCCAGCCATGTGGAACTGTAAGTTCAATTAAACCTCTTTTTCTTCCCAGTCTCAGGTATGTCTATCAGCAGCATGAAAATGGACTAATACATAATTATAATGTCATAATATAAAATATGACATAATTCTTATATTCTTACCTATGACTATTTCCCTTCCTCTAAAGGAGAGCAGATTCATGCTGGGGATGTGAAAAATGTTCTGGAAAACATGGGAATAGAGATCACAAATAAGGAGCACAAAAAGCTTCTGAAAACTCTGCCAGTTTCTGGTAAGCATTTACATGTGTTCTCCTTCACTGATGTCCAAAAATATATTCATTCAGCACTTACTGAAGATCATTTTCTGTGTGGCACTATCTAAAACCTGAGAGAACAGGGACCATGTCTGATTCCCCAAGTCCTTACACTCTTGAAAATTTCAAAGAGGTTGGTTTTAAGGTTTTGTATTAGAAATTCTAATATTTGAAACAGTTGTTCAATTAAAAATATTTTTTAAAAGGCTCAGTCCTAGCATTTCTAAAAATCCTGTTATTATTATATTGGTTTAGGAAACATGAACCTCTTCAGTCAGAAGTCCTATCATAAGGCAATTTCTTTTGTCCCCCCTAGGAAAAAGATAAGACTTAAGGTATAAACTGAAAAAAAGTAAGAGCAGAAGGGGTAGAAAAGGTGAAGAAAGAAAAGATGAAGGTAAATTAGAGAGGAGAAAACAAGAAAAGAAAGGCTATGTGTAGTTCAGCACGGTAGGGCACCACTAACAATAGTTTGTATTCTATCCAGTGGATAGGTTCACTACACTGAGTTTTCCAAATACCTTTCATTTCATTGAGATTAAATTGTAATAAATTTCTAAATTTTCCCTTCCTGTAAGTATATATTTTAATTTTTATGAATCTCTGAAAGCATTATTAATCATGTTTTATCCTACAGCTGATAAAAAGGTGTTTAAGAAAGAATTATTGGATGGTGTGAAATCCTTCAGAGGTAAGTGAGGAAAAGGATAAGGACAATAATATTTGATATTGTTCTAATTGGTTTTTTCTGATTACATAAATAAGCAGAAAATTATGCATTTTATTCAACAAATATTCAAGTGTCTACTAGATGCTGGGTATTTGAGAATAATCTGGAATATATATAGTAGCATACAGAAAAAATGTAATTACCCACAATTTCAAGTAATATTACCTTTTCTATTACAGATATCTTTGATCTTTTTCCTGTGCATATATGTGTATTATTAATTAAACTCTTACTAGAAATGTTACGTATCCTGCATTTAATCCTAAAATTTTAGTGTAATAATTTCACCATGTTATTTAAAATTTCTTTGTAAACATCATTTTAATTACTATATCATCTGGTTGTATTATAATTTACTTAATCATTGTTCTCTTGTTGAACATTTATTTAGTGTTTTTCTCTTATGTGTCTCTGATCTTCATACATAAATCTTGATCCAACTTTAAAGTCATTTTCTTTGGATATATTCTTCCAGCAGGAATTTGCACCTCCATACATAGTATTACCGTCATGCCCTAAACACAGTATATTATTTTTATATTTTTTATTCTTGTTCATTTGATGGATGAAAAAATTGAATTAATTTGATGAAAATATTGAATCTAATTATTGTTCTGATTTTTTTGTTATCGATAAAGTTGAAAATATTTTTATATTGGTGATATGTAGCTGTGGTCCCAGCTACTCAGGAGGCTGAGGCAGGGGGATCACTTGAGCCCAGGAGTTTGAGGCTGCAGTGAGACTGGATGGCAGAGCCAGACCCTGTCTCAAAAAATATATTAAAATAAAAACAATTTTTAAATCGGCTTTATATTGTTGTGTTAGTCCATTTTCATGCTGCTGATAAAGACATATCTGAGACTGGGCAATTTAGAAAAGAAAGAGGTTTAATGGATTTACAGTTCCATATGGCTGGGGAGGCCTCACAATCATGGCGGAAGGCAAGGAGGAGCAAGTCACACCTTACATGGATGGTGGCAGGCAAAGAGAGAGAGCTTGTGCAAGGAAACTCCCCGTTATAAAACCATCAGGTCTTGTGAGTCTTATTCACTATCACAAGAACAGCATGAGAAAGACCTGCCCGCATGATTCATTACCTCCCACCGGGTCCTTCCCACAACACATGGGAATTCAAGATGAGATTTGAGTGGGGATACAGCCAAACCATATCAATTGTTTTATATTTAAATCACAGAATTCTCACAAGGATAGTGGTTGTTTTCTCTTTAATGGAAAAAGAAAGCTTATTTTGAGGATTTTTTCATTCATCAAACATTAGACTGGCATAGTGTGGGGAGTGTGGTGGGGGAGGGGCTACAAAAAGCAGAAGATAGTTCTTTAATTTCTTTTTTTGTTGTTTTTTTTTTTTTTTTTTTTTGAGATGGAGTTTCACTCTTGTTGCCCAGGCTGGAGTACAATGGCACAATCTCAGCTCACTGCAACCTCCATCTCCTGGGTTCAAGCGATTCTCCTGCCTCAGCCTCCCAAGTAGCTGGGATTACAGGCATGTGCCACCACACCCAGCTAATTTTGTATTTTTAGTAGAGACGGGGTTTCTCCATGTTGGTCAGGCTGGTCTTGAACTCCCGACCTCAGGTGATCCATCCACCTCAGCCTCCCAAAGTGCTGGGATTACAGGTGTGAGCCACCATGCCCGGCTGGTAGTTCTTACTTTCAAAGAGTTTATAATCTACTTAGAGAACAAAATATATACATAAAATCACTCATAGAAAATTTTGATCAGCACCATAAGACAGGGCAAGAAAAAAATTTAAGCTGGGCGTGGTGGCTCACACCTGTAATCCCAGCACTTTGGGAGGCCACTGTGGGTGGATCACGAGGTCAGGAGTTCGAGAGCAGCCTGGCCAACAAGGTGAAACCCCATCTCTACTAAAAATACAAAAATTAGCCGGGCATGGTGGTGCCCACCTGTAGTCCCAGCTATTCGGGAGACTGAGGCAGGAGAATCGTTTGAACCCAGGAGGCGGAGGTTGCAGTGAGCCAAGATCACGGCACTGCACTACAGCTTGGGTGACAAAGCGAGACTTCGTCTCAAAAAAAAAAAAATTTAAAAATTTTTAAAAATTTTAAAAACATAAATGAAAAAGGAAAAAATTTTTCAAAAAGAAAATGTTTTTATATCATTACATCTTTTAATCTATTGAAGTCCAAACATTGTTTCTATTAATATGAATGACCTCTTTATAGATTAAATATTAGCACATTGTCATACCTATTGTAAATATTTTCTGAATTCGTTATCGGCTTTTTATTTTATTGTATTTTTACAACAGCTTTATTGAGATATAGTTCATATACCATACAATTAACCTACTTAAAGTGTATAATTCAATGGGTTTTAGTATACTAACAGAGTTGTGCAGTATCACCACAATCAGCTTTAGAATATTTCAGCACTGCAAAAAGAAACTCAATACCCATTAGCAGTCACTACTTATACCCCCCAACTCTCGCAGACCTAGGCAACTACAAATCTACTTTTTATCCATTATGTTGTATTTTGATATATGGCCATTTTTCATGTTTATGTATTTAATTTTATCAGTCATTTCTTCTGTGATTGACTTTTAAGTCCTTTATAAGCTAGCCAGTGTGTGAAGAATCACATATATTTAGTTTTCTTTGTTTTTCTATTATTTCACTTTTTACATTTAATTATTTATCTGAAATATATATTGACTCTTTATTGACTCTTTTTAAATCCCCATGTTTCAGAATGATTTGATCAAAACTACACCAATAGTTTTCAGTAATTTTCCCCATTAACTGGAGTCCTCCTTTATGTACAATTACACTTGGGAGATAATTTATTATTACTGTAGCAAATTTCAAATCTTACTTTTTGACAGAATAACATGATTTGGTTGTTATCTCTAATTCATCAGAAATGCCAAACTCTTTACTTCTCCTCCCAGTATAAACTTCTTCCAGAAGTTTAATTTTGGAAGCATATTCTGTTCCTGACGCCCACATGACTTGCTGTAAATAGCTTCTTTCTGCTTTCATTTCTGAGTAGGGGTTGAGAGTATGCATTTTTCATTTTATGACATCCTTATCTACTTTTTCTTGTTTCTATGAAGGAGGGCAGGTTAATGTCAATGACCTAACAAGTGTTCTACAAAACACTGGGTTCAGACTCGAAGCAAAAGAAATCAACGACCTGAAGACTCACATGCCAGTGACTGGTGAGCATTTAAGACACCTTTATCCTGTAGATAATGACTAGTCTACTGTGAAAGCAAAGAGTAAAGACATGTTGGAGAGAGAAAAACTGGGGACAGAGATACAATTTAAGATACTGTTAATAAGGTACAGGTGATAAGGGCCTTACCTGGGAACCACACATACATGGGGAAGACTGATTTGATGTGGTGGGTGAAAGGGAGGGAGATACTAAAGTGTGCACCAGAAGTTTATCACTTATGTGACTGCCAAAAAACCATTTTTAAGAACAGGGAGAAGGATAGCAGAGGAAGCAGAATGAAGAAAAATCTTTGAAATATAGTTGAATTGAGGTACTTATAGGACACTCAGTATCAGACAATTGAAAATGCATTCCCTAATTATTAGTTATTCATCTTTAAACAAGGTACATCAAACCGTGAGAATCATCACCAGGGTTAAAACAGTGTCTCAGAGTGTCTCTATGAGGACAAGAATACCAAAAGAATGGAAAGATAGAATAAAGAAATATTTGAGAGATAAAAAATGGAATAAAAGAGTAGGATAAGGAAGAAAGAGATTACAGAAAGAGATGAGGGGAGGGTAAGAGAAAATAAAAAGTATAAGAAGAGATGAAAAGATATATCCATCAGGATACAGACCAATCTCCTATTTTTGAATTTTTATATATTTTTTTATTATTTCAATAGCTTTGGGGGAACAGGTGGTATTTGGTTACATGGATAAGTTATTTAGTGGTAATTTCTGAGATTTTAGTGCACCCATTACCCGAGCAATGTACACTGCACCCAATGTGTAGCCTTATCCCTCACCCCACTTCTAACCTTCCCCTTGAGTCCCCAGAGTCCATTATATCGTTTGTATGCCTTTGCATCCTTATAGCTTAGCTCCCACTTATAAATGAGAACATACAATGTTCATTTTTCCATTCCTGAGTTACTTCACTTAGAATAATGGTCTCCAACTCCATCCAAGTTGCTGTGAATGCCATTATTTCATCCTTTTTATGGCAGAGTAGTATTCCATGGTATATATATGTACCACATTGTCTTTATCCACTCATTGGTCGATGGGCATTTAAGCTGGTTCCATATTTTTGCAATTGCAAATTGTGCTGCTATAAACATGCATGTTCATGTGTCTTTTTCATATAATGACTTCTTTTCCTCTGGGTAGATACCCAGTAGTGGGATTGCTAGATCAAATGGTAGATCTACTTTTAGTTCTTTAAGGAGTTTCCATACTGTTTTCCATAGTGGTTATACTAGTTTACATTCCCACCAGCAGTGTAAAAGTGTTCCCTTTTTACCACATCCACACCAACATCTATTATTTTTTGATTTTTTAATTATGGCCATTCTTGCAGGAGTAAGGTGGTACCACATTGGGGTTTTGATTTGCATTTCCCTGATCATTAGTGATGTTGAGCATTTTTCATACATTTGTTGGCTGTTTGTATGTCTTCTTTTGAAAATTGTCTATTCATGTCCTTTGCCCACTTGTTGATGGGATTTGTTTTTTCTTGCTGATTTGTTTGAGTTCCCTGTAGATTGTGGATATTTGTCCTTTGTTGGATGTATAGTTTGCAAAGATTTTCTCCCACTCTGTGAGTTGTCTGTTTACTCTGCTGATTATTTCTCTTGCTGTGCAGAAGCTTTTTAATTAAGTCACATCTATTTATCTTTCTTTTCATTGCATTTGTTTTTGAGTTCTTGGCCATAACATCTTTCCCTAAGCCAATGTCTAGAAGAGTTTTTCTGATGTCATCTTCCAGAATTTTTATGGATTTGGGTCTTAGATTTAAGTCTTTGATTCATCTTGAGTTGATTTTTGAATAAGGTGAGAGATAAGGGCCCAGTTTCATTCTCCCACGTGTAGCTTGCCAATTTTTACAGCACCATTTGTTGAATAGGGTGTCCTTTCCCCACTTCATGTTTTTTGTTTTTTTGTTTTATTTTGGTTTTTTTGTAGATATGGGGTTTCACCATGTTGGCCAGGCTCCTGGCCTCAAGTGATCTGCCCACCTTGGCCTCCCAAAGTGCTGGGATTATAGGCGTGAGCCACCATGCCTGACCTGTTTACGTTTTTGTTTGTTTTATTGAAGATCTGTTGGCTGTAAGTATTTGGCTTTTTTCTGGGTTCTCTATTCTGTTCCGTGCCTATTTTTATACCAGTACTATGCTGTTTTGGTGACTATGGCCTTATAGTATAGTTTGAAATCAGGTAATGTGATGCCTCCAGATTTGTTATTTTTGCTTAGTCTTGCTTTGGCTATGTGGACTCATTTTTTGTTCCATATGAATTTTAGAATTGTTTTTTCTAGTTCTGTGAAGAATGATGGTGGTATTTTGATGGGAATTCCATTGAATTTGTAGATTGCTTTTGGCAATGTGGTCATTTTCACAATATTGAATGTACCCATCCATGAGCATGGGATGTGTTTCCATTTGTTTGTGTTGTCTATAATTTCTTTCAGCAGTGTTTTGTAGTTTTCCTTGTAGAGTTCTTTCACCTCCTTGGTTAGGTATATTCCTAAGTATTTTTTTTTTTTGCAGCTATTGTAAAAGAGGTTGAGTTCTTAATTTGATTCTCAGCTTGGTTACTGTTGGTATACAGGAGAGCTACTGATTTATGTACATTAATTTTGCATCTGGAAACTGCTGAATTATTTTATCAGTTCTAGCAGCTTTCTGGGGGAGTCTTCAGGGTTTTCTAGGTAGACAATCATGTCATCAGCAAACAGCAACAGTTTAACTTCCTTCTTATCAATTTGGATGCCCTTTATTTCTTTCTCTTGTCTGATTGCTCTGGCTAGGACTTGCATTACTATGTTGAACAGAAGTGGTGTGAATGGGCATCCTTATCTTGTTTCAGTTATCAGAGGGAATGCTTTCAACTTTTCCCCATTTAGTATTATGTTGGCTGCAGGTTTGTCATAGATGGCTTTTATTACATTGAGGTATGTCCCTTGTATGCCAATTTTGCTGAGAGTTTTAACCATAAAGGGATGCTGGATTTTGTCAAATGCTTTTTCTGCATCTATTAAGATGAGGATGTGATTTTTGTTTTTAATTCTGTTTATGTGGTGTACCACATTTACTGACTTGCATATGTTAAACCATCACTGCATCCCTGGTATGAAATTCACCTGATCATAGTGGATTATCTTTTTGATATGTTGTTGGATTCGGTTAGCTAGTATAGTATTTTGTTAAAGATTTTTGCATCTATGTTCATCAGGGATACTGGTCTGTAGTTTTCTTATTTGGTTATGTCTTTTCCTGGTTTTTGTATTAGGGTGATACCGGCTTCATAGAATGATTTAGGGAGGAATCCCTCTTTATCTTGTGGAATGGTGTCAATAGGATTGGTACCAATTCTTCTTTGAATTTCTGATAGAATTCAGCTGTGAATCCATCTGGTCCTGGACTTTATTTTCTTGGCAATTTTTTATTATCATTTCAATCTTGCTGCTTGTTACTGGTCTGTTTAGAGTTTCTGTTTCTTTCTGGCTTAATCTAAGAGGGTTGTGTATTTCCAGAAATTTATCCATCTCCTTTAGGTTTTCTAGTTTATTCATGTAAAGGTGTTCATAGTAGCCTTGAATGATCTTTTGTATTTCTGTAGTATCAGTTGTAATATCTCCTATTTTGTTTCTAATTGAGCTTATTTGGATCTTCCCTCTTCTTTTCTTGGTTAATCTTACTAATGGTCTATCGATTTTATTTATCTTTTCAAAGAACCAGCTTTTTGTTTCGTAATTCTTTTGTATTTTTTTGTTTCAATTTCATTTAGTTCTGCTCTGATCTTGGTTATTTCTTTTCTTCTGCTGGGTTAGGGTTTGGTTTGTTCTTGTTTCTCTAGTTCCTTGAAGTGTGTCCTTAGATTGTCTATTTGTGCTCCTTCAGACTTTTTGATGTAGGCATTTAAGGCTATGAACCTTCCTGTTAGCACTGCCTTTTCTGTATCCCAGAGCTTTTGATAGGTTGTATCACTATTATCATTCAGCTCAAAGAATTTTTTAATTTCCATCTTGATTACATTGTTAGCCCAACAATCATTCAGGAACAAGTTATTTAATTTCCATGTATGTGTATCAAACCCCTTTTAGAGTTTATTTCCAATTTTATTCCACTGTGGTGTGAGAGAGTACTTGGCTACTATTTCAGTTTCCTTAAATTTGTTGAGACTTGTTTTATGCCCTATCATATGTTCAACTTGGAGAATGTTCCATATGCTGATGAATAGAATGTATATTCTGCAGTTGTTGGATAGAATGTTCTGTAAATATCTGTTAAGTCCATTTGTTCTAGGATACAGTTTAAACCCGTTGTTTCTTTGTTGACTTTCTGTCTTGATGACCTGTCTACTGCTATCAGTGGAGTATTGAAGTCCCCCATTATTACTGTGTTGCTGTCTGTCTCATTTCTTAGGTCTATTAGTAATTGTTTTATAAATTTGGGAACTTCAGTGTTAGGTGCATATATATTTAGGATTGTGATATTTTCCTGGACAAGTCCTTTTATCATTATATAATGCCCCTCTTTGCCTTTTTTAACTGCTGTTGCTTTAAAGTTTGTTTAGTGTGATACAAGCATAGCTACTCCTGCTCTGTTTTGGCGTCCATTTGCATGGAATATCTTTTTCCACCCCTTATCTTAAGTTTATGTGAGTCCTTATGTGTTAAGTGAGTCTCCTGAAGGCAGCAGATACTTGTTTGATGAATTCTTAGCCATTCTGTATCTTTTAAGTGGAGCATTTAGGTCATTTACATTCAACATTAGTGTTGAGATGTGTGGTACTATTCTGTTCATCGTGCTGCTTTTGCCTGAATATCGTGTGTGGTTTTGTTTGTTTGTTTGTCTGTTTGTTTTTATTGTGTCATTGTTTTATAGGTCCTGTGAGATTTATGCTTTAAGGAGGTTCTATTTTGGTGTATATTTTGGTGTATTTTGAGGATTTGTTTCAAGATTTAGAGCTCCTTTTAGCAGTTCTTGTAGTGCTGGCTTGGTAGTGATGAATTCTCAAAGCATTTGTTTGTCTGAAAAAGACTGTATCTTTCCTTTATTTATGGAGCTTAATTTCACTGGATACAAAATTATTGGCTGATAGTATACTTTAAGGAGGCTAAAGATAGGGCCCCAATTCCTTCTAGCTCATAGGTTTCTGCTGAGAAATCTGCTGTTAATCTGATAGGCTTTCCTTTATAGGTCACCTGGTGGTTTTTGCCTCACAGCTCTTAAGATTCTTTCCTTCATCCTAACTTTGGATAACCTGATGACTGTGTGCCTAGGTGATGACCTTTTTGCAATAAATTTCCCAGGTGTTCTTTGAGCTTCTTGTATTTGAATGTCTGGATCTCTAGCAAGTTCAGGGAAGTTTTCCTCAATTATTCCCTCACTTGAACCCAGGAGTTCAAGAGCAGCCTGGGCAACTTAGGGAGACCCCATCTCTTCAAAAAATAAGAAAAAATTAGCTGGCCTGCTGGTATGCATTTGTGGCCCCAGCTACTTGGGAGGCTGAGGTGGGAGGATCACTTGAGCCCAGGAGGTCGAGGCTGCAGGGAGCCAGGATCATGCCACTGCACTCCAGCATGGGCGACAGAAAAAAATCCTATCTTAAAAAGAAAAAGAAATTCTGGGCCAGGCGCCATGGCTCATGCCTGTAATCCCAGCACTTTGGGAGGCCAAGGTGGGCGGATCATCTGAGGTCGGGAGTTCAAGGCCAGCCTGACCAACATGGAGCAACCCCATCTTTACTAAAACACAAAAATTAGCCGGGCATGGTGGCACATGCCTGTAATCCCAGCTACTTGGGAGGCTGAGGCAGGAGAATCATTTGAACCTGGGAGGCAGAGGTTGCAGTGAGCCAAGATCGCGCCATTGCACTCCAGCTTGGGCAACAAGAGCGAAACTCCATCTCAAAAAAAAAAAAGAAAAGAAAAGAAAAAGAAATTCTGCTTTCATTTAGGTTTGTTATCTTTACCACAATTTATCAAATTTGTCTAATTCTTTTTCATCCATATTACTTCAATTGAAAATTATAGCTCAATGTTGAGGGAGCATTTTCTCTTCTCAACTCTGACACTGAGTGGCCAATATATTATTTCATTCTCCACTTGATATAAATGCATATTTAAAGTTAGCATCTTCTGGGCCGGGTGCAGTGGCTCACACCTATAATCCCAAAACTTTGGGAGGCCGAGGCAGACAGATCACCTGAGGTCAGGAGTTTGAGACCAGCCTGGCCAACATGGTGAAACCCCATCTCTACTAAAAATACAAAAATTAGCTGAGCGTGGTGGCACACACCTGTAATCCCAGCTATCTGGGAGGCTGAGGCAGGAGAATCACTTGAACCCAGGAGGCAGAGGTTGCAGTGAGCTGAGATCATGCCATTCCAACCTGGGCAACAAGAGTGAAACTCCATCTCAAAAATAGTAATAATAATAATAATAATAATAATAATAATAATAAAGCTGGCATCTTCCACTTCTTCAAATTACTTGTTTTTCTTATTCCATCCTCTTAATTCCTAAGGAAAAAAAGTCAATGTCAGTAATCTGGAAACTCTTCTAAATAATATAGAAATCGAAGTTGGGAAAGAGGAATATGAGGACCTACTGAACCATCTGCCAGTTGATGGTAAGTGTTTCAGATACCACTGTACCTAGGAGAAACGCAGGGCTTCTGTAGGAAGGCTTCTGAAAGTAAACCTATTTTTTAACCTCTTTGAAAAGCTTATGAAATATTTCAAACATACCTAAAAACAGAGAATAACATAACAAACATTGTGTGCCCACTGGCCAGAGTTAACAAATGCTACTATTTTGCCATACTTGCTTCATACATTCTCCTACCTCCCTCCCTGTTTCCTTCCCTCCCTCCCTTAATTCCTTCCCAAGTAAACCTTTTTATAATAAGACAAAGTTTTATTAATAACTCAGTAAGACCGTTTTAACTAGACAAAACTGTCGGAGGCAAAGCTAGAATAATTCATTAGGAAGAAATTGCTAAGGAATGAGCCCCTGGCTAAGATTTCCTTATTAGATGGCTCTTCCCCTTCAAAAACAAGCTTCCATCAGACAGCCAGACAGCACATCTTTCAGTAGAGCCAGCACATGCCAACCCAAAATAAATAATTTTTCTCCCCTAATTCAGGGTTTCTGTTCTCAACTAGCAATGGGCAGGTGTAACTAAAGTAGGCCACTGCTATCAGCAGACATCTTCCATGCTACCTTCACCTGTAGCTGGCCCTAATATAGAAAACAGTTTTGGCCTAATTTGTAGTTTTTTGTTTTGTTTTGTTGAGACCGAGTCTTGCTCTGTCACCCAGGCTGGAGTGCAGTGGCGTAGTCTCGGCTCACTGCAACCTCCACCTCCCGGGTTCAAGCAAGTCTCATGCCTCAATTTCCCAAGTAGCTGGGATTACGGGCATGCACTACCACACCCAGCTAATTTTTGTGGGTTCGTTTTTGTTTGTTTGTTTTTTCTTTTGTTTTTGACATGAAGTCTCCCTCTGTCGCCTAGGCTGGAGTGCAGTGGTGCGATCTCAGCTCACTGCAACCTCCGCCTCCCAGCTTCAAGCAATTCTCCTGCCTCAGCCTCCCGAGTAGCTGGGATTACAGGCACCCGCCACCACGCACGGCTAATTTTTTGTATTTAAAAATACAAATAATTATTTGTATTGTTTATAATAATTACAATACAATATAATATTGTGCTGTTTCACCTTGTTGGCCAGGCTGGTCTCCAACTCCTGACCTCAAGTGATCCACCTGCCTCGGCCTCCCAAAATGCTGGGATTACAGGCATGAGCCACCTCACCCAACCTAATTTTTGTATTTTTAATAGAAGCAAGGTTTCCCCATGTTGGCCAGGCTGGTCTCAAACTCCTGACCTCAAGTGATCTGCATGCCTTGCCCTCCCAAAGTGCTGGGATTACAGGCATGAGCCACCCTGCCCAGCCGTAATTTGTAGTTTAAAACCTCACGCTCCCTAGGCTTAACAACATTGATAATTATCCATAATTTTGTCTGGCCCTTCCTCCTATCCTGAAAAAAGTCACCATAAATTACTTTTTAATTGTAATGTTGTCCCTACATGTTTAGCTAGGGGGTCCTCAAAAATGCTTCCTGCTGGAAAATATTGTTACTGATGAGGTATTTTTTAGAATTCTTTATTTTTTTTAATGACAATTTTTTTTCTCATCCAATAGTGTGACTATTTCCATACCACTGAATTTTTTCATTTGTTTAGCTAGCACATACTATATGCAAAATAATGAACTAGAGAGTGGAAAATTTAAACCCAGTAGTATAATAAAATTAAGGCATAATTTCTGCACTCAAGTAGATTACAGTCTTGATGGGTAGAGGTGGGAACATAAGCAAAATTTGGAGATTAAGAAGATAGCATTCCTTCAAGGTTTAAAGGTTCACTGTTTATGTACATAAGTGACTTCTAGGTTTCAAATTCAATCATGTCTATTAAAATATGCTCCCCTTATGGGTCCGAAGGAAGAGAAAAGCCTATAGAAGGGATTACTGTTAAACTTGCTTCATCTCAATGTTGAGTCATTTGATGCTTTATAGAAAGTGGTATTAATGAAGTAGGTGTTCACTTTAAACTTACGGCTTGATCTTTTTCTACCCTCTGTTTCTTCTTCACTTTGAGTTAAAAGAGTTACTAGAGAAAATTAGGAGAAATAGCTGAATTCCAACCTTTATATTACAACTTAAATTTTCATGTCAGTTGTCTAAGATTTGGTCTCTATGTCTGACTTGTCTCGTCTCACAGAAAATGAAATGGTTGATGTGAATGTGGTGATGGATGAAGCAAAAGCTTTTACAGGTGAGTCAGAAGTCATGGTGAGAAGGGCATTCATTTTTAACTAAGACCTTAATGCTCTATAGAGAAAAAAATGTAAATGTTTTTAAACAGTAGATTTTGGCTGGGCATGTGGGCTCACGGCTGTAAACCCAGAACTTTGAGAGGCTGAGGCAGGAGGATCACTTGAGACCAGGAGTTCAAGACCAGCCTGAGGCAACAAAGCAATACCATGTCTCTACAAAAAAAAAAAATTAGGCGGACATGGTGGCATGTGCCTGTAGTCCCAACTACTTGGGAGGCTGAGGCAGCTGAGCCCAGGAGTTTTAGGCTGCAGTGAGCTATGATTACCACTGCACTCCTGCCTGGGAGACAGAGCAAAAACCTGTCTCATAAAAAATATATTTAAATAGCAGTTTTCTCTTCAGACTATTACTAACATGCTAAATTGACACCCCTACAAATGTAACGGTTAAATGTTTGTTTCATAATCTTACTCTTTGATTTGGGATTTTTCCTGTAGAGACTTATATTATGTAGAGGTTTGTTTGTTTTTTGTTTGTTTGTTTGTTTTTTTCTGAAACGGAGTCTCACTCTTGTTGCCCAGGCTAGAGTGCAATGGCACGATCTTGGCTCACTGCAACCTCCACCTCCCGGGTTCAAGCGATTCTCCTGCCTCAGCCTCCCGAGTAGCTGGGATTACAGGTGTGTGCCACCACACCCGGCTAATTTTTGTATTTTTAGTAGAGATGGGGTTTCACCATGTTGGCCAGGCTGGTCTTGAACTCCTGACCTCAGGTGATCCACCCACTTCGGCTTCCCAGAGTGTGGGATTACAGGCGTGAGCCACTGCACCTGGCCGGTAATTTTTTTCATAATTTGAAATCATTATTCTCGTCCTAAAATTCTTATATGTTAACAATTCCCATCTTTCCAAAGGAGAAAAAGTTAATGTCAGTAATCTGGGGAATGAGCTGAGGAAAATGGGGCTCGTACTCACTGATGAGGAGCACGAGAAGCTGCTGAAAACTCTGCCAATTCGCAGTGAGTATTTACCACATCCTTTGAGACTTGGATTTAGGGGCTTGTGTGTGAAAACTTCTTAAATTATACATGTATATGCCCAGTAAACCTCCTCTAGAAAACACAGTTATCACACTAAAAGACATCTTGGCCAGACGCGGTGGCTCTCAGCACTTTGGGAGGCCGAGGTGGGTGGATCAAGAGGTCAGGAGTTCGAGAACAGCCTGGCCAACATGGTGAAACCCTGTCTCTACTAAAAATACAAAAATTAGCCAGGCATGGTGGCATATGCCTGTAATCCCAGCTACACAGGAGGCTGAGGCAGGAGAATTGCTTGAACCTGGGAGATGGAGGTTGCAGTGAGCCAAGATCATGCCACTGCACTTCAGCCTGGGCGACAGAGCAAGACTCCGTCTCTCAAAAAAAAAAAAAAAAATCTTGTTGCCTGTTTTTGTTGCTTATATTTTAATACCGAAAGCTAGCAACATCTTTCACCGGGGGTGTCCCACCATCCGGGCTATATTATCCTGTCCCCCTGGGAGCACTGCCTAATCTTATCATGACCGATGAGAAGGAAACCAGGGAAGAAAGAAAAGGAAGGAAAAAGACAGAAATAGGGAAATACTGTATTTTATTCAACCAGTGGATAGATTTATAACAGGGAAAGTGTTCTTTATCTTTGGTTTCATTCTTAAATGTAACAGAGAAGAAACTTCCAAGCAAATTGAAAGGGGTTTTTTTCCCTGAAATTATGGATGTTGTGTTGTCTTTGTGCTGATTTTTTAGTCTTCCCATCATTTAACCCATATTCTGAATTGTGTCTTATCTTACAACTAGTGGAAAGGTATATAAGAATAGATTGCTCAAAGGTGTGAAGGCCCTCAACGGTGAGTAGGAAGCATGGTGGAAGAGCAAGTAAAAAAATTCCTATGTTTGGTATTTTCTTTTAAATGTTCCAACTTCGCTTCCTGCCAATTTACTGATTCATTGTTAGGACATAACTTACCATTCTTCTTTGGATGCATTGGCCTTTTGGGATATAAGTTAAAAAATCATATCACTATAGGAAGTAAATTAGTTGTTGTTTCAACCATAAGTCATTAGACTTGCCTGCTCCTTTCTATTGACCTCTCAGGGAAAACCAAAGCAGAACCCCCTAGATCAATATTAAGAGAAATACCCTATCTTTCCATACTAACACTGTGTAAGTAATTATTATTTCAATTGTTAATTAGAAAAAGATGTTTTAGAACACTAAAATAATACAAGAAAACTATGCAACTCTAACCACTTTAAAAAAAAAAACTGATACAGTCTGGCACAGTGGCTCATGCCTGTAATCTCAGCACTTTGGGAGACCAAGGCAGGCAGATCGCTTGAGGCCAGGATTTTAAGACCAGACTGGACAACATAGTGGGACCTCATCTCTACAAAAAATTTTAAAATTAGCTGGGCATGGTGACACATACCTATAGTACTACCTACTTAGGAGGCTGAGGCAGAAGGATTGCTTGAGCCCAGGAGTTCAAGGCTGCAGTTCCATCCTGGGCTACAGAGCAAAACTCTGTTTTTAAAAGAAAAAAAGAAATGTAAGTTCTCCTATCTTCCACAAATCCCCTCCCCATAAAGGTAAATACTGTTAACAATTCAGCAGTTATCTTTCTCAATTCTTTCCAACTTTTAACTGACATATCTAAATCTAAGGAAATACGCACACAGTCTGAGGAGATACACACACACACACACACATGTTAATAATTTCTTTGTATTCTTGTACTTTACCCTCCAACTGGGGTTTCTGATGCATGACCACGATTAACATTTTTCACTCTTAAACAATAACACTCATATTCTTATTCCATGCCCTTCTTTCTTAAGGGCCAAGGGTCAAAACAAAAAAGGTGGAGATTTTTTTGGAAAACATGGGAACTAAAATCAAGGATGAGGAACTTGAGGAACTCATTACCCAACTACCAACTGAGGGTGAGTATTACAAATATCTCTATCCTCTTCAGAAAAACCTTAAGCCCTTCCATTAGAACTGCTGAAATTAGCCTTTTTAGCATCATAATGAAGTAAATGTAAAAACTTAATTCTGACTCTTGATGAAATACCATCTTCAAAAATGCTTTTGAAAAGATATGTCAGGTATGCCACTTGAAGCCTCAGTCATGCCTGGGAATGCCACACACTTAAGGAGCTGAAAGAAAAATGAATTGAAGAGAACATTTAAGAGAAAAATTAAGAAACCTGAAAGTCAAATGATAAATTAGAAATGAATAGTTGCAAGCCAAAGAGCTAATATCCCTAAGGTAGCAAAAGCCCTTGTACATTGATAAGAAACATACTGATAATAGAAAAATAGGCAGAAACACAAATAGGTAATTCATACAAGAGGAAATACAATGTACATCCCCAAATAACATATGGAAAGATGTTTAACCTCACCAATGATCATGAAAATGCAAAATAAAACACAGCACTATCTTCATTCATTGGACTGGCAAAACTTAACAAGATTGATAATATTTAGTTCTTATGAAAATATGAGGAAAGGGACTAACTGATAAATTTGGGGTGAGAGTTGCCACTGCTATATATACTTTTTGAAAAGTCACCTGACAGTGTCTAAGGGGGGAAAGTCTTCTCTTTTCCCTGGTGAATCCAGCCTACGTTCCTCACGCAGTATACATTATTTCTTTGTGCTGGGTCCTGGTCCCTGTTTTGCCACAGACTTGCTGACAAATAATTTAACCCTACTTAATCTTAGTTTCCTCATATGTAAAATATCTTCAAGTTGAACTAAATGATGCTCTATGATTACTTCTTGCTCTGAAATTAATATATGTAATGCATGTAATGCAGTCTAGAATAGTCAGTAAATGTTAGTGATGACGGATGATGGTGTGGTGGTGATGATGATGGGGAAGATAGAAAAGTTGTTAAAGAGCAGAACAAAATGAGAGGCGCTCCCAGATGGCCAAATAGGAAAAGCTCCAGTCTGCAGCTCCCAGTGTGATCGATGCAGAAGATGGGTGATTTCTGCATTTCCATCTGAGGTACCTGGTTCATCTCATTGGGACTGGTTGGACAGTGGGTGCAGCCCACAGTGGGTGAGCTGAAGCAGGGCAGGGCATCACCTCACCTGGGAAGCGCAAGGGGTCAGGGGATTTCCCTTTCCTAGCCAAGGGAAGCCTTGACAGACTACCTGGAAAATGGGACACTCCTGCCCAAATACTGCACTTTTCCCAAGGTCTTAGCAACTGGCAGACAAGGAGATTCTCACCCATGCCTGGCTCAGCAGGTCCCATGCCCACGAAGCCTTGCTCACTGCTAGCGCAGCAGTCTGAGATCGAACTGCAAGGCAGCAGCCTGGCTGGGGGAGAGGCGCCCACCATTGCTGAGGCTTGAGTAGGCCAGGAAGCTCAAACTGGACAGAGCCCACCACAGGTCAACAAGGCCTACTGCCTCCAGACTCCACCTCTGTGGGCAGGGCATAGCTGAACAAAAGGCAGTAGACAACTTCTGCAGACTTAAATGTCCATGCAGACATGGACGTCCATGCAGCTCCGAAGAGAGCAGTGGTTCTCCCAGCATGGCGTTTGAGCTCTGAGAATGGAGAGACTGCCTCCTCAAGTGGGTCCCTGACCCCTGTGTAGCCTAACTGGGAGACACCTCCCAGTAGGGACCAACAGACACCTCATATAGGCGGGTGCCCCTCTGGGATGAAGATTCCAGAGGAAGGATCAGGGAGCAATATTTACTTTCTGCAATATTTGCTGTTCTGCAGCCTCCGCTGGTGATACCCAGGCAAACAGGGTCTGGAGTGGACCCTCCAGCAAACTCCAACAGACCTGCAGCTGAGGGACCTGAATGATAGAAGGAAAACTAACAAACAGAAAGGAATAGCGTCAACATCAACGAAAAGGTCATCTACACCAAAACCCCATCTGTAGGTCACCAACATCAAAGACCAAAGGTAGATAAAACCACAAAGATGGGGAGAAACCAGAGCAGAAAAGCTGAAAATTCTAAAAACCAGAGCACGTCTTCTCCTCCAAAGGATTGCAGCTCCTCACCAGCAACTGAACAAAGCTGGACGGAGAATGACTTTGACAAATTGACAGAAGTAGGCTTCAGAAGGTCAGTAATAACAAACTTCTCCGAGCTAAAGGAGCATGTTCGAACCCATCTCAAGGAAGCTAAAAGCCTTGAAAAAAGGTTAGACGAATGGCTAACTAGAATAAACAGTGTAGAGAAGACCATAAATGACCTGATGGAGCTGAAAACCATGGCACGAGAACTTCATGATGCATGCACAAGCTTCAATAGCCGATTCGATCAAGTGGAAGAAAAGGTATCACTGATTGAAGATCAAATTAATGAAATAAAGTGAGAAGACAAGGTTAGAGAACAAAGAGTAAAAAGAAACAAACAAAGCCTCCAAGAAATATGGGACTATATGAATAGACCATATCTATGTTTGATTGGTGTACCTGAAAGTGACGGGGAGAATGCAATCAAGTTGGAAAACACCCTTGAGAATATAATCCAGGAGAACTTCCCCAACCTAGCAAGGCAGGCCAACATTCAAATTCAGGAAATACAGAGAACACCACAAAGATACTCCTCGAGAAGAGCAACCCTAAGACACATAATTGTCAGATTCACCAAGGTGGAAATCAAGGAAAAAATGTGAAGGACAGCCAGAGAGAAAGGTCGAGTTAACCACAAAGGGAAGCCCATCAGACTAACAGCGGATCTCTCTGTGGAAACCCTACAAGCCAGAAGAGAGTGGGGGCCAATATTCGACATTCTTAAAGAAAAGAATTTTCAACCCAGAATTTCATATCCAGCCAAACTAAGCTTCATAAGTGAAGGAGAAATAAAATCCTTTAGAAACAGGCAAATGTGGAGCGATTTTGTCACCACCAGGCCTGCCTTACAAGAGCTCCTGAAGGAAGCACTAAACATGGAAAGAAACAACCGGTACCAGACACTGCAAAAACATGCCAAATTGTAAAGACCATCGATGATGGGAAGAAACTGCATCAATTAACAGGCAAAATAACCAGCTAACATCATAATGACAGGATCAAATTCACATGTAATAATACTAACCTTAAATGTAAATGGGCTAAATGCCCCAATTAAAAGACACAGACTGGCAAATTGGATAAAGAGTCAAGACCCATCAGTGTGCTGTATTCAGGAGACCCATCTCAGGTGCAGAGACACATATAGGCTCAAAATAAAGGGATGGAGGAAGATCTACCAAGCAAATGGAAAGCAAAAAAGAAAAAAAAAAAAAAAAAAGCAGGGGTTGCAATCCTAGTCTCTGATAAAACAGACTTTAAACCAACACAGATAAAAAGAGACAAGGCCATTACATAATGGTAAAGGGATCAATTCAACAAGAACAGCTAACTATCCTAAATATATATGCACCCAATACAGGAGCACCCAGATTCATAAAGCAAGTCCTTAGAGACCTACAAAGAGACTTAGACTCCCATACAATAATAATGGGAGACTGTAACACCTCACTGTCAACATTAGACAGATCAACGAGACAGAAGGTTAACAAGGATATCCAGGACTTGAACTCAGCTCTGCACCAAGCAGACCTAATAGACATCTACAGAACTCTCCACCCCAAATCAGCAGAATATACATTCTTCTCAGCACCACATCGCACTTATTCTAAAATTGACCACATAATTGGAAGTAAAGCACTCCTCAGAAAATGTAAAAGAGCAGAAATCACAACAAACTGTCTCTCACACGATAGTGCAAGCAAAATAGAACTCAGGATTAAGAAACTCACTCAAAACCACACAACTACATGGAAACTGAACAACCTGCTCCTGAATGACTACTGGATAAATAACGAAATGAAGGCAGAAATAAAGATGTTCTTTGAAACCAATGAAACCAAAGACACAACATACCAGAATCTCTGGGACACATTTAAAGCACTGTGTAGAGGGAAATTTATAGTACTAAATGCCCACAAGAGAAAGCAGGAAAGATCTAAAATTGACACCCTAACATCACAATTAAAAGAACTAGAGAAGCAATAGCGAACAATTCAAAAGCTAGCAGAAGGCAAGAAATAACTAAGATCAGAACAGAACTGAAAGAGATAGAAACACAAAAAAACCCTTCAAAAAATCAATGAATCCAGGAGCTGATTTTTTGAAAAGATCAAAAAATTGATAGACCGCTAGCAAGACTAATAAGAAAAGAGAGAAAGATCAAATTGATGCAATAAAAAATGATAAAGGGGATATCACCACCAATTCCACAGAAATACAAACTACCATCAGAGAATACTATAAACACCTCTATGCAAATGAACTAGAAAATCTAGAAGAAATGGATAAATTCCTGGACACATACACCCTCCCAAGACTAAACCAGGAAGAAGTTGAATCTCTGAATAGACCAATGACAGGCTCTGAAATTGAGGCAATAATTAATAGCCTACCAACCAAAAAAAGTCCAGGACCAGACAGATTCACAGCTGAATTCTACCAGAGGTACAAAGAGGAGCTGGTACCATTCTTCTGAAACTATTCCAATCAATAGAAAAAGAAGGAATCCTCCCTAACTCATTTTATGAGGCCAACATCATCCTGATACCAAAGCCTGGCAGACACATAACAAAAAAAGAGAATTTTAGACCAATATCCCTGATGAACATCGATGCAAAAATCCTCAATAAAATACTGGCAAACCAAATCCAGCAGCACATCAAAAAGCTTATCCAAAACGATCAAGTCGGCTTCATCCCTGGGATGCAAGGCTGGTTCAACATACGCAAATCAATAAACGTAATCCATCACATAAACAGAACCAATGACAAAAACCACATGATTATCTCCATAGATTAAGAAAAGGCCTTCGACAAAATTCAACAGCCCATCATGCTAAAAACTCTCAATAAACTAGGTATCAATGGAACGTATCTCAAAATAATAAGAGCTATTTATGACAAACCCACAGCCAATATCATACTGAATGGGCAAAAACTGGAAGCATTCCTTTGAAAACTGGCAGAAGACAAGGATGCCCTCTCTCACCACTCCTATTCGACATAGTGTTGGAAGTTCTGGCCAGGGCAGTCAGGCAAGAGAAAGAAATAAAGGGTATTCAATTAGGAAATGAGGCAGTCAAATTGTCCCTGTTTGTAGATGACATGATTGTATATTTAGAAAACCCCATTGTCTCAGCCCAAAATCTCCTTAAACTGATAAGCAACTTCAGCAGTGTCAGGATACAAAATCAACGTGCAAAAATCACAAGCATTCCTATACACCAATAACAGACAAACACAGAGCCAAATCATGAGTGAACTCCCATTCACAATTGCTACAAAGGGAATAAAATACCTAGGAATCCAACTTAAAAGGGATGTGAAGGACCTCTTCAAGGAGAACTACAAACCACTGCTCCTCAAAATAAAAGAGGACACAAACAAATGGAAGAATATTCCATGCTCATTGATAGGAAGAATCAATATCATGAAAATGGCCATACTGCCAAAAGTAATTTATAGATTCAATGCCATCCCAATCAAGCTTCCAATGACTTTCTTCACAGAACTGGAAAAAACGACTTTAAAGTTCATATGGAACTAAAAAAGAGCCCGCATTGCCAAGACAATCCTAAGCAAAAAGAACAAAGCTGGAGGCATCACACTACCTGACTTCAAACTATACTACAAGGCTACAGTAACCAAAACAGCATGGTACTGGTACCAAAACAGAATATATAGACCAATGGAACAGAACAGAGGCCTCAGAAATAACACCACATATCTACAACCATCTGATCTTTGACAAATCTGACAAAAACAAGCAATGGGGAAAGGATTCCCTATGTAATAAATGGTGCTGGGAAAACTGGCTAGCCATATGTAGAAAGCTGAAACTGGATCCCTTCCTTACACCTTATACAAAAATTAATTCAAGATGGATTGAAGACTTAAATGTCAGACCTAAAACCATAAAAACCCTAGAAGAAAACCTAGGCAATACCATTCAGGACATAGGCATGGGCAAGGACTTCATAACTAAAACACCAAAAGCAATGGCAACAAAAGCCAAAATAGACAAATGGGATCTAATTAAACTAAAGAGCTTCTGTACGGCAAAAGAACTACCATCAGAGTGAACAGGCAACCTACAGAATGGGAGAAAATTTTTGCAATCTACCCATCTGACAAAGGGCTAATAAGAATCTACAAAGAACTCAAACAAATTTACAAGAAAAAAATAAACAACCCCATCAAAAAGTGGGCAAAGGATATGAACAGACACTTCTCAAAAGAAGATATCTATGCAGCCGACAGACGCATGAAAAAATGCTCATCATTACTGGTCATCAGAGAAATGCAAATCAAAACCACAATGAGATGCCATCTCACGCCAGTTAGAATGACAGTCTAACTTTTTAATAAGTTTTAATAAGACAGACTTTTTAATAAGTCAGGAAACGACAGATGCTGAAGAGGATATGGAGAAATAGGAACACTTTTACACTGTTGGTGGGACTGTAAATTAGTTCAGCCATTGTGGAAGACAGTGTGGCGATTCCTCAAGGATCTAGAACTAGAAATACCATTTGACCCAGCAATCCCATTACTGGGTATATACCCAAAGAATTATAAATCATGCTACTATAAAGACACATGCACACGTATGTTTATTGCAGCACTATTCACAATAGGAAAGACTTGGAGCCAACCCAAATGTCCATCAATGATAGACAGGATTAAGAAAATGTGGCACATATACACCATAGAATACTATGCAGCCATAAAAAATGATGAGTTCATGTCCTTTGCAGGAACATGGATGAAGCTGGAAACCATCATTCTCAGCAAACTGTCACAAGGACAGAAAACCAAACACCGCATGTTCTTACTCACAGGTGGGAATTGAACAATGAGAACACTTGGACACAGGGCGGGGAACATCACACACCAGCGCCTGTCGGGGGGTGGAGGGCTGGGGGAGGGATAGCATTAGGAGAAATACCTAATGTAAATGACGAGTTGATGAGTGCAGCAAAACAACATGGCACATGTATGCCTATATATCAAACCTGCATGTTGTGCACAGGTACCCTAGAACTTAAAGTATAATAATAATAAAAAAGAACAGAATGAAAAAGAAAGGAAATTCTATAATCTATTAATCAATTTTTCCTGTTATGAAAATATTTCCTAACAATACATATTTATTATTACTTTTATATAAATAATAAGACAATATGTAATTTAAAACCTCTTATAAGAAATAGCATTGGGATCACTGTCTTCCTTCTCTCCTACTCCTGTCCTTGTTCTTCAAAATCTTTCATATAGATCAAGGGCTTTTGACTTTGTGCCATGACCCCTCTGTAAATCCGCTGAATGGACCACTTCCGAGTGTAATGTTTTAAAATGTATAAAATAAAATAATAGGATTACAAAGAGGCTAATTGTATTAAAATATAATTTATCAAAACATTAAAATATAAATTATTAGTATTTATTAAAACATTTAACACTTTCTAGTAGCAGATCAATTTTTTTTTTTTTTCGAGACAGAGTCTTGCCCTGTCACCCAGGCTGGAGTGCAATGGCGCAATCTTGGCTCAGTGCAACCACCGCCTCCTGGGTTCAAATGATTCTCCTGCCTCAGCCTCCCCAGTAGCTGAGATTACAGGTGCACACCACCATGCCCAGCTAATTTTGTATTTTTAGTAGAGATGGGGTTTCACCATGTTGTCCAGAGTGGTCTTGAACTCCTGACCTCAGGTGATCCACCTGCCTTGGCCTCCCAAAGTGCTGGGATTACAGGGAGTTAAAATTATTTTTATAATTTTAAAGTAATGATGAAGGCCAGGTGCGGTGGCTCACATCTGTAATCCCAGCACTTTGGGAGGCCAAGGAGGGCAGATCATTTGAGGACAGGAGTTTGAGACCAGCCTGGCCAACATGGTGAAACCCCATCTCTACCAAAAATACAAAAAAAATTAGCTGGGAGTGGTGGTGCATACCTGTAATCCCAGCTACTAGGGAGGCTGAAGCAGGAGAATTGTTTGAACCCAGGAGACAGAGGTTGCAGTGAGCCAAGATTGCACCACTGCACTCCATCTCAAAAAAATAAAATAAATAAAATATAAAGTGATAATAAGCACGAGCAACATTTCAACATATTTGGAACAACTATATTATGATTTGAAAATGTCAGTGATTTCTATTAGTGACAAAGTCACAACTTATGCCACTATTCTTAGGTTTATTGCCTTCATTAATAATTGAAGAAAATAATAAATTTAAGTTAATGGTTAGTGAAAAGAAAAACACACTTTTGGCCAAGCATTGCGGCTCACACCTGTAATCCCAACACTTTGGGAGGCAAAGGTGGGAGGATCACTTGAGGCCAAGAGTTCAAGATCAGCCCAGGCAACATAGCAAGACCCTATCTCTATTAAAAAAAAAAAAAAAAAAAAAAAAAAAAGGCCAGGCACAGTGGCTCATGCCTGTAATCCCAGCACTTTGGGAGGCTGAGGCGGGCGGATCACGAGGTCAGGAGATCAAGACCATCCTGGCTAACACAGTGAAACCCCATCTATACTAAAAATACAAAAAATTAGCCGGGTGTGGCGACGGGCGCCTGTAGTCCCAGCTACTCAGGAGGCTGAGGCAGGAGAATGGCGTGAACCCGGGAGGCGGAGCTTGCTGTGAGCCGAGATGGCGCCACTGCACTCCAGCCTGGACAACAGAGCAAGACTCTGTCTCAAAACATAAAAGAAAAAAGAAAGTCTTTTTTTCCCATTCCAGCTCAAGACCTCCCTGAATTCTGGCAATACAGGGTCAATAGACCCAGGTTAAAAACTGATACAGGTCACCCATCCAATACTCTGACCTCTTGTTCCTTGATATCTTTAACTTCAGTCATTTTTTTCCTCCCTTCCATCTTGATTACCACTCACATAGTAATGACCTAGAACTTGTCCTTCCCTAATACTCCATCACCTCCAAAATTTCTGTTGCATAGACTCACTCTCTAACCTTTTTCCTTCCAGTTCATTTACTATGCAGACATTTTTGCCATAACACCACATAGGAATTCCTGAAAAACCTCCTGTTCTGTAAAATTACCCACTAAAGTAATGGAGCTTATGGAGAAAATTCTGGAAGCACGTTCAAAATCTATGCCAGCTTGTAACCAGAACAGTACCAAAAGCACAAGGAAACTTGTACAGCCCAGGCAAATAGCACAGAGCAGCTGTAAGATATTTAAAAATGGGCCGAGCACGGTGGCTTATGCCTGTAATCTCAGCACTTTGGGAGGCCAAGATGGGTGGATCACAAGATCAGGAGTTCAAGACCAGCCTGGCCAAGATGGTGAAACCCTGTTTTTACTAAAAATACAACAAATTAGTGGTGGCGGGCACCTATAATCTTAGCTACTCGGGAGGCTGAGGCAGGAGAATCGCTTGAACCCAGGAGGCGGAGGTTGCAGTGAGCCAAGATCACGCCACTGCACTCCAGCCTGGATGACAGAGTGAGACTCCATCTCAAAAAAAAAAAATTAAAAATGCATACACACACACACACACACACACACACACACACACACACACACACACACCAAAAAAGGAGTTAAAGAGCTGGCTTGCCATTCTGAAATAGTGTAGATGGAAGTAGAGCTCTGAGCCAGTGAAGCTGGTTCCCCCTTCTGCATCACGGGCACTAATTTTTTAATTTTATTAAAATATGGAACAGAAAGGCTCCAGCCGTAGCTCCAACCTAAGATTTTTTTTCTTGCTTGCTGAAGAAAAGAATTCCCTTCTTATTTAGGAAAAATTACGTATGAACAAACACACTGTTCACATTACTGTGACATTATTCCATTTACCAATTGAATATGATGAAACAGTGCTACTGAATCATATGTTGTACCAGAACAGAGTATAGAACTCCAACTCCAGCTATTCCAGCCATGTGGAGACCTTCATGCCTTTGACCCTACTATTCTTTTATTATTCAACAACCCCACCACCACCTCTCTTAATTTTCTCCCTTCCTTAAATTAGATTCACTGCCTCAACATCATATAAGCTTACAAACTCTCTGAACTTCAAATTTCCTTGGCAAAAACTTGGCCATCTTTTTACTCCATGCTTACCCCTGAACAGCTTAACATTGCTGGAGAAGATCACAAAGCCATGCTAATAGAACTCACTTCACATAATGGGCAGAAACTTCAAGTTAGCCCTTAACACTGCCAAAAAAGTCCCTGCTACGTTTTCCAAGTAACTTCACTTTCTTACTCTCAGAGACAATTTCACACCTTCTCTGTCCAAATTTCCAGTGTCTCCTCACCTCAACTCTCAACTGATGATGTCACCTCAAACTTCATAGAGACAATAGATGCAGTTAGAGAAGAAAGACCTCATTTTCCTACCTCCGTTTCTATGAACCTATGTATACCTATGCCCCATGCCCTGCCTTTTGTCTTACTAGAAAGGGGAAAGAATGCTCCTTTCATGGGCCAGCCTTTCCACTTGCACCCTGGATCCTATTTCCTCTTGCCTTCTCAAAAACTTAACTCCTGCAATATTTCCCCTTTCCTGCGTCATCAATTTCCCCCTCTCTGAAGTATCTCTATCTATATTTCTCTTGACATGCAGCTATGCTTTTCTCTCACACTTGCTCCCTCCTAGCTACCACATCATCTCTTGGTTCCTCTGCACAGCAGAGTTGCCTCAAAAAGTTGTCATTACTCGTCGTTTCCATATCCTCGCCTCCCATTCACCCTTCAGCATTCTCCAATTAGGTGTTTATCTCCACAATGGCACCAAATGAGCTCTCAACAAGACTGTCAACAATCTACTTCTTGCCAAGGCTCACAGTCAACTCTTTGTTCTTATTTTACTTGACATCTTAGCAGCATTTGACATAAGTGGCCACCCCCTTTTTATTAAAATACATTTTTCAGCCAGGCACGGTGGCTCATGCCTGTAATCCCAGCACTTTGGGAGGCCGAGGCAGGTGGATCACTTGAGCCCAGGAGTTTGAGACCAGCCTAAGCTACATGGTGAAACCCTGTCTCTACAAAAAATAAAGTAACTATCCCGCTGTGGTGGCACGTGCCTGTAGTCCCAGCTACTTGGGAGGCTGAGGCAGGGGGATCACCTGAGCCCGGGAGGTGGAGGCTGCAATGAGCTGTGATTGTGTGCCACTTCACTACAGCCTGGGTGACAGAGCAAGACCCTGTCTCAAAAAAAAGAAAAAGAAATGTGTTTTTCTCTAGACTTTTAAAGCCCCATACTCACCTGGTTTTCTTCTTCCCTCACTGACATTTTCTTCTCGGTTTTCTTTCTGACTGTTCCTCCCCTGCAAGATCTCTAAATAATGAAGTGACCCAGGGTTAGACCCTTGGCTGTCTTTTTATCTACACTCTCTTCTTAGGAGATTGCATTTAGTCTCATTGGGTCAGATACCTTCTCTAAGCTGGTAGAGTAAACTTATATCTCTAGCTCAATTTCCCTAAGTCAGCAATAGCATATCAAACTAGTTATTTGGTATCTCCACTTGAATTTCTAAAAGTCATCACCAATTTAATGGAATTATTGGTTAATTCTCCTAAAATATCTCAAGTCCTCCCCAAGTCAGTAAAGGCATCCCATCCACCCTGTTGATTGGGGATGGTAGACTAGGTTTCATCTTTGATTTCTCCTTCCTTCATATCCCACATTTAAATCTAGGTTCATCAACACCTGTGAAAAGAAGGGAAAACAAAATTTCGAAAAAGAAATCTAGGTTCAAACTGAAAAATACATCCTGAATCCATCACTTGTCACTATCTCCACTATTGCAACTACATCCCAAGCCACTGTCATCTCTTTACGGGGCCAGTGAAACAGGCTCCTCTCTGGTCTCCATTCCTCCAGTTTCCTTATCCTATCCACACCAGCCAGAGTGATCTTTTGAAAGCTGCAATCAGGTCAAGTCACTCCAGTTTTCTGAGGCCTCCAATGACATTCCATTGCAATCAAAGTAAAATGCAGACTTTATCATCATGCTCTACAAGGCCCTGCATGATCTGGCCCCTGCCACACTGACCTTCTCTGTCTCTCGATCATGGCAAATTCATTCCCACCTTAGGACTGTTGCATATGCTGTTCTTCTACTAGGAATGCTCTTCCCCCAACTCTTCACATGGCTACTCATTTCTCATCATTCAGCCTTCAACCCAAATAGACCCTGCTCTGAGAGGCCTTTCCTGACCTCCCTGTCTAAATCAATCCCATCCTCTATTACTGTTTATTATGTTGCCCTATTTTATTTTTGATAGCATCTTAACAGTACATCAAATTATCCTTTTTGTTTTTATGTTTATTATCTGTCTCTCTCACTACATTGTACACTCCTTAAGAGCCAGAACTCTGTCACCTTGCCTACTTTTGTATCCCCAAAGCCTATCCAAGTGCCTGGCACCTAGAAGGTGATACATAAATAGCTGTTGATTAATTGACTAAATAAAAGTACATAGGGTCAGAGTCGTTTATCCTCTCTCTATGCTTAACTGTAACCAATCACTTCTTAATTTAGACCACTCTGGTGGTCTCTAACACAAAGAAAAACAAAAAATTTGATAGATTTGTCACAATTAAAGCTTTCTTTGTTTCTAAGATAACACTCTTATCTCTGAGGATAAGTCCATACAATTCTAAGGAAAAATTTAAAGATTAGTAAATTCTGGCTGGGCATGGTGGCTCACACCTGTAATCCCAGCACTTTGGGAGGCCAAGGTGGGTGGATCACTTGAGGTCAGGAGTTCAAGACCAGCCTGCCAACATGGTGAAACCCCATCTCTACTAAAAATATAAAAAATTAGTTGGGCGTCGTGACGTGCACCTATAATCCCAGCTACTCGGGAGGCTAAGGCAGGAGAATCACTTGAACCCGGGAGGCAGAGGTTGCAATGAGCTGGGATCATACCACTGCACTCTAGCCTACGCAACAGAGTGAGACTCCACCTCAAAAAAATAAAAAAAAAGAAAAAGATTACTGAATTCTTATGATCTTCATAACTTCAGAACTTCACACAGCATTAATGTTGAGGGTCTCAGTAACATCAGTTCATCTGACTCTGGGGTATACTTTTCTTGCCTTACAGGTGAGACAGCAGTTGACCTGAATGACTTAATGGATGCTGTCAGTTACATCAAGGGTGAGTTGCAAGCTATAATGGAAAGATGTTGTAAGTAATATCTTAATATTTGCTATTAATGTTGGAGAAGAATATTTTCTATTCATAAGTGTTCAGATTTTTCATATAACGTATGTTCCATTTTTGTAGATGCTGCTGAAGTTGAGTAAGCACCAGCATGGCACATGTATACATATGTAACTAACCTGCACAATGTGCACATGTACCCTAAAACTTAAAGTATAATAATAAAAGAAAAAAAACTTAAAAAAAAAACAATAACTAATCTGTATTTATATATCAGTGCCCATACTAGTCTCCAAAATTTTCAGCAAAACAGTTCTTCAAAGTAGTAATAGATATCAAGAGCCACAGAACTATTCATACCCTTTTCCCCACTAACCCCAGTCTTAGAAATTTATCCTTTAAAAATAGTTTCATTCTCATAATTGTGAGAAAATTGAAACAGATTAGAAATATCTAACCATACAGGAATTACTACATAAACCATGGTATGTCAGTTTAATGGGATACCATGTTAAAATGCTAGCTGTAAAGATTATATGGCAACTTGGAAACATGTTTATGAAGGAATGATTTTAGGTTGGAAAAGCAAAATACAGAAGTGTACATGTATTAGATTTCCACATTGTAAAAGTAAAGCCTTATTGCCAAGACCAAAATGGAATATCAAAAACTAAAAATGGTTCCTGTGTTAGAGTGATGGAATTCTATCTTTCCCCTGTTACATTAATCTGTAATGTTGTTACATAAAACTAAGTCCCTATATGTACTTTAATGTGCTGTGGATTTTGCAACAACCCACCAGTCAATTCCTAACCCCTGGTTACTTTCTTCTTTGTAGCCACTTTCTGATTCTTTCAATCAGAATTAAAGATTTTTGTTTCTGATTCTCCTATTCTGGATGATAATGTATATAAGCACAGATAGTGTTCTTTGTCCTTTGCAAATAATTCTGTAATATTTTTGCAATTCATTTCTCACCCTTTCTAAGGAGAGGTGATTGATGTCCAGAACTTAGACAATTTCTAGCAAGCGAAGGGATTGAGCTCACAGAAGAAGAAATGAAGGAGTTGATGCCTCATTTGACATTTAACGGTGAGGTGTATGTTTTATAATTATGTTACCTTCTTAGAAGTGTATTTTTGGGCTGGGCATGGTGATTCACGCCTGTAATCCCAGCACTTTGAGATGCCAAGGCAGGTGGATCACCTGAGGTCAGGAGTTCGAGACTAGCCTGATCAGCACAGTGGAACCTCGTCTTTACTAAAACTACAAAAAATTAACTGGGCGTGGTGGTGGGCACCTGTAATCCCAGCTACTCAGGAGGCTGAGGCAAGAGAATCGCTTGAACCCAGGAGGGGGAGGTTGCAGTGAGCTGAGATTGTGCCATTGCACTCCAGCCTGGGCAACAAGAGCGAAACTCTGTCTCAAAAAAAAAAAAGAAGAAGTGTACTTTTGTCATCCTGTACATAACATCCTCAGAAATGATCCTTATCTTTGTAACACCTAGAACATAGCTTCCCAAACTTAAACGTGCATATGAATCACTTGGTCGTCTTGTTAAAATGCAGATTTGGGGGCCAGACGTGGTGGCTCACACCTATAATTCCAGTGCTTTGGAGGGCTGAGGCAAGAGGATCTCTTGAGGCCAAAAGCTCAAGATCAGTCTGAGCAATAGACTGAAACCCTGTCTCTACAAAAAAAAAAAAATTTAATTATCCAGGCGTGATGGCACATGCCTATAGTCCTAGCTAATTGGGAGGCTGAGGCAGGACAATCACTTGAGCCCAGGAATTCGAGATTGCAATGAGCTATGATTGCACCGCTGCATTCCAGCCTGGGCAACAGGGCAAGACCCTGTCTCCTTAAAAAAAGAAAAAAAAAAAAGAGCAGATTTTGGTTCAAGAATAGGGTAGAGCCTGAGATTCTGCCTTCCTAACAAGCTCTCAGGTGATGCCAATGATGCTGGTGCATGAGCCACCTTTTGCCTATCAAAGACCTAAAAGATGAAAAAAAGACATGATATGTTAAGATTGTGCCTGACTTGCCGGGCGCGGTGGCTCACACCCGTAATCCCAACACTTTGGGAGGCTGAGGCGGGTGGATCACCTGAGGTCAGGAGGTCGAGACCAGCCTGACCAACATGGTGAAACCCCGTCTCTACTAAAAATAAAAAAAAAATTAGCCGGGCTTGGTGGCACACGTCTGTAATCCCAGGTACTCAGGAGGCTGAGGCAGGAGAATCACTTGAACCCAGGAGGGGGAGGTTGCAGTGAGCCAAGATTGCGCCACTGCACTCCAGCCTGGTGACAGAGTGAGACTCCGTCTCAAAAATAAAAAATGAAAACAAAAGATTGTGCATGACTTTCATTTCTTAAATCACAAATACAACCAATATGCTAAGTTGTGCCTGATGGTATGATTCCAGCCTGAAAAATAAGGAAAAATATTACAGCGAGTGAAACTAGAAAATAAAATGAGTATTAGGAAGAGATACACAGGGGAAGGAGGGGGAATTTGGGGTTGTTTGTTTATTGAAATTTTATTATTGTTTATTGAGTCTATTTACATGGCTTACTCACTGGCCCTTGTGCTATATAAATACTTTTTTATTTCTACCACTTTCTTTTTTGTTCTGATATCCCAGAAAAAGATGTTCTAAGTGCATCGGAGGATAACGTTTCTTACTATAATGCTTCAGTGATGTTGTCAGAGAGTTTCCATTCAGCCTGGCCTTGAATTTAAAAGAGTATATTGATTTATTCAAGCAACAAATATTTATTGGTCACTGAATATGTCAGGCCCTATACTAGGTACTAGGAATACAAGGATGAAGAAAGGAGACATACTTCGCTTTCTCTACGAAGCCCAACTGAAAGTAGGAGATGAGACACTGAACCATTAGGTTTCTCAAATCATGGTTTTATGGCAATAAATTTGAACCAATCCGTTGCAAACATATCTCCATGTTCTGTTCTCTCTAGTTTTTCATTTCTTCCTTTTTTGCCTATATTTTCTTCCTCTTCTCTCTTCAGTTGAAGAGATTTTGTTTTTTGTTTTGGGGACAGGGTCTGGCTCTGTCACCCAGGCTGGAGTGCAGTGGCATGTTATCAGCTCCTGGGCTCAACCTTGCAACCTCCGTCTCCTGGGTTCAAGCTGTCCTCCTACCTCAGCCTCCCAAGAAGCTGGGACTACAGGCACACACCACCATGCCCAGCTGATTTTTGTATTTTTTGTAGAGACGGGGTACCACCGTGTTGCCCAGGCTGGTCTCCAACTCCTGGGTTCAAGTGATCTGCCTGCCTCAGCCTCCCAAAGTGCTGGAATTACAGGCGTGACCACCGCGCCCGGCCAGTTGAAGAGATTCTTTACAACCCTTCTTAATCCACTACTCTTGATCTCATCTACTCTCTTTCCAAAAATTACTCCTTTAATAATTCCTTTCCAACATATTCAGTTTCATTTATCTCTCTGTATCCTGCCTCTAAAAAGGCAGATTGCCTTCAGATCAACCTTTACATAGCAATGGTCAGAAACCTTCATGACTCTTTCCTATGTTCCCAAAAAAGTCCAAACAAAACCCACGGCAACATAGCCCCCATGTACTTCTCAGCTTTCTCCTCCACTACTTCCAACATGTCATGCTCCAAACCAACTGAACTACCCACAGTTCCCTCAAAATACCTTGTTCCTTCTTATTTTTGTCCCTTTGATTAATACAATTTCCTAAAGCACAGAAAAGATGAACTGCTTTTTAAAAAGCAGAGATAGGGCCAGGCACAGTGGCTTAAGCCTGTAATCCCAGAACTTTGGGAGGCTGAAGTGGGTGGATTGCTTGAGACCAGGAGTTCGAGACCAGCCTGGCCAACCTGGCGAAACCCCATCTCACTAAAAATAAAAAAAATTAGCTGGCATGATGGCACATGCCTGTGATCCCAGCTACTTGGGAGTCTGAGGCACGAGAATCACTTGAACCCAGGAGGCAGAGGTTGCACTGAGCTGAGATCACACCACTGCACTCCAGCCTGGGTGACAGAGTGAGACCCTGCCTCAAAAAAAAAAAAAAAATGTAGAAATAGGTATCTCTTTCAAAGACTCATCCTTGCCAGGCACAGTGGCTCACACTTGTAATCCCAACACTTTGGGAGGCCAAGGCGTGAGGATCACTTGAGGCCAAGAGTTCAAGACCAGCCTGGGCAACATAGGGAGACCCCCATCTCTACAAAAAAAAAAAAATTGTTTAATGAGCTGGGTGTGGTGGCACACACCTGCAGTCCCAGCTGCTCAGGAGGCTGAGGTGAGAGTATCGCTTGAGCCAGGGAGGTCAAGGTTGCAATGAGCCATAATCACGCCATGCACTCCAGCCTGAAGGACAGAGCCAGACAGAGCCAAAACAAAAGTTCATCTTTTTTTTTCCATCATATTCACCTGACAGAAAAATGAATCCAAATTCCAAAGCAAACCAATGTTTCTAGTTCTTCTAACTCATGGAAGAATTTCAGCCTATTATATTGTTTTTAATAATTTCACAACTGTTATGAATTTTTATGTGACTGCCTCTGTATCTAAACCAAAATGTTTTACAGGAAATGGAAAGATTAATGTTAATTCAATAATGGAGGGCCTGAAGAAGTTTAAACGTAAGTGAAAATTTATTATACAATATAAAATTATAATCTGATGCTATATGTGTATTTTTATCTGTGTTTTCTTGGTTATAAAAGTAATATATGTTCATTATAGAAAATTTCTATATTTAGCAAATGAAAAGATGAAAAAAGGAAATTTTAATAATTCTTAATTCTATCCTCCAATGATAATCCATAATTTTATCACCACAAATTTTTTCCTTATGCATACATAATTTCTGTGCTTTTTTATCCATGTCCAATGTATTTACATTCCCTTTTCTTACTCATATTAAAATCTTACTTTTTTATAAATATAGCTAGGCCGGGCACGGTGGCTCATGCCTGTAATCCCAGCACTTTGGGAGGCCAAGGCGGGTGGATCACCTGAGGTCAGGAGTTTGAGACCAGCCTGACCAACATGGTGAAACCTCATCTCTACTAAAAATACAAAAATTAACTGGGCGTCATGGTGCGTGCCTGTAGTCCCAGCTACTCGGGAGGCTGAGGCAGGAGAATCGCTTGAACCTGGAAGGCGGAGGTTGCAGCGAGCCGAGATTGTGCCATTACACTCCAGCCTAGGCAACATAGAGAGACTCCATCTCAAAAAATAAATAAATAAATATAGCTAATAATCTAAAGTTCCTTTCTGGATGCCTCTGAAATTTAATACATAATCTCAGTACTTTTTGGTTGTAGGCCCCTTATATTTAATTATTTCTAAAATAAGTTTCTTATTGCCAAAATGCCATGTTCCAAATGAATGGGAGATTTGAACATTATGCTGTGAAATTGATCAACAGAGGCAAGGTAAAACTTGTCTCTGCCCTCTTCCCACACACGTACAACCTCAATCTTGAGTTCATTTTTAAGTAATCTTGATTTATTCTCTGCATCTGCATTCCTAACAAGTGCGACAAAAAAGAAATTTGCTGTGTCTCTGCAAGCCTGACTGTGTTTCAAAAAGGAGGATGTTGCAGGGCATGGTGGCTCACTTCTGTAATCCCAACAATTTGGGAGGCCAAGACAGGCAGATTGCTTGAGGCCAGGAGTTGGAGAGCAGCCTGGGCAATATGACAAAACTCCATCTCTACACAAAATTACAAAAATTAGCCATGTGTGGTGGCATACACCTGTAGTTCCAGCTACTCAGGAAGCTGAGGTCGGAGAATTGCTCGAGCCCAGGAGGTTGAAGCTGCAGTGAACTGTGATTGCACCACTGCACTCCAGCCTCGATGATAGAGTGAGACCTTGTCTGTAAAAAGAAATAAAAAAGGAGGATGTAAGAATAATTTAAGGTATATTATGCAAGTATCCACAAAATGAATTTTAATAGAAAATAAATTTAAATTCTGGGTACCCATGCCTAATATTTCCAAGTTAGTCCTGTTGTATTTTATTTGTAAAAGAAAAAATATCTACCTTTTAATAAGCCCAGTCTATCCCATCTATTGCTGCTTTTGTTGTTGGTGCCAGAAAACTTTCAGGAATGTTCACTTGGTAGTTTTTATCCCCAGCCTTTAAAATCATACTGCCAATTGGAGATACTGGAAACCATCTCCCATGGCCATGTATAAGTTCTATGTTCACCAATAAGTATTTTTTGAGCACCCAGACACTGTTCAAGAAAGTTTAGCAATGACCAAAAGATAAAGCAAGGTTCCCACTCTCACAAAAGCTTAGTTTTTGAGTACACAGTATATGCTCAATAAATACTTGTTGATTACCTGATAGAGGTTCTAGTCTCCTGCTTTCAGATAATTGAAGATTCACTAACTGAAGCAGCTGTATCAAGGTCATTCTTAAGATAATCCCTCCTATCTGGGCAACTCAGAACAAACAGTTCTGTAAAACTAACCCCAGGTAACATAAACGAGTCACCCATATCAGAATTGGCTCTTAACCATTTATAAAGCCAGGAAGGCACAACACTTCAGATATCTTTGCTTACTTTTCTATCATTCTTCTTTCTCCTCTTCCACTTCTTCTTTTTTCCTCTTTTATTATCTTCTCCATATCTCTAAAAATATATTTTTTTCTTTTGCTCCAGCTTCCCCTTGTTTTTCTAGTGCTATTCTTTCTTTTTCTTCCAGTCTCTTTATCAAACATATACATTTCACATGGCTACCCAGCTCGCCCACATGTTTTCTTCACTTCATAAGCCCCAATCCACCTACTGCCACTGAAATATATTTTATTCTGTGAAGTCTACAGTGCCTTAAAGAAAATTTAGATGTTTTAAAGTATGTTTCATATTTTTAGAAATTTCAAATACTGGTTTCTATTTCAAAGATTCACTCAATAATACTACATTTTCACTTATAAAGTTTTCTTTGGCTGGGCACGGTGGCTCACGCCTGTAATCTCAGCACTTTGGGAGACCGAGGCAGGTGAATCACTTGAGGTCAGGGGTTAGAGACCAGCCTGGCCAACATAGTGAAACCCCGTCTCTACAAAAATACAAAAATTAGCCAGGCTTGGTGGCACACTCCCAGCTACTTGGGAGGCTGAGACAGGAGAACCACTTGAACCTGGGAGGCAGAGGTTCCAGTGAGCCGAGATCGCACCACTGCACTCCAGCCTGGGTGACAGAGCGAGACTCTGCCTAAAAAAACTTTTAAAGAAAGTTTTCTTTATATAAGTATTAAGGGACAAATTTTATTTCTTAATGCCATATTGACACATTTGCCTTCAAATATACTACTGTGATTTAAGTCTTCACACTCAAATTTCAGATGACAGACATAGGCATAATGGCAATGGCATTTTTCACACTTAAATATCTTTTTCTCCCATTTCCATTTCACCATTTCTACTTTCTAAAGAATAAAGGTGAATTTCAGCTACCTAAGCGTGATAACGTGGAAATAACATTCATATATGAACAACTTCAAGACCTGCTAAAATTTATGTTATTTGATGGTGAACATTCAGAACTTCACTCTGGCCTTCAGAGGCACTGGGGTTGTAAGGTTCCACATGAGAATTTCTAAAACTTTACTTACTAGGGACACAGAGAAAGTCTAACATACATTTAGAAAAAAAGTCGCCATATAAAAATAAAGTCTGCTTCTTGTCATCTTCTAAGTCACATTCTCAACCATCATGTTGCCACGTGCAGTGTCTAAGAATGGCATAGGGTGCCTCTAGCAAACTAATATCCAGGAAGGGAGAAGAGCCAAGCAATAGAGAGAGAGAGAGAGAGTGACCAGATCAGAGGCAGGAAAAGAAAAGCTGCTTCATAGGTGTAGGTTTTTCTGAATTCTACAGATTATGTGTTTCATATTAGAATTAATCCTTTCCCCATAGGAAAGATATTTCTTCTTTATATGTATTGCTTTCTGCATTATATATTACCTTATATAGCCTCTATAACCTAAAGGGATCACCAAGCATTTTCCATGTTTCTGTGTTTCATCATCTGCCATGGACCTTTTTTGATATTAAAATAATACATTATTGGTTTATCTGGCCAGGCCAAACCAAACCAAACATAGGAAACTGAGTTATTATAGCCACACTTTTTTCCTGAGTATTAATCTCCTCATGCTTAGAAAACAAAACTACTCCCACATTTTTAGAGGAAAGAAAAGAAAAAAAGTTAAATCTGTACTATTAAGGTTTTGATTGGTTGTTGTTCTGGCCATAGAAAGGGGTGGGGTGAAGGGAGATTTTGCAGTTAGTTAATTATACCCACATATTTGATAGGATAATTCACTAGAAAGAAATATCTATCTCATTAAAAGGTATCTAATTAGTCAATACCTTCCTAAACAAAGCATTCATGAAAATGAAGTGGGTAACAGATCATCTTCCTCCTGAATCAACAGATTTTCAAAGTCATTCCACTTCTTTACATCCTAAAAGATGATAAATGAATAGTCTTGATTTCAATGCTGACACTATAGTGCTTTTCAATTTTTGCTTTTGGAGTGCAATGCATTAAGGCACCAAAAGAAACAATATGAAAGATGGATATCCCATATAACCTTGACATTTTCTTAATTTTTTCACTCATCTGGGGAAAAAAATAAGATAAATTATGCCCTCCTAGTCTACTTTCCATAACTTCAGAAATTCATGTAATTTTGATTCTTAATCTTGTCTTTAAGCAAAAGGAATGGTGACTCTGCATAAGTTGAAAACTGCAAATGATATTAAAGGTGAGTGTGAAAGCTGATGTGAAGCCATTGTAAAGATGGGGCTTAATACTTTGACTTACATTTTTTAATACCTTAGTTACTTTCCCTAATTGTCTTGTCAGTTTCTATCCTCCATCTACTTGTCCATAAAGTGAATGAACACCGTTATCTCTCCAACTTTCTTTCTAAGTTCCTTGTACCTTTATAGTCCACACCACACTGAATCACATGTGATTATCAGGTATTTTATATTCTTTTCTAATGCTCCATTTATGATTTTTTTAACCTCTAAGAACACTGTAGCCTATTTGGTATCACAGTACAATTTACAAAGCAGGTGTTCCTGACTCTGCCATTAAGGAAATTAATTCAGTTCATTGGGCTTTAGTGTCCTTAGCAGTAAAATAAAATGGGTGAGGACCTGGAGCACTGGCTCACACCTGTAATCCTAGAGCCTTGGGAGGCGGAGGCAGGAAGATCACTTGAAGCCAGGACTATGAGTCCAGCCTGGGAAATTCAGCGAGGCCCCCTCTCTATAAAAAATTTTAAAATTAATCAGTTGTAGTGGCACTTGCCTACTGTAGTCCTAGCTACTCGGGAGGCTGAGTGGAAGGATCACTTGAGCCCAGGAATTGGAGGCTGCATTGAGCCATCACTGCACCACCGCACTTCAGCCTCAGCTAACAAAGAAAGAACTTGTCTCTTTTTTAAAAAAAATGAAATGGGCATGGACACAGGGAGGGGAACATCACACACCAGGGCCTGTTGGGGGGTAGGGGGGTGGGGGGCTAGGGGAGAGATAGCATTAGGAGAAATACCTCATGTAGATTACAGGTTGATGGGTGCAGCAAACCCGCATGGCACGTGTATACCTATATAACAAACCTGCACGTTCTGCACATGTGTCCCAGAACTTAAAGTATAACAAAAAAAAAAATGTGGTGGGTTGGGGGCAGAATTAGGTTGATGATCTATTAGTTATCTTTCAGCTTTAAAATTCCAGGACTAACTTCTGTGGCTGAAAGAACATTATCAATAAAGTAAAAAGACAACCCACAGAATAGGGAAAAATATCTGTGAATTATGTAATTGATAAGGATCTAGTCTCCAAAATATATAAAGAATGCTGTAACACAACAATAAGGCTGGGCATGGTAGCTCACGCCTGTAATCCCAGCACTTTGGGAGGCCAAGGAGATTGCTGGGGGCCAGGATTTCGAGACCAGTCTGGGCAACATAGTGAAACCTCATCTCTACCAAAAATACAAAAAAGTAGCTGGGCATGGTGGCCTGCACCTTGTAGTCCTGGCTACTGGGGAGGCTGAGGTGGAAGACTCACTTGAGCCTGGGAGGTCGAGACTGTAGTGAACCATGATCCTGCTACTGCACTCAACCCTGGGCAACATAGTGAGACCTCACCAAAAAAAAAAAAAAAAAAATCTAAGTAAGTAGCCTTTAATATAGTAGGCTCTTAGTAAATAATTGTTGAATTAATTTATAAATTAAGCCTTCCCTTTCTTTCCTTGTGTGTTCCTGTCCAGAATGGGAGGCAGTGTACCAAGCTTAAAAAGATTAGGTTAAAGTCAAATTATGCTCATAATGAACAAATCCCCCTGAGCAGGAATAGGAAACCTCTAGAACTGCTGCAAGTGAAACCTGAAGCACTTTTAGGGGCCCAACTATATAACTAGCTAAGCCTTGGGTGCCAGAGATATCTGTACTTAGCCATGATAGACTAAAGACACTCCTAACTCCTGCGCTAGAGTATTTATAATGCCATGAGACATGTCAGATCATGAATACCTTGGTTTCTGCTTAAAACAATCTTTTCTGTAATTGTTCTTTTGAAAGCACTTTTCCCAATAATACTAAAGACAGCCTATGAGAGTTTTTTTGCCTCTCTTTCTAGGCTTAAACAATTAATGAAATGATTCTTAATCACCATTCAGTGAAGGCAGCTGAGTAAAATGTTTTAATTGAACAACTTTCAACTGACTGATGAAGACTTTCTCTTTTTTTCTGAGACAAAAGTCTCGCTCTGTCGCCCAGGCTAGAGTGCAGGGGCGTGATCTCAGTTCACTGCAACCTCTGCCTCCCAAGTTCAAGCAATTCTCCTGCCTCAGCCTCCTGAGTAGCTGGGATTACAGGTGTGCACCACCACACCAAGCTAATTTTTGTATTTTTAATAGAGATGAGGGTTTCATCATTTGGCCAGGCTGGTTTCAAACTCCTGACCTCAGGTGATCTGCCCGCCTCGGCCCCCCAAAGTGCTGGGATCACAGGCATGAGCCACCACACCCAGCCTGATGAAGACATTAACATGAAAATATATTAATATAGAACTTGAAACAAAAATTCTCCCCCTTCCCTGAAATTCCAACAGTGTCAAAATGTTCAGATTTTATAAATCATACCCTCATATACACCAAGGGTGCTGAATGAACCACACTGAAAACACACTTGCTGTAAGGTTGGAAGGAGCTCCTGGGTCATTCTCTCCCTAGGCTTGAGCCTGAGCAGTGAATGAGGTCACAGTTGTGTGATGGAACAAACCCTTTATTGGATTCCTGATCTGATTGAAGCCCAGAAGTGGTAGGTAGCACGGCTTAAAAGTAGGTAAATATCGTGATTTTGTAGGATTCTATGCTAAGTCCTTTTTAAAAAATCTATTATCTATGAGAATTGAAGGTATTTTTTTAAAGAAATGATTATTTTGAGGTATGGGGATGATTTCACAGCACCTTTCAAATGCCTGAATTGTTGAGCCATTCTGGTGTTCCCAGCTCTGTGGCAGGTTTTCAGATTTTGAGGACTTGTAATTGAGTTGTTTAGAAACAACTGCTTTCTGGGCTCTGAGGTGGAGACCTGGGAAAATGGATCAAATTCTAACCAAACATTCAGAGACTTTTTTTCCTCATGGTTGGATAGTATTCAATTATCCATTATTCCTAAGTCAGCAACCTAGTTTTCTTGTCAGTGAACTATCAAATACACTCTACATTTTTTTATTATTATTATACTTTAAGTTTTAGGGTACACGTGCACAACGTGCAGGTTAGTTACATACGTATACATGTGCCATGTTGGTGTGCTGCATCCATCAACTCGTCATTTAACATCAGGTATATCTCCTAATGCTATCCCTCCCCCCTCCCCCCACCCCACAACAGGCCCCAGTGTGTGATGTTCCCCTTCCTGTGTCCGTGTGTTCTCATTGTTCAATTCCCACCTATGAGTGAGAACACGCGGTGTTCGGTTTTTTGTCCTTGCGATAGTTTGCTGAGAATGATGGTTTCCAGCTTCATCCATGTGCCTACAAAGGACATGAACTCATCATTTTTTATGGCTGCATAGTATTCCATGGTGTATATGTGCCACATTTTCTTAATCCAGTCTATCATTGTTGGACATTTGGCTTGGTTCAAATAACAAGAGAGGGGGAAGCCCTACCAACCCAGCTTCTGGTCCATAAGCCCTGTTTCTCAAACTATGCCAAGTGGAAAGGCGACGGTAATTCACAAGTTCCTTCCGGGGTCTAGGGTAGCAGAACTGCATTGTATCCCACCCCCATTCCTACTGTTAACCAAGACCACCTGGGCTTTTCCTCCCTGACTCCACCAAGATCGCACGCATGGAGGCCTTGCCACCGCCTCCGTAGACGCCCGCCCCCAGTGCGCTCGGTCACCTCCCTCCTGCTGGCTGCCCTCGGGGGCAGCACCTCCCTCAGAGCCAAAGACATCAAGAGGATCCTGGACAGCGTAGGCATCGAGGCGGACGACGACCGGCTCAACGAGGTTATCAGTGAGCTGAATGGAAAAAGCATTGAAGATGTCATTGCCCAGGGTATTGGCAAGGTTGCCAGTGTACCTGCCGGTGGGGCTGTGGCTGTCTCTGCTGCCCCAGGCTGTGCAGCTCCTGCTGCTGGTTCCACCCCCGCTGCAGCAGAGGAGAAGATGAGGAGGAGGAGGAGGTGTCCAAAGAGTCAGACGATGACATGGGATTTGGTCTCTTTTATTAAATTCCTGCTCCCCTGCAAATAAAGCCTTTTACACATCCAAAAACAAAAACAAACAAACAAACAACAGTTGGTCCCAAGAAGTGACAGGGCAGGGATGAGTCTCCCCAAAAGAAACCCTGGGAAAATCTACTTACTACTAGGCAGGTATCTAAGATGTAAACAAGTAGGCAAATACATTTTATTCTTTGTCAATTATGACTTGAAATGCTCTACTGATTTCATAATAAAATAGCATCTTTAAATAACTTTTTCCATATATTTCCAGAATGCTCATTATCTGTGTCACATGGCACCATTTTTATTATTTAAGGTGTACAACTTGATAATTTGATATATGTATACATTGTTAAACAATCACCACAATCAATCTAATTAACATATTCATCACTTCACTTAGTTACTATTTGTGTGTGTGTGTGTGTGTAGTGAGAACACTTAGGATCTAATCTCTTAGCAAATTTCAGGTATACATTACAGTAGTATTATTACCTGTAGTCACCATGCTGTTCATTAGATCTTCAGAATTTATTCATCTTCAAACTTTGTATCACCAACATCTCCCCATATCTCCTTCCTCAACCACCATTCTACTCTCTGCTTCTATGAGTTAAACTATTTTAGATTATACATATTAGTTAGATCATATAGCATTGGTCTTTCTGTGTCTGGCTTATTTCACTTAGCATTTATTCTTACATAGGATCAGAGTGACACTAATTGAAGGGGGAGCAGTGACAAGCAACTTTGCTCAGAAATCGGGAACAACGAAGGGGAATTTCCACATGGCATTCCAACTTTATGCATACCTCTAACTTGAGTTTGCATCTATTACCATTTCTTGAGGCCCTAGACTTTTCAAACTCCAGGCTTTGAGCTGAAAAAGTTGCAAAAGAATATAAAGAATGAATCTGTAAACTGATTTCTTAATTGTATATTCTGAATTCCAGACAGAGTCACTGGCCACATGGCAGTTTCAGAAATTAAACCAAAACTTAAGCTGAATCCTCTAACAAAAGTACCCATCTCCCACAATAAAAGGTAGGTAATGAATGATTAAGGGTGATAAATGTATTATGATAAAGAATTATTAGTGTTACAGCTCTTTTAGAATTTTGTCTAGCAGGTTTTCCGATCTTTACTGGGAAGCCCCTAAAAAAAAGAAAATTATTGAGATTATTGGCCAGATGCAGTGGCTCACACCTGTAATCTCAGCACTTTGGGAGGCCGAGGTGGGCGGATCATGAGGTCAAGAGATCGAGACCATCCTGGCCAACATGGTGAAACTCCGTCTCTACTAAAAATACAAAAATTAGCCAGGCATGGTGGTGTGCGCCTGTGGTGCCAGCTACTCGAGAGGCTGAGGCAGGAGAATTGCTTGAACTTGGGGGACAGAGGTTGCAGTGAGTTGACATTGTGCCACTGCACTCCAGCCTGGTGACAGAGCAAGACTCCATCTCAAAAAAAAATTACTAATATATTAAATGCTCATAAAGATTATGATGAAACAATTAAAATACTCTTCAAATATTTATTATATGATAACTTTAGTTATAAAACAAAACATCGGAATTGAAGAGAAATATTTTTTATGAAAAGAAAAAGATATACATCTTTTTTGATAGGAAGAGCAGAATTCTCCCTCCTGTCCTCCCAAAGGAGAAGCTGTTTTTATGTTAGGATACAAAATACCCTAGGGGGCTCAAGAAGTTATCAGTTATACCTTGAGATATTTTGAGTGCCAGTTTAAAGAAGAAAAAATTTAGAAGATCATAAAGAAGACCTAAACCCATAACCAAGTCAAAGTGTAGAAAAAGGGTCTATATTTCAAATATAGCTGGTAAACGAAAGCTGGTAAATTAGCCATGACTGACCCTGGGCTAAAATTGGGAAGGGAGATTTACCTGTGACATTAACAATGGCTTTTTCTCAGTCACCTAACAACAAATTTCAATTAACAGCCACTAATGAGCAAAAATGAGAGCCTGATTTATATTTTATCAGATCATAAGAAGAACATTTTTTTCTCTTTCACAATTATCCATTTACTTTCTATTTTGAGTGTATCTTTTCTAGTGTCCTTGACTATGCAAGCTGTCTTTTGAGGGAGTGAGTTCCTTGTCACTGAAAGTAGTTAAGCAAAGACTAGACAATACTACATGTAAAGGGAATTCCTACATTAGATGGAAGGCTGGATTGGGTTCATTCCAAATGTAAGGTTCTTCAGTCATTTGAAACTTTGAAAAATAAAGTCTTTCTCCAATGTTTGATCCAAGATAAGGTCTGAAATTGTGCCAAGAGTGTCTTTTTAAAGACAGATAATAAGAACTTTACATTGCCTGGCCTAGCACGGTGGCTCACATCTGTAATCCCAGCACTTTGAGAGGCTGAGGCGGGTGGATCACTTGAGCCTAGGAATTTGAGACCAGCCTCTACCAAAAAAGATACAAAAATTAACTGGGTGTGGTGGTGCACACTTGTAGTCCCAGCTACTCAAGGGGCTGAGGTGGGAGGATTGCTCGAGCCTAGGAGGCAGAGGTTAGGGTGAGCTGAGATCGCACCACTGTGCTTCAGCCTGGGCAACAGAGCAAGACCCTGTCTTGAAAGAAAAATAAAAGATCTTTACACTGCCTTGAATTCTACTTTCCTCCTGCTTCTTGAGAACATAGTATTTCTCCATGTACTGCATCTTCTACATCATGCAAAAGAAATTTGTTTATATTTAGAAATACAGATGGTCCCCAACTTAACAATGGTTCAACTTACCATTTTTTGACTTTACAGTGGTACAAAAGCCATATGCATCTGGTAGAAACTCTACTTCAAATACTCATACAACTGTTCTGTTTTTCACTTTCAGTACAGGAGTCAATAAATTACATGAGGCATTCAACACTTTATTACAAAATAGGCTTTGTGCTACATGAGTTTGCCCACCTGTAGGCTAATGTAACTGTTCTGAGCACATTTAAGGTAGGCTCGGCTAAGCTATGTAGGTTAGGCAAATTAAATGCATTTTCAATTTACAATATTTTCAACTTATGATGGGTTTATAAGGAGGTAACCCCATCATGAATCAAGGAACATCTGTACAATAAATATAAAATAACCTATCTGAATAAGGACAAACCTGAGCTTCAGAAATTACAGGTTGGGCACAGTGGCACACACTTGTAATCCCAACACTTTGGGAGGTAGAGGTGGGAGGAACACTTGAGCCCAGGTGTTCAAGACCAGCCTGAGCAACATAAGGAGATCTTGTCTCTACAAAAAATAAAAAATTAGCTGGGTATGGTGGCATGCACCTATAGTTCCAATTACTCAGGAAACTGAGGTGGAAGGATCCTTGAGCCTGGGCGGTCAAGGCTGCAGTGAGCCACGATCACATCACTGCACTCCAGCCTGGACTGCAGAGGGAGACTCTGTCTTGAAAGAATGAGAGAAAGAGAAGAAATTCAAGTAGATAATAAAGAGGAAGCACCAGAAGAAGAAAGCAATGTTAGTAAAAACTGAGAAAATAAGACAAGTTAGATAAAATTCCACTTTCAAAAGTTAAGAACAGTTTTGAGACTATCACCTCCTTTTCTCCCAGGCCCCTCTTTGAAAATGAGTTGAATCTAATAAGTACTTTAGGGGATACTAAATTAATAAACCATAATAATTTTTTGTTTAACTACAATGTTTAGTATTTCTTCTAGTTTTACTTTTTTTTTTTTTTTTTTTTTGAGACAGAGTCTTGCTCTGTCACCCAGACTGGAGTGCAGTGACGTGATCTCTGCTCACTGCAAGCTCCACCTCCTGGGTTCATGTCATTCTTCTGCCTCAGCCTCCGAAGTAGCTGGGACTACAGGCGCCCGCCACCATGCCCGGCTAATTTTTTTTTTTTTTTAATTTTTAGTAGAGGCGGGGTTTCACCATGTTAGCCAGGATGGTCTCGATCTCCTGACCTCGTGATCCACCCGCCTTGGCCTCCCTAAGTGCAGGGATTACAGGCATGAGCCACCGCACCCGGCCTAGTTTTACTTTTTAAACTGCTTCTTATAAAGCCACAAAACTATGAGATTTCATATTTTTTAAACTTTTAGTTTTACAAGTATCAAAACTAAATGCATTTTAAATAAATTTATAAAATTGGTTATAATTAAATTTTGGAGTTAAATCACATTTACTTAAATGTAATTAAATTTTATTTATCATATTATAAGCAAACTCAGTTTTACATGATACATTTTTGTGTTCTTAAACTAATAAATTACTTCAGATCTGTACAAAGTATCTTGAAAGTATTAATATGTTCCTGCCTTTTCCAGATTTTACTTTCCTCAATAAATGAAAGGTCACCCAGGGTTTCAAATTTTCAGAGGTGTTCTCTATCTTTATTTCACTCTCTTATACACCCATACATATGCTGGTAAAAATACAGTTTGACGATTGTAAAATAGTTGTAAAAGTTGTAAAAAAAAAAAAGTTGTAAAATAGTCATAGATACAGAGGTTTCTCTGTAAGGGTATTCACCACAACAACGTTTATACAGTTTTAAAATTTGAAACTCAAGGCTGAGAATTGGAGCCAGCAAAAAAGAAAATTGAAACAACTTCTCTTTCTAACAACAGGAATAGTGTAAAGCATTATGGCCTTGACTTTTGGAGTCAGACAAATCTGGGTTTGAATCTCAGGTCTTCCATTTACTATCTGTATAACCTGAGACAAATTATTTAATTGCTCTGAGCTTCTGTTTCTTATTTTGTAAAATGGGGGAAATCGTAACTGGTTTTTTGGGGTTTGTTTTTTTTTGAGATAGGGTCTCACTCTGTCACCCAGGCTGAAGCATAGTGGTGCAATCATGACTCAGTGCAGCCTTGACCTCCCAGGCACAAGCAATCCTCCCACCTCAGCCTCCTGAGTGGCTAGGACTACAGGCCTGTGCCACCACACCTGGCTAATTTTTTTTTATGTTTTTGTAGAGACAGGGTCTTGCTACGTTGCCCAAGCTGGTCTTGAACTCCTGGGCTCAAGCGATCCTCTTGCCTTGACCTCCCAAAGGGGTAGGAGTACAGGTATGAGCCACCATGGCTGGCCTGAAATTATAATTTTTTAAGGGAAGGGTGATGGGCAAGTTTAGGGCAGAGGAGGATCTCAGTGGCCAACATTTTCTCACTGTTCATCCTGTAGCTATGGGCTATCCTAAATAGAAGATCCCTTAGGATAGTAGACTGGATACATTGAGATGCTACAGTCATTCCAGTAAGCAGAAACTGATGAGTAAGACTAATATCTGCTGGTTTCACATAGGTAGTAAATCTAAATATTTTCACATCTTTCCTCAGGGATAGAGACTTACCAGGATCTCTTCAATGCCAATTACAACACAAAGAAAAGAAGCTAAGTGCTTCACAAATGGCAGGTAATGAGAATCATCCTCAAAATTGAAGCATAACAGCTCCTTAATATGTCTGATCCTTTCTTCTCTAAGAAAGATCTGAGATTTCAAGGGTTGTCTACACCACCATCATTTGAGAGAAAGGAAAAAAAACCTTACATTTTTGTGGGACAGGAGGGAAATTGCTTTTAAATGGACATCTCCCTAGAATTTAGGCAGTGCTGGTCAAATAACTGTATTCAAAGAAGAACTTGTGGGTATGGAAAAGAACAAACGCAAAAAGAACAAAAATAACAAAAGAACAAATATAAATCAAGTAATAAAGAACACAAACACAGCTACAGTCCTAGGATTTCTCAAAGAAAACAATATAAAATGAGCTACACTGGCTAAAGTTTATTCATCCAAACAACAAATATTTATTTAATGCCAAAAATGTACTAGGCGTGGGAAACAACAAAACAAGTCAGATGTGGTCCCTGCCCTGATAGGAAGTCTAATAGGGAAGACAGGCTGTTAAACCATGAACTTGCCAGGCACGGTGGCTCACGCCTGTAATCTCAGCACTTTGGGAGGCTGAGGCAGGCCGGGCCGATCACCTGAGGTCAGGAGTCCGAGACCAGCTTGGCCAATATGGTGAAACCTTGTCTCTACTAAAAATACAAAAATTAGCTGAGCGTGGTGGCGGGCACCTGTAATCCCAGCTATTTGGGAGGCTGAGGCAGGGAGAATTGCTTGAACCCAGGAAGCGGAGGTTGCAGTAAGCCGAGATCGCGCCACTGCACACCAGCCTGGGCGACAAAGCGAGACTACGTCTCGAAAAAAAAAAGCCATGAACTTGCTGAATAAATCATTTAAATTACAATATAACACAAGTTATGATAGGAAAAGCATGGAGTGTTATAGGAGCTTAAAGGAAAGCCTCCTAATTTGGTCTTGTGAGGGAAGAAAGGGAGTCCCAGAGAAGGCTGAATGACGAACAGGAGTAAATCAGGCAAATAGCGCTGACAGGAGTTTCTAGGCAGAAAGAGCAGAATCTACAAAGGCCAGAAAAAAGGGAAAGCATGATGCACTAGAAAAATTCAAAGAAGTCAAGTGTGGCTGTGTTTGGGTTGCATCTGGTTTCTGAAGAGGCTGATGCTTTACCCCACTAAATTTAGAACCAATTTAGAAATTGACCCAGGAGACAGAAATGAATCAAAGAATCAATCCACCTTGACCAGCCCTGACAGGGGCAGTCCCTCCAGGGCCACCAAGGCCCCAGATAGCAAAACATCAAATATGGAAACTAGAAAATGTGTTCTTTACAGTGCTTAATCCCCAACTTTCCTATGAGAGGTTAATTTGTTCATTCTATAATCAATCAACCTTTATTGCTGGGAATTTCGGTTTGGAAAACACAAAGGATTGTCATGATCAGATTGGCATTTTTCATTGTAAAACTGAGCTAAATGCCTTAATAATAACAGCTTATGGTTTTATAGACCTTTAAGGTTTCTAAAGTGCCTTAAGATACTTTGGTACTCATTTTAAGGGGTCTATTTTAGTCAGATATGGTGAGACAGGCAGACGCAGAAATGATGGCCACAAAGGAAGTTTTTCATACTCACAGATCCCTAGAAACAGGGCACAGCATGCCAAGCATGTGGGGCCACAAGAGGAAGCACCAGGGTCAGTCAGGAAGTGGGCAGGGGCAGCATGTGGACAAGAAACTCTATTGTGGTTTCTGCAAGAAGGAATGGACAAGGCAGGGTAAGCAGGTATGGGGTTAGCTAGTTTAAACAATTTCAGTGGGCTCTGGCATGTAAGGGCTGTCCCTAGTTGTCTGGTACCTAGCCCTGGGATGACTAGGGCAGGGAAGTAGTGTCTCTGACTGTAAGAGGTGGAGAAGGCAGGTGGTTGAGGATATGGTCTCTGGAATATGGTCTATGGAATTGGATGGTTTGCAGAGGAAAGACACACTCACAATCTAGTAGTCACTATTCTAGGAATTGACCAGCCCTGAGAGGGGCAGTCCCTCCAGGGCCAGCAAGGCCCCAGATATCAAAACATCAAATATGGAAACTAGAAAATGTGTTCGTTACAGTGCTTAATCCTCACAACTTTCCTATGAGAGGTTAATTTGTTCATTCTACAAATATTTATTGAATACTTCAAGATCCCCAGCATCTCCCATCCTTACTGTCAATTGGTCTGCTTACTTTCCCAAAGAAAACTGAAGCAATCAGATTAGAATTTCCGTAGACCCTCACCTCCATGTCTACCTCCTTACCAGCATCTGTATCCATATACTCTGCCTTCCACCAACTTTTTCTATTTGAGCAATAAAAATTAATAATATAGAATTGATTATAACCCAAAGTATAAAATAAACATCCATGAATCCACACTGATAGAAATAAATGACTAATTATTTAATTTTTATTTATTTATTTATTTTTTTCTGTGCAGTGGTGCCATCTCGGCTCACTGCAAGCTCCGCCTCCCAGGTTCACGCCATTCTCCTGCCTCAGCCTCTTGAGTAGCTGGGACTACAGGCACCCGCCACCACGCTCAGCTAATTTTTTGTATTTTTAGTAGAGACAGGGTTTCACCATGTTAGCCAGGATGGTCTCGATCTCCTGACCTCGTGATCCACCCACCTTGGCCTCCCAAAGTGCTGGGATTACAGGCATGAGCCACCGTGCCCGGCCATAAATGATTAAATTTTCAATAGGAAGAAGAGACAAATGGCAGAGGTAGCAATAGCCGGAGGGGGAAATGGGGTCACAGTGTACTTTTTAAGGGAGAAACAGCAAAAGTTTATACAACAATAGGATTGATATAATAGAAAATGAAAAAATGATATTTCCCTTACCTAAGAGGAGACCCTTTCTTCAGTAAATTCTTTGAATATGAGAGAGGGGATGAGTTCCAATCCACAAGGGAGGGATTGGCTCTGGGTAAGAGCATACAGTTTATTTGCAGCGCAGAGAGAAAGGAAGATCATGCAGGTACAGGTGCTGGTCAGGAAGTAGACATGGAGGTGGGAGTGTGTAGGAATTCTATTTCTCTTCTTTCTAATCATCCACCCAGAATTACTTTTTCTTTTTTCCATGGTACATACCACCTTCTAAAATGGCATCTAGTTTACCTATTTATTACATTTATATGAAGGCACAGATCTTTGTCTATTTAGTGCACTAATATATCCAAAGCACTTGGAGCAATACCTGGTCCATGGAAAGCATGCAATCAATATTTGTTGACTGCCTACTAACATGCAAGAGATAGTGGGAAAAACAGAAACAAGTCAGAGATAGTTTGGTTCCAGCCCTAGAGAAGCCTACCTTTTATCAAGGAGAAAGATGTTACCTTTTACATTACACACTTACAGAGCAGGTATCGTTATCTCTGTAGGAGATTAATCACTGTTATACATAGAGACGCTGAGACTTGAATGTGATATGAAGTAAGTTTTATTCGGGTGTCATTTGGGATATATTTTGTTCCAGGTTTATTTCGTCATTCTCTAATTTCAGAAAATACATACCTAATTTTGGCTCCAGTTAGTGCCTTGACTATTTCTTTGAAAAACTTTGGATTATACAAAACATACATACACACATATGTGATTTGGGTCCAATTTGACAAATTAGTTTTCTATTGCTGCTGTAACAAATTGCCACAAACATAACAGCTTAAAACAACACAAATTTATTATCTCACAGTTCTATAAGTCAGAAGTCCAGGTGGGTACAGCTGGTTTCTCTTCTCTGTGTCTTATAGGACTGAAATTAAGGTGTTGGCCAGCCTGTCCTTAGCCAGGATGGTCTCAATCTCCTGACCTCGTGATCCACGAGGATCTCCTGGAGGAGAATCTGCTCCCAGTCTCATTCAGATTTTTGGCAGAATTCTGTTCTTTTTTCTTGCAGGGCTGACATTCCAGTTTCTTTGCTGTTTATCAGCCAGGAGCTTCTCAGCCTCTTTAGCAAGCAGAGAAGCTCCTGGCTGATAAATCAACAATGGTGGGTCAGGTCTTTCTCATGCTCTAAACCTCTCTGATTTCTGCCACGTCTCTCCAGCTTCTAGCTATATAAGGGATCACGTAATTAGATTGAGCCCAGAATAATCTATCTTAATTATATGTGCAAAGTCCCTTTTGCCATGTAAGATAGCATATTCACTGGTTAAGGGATTACAGTGTGGATATCTTTGGAAAGCCATCTTACCTACCAACACTTGGTTTTGCAACAGTTAGTTCATTCCAGTTCAAGTTCCGTGGAAGGATACTGTCCTTTATAAGAAATGTCTATTAAGCACTCATTTTTTTCGCAATCCTTTTTTTAGAACATGATCTCCAGTCAACTATATTGTCTGTCCTAGTCCTATTAGTGTATGTACTTCTTCTTGAACAACTGTCCTGAATAACTTAATCCTATCTCCCCAGCTTTCCAAGATGCCTACAACTTCTTCTACAAGGACAAAACTGGCTGTATTGATTTCCATGGACTGATGTGCACTGTAGCTAAGCTGGGAATGAATCTGACCAAGCATGATGTCTATAATGAATTGAAATGTGCTGATATTGATCGTGAGTCCTTTGGCTTCTCATTGTTTTTCTCATAAAAGATTTTTGTGAATATATAGTTTTCTTTTAATGACTGTATAAACATGAGAAACAAATCTTATTTACTTGCCCCCCCAAATATATATATATTTGTGTGTATATATATATTTGTATATGTTAAATATATATATACACAAATATATAGTACAAATATATATATTTGTATATTATATGTTTGTAGACTATATATTTGAATACTATATACAAATATACATATATGTATATATCCATATATCTATGTATACACCACACACACACACATATATATATAGCCTTAAAGGGACACACACATATATGTGTGTGTCTGCGTGTGTATGTATGTATGTCCCTTTAAGGAGATCAGTGAGGTATGTGTACAAGTTGTGAAATCAAATTAATCCTAGAAAATGGACTATTTGAAAAACACTGTGTGGAAGCTAAGAGTGATTGTCTGATTTCAGTATCAAATTCAGGTTACCTGTCCTGATGTACAAAAGCAGTAACAATGTTAATAATGACATGTTACCAAGAGAATTCAAGCCTTTTGTTTCTGTTTGAATCAAAACAGAACAAATCTTTCTTTTTCCATCAAGTCCCACCTATATTGAATTTTAAATGCCACAGCACTTTTGTTGGTATTTTTAAAGCATACAGATAATGTTTTTTTTTTTGTTTGAGACGGAGTCTTGCTCTGTTGCCCAGGCTGGAGTGCAGTGGCGCAATCTCAGCTCACTGCAACCTCCGCCTCCTGGGTTCACACCATTCTCCTGCCTCAGCCTCTTGAGTAGCTGGGACTACAGGCGCCCGCCACCATGCCCGGCTAATTTTTTGTATTTTTAGTAGATACAGGGTTTCACCGTGTTAGCCAGGATGGTCTCGATCTCCTGACTTCGTGATCCGCCCGCCTCGGCCTCCTAAAGTGCTGGGATTACAGGCATGAGCCACCATGCCCAGCCATAGATAATGTTTTTAGTGAATATACTGACCGAATTATTAGTAGCCCAAACTGATATGCTGTGTGAAAAATATATTCAGCATATTATCTCCTCTCACCTCTCTCCACCCAACTGCTAGTGCCCTACTCAATCAACATCAGTTCCACCTGTCATTCAGTGTCACTTAAGGTGTCACTTGCTTCTACTAACTGTGTCAAAATTTTCTATTATTTCATGGAAACATACACATACCCCTCTAATAATACTCATCATCCTTCAATTTTAGAGGAAATGGAATACAGCTTGGGGATGTTATAATAGGAATAATAGGGGTGGTTATAGCATGGGAAGACAGGACAGATTCCTTGCAAACATGGCCAGTCTCTGAGAAAGGAGCAGGTGGACAGACTGCAATGGCTGGGTGCTCCTGGCTGGATGTTTACAACCACCGTTGCTTCTGTGGGCTGTGGAGGACTGATGTAATGGTGCTAAGACCACTTCAAGAAGACCAGGGCTCACCTGAGCATATTTCCAGCCCTCAAATGCTCTGTTTTTAATATTGAATCATCCAGAGTGTTTTAATTTTTATATTTAATATATACTCTGATAATTAAAATACATCTTATCCTTGTCCTGAGTCTCAGATTTTTGTTGCAGGAGATGGGAAGGTGAACTTCTCAGACTTTATCAAGGTTCTAACAGATAAGAATCTCTTCCTCAAGGCAGTGGGTGAGTAGAGATGTTATGAACAGAAGGCAGTTGGGCAGCTACAACTCACTGCACAGCAAACATCATTCACAGGCTTCCAGTCGGGAGACAGGTCAGGAAGGTGTAGTCTGGGATGTGAGTTACTTTTGTACCTCTTCTCCAGAACAGTATTTGCTAAACAAATTGATACAGTGTTAACTACATCAAGCAGGCACTTGCACTGTCCAAACACCTACTGCAAGAGACACTGCCCTTTGGTCTCCAACGAGAACACTGAAAGAGTGACTGGTGTAGAAAAATTTGGCTGCCTTCTATAATGTCTGAATTATTTTGTCTTTTTTTTTTTTTTGAGACGGAGTCTTGCTCTGTCACCCAGGCTGGAGTGCAGTGGCACGATCTTAGCTCACTGCAAGCTCCGCCCCCCAGGTTCATGCCATTCTCCTGCCTCAGCCTCCCGGTAGCTGGGACTACAGGCGCCCGCCACCATGCCCGGCTAATTTTTTGTATTTTTAGTAGAGATGGGATTTCACAGTATTAGCCAGGATGGTCCCGATCTCCTGAGCTCGTGATCCACCCGCCTTGGCCTCCCAAAGTGCTGGGATTACAGGCGTGAGCCACCACGCCCAGCCTATAATGTCTGAATTCTTTACCAAGTGTATGCAGTACTTTGGGAGGCATTCCTTTTATTTAAAAAAAATTTATGTTTCAGAAAAAGAAAAATGTACTCTCTCATGTAAATCTAGGGTGTCGATAATTTACTGTTCTTGAAAAAATACCTTCCCCACACTGATGAAGACTCTACCCTCAGTGCTAGGGCTGGAGAGTCTGCTGGAGGTTAGAGAGCATTAAGGTGTCACGTGCTTCCACTAACTAATAGAAAATAATTTTTCTATTATTTCTCCCCCAAGGTTATAAATGATGTGTAGTTGTACTTGAAATATTGTCATTAATCCCCTCATGGTTTGTTTATAAGTTTAACAGGCTGCCTTGGAAAAGCTAACCATTATTCATGTTTTCTAGGATAAACATTCCAAATTCCAAATACTGTATACAGTTTTGAAAATATATTCATTCATAATCTATGAACTGTTCTTAGGATAAAGAAAAGTTATTTCTTACAAGTAGTACTATAGTAATGGGAGTTTGCCTAGAATCTTTGCCTAGAACCAGATAATAATCATTAACACAAAATTCATGTTTGTGTTAAAAATATTACTATGTTTTCTTAGAAGTTATTGAACTACAAGTATTTTTTAACATTCCATTTTATTCTGTCTGCTCAGTACCCAAAATGGCCTTTCTACCAAATAGAACAGACTTTTAATGTTTTACTGTACCTCTAGTTCCTGACTTGATATTATTATTGTAAATAATCAGTAAAGAGGTGGTCAATTTCTTATTTCAGAAGGTATTTAAAAATCTATCTTTTGTTTTCCCTCCATAGTTCCAGAAAAGGAGACCTGTTTAGATTTGGCTGGCAACCCAGGAATCCTATTGTTTGAAATCCTATCAAGGCTTCTAGAGACTTCAGCCCTACCCAGAAAGTCTATAATAGAAATAGTAAGGTAAGTGAGAAGGAAAGGAGCAAAAACAGCCTTCTCAGAAGCATTATGAAGATATTAACATGGCAGTCAGCTCCCACTAACATCCAACTCCACAGGGTCTGGTCCAAAACTAAGGAGAAGAAGGTATCTGGGCAAATGCCCTTGTGCTACAACATGAGACCTTATTCCCTCATCTCCACAGTCCTTCCCAGCTCTAAAACTGCAAGGCTGACCTCAGACCACCTAAGGGCCCCACTGAGGACCTAAGACAACCATGAAATTTTAGCCTCCTCTATCTCAGACCAAAGAATTCCAGCAGAACAAGACTTTTCCAGGAATAATTTTGGGTGGGCTTAGAAATCCAGTTTGGAATATAAGACACTCTTGTTCATGCTGAAACTACCAGGGGCTCTCAAAAATCTCTGACTCAGAGATGAGGTACAGCAAATTCAGACCTCCGAAAGTAGCCTTTGGACTAGAGCAGAGCCAGAATTAGACTTGAGAATAAAGGATGAAGAAACATTCTCATCCTTTAAACCTTTAATTCTCATCCTTTAAATAAATAACACACACCAACTGCATTATTTATTCCAGCAAGTAGCGCTGAGAGTAAATCACCTCAATCTATTTTTATCATTATCTTAAACAAATGTTGCTATTATCAGTCTTTTCAATTCATACTCCTTCAAAGCATTCCAGTCTCCCACCTAGAGAGACTTAAGTGTGTAGAATTCCACCAACAATGTAAAAATATTCTTCTGCCCCTCAATAAGTAGTCTCTTTATACTCTCCTGTCTCTCTGTCAGATGTAGAATAGAGGATGCACAAAATTCTACTTTTCATTCCAACTCAAAGACACTTAGTAAAGCCTGCTGTTGGTACACAAATTCAACACATTGTTTAACTTCTCAATCTCAGTTTCCTCATCTATAAAAAGGGAATGATGATAATAATACCTACCTTATAGGACAATTGTGGGGCTGATATGTGACAATACATGTGAAGTGCTTAGCACACTATAAGAGCTCAATAAATGTTAGCTATTATTATCATGTGGAAGTAACTAGACTAAGCATACACATATTATCTTGAAAATTGAAGCTTCAGCTGGGCGCGGTGGCTCATGCCTGTAATCCCAGCACTTAGGGAGGCTGAGGCAGGCGAATCACAAGGTCAGGAATTCGAGACCAGCCTGGCCAACATGGTGAAACCCTGTCTCTACTAAAAATACAAAAATTAGCCAGGCATAGTGGCAGGTGCCTGTAATCTCAGCTACTCGAGAGGCTGAGGCAGGAGAATAGCTTGAACCTGGGATGCGGAGGGTTGCAGTGAGCCGAGATCACTCCATTGCACTCCAGCCTGGGCAACAGAGTGAGACTTCATCTCAAAAAAATAAAAAAGAAAAAAAAAAGAAAATTGAAGCTTCGTTTAAAAAAAAATTATAGCCAGGCACCATGGATCGCACCTGTAATCTCAGCTACTCAGGGGGCTGAGATGGGAGGATGACTTAAGGCCAGAAGCTCCATACCAGCTGGGCAATATAGCAAGACCCTCCTCTCTACAAAATTAAAAAAATTAACTAGGCATGGTGGCGAATACCTGTAGTCCAAGCTATTCAAGAAGCTCATTTGAGCCGAGGAATTTGAGGTTACAGTGAGCTGTGATTGTGCCACTACACTCCAACCTGGGCAACAGAGTGAGACCTTCCTCTAAAAAAATAAAATAAAAATAAAATTTTTTTAAAAAGAATATACATATTATCTAATTTAATCCTCACCTCCCTAATTAGTATATACTATCATCACTCCCACTTTACAGATGAAAAAACTGCAGCACAGGTCAGTTAAATAACTTGCCCAAGAGGGAATGGTACCTATATTTTAGCACAGTCTGATTCCAGAACTCGGGCTCTTATCTATCTCCCTATACTGCCTCTCACACCCAGTAAGTGCTTAGGAAATGTTAGCTGATGTTGGCATTTTTATTGTTATTGTGGTGTGGCTGTTATTTATCTGGTTATTATTTATCTGGTCATCTTGCTAGTGCCTGATACCTAAGGAGATTAAAAATGTTTAAGACATAGTATTTAACATATAAATGGAGACAATTTGAGAGGCTGAGGTGCATGGATCACTTGAGTCCATGAGTTTGAGACCAGCCTGGGCAACCTGGTGAAACCCCATCTCTACAAAAATTAGCTCTTTCACTCAGGCCCGTGGTGCCAGCAGGATGGGCAAGCGTCATGGACTTCGTGTGGCTAGGAAGCTCCACAGTCACTGACGAGACCAGAAGTGGCATGAAAAACAGTACAAGAAAGCCCATTTGGGCACAGCCCTGAAGGCCAACCCTTTTGAGGGTTGCATGAGAGGTGCTTCTCATGCAAAAGGAATTGTGCTGGAAAAAATAGGGGTTGAAACCAAACAGCCAAATTCTGCCATCAGGAAGTGTGCCAGCATCCAGCTGATCAAGAATAGCAAGAAAATCACAGCCTTTGTACCCAATGGTGGTTGCTTGAACTTTATTGAGAAAAACGATAAAGTTCTTGTTGCTGGATTTGGTTAAAAAGGTCATGCTGGGCCGAGCACAGTGGCTCATTGTTGTAATCCCAGCACTTTGGGAGGCCAAGGCAGGTGGATCATGAGGTCAGGAGTTCGAGACCAGCCTGGCCAACATGGTGAAACCCCGTCTCTACTAAAAATTTAAAAAAATTAGCCAGGCATGGTGGAGGGTGCCTGTAATCCCAGCTACTCAGGAGGCTGAGGCAGGAGAATCGCTTGAACCTGGGAGGCAGAGGTTGCAGTGAGCCGACATCATGCCACTGCACTCCAGCCTGGGCAATGAGAGCGAGACTCCATCTCAAAAAAAAAAAAAAAAAAAAAGGTGATATTCCTGGAGTCTGCTTTAAGGTTGTCAAAGTGCCCAATGTCTCTCTTTTGGCCCTATACAAAGGCACGAAGGAAAGACCAAGATCATAAACTTTAATAGTGAAAACACTGTAGTGACGGGCCAGGCGTGATGGCTCACGTCTGTAATTCCAACACTTTGGGAGGCCAAGGCAGGTGGATTCCTTGAAGCCAGGAGTTCGAGACCAGCCTGGCCAACATGGTGAAACCCCGTGTCTACTAAAAATTTAAACATTAACTGGGTGCGGTGCTGCGCACCTGTAATCCCAGCTACTCAAGAGGCCAAGGCACAAGAATGGCTTGAATCTGGGAGGTAGAGGTTGCAGTGAGCTGAGATCGCACCACTGCACTCCAGCCTGGACAACAGAGTGAGACTTAGTCTCAAAAAAAAAAGAAAAAAAAAACTGTAGTGATAAATTTTTATATGCAAAAAAAAAAAAAAACAAAAAATTAGCCACCATAGTGGCACAGGCCTGTCGTCTCAGCTACTTAAAGGGCTAAAGCAGGAGGATTGCTTGAGCCTGGGGGTCAAGGCTACAGTAAGCCATGTTCACCTCACTGCACTCCAGCGTGGGCAACAAAGTGAGACCCTGTCTCAAAAGAAAGAAAGAAAAAATAATAATTATATATGTACACACACACACACACACACATATATATATGTATAAATGGAGAGAGAAGTCAGAAATATGTGGATATTTGAATAAATATACGGAAGTAACATAATTCAACGTACGTTAAATAAATGTCAAATAAGTGGCAAAGATAATTATTTAATTTCCTGAGAAAGCAGGTCTTGATTTGGTTAATGGTAGAATTTGATAGGTATTCACATAGTTGACACCGTTTATTGAATATGTAATAAATGCAAAGCTCTGAGCAAGCACTTTACATACATCAGTTTTTCCCTGGCTAATAACTGGTCTTCCTGCTTGCACCTTTGACTGCTGCTCCCCTGCTCTGCCTGCTGAACAGCCTACTCACAACACTCCCTGTGCCTAGCTGACTCCTTGACTCCTACAGCACCAAATGAGTCTTCCAAATGCTGCAGATCATATCACTCCTCTGCTCAAAACCTTCAAAACCCTCCCATTTCCCTCAGAGTAAAAGCCAAAGTCTTTTTTTTTTTTCTTTTTTGAGACAGGGTCTTGCAGTGGCACCATGATGGTTCACTGAAGCCTCAACCTCCCAGGCTTAAGTGATCCTCCCATCTCAGCCTCCCAAATGCCTGAGATTACAGGTGTGCACCATCACACCTGGCTAATTTTTCTATTTTTTGTGGAGATAGGTATTCACTATGATGCCCAGGCTGGTCTCAAACTCCTGGGCTCAAGAGATCTGCTCACCTCAGCCTCCCAAAGTGCTAGGATTACAGGCGTGAGCCACCGCCTGGCCCCAAGCCAAAGCCTTTACAATGACATATTGGCCCTCTATGTGCGCTGCATTCCCCTTTGACCTCTTTGACTTTGTCTCTGTTACTGTGCTGTAGCCATGCTGGCCTCCTTACTCTTCCTCATATACATCAAACACGCTCCCACCTTAAGGCCTTTGCACTTGCTTTTCCCTCTATCTGGATACTTTTCCCCTGGATAGACCATGACTCACTCAACTCACTCTCACTACCTTTGGGTCTTTGTTCTGATGTCATCTCAGCAAAGCCTTCTCTAACCACCCTGTTTAAAACTGCAACCCTCCTACCACTCCCTGTCCCCACTTCTCTGCTTTATTTTTCTTCATACTATTCATCACCTTTTAATATGCAATAAAATTTACTTATTTATTTTATTATCTGTATTCTCATGCTAGAATGTAAGTTCCATGAGAACAGGAATTATTTTTTGTGTGTTTTATTCACTGCTATCTTCCCAGTATCTATTATAGGAAAATGCTTGATATACACCAGGAGCTCAGCAATTATTTGCTGAATGACCTCCATTTAATCCCCAAATCAAACCTGTGAGGTAGGTCCTATTACCTCCATTTGTATACAGGCAAGGAGAATGAGGCACAGAGAAGATCACACTGGGATCTCCAGCCCAGATCTTCCCTCTAGGGTTTCCATCTGCCTACTGGGCATCTCCATGTGTAAGCCCCACAGCCACCTCAAACCAAAGGTAAAAACTTAATTTATCTCTTTGTCCACACATACTTCTTTTTTTTCTTATTTTTTTATTATACTTTAAGTTCTAGGGTACATGTGCACAACGTGCAGGTTTGTTACATATGTATATATGTGCCATGTTGGTGTGCTGCACCCATTAACTCGTCATTTACATTAGGTATATCTCCTAATGTTATCCCTCCCTCCTCCACTGACCCTACGACAGGCCCCAGTGTGTGATGTTCCCCACCCTGTGTCCAAGTGTTCTCATTGTTCAATTCCCACCTATGAGTGAGAACATGCGGTGTTTGGTTTTCTGTCCTTGAGACAGTTTGCTCAGAATGATGGTTTCCAGCTTTATCCATGTCCCTACAAAGGACATGAACTCATCCTTTTTCGTGGCTGCATAATATCCCATGGTGTATATGTGCCACATTTTCTTAATCCAGTCTATCATTGATGGACATTTGCGTTGGTTCCAAGTCTTTGCTATTGTGAATAGTGCCACAATAAACATACATGTGCATGTGTCTCTATAGCAGCATGATTTATAATCATTTGGGTATATACCCAGTAATGGGATTGCTGGGTCAAATGGTATTTCTATTTCTAGATCCTTGAGGAATCGCCACACTGTCTTCCACAATGGTTGAAGCAGTTTACAGTCCTACACAGTGTAAAAGTGTAAAACTACAGTTTTACACAGTGTAAAAGTGTTCCTATTTCTCCACATCCTCTCCAGCACCTGTTGTTTTTAATGATTTTTAATGACTTTAATGATTTTAATGACTTTTTAATGATTGCCATTCTAACTGGTGTGAGATGGTATCTCATTGTGGTTTTGATTTGCATTTCTCTGATGACCAGTGATGATGAGCATTTTTTCATGTGTCTGTTGGCTGCATAAATGTCTTCTTTTGAGAAGTATCTATTCATATCCTTCACCCACTTTTTGATTAGGTTGTTTGATTTTTTCTTGTAAATTTGTTTAAGTTCTTTGTAGATTCTGAATATTAGCCCTTTGTCAGATGGGTAGATTGCAAAAATTTTCTCCCATACTGTAGGTTGCCTGTTCACTCTGGTGGTAGTTTCTTTTGCTGTGCAGAAGCTCTTTAGTTCAATTAGATCCCATTTCTTAATTTTGGCTTTTGTTGCCGTTGCTTTTGGTGTTTTAGACATGAAGTCCTTGCCCATGCCTGTGTCCTGAATGGTATTGCCTAGGTTTTCTTCTAGGGTTTTTATGGTTTTAGGTCTGACATTTAAGTCTTTCATCCTTCTTGAATTAATTTTTGTATAAGGTGTAAGGAAGGGATCCAGTTTCAGCTTTCTACATATGGCTAGCCAGTTTTCCCAGCACCATTTATTAAATAGGGAATCCTTTCCCCATTGCTTGTTTTTGTCAGTTTTGTCAAAGATCAGACAGTTGTAGATGTGTGGTATTATTTCTGAGGACTCTGTTCTGTTCCATTTGTCTATATCTCTGTTTTGGTACCAGTACCATGCTGTTTTGGTTACTGTAGCCTTGTAATATAGTTTGAAGTCAGGTAGCGTGATGCCTCCAGCTTTGTTCTTTTTGCTTAGGATTGTCATGGCAATGTGGGCTCTTTTTTGGTCCCACATGAACTTTAAAGTAGTTTTTTCCAATTCTGTAAAGAAAGTCATTGGTAGCTTGATGGGGATGGCATTGAATCTATAAATTACTTTGGGCAATATGGCCATTTTCACGATATTGATTCTTCCTATCCATGAGTATGGAATGTTCTTCCATTTGTTTGTGTCTTCTTTTATTTCGTTGAGCAGTGGTTTGTAATTATCCTTGAAGAGGTCCTTCACATCCCTTGTAAGTTGGATTCCTAGGTATTTTATTCTCTTTGAAGCAATTGTGAATGGGAGTACACTCATGATTTGGCTCTCTGTTTGTCTGTTATCGGTGTATAGGAATGCTTGTGATTTTTGCATATTGATTTTGTATCCTGAGACTTTGCTGAAGTTGCTTATCAGCTTAAGGAGATTTTGGGCTGAGACGATGGGGTTTTCTAAATATGCAATCATATCATCTGCAAACAGGGACAATTTGACTGCCTCTTTTCCTAATTGAATACCCTTTATTTCCTTCTCCTGCCTGATTGCCCTGGCCAGAACTTCCAACACTATGTTGAATAGGATTGGTGAGAGAGGGCATCCCTGTCTTGTGCCAGTTTTCAAAGGGAATGCTTCCAGTTTTTGCCCATTCAGTATGATATTGGCTGTGGGTTTGTCATAAATAGCTCTTATTATTTTGAAATACGTCCCATCAATACCTAATTTATTGAGAGTTTTTAGCATGAAGCGCTGTTGAATTTTGTCGAAGGCCTTTTCTGCATCTATTGAGATCATCATGTGGTTTTTGTCTTTGGTTCTGTTTATATGATGGGTTATGTTTATTGATTTGCATATGTTGAACCAGCCTTGCATCCCAGGGATGAAGCCCACTTGATCATGGTGCATAAGCTTTTTGATGTGCTGCTGGATTCGGTTTGCCAGTATTTTATTGAGGATTTTCGCATCGATGTTCATCAGGGATATTGGTCTAAAATTCTCTATTTTTGTTGTGTCTCTGCCAGGCTTTGGTATCAGGATGATGCTGGCCTCATAAAATGAGTTAGGGAGGATTCCCTCTTTTTCTATTGATTGGAATAGTTTCAGAAGAATGGTACCAGCTCCTCTTTGTACCTCTGGTAGAATTCGGCTGTGAATCCATCTGGTCCTGGACTTTTTTTGGTTGGTAGGCTATTAATTATTGCCTCAATTTCAGAGCCTGTTATTGGTCTAGTCAGGGATTCAACTTCTTCCTAGTTTAGTCTTGGGAGGGTATATGTGTCCAGGAATTTATCCATTTCTTCTAGATTTTCTAGTTTATTTGCGTAGAGGTGTTTATAGTATTCTCTGATGGTAGTTTGTATATCTGTGTCCACACATACTTCTATAGTTCTTCCACTTGAGTTTCAGATCTCAGTGCATGGTTTTGCCATCTCAGTGTATTTACCCAACTGTCTGAGCCAAAGGCGCAGCATAATCCCCAGTTGTCACTGCTCTCTCATTCCCTACATCCAACCAATCACTAAGCCCTGTCTATCTTACCTCCTCAACATGAAAGCAATGCATTTCTCTCTATCCCCACAGAAACACCCTAGTGTAAGAAAGTCACTATCTTCTTGGACTTAACTGTAGTATCCTGCCTTGTCACTCTGTTTCCATATTTGCCATCTCCATCCACTTTCCACACTGCAGCCAGATCATAACTGAATATATTAGAAAATATTTAAGTGGCCTACAATGCCAAGCACAAATCTAATCATATCATCACATCACTTACCTTCTAAAAAGCCTACAGTGACCTCTCAGGTTTCCTATGAAAAAGTTCTAACTTAACGTGACATTTCAAAGGTCCTTCATAATATATCCTTTGCTTAACCTCCAGTCTCATATATCTCTCTCTGTCTCTCCACAGAGTCTTGCTCTCTTATCTCCCAGGCTAGAGTGCTGGAGTGCAGTGGTGCGATCAAGGCTCATTGCAGCCTCTACCTCCCAAACTCAAGCAATCCTCTCATTTCAGCTTCCTGGAGTAGCTGGGACTACAAGCCTGCACTACCATGCCTGGCTAATCTTTGTATTTTTTTGTAAAGACAGGGTTTCACCACATTGCTCAAGCTGGTCTTGAACTCCTGACCTCAAGTGATCCACCCCCATCAGCCTCCCAAAGTGCTGGGATTATAGGCGAGAGCAGCTGTGCCCAGCCCTCATCTCTTGTAACTTCCCCTCTCACACCCTAGATTACATTTAACTCGGGTCCTCAAATACTCCATGCTCTCTCACCTCCTGGTATTTGCCTAAAACAGTTTCCCCCTTTGTGAGTCAGTTTCCTAGGGCTGTCATAAAAAATTACCACAGCCAGGAATGGTGGTGCAGGCCTGTAGTTACAGCTACTTGGGAGGCTGAGGCAGGAGGATCCCTTCAGCCCCAAGGGCTCTGGGCTATAGTGCACTATGCCAATCAGGTGAGATTTAGATTATGTCACATTAGTTAAATACTTGTAATCCCAAAGCTTTGGGAGCCCAAAGCAGGAGGATCACTTGAGCCCAGAAGTTCAAGACCTGCCTGGGCAATGTAGGGAAACTCTCTACAAAAAACTTAAAAATTAGCCAGGCAGGGTGGCTTGCACCTGTGGTCCCAGCTACTCAGGAGGCAGAGGCAGAAGGACTGCTTGAGTCCAGGAGTTCAAGGCTGTAGTGAGCCTTGCACCCCTGTACTCCAGCCTGGGAGACCGTGAGACTCTGTCTCTAAAATAATAACAATAAATAACAGGCTGGGCGCGGTGGCTCACGCCTGTAATCCCAGCACTTTGGGAGGCCGAGGCGGATGGATCACTTGAGGTTGGGAGTTCAAGACCAGCCTGACCGACATGGAGAAACCCCGTCTCTACTAAAAGTACAAAATTAGCCAGGCATGGTGGCGCATGCCTTTAATCCCAGCTATTCGGGAAGCTGAAGCAGGAGAATCGTTTGAACCCAGGAGGTGGAGGTTGCAGTGAGCCAAGATCGTGCCATTGCACTCCAGCCTGGGCAACAAGAACAAAATTCCATCTCAAAAAATAATAATAATAATAATAATAAAGACAGCAAATACAAACACAAGCCACTAGTTTTGGTATGTAATATACATGAAACAATTAGTTATAAAATATAATGTGACATAAATTGTTAAGCAAAGATTAGAATTTCAAGGAAGAAAGGAAACTATAGACTAGAGCAAAAGTTCTCAAACTTGCACTGTGTCAGAATCAGCTGGAGTGATTGTTAAAACACATTGCTAGGCTACAGGATTTCTAAGTTAGTAGGTGTGTAGTCAGGGCCAAGAATTTGTATTTCCCACAATTTGTATTTTCCCAGTGGTGCTGAAGACCACATTCAGAGCCATAGAGTATATAGAGAATACTCTGAGGGAAAGAAAAACTGAGTCTTGAAGGACCTGGTGGGAATTAAATTACATTATGCCATTTTCACAGGCAAGTGATGACATTGTGGATGGTTGAGTTCAAGGCTAGGGAAGAAAGTATCTGATCATAAGTCAGACTCTAATCAGAGCACCATAGGCACATTTCCTACCAACCACTGCTTCAGCCCCAACATTTAGAATGAGTCCTTTCCCTCTTCCTGAGAGGAAAGAAAAGGTTGTCTGTCACCATCCCAGAGAGTAGTGAAGCCTCCCATTGCTGTAACAGCAAGAAATCAGCCTATGTATTAATGAGAAGCAAGGTCTTACACTTTGTCCTCTGAGACAGCATGAAGTGATGCTCTTCTGCCCAGAACACTGAGATGTGAGAGGTTCCACTGCCAAAGCAGTGAGAAGCAAGTCCTTCCACCTCAGCAGCAGTAAGCAGATCCCTACCATAGCTGCAGAGAGAAGTCCACTGTTCTGGCAGCAAGGAGGAAGCTGATCACCACAGTCACTGATATTCGAGGCATGCATGTTTGTAAGTCAGATGTTTATACTATGGATCAGAGTCCTTTATCACATACAGCCTGCCAGCTGTACTTATTCTTAAAGAATGTATAACCTAAAACACCCAGTAACACATCTTCTAAGTCTGTTCATACACATACGCTCCAAAAAAAATGATAGGAAAGAAATGCAATCAATAGTGATTTACTCCAGATCGTAAGCTTACTGGTAGTATTTTCTTTTCTTTTTTATACTTTTCTATGTTTTCCAAATTCTCTGCAATGAGAATTTCTTTTAATTTAAAACAAAAGTTGCATTTTTAAACCTAACACAAAGTAATAATAATTAATGTTTGCATTCAAGCTGGTACCACTTAAGTGTTTGTCAAGGATCATAATTCATAAGTATTTTTCTAAACAAAACAGGGAGGTCAGAGCTGGACATGATAGCAGGTACCTATAGTCCCAGCTACTCAGGAGGCTGAGGAGGGAGGAGAATTTGAGCCCAGGAGTTCCAGTCCAGCCTGGCAACATAACAAGACCTCATCTCTCTCTAAAAAAAACAAAAACAAAAACTCTGGGAAGCCTTGGGGAAAAAAGGAGACCAAAAGCCAAGGAATACAGATATAAATAGTCAAATGGCCTGTGGAAGGTATCAGTAAATATTCTATAAATATCACAGAAATGGGCACTCAAATATTATTGAATGAATATGCAAATTAGATTTAAAATAAGTTTCTTCAGCATATGTAACTAGCAACTTGACTTTTTAAAATTTTTGTCCTATGTCTCTTTGTATCCATTTCTGAATTACTTTTTTTTTTAAAGCTATTTCCAAAGAAAATTCCAGCATACTGGCCCAGGAATGTTGTGGAGTCCCTACACTATGGGCTATGGAAAAAGGACACTTAAGCCAGACATATGCACACCTCCAAGCTCAAGCATGGCTGCCTTTGCTAATGCTGCCCGGATTGCAATAATGAAAGAAAAGGATTTATTTAAATTTCTTGAAGAGCTCAAGAGTAAGAGCCATTTGTTCTCTCTCTACTGTTGTAAAGGATTTATTTGTATATGACTGGTCAGAAAGAAGTACTAGAGCCCAAATGGCATAAGAACAGGACTGCAGCCTATTCTGAGTGACCACTCTCTGTCACATAGATGTCATTTGAAAGCAAATGTAGATGTAACTGAATCCTCAGACACCTGATGAAGCCTAGAGTCTGTGGATGGGTGGGGGGTGGGAGCAGGAGAGTGAAGAATGAGGGCCATGGCCACTGAGAAGAATAGACAAAGCAAAACAGGCACCACATGCTGGTCTTTTATGTGAACTTCTTCTTACATTGTTTGTGATACCATTTTTGTTTTTATCTTTTTAGGATGCAATTCCGGTTCAGATAGCCCATATTCAAAAATACCCATCTTTCCATTGTTCCCTAATGTGGATGGGGTGGTGATGGGAAAGCCATTCAAAGACATGCAGAAATTAGAGATGCTAAGAATAAAGGAGCCTTTGCATTTCTTTGAGGATTATTTTTTCCATAAAAGAGACTGGAAAACACAGGTGAGATTTAGATTATGTCACATTAGTTAAATACTTGGATTTTTAAGCACTAACTTAACAGAACTAATGACATGCTTTTTACAACAAATAGTTTTAGTCATTATTTTCAAAGCAGATGCCATAACCATGTTCCTAAATTTAAGTCCAGGTATTAACATTTCATTTAATTTCAACAAATAGGTAAACTTACTAAAAAATACAGCTTTGGGGTTGGGGATGGGGAATATAGGAATAATAACAATAAAATTTTCTCCAATCCTATCTCTGACTGCTCCCCCAACCACTCAGGGACCAGAAGCTGCACTCTGGACACGCTCCATCCACTCTAGATTGTGGTTGGGCAAACACCATGAGATGAGAAGACCAGGCCCGCAACCCAAAGGGGCAGTGCTGTGATGGAGGGGCCATCCTGCCCTCGACTAGATCCCCATTTATGGTCCCAGCTGCACCTTCTGGCCTTGCTTCAAGTTCTGTTGACTCTAGTCTTTTTGCCCCCCCTCCCAGGATATACTTTTGTCATCATAAGTTTTAAGGTCTCCAGCAACTATGCCCAAGTTTCTAGATAAACTCTCAAGAGGCTCTGGCCTCACCCCAGGTAAGGCCTCTAGGCCTAAGAAACAGAATGGAAACTTAACTGGAGGCCAGCCCACCCTGTGGAGCTCTGGGTTCCAGAGGTCCATGTGTTGTTCACATCACTATACAATTCCTAGAAGGCCCCTCCCCACATAGAGTTTAAGAGGCCCAGAGGGGTATCACTGTCACAAATGACCTCAGGTTCAGACTTTATCTTTCACCAAATGAAGTAACACCCACAGGCAAATATCATTGAGAAGATGGAAATAAGAGGACATTTATCCTCTTTTAAACTTATGTCCCAACATTCAACTACTCCTCCACCCCAGATGCTTATCTGTTTATTGTCAATCTCTCCAACTAGAATATAACATTCATGTACACAAGGGTTGTATTTCTTTCACTAAGGTATCCCTATCATCTAAAATAGAATTTGGCCCACAGGTAACTCAGTATTTTTTGGAAGAAAGAATACTGTAATACAAATACTTTATTTCCTGAGAGCATACTATATGCTAGATTGTCTCTAATAATCTCAGCAGAAATAATGTCAATAGCTTCCTAAATGGTCCCCTTGCTTCTACTATTGTCCCCTTCAATCGATTCTCAACCCAGCAGCCAAAGTGGTTCTGTTAAAATCAGATTGAAACCCTCCAATGGCTTTTCATATCACGCAGAATGAAAACCAAAATTTTTATAACTTGTTACAATGTCCCACACAATCAAAACCTGAGCCTTCCAATAATTGTAGCCACTAGTAGCTGTTTAAGTTTCAATTAATTAAAATTAAATAAAATTACAAATTCAGTTCCTCAGTCACACCAGTCACATTGCAAATGCTCAACAGCCATATGTGGCTAATGGCTACTATACTGGATGACACAGAAATATAGAAAATTTCCATTATTGAGGAAAATGTTATAGGCCATCACTGATCTAGGCTCTCATTGCCTATCCAACAATCTCATCATCCACTGCTCACCATCCAGTGCATTCCACTCCATCCTCAAGACCTCTTTACTCTTCCTCTTACAGACTAGACGTGCTCTCACATCATGGTCTATGGCTTTGCTATTTCTTCTGCTCTAATGTTGTTCCTCAGAGAGCTGCATCATAGCTCTCCCCTCACCTCTTTTAGGTCTTGTCTCAAATGTCACTTTAGGAGGCCTCTCTAACAACCCCATTAAAATAACAATCCCCACATTGTCATTGTACTAAATGCCACTGAATTGTTCACTTCACATGGTTCATTTTATGTTACATGAATTTTCACTTTAATAATTTTTTTTTGAGTCAGAGTCTTGCTCTGTTGCCCAGGCTGGAATACAGTGGCGTGATCTTGGCTCACTACAACCTCCACTTCCCAGGTTCAAGCAATTCTCCTGCCTCAGCCTCCCAAATAGCTGGACCACAGGCATGCGCCACCACACCTGGCTAATTTTTGTATTCTTAGTAGAGATGGGGTTTCACCATGTTGGTCAGGCTGGTCTCAAACTCGTGACCTCAGGTGATCCACCTGCCTCAGCCTCCCAAAGTGCTGGGATTACAGGCATGAGCCACCACGTTTGGCCAATAAATTATTTTTTAAGTAAGTATTTAAATAGCTGGGTGCAATGGTACATACCCCTAATCCCAGCTGATTAGGAGGCTGAGGGAAGAGGATCACTTGAGCCCAGGAGTTCAAGGCTATAATATGCTATGATCATGCCTGTGAATGCACTGCACTCTAGCCCGGGCAACATAGTGAGGCTCCATCTCTAAAAATAAATTTTTTAATTAAAAATAAATTTAAAATAAAAATTTTTGAACAAATAAATATATTTATGTATTCAAATAAAATCACAACCCCCAATACCTTACCCCCTTTCCTGATTTTTTTCATAACACGTTACCATCTATTACATATTTACTAGTATATTACCTCTAATACACTACATATTTATATTTATTATACTACATGCATACATATGTATATTTACATCTATACCTACTGTATATGTACTATATTTACAAATATTATAATATACTACATTTAATGCTATTTCTATTAAACTATATGTTTATAGTTATATACATATGTAGTATATTACATCTAATCTAATATAATTGTATATTTATAAATGTTCATTAGAGGCTGGGTGCAGTGGCTCATGCCTGTAATCCCAGCACTTTGGGAGGCCAAAGCAGGTGGATCACCTGAGGTCGAGAGTTCGAGACCAGCCTGACCAACATGGAGAAACTCCATCTCTACTAAAAATACAAAATTAGCTGAGCGTGGTGGCATATGCCTGTAATCCCAGCTACTCAGGAGGCTGAGGCAGGAGAATCGCTTGAACCCGGGAGGCAGAGGTTGTGGTGAGCCAAGATCACACCATTGCACTCCAGCCTGGGCAATAAGAGCAAAATTCCATCTCAAAATGAAATAAAATAAATGTTCATTAGAACCAAGAAATAGGCTGGGCACAGTGCCTCATGCCTATAATCCCAGCACTTTGGGAGGCTGAGGTGGCTGGATCACTTGAGCTCAGGAGTTTGAGACCAACCTGAGCAACATGGTGAAACCCCGTCTCTACAAAAAAGAAAAGAAAGAAATGGTACTTTCAAGTTTCAGAAAGTAACTGAGTTACATGAACACTACTTGACCCCACACATAGACTCCCTATGACCACGTTAAAATATTGGATAGGGCTGGGTATGGTAGCTCATGCCTGTAACCCCAACACTTTAGGAGGCCAAGGAAGGTGGATTGCTTGAGCCGAGGAATTCGAGACCAGCCTAGGCAGCATGGTAAAATTCTGTCTCTACAAAATATATATATAAATATATATATGAATACTGGACTAAATAAAATGACAAACATTCAAAAATGTATTCAAAAGAAAGGAAAACCCCATGTTTCAGAAAGCAAGAGAGAGAGAGAGAGAGCACCTAAAGCCAGAATAACAAGTTCACAAGTTAACAAGTGGCAATAGATCTCGGCCCTGATGAGTTGGGATTGGGGTTTAGATGCCCATTCAGGGTCAGGAGATGTGGATCCCTGGAAGTAAGCAACTGGAATTGAAACCAGTATCTGTAAGGGTTGCCCTCTCAGTAAAAGGAGGGGTAAGAAACTCAGTCCATAGCCAAGCTTGGTCTGCTCAAAGCTCTGAATAGAGAAGAAAGTATTCTGTGAAGAATTTGAAACTCAGGATTGTAGGATGCATGGATTCAGAATCTGAATTTATAGTTTCCACATTGGATGAAATCTCCAAGCAGTAAAATTACCTTAAAAACCGGTTTTAGATTGGTATTACCTTGGGAGGTCTGCCAGACACAAACATAAACACATCCATATCCTAGGTTTGCACAGCTTATATCAAAAATCTTTTAAAATCTCTTTTAAAGATAGGTTCACAAAAATTACAAGCCATAAAAGGAAATAATCTACTCTCAAAAAAAGTCAGTAGGTAAACAAGAGGAGTATCATAATTTGATATAGCAGATCTTTAAAAGACTGTAAAACATGTTTTAAATTATTAAAGAGAGGTGTTTAGTAATGACTGAGTATTTTTAGGAATGACTGAGAATTTTTCTAAATTGATAAAAGATATGAATTCTTAAATTGAAGAAAACACCCTGGAGCAGCATATATAAAAGAAAATACAACTTGAAACATTGCAGTTGAAAATGGAGACAAAGAAAACACTTCAAAAGCAACCAGAGGCCAAGCACAGTGGCTCACATCTGTAATCCCAGCACTTTGGGAGGCCAAGGCAGGTGGATCGCCTGAGGTCAGGAGTTCAAGACCAGCCTGGCCAACATGATGAAACCCCATCTGTACTAAATACAAAAATTAGTCAGGCATGATGGCACATGCCTGTAATCCCAGCTACTTGGGAGGCTGAGGCAAGAGAATCTCTTGAACCCAGAAGGCAGAGGTTGCAGTGAGCCGAGATTTGCACCACTGCACTCCAGCCTGGGCCACCAAGCAACACTCTGTCTCTAAAGAAAGAAAGAAAGAAAGAGAGAAAGAGATGGAGGGAGGGAGGGAGGGAGGGAGGGAGGAAGGAGGGAAGAAAGGAAGGAAGGAAAGAAGGAAGGAAGGAAGGAAGGAAGGAAGGAAGGAAGGAAGGAAGGAAGGGAGGGAGGGAGGAAGACAGACAGAAAAAATAAATAACTTACAAAGGAACAAAAAGTAGACTAACAGGAGACCATGCATGCAAAAATAAAGGCCAGAAGACAATCAAATAATATCTATAGATTGAGGAGAGAAAAGTATTTCCAGCTAAGCTATCATTCAAGAGGGAGAGTAAATAAAAACACTTTCAAGGCCGGGCATGGTGGCTTACACCTGTAATCTCAGCACTTTTGGAGGCCAAGGCAGGCGGATCACCTGAGGTCAGGAGTTCGAGACCAGCCTGGCCAACATGGTGAAACCCCATCTCTACTAAAAATACAAAATGTAGCCAGGCATGGTGGCGCGTGTCTGTAATCCCAGCTACTAGGGAGGCTGAGGCAGGAGAATCACTTGAACCCGGGAGGCAAAGGTTGCAGTGAGCCAAGATCCCACCACTGCACTCCAGCGAGACTCTGTCTCAAAAAAAAAAAAAAAAAAAAAGAATGTTTGACATTATAAGGGTGTTGTTCTTTCTTACTTGTCTATAACTTTAATGTGATTTTTTCAAATTTTCCCCAAGGGTTTTTTGTTGTTGTTGTTGAGACAGGGTCTCAACTTTGTCACCCAGGCTGGAGTGCAGTGATGTGATATCAGCTCACTACAACCTCTGCCTCCCAGGCTCAAGCAATCCTCCCACTTCAGCCTCTCTAGTAGCTGGGACTACAGACACGTGCCACCATGCCCAGCTAGTTTTTGTATTTTTAGTAGAGATGGGGTTTCGCCATGTTGGCTGGTCTTGAACTCCTGGGCTCAAGCAATCCACCCTCCTCAGCCTCCCAAAGTGCTGGAATCACAGGCATGAGCCACTTTCATGACTCTGTCTCAAAAAAAAAAAAGTCTCAATTATTAAAACAGTATGATATTAACAGACAGACCCAAGGAAGAAAATAGAAAGTCCCAAAATAAATAGAGCTATGTGGAGAATTTTAACTTAAGGAAAACGTGACATTTCAACACAACAGGAAAATGATAGATTATTCAACAAATAATGCACTGAGTAGGCATCTGAGGAAAAAAATGAGATTCACACTTCATATACAAATTGCAAATGGATGAAATGTAAAAGGAATAAATGGAGGGTCAGAGAGAAAGAAAAAGAAAAGAAACCTTAAACATACTGAAATAAACTCTGGGAAAGCCTCCCTAACTGTGATACAAAAGTCAAATGCATTTTTAAATAAAAAGATATTAATTCCACTGCTTCAAGATCAAAAATCTCCATATGGCCAAAAAAAATCACAGTTGCCACTCATAACACAGAAGGCTAACTTCAAAGAACTTCAAATTCATAAGAAAAAAATAACCTATATAAAAATGGGCAAAGGGTATGAACAGACAGTTCTCAGAAACATGAAAAAATATTCAACCTCATTCCTCATAAAAGATCCAAGTTAAAACTCTCCTCAGATATTTATCTTTTCATATTATATTGATCAAGATGAAAAAACATGGGTATACTCATAAGTTACAGATACGTTTGTAAATTGGTTCACCCTCTACAGAGGAAATTTGGCAATAATTACCAAAAGGACAGACCTCACACCTTTTGACCTAGCAATTCCAGTCCTAGGGCACCATCTAGGATATACAGATATTTTTGCACATATGCCAAATGCCACTCCTGAGGGACCCGGAAAAAAGTCTAAACAAACAAACAAATGGTTTGGCAATAACCTTATAAATTATATACAAATCCTTCTATAATAAAATATACTTATTTATTATGTCTTTTTGTTGTATAATTCAAATTAAAATGTATTACTAACCTTCTTTTTTAAATATGCATAAAGGCAGCAAATATAAAGTCTATGGACCCTGCCTCAGGTTATTCAAATAACATCTTCACCATTGATCAAATGCTCAAGAAAAAGCAGACTTGTACAGTGGCCGATGCAACTGCTATTAAACAACATGTGAGTATTCCTTGTTGAGTTCCTTCCCAGAAATCACTGACAAAAATATTGTCCACTTCAATACTACACCATAAAACCAAGAGAATTTTTATCTGCTCTATGTCTTTAAAATGAGACAAGGTTGTTTCTCATGTTTACCCATTGTAATAACACCATTTCTTTCTCTATAATCAAATGGATTCAAATGTTAAGTGTTATGATTCATCCTGCTATTCACCTATGCAGCTATACTCACTGTTATTTCTGGGACATTCATTTGTGTTATTCCAGAAATATCAAACTAATTAAGGTAGTTAACCAACAGTCACAGTGAGTAGTGTACTCAGAGATTCATGGTGAAAGAATCTTACGTCCTGAGGCCTCTAGCCCTGGGACACCAGCTGCACCAGGGCTAAGAAGCTTGAGAAGATCAATAGTTTGATATTAATACATTGGAAATCTTGGCATTAGGTAAAGAACAGCTAGGGCAAGTATTCTTTGGGCTATCTCAATCTATCCTCCTTGGTTCAGCTGCCACCTATGTACTGATTACTGTTAAAGTTGTCACTAACCTAACTTCTTTCCTCTATGTCTGTCCTATCTCACTGACCACCTGATGACTATTTCTACCTCTACGCTGGGTCTCATAACATAACAAACTCAACATGTCCAAAACAAAACTCATCATCTTCTGCAGCCAACTGGTTCTCCCCTGGGAATTCTGTATCTCAGGTGTTTGTTTGTTTGTTTTGTGTGTGTGTGTGTGTGTGTGTGTGTGTTTAAATAAGGTCAACTTTTATTTTAGATCCACGGGGTACATGTGCAGGTTTGTTATGAGAGTATATTGCATGTGTCTCAGTTGATAGCATCTACTCAGTCACTGAAGCTAGAAAGCCAGGAGCTATCCTTAACTCGGGTTTTTTCCTCATTCCTCACATCTGCTAATCCCCAGGTCTGGCTGATTGTCATTCTCTAAAAGGTTTTTCAGGGCTGGGCATGGTGGCTCACACCTGTAATCCTAGCACTTTGGGAAGCTAAGGCAGGCGAATCACCTGAGGTCAGGAGTTTGAGACCAGCCTGGCCAACATGGTGAAACCCCGTCTCTACTAAAAATACAAAAATTAGCTGGGCATGGTCGTGGGCGCCTGTAATCCCAGCTACTCGGGAGGCTGAGGCAGGAGAATCCCTTCAACCCAGGAGGCAGAGGTTGTGATGAGCCAAGATCGTACTACTGCAGTCCAGGTTAGGCAACAGGGCAAGACTCCGTCTCAAAAACAAAAAAAAACAAAAAAAAACAAAAAAACCACATTTTTCAAATCTGTCCCCTTCACTCCATCCCCATTACCACTGCCTTAGATGAGGCAGTCTCCAACCTGGTATCCTCCAACCATTCTCCACACAGCTGCTAATGATCCAACATGAAGAGCCAACCATGGCACTGTACTGCTTAAAAGTGAACATGTCCCTCTCAATGATGGCAATTTCAACTCTATTTTCTGCTTAAGGGATTTATTTCACTTTCATTAGAAACAGTGGGTCACTACAGCATGATTTTCACTGAGGAATAGGCTTTTGCTAGCCTCACAGAGATTACTGACTTATAAGATTAAGTGTAAGGGCCTGCCTGTCCTTTGTCATTATTTATTCCTCCCACTTTAAACTTGACACTCCAGCAATACCAAGTGCCTGAACCCTCCTGCCACACCTCCAGGATATTTACTGCCTTGGGGTCTCTGTTTGTGCTGTCCCCTCTCCCTGGAACACCTTCCCCTCACCACTTACTCCGTCAATTTGATCACATCCTTGAGGACCTACTCAGCTCAGCATCTTCTCCCAGTCAGTTCTCCCTATCCTAGGCTGAACTGAGTGGCTGAATTGGCCCTCCTGTTATATCCCTAGCCTATCTCCATACCATACTTCAGTCTATTTTAGTCCATTGTATTTTTCATATCCTTATAAAATTTCTTATTACCTCATTATTCCCAAGCAGTACATTTTGATTGTCCATCACCTCCTAGCTCACACGTCCTCACGAGGCACCACCTAATGTATAGATTCAGTGACTTTCGAGTAGCCCAGGGACATAACTCTTGGGGTATCTATCATTGTGGTCCACAAATCAAAGCTACTTTAAGGTAACTACAATAAACTTCTGGTCTCTCACTGCAGGTGAAGAGAGCTACTGATACCTATAATTTAGGAATTGCCCTTGAACACCGAAAAGAGATGCTAAACCTCTGGCAGAAGATCCGAGGGGATTTGATTGGGATGGACTCTAGAAATGAGTCCTTTTATGACACCTTTTCTACTTATACATGGTCCTGGAATGTTTGCCAAGAATTACTTTCTCCTAAGGACTTAAGGTTATATGATGCCTATGTGAATAGAAATTCCTCCCATAACTCCAGATCCTCTTCCTCATCAGATACCAGTGAATGTTACACAGACTCAGGAAGAAAAAGAAAACGGAAAGGTTTAAAGGGATTTCAACAATGAAATTTCTACATTTTCTAAACAGCTCATCACAAACTACTTTTTCATAGTTATCAAAATTATTGTTTCTTGCTTTTGTCTAAGTACATTCTTAGAAGCTGGAAATTTTGACATCTTTTGGATTCTGACCAGTAAAAAAGTTTAAGTCATAAAATGGTTTCCCTTTCCTAAATCTTTTTTTTTTTTTTTTTGAGACAGAGTCTTCCTCTGTCACCAGGCTGGAGTGCAGTGGCATGATGTTGGTTTACTGTAACCTCCACCTCCTGGGTTCAAGCCATTTTCCTGGCTGAGCCTCCCGAGTAGCTGGGATTACAGGCACCCACCACCACACCCAGCTAATTTTTGTATTTTTAATAGAGATGGGGTTATCACCATGTTGGTCAGGATGGTCTACGATCTCCTGACCTCGTGATCCACCCGCCTCGGCCTCCCAAAGTGCTGGGATTACAGGCGTGAGCCACCGCACCCGGCCCCCTTTCCTAAATCTTTACTAGTAAATAGATGCTGGGCTGTTAGTTCCCTAGCAACCAGCTGCACTCTGCTGCCCCTACCTGGCTTAAGACTGCCTAAGCCTCATCAGGAAGGAGAAAAGTTGGCCTGAGCTAAGGGCCCTCCAAGCAATAAACCTCTGAGTTTATGGTGAGTGTAAACTGGGTTAGGTTTTCAATTGTTTGTGAAAGAGACTAGAGACAGCAGCTGAGGATGACCTTTCAGTTTCAGGGAATAGGATCAGCAAGCCCTAAATGAACCTTGATTAAATTTGGGTATTCCCAAGGCTCCTTAGCTACACAGCTGCACACTTAGATTGCTCTTACAAATAGCTGAACACAGCCAGATGCGATGGCTCATGCCTGTAATCCCAGCACTTCGGGAGGCTGAGGCGGGCGGATCACCTGAGGTCAGGAGTTCAAGGCCAGCCTGGTCGACATGGTGAAACCCTGTCTCTACTAAAAATACAAAAATTAGTCGGGCGTGGTGGCACACGCCCATAATCCCAGCTACTCTGGAGGCTGAAGCGGGAGAATTGCTTGAACCTGGGAGGTCGAGGTTGCAGTGAGTTTATGGTGAGTATAAACTGCGATTATGCCACTGCACTCCATCCTGGGTGACAGAGCAAGATTCTGTCTCAAAACAAAACAAACAAACAAAATGAATAGCTGATCACATCCATTGTATTTATTGTTGCTGTTCTTTAATGCATTTGATAAAGAAGCACATATATAACTATATTACAAGTTTGGGGGATTATAATTTTTTATTATGGTAAAATACACATTACATAAAATTTGCCCTTTCAATCATGTTTAAGTGTGTATCATCCATTACTGGGTTTTTTGTTTTGGTTTGTTTTGTTTTGTGTGTGTGTGTGTGTGTGTGTGTGTGTTTGTTTAGAGACAGGGTTTCACTCTGTCACCCAGGCTGGTATGCAGTGACAAAATCATGGCTCGCTGCAGCCTCAACCTCCTGGGCTCAAGCAATCCTCCCACCTCAGCCTCTCACGTAGCTGGAACTACAGGGGCACACCACCATGCCCAGCTAATTTTTTTTATTTTTATAGAGACGCGGACTCCCTATGTTGCTCAGGCTGGTCTCAAACTCCTGGGCTGAAGTGATCCTCCCACCTCAGCCTCCCAAAGTGTTGTTATTACAAGTATGAGCTACTGTGCCCAGTCCCACTGGGGTATTTTTCTGTGGTTCTCAAGGGTTGCCCACAGAGAGACAGACCACTTTTGGACTCAGGAAATCTGGATGTACCAAGACTAAATCTATATTAACCTTCTGATCTACTGTCAGGATGGCAAAATGTTTTATTTCTTGTGCCAATTCTGATCTAAAAATGTAAGGGATGAAAAAAAATATAAGGGATGAGATCAACTATTTGTAAATGTTGTCCGAGAAGCTGGTTTGCTGGTGTGTGGGTGCAAACCAGTCCATCACACTCAACATATAGAACAAATGCTTTTTAAATCACTATTCTAGAAAAATTTTGACCCAGAAAAAGGAAAAGATATGTCCAATATTGATGGGGACAATGCCTCATAATGTCAAAAAAAAAAAAAAAATTGAGGCAGAGTCTCACTCTGTTGCCCAGGCTGCAGTGCAGCAACGTGATCTCAGCTCGCTGCAACCTCCACCTCCCCAGGCTCAAGCGTTTCACCTGCCTCAGCCTCCCAAGTAGCTGGGATTACAGGTGCGTGCCACCACACCCAGCTAATTTTTGTATTTTTAGTAGAGATGGGGTTTCGCCATGTTGCCCAGGCTAGTCTCAAACTCCTGAACTCAGATGATTTGCCAACCTCAGCCTCCCAAAGTGCCGGGATAACAGGCATGAGTCACTGTGCCCCGCTGTAAAATTATAAAATGCCAGGAAAAAGCAATGAAGATAGTGCCCCCAAAACTGTTTATTGAAATGGCCTTGAGGTAATTTTGTGAGTGTTAACATGAATAGTCAAAAGAGTCTAAATATACCTGCTATTATTTATAAAGATACAATGTTGGAGAGAAGAACTAACCTTATAGGTAGATAAGCAGCCATATTTTCTAGCTAAAAACAAGATTTATGACTTGACAAGAGACTTTTCATATGGCTGTGGGTATAACAGGGAATCTAGGAGATATAATTTGGATGCCAAAATGTTACAATTCCTGGAATATTTCTTTGCATCAGTGAGATAACAGGGCAGAATATTTTTAATAGGATCTGTCCTGGAAAATCTAAAATGTACAGCAATACATTCTTTCTATTGAATTGTCACACACTGTTGATGACAGTGTAAATTGGCATCTCTGTGCTGAAATATGGTATAGCAAGAGGGTACTCACCCATCCATTCATTCATCAATTATCTACTGAGTTGCATACTGTTTGCCAGACCTAGTTCTAGGACCTGGACATATAACAGTTAACAAACAAGTAAAATGACTTAACCTCACAGAGCTTAGTGATGGAGCTAATTATAACCATTGACTCAGCAATTCCTCTCCTAGAAATTAATCATAAAGAAATAATCATGAATGTACAAAATTATTTCATTACAAAGATGTACACCATGTTGAATTTTTTTCTGTTTTTTTTTCTTTCTTTTTTTTTTTGAGACAGAGTCTCACTCTGTCACCCAGGCTGGAGTGCAGTGGCGTGATCTCAGCTCACTGCAACCTCCGCCTCTAGGGTTCAAGCCATTCTTCTGCCTCACCCTCCCGAGTACCTGGGACTACAGGTGCGTACCACCATACCTGGCTAATTTTTGTATTTTTAGTAGAGACGGGGTTTCATCATGCTGACCAGGATGGTCTTGAACTCCTGACGTCGTGATCCACCTGCCTCGGCCTCCCAAAGTGCTGGGATTACAGGTGTGAGCCACTGCACCCAGCCGTTAAATTTTTAATAGTATGAAACTTAAAGTGACCTAAATGTCCAATAAAGCATGATATAGCTATACGAAACAATACCAGAAGGACATTAAGTGATGTTGTAAAAGAATATTTCGAACAAAAGAATAATGTCCCCAAGTTATTATTAAGTTAAAAAGCAGACTACAACTGCTAAGTGGCATGGGAGAACTTCAAGGCGTTGTTCTAAAACTAGATTGTGACACTGATTACACAAATACAGATTTTTATGAAAATGTATTGAACTGTACACTTAAAATGGATGAATGTAATTGGGTTTTCTTGTTGTTGTTGTTGTTGTTGTTTGAGACGGAGTCTTGCTCTGTTGCCAGGCTGGCCTGCAGTGGCACGATCTCAGCCCACTGCAACCTCCGCCTCCTGAGTTCAAGCGATTCTCCTGTCTCAGCCTCCCGAGTAGCTGGGATTACAGGCACCCACCACTGTGCCCGGCTAATTTTATTTATTTATTATTTATTTATTTATTATTTATTTTTTTTGTGTGTGAGAAGGAGTCTCGCTCTGTCGCCCAAGCTGAAGTGCAGTGACACAATCTCGGCTCACTACAACCTCCAACACCCAGGTTCAAGTGATTCTCCTGCCTCAGCCTCCTAAGTAGCTGGGACTACAGGCGTGTACCACCACCCCTGGCTAATTTTTTGTATTTTAGTAGAGATGGGGTTTCACCATGTTGGCCAGGATGGTCTCGATCTCCTGACCTCGTGATCCGCCCACCTCGGCCTCCCAAAGTGCTGGGATTACAGACGTGAGCCACCACACCCAGCCTAATTTTTGTATTTTTAGTAGAGACGGGGGTTTCACCATCTTGGTCTGGCTGGTCTCAAACTCCTGACCTCGTGATCCACCCACCTTGGTCTCCCAAAGTGCTGGGATTACAGGTGTGAGCCACTGCGCCCAGCCAGATGAATGTAATTGTTTAAAAAAAAAAGCACAAAGCATTTTGTTCTGAAACTATTTTAATGTAAAGTCACTTACATAACTAAATTAGAAAGAAAGAACTGGGATGATATAAGCCAAAGCGTTAATGAGTCAAATTAATGGTGGGAAGAAGTATTTTCTTTTGTTTTATCGATATCTTCTAAATGTTCTATAATAAAAAATCTATTTTGCAATAAGAAAACACAGGCCAGGTGCAGTGGCTCATGTCTGTAATCCCAGCACTTGGGGGAGGCCGAGGCAGACGGATTGCTCAAGACCAGGAGTTCGAGGCCAGCCTGGGCATCATGGCAAAACACTGTCTCCACAAAAAATGCAAAAATTATTGGGGTATGGTGGCACAAACCTCTAGTCCCAGCTTCTCTGTTGGCTGATGTGGGAGAATCACTTGAGCCTGGGAGGCAGAGGTTGCAGTGAGCTGTGATCGTGCCACTGTACTCCAGCCTGCGTGACAGAGTGATGCCCTATCTCAAAGAAAAAAAGGAGAAGAAAGGCCGGGTGCGGTGGCTAACGCCTGTAATCCCAGCACTTTGGGAGGCTGAGGCAGACGGATCATTTGAGGTCAGGAGTTCAATATCAGCCTGGCCAACATTGTGAAACCCGTCTCTACTAAAATGCAAAAATTAGCTGGGTGTGGTGGCGATGGCCTGTAATCTCAGCTACTCAGGAGGCTGAAGCAGGAGACTGGCTTGAGCCCGGGAGGTGGAGCTTGCAGTGAACCGAGATCATGCCACTGCACTCCAGCCTGGGCGACAGAGCTTCGTCTCAAAAAAAAAACAAAAAACAAAAAAACACAATTAACTACCCTTGTCCTTGGCTAACAACCTAAAGCAATAATCCAGAATGAGAGTTTTTAACCTTTACAAGCGTTAAACCCATGCCACCCACTGAGCTAGAAGAGTTCTCCTTACTTACCACCAGAGGGACCCTTAGTTCCTCTGAAACGTGGCGTTTCTGAAGCTACAATCCAGTATAAAGTCTGACACCAGAGAACTCACAGCCATGTCAAACTTATGAAAAATTATTTTAGGTGCTTCGAAAAATAGGTTTTACAGGCCAATCAAATATAATTGTATAAAATTAAGTTTAGGCCAGGGGCGGTGGCTCACTCCTGTAATCCCAGCACTTTGGGAGGCCGAGGTGGGTGGATCATGAGGTCAGGAGATCGAGACCATCCTGGCTAACACGGTGAAACCCTGTCTCTACTAAAAACACAAAAAATTAGCCGGGCATGGTGGCGGGCGCCTGTAGTCCCAGCTACTCGGGAGGCTGAGGCAGGAGAATGGCGTGAACCCGTGAAATAGGGAGCTTGCAGTGAGCCGAGATCACGCCACTACACTCCAGCCTGGTAGACAGTGCGAGACTCCGTCTCAAAAATAAATAAATAAAAATAAAAAATAAAGTTAAGTTTAGGATACTTTAGCACATTTCACAGAAAAAAGGCCAAAGCTGTTTGACATTTAAAATGTCTCCACTGGAACTAATATAGTAAATTAGAGTGAAGACAATGAGCTGTCTGCAAGAAAATATGCAGTGGGACTGTTGATTGGGAACACTAACAGCTTTTAGTGAGGGGAGAATAAAAGCCCATAGATGAGAAAACAAGATGCCAGAAATAAATGTAAATCAACCACCATATCTGCAAACAGCTGGCCTTGAGAAAAGATAAAAATTCCTTGTACTTGTTTCTGGGTATGGAGCTTGTGTTCAAAATGTTTCCGAAGACCACAAGAATGGCAAAAGCATATTGTCTTCAAATGAAGTACAACTTATTTACTATTTTTTTTATTAACTTGTGTATTTTTCTTCCTGATTAGAGAGGCTTAGAGCTTGTTCCCATTTCTTTGGAGGAAAAAGTATAGAATCATTCATTGCTCCCCGTAGTTTTACCTACAGAAAGAATTTACAATGGAATAAACAATTACTGGCTGGGCGCGGTGGCTCACGCCTGTAATCCCAACACTTTGGGAGACCGAGGCGGGCAGATCATTTGAGGTCAGGAGTTTGGGACCAGCCCAGGCAACATGGTGAAACCCCATCTCTACTAAAAATACAAAAATTAGCTGAGTGTGGTAGCGCGCACCTGTAATCCCGGCTACTCAGGAGGCTGAGGCAGGAGAACCACCTGAGCCCAGAACATGGAGGTTATAACGAGCTGAGATCCGGCTACTGCACTCTAGCCTGGGAAACAGAGCAAGACTCCGTCTCAAAAAAAAAAAAAAGTACTAATTACCCATGTGCTATGTCTAGCACTGCACTAACCCTTTCCTTTTTTAAAAAAATTCATCTTTCCCTTTATTCTGACATTATGACATTAAATAAAGTCCAAGAGGTATTGGGCTGGTCCTTGTTTGGTCTCTGCCCTTTCCTTCTTTTCCAAGTGGTATTCATCATGCTTCTCTTGGAAGTCTTCTCAAATAACCTTATGTCTATAACATACTTTCTTCTAGATTCTTTTGAGAGTCTATTTGTGTTAGATCTAGAAATAGAAATGTAAGGCTGAAATGTATTACTATGACAAACTGTTTGTATGTGTGTATTACAATCTTAATTGTGCTAATAAGGATAATTATAATAAATATGCATGATTCAAAAAGGTTAGATGGTTATAATTTAAAAAAAAATTGTCCTTGGATATTCCATTTGATTTGCTAAGCCTCGTGTTCTCTAATTTCATATCTCCATCTCCCCCTACCCCAACCAAAATATATATACACACTGTGTATACATATACACCCACACTATTAAGAGCTGAATATAGAAGCTGGAAATTGCCCTGTTTCTTCCCGCTGCTTGCTACCTTCTTCAGTTCTGGACATCGGCTCCGCAGTGGAACTAGGTAGCCTCAACTCTTATAATGATTCAAGATTTTTCCTGTTTTATAACTTGAGGGAAGCTGGGGAACCTGTTAAGAGGATCCCAGCATTGAACTGGGTCTCAAGTGGAATGTCTCCCACTTTCTGCCTAACCTGCACGTCCATCAGCACCTCATCAATGAGAAACGACTCCTCCGGGGAGAATTTCCCCCTGCCTGGTCCCCTCTCCTAGAGAGCCCTTCGCCAACCCTGGGACAGCCCCAAACGACAGCTCCCGAGCGCCACCCGGACCAGACTCCAGTGCCGCCCTGTCCCGCCACCCTTTTTCCCGCCCAGACTCCGCGTCTTCTGAAAGAGGGCGTGGTCCGCAGGAAGTTCTCACGTTACGGAAAGTAAAGTGTTTCCGGCTCCGGTGTCATGGCCGGCTCCTACCCTGAAGGTGCACCTGCAGTCCTCGCCGATAAGAGGCAGCAGTTCGGAAGCCGGTTCCTGAGAGATCCGGCGCGCGTCTTCCACCACAATGCCTGGTAATCACTCTGCCCCTTCGCCCGGCCTGTCGCTGACCCTCTGTCCCGCCGCCTCGGAGCACTCCGAAAAGCCCCTGACCGCCGGCCACGAGTCAAGCTGCCCTACCCGAGGCACTCTCCAAGGGGAGAGAAACTCCTAGGCCAGCGACTCACCCTGCCCGCAGCCAGGACGTGAGGCCCCTAAGCTGCCCGTTTGATTTTCTCAGGGACAATGTGGAGTGGTCGGAAGAGCAAGCCGCGGCGGCGGAGAGAAAAGTCCAGGAGAACAGTATCCAGCGGGTGTGCCAGGAGAAACAAGGTGCGCTTAAATGGGCTCTCATTGGTATCAACAGCCAGCGTACTGCCGAACGCGCCCTCCCGGAGAGGCCAGGGAACCGCGGCCGCCCAGATCCTTTATTCCTGGCCTGATGCAGATCTCAGGAGTAGAGCGGGACAGGGAGGGGATGAGCAAGGAGAGAAAAGGGCTGCATTGTAACAAAATCTTAAGTCGTAGAGGGTTTTTTTATATATAGTTTTACTTTGGAGGAGGGTAATGTTGTCTTTAATTATGTTTAGTAGATCCACGTTGATATGGCTAGCCAATGACAACTGTGTGGTCACGCGATCATCTTAGAACCTGTACTTTTTACTTGATTTGCATTTTCCATGAGGAGATGTTTTCCATTGAAGCTTCATTGAAGTGATTAGATTCTAAATATTGTTGGGAGGGGGGCTAGTGACTGGTGACTGTGTGTCTATTACTTGTGTGATGGTTATGAGAATTTAGGGCTTTAGTCAAGGAAAGGTGGATGCAGCAGAGTGGAGATAAGTCTGGCCAAAGAAAAGGAGGCCCCTGCTTGAGAGGTGGATGATTTCACTGCAAAATATCCCTAGATAGTAAAACTAGGACTGATTGTTCCAGACAATTGAAGATAGGACTACAAATTTAGTACCCGCTGAAAGAGTTCTGTACAACAAAAAGATTCCAGTTACAAAACATTCACCCTGCATATTTTGACAGCAACTAGATCAAAGCAAGTTAATAGTTGAAAGGGATTTTGAAAATCATGTGGTTCAATATTCTCTTTTTATAGTTAAAGACACTTGGACCACAGGACATTAAGTGCTTTTCCCAGAGGTAAGCAGTCAGTAGTAGCAGTAGTGGAACTAAAATCCTGTTTCTTAGGGAGTCTTGGTTGATTCAGCAGGTGAGTTGTGAGTTGTTAACACACTTCTTAGTGGATTCCAACTTCCATTGTCACTGTCCTGCTCAATTTGTTAGGTTTTTATTCTTTCTACTACACTAGTCAAGGCCCCCTGAATTGGCAAGAGCAGTAAACTGAAATCTGGGACTGTCATGATCACCTTAAAAACAGCCTTCATTTAAACTGTCCATACTTTTTTTTTTTTTTTGGAGATGGAGTCTCGCTCTGTCACCAGGCTGGAGTGCAGTGGCACGATCTCAGCTCGCTGCAATCTCCTCCTCCCTGGTTCAAGCGATTCCCCTGCCTCAGCCTCCCTAGTAGCTGGGACTACAGGTGTGCACCACCACGCCTGGCTAATTTTTTGTATTTTAGTACAGACGGGGTTTCACCGTGCTGGCCAGGATGGTCTCGATCTCCTGACCTCGTGATCCGCCCACCTCAGCCTCCCAAAGTGCTGGGATTACAGGCATGAGCCACTGCACCTGGCTACTTCTAGGATTTTTTAATAGTTAAAAGTCATCTGGCTGGGCGCGATGACTCATGCCTGTAATCCCAGCACTTTGGGAGGCCGAGGCGGGTGGATCACGAGGTCAGGAGATCGAGACCATCCTGGCTAACACGGTGAAACCCCGTCTGTACTAAAAAATACAAAAAATTAGCCGGGCGTGGTGGCAGGCGCCTGTAGTCCCAGCTACTCAGTAGGATGAGGCAGGAGAATGGCATGAACCCGGGAGGTGGAGCTTGCAGTGAGCCAAGATTGCGCCCCTGCACTCCAGCCTGGGTGACAGAGCGAGACTCTGTCTCAAAAAAAAAAAAAAAGGCATCCAAAGATGTAGGAGGACACTTGATAGATAGTAAGTTCTCTGGTTGATTGTTCAAACAGAATTTAGACTCTCCTATAATGACGGATAGGGGCATTAGGGTATAATGCCAGATGGCAGGACTAAATGACCTCAGAAATGCCTTCAGTTCTGGGACTGTGGCTCTACCTGAGGATACTTTTAGTATTAAAGTGACATTTGGTAAAGCAGGATAATTGATATTAGATATAAATAAAACATTTGAGAGCTGGTTCTTAAAATTTTTTCTTAAATATTTACAGTTGATTATGAGATCAATGCCCACAAATACTGGAATGACTTCTACAAAATCCACGAAAATGGGTTTTTCAAGGATAGACATTGGCTTTTTACCGAATTCCCTGAGCTGGCACCTAGCCAAAATCAAAATCATTTGAAGGACTGGTTCTTGGAGAACAAGAGTGAAGTACCTGAATGTAGAAACAATGAGGATGGACCTGGTTTAATAATGGAAGAACAGCACAAGTGTTCTTCAAAGAGCCTTGAACATAAAACACAGACACTTCCTGTGGAGGAGAATGTAACTCAGAAAATTAGTGACCTGGAAATTTGTGCTGATGAGTTTCCTGGATCCTCAGCCACCTACCGAATACTGGAGGTAACCTTTTATTGTCTTGGTAGTGGGATATGTGAAGCTATTATATTTGTGCACATGAGGTAGCATAGAGAGGCTGACAACAAAAGTAACTTCTATTGGATGATGCTGACTAGACTTGACCCTTATATTAGCCTGGAATCACCTCCATTTTTGAACTGATAAAATGCCCTCAATGCAGACCAGATATCTGGTAGTCATGACGGACAAAGATCACACGAGAATAGCATGTCACTTCCAAAAATTGTATTAATGGCATCATGCTGTACCTGTCACATGCCACTGCATCATACAGGTGAAGGAGCTCAACATGATCATGCTATAACTCTGGAAAAAAGTCCCAGATCAGAAGAAATTGTTGCTTCTCTTCTAATACAGTTACAGGAATGGAGAGGGTAGTTAGGATGGTGCCTGTTTCTTAGGCCTGGGATAATTCTCTTCCTCTGCATTTGGATGGTGTTGCAGAGTCTAGACCTGGAAAAATGTCTAGATTGGTATAATGTAAATTCATAAATGGGGACTGCGCACGTTACTGGAAGCTGGTTCTGGAACTGGTCAGCCTTGGGATTGAGTCCTATGGTGTGATCTTAGACAATTTCCTTACCCTCTCTGAGCAGTGAGACTGCTGCCTCTGCACTTTATAGTTATGAGGATGGAGATAATGTATGTAAAAGGGCTAAGAACAGTATCTGGCACATAGTTAAGCCCTTAATAAATAGTTGCTGTCTTCATTACCACGCAGCACTGTGTTTAGGACAAGGTTGTCAGGGTCCCCTTTTCATACATTTTTCAGCACAGTCTATTACAAATATTTTCACAATAATAATATAAGCTCAGTAAGAAAATACTTCATCTACAGGACCATTTGCTAGAACTCAAAAGATAAAAGCAATCCTTGCCCTTTTTTCTAGACCACCTCGTTTCTGCTAATAAAAACCCGTGCTCTTGTCTTTTAAGGGTTCCTGAAGTCAACATCAAAATCAACAAATGTCATGAGTACTGTTTAGCTCTGGTCACTACACCTTCCCTAATACAGTTAGGCCAGATTCTTGTTGATTATTATTTTTCTAGCTTTTCTAGCTTTAGGGAATTAACTCTGGAAAGTTCTGTGATTAATAGTTCATTTCTGTCTGCAGGTTGGCTGTGGTGTGGGAAACACAGTCTTTCCAATTTTACAAACGAACAAGTAAGTATGTTGTAAAAGTTTATGATAGCAAAGAAGATAAAAGTGAAGGTTGGCTGGGCGCATTGCTTCACGACAGTAATCCCAGCACTTTGGGAGGCCAAAGCAGGATTGCTTGAGGCCAGGAGTGTGAGACCAGCCAGGGCAATGTAGCAAGAAAAAAAAGTAAAGGTTTTTTCAAAACTTGCTGCATCAAACTATCAGTAATGGTTATTGGAAAATATGGATTATGTCAGATTCAGATTTCTACATTGTTCATTTATGGATTGTTTTAATTTGATTATCTTTGTCATTTGGAAAATTAGACTTAAAACTTGCTAGTGTTAACATTTAGCGCCTTCTTCTTCTTCTAAGGAACAAATGTGTTCAACTTTTCCATTCTCATGATCTCTGAAGAACAGTCAGTGGCTGAGTTGTCATCACCCCCATGGTAGAGTTGAGAAAGCTAACATACATGAAGATGTCTCCTGTTCTGATGAAAACACACTGGTTTTGTGTACTTAAACAGAACGCTTCTGACACCAAATGTGCGGGGTTTTTGCCAACACTGACCAATTCAAAAACAGCTGGGTGTCCTACAATTCAATTCTGACACTGTCTACTTGGAGTTGGTGTCAGATCCCACAAGTTAAGGGTTCGGTCCCAGAAGACTGCCCCCCACTTCAGATGCCAGTTGTGAATCTGGCCCTCCGTGTTTCTGCCCTACAGGCTGTAAATCAGGGTAGCCCTATCTCCAGTTCAATAATTTCCTAGAATGGCTCACAGAACTCAGGGAAACACTTTACTTACATTTATGTGTTTGTTATGAAGGATACAGATTAACAGCCAGCTGAAGAAGTAATTAGAGTGGGGTTCAGAGGATCTCACGCTCAGGAGCTTTGACCCTGAGGAGCTCAGTGCAGTGTCCTCCTAGCACACGGATGTGTTCACCAACCTGGAAGCTCATCAAGGGGTTTTTTTTAGTTTTGAGACAAGCTCTTGTTCTGTCATCCCGACTAGCGCACAGTGGTGCGCCCATAGCACACTGCAGGCTCAAACTCCTAGGCTCAAGCAATCCTCTCACCTCAGCCTCCCAAGTAGCTGGGACTACAGACACATGCCACCATACCCAGCTAATTTTTGTTTATTTTTTGTAGAGACAGGGTCTCACTTTGTTGCCCAGACTGGTCTCAAACTCCTGGGCTCAAGTGATCCTCTTGCCTCGGCCTCCCAAAGTGCTGGAATTACATGCATAAGTCACCGTTCCCAGCCTCAAGAGTTTTTATACAGCTAGGACACAGACTCATGGGAAAATTAATTTTAAAAGGAGAAGAAGAAAATAGTTTTCATACAACATAATCTGCATTTCTATTCAGGACATTGGTGGGTGAAGCTGAAAGTTCCAATCGGTTTGCCCTTACTAGTGTTGGCCCCACCCCAGGTCATCTCATTAAATTCAGTGTGGTCCTGAGGGAGTTCATTATGAATAACAAAAGATACAGAGTCTTGCTTCATCACCCAGGTTGGAGTGCAGTGGCACAATCTCGACTCATTGCAACCTCCGCCTTCCGGGTTCAAGTGATTCACCTGCCTCAGCCTCCCTAGTAGCTGGGATTAAGGGTGCATGCCACCACACACAACTAATTTTTATATTTTTAGTAGAGACAGGGTTTCACCACATTGGCCAGGCTGGTCTCAGACTCCTGACCTCAGGTGATCCACCTGCCTCGGCCTCCCAAAGTGCTGGGATTATATGTGTGAGCCACCGCGCCCAGCCTGCTGAGGAAATTCTTAAGGTTTTTGGAACTCTGTGCCTGGAACCACAAAGACCAACACCAGATATATTTATTATACCATATCTGTTTTGTTTTGTTTGAGATGGAGTCTTGCTCTGTTGCCCAGGCTGGAGTGCAGTGGCGTAATCTTGGCTCACTGCAACCTCTGCCTCCTGGGTTCAAGCGATTCTCCTGCCTCAGCCTCCCAAATACCTGGGATTACAGGCATGCGCCACAATGCCCAGCTAATTTTTGTATTTTTAGTAGAGATGGGGTTTTGCCATGTTGGCTAGGCTGGTCTCGAACTCCTGACCTCAAGTGATCCACCCACCTCAGCCTCCCAAAGTGCTGGGATTACAGGCGTGAGCCATGGCTCCCGGCCCTATAGCTGTTTTTAAACCCCTTGTGGAAATGACATTCCAGTTCTGTATGCATTACTGGAATCCACTGTTTCTCAAAGGTTTCATATAATATATACTTTGCCAATTTAGCCCACAGTATTCATTAACAGGATTAAGTAAAACATTAGCCTCATTACTAATATACACTTAAATATTTCTACAATTTGTTCTCAGAAATTTCTAAGAAAATGGCAAGTCCTAGTAGCTAACACTGAAGAAAAGAGATTGTTCTGCTCTTGAAGTTACAGTCTGAGGAACCCACCTCAAATGGGAGATTGACTTAGCTTCAAGTTATGGCCATTAATTATCAATATCATCAATGCATGTAAAATAATGTAGATGGCATCTTTGCCACAGCCTCTTTATGCCATTTAAATAAGATCGCTGTGTTCAATATCTTGCTAGAACCCACTTGTTCATGTAATTCACTGGCTTAGAATTGACATGTTTTCTACTGCCTGTGAATCAGGTTTAAATTGTTGGGCATAGTTTTCAAAGTCCTCTACAAGAGTGTGCCCTATAAAGTATGTCCTCTTATCCCTCAGTGCACTGGTCACACCTTGCATGTCTTCCCCTGACTCCGTACCTTTCCAAAATGTCCTTTGTTTCTACTACACTATTTCCTTCCTTCCTCACATTCTAGATCAGAAGCATCTAGAAAACTTCCCTAGTTGTTATCGTCCAGCTGCCTCACTCTGCAGTCTTTTTTGAGACAGTCTCACTCTGTCACCCAGGCTGGAGTGCAGTGATTCGATCTCGGCTAGCCTCAACCTCCGCCTCCCAGGTTCAAGCAATTATCCTGCCTCAGCCTCCCGAGTAGTTGGGATTACAGGTGCCCACCACCACGCCCAGCTAATTTTTGTATTATTGATTGATTGATTGATTGGTTGATTGAGACAGAGTTTTGCTCTTGTTGCCCAGGCTGGAGTGCAGTGGTGCGATCTTGGCTCACCGCAACCTCCGCCTCCTGGGATCAAGCAATTCTCCTGCCTCAGCCTCCCAAGTAGCTGGGATTACAGGCATGTGCCACCATACCCAGCTAATTTTGTATTTTTAGTAGAGACGGGGTTTCTCCATGTTGGTCAGGCTGGTTTCGAACTCCCGACTTCAGGTGATCCACCCGCCTCAGCCTCCCAAAGTGCTGGGATTACAGGTGTGAGCCACTGCACCCAGCTAATTTTTGTACTTTTTAGTAGAGATGAGCTTTCACCATGTTGGCCAGGCGGGTCTCGAACTCCTGACCTCAGGTGATCCACCCACGTCGGCCTCCCAAAGTGCTGGGATTACAGGCATGAGCCACCATGCCCAGCCCACTCTGCAGTCTTTACAGCCTTTTTATGTTTCTTGAGTTACCCTATTGCCTGGATCCTTTTTTTTTTTCTTTTGAGACAGGATTTCTGTCACCCAAGCTGGAATGCAGTGGTGCCATCACAGCTCACTGTAGCTTCAACCTTCCAGGGTTCAGGTGACCCTCCCACCTCAGCCTCCCAAGTAGCTGGGACAACAGGCGTGTGCCACCACCCCTGCTAATTTTTGTCTTTTTTGTAGAAACGGGGTTTTGCCATGTTGCCCAGGCCAGGGTTCTTAATATTTTTTTAATGTATCTGATAAAGCCTTAGGATCATTTCTCAGGCTAATGTATTTTTCATTTGTTTTCTTTTTATATATAGCAGCTTTATTGAGATATAAAGTGTATAATACAGTGGTTTTTTTGTTTGGTTGGTTTTCGTTTTGTTTTGTTTTGGTTTTGAGATGGCATCTTGCCCTGTTGCCCAGGCTGGAATGCAGTGGCACGATCTTGGCTCACTGCAACCTCTGCCTCCCAGTTTCAAGCGATTCTCCTGCCTCAGCCTCCTGAGTAGCTGGGATTACAGGCGCCCGCCACCACACCCAGCTAATTTTTGTATTTTTAGAAGAAATGGGGATTCACTGTGTTGGCCAGGCTGGTCTCAAATTCCTGACCTCGTGATCTGCCTGCCTCGGCCTGCCAAAGTGCTGGGATTACAGGCGTGAGCCACCGCACCTGGCCGTAATACAGTGGTTTTAAGTTAATTCACAGAGTTGTGCAGCCATCACTGCAGTCAACTTCAGGACATTTTCATCATCCCAAAAAGAAGCCCTATACCCATTAGCAGTCACTCCCCATTTCCCAATTTCCCCCAATCTCTAGCCCTAAGCAACCACTACTCTACAAATGCACAAATCTATATAGCTTTATCTTGGGCTAATTTTAAGTATATGAAGTAAAATAGAGAAAACCAATTATTTTGAAATACAGTTCTATCCTCAGAGCCCAATTAAGGACTCTGATTTTAAAAATAATACTCTTAGCCCTTCATATTCACCTTTTCTGCATCCGAGGATTCAAGCAATCATGGATTGAAAATAAATAGTGTAGGCCAGGCGCAGTGGCCCATGCCTATAATCCCAGCACTTTGGAAGGCCAAGGAGATAGGATCACCTGAGCCCAGGAGTTCAGGACGAGCCTGAGCAACATAGTGAGACCCTGTCTCTACAAAAAAATTAGCCGCCAGGCGCTGTGGCTCACACCTGTAATCCCAGCACTTTGGGAGGCCAAGACGGGCAGATCACAAGGTCAGGAGATGGAGACCATCCTGGCTAACACAGTGAAACCCCGTCTCCACTCAAAATACAAAAAAAAATTAGCCGGGCATGGTGGCAGGCACCTGTAGTCCCAGCTACTTGGGAGGCTGAGGCAGGAGAATGGCGTGAACCTGGGAGGCGGAGCTTGCAGTGAGCGGAGATTGCACCACTACACTCCAGCCTGGGTGACAGAGTGAGACTCCGTCTCAAAAAAAAAAAAATTGCCAAGCATGCTGGCATGCACCTGTAGTCTCAGCTACTTTGGAGGCTGAGGCCAGAGGATTGGTTGGGGCTGCAGTGAGCCATGATCACACACACCACTGTACTCCAGGTGACAGAGCAAGACCCTGTCTCAAAAATCAATCAATAATACAACAATTTTTAAAAATATAACTGTTTACATAGCATTTATATTAGGCATTATAGATGATTTAATGTATGCAGGAGGATGTGTGTGGGTTGTATGCAAATGCTACACCCGACACCATTGTGTAAGAGACTTGAGCTGGATACCAAGGGACAACTATATGACCTGTAGAAAACTTAAAGAAAAGCACAGGCCAGGCGTGGTGGCTCACTCTTGTAATCCCAGCACTTTGAGAGGCCAAGGTGGGCAGATCACCTGAGGTCAGGAGTTCAAGCCCAGCCTGGCTAACATGGCAAAACCCCATCTTTACTAAAAATACAAAAATTAACCAGGTGTGGTGGTGGGCGCCTGTAATCCCAGCTACTCAGGAAGCTAAGGCAGGAGAATGGCTTGGACCCAGGAGTGGAGGTTGCAGTGAGCTGAGACCACACTATTGCACTCCAGCGTGGGTGACAAAAGCAAAACTCCATCTCAAAAAAAAAAGAAAAGCACAAAGAGGCCAGGCACGGTGGCTCATGCCTGTAATCTGAACACTTTGGGAAGCCAAAGTGGGCAGATTACTTAAGGTCAGGAGTTCAAGACCAACCTAGTCAACATGGTGAAACCCCGTCTCTCCTAAAAATACAAAAATTAACAGGGCATGGTGGTGGGCACCTGTAGTTCCAGCTACTCAGGAGGCTGAGGCCAGAGAATCACTTGAACCTGGGAGGCAGAGGCTTCAGTGAGCTGAGATTGCGCCACTGTACTCCAGCCTGGGTGACACAGCTGAGACCTCGTGTCTCAAAAAAAAAAAAAAGAAAAACATAAGAAAACAACGCTTGCCAGGCGCGGTGGCTCACCCCTGAAATTCCAGCACCTTGGGAGGCCAAGGCAGGTGGATCACCTGAGGTCAGGAGTTTGAGACTAGCCTGGCCAACATGGTGAAACCCCGTCTCTACTAAAAATACAAAAATTAGCTGGGCACGGTGGTGCGCACCTGTAATCCGAGCTACTTGGGGGGCTGAGGTGGGAGGATCACTTGAACCCAGGAGGCAAAGACTGCAATGAGTCTTTGAGAAAGCAGAAGCTGAGTCTGATAGAACTTAGCCCGTGACCTTAATGGGTACTCGGCAGATGCAGCTGCCTGGCTGATTAGAGAACAGGACAGGCATGGACCCTGCTTTCGGAGCAGTGCTGTGGAATAGAACTTTGTGCAGTGACGGAAATGTTCTGCATCTTCACTCTCCCTTATGATGGTCAGTAGCCACGTGTGAAATGTATCTAATGGGACTGAGAAACTAAATTTTTAATTTAAGTAGCCACAGGTAGCTAGTGATTACCATAGCAAATGCTGCAGTTCCCCAGGTTTTTAGTCTTGATTATACCTCCCAGAAGTCGTCTGCTCCAAAGGTCAACAGTTCAGCAGGAAGCAGAGCCCATGCCTTTGAGAGGCTGGAGGTATTGCATACTCCCAAAAATCCCAGGGGCTCACTCATAATGAGCCCAACAGTGCAGAAGAGTTCTGGGCTGTTGTTTCTAAAATGCAAGCATACAGCCTTCCTCCTCTCCCATTTTCATTTAGACCTGTACTAACAGAATTCTGGCATTACAAATTGTTTTGTATTTTGATGTCTTCAGAATAAATATATAATGTGCTTCATAATTGAAAGCAATTTTGATGGTTTTAAAATCAACATTTTTTGTGTTGCTACCTTGTGCTGAGACTTGTGCTAGATAGTGAGGATACCAAGAAAAATAAGCACAGGGATTTTGTGTTGTTCATCTTTATCTCCTCAGCATCTAAGATAATACCCAATGCATAGTGGGCTCTCAGTAGTGTTTGGTGAACTAATAAGCGAAAGATATAATCGCCACTGTCAAAGCACTCACTCACTATGTGGTGGGGGCCAACAGACAGGTACAGATGTGTTCCTGGTGTGGAGAAAGTGCCAGGGTGGCTCAGCGAAGAAAAAAGAATTCTTGTGGTGCTATCAAGCAAGGCTTCATTTGAGGGAAAAGTAGGATTTCTGTAGGTGGAAAAAGAGAAGACATTGATTTGAAACTCCCTGGTTGTTTTATAAACTTCATATTAGCTATGTCCACAGAGCCTCCAAAAGGATATAATTCAAAAGGGATTTTAACCAAAATGAAATATGTTGTGACTAATAGATACAGTTTATTTGAATGAATGATAGTTTTTCCCATTTGATATTTTAACTGTGCTACACAAGAATGAGAGTAGACATAGCTCGATTTGTAGTCTCATTGTTCTGTCTTTTCTGCCCATTTCAGTGACCCAGGACTCTTTGTTTATTGCTGTGATTTTTCTTCCACAGCTATAGAACTGGTCCAGGTGAGTACAATGGGAAATTACCTATTGGTAATTTCCACTGATTAAAGGGAAAAGGTTCTCCTAAAAATCAAGGTCTCTGGCTGTGTTCTTATACAGTCTGTGTTCTTACGGTCTAAAAGTAAAAGATTTACTGATAACGAGCATACCTTGTTTTATTGCAGTTCACTTTATCACACTGTATAGATGTCGTATCTGTTCATATATTGAAAGTTTGTGGCAACCCTGCATCAAGCAAGCCTACCGGTGCCATTTCTCCACCACCATATGCTCACTTAGTATCTATGTGTCATGCTTTGGTGATTCTCAGAATATTTCAGACTTTTTTACTGTTATGTATGTTATAGTGTGTGATGTTACTGTTGTACTTGGTTTGGGGTTCCACAAATCACATCTGTGTAAGACGGTCAACTTAATAAATGCATGCGTTGTGACTGCTCCACCAACCTGCCATTCCATTTCTCTCCCTCTCCTCAGGTCTCCTTGTTCTCTAAGACACAATATTGCAATTAGGCCACTTCATACTCTACAGTGTCCTCTGTGTGTTCAAGTGAAAGGAAGAGTTTCACCACGTTGCCCAGGCTGGTCTCGAATGATAGCTTACACTTGTGTTGTAATTATTAAATTTAATACACAATTGCATAAACTAATGAAATACGATTGCATGCTGGTGCGGTGACTCATGCCTGTAATCCCAGCACTTTGGGAGGCCGGGGTGGGCAGATCACGAGGTCAGGAGTTCAAGACCAGCCTGACCAAGTGAAACCCTGTCTCTACTAAAAATACAAAAAAATTAGCCGGGCTAAAAATACAAAAAATGGCGCATACCTGTAATTTCAGCTACTCAGGAGGCTGAGGCAGGAGAATCACTTGAACTCAGGAGGTGGAGGTTGCAGTGAGCTGAGATCGCGCCACTGCACTCCAGCTAGACAACAGAGTGAGACTCCATCTCAAAAAAATAAAAATACATTATTGGTCGGCCACAATGGCTTAATGCCTGTCATCCCAACACTTTGGGAGGCTGAGGCAGACAGATCACTTGAGATCAGGAGTTCAAGACTGGCCTAGGCAACATGGTGAAACCCCATCTCTACTAAAGAAAAATACAAGAAATTATCCAGGCATGGTGGTGGGCACCTGTAGTCCCAGCTACTCAAAAGGCTGAAGCAGGAGAATCGCTTGAACTGGGGAGGCAAAGGTTGCAGTCAGCCAAGATTGTGCCACTGCACTCCAGTCTGGGCGACAGTGAGACTCCATCTCAAAAAAAAGAGAGAGAAAGAAAAAAAAATAGTTTATTGCTAAAACATGTTAATAATCATCTAAACCTTCAGCAAGTTGTAATCTTTGCTAGTGGACGGTCTTGCCTTGATATTGATGGCTGCTGACTGATCAGGGTGGTGATTGCCAAGGGTTGGGGTGGTCGTTGCTAAGGGCTGGGGTGACTGGCAATTTCTTAAAATAAGGTAACAGTGAAGTTTACCGTATCATTTGGCTCTTCCTTTCATGAAAGATTTCTCCGTAGCATGCGATGCTGATAGGATTTTGCCCACAGTAGAGCTTCTTTCAAATTGAAGTCCATTCTCTCAAACCCTGCTGCTGCTTTATCAACTAAGTTTGATGCCATTTCAAAACAAAAAACCTTTCTTGCCATTTCTAAACAATGTTCATAGCATCTTTACTGGAGTAGATTTGATCTCAATAAACCACTTTCTTTGCCCAACCGTAAGAAGCAACTCCTTATAGATAAGGATGCTGGTTTAAAAAGAAAGAAAGAAAGAAAGAATAAGACTAAAAAACAAGCAGCAACAAGATTGCAGCAATTCAGTCACATCTTCAGGCTTCACTTTTTTTTTTTTTTTTTTTTTGAGACAGGGTCTCACTGTGTTGCCCAGGCTGAAGTAGAGTGACACAATCATAGCCCACTGTAGCCTTGAATTTTGGGCTCAGGCGAACCTGATGAGATGATTCCATTGGGGTTCTTTGAGTTACAAGTAACAGAAACGTCTAGACAAACTCAAAGCAATAAAGTAGAATGTCATAGAACCTAAGGGCACAAAATACAGCCCCAAGTTCCTGGTATCTTACCTGTCATTGTCCAGGGCCCATTTGTTTTTTCCCTCTTTGCATACCAGTTTTCTCTAGTCAGTATTTCCTAATTTTGCACGCGGCCCCAACGTGCTTGCTCCTCCCAGTCCCTTACAAGCTCACCCTGTTCAGGGGTTCATGGTGCCTCACTAAAATGATTGTGTCCCAGTTCTGAAGTCCCTGGAAAGTCTAGTTAACACAACCTAGCTGATAAATACAGCAGCCCTGTTTGAATCAGCTTTGGCCAATGAGAAACAAACTCACATATTTGCAGAAGACGGACATTGAGGGTAGATGCCTTAAAATGTATCTGTTATGGCTGGGGTCAGTGGCTCACACCTGTCATCCCAGCACTTTGGGAGGCCAAGGCCAGCGGATCACGAGGTCAGGAGTTCGATACCATCCTGACCAATATGGTGAAACCCCGTCTCTACTAAAAATGTGAAATTTAGCTGGGTTTGGTGGCACGCACCTGTTGTCCCAGCTACTTGGGAGGCTGAAGCAGAAGAATCGCTTGAACCCAGGAGGCGGAGGTTGCAGTGAGCCGAGATCGCACCACTGCACTCCAGCCTGGGTGACAGAGCAAGACTCCATCTCAAAAAAAAAAAAATGTGTCTGTTACAATTGGCCGGGCATGGTGGCCAGCACTTTGGGAGGCTGAGGTGGGCAGATCACTTGAGGTCAGGAGTTCAAGACCAGCCTGGCCAACATGGTGAAACCCTGTCTCTACTTTAAAAAACACAAAAACTAGGCCGGGTGCAGTGGTTCATGCCTGTAATCCCAGCACTTTGGGAGGCTAAGACGGGCAGATCATCTGAGGTCAAGAGTTCCAGATCAGCCTGGCCAATATGGTGAAACTCCATCTCTACTAAAAATACAAAAATTAGCCAGGTATGGTGGTAGGTGCCTGTAGTCCCAGCTACTCGGGAGGCTGAGGCAGGAGAATCGCTTGAATCTGGGAGGCAGAGGTTGTAGTGAGCCAAGATCACGCCATTGCACTCCAGCCTGGGCTACAAGAGTGAAACTCCATCTCAAAAAAAAAAAAAAAAATACAAAAACTGGCAGGACGTGGTGGCATGCACCTGTAATCCCAGCTACTGGGGAGGCTGAGGCAGGAGAATTGCTTGAACCTGGGAAGCAGAGGTTGCAGTGAGCCGAGATCGCACCACTCCAGCCTGGGCAACAGAACAAGACTCTGTTTCAAAAAAAAAAAAAAAAAAGAGTCTGTCACAATTATGTACAATGCTGTTAGGGCAGATTAGGAATTGGTAGTGCCATGCTTTTAGAATTATTATTCAGTTAAAGACCAAATGAATATTGAAGCCTACCTTTACTTCAGTTTTTGATAACAAAGTAAATTTTCTACATCTACAGAAATAGATTTTCCTGAAGAATTCTATGGTTTGTGTAATATTTTCTAGTTGGGAGTTGTTTTAAATCGTGTGCTTTGTTGTTTGTTTTGAGACAGGGTCTCAGTCACTCAGGCTGGAGTGCGGTGGTACAATCAAACTCACTGTGGCCTTGATCTCCTGGGCTCAAGTGATTCTCCCACCTCCTGTGTAACTGGGACTATGGGCACATGCCACCACACTTGGCTAATTTTTTTTTTTTTTTTTTTTTTTGCGACGGAGTCTAGCTCTGTCGCCCAGGCTGGAGTGCAGTGGCGTGATCTTGGCTCACTGCAACCTCCGCCTCCCAGGTTCAAGCGATTCTCCTGCCTCAGCCTCCAGAGTAGCTGGGATTACAGGCGGGTGCCACTGCACCCAGCTAATTTTTTTGTATTTTTAGTAGAGACGGGGTTTCACTGTGTTGGCCAGGCTGGTTTTGAACTCCTGACCTCAGGTAATCCTCCCACCTCGACCTCCCAAAGTGCTAGGATTACAGGCATGCACCCGGCATTTTTTTATTTTTTGTAGAGATGAAGTCTCACTATGTTGCCTAGCTGGTCTCAAACTCCTGGGCTCAAGTGATCCTCCTGCCTCAGCCTCCCAGGGTGCTGGGATTCTAGGCGTGAGCCACCGTGCCTAGCAGATCGTGCTTTTGGTTTGTTTGTTTGTTTGTTTTTGTTTTTGTTTTTGAGACGGAGTCTCCCTCTGTCGCCCAGGCTGGAGTGCAGTGGTGCCATCTCAGCTTACTGAAAGCTCCGCCTCCCGGGTTCACGCCATTCTCCTGCCTCAGCCTCCCGAGTAGCTGGGACTACAGGCACCTGCCACCACGCCCGGCTAATTTTTTGTATTTTTAGTGGAGACGGGGTTTCACCATGTTAGCCAGGATGGTCTCCATCTCCTGACTCATGATCCGCCTGCCTCGGCCTCCCAAAGTGCTGGGATTACAGGCGTGAACCACCGCGTGCTTATTTAAAGTATGTGCTGTCTCTCTCCTTACGAATGTTTTTTTTTCCCTGTTGGTCACTCATTTTCATGATCGTTTTCCAATTCTTAGATCTGACTTCATGCATGAGAAGTACAGAAAGTACACAAGAATAAAGAATAAAAGTAGGGGAGTCAGGAATGTTCTATTTTAAAAGCAACTATTAGATTCCTCACTGTCTCCCTTCAATTATTCCTGATCTTTACTCTTTGAGTCCTCCCTGAAATAACATGCTATTAGATTGATGCAAAAGTAATTGTCGTTTTTGCCGTTACTTTTTTTTTTTTTTTCTTTTTTTTAGATGGAGTTTCACTCTTGTTGCCCAGGCTGGAGTGCAATGGTGCAATCTCGGCTCACTGCAACCTCTGCCTCCTGGGTTCAAGCGATTCTCCTGCCTCAGCCTCCCGAGTAGCTGGGATTATAGGCATGTGCCACCACACCCAGCTAATTTTGTATTTTTAGTAGAGATGGGGTTTCTCCATGTTGGTCAGGCTGGCCTCGAACTCCTGATCTTAGGTGATCCTCCCGCCTTGGCCTCCCAAAGTGCTGGGATTACAGGCATGAGTCTCCACATCCTTGCCATTACTTTCAATAGCAAAAACCGCAATTACTTTTTCACCAATCTATATAATGATTAGAAATATATCCCCTACTCTGGAGGGTGAGGCAAGTGATCCTATCGCGTGAACCCAAGAGTTTGAGGCCAGCCTGGGCAACATGGGGAGATTTTGCCTCAAGAAAAAAAAGAAAAAAGAAATATATCCCTCTTTGTGAAGTAGCAACAGTTACATTTAAAATTTAAAACAAGATAATCTTTTCTTTAGGCTATGTTAATATTTTCTAACTTACCTGTGTCTTCCATCTGTCTGCAGACAAATTCAGAATATGATCCTTCTCGGTGTTTTGCCTTTGTTCACGACCTGTGTGATGAAGAGAAGAGTTACCCAGTGCCCAAGGGCAGTCTTGATATTATCATTCTCATATTTGTTCTTTCAGCAATTGTTCCAGACAAGTAAGTTTGGGTCCCTTGGCTGGTAGTGTCACAAAAAGGAAGCTTTGGTGAGGGACCTTTTTTTTTAAAATAGGTTCTTGCTCTGTCAGCCCAGGCTGGAGTGCAGTGGCACGATCATGGCTCACTGCAGCCTTAACCTCTTGGGCTTAAATGATCCTCCCTCCTCAGCTTCCCAAGTAGGTGGGACCACAGGCACGTGCCACCAGTCCTGGCCAATTTTTGTGTTTTTAGCAGAGATGGGGTTTTGCCATGTTGCCCAGACTGGTCTTGAATTCCTGGGCTCAAGCGATCCTCCCACCTTGGCCTCCCAAAGTGCTGGGATTATAGGTGTGAGCCACCATGCCCAGCCTGGCGAGGGACCTTGATATTAGAGTTGGGCTCAAAGTAAAAAGAGTTTTGTTTATGTTCTGATAGACACAAAGAAGCCACACCATTTGTAGTGATGTGAGCATCTCAGCCATTTTCCTAAATTTGTCTTGATGTCCAACTTCTGTTCTGGCCTCGAAACTTCTGCAGTAGTTGGTTCTTCATTTCCTTGTTGTGGCTCAACATTGGGAAAGAATGGGAAATCAGTCTCTAATGAGTATGTGGGGAAATTCCTATTGATAGTCTCATCACATGCCGTTTTAGAACTGTGAACTGTGGGTGTCACAGCTCTTAGGTAATGTCTCATTATTGGATTTTTATTTTATTTTATTTTATTTTTTTGAGATGGAGTCTTGCCCTGTCGCCTGGGCTGGAATGCAATGGCGTGATCTAGGCTCATTGCAACCTCCACCTCCCCGGTTCACACAATTCTCCTGCCTCAACCTCCCGAGTAGCTGGGATTACAGGCACCTGCTACCATGCCCAGCTAATTTTTGTATTTTTAGTAGATGCGGGGTTTCACCATGTTGGCCAGGCTGGTCTTAAACTCCTGACCTTGTAATCTGCTTGCCTCAACCTTGCAAAATGCTGGGATTACAGGCATGAGCCACTATGCTGGCCTTTTTTTTTTTTTTGAAGACGGAGTCTTGCTCTGTTGCCCCGGCTGGGGTGCAGTGATGAGATCTTGGCTCACTGCAACCTCCACCTCCCGGGTTCAACCAATTCTCCTGCCTCAGCCTCCCAAGCAGCTGGGATTACAGGTGTACGCCACCATGCCTGGCTAATTTTTGTATTTTTTTTTTTTAGTAGAGATGGTGTTTCACCATGTTGGCCAGGCTGGTCTCAAACTCCTGACCTCATGACCTCATGATCCGCCCGCCACGGCCTCCCAAAGTGCTGGAATTACAGGCGTGAGCCACCACGCCCAGCCTATTGGCCTTTTAAATGCTTTAAATAAAACAACCTTATTAGCAACATGAAATTTACATTGAACCTTAACTAAGGTGTTCTCTGATGCTTACAGTGTTTTAGGAAAGTGTGATACAGAATTCTATAAAATCAGATTCAGATTAAAGGAAAGTCAAATGCTATATCCTAAAATACACCATTAAAACTTCATATGCATAGGTAACCAGTGGTCCTGTGACACTACCTTCTCTTTTTTTTTTCTGAGATGGAGTCTCACTCTGTTGCCCAGGCTGGAGTGCAGTGGTGAGATTTCAGTTCACTGCAACCTCTGCCTCCAAGGTTAAAGCGATTCTCCTGCCTCAGCCTCCCGAGCAGCTGGGATTACAGACAAGCACCACCACACCTGGCTAATATTTTTTGTATTTTTAGTAGAGACGGGGTTTCACTATGTTGGCCAGGCTGGTCTTGAACTCCTTACCTCAAGTTATCCACCCACCTCGGCATCCCAAAGTGCTGGGATTACAGGCATGAGCCACTGCAACCTGACCAAAACTACCTTCTCAAGGAAGCAGAGTCAGATGGTGGCTCAGAGATTCAGATACCATTGACTAATTCCATGGAAGCCCTTGGCACTGCCAGAGTGCAGTGAGTCTGGACAGGCTGGGGGTTGGCACATGTTAGGGTAAACTATACCCATGAAATCATGAGATTAGAGACTTCAAACATCTCCTCATTCTGTGTCATCAGAGTCCTGCAAAGGATGATTAAGTAAGTTAGTGTTAAAGGTCAAGGTAAGCTGGTGTTAGGAAGCCAGATTACATGACTAGAGACTGCAGGGACCAGTGATTGAGATCCTGGTTTATCTCCCAGAGTCCAAGGACCCCTCACTGGCTGCACAGGATAGGAGCTTTGGGTGATTGACCTTCCTCTAGAAGGCCACACTTCCTCTAGAAGGGTACTGAAGTCATCCAACCTGAGAGGATGAGTGTGAAATAAAGGCATATGCAGGATAACCCAAAAGGCCTACCATGGTTTTAAACTTTAATAATTGCAGAGGTTGACCAGGCACAGTGGCTCACGCCTATAATCCCACCACTTTGGGAGGCTGAGGTGGGAGGAGTGCTTGAAGCCAGGAGCTCAAGACCAGCTTGGGCAACAAAGCAGGACCGTTATCTCTACTAAAAATAAAAATAAAAAAATTTAGCCAGGTGCATATCTGTAGTCCCAGCTACTCAGAAGGCTGAGGCAGGAGTATGGCTTAAGCCCAGGAGTTTGAGGCTGCAGTGAAGTGAGCTACGATCACACCACTGCACTGCAGCCTGGGTGACAGAGTGAGACCCTGTCTCAAAAAAAACCTATGACCTTAGAAGTTTCAATGCTACAAACTTTTTAAAAATTGACATGGACTAAAACAAATTATTAAAATTTAAAATTCAAGCCAGACACAGTGGCACACACTTTTAGTCCCAGCTACCTAGAGACTGAGGCAGGAGGATCACTTGAGCCCAAGAGTCCAGCCGAGGCAACATAGCATAGCAGGACCCCAGCTGTTTTTTGTTTGTTTGTTTGTTTTCTGAGATGGAGTTTCACTCTTGTTGCCCAGGCTGGAGTGCAGTGCTATGGTCTTGGCTCACTGCAATCTCCGCCTCCCAGGTTCAAGCGATTCTCCTGCCTCAGCCTCCCAAGTAGCTAGGATTACAGGTGCCTGCCACCATCCCTGGCTAATTTTTTTGTATTTTTAGTAGAGACAGGGTTTCACCATGTTGGCCAGGCTGGTCTCGAACTCCTGACCTCAGGTGATCTGCCTGCCTTGGCCGTTTTTTTGTTTTTTGGTTTTTTTTAAGAGGGAAACATTCATTATGCAAAATTTAAATAGACTTTGAAATTTTTTTGGTGAAGTTTGTAGCATTTAGACTTCTGAAGTTATGAAAGCTTCAACCTGCACCAAGACTTTTGAAGAACACTGCATATGGAAAACACAGACCTAAGTGTAAAACCCTCTGTCTGTTATACTCATTTGCATACTGATTGTATTGTAAGTTCTTGAGGACAAGTCTTCATTTAACAAACAGAAAGATACAGCCCCTACATTGAAAGAGCTCAGGTCTAATGATGCAGGCAGATAAGTCACCTAGCAGAACCCACTGGATGCTCAGGATTCAGCTCAGCCACAGGCGCACAGGGCAAAGATGGCTATCTAGGACAGTGGGGAAGTGAGCCAGATAGAGAGCAGAGAACTTTTGTTTGTTTGTTTGTTTTTTGGAGACAAAGTCTCAGTTACTCTGCGGCCCAGGCCGGAGGGCAGTGGTGCAATCTTGGCTCACTGCAACCTCCACCTCCCAGGTTCCAGAAATTCTCCTGCCTCAGCCTCCTGAGTGTCTGGGATTACAGGCACACGCCACCACACCTGGCTACTTTTTGTATTTTTAGTAGAGATGGGGTTTAACCATTTTGGCCAGGCTGGTCTCAAACTCCTGACCTCATGTGATCCACCTGCCTCAGCCTCCCAAAGTGCTGGTATTACAAGCATGAGCCACCGCACCCGGCCAGGAGCAGGGAACTTTCTTACGGCAGAAGCGGGCTGTCCTCGGGCCCCTTCAGGCTGAAGGCAGTGGATCGAGGCCACAGCTGTGAGCAGGCAGCTAATGTCCTTCAGTTCTAACTGAAGCAAGAGTAGAGGAGCTTAGATCTCAGACTTGGTGTGTCAGTTGAGGAAGTCCACTGGCTTTTTGGGATATGCTACAGGGAAAGAGAACCCCGTCTTTAAGGAGACCTGATTGACCGTCATTCCCTGCTGCTCCACAGGATGCAGAAGGCTATCAACAGGCTGAGCAGGCTTCTGAAACCTGGCGGGATGATGCTTCTGCGAGATTACGGCCGCTATGACATGGCTCAGCTTCGGTTTAAAAAAGGTATTTTGAAAGTGCTGAATCCTAACCACTAGAGATCATGTCCTTTGCAGGGACATGGATGAAGCTGGAAATCATCATTCTCAGCAAACTAACACAAGAACAGAAAACCAAACACCACTTTTTCTCACTCATAAGTGGGAGTTGAACAATGAGAACACATGGACACGGGGCGGGGGGCATCACACACTGGGGTCTGTCTGGGGGTGAGGGGGCTGGGAGAGGGATAGCATTAGCAGAAATACCTAATGTAGATGACGGGTTGATGGGTGCAGCAAACCTCCATGGCACATGTATACATATGTAATAAACCTGCACGTTCTGCACATGTACCCCAGAACTTAAAGTATAATTAAAAAAAAAAAAAGGTATTTGGCCACTATAATCAAAAAATGGTGCTGCCATCAGAATAGAAACTCTAGAATTAGAACTCCTTATATAAAGCCATTTAATATGTGACAGAGTAGTATATTTTTTAAGAAAACTGAAGAGGCTTGTATAATCTAGATATTGAGGTCTTTTTAAGCAAGACAGCTACCTTTAGAAGAGCTTTTATTAGAAAGACATTTGAAAGACAGCCGGGCGCAGTGGCTCATGCCTGTAATTCCAACACTTTGGGAGGCCGAGGTGGGTGGATCGCCTGAGTTCAAGAGTTCAAGACCAGCCTGACCAACATGGAGAAACCCTGTCTCTACTAAAAATACAAATTAGCTGGGCATGGTGGCGCATGCCTGTAATCCCAGCTACTCGGGAGGCTGAGGCAGGAGAATCGCTTGAACCCAGGAGGCAGAGGTTGCAGTGAGCCAAGATCACACCATTGCACTCCAGCCTGGGCAACGAGTGAAACTGTCTCAAGAAAAAAAAAAAAAGATATTTGAAAGACATAAATAATTTTAAATGTGGCATGACAAAAGATGCCATTAAAAATGTAAAAGGCAAATGACGGAGTAAGAAGGAATATTTTCAGTGCATATAATAGATAAAGACTTAATATCTTTGCTCTTCAAGGAGCTCTCATGAAACTGATAAGGAAAAGATCAGTGACCCACCCAAAAAACAGGCGAGGAGTATTTAGTCAGTTCACAGAAGAACATATCTAAATGGCCAGTAAACAACACTTCAAGGAAATAAAAATAACGAGTTAGTACTTCCTATTGCTGGCCAATTCAAAGAAAGAGGTGCATTCCTTCATTACTGGTAGAAAAAGAAATTGTTACAGCCTTTTTTTTTGAGATGGAGTTTTGCCGTTATTGCCCAGGCTGGAGTGCAATGGCGTGATCTCGGCTCACTGCAACCTCTGCCTCCTGGGTCCACCCGCCTTGGCCTCCCAAAATGCTGGGATTACAGGTGTGAGCCACTGTGCCCAGTGTTACAGCCTTTTTTTTTTTGAGACGGAGTCTCGCTCTGTCTCCCAGGCTGGAGTGCAATGGCACGATCTCGGCTCACTGCAACCTCTGTCTCTTGGGTTCAAGCAATTCTCCTGCCTCAGCCTCCCGAATAGCCGAGACTACAGGCATGTGCCACCACGCCTGGCTAATTTTTTTGTATTTTTAGTAGAGACAGGGTTTCACCATGTTGGTCAGGCTGGTCTCGAACTCCTGACCTTAGGTGATCCACCCACCTCAGCCTCCCAAAGTCCTGGGATTACAGGTGTGAGCCACTGCGCTCGGCTTACAGCCTTTTTTTAAGCACCCAATTATTGTTCAATCCAGTCATTTTTTTTGAATATAGTCAAGAACTAGCACATAATACATGCAGGAGCAAAACTTTGTAAACAAAGTGAATGCCTCTGGATAGGGAGATGTTGTGCTTGTCACCTGAGGTGGACCCCGTACCACTGAACTTGGAGGGATTTCTGTTCTGTATTCAGTGAGAGGAGAGCAATGTGCAAGGGAGTATTTTAAACTCCATCCCCCTATACCAGTATCTGCAGGGAAATAAGTACACACTTGTGTGATGATTTGGGCATTCAGGAAGGTCTAGAAGTATGTGCCAGGCCGGTAAACTGAGGTAAGGTCAGGGAGGTTAGCAGCAGAAGGGAAAGCATGTTCATGATCAAAACAATATCTGAGTTGTATTTATGATTCTGTAGACATGTGAAGAGACATGCAAAGGACAGTCACCACCAAAATGGTAATGATTGTCTCAAGTTTCCTTAAACTCAGCTATATTGCTTAATTAAAAAAAATAAAAATAGGCCAGGCACGGTGGCTCATGCCTTTAATCCCAGCACTTTGGGAGGCCACGGTGGGTGGATCACCTGAGGTGAGGAGTTTGAGACCAGCCTGGCCAACATGGTGAAACCCTGACTCTACTAAAAATACAAAAAATTAGCTGGGCATGGTGGTGGGAACCTGTAATCCCAGCTACTTGGGAGGCTGAGGCAGGAGAATCACTTGAACCTGGGAGGCAGAGGTTGCAGTGATCCGAGGTCACGCCATTGCACCCAGCCTAGGCAACAAGAGCGAAACTCCGTCTCAAAATAAATAAATAAATAAAAAGTTTGTGCTGTTAATTTAATGGGGTTGGGAGAGTGAACAAGTTGTTTTCATCAAACAATTCTAGAGTTTTGGAGTGGGGTGCTTAGGAACGTCATGTTTTCTGACATTGTGACTTACTCCTGTTGAGCTGCTCTTCCCGAAGCACTGAGGCAGGAGTGCTCTCCACCCAACAAACTGACCTCCCAGTTAACATTCCTTAGCAATGCGAGTCAAAGAAGTGCTTTTAAGTGTCTCTGATTTTTAACACATCACTCTGCAGGTCAGTGTCTATCTGGAAATTTCTACGTGAGAGGTGATGGAACCAGAGTTTACTTCTTCACACAAGGTATGAAACACCCATCTTTTTACACTAAAAGTCCCCAGTACCAGATGAGATGGTCTTCAAGGCACGTTCAGAAGGAAAACTATCTGGTCCCTCCTGCCTTTTAGGCAGGCTGTTTCCTGCGGTTCCCTGCTGCTCACACCCTCTTCCACCCTGGGCTAGGCTACCCATGGCAGCCAGGCACTGGGGCCCCCAGGCAGCCCTGGCTTGTCCATGCCTTCAGTCCTGCTCTGCTCTCCCTGTCTGCCACTGTCCAAAATGGGAAGCCTGCCCACTCTGCAAGGCTCATCTCCAGTCCAGCCTGTTTCACCCTCTACACGGGGTTGTGCTTTGGTGTGCCCGGGTCAGGGTGAACCCTGGGTTCTAGGGGTGCTGGGAACTGCTCTCCTCTGCAACTGGCCTATCCACAGGCTTCATCCTTCACCTGGGCCTTCCAAATTCTCCGTTCCTGGGCCCTTTTCAGGGTCACCTTCTTTGAGCCTTTGGTTAAGATGATGAAACCACTTTCCTAAAACAATTGCTTTGACATACATAGATATTTTTGCATAAATTTTAAGGTGTTCATAGAGCCTAAAGGCCAAATATAAACCAAAGGTTTTTAAAAAAGAAAAAACCGCGGCCCATACGCAGTGGCTTCCCCTACCTAAACATGAACTTACTGTTACCAAGCCACCACTGCATTTATAACCAAATGGCCATGTAAAAAACATGACAGCAACTTCCCAGAGCCCCTTTTAACAAGGACTTAGTAGATAAAAATGCCTTTTCTTGAGGGGAAAAATGCATAAACATCTTTTATTTTCCACACTAGAGGAACTGGACACGCTTTTCACCACTGCTGGACTGGAAAAAGTTCAGAACCTGGTGGATCGCCGACTGCAGGTGAACCGAGGAAAGCAACTGACAATGTACCGGGTTTGGATTCAGTGCAAATACTGCAAGCCCCTTCTGTCCAGCACCAGCTGAGAGGCACCTGCTGCCAACACGATGCAAGCCCATTGTGTTTCCGGGCTTTTTTAAAAAAAAAATTGTAGCACTGGGCGTGGTGCATGCCTGTAATCCCAGCCACTCAGGAGGCTGAGGCGGGGAGGATCCATTGAGCCCAGCAGTCCAACCTGGGCAAAATAGTGAGAGACCCTGTATCTGAAAGTAATAATAAAAATAAAAAATATAAATGAGGTCTCGTTGATGTTGGACAATTCAAGAATTCAGACTTGAACCTTAAACCTAGGAAAAGTTACTTTGTATCAGGATTCTAACAATTATGCTTCATATTTGTGAAGTCCTTTAAAACATAATTTTCTCAAGTTCTTTCTTTGAGATCTCAATCTGTCTTAGCATTTTGTAACTAATAACTGAAATTTTATTCAAAGGAATTGTAAACCTTAAACCACCAATTTATTTCCATGTGAAAAAGTGTTACATATGACAAGTGTTTTTTGACTGTAATTGCGTTAAATCTTTTGAGAATGTAAATGCCGGGCTAGGCAATTGCAGTTAATACATACAGAGGTTAGTGAAGGGCTTATTAAGTTGTAGGGGAAGCAAGCTGGGAAGAATCAGATCAGATATTTTCCTGACAAAAAAAAATGACCCTACAGAGAGCATCAAAATGTGGTGTTCTTGTTAAGTAATTGATCGTGGTCTTCGCTTTAATCTTAGTTCCGCCAGGCACGGTGGCTCACACCTGTAATCCCAGCACTTTGGGAGGCCAAGGCGGGCGGATCAGCTGAGGTCAGGAGTTGGAGACCAGCGTGGCCAACATGGTGAAACCCCGTCTCTACTAAAGATAAAAAAATTAGCTGAGTGTGTTGGTGGGTGCCTGTAATCCAGCTACTTGGGAGACTGAGGCAGGAGAATTGCTTGAACCCAGGAGGCAGAGGTTGCAGTGAGCTGAGATTGTGCCACTGCACTCCAGCCTGGGCAACAAAGCAAGACTCTGTCTCAAAAAAATAAAAATAAAAAAAAAATCTTAGTTCCATGGAATTTTAAGCATTGTTCCCCCTCTAACCTGTGTCTAAAGAATTAAAAGAATTTGGCCGGGTGCGGCAGCTCATGCCTGTAATCCCAACACTTTGGGAGGCTGAGGCAGGCGGATCACGAGGTCAGGAGATCGAGACCATCCTGGCCAACACGGTGAAACCTCGTCTCCACTAAAAATACCAAAAAAATTAGCTGGGCATGGTGGCACACACCTGTAGTCCCCTGTAGTCCCAGCTACTCGGGAGGCTGAGGCAGGAGAATCGTTTGAACCTGGGAGGTGGAGGTTGCAGTGAGCCAAGATCATGTCACTGCATTCCAGCCTGGGCAACAGAGGAAGACTCCGTCTCAAAAAAAAAAAAGAAAAGAATTTTCACTTTTTGCAAAATTATCTTTTTTAATGCACCCTTAAGTGTTTGACACAAAAGGAATTGAGGGAACTTCTTAATTTTAACCACATCATCACTTCACTTCTGAATGTGATCATTATCAGTGTTAGATGCCTTTTTTTTTTTTTTTTTTTTTTTTTTTTTAAGGAGACAGGGCTCTCACTTTGTTGCCCAGGCTGGAGTTCAGTGGTGCAATGATAGCTCATTATCACCTCAAACTTCTGGCTCAAGCCATCCCTCCGCCTCAGCCTCCTGAGTAGCTAGGACTGCAGGTGGGCACCATCATGCCTAGCTAATTGTTAGATCCTTTTTTTTTATGTTCTGCATTTTTTCAGTTATTTTTACATATTTCTCTCTTGATCCATGCAGTTATAGGATATATCCTTAATTTTAGAAAGTAAGGACTTTTCGACCAGGCGTGGCGGCTCATGCCTATAATCCCAGCACTTTGGGAGGCCGAGGTGGGCAGATCACTTGAGGTCAGGAGTTCCAGTCCAGCCTGGCTAACATAGTGAAACCCCGTCTCCACTAAAAAATAAAAAATCAGCCCGGCATGGCTGTGGGCGCCTGTAATCCCAGCTACTCAGGAGGCTGAAGTAGAATTGCTTGAACCTGGGAGGCAGAGGTTGCAGTGAGCCGAGATGGTGCCATTGCACTCCAGCCTGGGTGACAAGAGCGAAACTGCATCTCAGAAACAAAGATGCCTAGCTTTCACCTTGTTGATGTTTTTCTAAATTTTGGAATAATAAATTTATATAGGAATACTGCAAGAATAGTCCATTTTTTTCTGATGTCCCAACATCACCAAATGTATCCATCACAAGTAGGAATACATGGAAACATTAATGCCAGCCACTAACCATTCATGTTTACCCAGTAGTCCCAATAATAGCTTTGTCACACAAAAACATGATTATGTTGGCTGGGCACAGTGGCTCCTGTAATCCTAGCATTTTGGGAGCCCAAGGCAGGAGTTCAAGACCAGGCTGGGTAATGTAGCAAGACCCTGACTTTTTTTTTTTTTTTTTTTTGAGACAGAGCTTCGCTCTTGTTGCCCAGGCTGGAGTACAATGGCACAATTTCAGCTCACCGCAACCTCTGCCTCCCAAGTTTAAATGATTCTCCTGCCTCAGCCTCCCAAGTAGCTGGAATTACAGGCATGTGCCACCATTCCCGGCTAATTTTTTGTATTTTTAGTAGAGACAGAGTTTCTCCATGTTGGTCAGGCTGATCTCGAACTCCCGACCTCAGGTGATCTGCCCGCCTTGGCCTCCCAAAGTGCTGGGATTACAGGCGTGAGCCACCACGCCCGGCCAAGACCCTGACTTTTTAAAAAATGTTAAAAATAGGCCGGGTGCGGTGGCTCACACCTGTAATCCCAGCACTTTGGGAGGCCAAGGTGGGCGGATCATTTGAGGTCGGGAGTTCGAGACCAGCCTGGCCAACTTAATGAAACCCCATCACTGCTAACAATACAGACCTGGCACGGTGGCTCACGCCTGTAATCCCAGCACTTTGAGAGACCAAGGTAGGTGGATCACCTGAGGTCGGGAGTTGGAGACCAGCCTGACCAACATGGAGAAACCCCGTCTCTACTAAAAATACAAAATAGCCAGGTGTGATGGCGCATGCCTGTAACCCCATCCACTTGGAAGGCTGAGGCAGGAGAATCACTTGAATCTGGGAGGCGGAGGTTGCAGTGAGCCGAGATGGCACCATTGCACTCCAGCCTGGGCAACAAGAGTGAAACTCCGTCTCAAAAAAAAAAAAAAAAAAAATTAGCTGGGCATGGTGGTGGGCGCCTGTAATCCCAGCTATTTGGGAGGGTGGCTCTAGAGAATCATTTGAACCTGGGAGGCGGAGGTTGCGGTGAGCCGAGATCGCGCCATTGCACTCCAGCCTGGGCAACAGTGAGACTCCGTCTCAAAATAAAAAACAAAAAAAATGTAAAAAATAAATAATTGTATTGAATTTATTAGTTGTGTCTCAGTCTCCTTCAGTCTACGGGTTAGGCTTGCTTTTGCACCTTTGCATTTTAAGGTAAGAGGCTATTGTGTAAACTCGAATTGGGTTTGTTGGTGTTTCTTCATGATTTGGTTCAGGCTCTGCATTTTGGGCAGGAATATTCAGAGGTAATGCTGTGTTCCTCCCATAGGATCGTATCAGGCGACACATGATTATGAATTTCCCCATTATTGGTGATGTCACTTAGTTGTGTTGTCTGCCGGGTTCTGCCACTGTAAAGTTAATAAGTATTTTGTAGGGAAGTGCTTTGAGACTAAATATCCTGTTCCTCATCAAACTTCTACCCCCTAGTTTCAGTATCTATTGCTGCTTTTTGGCTGAATAACTATGATAGTTGCCAAATAGTGGTTTCTGATGCTTCCATTCCTTCTACACTGATTGGTTGGTATTTTGTACAGAAAAGCTTTCTCATATCTGATTTACTTGTCTCAATATGGACCCATGGGTATTTGAGTTTCTTGTGGGGTTATTTGTTGTTGTTTTTGAGACAGGCTCACCCAGGCTGGAATGCAGCAGCACGATCACTGCTCACTGCAGCCTCGACCTCCCAGGCTCAGGTGATTCTCCCACCCCAGCCTCCCAAGTAGATGGGACTACAGGCATGTGCCACCAAGCCTAATTTTTGTATTTTTTGTAGAGACAGGGTTTCATCATGTGTCCCAGGCTGGTCTTGAACTCCTGAGCTCAAGCAATCCTCCCACCTCGGCCTCCCAAAGTGCTGGGATGAGCCACTGCGACTGGCCCCACTTAATGGGTTTTCAGAGGTGGGAGCAAAGAATGAAGGGAGGAAGAGAGCTCCCATCTTTTCCATTACTGTATTTACTTAAAACTGGAAAAAACTGAATCACTGGGATGGTATTTCATTTATCTTTTGAAATGAAGAATAGATACATTAATTTAAATGATTCTCTAAAGACTGTCCTTCAGCATCCCTAAAGCATTTCAACACTATAGGCACAGTTTTTATTTTATCTTTCTGGCACCTGGTTTGGGCTTTGGGCTTAGATTAAAAAGACGAGCCTTCTCCTGCCCCTGCTCCCTTTTATTCTCTGCCATCTGCTAAGCTCGACTTTTTATCTCTCAGGCCAAATTTGACTCTGCAAGGGACTTTGCATAACGTTTCATCCTCAGAATCGCTAATGATGGGCAGAGGACTGTTACATTTGTTGGGAGGGATTAAAGTATATGACCTCAGTGCCACTTAAAAAATAAATACTGTCTCAACTATGAGTCTGGCTCTGAATGGTATCTCTTAATATGCTTAATGCAAGAATGGTGGGTCGGGCGTGGTGGCTCATGCTTGTAATCCCAGCACTTTGGGAGGCCGTGGCTGGCGGATCACCTGAGGTCAGGAGTTTGAGACCAGCCTGGCCAACATGGCAGAACCCATCTCTACTAAAAATAAAAAATAAAAAAATTTAGCCAGGCATGGTGGTGGGAGCCTGTAATCCCAGCTACTGGGGAGGCTGAGGCAGGAGAATTGCTTGAACCCAGGAGGCGGAGATTGCAGTGAGCAGAGATTGCACACCAGCCTGGGTGACAGAGCAAGACTCCATCTCAAAAAAAAAAAAAAAAAGAAAGGTGCTATGCGGGGCTGGAAGGTGGCTCCAGGTGTGAAGCTGCTCAGGAAGTTGTGTGGTTTCAGTGTGAATCTAACAGAAGTGTTTCTGAAACTGATTTACCTTTCTAAGTCGTGTTAATTAGGGTGAGAGATAAATTCAATGTTGTTTGAAAAATGAGAGACAGTTTGAGACAGATGCACTGGAGCTATTGGAGTGAAACCATGTTCCTGAGGGCAGCGATCACCCTGAAAGTGGGTTTTGCACTGTGAAAGGGATTCATCTCCTGGTCTTGCAGGATTCATGCAGAGCCTGGCCTCTGTTAATGCTATCAAACCTATGTACAATGGGTCAGCCACCTCTTTTCATATAAGTTCATATTCTCTTGGGCTCTGGTAGGAAAATTAGGACTTGGAAACTTAGTGAGAAAGGGAAAATCTAACGTGCTAAGACATCCTACTTGGATGTAATTGATTCCTATCTTTGCTTAAAGACATACTTTAGTAGGAGTAAGGAGTTCTCTCTGTGGCTTAAAAGATGAGCTCAGGACAAGCAGTTTCTTTCAGTCTGTTCACAAAGGCCTGTTCTTTGGTTTGTGGCTGCAGCTGCTATTTTCAGAGCCTGGCTGCGTTGATGCGTTGCAGATTTGTGTGTGCTTCCTACTTTGGTCTACAGGTTGTGATTTGGGAACCCTGGTTAAGAGGTAGAAGAAGTGCTCATGGTGAATTTCCCAGGTGAAAACACTGAAACATTGCATCATGACTGCCTCATTTTATTTAAATAAGTGTCTTGGCTCAAGGTTGGACATTGTCTCTGTAGCCAGTGAAACACACTCCATGACCAGGTTTCAGGACAAATCACCACAGTCCGATTTAATACCCCACTGGGGACCCTGAGACATGGTAGCCTTGACTCCAGCCTCAAGCTTGGCATCTTTACCCACAGATGAGCCTCACACTGCCTTCATTCATTCATTCTCTACTTCCATTCTCTGAATTTGGATTTTGCCATTAAAATTTAATGTTATAGCCAGGTGTGGTGGCTCACACCTGTAATCCCAGCACTTTGGGAGGCCAAGATGGGAGGATCGCTTGAGTCCAGGAGTTCAAGACCAGCCTGGGTAACATAGCAGCATCCTGTTCATACAAAAAAATAAAAAATTAGCCAGGCGTGGCGGTGCCTGCGTGTAGTCCTAGCTACTCAGGTGGCTGAGGTGAGAGGATCGCTTGAGCCCAGAAGTTCAAGGCTTCAGTGAGCTGTGATCACACCACTGCTGGGTGACACAGCAAGACTCCGTCTCAAAAAAGAAAAGAAAAGAGAGAGAGATAGAAAGGAAAGAAGGAAGGAGAGAGGGAGAGAGAACGAAGGAAAGGTAAGAAAGAAAAAGAAAAGTAGCCGGGTGTGGTGACCCATGCCTGTAATCCCAGCTACCGGGGGAGCCGAGGCAGGAGAATAGCTTGAACCCAGGAGGCTGAGGTTTCAGTGAGCCGAGATCACGCCACTGCACTTCAGCCTGGGTGACAGAGTGAGACTCCTTCAAAAAAAAAAAAAAAAAAAAAAAGAGAGAGAGAAAGGGAAGAAGGAAAGAAGGGAGGGAGGGAGGAACATTTATCAGCAGTGGCACGCTTGAGAAACCCTCTAAGGGTGAGCAGAATGGCGAGGGCCCTGAAGAGCCCTGCTACTGACAAGCCCCCGTCACCCTCTTCAGCCTTGCTTCTCATTACCCCTCAATATTTTGTGGACGATTAAGGCCAACATTCAATCGAGCTCATTAAATTATGAGTTTCTGACAGGGTGCAGTGGCTCATGCCTGTAATCCCTTTGGAGGCCAAGACAGGTGGATCCCTTGAGGTCAGGAATTCAAGACCAGCCTGGCCAACATGGTGAAACCCTGTCTCTACTGAAAATTACCCAGGCATGGTGGTGAGTGCCTGTAATCCCAGCTACTTGGGAAGCTGGGGCAAGAGAATCACTTGAACCCGGGAGGCGGAGGTTGCAATGAGCTGAGATCCTGCTATTGCACTCCAGCCTGAGTGACAAGAGCAAAACTCTGCCTCAAAAAATAAAAAATAAAAAAGGCCAGGCACGGTGGGTCACGCCTGTAATCCCAGTACTTTGGGGGTCCAAAGCAGGCAGATCACCTGAGGTCAGGAGTTCAAGACCAGCCTGGACAACATGGTGAAACCCCGTCTCTACCGAAAATACAAAAATTAGCTGGGCGTAGTGGTGCACATCTGTAATGCCAGCTACTCGGGAGACTGAGGCAGGAGAATAGCTTCAACCTGGAAGGTGGAGGTTACAGTGAGCCGAGATCAAGCCATTGCATTCCAGCCTGAGTGACAAGAGTGAGACTCCATCTCAAATACATACATACATAAATAAATAAATAATGAGTTTATTGGGGGACCATTGTATTCTAAACACAGCAGACTACCAAAGCCCGCGGCCCATGGTCAGTGCCCAGTAAGTGGGGACTGAATGCCCGAATAGCTTCTTCCTACCCTGCCCGCTGCCCCCCACCACTGCACAGACACCCCGGATACACAGCTTGTATTTAACTTAAAAAAAATCATACAAGGTTGCAAATATCAACAGCTCAAGGTGGCTTAAACAAAAAACAACAGTAGAAGGGCACAGGGCGCCTCCTGGACCCCACCCTGGGAGGTGTGTGGTTGCTCTCACTCCTGCAGCCTCTTTAAGGACCACTTCTCTGCTCCTTAGTGCACTTGTGGGAGGCAGCTGTAACCAAGCTCCTGAGGTTTGATGTCTCTGTAAAATGGGTGTGCAGCATGTGCATGTGTGTGTGTCTAGGCAGGCAGTTCCCACAATGGCAGGCAGAATCCCCAAAAAGGCATCCGTAAGAGCATGATTTCCTAGACTTCAGCTGGTTTATTTCATCTTCCCAAATATTGATATCCGAGTAGACCATTATTGAATCTTTTTACATTATGTATATTTTTGACCAGGCGCAGTGGCTCACACCTGTAATCCCAGCACTTTGGAGGCCAAAGCAGGCATATCACCTGAGCCCAGACCAGCTTGGCCAACATAGTGAAACCCCATCTCTACTACAGAAAAAAAAAAAATACAAAAATCAGCTGGGGGGGGGTGGTGCTTGCCTGTAGTCCCAGCTACTGAGGAGGCTGAGGCAGGAGAATCGCTTGAACCCAGGAGGCGGAGGTTGCAGTGAGATTGTGCCACTGCACTCCAGCCTGAGTGACAGACAGAGTGAGACTCTATCTCAAAAAACAAAAAAATTTTTTAAAAATTTATATTTTTACTTAAATGTGTTTATTTGTTTTTATTATTATTTTTTGAGATGGAGTCTTTCTCTGTCACCCAGGCTGGAGTGCAGTAGCACGATCTCAGCTCACTGCAACCTCCGCCTCCCAGTTCAAGTGATTCTCCTGCCTCGGCCTCCTGGGTAGCTGGGACTACAGGTGCGTGCCACCACGCCTGGCTAATTTTTTGTATTTTTAGTAGAGACGGGGTTTCACCATGTTGGCCAGGATGGTCTCAATCTCTTGATCTCGTGATCTGCCCACCTCAGCCTCCCAAAGTGCTGGGATTACAAGCGTGAGCCACTGTGCCCGGCCTTAAATTTATTTTTAAGGGATTTTTTTAAAATCACTGCTATAAAAGTAAAACAAGTACTGGTTGCCATGAATTGAAAGTATTTGTGGGCCATGTGCAGTGGCTAACCCCTGTAATCCTAACACTTTGGGGGGCCAAGGTGTGAGGATCACTTGAACCCAGGATGGCTTAAACCCTTTGAGGAGTTTGAGGCAAGCCTGGGCAACATAGTGAGGCCCCATCTCTATTTAAGAATAAATAAATAAAAATAAAAATGTATTTTAAAGATAAATACAATGAAAACAAAACAATATCTTAAGTTCCAGCTGGATGCCTTTGGGGCCAAAGACTTGGAGCACTAGGTCTGGAAACAGGAGTGAACGCATCAGTCACACCTTTCCTGGAGCTGTCAAATTTGGACGGGGAGATTCCAACAATAAACCCATAAATCCTCTAACACGTGGGCATGTGCCAGGAAGAACCAAGCAAGCTAGGGAAAATAGAGAGGTGGCAGGGATCAGGGAAAAGGCACACTCTGAGGTTGGGAGTGGGGACAAGGAAGGCCTCCTGGAGAAGGTCACGTCTCTCATGGAACATCTTCTCTGTGGGAGAAACAGCCAGTGCAAAGGCCTGAGGCTCATGGTGGATTCTCCACCCACCCAGTGTGGGGAACGCTGCATCATCAATCTTAAGCTTGGTACCATTGCTCACTCTCGTAATGAATGTATCTGCCTCAAGCACATTTTTTTTTTTTCAGACAGAGTCTCGCTCTGTCACCCAGGCTGGAGTGCAGTGGTGCAATCTCGGCTCACTGCAGCCTCAACCTCCTGGGTTCAAGCAATTCTCGTGCCTCAGCCTCCCTAGTAGCTGGGATTACAGGCATGCGCTACCACACTTGGCTAATTTTTTTGTATTTTTTGTAGAGACAGGGTTTGGCCATGCTGGCCATGCTGGTCTCAAACCCCTGGCCTCAAGTGATCCTCCTGCCTTGGCCTCCCAAAGTGCTTGGATTACAGGCCTGAGCCACCACACCCAGCCCTAGCACACTTTAATGAGTACTACCCAAGTGCATTAGGTACTGAGAAATGAGTGAGAATGATTGCCGGCTTCCAATCAACCCTCGTGTGCAGGGTCTGGGTTCTTCTCAGTTCATTTAGGAACTGTTAAAGCTGTGAGGTCAGCCCCGCTCACAAGGGTCTGGATTATACAGCAAGATTATTTTGCTTTTCTTTATTTTTCCCCACCCCACTAATCGTGCTCCTAAAGCAAGATTATTGATCTGTAATCTGAAACGTAACTGACAAGCTGAGGGGATCTCCCCAGGAAGGGAAGCTACTTGAGAAACTGAATTTAGATCAGAAGTTGATTGTTCAGAATACAGCTGAGCCCAGAGATTGCATGGCACCAAGAGAGGTTTCTGTCAAGCCGTCCCGTTCCGAGATGCCCCATCGCACCAACGAAGCAACTGCTGAGCAGGTTGGCACTAACACGAGCTGGCGTTTGTCCAGACCTTAAGACTCTTTAAATAGCTTTTCATATATTTAATCCTCACATTGCCTATGTGAATATAAGCGTAATTATCTCCATTTTACAGATGAGGAAATCCGAAGTTCAGGGAGGGTAAATGGTTTACCAAGGTCAGATGACCAGTGTTAATCGTGAGGTAATTAGCCTTAGATTAGGGAGAGGTAGTTTGATTTAAATGATATCTGACATAATATACGGGTTTAGACATTTTTGGCTCCAACCAGTGATGCCAGTCCAGGAAAATGTTACACCTGCTCAGATGTTAACCCTGCTGCGGGCTGGAGGAGAAGGCACCCTCACCCCAAACCTCCCCAGGAGAAGAAAACCCTGCAGCTATCAGAAGTTTTAGTAAAACAACTATCAACAGTCCATGCAACTGGCTACATAATTTGTGTTTGTGTTGCAACACTGTCCAAATTGCAACATTTTCATCAAAATAGAAAACTGAAATCCCCCATCTTTACCCTATGGGCCAGGTCCTCCTGGGGTGAAGGGGGAGCTGGGATTTTTTTTTTTTTTTTTTTTTTTGAGATGGAGTCTTGCTCTGTCGCCCAGACTGGAGTGCAATGGCGCGATCTCGGTTTACTGCAACCTCCGCCTCCCGGGTTCACGCCATTCTGCTGCCTCAGCCTCCCAACCCCCAACCAGTAGCTGGAACTACAGCTACCACGCCCGGCTAATTTTTTGAATTTTTAGTAGAGAAGGGGTTTCACCGTGTTAGCCAGGATGGTCTCGATCTCCTGACCTCGTGATCCGCCCACCTTGGCCTCCCAAAGTGCTGGGATTACAGGCGTGAGCCACCGCGCCTGGGCAGGGGGTGCTGGGATTCTAATCCCTCATGTTCAAGGGGTTCCGTGGAGGCTTCACAGGCTGTGGCCTGCTCAGTTGCAGAAGGGCCCACGCTTGATTTCATGCCCTGCAATTGCTGTCTTGAGATTCCTTCTCCTTGCTTCTTTCTTTTCCTTTTTTTTTTTTTTTCCGGTTGGTTGGTTGGTTTGTTTTTGAGACAGAGTCTCCAGTCTCACTCTGTTGCCCAGGCTGGAGTGCAGTAGCATGATCTCGGCTCACTGCAACCTCTGCCTCCTGGGTTCAAGCGATTCTCCTGCCTCAGTCTCCCGAGTAGCTGGGATTAGCCCGGCAAGAATTCATTTTTTTCTTTTCTTTTCTTTTTTTTTTTGAGACAGAGTGTCGCTCTGTCACCCAGACTGGAGCGCAGTGGTGCGATCTGGGCTCACTGCAACCTCTGCCTCCTGGGTTCAAGCAATTCTCCTGCCTCAGCCTCCCGAGTAGCTGAGACTACAGGTGCCCGCCACTACGCCTGGCTAATTTTTGTATTTTTGGGTTTTTTTGTTTTGTTTTGTTTTGTTTTGAGACAGGGTCTTGTTTTGTCACCCAGGCTGGAGTGCAGTGGCAGAATCTTGGCTCACTGCAACCTCTGCCTCCTGGGTTCAAGTGGTTCTCCTGCCTCAGCCTCCAGAATAGCTGGGATTACAGGTGCCCGCCACCATGCCTGGCTAATTTTTGTATTTTTAGTAGAGATGGGGTTTCACCATGTTGGTCAGGCTGGTCTCGAACTCCTGACCTCATGATCCACCCGACTTGGCCTCCCAAAGTGCTGGGATTACAGGCGTGAGCCACCACACCCAGCCTAATTTTTGTATTTTTAGTAGAGATGGGGTTTCACCATGTTGGCCAGGCTGGTCTTGAACTCCTGACCTCAAGTGATTCCACCCACCTCGGCCACCCAAAGTGCTGGGATTATAGGTGTGAGCCACTACACCCAGCCCAGAATTAATAATAATTATTTTTAACGAGGGGCCCAGCATTTTCATTTTACATTGGGTCTCACGAAGAACCCAGCCAGTCCTGCTGCTGCCTCTTTCTTGCTCCTTCTTCCTCCTTTTTCCTCTCCTTCACAAAGAGCTGTCTGCTCTTGCCTTTTTTTTTTCCTTCCTTCTTTCTTTTCTTTTTTTTCTTGTCTTTCTTTTCTTTCTTTCTTTTGACAGAGTCTGGCTCTGTTACCCAGACTGGAGGTGCAGTGGCACAGTCATAGGTCACTGCAATTTTAATTTTGAACTTCTGGGCTCAAGCAGTCCTCCCCGCCTGAGCCTCCCAAGTAACTGGAATTACAAGTGTGTGCCACCATGCCTGTCTAAGTTTTTTAAGAGACAAGAGACTGCGTGCGGTCTCACCATGTTGCTTAGGCTGGTCTCAAAGTCCTGGGCTCTAGTGATCCTCCCACCTCTGCCTCCCAAAGTGCTGGGATTATAGGTGTGAGCCGTAAGCCACTGTGCCCAGCTCTCTTGACTTTTTTTTTTTTTAGACGAAGATCACTGCACAATCTTGGTTCACTGCAACCTCCTCTTCCTGGGTTCAAGCGATTCTCCTACCTAAGCCTCCCGAGTAGCTGGGATTACAGGCACCCGCCACCACGTTTGGCTAATGTTTGCATTTGTAGTATGCCGGGAGGACATTCCCCTCCCTTCTGATCCTCCTCCCTTTCTAAGCCCCTCTCCACTCTCCTCGACCCCTGGGCACCTTCAAGCAGGCCTTCTAGACATGCCAATCCTATACCCTCAGGCCTTGCCCGTCTAACAGTCGTTCCCTGACCTCCCACGACCCCTCGGTCCCACAGCGTCCCAGGGTTTGTCTTTCTTTCTTGATTGTCTCTCTCCCTCTCTCTTTCTTTCTTTCTTTCTCCTCTCTCTTTCTTTTCCTTCCTTCCTCTTTTCCCTTCCTTCCTCCCCTCCCTCCTTCCTTCTCTTCCTTCCTTCCTTCCTTTCTTCCTTAAGACGGAGTTTCACTTTTGTTGCCCAGGCTGGAGTGCAATGGCACAATCTTGACTCACTGCAACCGCCTCCCAGGTTCAAGATTCTCCTGCCTCAGCCTCCCAAGTAGCCAGGATCACAGGCACCTGTCACCACGCCCGATTAATTTTTGTATTTTTAGTAGAGATGGGGTTTCACCATGTTGGTCAGGCTGGTCTTGAACGCCTGACCTCAGGTAATCCACCCGCCTCAGCCTCCGGAAGTGCGGGGATTACAGGCGTGAGCCACTGTGCCTGGCTTTGCATTTCTTATGACTCCTTAGCAGCATCCTTGTTCCTGCTCACTTCTGCCTCCTGCCTCTAGACTATGGGCTTGCCCCTTGGGTCCGGGGACCTGGTTGATTTTGCTCACAGTTGTATCCTCAGTACCTAGATTTGCCTGGCACATGAAGGTGCTCAGTAAATATTTATTGGGTGGGCAAGTGCTTAGAATGTCACCTACAAGCCATGTCCCTGAGAGTGTCAGGCACCAAAGGGAGGAAAGACAAGTTTTGCCACTCGATCCAGCAGGAAACAGCAGGGCTGGCGATGGACCTCAAAACCTGCAGAAAGGAGGGGCTCCCTAAGTGTTCCTTCTAAGCCACGCATTCCTGGGAAAGAGCAGGACAAAAGAGCCAGCCAGGGAGCAAGCCTGTCATGGGGAGGAGGCTGCATCAGGATGGTTTAGACGTGTGGAAACAATTCTAGGCCCCACAAGATGACAAGGGTGAATGAGCTGATCCACTTTGAATCTCTAAGTGCTACCAATACAAGAATAATTCCCAAATCTATGTCACGAGCTAAGGATCTCTCTTGAGCCTTGAACTAGTTTATCTAAATAACTCCTAGACATATCTCTCCCCTAGCAGGGCCCCAGGCACCTCAAACCCAATCTCTCCAAAGCAACCCCTAAGAGCAGGGGCTGGGGTTGAAACCCTGGGGTCACCATTTGTTCTCTCTGCCATCTTGGCCAAGTTAAAGTTCTCTCATGCTGTTTTCTTCGACTGAAAATTGAGTATAAACAATAGAATAGGGCCAGGCACAGTGGCTCACGCCTGTAATCCCAGCACTTTGGGAGGCTGAAGTGGGTAGATCACTTGAGGTCAAGAGTTCAAGACCAGCCTGGCCAACATGGTGAAATCCTATCTCTACCAAAAATACAAAAAATTAACTGGGCGTGGTGGTACACGTCTGTAATCCTGGCTACTCAGGAGGCTGAGGCAGGAGAATCGCTTGAACCCAGGAGGCAGAGGTTGCAGTGAGCCAAGATTGCACCACTGCACTCCAGCCTGGCAACACAGCAAGACTCCCTCTTAAAAACAAACAAAACAAACGATAGAACAGGCCAGGCGCAGTGGCTCACACCTGTAATCCCAGCACTTTGGGAGGCCGAGGCGAGCAGATCATCTGAGGTCAGGAGTTGGAGACCATCCTGGCCAACATACAGTGAAACCCTGTCTCTACTAAAAAATTACAAAAATTGGCCGGGAGCGGTGGCTCACGCCTGTAATCCCAGCACTTTGGGAGGCTGAGGCGGGTGGATCACGAGGTCAGGAGATTGGGACCATCCTGGCTAACACGATGAAACCCCGTCTCTACTAAAAATACAAAAAATTAGCCAGGCATGGTGGTGTGCATCTGTAGTCCCAGCTACTTGGGAGGCTGAGGCAGGAGAATGGCGTGAACCCGGGTGGCGGAGCTTGCAGTGAGCCGAGATCATGCCACTGCTCTCCAGCCTGGGCGAGAGAGTGAGACTCCATCTCAAAAAAAAAAAAATTACAAAAATTATCTGGGTGTGGTGGTGCACGCCTGCGGTCCCAGCTACTTGGGAAGCTGAGGCAGGAGAATTGCTTGAACCCGGGGGGTAGAGGTCGCAGTGAACTGAGATCATGCGCCACTGCACTCCAGCCAGGGCGACAGAGCAAGACTCCATCTCTCAAAAACAAAAAAAAAAAACACAAAAATTAGCTGGGTGTGGTGGTGAGCGCCTACAGTCTCAGCTATTCGGGATGCTGAAGCTGGAGAATTGCCTGAACCTGGGAGGTTGCAGTGAGCTGAGATAGAGCCACTGCACTCCAGCCTGGGCGACAAAGTGAGACTCCATCTGAAAAAAAAAACCAACAAAAAACAATAGAATACACATAATTAATTAATAGAGCAGTCCTAGTGGCCCCCATAGTGAAATTCTAATGCCTTGCAGAGAACAGAATCAAACTGTCAACCTCTGTAGGCTATTCTGTATTCACAGATTCATTTGTAGAAGATGCATTTCATTATACGTTGTGTTTTTAGCAGTTACAGTGATGGCATGTTCCTTGGCAACTTCAGCTTGGAGAGATGAGATTTGTAGCAGAAAGCACTCATCTGCATTTCTTCTCTTCCATCTCAAAGAGCAGTGAAGAGGCTGTAAGGCCGTCTGGTTTCTGAGGAACTTCAGCTTTACCCTCAGGCAGGTTCCGCTGCTCCATCAGGCCTATGACACTGTTAGGGGCCCTGGAAATTGTTTTAATTAATTTTAAAATCAGAAGAAAATATGCATATAATAATAATGAATATTATGAGAATGAATCTAGACCAAATGATGATCCCTTACCCCCGCCCTTGTCCAGGTGAATGGAGAAGGCCATGCATGTGTCCTGAGCTGAGCCAGTCAGAGCCCCTGCCCCGGACCCCAGATGGAGAGGACAGCCCGCTCCAGGCAGCAGGATCTGGATAGTAAGCGCTGGGGAGCTCTGGGAGGCCAGGAAGGTGGAGGGGAGGCAGCCAGGGGATATTCCAGGGTGACAGCATGGCAGGCCAGGGTGAAAGGAAGTATAAAAGCCCCCAGACAGGAAAATATCTGCATTCAAGCAGCTAAAGGCAGGCCCCGGAGGGTCCCCGGCAAGAATGGTGGAGGAGGCTGGAGATGAGATAGAGGCAGGGTTGGACCACCTGGGCCTTATAAGCCAGAAGGAGCTGAGATTTTTTTTTCACTCCAATGAGCAGCTATGAAAGGGTTTTAAGGGAGGGAGTGACCAGATCTGATTTACATTTTAAAGAGATTAGCACTGTGGAAAGTGTACTGTGGAGGTGGGGCAAGAGCTGAGAGCCACATGGAGGGCCCTGGATACTTCTGGACTCTGAATGGGGGGCCAGGCTTCAGCGATGTAGGTGAGGATGGAGACAGGTGGGTCCAAGAGGACCTGTGGGTGGAGGGGCTGGAGGGGGAAAGGAAAGGCTGTTATCAAGGATAAATGGTGGTGATGGTCGTGCTGTTCTGCTCCTGAGCTGGGGAAGAAGGGAAGACATGAAGACTTCTGTTCAGACCCATTGAGGTACCCATGGCACACACACATGGAAGTGTGGAGAAGGCAGTGGAACATGTCAGTCTGGAGTGGGGGACACAGGTCAGGGCTGGACGCCCCTGGATGCTGGAAGTGTGGGTGGCATCAGTGCACAACTGGTGTTTGAAGCCACAAATCTCTGAGTTAGGGAGGAAATGGGAATGTGCTGTGAACCAGAAACTCAGAGGAAACTGCCCTTGTTGAGTCCCTGCTGAAGACAGAGAATGAAGACAAGATAGAGAAGGATTCTTTCTTTCTTTTTTTTTTCTTTTTTGAGATGGAGTTTCACTCTTGTTGGCCAGGCTGGAGTGCAATGGTGCCATCTCAGCCCACTGCAACCTCCACCTCCCAGATTCAAGTGATTCTCCTACCTCAGCCTCCTGAATAGCTGGGATTACAGGCGCCCACCATGCCCAGTTAATTTTTGCATTTTTAGTGGAGATGGGGTTTCGCCATGTTGGCCAGGCTGGTCTCTAACTCCTGACCTCAGGTGTTCCGCCCTCCCAAAATGCTGGCATTACAGGCGTGAGCCACCGCGCCCAGCGAGAAGGATCCTTTAGATCTGGTAATGCAAGTGGCTCCTGACTTTGACCAGAGCCCTCTGGGTGGAGGGAGGAATCTGGAAGCCAAATTGGGATGGGAAGGAAGAGTAAAACAGCATGATCACCAGTGCCTGGCCTCATCTCATCCCTGCCTGGGCTCTGGATTAAAAAACAGCTATGAGCCGGGTATAGTCCCAGCTACTCGGAGGCCGAGGCAGGAGGATGGCTTGAGCCCAGGACGTTGAGGCTGTGGGTGAGCTACAATTGCACCACTGCATTCCAGCCTGGGTGACAGAGCAAGACCCTATCTCTGAAATAAAAAATATTTATACTTAAAAAAATAGCTATATAGGACATTTTGGGGGCAAATGGGGAAATTGGAAAATGGACTCCATATTAGATAATACCTTTTTTTGTTGAGACAAGGTCTCACTCTGGCATGCAGGATGGAGTGCAGGGAGCTCACTGCAGCCTCAACTTCCTGGGCTCAGGAAGTGATTCTCCAGCCTCAGCCTCCTAAAGTGCTGGGATTACAGGCGTGAGCCACCACGCCTGGCCTGTATTAGATAATATATAGCAGCTCTGAATTTGTTGTGTGTGATAATGGTGTGTGGTAAGAGAGAAACTGTAGGAGACACACATTGTAGTATTTAGGGCAGAAAGAGTAGATACTTGAAACTTTCCAGTGCTCCAACAATAACAAAAAATTAAACACATACCCCATACACAGAGAAAGCACAGATGGCAAAATGCTAATTGGAAAAATCTAGGTGAAGAATATTTTAATATTTTTTCAACTCCTCTTTCAGCTTAATTATTTCCTTACAAAGTTGGGTGCAGCCGGGTGCAGTGGCTCACTCCTGTAATCCCAGCACTTTGGGAGGCCGAGGCGGGTGGATCACCTGAGGTCAGGAGTTCAAGACCAGCCTGGCTGACATGGTGAAACCCCGTCTCTACTAAAAATACAAAAAATTAGCCGGGTGTGGTGGTGCATGCCTGTAATCCCAGCTACGTGGGAGGCTGAGCCAGGAGAATCACTTGAAACCCAGGAGGCGGAGGTTGCAGTGAGCTGAGATTGCGCCATTGCACTCCAGCCTGGGCAACAAGAGCAAAACTCCGTCTCAAAAAATTTAAATAAATAAATAAATAAATTAGCTGGGCGTGGTGGCGGGCGCCTGCCTGTAATCCCAGCTACTCCGGAGGCTGAGGCAGGAGAGTAGCTTGAACACAGGAGGCGGAGGTTGCAGTGAGCTAGATCTTGCCATTGCACTCCAGACTAGATGACAGACTGAGAACCTGTCTCCAAAAAAAAACTAAGTTGGGTGCGGTGGCTTACGCCTGTCATCCCAGCACTTTGGAAGGTCGAGGCCGGCAGATCACTTGAGGTCAAGAGTTCAAGACCAGCCTGGCCAACATGGTGAAACCCCATCTCTACTAAAAATACAAAAATTAGCCGGGCTTGCCGGGCACGGTGGCTCACGCCTGTAATCCCAGCACTTTGGGAGGCCGAGGTGGGCGGATCACCTGAGGTCGGGAGTTCAAGACCAGCCTGGCCAGCATGGTGAAACCCTGTCTCTAATAAAAATACAAAAATTAGCCGGGCGTGGTGGCAGGTGCCTGTAATCCCAGCTACTCAGGAGGCTGAGGCAGGAGAATAGCTTGAACCCAGGAGGTGGAGGTTGCGGCGAGCCAGGATCACACCATTGCACTCCAGCCTCGGCAACAGAGCGAGAATCTGTCTCAAAAAAAAAAAAAAAAAAAAAAAAAGAGGCCAGGCGCGGTGGCTCACGCCTGTAATCCCAGCAGTTTGAGAGGCCGAGGCAGGCAGATCATGAGGTCAGGAGATTGAGACCATCCTAACACAGTGAAACCCCGTCTCTACTAAAAATACAAAAAATTAGCTGGGCATGGTGGTGGGCGCCTGTAGTCCCAGCTACTCGGGAGGCTGAGGCAGGAGAATGGTGTGAACCCGGGAGGCAGAGCGTGTAGTGAACCAAGATCGGGCCACTGCACTCCAGCCTGGGCGACAGTGAGACTCCGCCTCAAAAAAAATTTTTTTTAAATTTTAATTACAAAAAGGAAGGGTGACTAGCAGGGTCAAGAGAAAGTTTCATACAATTGAGAAATTTTTTGAAGAATGGGAGCATAAATGTGTGTTGAAAGCAATGCTCATGGAAGGGAGGAGGAGAAGGTGATTATGTCAGCCAGGGGTGAGAGGTGCAGGGCAGAATCCTGGAGGAGCAGGTGGATGGCCCAGAGTGAGGGCCTGGAGGGTGGCCTTTGCCCAGTGTGGGGCAGCCACACGTCAGATGGGCAACTTGGTGGGGGGCTTTCCTGTCTGATGACTTCCCCTCTGTACTCTACGTAGGATATGGGGCTCTCTGCTAAGAAGGGCCAGGAGAGCAATGGGGAGGTTCCCGCAGGGAAAAACTGGTGGGATTTGTGGGTTTGTGTTGACGATCTGGGTGAAGATTGTTTATTGGTTTAGGGAGGGAGACAAGAGGAAAGATTAAGTCCCCACACCTCCAAGACTCAGTTTCTCCATCTGTAACATGAGGAGATTGAACTAGGAGATCTCAAAGGACTCTGAACTCCAGTACGCTCATGGTCCCTTTAGGAAGTGATGGGAAGCATATACTGAATAGCACGAGCCTGGGTTATTTAAGAATTAAGGATAGTGGCTGCTCTGCCTATGGAGTAACCATTCCTTTTTTTTTTTTTTTTTTTGAGACGGAGTTTTGCTCTTGTCACCCAGGCTGGAGTGCAATAGCGCGATCTCGGCTTACTGCAACCTCCGCCTCCCAGGTTCAAGCGATTCTCTGCCTCAGCCTCCCATGTAGCTGGGATTACAGGCATGCGCCACTACCACGTCTGGCTAATTTTTGTATTTTTAGCAGAGACGAGGTTTCACCATCTTGGCCAGGCTTGTCTTGAACTCCTAACCTAGTGATCCACCCGCCTTGGCCTCCCAAAGTGCTGGGATTACCGGCGTGAGCCACTGCACCTGGCAGAGTAGCCATTCTTTTATTCCTTTACTTACTTAATAAACTTCATTTCACTTAAAAAAAAAAAAAGAATTAAAGATAGCTAGTAAAAACTAGACAATTGCCTAAGACGTTTCTAATTGAGGATTAAAACCAATAAATACAAGAAGGCCAGGCATGGTGGCTCATGCCTGTAATCCCAGCACTTGGGGAGGTTGAGGTGGGCAGATCACCTGAGGTCAGGAGTTCGAGACCAGCATGACCAATATGGCGAAACCCTGTATCTAATAAAAATACAAAAATTAGCCGGGTGTGGTGGCGTGTGCCTGTAGTCCCAGCTACTCAGGAGGCCAAGGCAGGAGAATTGCTTGAACCTGGGAGGCAGAGACTGCAGTGAGCCAAGATTGTGCCACTGCACTCCAGCATCCTGAGCGACAGACTGAGACTCTGTCTCCAAAAAAAAAAACAAAAAAACCAATAAATACAAAGAGGCACGTGAAAGGCAGACTGCTGGCCAGGCATGGTGGCTCACGCCTATAATCCCAGCACTTTGGGAGGCCGAGGCAGGCACATCATGAGGTTAGGAGAGTGAGACCATCCGGCTAACACGGTGAAACTCCGTCTTTACTAAAAATACAAAAAATTAGGTGGGCGTGGTGGTGGGCACCTGTAGTCTCAGCTACTCAGAGGGCTGAGGCAGGAGAATCGCCTGAACCCGGGAGGTGGAGGTTGCAGTGAGCCCAGATCTCGCCACTGCACTCCAGTCTGGGTGACAGAGCGAGAATCCTTCTCAAAAAAAAAAAAAAAAAAAGAGAAAGAAAAAAGAAAAAAAAAGAGAGGCGGGTGTGGTGGCTCACACCTGTAATCCCAGCACTTTGGGAGGCTGAGGCAGGTGGATCACCTGAGGTCGGGAGTTGGAGACCAGCCTGACCAACATGGAGAAACCCCATCTCTACTAAAACTACAAAATTAGCCAGGCGTGTAATCCCTGGCGCATGCTTGTAATCCCAGCTACTCGGGAGGCTGAGGCAGGAGAATCGCTTGAACCCGGGAGGCAGAGGTTGTGGTGAGCCAAGATCACACCACTGCACTCCAGCCTGGGCAACAAGAGCGAGACTCTGTTAAAAAAAAAAAAAGAAAGAAAGAAAGAAAAGAAAAAGAAAAGCAGACTGTTTAAGGCTTCAGAGCACCCCTGGGGGAGTGAGGAGGTGGCCCAGAGGCCGAGGGCTCTGAGATGCATGACGAGGTGCTGTTTGGGTGAACACGGTGCGGGGTCCTTTTCAGAGTATATACTGCTTTCTCCTTGCTCTGGCCGAAGTTCACATCACACAGCATGAAGTGAAACAGCACATCAATGTGATGAACACGGTTAACACTGAAGAAACCTGTATGTGCGAGCAAATATAGCATGAAAGGGTTCAGGGAATTTTTTTTTTTTTTTTTTTTGAGACTGAGTCTCACTCTGTTGCCCAGGCTGGAGTGCAGTGGCACGATCTCCGCTCACTGCAACCTCCCACCTCCCAGGTTCAAGCGATTTTTCTGCCTCAGCCTCCCAAGTAGCTGGGACTATTGGCACGTGCCATGATGCCTGGCTAATTTTTGTATTTTTAATAGAGTCGGGGTTTCACCATATTGGCCAGGCTGGTCTCAAACTCCTGACCTCATGATCTGCCCACCTTGGCCTCCCAAAGTGCTGGGATTACAGGCATGAGCCACTGTGCCCGGCCGTCCTGTTTTTTGGTGTGTGTGTGTGTGTGTGTGTGTGTGTGTGTGTGTGTGTGCACGTTTGAGAGGGAGTCTCCCACTGTTGTCCATGCTGGAGTACAGCAGTGTGATCTCGGCTCACTGCAACTTCTGCCTCCCAGGTTCAAGCAATTCTCCTGCCTCAGCCTCCTGAGTAGCTGGGATTATAGGCATGTGCCACCACGCCTGGCTAATTTTTTGTATTATTAGTAGAGACAGGGTTTCACCCTGTTGGCCAGGCTGGTCTTGAACTCCAGGCCTCAAGTGATCCACCTGCCTCAGCCTCCCAAAGTCCTGGTATTACAGGCATGAGCCAATAGTGCCTGGCCAATAGTTTTTTTTTATTTTTATTTTTAAAGGGACAGGGTCTCCCTCTTTCACCCAGGCCGTAACCCTGAACTGCGAGGCTCAAACGATCCTTCTGCCTTAGCCTCCCAACTCCCAAGTAGCTAGGACTACAGGTGCACACCACCATGCCTGGCTAATTTTTAAATTTTCGGTAGAGACGGGATCTTGGTATGTTGCCCAGGCTGGTCTCAAACTTCTGGCCTCAAGTGATCCTTCTGCCTCAGCCTCCCAAAGTGCTGGGATTACAAGCGTTGTGCCACAGTGCTCGGCCAACAATAGATTTATAATATCACTGAGGGCAGGGATTGTGAGTCATCACCAGCTCCCCAGTGACTGGCAGCATGCCAGGAATGGGGGAGGGGAGAGAGGGAAGGAAGGGAAGCTTCTCGGCCTGACAGTTCAGCCAGGTGCAGGCACTGTCATGTTCATGGCCACCAGGCATCTGCCAAGCACCAGGCTCTGTGCTGCCCACTTTACACAGATGGTCTCATTTGGCCTTGATGACAGCCTGTGGAGGTTGGTATTATTTACTCCAAGAGGAAACTAAAGGCAGAGAGTTTAAGTAACTTGCCAAAAGTCACATGGCAGAATCAGGATTTGAGCTCAGATATGTTAAACTGAAGCTTGTGCTCTTGACTGCCTGGCTGTGCAGTCTTCCAGAAGAGCACGGCATGGACTTCTGGAATTCTTGCAGCCACTCGACTCAAAAGCAGTTAGCATAGTGCTGAGCACAGGTAATAGGGCATTTGACAAATGCCAGTGACTGTAGACCGAATGATTGACAGTCTGAAAGAATGAATGAGTGAAGTGACTTCCTGTCTTGTGAGGTTTTTCTCTTCAAATGGAAGATTTCCCCATAGCCTTTGAATGCTCAATCTAATTAAGGCAAAAAGGCATCAGAGAATTGCAGGGCCTTTCCTTTATTAACTGTCAAGTCCAATCTGGAGGCTGTTTATGTGCCAAGGTCAGAGATCAGTCTTTAGCTGCTCTCCTCTCATTCATCTGGCCAACCTCAGAACATAAAGTTTATTGATGCAAAACTGATTGGCAGGCTGGGCTAACGAGCTGGCGGGAACAGGGAGTATCAGAAAGAGTTCTAAGCCAGCGTCGGCTCGGCCCGGCTCCTCTGCTGTCCTAACTTCCCTGTGCTCTAGGTTGCAGGGTCGCACCTTTCAGAAGTGAACCCCAGAAGAGTAGCAAATACTGCCTGGCCTTTTGGCAGTTCTTATGGAGCCCAGTCAAGAGCAGGAGGGGGAGCAGTCCTTTTTCCTGGTTTTGTCTATTAACGTGGAAAGAGCGAGGCATGGAAGATTAGGTAGTATAGTCTTTTTTTTTTTTTTTTTTTTTTTTTTTTTAGACAGAGTCTTACTCTGTCGCCTAGGCTGGAGTGCAGAGTGCAGTGGTGTGATTTCGGCTCACTGCAAGTTCTGCCTCCTGGGTTCGTGCCATTCTCCTGCCTCAGCCTCCCAAGTAGCTGGGACTACAGGCGCCCCCCCACCATGTCCGGCTAATTTTTTGTGTTTTTAGTAGAGACGGGGTTTCACCGTGTTAGCCAGGATGGTCTTGATCTCCTGACCTCGTGATCCGCCTGCCTCAGCCTCCCAAAGTGCTGGGATTACAGGCGTGAGCCACCGCGCCCAGCAGTATAGTCTTAAGACTTCACAAATCAAAGAAATTCCTGTGTAAGCCTCGTCAGGCCTAGGGGTCGTGAAGAGGAAGGTAACTGTTATGCCTACAGTTTGCAGCCAACCCATTAGTAAGCAGCGCCTGTCTGTGGGGAGCTCCTGGCAGTGCCTCCTCCTCCATGCCCAGCAGGAAAGAGAGGCTGGGAAGGATGCATGGGCCACATGCCTGGCTCTACTTGCAGTGCCCCCAGGATAAAAGCCAGGAGGCTGGCCGGGCACGGTGGCTCATGCCTGTAATCCCAGCACTTTGGGAGGCCAAGGTGGGTGGATCACGAGGTCGGGAGATCGAGAGCATCCTGGCTAACACGGTGAAACCCCGTCTCTACTAAAAATAAAAAAAATTAGCTGGGCGAGGTGGCACGCGTCTGTAATCCCAGCTCCTTGCTAGGCTGAAGCAGGAGAATCTCTTGAATCCAGGAGGCCCAGGTTGCAGTGAGCTGAGATCGCACCACTGCACTCCAGCCTAGGCGACGGAGCAAGACCCCGTCTCAAAAAAAAAAAAAAAGCCAGGAGGTGGGCAGTCAGGAGAGACAGGTGGACCTGGGAGCTGTGTCTTCTACTCAAGATAGGGAAAGTACAACTCCCCTGGTTATTATCAGGACCAATTGATTTTGCCTGATCTGAGAGAAAACATCCTGACCACAGGTCACTTGAAATGCCCTGTAATTCAGAAACAGTGGCTGTCCACAGCAGACAGCTATCTGGATTTAAGACCCCAAATTCACACACCACACCACAAATTGTCCACTTACAAGCAAAAAAATAACAAACAGCCAAGCCCCCAACCCACTCTCATTTTATTCCCTTGGTTCCAGGTCTCCTCTGAGCAGGTCATGTCTCCTGGTGTGTTTGCGTACAGGCTGTGGGGCTGGGGGGAAGGAGTCCTTTTTCCTCTTACCCCAGGCAGGGCTGGCTCCAGGTTGCAGAGCTCCACAGAGAAAACTGCTCACTGCAGAGAAGGGCATAGTCCAGCCCAAGCTCTACTCTGATGAGCTCTGAGATCGGGGGTGGTGACTTCATCTTCTATCTATGGCTTGGAACAATGATGATGACCATGACCCTCTGGTTTCAGTTCAGTCAATGAATGGGGAGCAAATTGCTATTGTCAGGCACTAGGCTAGGGAGGTGATTCAGAAAGGCTCCCAGAGACCCACACACCAATCACTAAACTAATATAACACGCTAAATACTACATCTACAGTAGGGATAAAGTGTTTTAGGTACACAAAGGGAGTTGAGAAAAGCTTCAGAGGTTTTCAAAGTGGTTTCCAGACCATCATCAACCAGCCTCACCTGGAAAGTTGTTAGACATACAAATATCAGCCCCACCCCAGACTGGCTGAATAAAAAATTCTGGGGGTGGGGCCCAGCAATCTGCGTTTGAACAAGCCCTCCAGGTGATTATGATGCAACCTAAAGTCTGAGAATCACGTAGAGGTTGGAAAACTACCTTGCAACCAGCAACCTGTTTTTGCAAATAAAGTTTTATTGGAACACAGCCATAATCCATCATTCAGACATTGTTTGTGGCTACTTCCCTTTTAACCAGCAGAGTTGGTAGTTACGACAGAGACAATATGGCCCGCAAAGCCTGATTCTGCCAAATGACTAGACTAGATTTCCCATACTAGGGAGCATAGCCTAGATTTTTTTTCTTTTCTTTTTTTTGAGACAGAATCTCACTGACACGCAGGCTGGAGTACAATGGTGGGTTCTCAGCTCACTGCAACCTCCACCTTCTGGGCTCAAGTGATCTCCCAACCTCAGCTTGCCGAGTAGCTGGGACCACGAGCATATGGCAACATGCGCATCTAACTTTTGTATTTTTTTTTGTTAATTATTATTTTTTGAGACCGAGTCTCGCTCTGTCGCCCAGGCTGGAGTGCAGTGGCGGGATCTTGGCTCACTGCAAGCTCTGCCTCCTGGGTTCATGCCATTCTCCTGCCTCAGCCTCCCCAGCAGCTGGGACTACAGACACACGCTGCCTTGCCCGGCTAATTTTTTGTATTTTTAGTAGAGACGGGGTTTCACTGTGTTAGCCAGGATGCTCTCCATCTCCTGACCTCGTGATTCACCCGCTTCACCCTCCCAAAGTGCTGGGATTACAAGCATGAGCCACCGCGCCCGGCCCTGTATTTTTTTTTAATGACATAATTTTATTTATTTATTTACTTTTATTTGAGAGGGCGTCTAGCTCTGTTGCCTGGGCTGGAGTGCAGTGGTGCGGTCTCGGCTTACTGCAAGCTCCACCTCCTGGGTTCATGCCATTCTCCTGCCTCAGCCTCCCAAGTAGCCGGGACTACAGGTGCCAGCCACCACACCCGGCTAATTTTTTTTTTATTTTTAGTAGAGACTGGGTTTCACCTTAGCCAGGATGGTCTCGATCTCCTGACCTCGTGATCTGCCCGCCTCGGCCTACCAAAGTGCTGGTATTACAGGTGTTGAGCCACCGCGCCCGGCCTAGAAGACGGAAGTTTGCATGTTGCCCAGGCTGGTCTCCAACTCCTGGGGTCAAGTGATCCACTGCCTCGGCCTCCCAATGTGCTGGGATTACAGGCGTGAGCCACTACACCTGGCCTCTTTTTTTTTTTTTTTTAAGAGACAAGGTTTCAATATATTGCCCAAGCTAGACTCAAACTCCTGGCCTCAAGCAACCCTCCTGCCTCAGCCTCCTAAGAGGCTGGAACTACAGACAGGTGCACGCCACTATGCTTGGCTCCTGTCTATGGCGGAGGTTGCAGTGAGCAGAGATTGTGCCATTGCACTCCATCCTGGGCGATAGAGCCAAACTTTGTCTCAAACAACAACAAAATCCCCTTAGAGCTCTTTCCTAGCAACCAAACGTTTTTCCATTTTGTTAGGAATTGGAAGAAGAGAGGAAATAACTGGCTAAGTAACTACTCTATATCAAGCACGGTTACAAGGCATTTTCCAACATTATTTCAATTTTAATGAAAGCTGCTCATGAAATTAGGTTTACTGGGTCACAGTTTTCAGATGAGGAACCTGGGACAGGTGAAGGGACAGAATTGGAACCCAGTTCTGTCATACCACAGATGCCCCACCTGTTCTACACTGGCCTGTCAAGAATAACAATAATAATAATTATTATTTTAGAGAGAGGCCTGCTGTGTTGGCCAGGTGGACTGCAGTGGCACGACCTCGGCTCACTGCAACCTTCGACTCCCAGGTTCAAGCGATTCTCCTGCCTCAGTCTCCCGACTAGCTGGGATTACAGGTGCCCACCACCACGCTCAGCTAATTTAAAAAATATTTTTAGCAGAGATGGGGTTTCACCATGTTGGCCAGGCTGGATCTCAATCTCCTGACCTCGTGATCCACCCGCCTTGGCCTCCCAAAGTGCTAGGATTACAGGTGTGAGCCACCGCGCCAGGCCCAATGATTATTTTAAATAATAATTATTTTTTTTGAGACGGAGTCTCGCTCTGTCACCCAGGCTGGAGTGCAGTGGTGTGATCTCGGCTCACTGCAACCTCCGCCTCCTGGGTTCAAGCGATTCTCCTGCCTTAGCCTCCCGAGTAGCTGGGACTACAGGCGCCCGCCACCACGCCTGGCTAATTTTTTTGTATTTTTAGTAGAGACAGGGTTTCACCGTGTTAAGACAGGATGGTCTCGACCTCCTGACCTCATGATCCACCGCCTCGGCCTCCCAAAATGCTGTGATTACAGGCGTGAGCCACCGCTCCCAGCCTTAAATAATTACTTTTATTTTATTATCATTATTTTTGAGACAGGGTCTCACTCTGTCACCCAGAATGGAGTGCAGTGGTGCCATCTTGGCTCACTGCAACCTCCGCCTCCTGGGTTCAAGCAAAATTCTCCTGTCTCAACCTCCCAAGTAGCTGAAAGTACAGGTACGTACCACTATGCCGAGCTAATTTTTGTATTTTTAGTAGACACGGGGTTTCACCATGTTGGCCAGGCTGGTCTCGAACTGCTGGCCTCAAGTGATCCACCCGCCTTAGCCTCCCAGAGTGCTGGGATTACAGGCGTGAGCTACCGCACCCAGCCTACTTTGAAAAATGGGATCATCGGCCAGGCGCGGTGGCTCATGCCTGTAATCACAGCACTTTGGGAGGCCGAGGTGGGCGGATCACGAGGTCAGGAGTTCGAGACCAGTCTGGCCAACATAGTGAAACTCCGTCTCTACTAAAAACACAAAAAATAAGCCAGGTGTGGTGGTGTGCGCCTGTAATCCCAGCTAGTTGGGAGGCTGAGGCGGGAGAATCGCATGAACCCAGGAGAAAGAGGTTGCAGCAAGCTGAGATTGTGCCACTGCACTTCAGCCCGGGCGACAGTGTGAGACTCTGTCACCAAAATAAAATAAAATAAAATAAAATAAAAAGATCCTCTAGCCCAAATCCCTCCATCACAGAAGCAGTTGGAGAAGTTTGAAAAGGTTAGATGATAGGCCCATGTGGCTTGTCTGTGGAAAGAGCTAGGCTGCAAGACACCTCTGACTCCATTGAGTGCTTTCTCTTACTCTCCTTTCCCGATTTAAGACATTAAATCATTTAAGACAGTGTCATTTGGTCGAGTGCGGTGGCTAACGCTTGAAATCCCAGCACTTTGGGAGGCTGAGATGGGCGGATCAACTGAGGTCAGGAATTCGAGACCAACGTGGCCAACATGGCAAAACCTCGATTCTACCAAAAAAGAAAAAAAAAAAAAATTAGCCGGGCCTGGTAGCGCGTGCCTGTAATCCCGGCTACTCAGGAGGCTGAGGCAGGGAGAACTGCTTGAACCCGGGTGGCAGAGGTTGCAGTGAGCCAAGATCGCACCACTGCACTCCAGCCTGGGCGACAGAGCGAGACTCTGTCTCAAAAAAAAAAAATTTTTTTTAAAAAGACAGTGTCATTTGATGGAGTTGCTTTCTTGATCGTTGGCTGCAATTAAAGACCTAGCCTCACTGTCTTTTGTGTTGCCTTGGACCGGCTCTTAGGTTCTACCGCCCTAACAGGCAGTGGAGGCTGGCCTCGAGTGGTAGTCCTCCATCTTGCCCTCTTTTCCTACCCTCTACCCCCAACCCGCGAGCTGCTCTCCTGTCTTCTTCCAACACTGTTCTCTTTGGGAATATGCATGTCCAACTTCCCAAGCAGTCTGGGATCTGGAGTAAGATGACTCTTGGTTTAATGAAGTTTTTCCACAGTGCTTGCATGTGCCCCAAGGGTTTGGAAGGTTGGAGAACTAACAAAAAGCAAAGAGCCATCCTGTGTCGTTTCGGCAGGTCTGTGTTCTGTTAAAATATGGAAGAATTAAGAGAAGAACGAAGAAATAAGGGCAGAAACTCCACTGGGGAGTACTTGTCTAACCCTGAAAAAGTTCAAGGCTGTTGTTCAAGGTCTGAATTTTTCCCTTGAGATTTGCTTGTAGTCCTTAAAGTCATCTTCAGACATCTGATCAAGGCAGCATCCGCGGAAAATTATAAGGTGGGTGGCTGCACTGGAGCCTGTCCTGGCTCAGGGGCGCCGGTGAAGAGTGATTTTTTTCCCTTGGCCTTGGGGGATCAGAGGGGGTGCCCTCTGCTATGCAGGAAGCCCTCCTTGCCCGCTAGATAGTTCTCATTCCTCAGGAGATACTCTGTGAGGGGCCGGCGTGTTTTCTCCATCTTGGCACTTACCCTCAGACCCTCCTAAGTACCCGGGAGGGCCGTGTTTTTCATCGGAGGTTGAAATGGAACCTCCCCCTGGGTGCCCGGGGAGAGTACCTTGGGGGCAGCGCCCCTCCTTCCGGAGGGCAGCATCCCCGCGGGGGCGGGGGCTCGGCTTTGATCCCAGGGCACCTTTTGTCCCTGGAGACGCTCTGCCAGCCAGGTACGTGGAGGGAGTGCAGCCCGCCCTCCCGGGCGACGCGCGGGGCTGGGGCGGGCCGGCGGCTCCGGGGAGTGGCGGCCGGGAGCCCGCGAACGCGGGTGGGCGCCGTCGCCTCACTAACCGGGCGCCTCCGGGAAGTCCGGGCGGGGTCCGCCGCTCACACATAGGATTAGCGTCCTCTAAACTCCATCCCTGGGAAAAGCCGCCGCACTTCTCACCCAAACTCGCGGAGCCGAGGGGCTGGGCAGGGGTTGGGCGGGCGCGGGGGCCGGCGAGGCGGATCCGGGAACGGGTGGACCCGGGCGGCCAAGCCCCTTCAGCGCCGGCCCAACCGCCCCGGCCCGGGCCAGTCCAGCGGGGCGGGGGCCGGCGACACAAAGGCGGCGGCGGGTCCTCCGGGCCTCCGGCCTCGGGCAGTCGCAGGGCGCCCCGGGCCGCCGGACCTCCCCTCGCGTTGCGGCCCGTCAGCCGGCGCCGCCCGTCGCCCGCCCTCAGCCGTCCGGCGAGGCGCGGCTTCCTCCGCCGGCGCGGGGTCCCCTGGTTAACCCCTGCCCGGCAGCGCGGCCGCTGATTGGAGAAGGCGGGGCGCCGGGGCAGCGGGGACCCCCCCCCACCTTCCTCGTCCCCTCCCCCTGCTCCCCCACTGTCGGCGCTTCCCCCACCCCCCCAGGACCCCCCCCGCCTCCCAGCCGTGCAAATCTCGCGAGGAAACACGCGGTTTCACTAGTGTGTTTACACCGATCACTACTAATCCGGACCGAACCGATCCGGATTAAGGGGCCGGAGGCGGGTCCTGGGCACCAGCGGTTCCGACCCCCCCGCCCTCCGCGCCGCACCCGAGTGGCCCCCAGCCGAGCGGGCCCCCACCTCCTGGCCCGGCCTGGGCCCTCCTGCGCCTCCCTTGGCCTTTGTCCGGCGCCAGGAGGCCGGTCCCGCGCCCCCCGCGGCCGCCCGGGCCCGGGCCCGCGTCGGGCGCCTGGCTCTGTACGCGAGCCCGGGGATCTGCGGCCTTCGTGCCCCCCCTCCCCCGCCCGCCCTCTCGTGGAGCCCGGCGCCGGCGGCGGCTGCCCGGGCGGGGGGTTGCGGCGCTCAGGAGAGGCCCCGGCTCCGCCCCGGGCCTGCCCAGGGGGAGAGCGGAGCGGTCCGCAGCCGGGTCGGGTCGGGGCCCCTCCCGGGAGGAGCGTGGAGCGGCGGCGGCGGCGGCGGCAGGTGAGAGGCTGAGCCCCGGGCGGGGGAGGACTCCAGGCCTGGGGCATTAACCGTCCTGGGGACCCCTTTGGCCTGAGGAGCCTGCGACCTGGGCCCAGCTCGGGGCCGGCTCCGGACCGCAGCTCCTGGGCGCTGAGGCGGGAGGGGCTCCCTGAGGGCTGCGGGTCGCTGAGGGGCCGGGCAGAAGATGGGGGAGGCCCAGGCGGCCCCGGCCTGGGATTGGGGCCGGCGGCCGGAGGAGAGACGGGGGCCCCCAGGCAGCTGGAGGCCTCGGCAGCCTCCCGGGCGCCCCCGAGAGCCGGCCCTCCCTTCCTCCGTGACAGGTGGGCCTGGAGTTGGGGAAAGTTTGGAGCCGGCGAGGGGCGCCGGGACCAGGCCCCATCGCTCCTGCTTCCCGGCTGTGGGCTGCAGGGAGGATCCCAGTCCAAGGCCCCGCTGGAATTAGACGGAGTGGCTATTTCCTTAACATGAGTTGACATTAAACGGAATAACCGCCGGGGCGTCATTTTCCGGGCCGGGCCTGGGGATGGAGGTTTGGGAAGTGTTGCGAGAGACCTTGGGGTTTGGGAGAGACTGCAACCTTTGCCATTCCGACCTCGATTAGGGCAGGGCAAGACGCGAGGAAGGCCACGGGGGAAACTCATTCTCCCAGTCTCTTTTTTTTCCTTCTTTTTCTTTTTGTAAAGATGCATTTCAACCTTTCTGAGAATTTCCTAATTCTCTCTCTAACCTGCACTTGCATGTGTGGGTGAAACTTTAATTTGTCACCTTTTCATTCCCCTTTGCCCCAGGCTCTCAATCCAGGAAGGGAAATGAAACTGAAGGACTTGTAAGGGGGTTGTTACTGGAGATTGTAGAGTTGTTGGATTGCAGAGGAGAATGTTCGATTCATCTTTTCAGTAACTTTAAAATCACACCAACCATTCCAACTACTTAATAATGTGTTCGAAGGGGTTCTATGTAATATGTTTCTTTTCCACTGTTAATATTAAAGAGAGGTTTTAAATGGGTCGTGTAGGAGTTGGTCTCTTGCAAAGGATGAACATATTTGCTGAAAGTAGCCTGTGCATTAATTGGTTATGGAAGTTTAAAAATGGTGTCCTCCTGCCCCTCCCTGCTTGGAAGAAGGGCTAAAAGCAGATGTCCAGAATCAAGAGAAAACTACTGCAGGGAGTGGTCAGAAAAAGATTTTTTAAAGGGATTGTTATGGAGCTATATTAATTTACTGAGTGAATGGAGGTGGATGGTTTTACCGTGGGCTCTCTATTAAATTTAAAATAATTCCTTTTCTCATGAGCTACTGTGAGCTCTTCAGAGACAGGAGCTGTATAATAGTGATTTTGCAGTTATTTGTAGCTTCTGATTCATCCTATATTCTTTTGAAATTATTGTCAATGATTCATATTTTTAGTTTAAGGACTACTTCCTGAGTGGGAAATAAATATCTGAAGATACTTAGCTAGATTAAGGCTGATAGAAGGAATTTTCTTTTTGCAGGCTAGTTCTTGTTTTGTTCTTTCCCCTGTGCTCAACTTTTACAGAAATTATATGAAGGGTTTGAGGGGTTTATTTTTGCTGTTAAAATCAAATCAGAACTAGGGAAGAAAAAGTGGCTGTCATAGAAGAGGACTTCTGAGCTGCTTTAAAACTTTTCAATATATTACTGTTTGATGCAGCACATAGTAGTCTACCACTTGTATGCTATATTTACTTGAGATTTACCTGCATTTGATCTTTCAGTGAAATAATTACTGTGAGTTTTGTTCTACAGAAAATTGCCTCCTCACATTTTAGTGTTTATGGTTTCACAGCCTACTTTTTCTTTTTCAGCAGAAATGATGGAAGAATTGCATAGCCTGGACCCACGACGGCAGGAATTATTGGAGGCCAGGTTTACTGGAGTAGGTGTTAGTAAGGTGAGTAAAATGATGATCATGAACACTATTCATATTCTAATTTAAACACATTTTTTAAATGATTAAGAGCAATTTGGGTAGGCCCTTCTGATAGTTTGCAGGGGAGAAGATTTGGGTCTTAATTTCAGTGAACTTTTAGATCCTACTGGTCATTCCAGTAGTCATTTAACATAGTAGGTTTGAAAATGTTCTATATGGGAATATATGTTTCTTCTTCCTTTCTGGTATAGGAGAGGTTTCTCATGGTTCTTGTTACAAGGAAACTAACAGGATGTGTGTATAGATTCTATGCCATATTTTGTTAAAACTTGTCAGCCATTCAGAAAGAAAATTACAAGGCATTGCATAGCTTTGTTACATTGGACTTTGGAGGTAGTTACATGGTAGAGTATTGAAAAATTGGCCTCTGTGAAGTCTGCAGACTCTTTACTGGTTGCACCCCCAGACTGGTTTGTTGCTCTTCTCATTCTTCCTTCTTAGTTTTTATTTTTGTTGCAGGAGCATAATATTAGATTAGGCCCCCATTAACGGGCACGTATGAAGTTAAGCAATGTTATAGTTTCCTATGCATGTTTATGTACCCACTGGTCCACCCCTCTGCTCTCATAGGATGATTTTACAATGTGTAAAATGTTTGATTTTAATACAGTATGCAAAGTATATTTACGATATTTTATTTAAAAGCTTTATTGGTCCAAGATCATATTACTTGGGCTTGAGATGTGTGAACGTATGAGCTACTGAATTTTTTTTTTTGAGACAGAGTTTTCCTCTTGTCGCCGAGGCTGGAGTGCAATGGCGTGATCTCGGCTCACTGCAGCCTCCACCTCCTGGGTTCAGGTGATGATTCTCCTGCCTCAGCCTCCTGAGTAGCTGGGATTACAGGTGCCCGCCACCACGCCCAGCTGATTTTTGTATTTTTAGTAGAGATGGGGTTTCACCATGTTGGCCAGGCTGGTCTCGAACTCCTGACCTCAGGTGATCCACCTGCCTCAGCCTCCCAAAGTGCTGGGATCACAGGCAGGAGCCACTGTGCCTGGCTGAGCTTTTGATCTTTAACCAGTGTGATACAACATTTGTTTCTGTGCTTTTCAAGAAATCCTGTCTCATGGTAACCTGGGTGTTGATCTCGTGCTTTAGTTAGTAGCTTCTCCAAGGAGAAGGCGTGTTGAGGTTTAGTTGGAAAAATGGGCTTCTTTGATGGGTCTCACAGTTTTGGTGAGCCGGGATAGCTTGATAGGGTTTTGTTTTTTTTTTTTTTGAGTCAGAGCCTTGCTCTGTCACCCAGGCTGGAGTGCAGTGGCACAATCTGGGCTCACTGCAACCTCTGCCTCCTGGGTTCAAGCGATTCTCTTGCCTCAGCATCCTGAGTAGCTGGGATTACAGGCATGCACCACCATGCCTGGTTAATTTTTTTTATTTTTAGTAGAGACAGGGTTTCTCCATGTTGGCCAGGCTGGGTCTCGAACTCCTGACCTCCAGTGATCTGCCTGTCTTGGTGTTCCAAAGTGCTAGGATTACAGGCATGAGCCACCACGCCCAACCAGCTTGATAGTTTTTGTTTATTCAACAAATATTGAGCACCTGCTGTATGCTAGGCATTGTGCAAGGTGTTAGGGCTGATGCTTGAGCACAGTACCTCCACATCTGCAGTATGGGGAGAGAGAGATGATACCGTGATGAGATCTGTATTAGAGCTGTGACAAGGTGCTGTGGGAACACAGGATTTGTTACATATTCTTAATTTCTTTGGCCACTTAAACAGTTTACTTTTGTGGCACTTTAGAGTGGCTGTGCCCCTGGACGTTGTATACTGAAGTTACATTTACAAATGTAAACTCTCTGATCTAGGTGAAGTAGCTTCAAATAGAAGTGAGCAATATATTTGAATACTAAATTGATCTCTAAATGACCTCTGATGTGTCTTTTTAACTTGAAGATTGAGCATAAGGCTAATGTCCAGATCTGTCTGTTTAAATGGTCCCCCCACCCCCGCCTCCCGTAAGTCAGTAAGTTTGTATTCAAATTTTACATAGTTAAGCTCACTGATCTTTGGATTAGGGTTGTTGTTCTGTTTTTAGGTTCGTGATGGCTGTATTCAAGTATACTTTTGATGGAGTAGGGCATAAGTGATAAGAATGAGTGACATTCAACATGTTGCTGTCTAGACCCAACTTAAAGTCATGTAACTAAGGTATCAGAAAACTTTAATACAGTAACCTATCTGTTTAATAGGAAATTCTACCTTTAACATAGAAAGAAGTTCTCTGTACAGAAAAAGAAATTTACCTATTTCCAGTTTTTTTGTTTGTTTTTGAGAGGGTCTCACTCTCTAGCCTAGGCTGGAGTGCAGTGGCACGATCTCGGCTCACCTCAACCTCCATCTCCCAGTCTCAAGCAATTCTCCTGCCTCAGCCTATAGATAGCTGGGATTACAGGCGTGCGCCACTACCACCCTGTTAATTTTTGTATTTTTAGTAGAGATGGGGTTTTACCATGTTGGACAGGTTGGTCTTGAACTCCTGACCTCAAATGATCCACCTGCCTCTGCCTCCCAGAGTGTTGGGATTACAGGCATGAGCCACTGCACCCAGCTTTATTTCCAGTTGTTTTTATTCCATTAGTTGTTTTTTTTTTGAGACAGAGTTTTGCTCTGTCAACCAGGCTGGAGTGCAGTAGCACAATCTCGGCGCACTGCAATCTCTGCCTCCCGGGTTCAAGCTATTCTCCTGCCTCAGCCTCCTGAGTAGCTGGGACTATAGGCACCTGCTACCATGCCCAGCTAATTTTTGTATTTTTAGTAGATGGGGTTTCACCATATTGGCCAGGCTGATCTCGAACTCCCGACCTTGTGATGTGCCTGCCTCGGCCTCCCAAAGTGCTGGGATTATAGGTGTGAGCCACTGTGCCCAGCTTAAGTAGTCGTATGTTACTTTGATATTTCCAGTCACGGTAAGTATATTGATTACAATGAATTTGTTATTTGAGGACTAGCAGGAGAGTATTTTTTTTTTCCATAACAAAGAAACTTGAAGAAAAAAATTAATTCTGTAGTTTGCAGAGCCGGGAAAAGAAAATCTCCATTTCGTATGACTTCTTTTTTTTTTGAGACAGAGATTCACTCTTGTTGCCCAGGCTGGAGTGCAGTGGCGCGATCTCAGCTCACTGCAACCTCCGCTTCCTGGGTTCAAGCAATTCTCGTGCCTCAGCCTCCCGAGTAGCTGGGATTACAGGCACGTGCCACCATACCCGGCTAATTTTTTGTATTTTTAGTAGAGATGGAGTTTCACCGTGTTGGCCAGGCTGGTCTCGAAATCCTGACCTCAGGTGATCCACCCGCCTCAGCCTCCCGAAGTGCTGGGATTATAGGTGTGAGCCATCGCGCCCAGCCTTTGTATTACTTCTTTTACCAGTAAGACATCGTACCTCTCAGACTATTGATTTGAAATGGGGGTGTGGAGGGGATGATGATACTGGGAGAAAAGGGTGCTTTTGGAAAAACTCCTCTCCCTGGCTTTGAATTCTCATTTTGGATCATTATTTCCCAATAAGAATATCACTGTGTTAGGGCCAGGCACGGTGGCTCACGCCTGTAATCCCAGCACTTTGGGAGGCTAAAGCAGGCAGATCACGAGGTCAGGAGATCGAGACCATCCTGGCTAACACGGTGAAACCCCATCTCTATTAAAAAATACAAAAAATTAGCTGAGCTTGGTGGTGGGTGCCTGTAATCCCAGCTACCTGGGAGGCTGAGGCAGGAGAATGGCTGAGCCCGGGAGGCGGGGCTTGCAGTGAGCCTGGGCGACAGAGCAAGGCTCCGTCTCAAAAAACAAAACAAAACAAAAAAAGAATATCACTGTGTTGATGACAGCTTTGTTTTTCAAAGATCAAAAAAGATTTCAGCCCCTGCAGCTCCAAATAAGAGAGCAGAGTGACTTCCCTGTGATGGTGCCATCTAGTGGGACTGGTTCAGCCTCTTGGGCTGTCTCTTGAATTTCTCCTAACTATTCATAACATTTTTCAGTACTTTTTGATGTCCATAGAAGGAAGAAAGTCAGTGCCACTGTGGATTCTTTCCTAGTGGACAAGAGTGTTACAAGTAGCTACAGCCTTTGAACTTTCTGGTTGTTGTAAATCTTCTGTTGTATAACTTTCGAGTTTTTTCCACCTGCAAATTAGATATACACTCCATTACTTAGACTAAAACAAAATGGCCAAATCTCCACATCTATTACTTATATTTAAGTTGCTCATTACCTATATTTAGGTTTTTAATTTTTTATTTCTAATTTTCTTGCATAGTGCAAATTTTTAATTTTCTTGCATAGTGTGTTTATAGGTAGGTACTCAGTTTCTCAGCATATTTACTTCATAATAATGGTAAAACAAAAGTCATTTATTTTGGGCTTTGGGATGCACTATTTGGTTTTTGTTTAAAAGATTGACGTTTTCTGTCATGAACTGATGAGGGGAAAGTAGTAATGTGCACCCAAAAGTCTATAGCAGGCTCTCTAGTCTAGCTGCCCCTTTTTAGGAGGACCTGGAGCCATCGTCTTAGCAGTTTTGAGGTGATAAGGTTAAACTGGGTTGTGAACCTAGTAATTTTCTGGTTTTTTTTTTTTTTTTTTTTTTGAGACGGAATCTCACTCTGTCGCCCAGGCTGGAGTGCAGTGATGCAATCTCTACTCACTGCAAGCTCCGCCTCCCAGGTTCACGCCATTCTCCTGCCTCAGCCTCCCGAGTAGCTGGGACTGCAGGTGCCTGCCACCACGCACAGCTAATTTTTTGTATTTTTAGTAGAGACGGGGTTTCACCGTGTTAGCCAGGATGGTCTCGATCTCCTGACCTCGTGATCTGCCCACCTTGGCCTCCCAAAGTGCTGGGATTACAGGTATGGGCCACTGCACCCGGCTGCTAGTTCTTTATGTCTTGTTGACTTGACATGTGAGCTGTCCTACCTCTTTTTTTGAGACGGGGTCTCACTCTGTCACCTGGGCTAGAGTGCAGTGGCGCGATCTCGGCTCGCTGCAGCCTCTGCCTCCCAGGTTCAAGCGATTCTCTTGCCTCAGCCTCCCCAAGTAGCTAGGACTACAGGCGTGTGCCACTATTCTCAGCTAATTTTTATATTTTTAGTAGAGATGGGGTTTTGCCATGTTAGTTGGCCAGGATGGTCTCTCTCTCTTGACCTCATGATCCGCCCGCCTCGGCCTCCCAAATTGCTGTGATGACAGGCGTGAGCCACCGCGCCTGGCCTGTCCTACCTCTTTTTAAAGACCTCTTCCTGTAAGCACTGGATGATCTACTTCTAGTAATGTGAAACTGACTATATCTTGAATTCATATGTTTTCAATCAACCTGTTGCAGTTTATATTTCACACCCTGCTCCCTTTTGACAGTTTAAGTACAGATAGTCTCAGCAGTTCTGGAGACCATGTAAAGTAGGCAGAATTTCACCCTTGCATGCATTGTTACTTGTACCTAGTTGGATATCAATGCTAATACAGTAGCAAATACTTATAATACTGTGTGCCAGGTACTGTTCCAACAGTACAACAAAAGCAATAAGAAATGAATTTAGATCTTTTATAACAGGGATAATGGTTAACAAATCTGTACATAATCAACTCACTGGATTAATAGGCATTCTCCATTCTCTCTTTATAAGCCATACTGACTGATGCTTATCACATTGCTCCCACCAGTTGAATTATAGCCATGTCAATGATCATTTTACAATAACTTACACTTGTGTTGTAATTATTCTATTTAATACACAATTGCATAATGCAATGAAATATGATTGCAGGCTGGGCGCAGTGGCTTACGCCTGTAATCCCAGCACTTTGGGAGGCCGAGGCAGGCAGATCACGAGGTCAGGAGATCGAGACCGTCCTGGCCAACATGCCAAAACCCGTCTCTACTAAAAATACAAAAAATAAGCCGGGCGTGGTGGCATGTGCCTGTAATCCCAGCTACTCAGGAGGCTAAGGCGGGAGAATCACTTGAACCAGGGAGTCGGAGGTTGCAGTTAGCCGAGATCATGCCACTGCACTCCAGCCTGGGCGACAGAGCGAGACTCTGTCTCAAAAAAAAAAAAAAAGAAAGAAATATGATTGCAAAATGAAAGAATTGTTTCCAAGAGAACTAAGTTAACCGCCCTAGAAAGACTAGATAAGTCAGCACGCGCCTGTAGTCCCAGCTGCTCAGGAGGCTGAGGCAGGAGAATTGCTTGAACGTGGGAGGCAGAGGTTGCAGTGAGCTGAGATCGCGCCATTGCGCTCCAGCATGGCCAACAGAGTGCGCCTCCGTCTCAAAAAAAAAAAAAAAAAGTAAGTCAGCAAGGAGATATCTGTAAAAATTTATGATATTCTTTTAATCTGCAGGAATTCTTTACTTAAATCCTTGGCAAGTATCTTTTTTTTTTTTTTTTTTTTGAGACGGAGTTTCACTCTTGTTGCCCAGGCTGGAGTGCAATGGCATGATCTCGGCTCACCGCAACATCCGCCTCCCAGGTCCAAGTGATTCTCCTGCCTCAGCCTCCCAAATAGCTGGGATTACAGGCATGCGCCAACACGCCCGGCTAATTTTGTATTTTTATTAGAGGTGGGGTTTCTTCATGTTGGTCAGGTTGTTCTTGAACTTCCGACCTCAAGTGATCTGCCTACCTCGGCCTCCCAAAGTGCTGGGATTACAGGTGTGAGCCAGTGCGCCCGGCGGCAAGTATCTTTTAAGTTCTCACTTTTTTTTTTGGAGACGGAGTTTCACTCTTGTCGCCCAGGCTGGAGTGCAGTGGCATGATCTCTGCTCACAGCAATCTCCACCTCCCGGGTTCAAGCGATTCTGCTGCCTCAGCCTCCCGAGTGGCTGGGAGGTGCCCGCCACCATGCCCACCTAATTTTTGTATTTTTAATAGAGACGAGGTTTTACCATGTTGGCCAGGCTGGTCTCGAACTCCTGACCTCTGGAGTTCACCCGCCTTGGCCTCCCAAAGTGCTGGGATTACAGGCGTCAGCCACCGTGCCCGGGCCAAGGAACTCTTTTTCTATCTTTTATAAATTTTTAAGTCTGATACATCACATTATATAATCAAATTGACTTCTGAAAAGGTATTTAACCAACTGATACCTTTCTTTTCATGTAGTTCATTGCAGCAATTAGAAGCTTTCAGTTATGAATATCTAGTGTCAGCTTTTTCACATACCAAAGTCACTTTCATTTTTTAAAAATGTTTGTATGTCTTACATTTAATTACATGCCTGACAATTCTCAACAAGTATGAATGCTGAGAAATGGCCTATACTTATATTGATGCATTTTAAGGAACTGTGGATTAATTTACTTTAGTATTTATTTGATTTCCTCCTTATTTCACATGTAGTCAAGTACCAACACGTGCCTCTTTCTCTGAAATTTCTGAAGTGTTTTTCTGCCCCCATTGCTACTGCCTTAATCCAGACTGTTTTTATTCATAACTTGAAATTCTAGTTTGGAAGTCTTGCACTCTTTCTGTTCTTTTATTGGTTACCACAGAAATTACAACAGATATTTTTAACTTATCAAAGGTTAATGTTAATACCTTTGTCTTCCTCTTGGTCAGTACGAGGGCCTTGAAGATTTTTTTTTTTTTTTTTTTTTTTGAGATGGGGTGTCACTCTGTCACCCAGGCTGGAGTGAAGTGGCATGATCATGGCTCACTGCAGCCTTGACCTCCTGGGCTCAAGTGCTCCTCCCGCCTCAGCCTCCTGAGTAGCTGGGCCTACAGGCACACACCACCACACTTGAATAATTTTTGTAGTTTTTCTTTTTATAAATTTAGAAAAAAAATGCCTCCCATCAGCATCTTGCAAATTTTTGTATTTTTTGTAGAAACAGTTTTGCCATGTTGCCCAGACTGGTGACCTTGAAGATTTAACTCCATTTATTCCCCTCACAATTCACACGCCATTGCTGTTCTGTATTTAATTGTACGTGTGTGTGTGTGTGTGTGTGTGTGTAAATTTTTTTTTTTTTTTGAGACATGGTCTCACTGTGTCACCCAGGCTTGAGTGCAGTGGTGCGATTTCAGCTCACTGAAACCTCTGCCTTCTGGGCTCAAGTGATTCTTCTGCCTCAACCTCCTGAGTATCTGGGACTAAAGGCACGTGCCACCATGCCCGGCTAATTTTTCTTTTTTTGTATTTTTAGTAGAGATGGGGTTTCATCATGTTGGCCAGGCTGATCTCGAACTCCTAACCTCAGGCGATCCGCCAGCCTTGGCCTCCCAAAGTGCTGGGATTACAGGTGTGAGCTACTGTGCCCAGTCTGTATGTTTTCTAGAGCTCTTTTAGGTTTATAGAAAATTGAGCAGCTAATGCAGAGTTCCTATATACTTCCTCACCCTATTTTCTCATTATTCACATTTTGCATTATTACAGGTGTGAGCTACCATGCCCAGCCTGTATATTTTCTAGAGCACTTTTAGGTTTATAGAAAATTGAGCTGCTAATAACAGAGTTCCCATATACTTCCTTACCCTAGTTTCTCATTATTCACATTTTGCATTATTAGTGTCTTTGTTACAATTGATGATACGTTATTAACTAAAGTCCATTGTTCACAGTTGTCTACTGGCTTCCATTGGGCTCTTTATTTTTATTTTTATTTTTTTGAGATGGAGTCAACTTGCCCAGGCTGGAGTGTGGTGGTGCGATCTCATCTCACTGCAACCTCTGCCTTCAGGTTCAAGCAATTCTCCCTGTGTCAGCCTCCTGAGTAGCTGGAATTACAGGCGCCCACCACCACGCCTGGCTAATTTTTGTATTTTTAGTAGAGATTGGTTTCACCATGTTGGCCAGGCTGGTCTTGAACTCCTGACCTCAAGTGATCCACCTGCCTTGGCCTCCGAAAGTGTTGGGATTACAGGCATGGGCCATCACACCCAACCAGTTATAGAATATTCTCAGCCGTTATCTTGTCATATATTGCTTCTGTCTTATTCTGTCTTCTCTGGCATGCTAAACATATACTAGACCTTCTCATTGTGTTTTCTCTGCCTCTTACCCTGTCTCTTGTATTGCTTGTCTTTTTGTTTTCTTATCTAAATACTTGGTAGTTTCTTGTGACCTATCTTCCACTTGATTAATTTTCTCTTTAGATTTGCCTAATCTACATAAACCTATACGTTGAAATTTTATAAGAGCTGAGTCACTCTTATCCTGAGGGTGTAGCCCATGGGTCTTCTAATGTATGGGGTGGCTTTCCCACACTCCCCTCATTGGGCAGGGTCTGGGCTTTGACTTTCTTCTCTCTCTATACTCCCAGGCCTCTTAAATTATAGCTTAATTTCATAGATTTTTCTTTTTCTTTTTCTTTTTTGAGATGGAGTCTTGCTCTGTTGCCAGGCTGGAGTGCAATGGCATGATCTCGGCTCACTGCAACCTCCACCTCCCGGGTTCAAGCGATTCTCCTGCCTCAGCCTCCCAAGTAGCTGGGACTATAGGCACGCGCCACCGCACGCAGCTAATTTTTGTATTTTTAGTATAGACAGGATTTCACCATGTTGGCCGGGCTGGTCTCGAACTCCTGACCTCAGGTGATCCACCTTCCTCGGCCTCCCAAAATGCTGGGATTACAGGCATGAGCCACCATGCCTGGCCTAATTTCAAAAATTTTTCTTTAGAATTTAATCTGCAAATGACTTCAAATTGAAATCATTTTTTATTTTTAAATTTTAACTTTTAGCGACAGGACTTCATCCCCAGGCTGGCCTCAAACTCCTGGGCTCAAGTGATTCTCCCACCTCAGCCTCCTAAGTAGCTAAGACAACAGGCATGTGCCATTGCACCCAGCAGAAGTGATTTTTTTGAGTTCTGGTCTTGTGTCTCTGGATTCTTGACTTCTTACAGAAGTAATTCTTTATTTCATTGCTTTGCAGTCAATAATATAAAACTAACACTTAGTGTGTGTGAACTCTTGTGTCACTATAAAGTTTACCTCCTTGTGACTTTCACTTCTCATCTGCTTCCTTCTTCCTTCCTGCCTATAAGTGGTTGGCATTGGCGTTGTCATCACTCTTGGCCTTTAAAGTCATTTATTTCCTATTCTCTGTTTACTTTTAGTTAAATTCAGATTAAATGGAAAGATTTCTTAAAATTTTATTTTTAAGAAAGGCCATGAGAGGGAAAACAAATAAGGTATATTATCAGTGGTTTCTTATTTCATACCTGGGTCTAGGGATAATTTGACTTAGTTCTATTCTTCCTCTCTACCTTGTCTGGGTCTTAAATTGTTAGGTTCCTCCTGGTGGTATGTTTCACTTGATCCTGGCTACTACTAGATGTGATGGGATTAGTTTGGAATCTACTTCCTAATATGTTGGCCATGGTTAGCTAAGTACTTCATATATTTATTTATTTATTTTTGAGACAGTCTTGCTCTGTCCCCAGGCTCCTCGAGTGCAGTAGCGTGATCTCGGCTCACTGCAAGCTCCGCTTCCTGGGTTCAAGCAATTCTGCCTCAGCCTCCCTAGTAGTTGGGACTATAGGTGGGTGCCACCATGCCCTGCTAATTTTTGTATTTTTAGTAGAGATGGGGTTTCACCGTGTTGGCCAGGATGGTCTCGATCTCCTGACCTCATGATCCACCCGTCTTGGCCTCCCAAAGCACTGGGATTACAGGCGTGAGCCCTCACACCCGGCCCCCATATCTTACTCTTAACATATCCTTTTTCTAAAAAACTGCATATATTGCAAAGTATTGGAGTAGGAATAATATAACTTTGATACTAGAATCTGCTAAGAAGTTAGCTAGCTCTAGTTAACTTAGGAGTCATTTCAATTCTCTGGGCACTTCCAATTTAAGAATTTTATGTTTGATGAACTACACAAAAAGAGGAAGCCAGATTTGAGATACAGGATAATAAATTCCAAAAATTCCAGTTAAGTATTAATAGTGTGAAAGAATGAGTGGTGGTATTAAAATATAAACCTTCAGGAACAAAGGTTCTATAGGATAAAATCTGCCAAAATTATTTCCTTCATTTTGTATATATATAGCCTTTTGGGAACATGGGTTGCATACAATAAAATAACGATATTAGAAAAATACCATAGGAGCAAGAAAAGTACCTTGTTTTGCCCATTAAATATACTCCGAAGACAGCAGTGAGGAAAATAAAGGTGAAACATTTTTCTAAAAATAGTCTCAGAATAAGGATGGTGTCTGTTTTCTAGTCCTAACTAGATGAGGGAGATAGAGATTTGTTATTAAACTGTTTTTTTTTTTGTTTTTTGAGACTCAGTCTTACTCTGTCGCCCAGGCTGGAGTGCAGTGGCACGATCTTGGCTCACTGTGATCTCCGCCTCCCAGGTTCAAGCGATTCTCCTGCCTCAGCTTCCCGAGTAGCTGGGATTACAGGGACCTGCCACCTCGCCGGGCTAATTTTTGTACTTTAGTAGAGATGGGGTTTCACCATGTTGGCCAGGCTGTTCTTGAACTCCTGACCTCTCAGGTGATCCACCCACCTTGGCCTCCCAAAATGCTGGGATTACAGGCATGAGCCACTGCGCCTGGCCCAGAACTTTTTCATCTTCCCAAATCGTAACTCCATGCCCATTAAATAATAACTCCCAGGCCAGGCACAATGGTTCAAGCCCATAATTTCACTATTTTGGGAGGCCGAGGTGGGCAGATCACAAAATCAGGAGTTCGAGACCAGCCTGGCCAACATAGTGAAACCCCAACTCTACTAAAAATACAAAAAAGTTAGCCGGGCATGTTGGTGGGCACCTGTAATTACAGCTACTTAGGAGGCTGATGCAAGAGAATCACTTGAACCGGGAGGTGGAGGTTGCAGTGAGCCGAGATCATGCCACTGCACTCCAGTCTAGTCGACAAAGCAAGACTCCGTCTCAAAAAACAAAACAATGACAACGAAAAAACCTCCCAATAACTCCCCAGGCCCTGGCAACTATCATTCTGTTTTTCCATCTCTGTGAATTTGACTACTCTAGGTACTAATGTGAATGAAATCATAGCAGTATTTGTCCTTTTGACTGGCTTGTTTCACTTAGCATAGTATCTTCGAAGTTTATCTGTGTTGTAGTATATGTCAAAATTTCATTTCCTTCCTTTTTAAGGCTGAGTAATATTTCATTGTATGCATATACCACATCTTGTTTATTCATTCATCTGTTGATGGACCCTCGGGTTACTTTTACCATTTGGCTATTGTGAATAGTGCTATGAAAAAACAAATGCTGCTGCTATGAAAGTGGCTGTAGTCTTGCAGTGCCTGCTTTAAATTCTTGTGGCTGCAGACCCAGAAGTTGAATTGTTGGATCATATTAAACTGTACTCTTTTGTTGACCTCCTCTCAGGCCTTATTAATAAGGGACAGCTAGAAAATAGTGGTTCTTTTAATTCACATTCTACAAAAGCTTTAGAAGTCTTAGAAATCCTGTTAACATATGCAGATGAACTAGTAATGACAGTCAAATTGCAACTATTACAAATAGTATTATTGGCCCAGTAAGTAAGAACTAAGCTACCATGTAACTTGGCAAGTTACATAGGATAGTCTTTTTTTTTTTGAGATGGAGTCTTGCTCTGTCACCCAGGCTGGAGTGCAATGGCACAACCTTGGCTCACTGCAACCTCCGCCTCCTGGGTTCAAGTGATTCTTCTGCTTCAGCCTTCCAAGTAGCTGGGATTACAGGTGCCCACCACCATGCCCGGCTAATTTTTGTATTTTTAGTAGAGACGGGGTTTCACCATGGTGAGCCACTACGCCCAGCCATAGGATAGACTTTCATGTTAGTCAAACCGTAGGTTACTTTTAGAATATCACACATTTGCTAATTTGCTATCCAGATTTGCTGTACTAGAATTTTACTGTATTCTATTTTGTTTTGTTTTTGAGACAGAGTCTCACTCTGTTGCCTAGGCTGGAGTGCAGTGGTGTGATCTCAGCTCATGTAACCTCCGTCTCCTGGGTTCAAGCGATTCTTCTGTCTCAGCCTCTCAAGTAGCTGGGACTACAGGCGTGTGCCGTCACGCCTGGCTAATTTTTGTATTTTTAGTAGATATGGGGTTTCACCATGCTGGCCAGACTGGTCTTGAACTCTTGACCTCAAGTGATCCACCCGCCTTGGCCTCCGAAAGTGCTGGGATTACAAGCATCAGCCACCATGCCCAGCCAGAATTTTATTTTAAAATTGAGTACATCAGTACCTGGCTGATTTTTGTATTTTCAGTAGAGATGGGGTTTCACCTTGTTGGCCAGGCTGATCTCGAACTCCTGACCTCAAGGGATCTGCCTGCCTTGGCCTTTCAAAGTGTTGGGATTATAGGCATGAGCCACTGCGTCTGGCCAATATTTTTGATAGAGAAGGGGTTTCACCACGTTGCCCAGGCTAGTCTCGAACTCCTGACCTCAGGTGATCCACCCGTCTCAAGTGATTCACCTGCCTTGGCCTCCCAAAGTGCTGGGATTACAGGTGTGAGCCACCGTGCCTGGCCCAGATGCATTGTATAGTCTTGAGGCATTTATAATCAGACAAACAGGGACTCAGATGCCTATGGCACATAGCTGAGGATGGATATGCTGATGGGAAGGTATTATGATCCCAGAATAAGGGAGTATAATTAACTTGTTCATTGTGTATTGCTCAGAAAGCAGAATTAAGATTACTGTAGATTGGCTGGGTGTGGTGGCTCATGCCTATCATCCTAGCACTTTGGGAGACCGAGGCAGGTGAATCACTGGAGGTGAGGAGTTTAAGACCAGCCTGGCCAACATGGTGAAACCCCGTCTTTACTAAAAAATACAAAAATTAGCTGGGCATGGTGGTGGGCACTTGTAACCTCAACTACTTGGGAGGCTGAGGCAGGAGGATCACTTGAACCCGGGAGGCGGAGGTTGCTGTGAGCCAAGATTGCACCACTGTGCTCCAGCCTGGGTGACAGAGCAAGACCCTATCTCCAAAAAAAAAGGAAACGATTACTGTAGATAAACAACCTCATGGCCGGGCATGAGGTGGTGGTGAGCCAAGATCACACCATTGCAGTCTAGCCCGCGCAACAGGAGGGAAACTCCATCTCAAAAAACAAAAAACTCAGAACAATTTTGATACAATATTATTAGGAATAAATTAAAGAATGATTAGTATAGGATAGCTTGGTTTTGAAGCTTAGCAAAAGAGTTTAGAGTCCAGGGCAGAGGCCTTTTTTATTTTTTATTTTTATTTTTAGATAGGGTCTCACTCTGTCACCCAGGCTGGAGTGCAGTGGCGCAGTCTTGGTTCACTGCAAACTCTGCCTCCCAGCCTCAAGTGATCCTCCCACCTCAGCTTCCCAAAGTGATGGGATTACATGCATAAGCCACCACGCCTGGCTGAGGCGTGTTTTTAAATAATTAATCTTGATTAGTTTTCTTGAAGTCTAGGTATGTGGTAAAAAATTTTAAAAATTATATATATATATATATATATTGGAGACGGAGTCTTACTCTGTCACCCAGGCTGGAGGGCAATGTCATGATCTCGGCTCACTGCAACCTCTGCCTCCCAGGTTCAAGCGATTCTCCTGTCTCAGCCTCCCGAGTAGCTCGGATTATGGGCGCATGCTGCCGTGCCCAGCTAATTTTTTTTTTTGTTTTTTAGTAGAGACGGGGTTTCACCATGTTGCCCAGGCTTTGGTCTCGAACTCCTGAGCTCAGACAATCCACCCACCTCTGCCTCTCAAAGTGCTGTGATTACAGGTGTAAGCCACCATGCCTGGCCCCAAAATTAAAATTTTTTACTAGTTAATATATAGTACACAATTCAGAATCTTTCACAGATATACAGTGAAACATCTCTTCTACATTTCTCCCTTATCCACCTGGTTTCCTTCCTAGAGACAACTGTTAAAAAGTTTCTTATATTTGAGAGATATATCTGCAAATACTTATGTATATTCAACCCTTCCATTTTTAAAAAATGCAAGTATATTATATAAACTATTGTGCATTTTGCTTCTTGTGCTTAAGATATTTCAGGAATTGTTTTACATTCATACATATAGAGCTTCTTTGTTCTTTTTTTCAAGGCTGCTTTGTATTTCATTGTATGGCTGAACCGTTTCCTGTTGATGGACACTTAGATGGACAGCAGTGTTTTGTTGATATAAATAGTGCTATAGTGAATAATCTTGTACATAATGTCATTTAACACACATTCAGATACATTTACAGGATAAATCCCTAGAAGTGGAATTGCTTTTTTCAAGGATGTATGCATTTGTGATTTCAGTAGATATGGCCACATTCTTCTCCATGGAGAGGAGGAATTTGTCTCCCATAGTCAAGTATGGCAAGGGGTGGACAGGCATCAGGGTCCTTGAACTCTGTGAAATGATAGGTAAATATTTGTGTGTGTGTATATACATGGATGTATATTTTTCTTTAGAAAGAGTCCATGGTTTTATTACGTTCTTAAAAAGTTCTTTGGGGCTGGGCACGGTGTCTCACGCCTGTAATCCCAGCACTTTGGGAGGCCAAGGCAGGTGGATCACGAGGTCAGGAGATTGAGACCATCCTGGCTAACATAGTGAAACCCCGTCTCTACTAAAAGTACAAAAAAAATTAGCTGGGCATGGTGGCAGGCGCCTGTAGTCCCAGCTACTCGGGAGGCTGAGGCAGGAGAATGGTGTGAACCCGGGAGGCAGAACTTGCAGTGAGCCAAGATCGCGCCACTGCACTCCAGCCTGGGCAACAGAGTGAGACTCCATCTCAAAAAAAAAAAAAAAAAAAAAGTTCTTTGGCCAGGGACAGTGGCGAGGCCCAGCATTTTGGGTGGCCGAGGCAAGAGGACCATTGAGCCTAGGAGTTTGAGACCAGCCTGGGCAAAGTGGTGAAACCCCATCTCTCCAAAAAATACAAATAATTAGCCAGGCATGGTGGCGTGTGCCTATAGTCCCATCTGCATCTGTCCGGGAGGCTGAAGTGAGAGGATTACCTGAGTCTTGGAGGTCGAGGTCAAAGCCAGAGTGAGTTGTATATGCACTTCCACACTTCAGCCTGGGTGACAGAGTGAGACCCTGTCTCAGAAAAAAAAAATTCTGTGACTCAAAATAGGTTAAAGAAACCACTGACTTATAGTTAGTTGACCTGAATTAAGTACACTGCTTTGTTTTTCTCTACACAGTATTTTTCTCTTACAGAAAGTATTTGAGCAGAAGCTATGCACATAATTATTAGAGATGTTGTGTGGAGAATCATTGTGGAAGAGACTGGACTAAATCTAATTCCCAACCTTTTACTGTTATTCCTCCCACTCTTGAGACCATGTTTTAAAAGGCTTTTTCCCCCATTATTAGACTGAATTTATTAAGCAGTACTTTATTTCTCCAATTTTATTAATGAGAGCTTTAGATAGTTTGTGGTAAGTTTTACTACAGGGAGTTGAAATCCTTTCATCTATTAGGAGTTGATAGAAGTTGAGCTAAAGTCAAGCCAATCTGACATTTGTATTGTATTGTATTCTTTTGAGACAGAGTTTTGCTCTTGTTGCCCGGGCTGGAGTGCAGTGGCACGATCTAGGCTTACTGCAACCTCCACCTCCCAGGATCAAGTGATTCTCCTACTTCAGCCTCCTGAGTAGCTGGGGTTACAGTCCCGTGCCACCATGCCCAGCTAATATTTTGTATTTTTAGTAGATATGGGGTTTTACCATGTTGGCCAGGCTGGTCTCGAACTCCTGACCTCAGGTGATCCACCCACCTTGGCCTCCCAAAGTGCTGGGATTACAGGTGTGAGCCACCGTGCCCAGCCCAATCTGACATTTTAACTAGATTGTGTCAGTGAAAAATAATTCAGAAACCCTCATTATTACCTCTTGGACTTACTGAAGATATGAAGAACAAACCTTTATACCTGATAATGTCCATGTTTCTTTTGAATTCTGTGTGTGTAAAATAGGTTTAAATGAGGGCTTACATTAAATTCTGCAAGTACTATTGCAAGGAAAATTTCATTCACCGTAACAGATTCCTTAGGGCTTTCAGGTTTTGGGATATTGGAATTAATTTGTAATATACATATTATCAAAAGTTATAATTCCTAGTTTTTAGGTCTTGGAGAGAAAACAGTAGCACCATGTAATGAATTAGAAAGTTAAAAGATTTAGTTAACTTAAACATAGTTGATAGTGTCGTAGAAAGCCCCCCTTTTTTTTTTTTTTTTTGAGACAAAGTCTTGCTCTGTCGCCCAGGCTGTAGTGCAGTGGCACAGTCTCGGGTCACTGCGACCTCTGCCTCCTGGGCTCAAGCGATTCTCCTTTCTCAGCTTCCCAAATAGCTGGGATTACAGGTGTGCGCCACCACACCCAGCTAATTTTTTGTGTTTTTAGTAGAGGTGGGGTTTTGCCATTTTGCCCAGGCTGGTCTCGAACTCCTGACCTCAGGTTATCCACCTGCCTTGGCCTCCCAAAGTGCTGGGATTACAGGCATGAGCCACCGGGCCTAGCCAAGCCCTGTCTTTTTTACTGTATTATTACTTGGTAGCTCATTTTGAAAGAGGATTTTTCTAGAGATGATTAGAATATTTTATGTGGGGAAAAGTGAGTTAGACCTGTATGTCTTGCTTGATACTGGAGCAAAAGTTAAAAGGTCTCAGCTCTTGATCAGCGATTTCTTTGGTTTATTTGTTTGTTTGTTTGAGACACAGTCTCTCTCTGTCACCCAGGCTGGAGTGCAGTGGCGCAGTCATGGCTCTCTGCAGCCTCAACCTCCAGGGCTCACGAGACCCTCCCACCTCAGCCTCCCTGAGTAGCTGGGACCACAGGCATGTGCCACTGTCCCCAGCTAATTTTTGTATTTTTTGTAAAGACGAGGTTGGCCAGGCGCAGTGACTCATGCCTGTAATCCCAGCACTTTGGGAGGCTGAGGTGGGTGGATCATCTGAGGTCAGGAATTCGAGACCAGCCTGGCGACCACGGCAAAACCCTGTCTCTACTAAAAACATGAAAATTAGCTGGGCTTGTTGGTGTGCGCTTGTAGTCCCAGCTACTCGGGAGGCTGAGACAGGAGAATCGCTTGAACCCAGGAGGTGCAGTGAGCCGAGATTGAGCTTCTACATTCCAGCCTGGGTGACAGAGTAAGACTCCGTCTCACAAACAAAAAAAAAAGGACGGTGTTTTGCCACGTTGCCCAGCCTGGTCTCGAACTCCTGGGTTCAAGTGATTCGCCCACCTCAGCCTCCCGGAGTGTTGGGATTACAGGTGTTAGGCACCGTGCCCAGCCTATTTTTTACCTACTAATCGTGCTCAGTAAGGAAAACAAAGAAAATTGTTACATACTCTGGACCAGAACTCAAGGAGCCATTTGTTGTATAGTATTATTTGTTTGCCAGGCAAGGTGGCTCACGCCTGTAATCCTAGCACTTTGGGAGGCCGAGGTGGGCGGATTGCCTGAGCTCAGGAGTTTGAGACCAGCCTGGGCAACATGGTAAAACCCTGTCTCTACTAAAAATACAAAAAATTAGCCGGGCATGGTGGCATGTGCCTGTAATCCCAGCTACTCGGGAGGCTGAGGCATGAGAATTGCTTGAACCTGGGAGGCAGAGGTTGCATTGAGCTGAGATCGTGCAATTGCACTCTAGCCTGGGCGACAGAACGAGACTCAGTCTAAAAAAAAAAAAAGAAAAAAAGAATTATTTGTTGTGAAAAACTTATTTTAACAAGTTCTCCAAAGTTTTATTTATTTCTAAAATAAAAGATTAGAACAAAATTCTTATTATGGGCCGTTCTTACAGAACTTTTTAGAGTGCCATTTGCTATAATGGGATCCTGCTTTTACTAGCAAACCTTTTATTACAATGAATTTCCTAGATCGAGTCTTTATTATTATTATTTTATTTTTTAAAGAGATGAGGGTCTCCCTATGTTGCCCAAGCTGGAGTGCAGTGGTATGATCATAGTTCACTGCAGCCTTAAACTCCTGGGCTCAAGTGATCCTCCCGCCTCAGCCTGCCAAGTAGGGAAGACTACAAGTGTGTACTACCACACCTGGCTAATTGTATCTTTATATTTAAAAGAATGGAAAAAGATACTGTATAAACAGTATCACTAAATATAAAAAAGCTAAGTATAAACACTAAGTATAAAAAAGCTAGAGTGATTTTTATTAGACAAAGGAGACCTCAGAACAAGAAAAATATTGCTAGGAGTAATGAAGCATGATTCATCACGAAAGAAGGATCAATTTTTTGAGAAGACACAGCGGTCCTAAATGTATATGCATCCAGTAACAGAGTGGAAGCAAAAACTGACAGTTGAAAGGAGAAATAGACAAATCCACAATTACATTTGGAAATTACAACATTGTTCCTTAATAACTGATAGAACAAGCAGGCAAAAAATCAGTAAGGTTATAGAAGATTTGGACAATACCCTCAATGGACTATACTTAATTGACATTTATAGAACACTCTGCCCACATTCTTTTCAAGTGCACATGGAACATTTACCAAAATAGACCATATGCTGGGCTACAAAACACATTTCAACAAATTTAAAAGGATTGAAATGTGTAGTGTCTACTCTGACTACAATGGAATTAAATTAGAAATGAAAAAGATATCTGGAAAATCTCCGAATATTTGAAAGTGAAATAACATACTTCAAAATAACCTTTAGGTCAAAGAATTCACAAAGGAAATTAGAAAATATTCATAGCTAAGTGAAAATGAAAACACAATATATCAAAATTTGTGAGATACTAGAAAATATTTGTGAGCCGGGCATGGTGACTCACACCTGTAATCCCAGCACTTTGGGAGGCCGAAGTGGGCGGATCACGAGGTCAGGAGATCGAGACCATCCTGGCTAACGCGGTGAAACCCCATCTCTGCTAAATACACAAAAAATTAGCCGGGCGTGGTGGCAGGTGCCTGTAGTCCCAGCTACATGGGAGGCTGAGGCAGGAGAATGGTGTGAACCTGGGAGGTGGAGCTTGCAGTGAGCCAAGATCGTGCCACTACACTCCAGCCTGGGTGACAGAGCAAGACTCCGTCTCAAAAGAAAAAAAAGAAAATATTTGTAATTAAATGAAAATGAAAACACAGTATATCAAAATTTGTGGGATACAGCTAATACAGTGCTTTAGAAGGAAACTTCAGCTTTAAAATAAAGGTCTAAAATCAGTGACCTAACATTTTGCCTTAATAGAAAGAGAAATCTAAATAGAAGAGAAATAATAAAGAGCTAAAGTAAATGAGATAGAAAACAAGGCCGGGTGAGGTGGCTCACTCCTGTAATCCCAGCACTGTGTTTGGCCAAGGTGGGCCAATTGCTTGAGTCTAGGAGTTTGAGACCAGCCTGGGCAATATAGCAAAATACAAAAATACTAAAATACAAAAATACTGGAAGAAAAAACAAATTAAAAAAAAAAGAAAGAATGAGAATCTGAATAACCCCATATTTATTACAGAAATTGGATTAAAAATCTTCCCACAAGGCCAGGCACGGTGACTCATGGCTCTAGTCCCAGCACTTTGGGAGGCTAAGGCAGGAGGATCACTTGAGCCCAGGAGTTTGAGACCAGCCTGGGCAATATAGCGAGACTCATCTCTACAAAAAATATAAATAAATGAAAATTAGTCAGGTGTGGTGGTGCACGCCTGTGGTCCCAGCTACTTGAGAGACTGAGGTGGGAGGATTGCCTGAACCCAGGAGGTTGAGGCTGGAATGCAGTGGCACAATCAGTGTCACAAACAAACAATCAAACAAAGTCTTCCTAAAAAGAAGAATCCAGACCTACATGGCTTTGTTGGTAAATTCTATCAAACATTTAAGGAAAAAATACCAATTTTTTTTTTTTTTTTTACAAATTTCACAAGACATTTATGAGGCCAGCATTACCTTGATACCAAACCAGACCAAGACATTAGGAAAAAAGAAAACTGTAGCTCAATATCCCTCAACATATATATAGAAATAATTAACAAAATACTAGAAAATTGAATCTAGCAGTGAATAAAACCATAACTAATTGGATTATCCCAGTTGCAAAGTTGATTTAGCATTAGAATTCATTGTAATTCACCATATTAATAGAATAAAGGAGAAAAGCTAAGTGGCTTTGTAATAGTTACCTAAAAAGCATTTGACTAACTGTTAACACTATTTGTGATAAAAGCTCTCAGCTCACTAGGAATAGAAGGGAACTTCTTTAATCTGATAAAAGGCATTTATGAAAAATATATAAGTAACATCATACTTATGGTAAAAGAGTGAATGCTTTCTATATAATACTCCAAACAAGTCAATGGTAATTGTTTTCGCAACCTCTATTAAACATGTTCCAAAGGTCCTAGCCAATGAAATAAGACAAGTAAAAGGAATAATCTTACAGATTACAAAGTAAAAGTAAAACTATTTATTCTTTAGATGTCATGATTGTACACATAGCCTTAAGCAAGCTATAAAAAAGCTACTAGAATTTAAGTTTAGTTAGAATATAAATCAATTTGCAAGATCTAGTTGTATTTCTCATACTAGCAATGAACAATTGGCAGTTGAAGTAAAAGCGAAAAAGAAAAGCAAATCATTTATAATAGCATCAAATAATGTGCAATGTTAAAACATTCCCCAAGAACAGAAGAAATTATTTTATATTCTTGTTTCATGGATGAAGGCATTCAGGTGCAAAGGATTAAAGAACATTAATTTGTTCATAAGCATGTCTTTATAAACATCTATGTAGTAGATACTGTGCTAGGGATATAGTAGTGAATAAAAACATTGACCCGTGCCCTCATAAAATTTATAATCTAATGGAAATTGAAGGGAGAAATAAATGTAGGACCTCAGTTTCCGGCTTTGGCTTAACTTTTTTTTTTTTTTTTTTTTTTTTTGAGACGGAGTCTCGCTCTCTCGCCCAGGCTGGAGTGCAGTGGCGCGATCTTGGCTCACGGCAAGCTCCGCCTCCCAGGTTCACGCCATTCTCCTGCCTCAGCCTCCCCAGCAGCTGGGACTACAGGCACATGCCGCCATGCTTGGCTAATTTTTGTATTTTTAGTAGAGACGGGGTTTCACTGTGTTAGCCAGGATAGTCTTGATCTCCTGACCCTGTGATCCGCCTGCCTTGGCCTCCCAAAGTGCTGGAATTACAGGTGTGAGCCACCGCACCGGGCCTGGCTTAACATTTTTTATTTAGATGAGTGGTTCAAAGCTTTTACTTTTTAGTTATAACTTTTTTTTTTTTTTTTTTTTGAGACAGGGTCTCACTCTGTCACTTAGGCTGGAGTGCTGTTGCACGATCTCAGCCCACTGCAACCTCTGCCTCCCGGGTTCAGGTGATTCTCATGCCTCAGCCACCCTAGTTGCTGGGATTATGGACGTTGTGCCACCATGTCTGGCTAATTTTTGTGTTTTTAGGAGAGATGGGGTTTTGCCATGTTGGCCAGGCTGCTCTTAAACTCCTGGTCTCATGTGATCCTCCCGCCCCAGTCTCCCAAAGTGCTGGGATTACAGGCATGAGCCACAGCATCTGGCCTAGTTATATCTTTTTTTTTTTTTTTTTGAGACAGAGTTTCCCTCTTGTTGCCCAGGCTGGAGTGTAATGGCGTGATCTCAGCTCACTGCAGCCTCCCCCTCCCAGGTTCAAGCCATTCTCCTGCCTCAGCCTCCCGAGTAGCTGGGATTACAGGCATGTGCCACCACCCCAGCTAATTTTTTTTTTTGTATTTTTAGTAGAGACGGGGTTTCTCCATGTTGGTCAGGCTGGTCTGGAACTCCCGACCTCAGGTGATCCACCCGCCTTGACCTCCCAAAGTGCTGGGATTACAGGCGTGAGCCACCACGCTCGGCCAGTTATATCTTAAATATTGTGACTTGTTGAATAATTTGGCCCCTATGGGTGGCAAGTTATTTTGTTGTAATACATGCTTGGTAGTTCATAGGGTGGTTGAAACTGGTTGGTTGGTTAAAATTTCATGTTAAGGATGGTCCATGCAGGACTCCCATATAGGGGAAAAGAAGTAACTAATAATCTTCATTGAGCACCAACTATATTTCAGGCACTGTATTACCCTCATCCCCAACATATAGTACTGTTTTATTTAATCCTTGAAACATCCATAAGGTAGGTGGTTTTTACTCTTGAAATCCACAGATTTCAAGAAGAGCTAATAGAACTTCAGTGATTTGCCCAGTTTCATACAGTGGTTCAGAGATTTAGTCCTACACCTATTTGACTTTAAACTGTCAGGACCAGCTGTTCTCTGTTGATCATACCCTTGGACCATCCCATGTGTTCCTAGTCAGGAGGAAATGCAAGTAAATGAGATTAATTTTTTAGGCAGGGCATGGTGGCTCATGCCTATAATCTGTGCACTTTGGGAGGCCAAGGTGGGTGGATCTGTAGAGCCCAAGAGTTTGAGACCAGCCAGGGCAACATAGTAGGACCCCACCTCTACCAAAAAATTAAATTAAAAAAAGCCGGACATGGCGGCATGAACTTGTAGTCTCAGCTACTTGGGAGGCTGAGATGGGAGGATTGCTTGAGCCTGGGAGGTTGAGGCTGCCAGTGAGCTGTGATGGCACCACTGCACTGAGCCTGGGCGACAGAGTGAGACCTTATCTTTAAAAAATGTATATATATAGTGCTAATTTTGAGTCTATTTTATTATTTATTTATTTATTACTTTGAGACTGAGTCTCACTCTGTCTCACTTAGTGGCGTGATCTTGGCTTACTGCAACCTCCGCCTCGCAGTTTCAAGTGATTCTTCTTCCTTAACCACCTGAATAGCTGGGACTACAGGCGTGCGCCACCATGCCTGGCTAATTTTGGAAGTCTTGGTAGAGACAGGGTGTTGCTGTATTGCCCAGGTCTCGAGTTCCTGACCTCAAGTGATCCACTTGACTCAGCCTCCCAGAGTGTTGGAATTACAGGTGTGAGCCACTCTGCCTGGCCGTGATTTTATTTTAAAAGTACGTCACTCACAAGAAAAAACACTGTCAGGATTTCTTGTCATGCACCTCACAGCTGATATGTCAAAATGCCAGTTTTATTTCTTATTTTAAAATTTTGTTTTAGAGGCAGGATCTTACTCTGTTGCCCAGACTAAAGTGCAGTGGTGCAGTCATAGCTCACTGCTGTCTCAAACTCCTGGACTTAAGTGATCCTCACAACTCAGCCTTCTAAGAAGTGAAGACTACAGTCATGCACTACCATACCCAGATTTTTTTTTTTTTTTTTTTTTTTTTTGGTAGAGACCGGGTCTCACTACATTGCTCAAGCTGTCTTGAAGTCCTGGCCTCAAGTGGTCCTCCCGCCTTAGACTCCCAAACTGTTGGGATTACAGGCATGAGCCACCACATGCAGCTCAAGACACCAGTTGTTTTTTTCTTCTTCTTTTATTCTATTTTTTTGTTTTTATTTTTGAGACACCATTTTAAAAATGCTTTTAATACACTGTTTTCAAATTTTTTTGAGACATATTCTTGCTATGTCACCCAGAATGTTGGGTGGAATGTTGACTCCTGCATCTTATTGTTATACCAATTCCAGGCTGGAGCGCAGTGGTGCGATCAAGGCTGACTGCAACCTCCGTCTCTTGGGCTCAATTGATCTTCCTACCTCAGCCTCCTTAGTAGCTGGGACTGCAGGTGCATGCCATCATGCCTGGCTAATTATTTATTTTTTTTGTAGAGATGGGGTTTTGCCATGTTGCTCAGGCTGGTCTCAAACTCCTGGGCTCAAGTGATCCTCCTGCCTCGGCCTCCCGAAGTGCTGGGATTACAGGTGTGAGCCTCCGCACCCAGTCAATACACTTTAATCCAAGTCAGTGTCTATTTAAATTTTAAGTTAGTTTAACTCTGAGCCATGGGCCTGTACCTTGGAAATATGTAATTTAGAGTCATAAGTAACAGTTATCTAGCTGAGAGTCATATGTGGGTTATACCAAATGTACTGCCATCATGTGATTATAGGTTAGTAGTGTAATTTTTGGAATTGGCAGGTCACAGATGAGATTGCCATGGCTTGGTGGAAAGCTCTCCCAACTGTCTTCTCCAGACAGATAGGTAGAACCTGGAACCAGTGCTAGGACGTGTGTGTATGTAGGAGGTAGTCATTGGTTATATGAACTTAAAGTTGCTATCTTAACTTCTGGGCCTTGAAGGAAGGCCATATTAGTGACATCTGCTTAGTTCTTTATAGTAAACTTGTTAACGCTTGTGCCACAGTCAAGAACCAGAACTGGAATGTTGACTCCTGCATCATCTTACACCAGTTCCAGTAGGAATTTTGTTATACAGTTTCTGCTGGAGATGGCAGTGGGATTTTTTTTCTTTTTTTTCCTCATATGTGAAGTAATAGTCTGTTCACAACAGAAGAAGCCACAAAACTAAACTTATTGGTCACTGAATTTTCTTCAAGGTTACATACCTCTTGGGTATTTTAAATCTAGATTATGTTCATTTTTATATTTTTGTTCTCATTTTTCTATTTCTTTGTTTTCTTTACTGTGAATGTGCTCCAGGATTTTGTACAGAGCTTCTAGTTTCTGTCTGTAATTTAAATATTGAATTTGTTCTCGATAAAAGAGAACTTTTTAGCATAAAGAGAAAGCTAAAAACATAGATTATAGGCCCCATAATGAAATGTGTAGTAGTTGCATATGGCTAGTGCTTCTCTGTGTATTGGAATTGTACTGTTTTCCCTTAGAATTTGTTTTTTCTTTAATGAGTAATTTTCAGTTATATAAAGAATGTTTGCATACTTTTATAATAATGAGAACTGTAATAGCTCATTTTCCACTCAGCAGATGATTTTGGAGATTTACTAGGTAGATGTTGATACATACAGACCTAGTTTGGGTCATTGTTCTTTAAATAATCATCCTGTAAACACATTTATTTACAGTGTTTTGTCACTTATTGAAAGTGGGGTTTTTTTTGGCGGGGCGCGCTGAGTCACATCTGTAATCCTAGCACTTAGGGAGGCTGAGGCAGGAGAATCGCTTGAACCCAGGAGGCAGAGGTTGCGGTCAGCCGAGATCGTGCCATTGTACTCCAGCCTGGGCAAAAGAGCAAAACTTTGTCTCAAAAAAAGAAAAAAAAAAGGTAAACTTTTTTTCACTTGACCTAGAACTCTTCTGTTTATACACATCAAGGAAGAACTTAACAGATTTCACATCTGTTTCACTTCTAGGAATGCTGCAAGGTCTCTGGGAGTCAAACTATTTTGATGGCTATTTTGACTCTGGTATGGTATGAAAAGGTAGTACTACTAGTGACTAAAATAAAAAGCATAGAGACCTTTAGTTTTTTTAAATGGCGTTATCTTCTTTACTGGAGTATGGGGTAGTTTGACTTTGTTGGCAGCTATGCTTCTTTATACCTAGGCAGGCGTAACTTTTGTCTTCTGTTCTCAGTCCCTTTTAAGCAGCCAATTTGGTCTAAGGAGGAAATGAAAACTTTAGAAACTCAGTAAATGTTGACATTTAAACTTTTACAGGAGTGAAAGATTAACCTTTGGCCTCTATTCTACAAGTTTTTCTTAGTTTATATGAGCCTCCTTCGTGGTGCTAAAGGGCTGGTAGTCAACATTTGCATCTTAACCTCAGTGTTCATGGATTTATAATTTATCCACAGAATTTTCTCTAGGCTTGTAACTAAAGTATTTTTTAAGATCCCCCTAGAAAAAAAAGTACATTTTAAGTATATTAGAAACATGTTTTATTTTTGCAAACTGTACTCTTTTAAAAACAAGAAACTTGACTCTTGTTCATCTTCTAAACTGTCCATTTGATTTTTTTACTTAGAAAATTATTATCAGCAGGAGACAGGGGAGGTAGTTTAAATGTTGTCATAGACAATATAACTTTTATGGAGAGATCTTATCAAAATTAGTTTTGATTTAACAAATCAGACTAGTTAAATTTGTTTAAATTTGTGAAATTAACAAATTTAAACCAGTAAATTAAAAAAATTTCCTAGTTTTTTTTTTTTTTTTTTTGAGTCTGTGGGTGGCTCTTTTAAAGGATAATTTTCCCTCCCAAGTGATATGGATATTAGTAAGCATTCTCCCAGATAGCTATTATATAGCAAATGACAAGTAACAGACTATTTTACTAAGAAAATAAGATAAAATACCACATAGTTAAACTTAAATAATGTGGACAAAGAAGCATTTAATGTACAAGAGTATGAATTTACCATTCAATTTATGGTTTTAGGAAAACTAGAAAAGAGGAGGAAAAAACAATAAATATGCAAGAAGAAATAAATACATTGCAAAACAGAAGAATGGGAAATAATCAAGAGTTGGAAAATTAGGAAACAAAAGGCAAAATGAAGGAGAGTACATCGGATATAACAAAAGGTACTGAGGACTTACAAAAAGAAAATACTGGAAGTGAATGTTGTTAGTTATATGAAAGTCTCAATGAATAAATAATTTCAAAGATACTAGGAATTAATACTGACGAAATAAGACATAAAAATCAGAATAGGGGCCGGGCGTGGTGTTTCACGCCTGTAATCGCAGCACTTTGGGAGGCCGAGGGCAGGCGGATCACCTGAAGTCAGGAGTTTGAGACCAGCCTGGGCAACATGGTAAAACCCTGTCTTTACTAAAAATACAAAAATTAGCCAAGCGTGGTGGTGTGCGCTTGTAATCCCAGCTACTTGGGAGGCTGAGGCACAAGAATCGCTTGAACCCGGGAGGTGGAGGTTGTAGTGAGCCGAGATTGCACCACTGCACTCCTGCCTGGGCAATAGAGTGAGACTCCATCTCAACAACAACAACAACAAAACCAGAATAGACTCCTGTAACCAAGAAAAAAATTGAGGCGATTATAAAACTACTTCCTCCTCTCTAGGTGTTGGTGATTTCTCCTAACCTTTTATTTTATTTATTTATTTATTTATTTTTCGAGACAGGGTCTTGCTCTGTCACCCAGGCTAGAGTGCAATGGTACAAACATAGCTCACTGCAGCCTCGACCTCCTGGGCTCAGGCAGTTCCCCTACCTCAGCCTCCCAAGTAGCTGGGACCACAGGCATGGGCCACCACACCCGGGTAATTTTCTAATTTTTTGTAGAGATGGGATCTTGCTATGCTGCCCAAGCTGGTCTGGAACCCTTGGGGTCAAGTAATCTTCCCTCCTCAGCCTCCCAAATTGTTGAGATTATAGGTGTGAGCCACCACTCCTGGTCTCTCCTAACCTTTAAGAAGCGGATACTTCTCATGTTGAATAATATGATAGAAGTAAACAACTCTGACAGCAAAATGACAAACATGAAAAAGTAAAAGTGAATGTATAGATGTTTAAAATAAAATAAAAATACTAGTAAATGGCTACAGCAGATTATTCCTTTGTTTTGTTTCAAGTAGGTTATCCTAGGAATGTCAAACAAGTTCGTGTTTAAAAACTCAGTAATATTTCTAGAGTCAGTGCTGTGGTTTGAATGTGTTCCTTCCAAAATTCAGGTGTTGCCAGTGTATTAAGAGGTGATTAGGTAAAGAGAGCTCCTCCTCTCATGAATGGGACTAGGTATCCTTTTAAAGGCTTGATGGCGTAACCTTGTCTGTTTTTACACCTTGCCATGTGAGGACAGTGTCCGTCCCCTCTTGCCCTTCTGCCTTCTACTTTGTGAGGATGTAGGATTCCTTCCCTCTGGAGGACACAGTGTTGAAGGCACCATCTTGGAAGCAGAGCCTGGACCCTCACCAGACACCTAACCTGCTGGTGCCTTGGTATTGTACTTCCCAGCCTCCAGAACTGTCAGAAATTAAATTTCTGTTTTTCATAAATTACCCAGTCTGCTGGGTGCAGTGGCTCATGCCTGTAATCCCAGCACTTTCGGAGGTAGAGGCGAGTGTACTGCTTGAGCCATTCGAGACCAGCCTGGGCAAAGTGGTGAAACCCCGTCTCTACATAAACACAAAAATTAGCCAGACGTGGTGGCATGTGCCTGTAATGCCAACTACTTGGGAGGCTGAGGCAGGAGGATTGCTTGAGCCCAGAGGTCAAGACTGCAGTGAGCCAGGATTGGAACACTGCACTCCAGCCTGGGTGACAGAGCGAGACCCTGTCTCAAAAAAAATTACCCAGTCTCAGGCATTCTGTCATAACAGCACCTACAGACTAAGTATGGCTTAATGGTGAGAAGTACTTTTTTTGAACCAGATAGCCTTGGTTCAGATCTTGGCTTTGCTTCCTAATGACTGTGTGACCTTGAATGAGTTTACTGATCTTCTTATGCTTTCCTCATCTGTAAGTGAGTAATAAGAGCAGCTACCTCACAAGGTAGGGCAACCATAACAGATACCACAGACTGTGTGGCTTAAACAACAGAAATTTATTTTCTTATAGTTCTGAAGACTAGAAGTGCAATAGCAAGGTGTCAGCAGGTTTGGTTTCTTCTGAGGCCTTTCTCCTTGGCTTGCAGATGTCTGCCTCCTTCCTGTGGCCTCATATTGTAGTCCCTCTGTGTGCATACATGTCTGTGCGTGCTCACTTGCTCTCTCTCATTCTTTGTCCTGATCTCCTCTCATAAGAATACCAGTTTTAATGGATTTACGCTTCTATCTCCAAATACACTAAAGTACTGGAGATTAGGGCTTCAACATAGGAATTTTGGGAGGACACAGTTCAGCTCATAACAGGTTGTTATGAGGGTTAAATGCCCTGATATACCTGGCCCTAGCAAATGCTACCTAAGTGTTGGTTATCATTATTATTACTTTACAATAATAAGTAATACATAAAACCCCAAAAACTTTAGAAAAATCTTTTTTATTTCAGAGTAATTAGAGATTGGCAGGAAGTTGCACAAAATGTATAGGAAGGTTCTGTTCATGCACCGTGCATCTCTCCTCATGTATAATTCTAGTATGTTATTAAAACCAAAAAATTGACATTGGTACAATCCATAGGACTAATTCACATTTCAAGTTATACATGAATCATTTGTGTGTGTGTATTACACTTCTAGGCAATTTTATCACATGTGTAGCTTGTAACCACTACAGTCAAGTTGCAGAAACTACTTCATCATAAGGCTCTTTCCTGCTACGCGTTTGTAGCCACACCCACTCACTCTCCCTTGAAAACTTAATTCTTGACAACTACAGATCTATTTTCCTCTATAATTTCATTATTTCATAATTAATATATATAAATGGAGTCACAAAGTACACAACCTTTTATTTTGAGACAGAGTCTCACCCTGTCACTCAGGCTGGAATGCAGTGGTGCAATCTTAGCTCACTGCAGCCTCTGCCTCCTGGGTTCAAGTGATCCTCCCATCTCAGCCTCCAGAGTAGCTGGGACTACAGGTACACACCACCACGCTAGCTAATTTTTAAATTTTTTGTAGAGACAGGGTCTCACTATATTGGCCAGGCTGGTCTTGAATTCCTGGGTTCAAGCAATCTTGCTGCCTTGGTCTCCCAAAGTGCTAGAATTACAGGTGTGAGCCACCGCACCCAGCCTACAGCTTTCTGAGATTGGCTTTTTTCACTTGGCATAATTTCCTTGAAGTTCCAAGATTTTGCATATATAAATAGGCCATTCCTTTTTATTGCTGTGCAGTGTTCCATGGTGTGGATATAGTACACTTTACTTAACCATTGCCTCCATGAGGACATTTGGTTTGTTTCCAGTTTTTGGCTATTATGAACAAAGCTACTCTGAACATTCTTATAGAGGTTTTTACACCAACATGTTTTTCTTTCTCTGGAATAAATGTTCAAGAGTACAATTGCTGGGTCAAATGATAAGTTTTAAGTGCATTTTTAGTTTTAAAAGAAACCGTCAAAAAAGCTTTACCTTTTTACATTCTCACTAGCAATATATGTAAGTGATTCAGTTTCTCTACATCCTTGACAGTGTTTAGCGTTGTTGCTATTTTTTATTTTAACCATTCTTAAAGGTGTGTAATGAAATCTCATTGTGGTTTAAACTTTTATTTCCCTAAAGGCTAACGTGTTGAACATCTTTTCTTGTGCTCATTAGCCATCTTTACATCACCCCTCCTTTTTTTTTTTTTTTTTTTTTTTTTGAGATGGAGTTTTGCTCTTATTGCCCAGGCTGGAGTACAAATGGCATGGTCTCGGCTTACTGCAACCTCTGCCCCCTGGGTTCAAGCAATTCTCCTGCCTCAGCCTCCCGAGTAGCTGGGATTACAGGCATGCACCACCACGCCTGGCTAATTTTGTATTTTTCAGTAGAGACGGGGTTTCTCCACGTTGGTCAGGCTGGTCTCGAACTCCTGACCTCAGGTAATCCGCCTGCCTCAGCCTCCCAAAGTGCTGGTGAGCCACCGCCCCCGGCCTACATCCTCTTTAGTAAAATGTCTATTCATATTTTTTTGCCAATTTTCTAATTGGAATTCTTTAGATAGTCTAATCTCAAGTTCCTTGGTAGATGTGTGACTTGAAAATATTTTCTTCCAGTCAGTAATTTGTTTCCTCATCCTGTTTACAGGGTCTTACTCTGTACTTTTGATGAGCTTCCATTTATCAGTGTTTCCTTTTGTGGATTAGAGCTTTTGGTGTCAAGTCTAGGAACTGTTGGCTTAGTTCTAAGTTGTAGAGATTTTTCTCCCCTTTTTTCCTAACAGTTTTATGTTTTACATTTAAGTTCTTGATCTATTTTGTTTTTTTCTCTTTTAAAAATTTATTAATTATTATTATTATTATTATTATTATTATTATTAGAGACGAAGTTTCGCTCTCGTTGCCCGGGCTGGAGTGCAATGGTGCGATCTCAGCTCATTGCAACCTCTGCCTCCCAGGTTCAAGCGATTCTCCTGCCTCAGCCTCCCAGGTAGCTGGGATTACAGGCACCCGCCACCATGCCCAGCTAACTTTTTGTATTTTTAGTAGAGACGGGGTTTCACAATGTTGGCCAGGCTGGTCTTGAACACCAGACCTCAGGTGATCCACCTGCGTCGGCCTCCCAAAGTGCTGGGATTACAGGTGTGAGCCACCACACCCGGCCGAGTTAATATTTTATAAGGTGTAAGCAAGGTGTTTTTTTGTTTTGTTTTGTTTGTTTGTTTTGCCTATGCATCTAGTTGTTCCAGTAGCATTTATTTAAAAGTCTCTTTTTTTCAATTTATGTAATTTATTAAATTGCCTTTTTTTTTTTTTTTTTTTAAAGAGACAGGTTTTTATTCTGTTGCCCAGGCTGGAGTGCAGTGGTGTGATCATAATTCACTGTAACCTTGCACTCGCACTCCTGAGCTCCCGCCTGAGCCTTCTAATTAGCTAGGAGCTAGGACTGCAGACAGTGCCACCATGGCTGGCTAACTTTTTCATTTTTTTGTACAGATGGGATCTCGCTTTGTTGCCCAGGCTGGTCTCAAACTCCTGGGCTCAAGTGATCCTCAAGCTATCCTCCCACCTCATGCTCTCAAAGTGTTGGGATCACAGGGGTGAACCCTATTAAATTGCTTTTATACTTTTGTAAAAAATCAGTTGGATATATTTATGTGGGTCTGTTTTTTTTGTTTTGTTTTGTTTTTTGGGATGGAGTCTGGCTCTGTCACCCAGGCTAGAGTACAGTGGTGCGATCTTGGCTCACTGCAACCTCCGTCTCCTGGGTTCAAGAAGTTCTCTGCCTCAGCCTCCTGAGTAGCTGGGATTACAGGCACCTGCCACCACGTCCAGCTAATTTTTTGTATTTTTAGTAGAGACAGAGTTTCACCATCTTGGCCAGGCTGGTCTTGAACTCCTGACCTTGTGATCCACCCGCCTCAGTCACCCAAAGTGTTGGGATTACAGGTGTGAGCCCACCGTGCCTGGCCAAGGGTCTGTTTTTATAAGCTGTGACGATTAAATGTGCTAATATAGAATGTCTTGCCTGTAAAGTGCTACATTATGTGAGCTTTTGAGGATTGTGTTTAAAAAAAGTGCTACGTGTTAGTTATTATTGTTATTACTTTACAACACAGCAAATAAATAATAATTTTTTTTTTTTTGAGATGGAGTCTCGCTCTATTGCCCAGGCTGGTGTGCAGTGGTGCGATCTCAGCTTATTGCAACCTCCACCTCCTGGGTTCAAGCGATTCTTCTGCCTCAGCCTCCCAAGTAGCTGGGACTATAGGTGTGTGCTACCATGCCTGGCTAATTTTTGTATTTTTAGTAGATATGGGGGTTTCACCATGTTGGCCAGGCTGGTCTCAAACTCCTGACCTCAAATGATCCACCACCTCAGCTGCCCACAGTTCTGGGCTTACAGGTGTGAGCCACCATGCCCAGTCAATAATAATTAAAAAAAAAAAATTTGGATAAACTCAATAGTCATTCCTACTTTGTAATTTTAAAAACAATACAGTTTCAAAAACTTTTTAATTGTGGTAAAATACACATAACATAAAATTTACCATCTTAACCTTCTTTTTTTTTTTTTTTTGAGATGGAGTTTTGCTCTTGTTGCCCAGGCTGGAGTGCAGTGGCGCGATCTTGGATCAATGCAACCTCTGCCTCCCAGCTTCAAACCATTCTCCTGCCTCAGCTTCCTGAGTAGCTGGGATTACAAGCGCCCGCCACCACACCCAGCTAATTTTTGTATTTTTAGTAGAGATGGGGTTTCGCCATGTTGGCCATGCTTCTCTCAAACTCCTGGCCTCACGTGATCCACCTGCCTCAGCCTCCCAAAGTGCTGGGCTTACAGGCGTGAGCCACCGCGCCCAGCCCTGAGCCACCGTGCCCGGCCCACCATCTTAACCATTTTTAAGTGTACAGTTCAGTAGTAAATACATTCATATTGTTTGCATCCAATTTCCAGAACTTTTTTTGCCTAGGAAAATGAAAACTGAAATGCCCATTAAACAACTCCTCATCTCTACCTTCCTCCCCAACCCCTGGCAGCTACCATTCTACTTTCTGACTCTATGAATTTAACTATTATAGGTGCCTCATCTATCACAAAGTATTTGTCTTCTTGTGACTGGCTTATTCACTTAGCATAATGTTCTCAGGGCTTATCCATGTTGTAGAATGTAGAATTTCATGTATACACCACATTTTGTTTATCCATTCATATGTTGATGGATATTTGAGTTGCTTGCACCTTTTGGCTATTGTGAATAATACTGCCGTGAACATGGTTGCACAGCTATCTCTTTGAGGCCCTGCTTTCAACTCTTTTGAGTATATTCCCAGAAATGGAATTGTTGTATCATACGATAATTCCGTTTTTGAGGAACTGCCATAGTTTTCCATAGTGGCTATGCCATTTTATATTCCCATCAACAGTGTGCAAGTATTCCAGTTACTCCAGATCCTCACTAATACTTGTTATTTTGTAGGGTTGGTTGGTTTTTTGTTTTCTTGGTAGTGGTCACCTCAATGGATGTGAGGCGGTGTCTTTTTGTGAGTTGCAGTTTCCTAAAATTAGTGATTTTGAGCATCTTTTCATGTGGTCGTTGGCCATTTTTATATCTTTGGAGAAATATCTGTTCAAGTCCTTTGCCCATTTTTTCATTGGGTTGTTTATTTTGTTGTTGTTGAGTTGTAGCAGTTATTCATATATTTGGGTTATTAATGCCTTACCATATATGTAAATTGCAAGCATTTTCTCCCATTCCATGGGTTTCCTTTTTATTCTGTTGATTGTGTTGTTTAATGCACAGATTTTAAATTTTGATGTCTATTTTATGTATTTTTACTGTTTTTATCTCTGCTTTTGGTGTCACATTCGAGAAATCATTGCTAAATTCAACGCTGTAACACTTTCTCCCTGTTTTCTTCTTCTTTTTTTTGAGATGGAGTCTCTGTAGCCCAGGCTGGAGTGCAGTGGCGCGATTTCAGCTCACTGCAAACTCCTCCTCCCGGGTTCAAGTGATTCTCCTGCCTCAGCCTCCCAAGTAGCTGGAATTACAGGCGCCCGCCACCACGCCCAGCTAATTTTTGTAGTTTTAGTAGAGATGGAATTTCATCATGTTGGCCAGGCTGGTCTCAAACTCCTGAACTCAGGTGATCCGCTCACCTCGGCCTCCCAAAGTGCTGGGATTACAGGCATGAGTCACCGCGCCCGGCTCTCCCTGTTTTCTTCTAAGAGTTGATTATAGTTTTAGTTCTTTTTTTTTTTTTTTTGGCTGTAAATTTATTCAATGCAAAAGAATCCTCTCCAGTTTTACTGAGGTGGCTGACCACGTCCACAACCAAATCCGCCTCTAAACTAGAATTCGGTTGCTGACCCAGCCCCAGCCTCGGCTTTCTTGTCGGCACCAGGTAGCACAGCACTCCTCATATACAGACCTTTAGGCCGAGGCCTGCCAGTCTCTGGACGGCTACGGCGTAGGGTGGCAGGCACAATCTCCGGGGGCAGATGAAGGTAATCACGGAGATACTGGATACACTCATTGGTAAGGTACCAGTAGAAATGTCTCCAGGCAAAGTGTTCTTTCACGTAGCCTCGGCACTTGAGAGACTGCATGGCCTTCATGACATGAAGGTTGGGCACATTCTTGTCTGCCAGCTCCGGGTGCTTAGGCATGTGGACATCCTTCTTGGCCACCATGACTCCCTCCTTAAAAAGGAGTTCATAAATGGCAATCCAGTTCTTCTTAGGCATCAACATCTCTGCAGCTGCAGGGTCCGGGGCCGGGGCTGGAAAGCTAGTTTTAGTTCTTATGTTTAGGTCTTTGATGTGTTTTGAGTTAATTTTTGCATGTGGTAATGGTCCAACTTTCATTTCATTTGCATGTACATATCCAGTTTCTCCAGCACCATTTTTTGAGACCGTCTCACTCTGTTGTCCAGGCTGGAGTGCGCTGGCAGTAATCTCAGCTCACTGCAACCTCCACCTTGCAGGTTCAAGTGATTCTCGTGCCTCAGCCACCCGAGTAGCTGGGATTACAGGCGTGTGTCACCATGCCCAGCTAATTTTTGTATTTTTAGTAGAGGTTGGGTTCGCCATGTTGGCCAGACTGGTCTCAAACTCCTGACCTCAAGTGATCCGCCTGCCTCACCCTCCCAAAGTGCTGGGATTACAGGCGTGAGCCACCATGCCAGCCTCCAGCACCAGGTTTTGAAAAAATTGACTTTCACCATTGAATAGCCTTGGCACCTTATCAAAAATCATTTGACCATGTATGTGAGGATTTCCTTCTGGCGGTCCATTCTTTTCCATTGATATCTGTCTGTCTTTAATGCCAATACCACGATGTTTTGATTACTATAGCTTTGTAATTTTTTATTTTTTATTGATTTATTTATTTATTTTGAGACGGAGTCTCGCTCTGTTGCCCAGGCTGGAGTGCAGTGGCGCGATCTCAGCTCACTGCAAGCTCCACCTTCCGGGTTCACGCCATTCTTCTGCCTCAGCCTCCCAAGTAGCTGGGACTACAGGCGCCCGCCACTGCACCCAGCTAATTTTTTGTATTTTTAGTAGAGACGGGGTTTCACCGTGGTCTCGATCTCCTGACATTGTGATCCGCCCGCCTCGGCCTCCCAAAGTGCTGGGATTACAGGCGTGAGCCACCACGCCGGCCGAATTTTTTAAAATTAATTATTATTATTATTTTTTGAGATGGAGTCTCACTTTGTTGCCCAGGCCGGAATACAGTGATACAATCTCAGCTCACTGCAACCTTCACCTCCCAGGTTCAAGCGACTGTCCTGCCTCAGTCTCCCGACTAGCTGGGACTATTGGTGTGCACCATCCCGCCCGACTATGTTTTGTAATTTTAGTATAGATGGGATTTCACCGTGTTGGCCAGGCTGGTCTTGAACTCCTGACCTCAGGTGATCCGCCTGTCTCGACCTCCCAAAGTGCTGGGATTACAGGCGTGAGCCATTGCGTCCGGCATGTAGTAAGTTTTGAAATCAGGAAGTGTGGGACCTCCAACTTAGTTCTTTTTCAAGATTGTTTTGTCCGTTTGGGGTTTTAGCCCATTTATGCTTAGTGTTTCATTATTGGGTTGCTAAGCTTGTGGCAGTTATTGATATCCTACTGTTCAAGGTCATCACCAAGGTCTGATTTTTCACAGAAAAAATTTGCAACCTCGGGCATAAATGGGTTAATATAGTTTTTAATGGTAAAGCATTAGAGGTGTTACCATGAAAATGAAGAACGGAAAAATGTTTTCTATGATTATTATTTCATGTTTTATTCAGTGCAGTAAAATGTAAAACAAATAAGAGGTATAAATTATAGAAAGGAAGATAAAACCTTGTTATTTACAAATGCTATGATTTTATACCTAGACAACTAAATGGAAAGGAACAAACTGGGCCTGGTGCAGTGGCTCATGGCTATAATCTCAGCACTTTGGGAGTCTGAGGTGGGCGGATCACTTGAAGGCAGGAGTTCCAGACCAGCATGGCCAACATGGTGAAACCCCTTCTCTACTAAAAATACAAAAAAATTAGCCAGGTGTGGTGGTGTGTGCTTGTAATCCCAGCTACGTGGGAGGCTGAGGCGGAAGAATTGCTTGAATCTGGGAGGCAGGGGTTGCAGTGAGCTGATATCACACCTTTGCACTCCAGCCTGGGCTACAGAGCGAGACTCCGTCTCCAAAAAAAAAAGAAAGAAAGGAAAAGACTGAAAATGATTAAGAAGAACAATTCAGTAAAGTGACTGGCTAAATAAAAACCATGAAAATTAATAATTTCTGTATATCAGCAGTAACATAAAAATAGGAAAAATTGCTTTTAAAATTAAGTAATAAACATGTTTTTATTTTACTCATAACTGTTTTGTTTTGAGACAAGGTCTTGGCTCTGTCACCCAGGCTGGAGTGCAATGTGCAGTGGCGCGATCTTGGCTCATTGCAACCTCTACTTCTCGGGCTCAAGCGATCTGCCCACCTCAGCCTCCAAGTAGCTGGGACCACAGGTGCACACCACCATGCCTCGCTAATTTTTTGTATTTTTGGTAGAGATGGGGTTTCACCATGTTGGCCAGGCTGGTCTCTAACTCCTGAGCTCAAGGGATCCACCCACCTTGGCCTCCCAGAGTGCTGGGATTATAGGAGTGAGCCACTGCTCCCAGCCTGTTTTGAGTTAATTTTTATGTTGATGTGAAGGAAGGGTACAACTTCATTGTTTTGCCTGTGGCTATCTACTCCTGGCACCATTTGCTGAAAAGACTATTCTTTCCCTCGTTGAATTGTGTTGGCACCCTTGTCAAAAATCATTTGACCACAATTATGGATTTATTCCTGGACTCTCAATTCTATTCCATTGATCTAACCTTATGCTAGTACTGTACTGTCTTGATTACTGTGGCTTTGTTTTTAGGTGATGAAGTATGAGCCTTCCTGCTTTTTCAGGATTGGTTCCTAGCAATTCCATATGCATGTTAGAATTTGCCTACCAATTTCTACAAAGAAGTCAGCTGGGGCCGGGTGCGGTGGCTCACGTCTTTAATCTCAGCACTTCGGGAGGCGGAGGCGGGTGGATCACCTGAGGTCAGGAGTTCGAGACCAGCCTGGCCAACATGGCGAAACAATAATAAATTATTATTGTTTATAATATAAAATTATTTCTTCCTCTTGATGCTACTGTGTATGGAATTATTTTCTTCATTTTCAGATTGTTCAATTGCAAGTATAAAAAAATGGATTTTTGTCTATCAGTCTTGTATTCTACAACCTTGCTGAACTAGTCATTAGTTATAAAACGAAGGCTCCTTGTGGCTGTTTTATGCCCTGGGTCTCTCCTACAAACTAGCCAGTCTACAGTCTAGGCTGTATCTTCATTACATCCAGGAACCTCTTTCCACTTGCGTAGTACCACAACCCCTATTGTTTTTGGGAACACCCTTAGACTGAAACTTGTCACACTCTTGCAAGTGAAGTTAGGTCCTTTGAGATACTCTGTGTTCCTGCTTCTTCCCTTAGGCAAAGTATCTGAGCCAGGGTTCTAGTGGTAGACTAGGTGGGGACAATAGCAAGCTTTTCTGTGAATGCTACCCCAGCTCTAGGAGGGTATGGGGCAGGTCAGCAGCCTGGGGTCCTCTTGGCTTGTCTCTCCTGTTGTGGAACCACTGTCCCATGAGCTGGGAGAGAGGGTCGTTGGATTCCCAGTATTCTCAGTGTGTCATGCCTATGAAAGAGCCCCTTTTCCACAAGTAGGGATTGAGCAGAAGAAGGGAGCCCCTGCCTCTGAGAGTACTTGCCTGAGACAGCCTCAGCAACAGAAGTCAGGGCAGGATGAGAAACACTGAAGTCGCATTCTTCCCAGGAATAAAGAAAGCCCTCAGGGATGGGTGCGGTGGCTCACAACTGTAATCCCAGCACTTTGGGAGGTCGAGACAGGCAGATCACCTGAGGTCAGGAGATCGAGACCAGCCTGGCCAACATGGTGAAACCCCATCTCTACTAAAAATACAAAAATCAGCTGGGCGTGGTGGTGGGCACCTGTAATCCCAGCTACTCGAGAGGCTGAGGTGGGAGAATCACTTGAACCCAGGAGGCAGAGGTTGCAGTGAGCCGAGATCACGCCATTGTATTCCAGCCGGGGTGATAACAGTGAAACTCTGTCTAAAAAAAAAAAAAAAAAAAATCATCAGGCTTCTTCTTCAGTTTTGCTATCCTCTTAGGATTAAAATTTATTTATTTATGATTTTTTTTTCTTTCAGGGACCACTTAATAGTGAGTCTTCCAACCAGAGCTTGTGCAGCGTCGGATCCTTGAGTGATAAAGAAGTAGAGGTAAGAAGCTATGTTCATGGCAGGACTTTTCATACTTGTACGTTTGGGCCAGGTTTGGTGGCTCAAGGCTGTAATCCCAGCACTTTGGGAGGCTGAGGCGGGCAGATTGCTTGAGGCTGGGAGTTGGAGACCAGCCTGGGCAACATAGTGAGAACTCGTTTCTACAAAAAAACTTAGCAGGGTGTGGTGGTACACACCTGTGGCCCCAGCTACTTGGAGGTCGGAGGATCGTTTGCACCCGGGAGAATGAGGCTGCAGTGAGCTGTGATGGCACCACTGCACTCCATCCTGGGCGACAGAGTGAGACCCCCATCTCACAGAAAAGATAGCACTGCTTAATTAACTCCCTGGGTGCTGTTAGACTCTGTGTAAATTGCTCCCCTTTGAGCTGTGTGCTCTTTGCATACGTACAGTTATGATGTGGCCCTCACGGGTTTTTATTATAATCATGTGTGGATCTTACATGTCTTAAAATTTTTGCATAGTTGCCATCAGTAAAGGATAGAAATTTGCAATATTGTTCCTGTTTAAATGGAAGATAAAATTGATTGACTGATTTTATTTTTACAACTTTTTTCGAGACATGGCCTCGCTCTGTCATGCAGGTCAGAGTGCAGTGGTGCAATCATAGCTCATTGTAACCTGACACTCCTGAACTCAAGCAGTCCTCCTGTCTCAGCCTCCTGAGTAGCTAGGTGCCACCGTGCCTGGCTAATTTTTAAAAATATTTTTAGAGGCGGGGCCTTGCTATGTTGCCCAGGCTGGTCTGGAACCCAAGCCATCCTCCCACCTCAGCCTCCAAAGTGCTGGGATTACAGACATGAGCCACAGTGCCTGGCGAAGACTTTTTGTTCATTTGCTTAACTATTCACAGCCCTCATGCATGAGATTTTTTTTTTTTATTTGGCATATAACCTAGCTGCCTGTAGATGGGTCTAAGTGTAAGTCTGTAGCCACCTACTTTGTACTTTGCAGATCTCTCCTTTTTGGAAAAAAGATTGGATTTAAAGTAGAAGTAGTGTAACAACAGTTTTCTGAGAACTTAACATATGGTGGACATTTGTCCTACATTTGTGCTCTATTAAATATCTTATGAAGGTTTTGTAGCAGCTCTGATTTACAGATGAATAAACTCAAGCTCTGATATTTTAAGCAGTTTGCCAAAAATTGTGTGGATGGTTTGGTTCTAGACCCTAATACTCTTTGTTATACTCAGTTTTAAGAGGAAGACAGTGATTCAGGACTTGTCTGGGCCAGTTATATCTGTTTATATATTCAATATTTTGTGTATACTCGCTGTTTTTCCTAACGTGAAAAATTTACCAAAATGCTAATTGTGACTTATATGGTATTTGACAGACTCCCGAGAAAAAGCAGAATGACCAGCGAAATCGGAAAAGAAAAGCTGAACCATATGAAACTAGCCAAGGTAGTAATAATTTCGTATCAACAAAAGTACTCAATTCTAATGTACTTAGATAGAATTTTCTAACTCATACTAAATAATTAGTTTGTACACAGGGATTCCTGATAAAGGAGGTTTGTGTATCTTAAGGGAATATCAGACTGTTTATTACAGACTTGCCATTTGGTATACACCTGACAGAACAGTGTTAGTTCTTCGGGGACTCTTTTGTTTTCCCTGTTGTAAGCTAACAATCTTCTTAACCACAGGTTTTTCTTTACACCAAATATATATTGTACAAAAAAGAGGTTATGTCAGAGTTTTAACTCTTGTCTTTTGTTAGATCAGTGATTTGTTAATGACAGCCAGCTAAAAGTGCTTCATTTACATTACTGTCCTTTCTGCCTACTGTTCTTCCGTGGCAGTTGTTTAGTTGAATATTGGAACCCATTGGGATAAATCTGTAAACATGATGGTTATAATGCCAAATATCTTTATATAATCAAAGAAAGAAAAAATGGCTTGGCTTTTTTTCCTCCCATTCTAAGGAATAGAAAGCCCAGTCTTGTTGCATCCTTCTTATCTTTTAAAATCTACAGATAATTCATTTTGTCTTTGGGAGCAAAATTCTCCCAAAGTGACAAGAAAAATTACAGAATCTTAAAGCTGTGAAAAATTCTTCCTTTCACTGCTTGTTCAGTCCTTTATTTTATGGAGGAAATAGTCTGTTCTTGGGCTAAGGTATTTTGGCTCATTTGTTACAAGTAAAGCTGACACTTGGGTTTATAGCAATGTATGTAGTTACTGAATGTATAGTACATTTTAGTGAATGATGGTTTATATGTGTATTGGAAAAACTGTATTTACTTTGGTTTCATTTTCAGGGAAAGGCACTCCTAGGGGACATAAAATTAGTGATTACTTTGAGGTAAGTTACATTTTTTGAAAAAACAAACAAACAAAACAAAACAAAAAAACTCTATAGTGATTTTTTTTAAAAAACCCTAAATCCTTGTGTTCATTTGAGGCTTTAGAAAGTAATATTTTGGCCAGGCGAGGTGGCTTATGCTTGTAATCCCAGCACTTTGGGAGGCCAAGATGGGAGGATCGCTTGAACCCATGAGTTCGAGGCCAACCTGGGCAACATGGGGAAACCCTGTCTCTACAAAAAACAGAAAAAATTAGCCAGGTGTGGTGGCACACACTTATAGTCCTGGCTACTTGGGAGGCTGAGGTGGGAGGATCACTTGAGCCTGAGAAGTCGAGGCTGCAGTGAGCCATGATCTACTGCACTCCAGCCTGGGTGACAGTGAGACCCTGTCTCCAAAAAAAAGAAAGAAAGAAAGAAAGTAATGTTTTGCCTTTACTGTACTCTTCTTCCCTTTCTCCCCATCTTCATCAGTTAATGCTGCCCCATCTCTCAATAAGAGAAAACTGCTGCTGCCTTCCTAAATTTAAATTTATTATGTGTCTTGTCTGTGATGATATAAGAATTCACAAATGAGGTGATTTTTCTCTTGGCCAGACGAGGTTTTGTGTCTTACAAAGATTGAGGTGGAATGACTTGGACTCTTCTTTTGTCCTCCTCCCTTTAGTACAGTGGAACATGTAGTGAGTTCCCTGACCCATCGTTAGTGGTTACTAAAGACACTAACATCCACTGCACCACTGCATTTCTGCTTCGTGTATTTGGAGACAAGAAGGGAAAACATTCTTCTCTCATGTCCTTTCAAAATCATGTATACCTTCAGCTTTCTAGCCATGTTTTCTTTATATCTTGGTATATTTCTGCTGGAGCTCCTTCTTAAAAATCTCATTAAAAATTAGCAGAATTTGACTTGTGTGGCATTTTCTCTCTAGAGTAAGATGTGTTAACTTAAAGGGGCCATATAATTAAGATCTGTTTGTGTATTAATCTTTTACTCTCCTTATCTGAAGCATAGTACTGTTTTGAATTATTCATATCGGTTTTTCCCTGTTGGCCAGTTTGCTGGGGGAAGCGCGCCAGGAACCAGCCCTGGCAGAAGTGTTCCACCAGTTGCACGATCCTCACCGCAACATTCCTTATCCAATCCCTTACCGGTAAGCATTCACCTGGAGAAATTTGACACCTGTTGTAGGAGACAAGATGCCCAGAAACACTCAAGCAAAGTTTCTCTTTCATTAATTACCCACAGGGAATGAAGCATTAGGGAGAAAAGTTCATAGTTTTACCTATGAATCCCTTACTTTGATTCAAATCTGTTGTCAGTAAATTAGCTTTTTACAGAAGAGCCAATCCTAATATCTCTATATAATAAATTACCTCTAATCCTACAGCTCAGTAGTCTATCAAAGAATTGATTCCAATCGAAACATTAGGTTTTTTCCCTTGCCAAATTTGTATGTTCCTTTAGGGTTTATTTTTATTTTAAAATTTGACCAGCTTCTGGCATAATTGAGTTATCTCCAGAGCTTATTCAGTAATGTACTAGAAAAACTAATGCTATGCAGATTTGTGATAGGTATGTTTCCAGCCTGTAAAAGAGATCTGAAGGTCTTAAAAACATTATACCTAAGTTAATGGTTCTCAGTTGGTGGCAGTTTTGCCCCTCAGGAACATTTGTGAATAACTGGAGTCATTATTGGTTGTCACTGCTCGGAGGTATGGGGATGACACTATAGGCATCTACTGGGCAGAAGTCAGGGATGCTGGTAAACATTCTGTAATGTTAGGACAGCCTCCCTGCAAAGAAGAATTACCTGGTCCAAAATATCAGTGGTGCCAAGGTTGAGAATTCCTGAGTAAGCTAACATAGGATTATGTTTATTTGCTCCAGTGTCTTCGCATTATTTGTTGATACTGTGTAAGACCTCTTACTCAAGAGTGTGCTCTATCCCCTAATACCTTAGGTATTGCCTCTGGGATCTTGGGAGACAGGGTCTCTGGGACAGAAGTTTTTATTTTAGATCACTGATTTTTAGGAAAGTTGTTTTTCTTTGCCTTGGTAGAGTTGTGTAATAGTACTCATTTCCTAAGCGATTTAGGCTTCTGTATTGTTAAAGTATTTTAAAATGTACTTTCTCCCCCTCTACTGTCTCATAAAAACCTTCATTAGGATTATTGTAATTATTAAAGCACTTATGAAAACATAAGTTAAACTTATGAAAACAACTAAGAAGTTTTGGCTATTACTGTGTCATCCTTGCCATATATATGTAATTTTTTTTTTTTTTTTTGAGACAGTCTTGTTCTGTCACTCAGGCTAGAGTGCAGTGGTACGATCATGACTCACAGCAACCTCTGCCTCGTAGGCTCAAGTGATTCTCCCAAATCAACTTCCTGAGTAGCTCGTAGTACAGGCATGTACCACTACGCCCGGCTAATTTTTGTATTTTTTTGTAGAGGCGTGGTTTCACCATATTGCCCAGGCTGGTCTCAAACTCCTGAGATCATGTGGTCTGCCTGCCTCCACCTCCCAAAGTGTTGAGATTACAGGCATTAGCCATTGTGTCAGACCATCCTTGGCCATAGTTTAAAATGTTAGAAATGTTTGTTTGATCATAGATCCAATTTGGGCAGGTTGAGGTTTGTTAGTTAACTGTTGAAGAGGCCTGTGTCTCTGTTTTTCTTAAGTTTCAAACCAATTAAAGTCTAAAAGATATTAAATGAGATTGCAGATTATCTATTTGGGACAGATACGTTTTGTAGAATTTCTCGATGTTGTCTATCACTCTTTTCTTCCTGAAATGCCTTTTTCATTTGGTTTTTAATGGTGTGACCACCCATCTCTCATGTGTCAGTTTAGGTTGAATCTTACCTGAAGACAAAAGAGATGAACTCAATGATCTGTAGACATTTTTGCCAGCTATATGAATGTGGCTGAGCCTCATCATCATGCAAATCTGAGTATAGATGAGGTGTTAAAATAGAAACCAAAGCTTAATCCTCCACCTTTTCCTTGCCTGCCTCTAGGCAACTCAGCATGGTTGGAGGAAAACACATACACCAAGGTGACTGACTGATCTGGTCATGAGCACTGGCCTCATGTATACCTCTCACTGCCTGCCAGTCCTACTGTATTTCTACTTAGTTCCCTTTCCTCCATGAATATGTCCTATTTTTGTCATCTCCTGCAAACCTCCAGCAATTCTTCTGCTAACTGATGGCCTTCCTTTTTTATGTTACTGAGAAAATAGAAACAATCAGAAGAGCATTTCCACATGCTCCTACTGCAGATTTGCCAAGCTCCTTGCATCAGTACCCACATCCATCTGCCTTTGAGATGAATGAACTTGCTAGCCCTTCACATGGGGTCTGGTCTCCCCAATAATTATGTATCCAGCTGTCTACTTGACATTTCCACTTGTACTGCTTGAGCATGTCCAAAAAGGAACTCTTGCTTTCCCTTCCCTACCATAACAATAACATTGAACTGCTCTTCCTGTAATCTGCCTTGTCCTGGTAAATGACAGGTTACACCATCTGGTTTTTCAGGTCACAGCCTCATGCCCCAAATGTAATCCATCAGAAAATCCTGTTTTTCCTTTAAAATATATTAGAATATGACCACTTTTCTATTTTTCCAGTTCACTGCATTAGCTTTCAAAGTAGTCTCCTTGTTTTTGCCCTTGTTTCACCTAGTCTTAATGTAATAGCCCGAGTAATTGTTAAAATGTTCAGACACATCCCAGCACTCGTCTGCTCAACACTTCCTAGACTGAAGTCTTTATGTGACCTAAAAGCTCCTGCGTGATCTGTGCTTCCCATCGTCCACCTGATTCTGACATCTGCAGCCATTCTCCCTCTCCTTCATGCCACTGCAGCCACACTGGCCTCCTTGAGCTCTGTGAAAAACGCTTTTGCTATAGGGTCTTTGTACTTGTTATTCCCTCTTCCAGGAACATTCTTTTCTCAGATACCAGCAATCTCTTCATCAGGTTGTTGCTCAAAAATGACCTTAGCTAAGCGGTCTCCCTTAGCCAACTTCTCTAAAATAGCAGTCCCTCATACCTTGTCAATTTGTTCCTAACTGTACTTTATTTTAATTCTAAGTTATTGGCACTTGACACACCCATGTACATACATTTTAATATATATTTAAATTTTTTTGTTGATTCATATTTATACGTACAGAAGAGTACACATTGTAAGTCTACAGTTCGCATGAATTTTCACAAACTCTACAAGCACAAGAAATATTACCAGTGCTGCAGAAGTCCCCCTGAGTTCCCTTTCAGTTACTAACCCCCTCCCTGCCGCTGTGGCTAGCCACTAGCCTGACCTCTAACAACATAGATGAATTTTTTTTTGTATCTTGTGTAAAAGACATTCAGTGTATACTCTTGTGTCTAGCTCCTTTTGTTGCACGTTACTTTTGTGAGGTTTATCCATTTCATTGTGTATTTTATAGGTCATTTATTTTCATTGGTGTGTTATAAGTTTAATTTTCATTTAATAATTTATATATTTTAATTTTGTACTATATAATTAGTTAATTGCCCATCTTCCGACTAGATTTTTTTTTTTTGAGACGGAGTTTCGCTTTTGTTGCCCAGGCTGGAGTGCAGTGGTGCGATCTTGGTTCACCGCAACCTCCGCCTTCCAGTTTCAAGCGATTCTCCTGCCTCAGCCTCCCAAGTAGCTGGGACTACAGACACGCGCCACCACGCCCAGCTAATTTTTGTATTTTTAGTAGAGACGGGGTTTCACCATGTTGGCCAGGATGGTCTCGATCTCTTGACCTCGTGATCCGCCCGCCTCGGCCTCCCAAAGTGTTGGGATTACAGGCATGAGTCACCGTGCCCAGCCTAGAATGTTAATCTCATAAGAATGGGGATTTTGCTTTGCTTTGTTTACTGCTGTCTCTTGTTACATAAAGGTGTAATTTTTAAACTAATTTCCCCCACTTGACATGTAAGCAATAATGTCTTATTTCATTTTCAGTCTCCAGCATCCAAAACAGTGCTTGGGACACAATAGGTGTTCAAAATTGTGCTGACAGGGAAGAATAGATGGATAAAAAATTATTTTCACCTTTTTCCCTATAAAAGATTATTTTGTATTTGTGTTAAATATAAAAAATAAAGTATGTAAAACATGAAAGTTTTCATGCAGGAGTTGGCAAAAGACAGGTCACAGCTGGCAAGCTAGGAATGATTTTTATTTTTTTAAATTTATTTCATTTTAATTTATGTTATTTTTGGAGACAAAGTCTCACTGTATCCCCCAGGCTGGAGTGCAGTGGCGCAATCTTGGCTCACTGCAACCTCAGCCTCCCGGGTTCAAGCGATTCTCCTGCCTCAGCCTCCCGAGTAGCTGGGACTACAGGTGTGCACCACCACGCCTGGCTAATTTTTGTGTTTTTAGTAGACACGAGGTTTCGCCATGTTGGCCAGGCTGGCCTCTATCTCCTGACTTCAAGTAATCCACCCGCCTCAGCCTCCCAAAGTGCTGGAATTACAGGCGTGAGCAACTGCGCCTGGCAAGCTCGGAATGATTTTTAGATTTTTAAAAGGTTTTAGAAACGAAGGATATATGACAGAGACTGATGTGGCCTGCAAAACCTAAAATATTTGTCTGGTCCTTCACAAAAAAGCTCTCAGAAAATCACTATAAAGTTAACTCTATGTAATTGTTACATAGGAAGGTAGACTATTTCCAGCAGCTGGAAACCTACATGCTGTTCCCTGATCACAACTCCCACTACCCTAGAAGTGATCACTTGGCTGGTTTTTGTGGTAATCATTTTTGTTTTCGTGTAGTTTAAACTATCCATGTCTGAATCCATAAACAAAATAGTTCAGTTTTGCCAGTAGGTAAACTCAGTGTTTAAATCTTAGGTATTTTTATTTTTGGCTGTTCTATCAATTATTAAGAGCGGTGTGTATATTTGTATCTCTCGCTGTGATTGTGGAAGTTGTCTGTTTCTTCTTACATTTATATTAAATTTTGTTTTATGTATTATGACTCTCTTCATCTCTTTAAAGCTCTTTGCTTTATTTTTTAATTTTAATTTTTATTTTTGAGACAGGTTCTTGCTCTGTTGCCCAGGCTGGAGTTCAGTGCACGATCTTGGCTCACTACAACCTCCGCCTCCTGGGTTCAAGTGATTCTTGTGCCTCAGCCTCCCAAATACCTGGGATTACAGGCATGCATCACCATGCCGAGATAATCTTTTTGTATTTTTAGTTGGGTTTTCTCCATGTTGGCCAGGCTGGTCTGGAACTCCTGGTCTCAAGTGATCTGCCTGCCTTGGCCTCCCAAAGTATTGGGATTATAGGCATGAGCCCCTGAGCCTGGCTGAAGCCCTTTGCTTTAAATGTGGTTTATCTGATATTTAATATATCCAAATCATTGTGAGGTATAACTATTTCCATTCTTAATACTGTCAAATTTGCATTATGTTTTCTATCTTGGGCAAATACCATATAATTAGATTTTTTTCTCTTAAGTCTAAAATTTTTTATTATCCTATTTACATTCAATATAATTACCACCACATTCAGTTTAGATATATCATTGTTTAATGTGTTTTTTATTTATCTTGCCTGTTCTGTGTTCCTTTTTCTTTAATTTCTTGCTTCCATTTAGATTGGATTTTTTTTTTAAGTCATTTTCTGTTTTCCTCCTCTGCTAGTAGCTAGGCTGTCTTTGGTGTTTCTCTTAGAAAGTACCACATACCGCCGGGCGTGGTGGTTCACGCCTGTAATCCTAGCACTTTGGGAGACCTGGGGACCCACGTGGGAGGATTACTCGAGCTCAGGAGTTCGAGACCAGCCTAAGCAATATAGTGAGATCCCTGTCTGTACGAGGCAGGCAAATCATGAGGTCAGGAGTTCGAGACCAGCCTGGCCAATGTGGTGAAACCCTGTCTCTACTAAAAATACAAAAACTTAGCTGGGCTTGGTGGCAGGTGCCTGTAATCCCTGCCACTCAGGAGGCTGAGGCAGGAGAATCTCTTGAACCCGGGAGGCAGAGGTTGCAGTGAACCGAGATCACACCACTGCACTCTAGCCTGGGTGACAGTGCAAGACTGTCTCAGAAACAAACAAACAAACAAACAAACAAAAAACAACATTTAAAAATTAGCCAGGCATGGTGGCATGCACCTTGTAGTCCCAGCTACTCAGGTGGCTGAGGTGAGAGGATTCCTCGAGCCTAGGAGGTTGAGGCTGGAGCGAGCCATGATCACACCACTGCGCTCCATCCTGTAGCATAGAGTGAGACCCTGTCTCAAAACCCCCAGAAAAGAAAAAATAAGAATAAATTACCACATGCCAAAATTTGAAGTCAGTTGTATCTTCATCCTCTACCAAATAAAATAATGTCCCCAGAACACTGTTTACTCTGCTACTGATTTGGTGGTAGTGGTGTATGTTTTTATTTTGCCTTTTTTTGGTCTCATAAAATATTACTGTTCAGTGCTATCAGTGTTCGTTTAGGTTTATCTATGTATTTACCTCTTTGTACTTCTTTCCTTTTTGCATCCTACACCTTCCACCTGGGGTTGCTTTCCTTCTGCCTAAGTATTCCTTTAGTATTCTTCTAGAATATATCTGCTAGAGATTAACTCTCTAGGTTTTTGTTTACTGAAATAACTTTATTTTGCTCTTATTCCTGAAAGGTATTTTTGGCTGTGTATATTTTTAGGTTCGCTTTCTTTTTTTTTCTTTTAACACAATTGAGCAGTAATTCATTACCATGTTCTAACCCTCCATTGTTACTATTAAGAAATCAGCTGTCATTTGCCTGTTGTTTCTTTGAAGGTATCTGCTTTTTTTCCCCTGGCTGCTTTAAAAGTCTTTAGCTATGGTGTTCTGTAGTTTTATGATGATGTGTCATTTCATTTCTCTTGCTTGTGATTTCTTGGACTTCTGGAATTTGTGGGTTGGTATCTTTCATCCGTTCTGAATAATTAGCCATTGTCTCTTTGAATATTATCTCTGACTTGTTCTTTTTTCCTTCTCTTATGAAATTCTAATTAACCATACATTATACTTTCTAATTTTATTACCATGGCTTTTGACTTTTTTTGTATTTTTGTTCTTCTTGTCTTTATATACTCCATCATGGATAATTTCTTCTTGCCTTTCAGTTCCCAGATCCTGTTTTATTGTTTCTAATTTGCTATTAGCTCTATTGAATTGGTTACTGCCTTTTGAAGAAAAAGAATTACATTTCCTGCAGATATTTTCAAGCCTGTCTTTTATTTTTTAAAATATGGTAGACACAATTATTTTATAATCTGTTTGATAATTCTAGCATCTGAAGCTTTTATGAATCTGTTTCTGGTGTCCCTTGTTTTTCTTAGTTGTTGTTCATGGCTTTATTTCTTTTATGCTTTGTTTTTTAACTGTGTACTCCTCATTGTTCTTGAAAAATTTTTTGGGGGGTTTCTTCAAGATCTAGGATGAATGAAGATGTGTTAATTCAGGGAAAATTTTTATTTGCTCCTTCCGAGTACCTAGAGATTTTACCTCTTTTATATACCACTTTAGTGAATTTATGGCTTATATTTTGTTTAGTTTATTTTGTTTGCTTATTTCAACTGCTAGGAAATATTGATTTGGATTGTGTCAACATTTCTCAAGACAACCCCCAACTCTTACACTGCCAAGGCAACTTCCTGGCAGCCATCTGAGGGTGGGGGTAATTTTTCTTTTGGTTTACCCTTTCCTTGAGAATGTAGGTAGCTCTTTGGAGGCCCAGCTTGAAGTGGGAAGGGTTTCCTATTGAACCCTCTCCCTTGGGTGGGCTTTGGTCTGTGACTATCTGCTTGATACCATGTTGCCCTGAAAATGGAAATTCAAGATCTGCAAGTGCCCTTAGGCCATATGTGGCTTTGGTACTTCTTTTACCTGTCTTATGTTCCTAATTTCCCTTAGATTTTGCTCTGGCAGATCCCTAATACTTTATCAACTCTTCAGTGCTTTTAATGTTTTTTTGTTGTTGTTGTTGTTGTTGTTCGCCCATATTTTATCCTATCTGTATAGTTTTTTTCCCCCCCCAGGGAGACGTTGGTTCAAACAGGAAAGGCTGTAGCCTACATAGTGTATTTACAGAAATGTTTTTAAATCTTTCAATCCTTGGCAGGTATTTATTGAATATATGGCAGAAGGTTTAATTTTACTGTTGCAGCTCGTTCTCCCATGCAGTGAGAATGTTGTCATCAATGGGTATCACAGGTGTTCTGGAGCCTGGGTTTAAACTGTTACATTTGCTGGGGTAGGACTCTACTCATAGATTCAAAAACTAATTTCTTTGTCAGGATCATTTTACTTTTATTTTTTTTGACATGAAAACGTTAAAGAACTATTCCTGATTAAGGAAAATTATTTCCTTTATTCATGCAGATTATGAAAGTTCAACAATTCAGAAATGGTGAAATAGAAAGTTCCCTCCAAAAGAACTGTTATTAGAGAGTATGGTGGGCAAATATTTCTAGACTTTTTGAGATATACATGTATGTTTATATAATAGGTTTTCTTATTTCCATTGTATTAGTTTATTTAACCAGTATCTTGTAAGCATTTATATCTATAAATAGTGCTGCAATGAACATCCTTATACATACTTATTAACTTACGCATTTTTCCTAGATAAATCCCCTAATAGTAATTCCCAGGTCAGAATATGATCATTTAAAAATGTCATCACATAAATTGCTAGAAGGTTATTAGCAGTTTGAGAGTACCAATTTTTTCACACCCTGCTAATAATACTGAATTTTATCATTGTAACCTTTGGCATAAAGAAAAATACCTTGTTTTAACTTGCATTTGTTCATTAGTTATGTATATTAAACATCATATGTTTAATGGCCTTTTGGATTTCTCTTTTAATGCTTGTTCAGGTCCTTTGCATATGTCTCTTTTGAAATACTTGTGTGTTTTGGTTTTTGTTTTACTGATAGGTAAAGCATTATTTATTAAGATTTAATAAATTATTTATATTATTAATTTGTTATATTGTAAATATTTTTGCTTGTTTGTAATCTTGTCTTTTAACTTTATGTTGACTTTTACCATTCAGATGCAAAAAAATTGAAGTAGTTAAATTTATCAGTGTTTTTCCTTTATGACTTATGGGATTTGTCTTATTCTTAGATGTTCCCATATGGTGTATTCCTATACGGGGTGTGTGTGTGTGTGTGTGTGTGTCTGTGTGTGTGTGTGTAATTTTTTTTTTTTTTGAGACAGGGTCTTGCTGTGTAGCCCAGTGTGTGTGTGTCTGTGTGTGTGTGTGTAATTTTTTTTTTTTTTTGAGACAGGGTCTTGCTGTGTAGCCCAGGCTGGAGTGCAGTGGTGTGATCTTGGTTCACTGCAGCCTCTGCCTCCCGCGTTCAAGTGATTCTCATGCCTCAGCTTCCCGAGTAGCTGGGACTACAGGCATGTGCCACCATGCCCAGCTAATTTTTGTATTTTTAGTAGAGGCAGGGTTTTGCCACGTTGGCCAGGCTGGTCTCAAACTCCTGACCTCAAGTGATTTGCCCATCGCGGCCTCCCAAAGTGCTGGGATTACAGGCATGAGCCACTGTGCCCCGCCCATGGTTTATATTTTTAATGTCATGTTTAAAAAGTCCTTTACCACTAGAAAATTCTAAAAGCATTTGTTTATTTTTTCTTCTTGTAATTTTTTATATATGATAAAAGGTAGGAATCTTCTTTTCCCTTTTTTTCTAATATCTGCACAAACGTCCTACCATCTTTTTAATAAGTTCCCGCTAATATGAAATGCACATTAATCACAACTTATATATCTATATTATATAGATCTGTTTCTGAATTCTGTATTCTGTGCCACTGGTCAATCTGTCTGCTTCTGTATCTGTATGATACTGTTTTAGTTAATGTAACATTGTAGTATGTTTCACTATCCGGTCAAGTTTCCCTGATACTTTTTCTCAAAAATTATGTGGCTGATTATGATTATTTTTTTAAGTGAACCTTAGAATTTATTGTGAAATTCTACAAAAACAACTGCCCAAGAAAGCATGAGAGAGAACCTAGATGACCACTATACCACCATAAGACTACCCCTTGGAAGAGAAAAAGGCCAAACACAAAATTTAAAACATTAAACTTGGGTTTTAGAGAAATTTGATGTTTGTAGAATCTGAACCCAGGAACATGATATTACCGTTTAACTTAGATCATCTTTTATATTCATCTGTGAAGCTGTATAGTTTTTCTTCAAAGGTGTTCTGCATGTTTCTTAAGTTTGCTTTCAAGTATTTTACAGATTTTTGTTTGCTACTTTGAATCTGCTTTTCCTTCTGTTACATGCTCTGATTAAAATCAGTTGGGGAAGCTATCAATTTTAGTGTATTTATTTTGTATTTGGCCATCTTACTGAGCTCCTTTTAATTGTTATAGTAATTTTTCCATTGATTTGCTTGGTTTCCTTTGTGAATGGTTATATCATCCAAAAATGACACTAAAAATCTTTAATTTCTAATATTTTTACTTCATTTTTTTCTTTTTTACATTGGCTAAAACTTTCATAATAACGTTTAATATGAGAATGTGTTACTTTTGTCTTGTTTTCTAGCTTTAATTGAAAGGGTCTCCAGTCTTAGCACCATTAATTATGATATTTTAATTTTTGAAAAACATACTCTTCATTGCATTAAAAGTGGATAATTCCAGTCTTTTTTTTTTTTTTTTTTTTTTTTGGAGATAGAGTCGCTCTCTGTTACCCAGGCTGGAGTGCAGTGGCGCAATCTGGGCTCACTGCAACTTCCGCCTCCTGGGTTTAAGCAATTCTTCTGCCTTAGCCTCCCGAGTATCTTGGATTACAGGTGCCCACGACCACGCCTGGATAATTTTTGTATTTTTAATAGAGATGGGTTTCACCACGTTGGCCAGGCTGGTCTTGAACTCCTGACTTCAAGTGATCCGCCTGCCTTGGCCTCCCAAAGTACTGGGATTACAGGCATGAGCCATTGTGCCTTGCCAATTCCAGTCTTTTAAGAGTTGCCTAACAGTGTGTGTATCCTTTTTGGTATCCAACAGGAAGAATCTTAATTTATCCCTCCCTAAAGTTAATGTAATGAATTACATTAGTAGATTTGCTAATGTTGAATCATTTTTAGGTTTCTGGAGTGAGTTATGCGTAATTGTGATGTATTATCCTTTTAGTATACTGTGGAACTTGTTTTGCTTGCATTTATTTTAGATTTTTGCATCTAAATATAGTACAGCAAGAACAGAATTGAGAGTGAAATAAGCTTCACCTATAAAGTCACGTGACAGGCCAGGCACGGTGGCTCATGCCTGTAATCCCAGCACTTTGGGAGGCTGAGGCGGGCAGATCACCTGAGGTCAGGAGTTCGAGACCAGCCTGGCCAACATGGTGAAACCCCGTCTCTACTAAAAATACAAAAAAATTAGCCAGGCGTGGTGGCAGGCACCTGTAATCCCAGCTACTTGGGAGGCTGAGACAGGAGAATCGCTTGAACCCAGGAGACAGAGGTTGCATGCAGTGAGAGCAGAGACTCTCCATTGCACTCCAGCCTGGGCAACAAGAATGAAACTCCATCTCAAAAAAAAAAGAAAAAAGAAAAAAGAAAAAAAAGTCATGGGACAATGTCTTAATTTTCATTTACCTACAGGATAGAAATAATATTTCCTGTGTAGGGTTGAGGGCATTATGAAGTTGATTTGTAGAATTCTACAAAGTAACATGTAAATTCAGACTCTCATAAATATAGAACCATTAAAATATAATGTCAAAGAATTTGAGTAAGATAGTCACATTTTTAGATAGGTTATAATACAATGATAATGTTGGTATGCTCTCCATAATTATTTTTAGAGAGGCCTTTTTAAATAAACCATTCATCTTATATTTGATAACTGTTTTTAACCCGTTGCATGTTTGGGCAGTATCAGATTATCTTTCTCATGTCATTTGTGTGTTTCTTTACTGTTTTCCAGCGACGAGTAGAACAGCCCCTCTATGGTTTAGATGGCAGTGCTGCAAAGGAGGCAACGGAGGAGCAGTCTGCTCTGCCAACCCTCATGTCAGTGATGCTAGCAAAACCTCGGCTTGACACAGAGCAGCTGGCGCAAAGGGGAGCTGGCCTCTGCTTCACTTTTGTTTCAGTGAGTACAAAGCCTAAGTTAATTCATATCCTTTCCATTGCCCTAGTGCTCCTTGATGAGGTTGGATTAATTATTTTGATAGAGAGATAGGGACATTTCTAATACTTTTTTTTAAAATGTGATCTCCCCTTATCATCATTCCCAAACATGTCTAATTCTACATCACTTCTAAATATATTGTGTTTTTCCCAGTCTCCCTTGGTTCAAGCTCCTGAGGGAGACTGCTTTGTCAAAGCCTGAACCCACAATGGGAAGGAAGGAAAGCATAATCTTAGATTGACAAAGAAGAAAATACAGATCAAATTCCATTAGTAACCAAGATATAATTAAAAATAGAGTCTCCGAGTTCCAGCCATCATCTATGTAAGTTAATACTCAAGTCAGTACAGTTTTAGTATGTAGGCAGGCATTCTCACAGCAAGTTACTGGTCATTTACCCCGTGTAGTATTTGGGCTATGTACACACTTGCTTTCTCACCCCTTCAGAGTGTTGGTACACTTAACCTTTCTCAGGAATATTTGGCTACCTGTTCGCTCCTTTCAGCTTACTTCTTTCTCTATCTTTGAAGAACAAGAATTTGAGTATTATGAAAGTTTGACCTCATTTCATAAGGCGCTATGAGTGCAATTTGAACCAAATGTTACTTTTCCTGGTTTTTGGGCCCTGCCAGGTCACCTGTTTGTTGCCAAGGGTGCCAGAGTAACAGAAAGCCCCGTCGCCGTATTCCTATTCCACTTTCAGGGGCATCTTTCACAACTAAGTCACCACTCATCCAGATTTTGTCCCTCTTACTGGTTCATTTTGTCCAGTTATAATTTAAGTTTCCTGTTTATTTATCCTGTGGTGTCTATAAGTCTCCAATCCACACTCCACCAACTGTGTTCAAAAAGGTGCTGAAAATGGTGGTTGTCTTAAGGAAAGGAAATAGAAATAATAAAACAGTTAACCAGATAGGAAACTATTGTGCATGATATGGAATGTTTTCTTATAGTTATGATAGCTTTACCTTAAGAAAGAGATACAACGCTCCTTGAATAACGTCATTTCATTCAACATGGTTTCGTGATAGTGTTAATTAGACACTGTGAGCTGACGCCACTGTCTGTGTGGAGTTTGCGTGTTTTCTCCATGTCTGTGTGGGTTTTCTTAGGGCACTCTGGTTTCCTCCTGTATCCCAGAGATGTGTGCATTAGGTTCACTGGTGTGTCTACGGAGTCCCAGTCTGAGTGAGTGTAGGTGTGTGTGTGCAACAGAATGGCTTCCTGTCCAGGTCTGGTTTCTGCTTGCACCCTGAGCTGCCTGGGATAGGCTCTGGCTTTTCACCACTCTGTACTGGAATAAACAGATAAATCATTATCTTACTTGTTTTTATTAATCTTACTTAAATGTATGTAGAGCTCACTTTTATTTCAGTGTTTAATGTTAGAAGTGTTTTGATCTTTAATCATCAAAGGAATGGGGAAACTTCTTGTGTGAAGACAGTATATCCTATCCCCAGGTAACAAAGGAAATATACATACTTTAAAAATGGGAGAATTGACCTATATAATATTGTGAGAGGGACTGACAGCAGTATGGAATAGTTCCTTTGAGAATGCAGTATGCTATAGTATTGTTCTAAAGAATGTATGTGTGTCATTCACACATTTCGAGATTGTTAATGTTTATCATACACTTACTTTTGTTAAATCTTTGTTTTTTTTTTTTTTTTTTTTGAGATGGAGTCTGGTTCTGTCGCCCAGTCTGGAGTGCAGTGGCCTGATCTTGGCTCACTGCAAGCTCTGCCTCTCGGGTTCACGCCATTCTCCTGCCTCAGCCTCCCGAGTAGCTGGGACTACAGGCACCCGCCACCACGCCTGGCTAATTTTTTGTATTTTTATTAGAGATGGGGTTTCACCATGTTAGCCAGGATGGTCTCGATCTCCTGACCTCGTGATCCGCCCGCCTCAGCCTCCCAAAGTGCTGGGATTACAGGCATGAGCCACCGCGCCTGGCCTTTGTTAAATCTTTATCTTGGATCTTACTTTTCCAGAAAAAACCTTGGATAATTAGGGAGTTATTTGTCTTTTGGTCATTTTTAAGGCATTAAAATGACCTCTTTTTCACTTGAGAGGAATTCTGTTTGTTTACTCCACAAATACGTACTGAGTGCCCACTGTGTAATGAGCATAGTTAAATACACAAGATTTGGTCAGCAAGAACTTGTTCCCCTTTCCATCTTCTGTAAAAAGTATGGTATGTAGGCTTGTGGTGGATGCACGTGAAGGACCACCTACTTAGTCCTATCAGCTGACGCACTCCGTTATCAGAGGAGTAGCAGATGCTATAGCCGTGTTGTTCTCATGTGGAAAGAGGTGGCAGAGACTAGTAACAAAATGATCATGTATGAAGAAGGAACATGGAAACAGTATGAAAACCAAAAGTCTAAATGCTCTGGTACAGTTTTGTTTCTCTTTGCTTCTCAGCAGTACCAGCCAGCATATAAGCTTAGTAGTATAAGGAAAGAAAATAGTAAAAGGGTTAGTATTAATATACAAGTGTAAATCAGCAAAGGAAAGCAGATTCTTAGAAAAGTAGGCAAAGACTGTTTTTGAAAAGAAGGCAAGTGGCTAATAACATGAAATAATGCTCAATTTTGGCCATAGAGAAGTGCAAAATAAAACAAGATAACATTTTTGACCTAGCAAATTGGCAAGGATTAATAAGTTTGATAGTTCTTGGTGTAGGTGATAGTTTAGAGATATATTCAGTTTTATTCTGTCTATAAATTGTTGAAGTCATGTGGACAACTTGGTAATGTATCTCAATGTTAAGTTTACATATCCTTGGGTCCAGAAATTCCATTCCCATAAAATTACACAAAGATATTTATTGAGGTATTGTTTATTGTTGCAAAAAATCTGGAAGCAGTTTCCCTTCCAGTATTTCAGAGGATATGACCTTCGCATCAGACCTCATCTGACGTAATTCATTAGCAACTATTGATCACTTCTTTCTTCTCTAAGCATACGGTCTTTCACTCGGCTTCCACTCTTGATTTTTCCTCACATTCTCTATCTCTGAACATTAGAGTGTTCCAGGGCTCTGTCTTCAGACTCATTTATCTACCTTCATTTTCTTCTTAACCTCCCTCTCTTTTTTTTTTTTTTTTTTTCAATTGAGACAGGGTCTCACTCTGTTGCCCAGGCTGGAGTGCAGTGGTGCAATCTCAGCTCACTCCAACCTCCATCTCCTGGGCTCAAGCGATTTCCCCACCTCAGCCTCCCAAGTAGCTGGGAGTACAGGCGTTGGCTACCACGCCTGGCTGATTTTTGTTTTTAGTAGAGACAGAGTATTGCCATGTTGGCCAGGCAACATGGTCAACTCCTGACCTCTATGGTCTCAAACTCCTGACCTCAAGTGATCCTCCCGCCTCGGCCTCCCCAAAGTTCTGGGATTACAGACGGGAGCCACCACACCCAGCCTTCTTAATCTCATCTAGTTCCTTTGTTACTAAAATTTAACTCCTATGTGCAGAGGACTTCCAAGTTTATGCGTCTAGCCAGGGCTCTGCCCTGAATTTCAGGCCTGTGTCAGTTGCCTCCAGTCATTTCCTTTCTATGTCTAACAAACATGTCAAATGTAACATGTTCAAAACTGAACTCTTCCTTCTGTTCCCCACCCGAAACCCATTTCTCCTACAGCTGCCTTTCTCCTCCTCCTCCTCCTCCTCTTCCTCTTCTTCTTTCTCCTTTCTTCTTTCTTCTTCTTTCTTTCTTTTCTTTTTTTTTTTTTTTTTTAATAGAGACAGAGTATTAGTGTGTTACCTAGGCTGTTCTTGAACACCTGAACTCAAGTAATCCTCCCAGTTTGGCCTCCCAAAGTGCTGGGATTTTAGGTGTGGGCCACCGTGCCTGACTTCCACAGCCTTCTACATCTCAATAACTGTCAACTTTTCTCCTTCTAATTGTTACAGCTAAAATCCTTGGAGTCATTCTTGTCTTTCTCTTCTTTTTATATTATATGCCAAATCCAAATCTATCAGTAAAGCTTATTGATTTTACCTTCAAAATATGTTCAGAATTTTTTTTTTTTTTTTTTTTTTTGAGACAGAGTCTTGCGTTGTTACCCAGGCTGGAGTGCAATCTGGGCTCACTGCAACTTCCACCTCCCAGGTTCAAGCCGGTTCTCCTGCCTCAGCCTCCCAAGTAACTGGGATTACAGGCGCGTACCACCATACCCAGCTGATTTTTGTATTTTTAGTAGAGATAGGGTTTCACCATGTTGGCCAGGCTGGTCTTGAACTCCTAACCTCAGGTGATCCACCCGCCTTGGCCTCCCAAAGTGCTGGGATTACAGGCATGAGCCACTGCATCTGGCCTGTGTTCAGAATTTTACCACTTCTAATTCTCTTCACTACTGCCACTCCAACTTAAACCATTGTCTCCCACTGAGATAACTGGACCCATTGCTTTGATCTTTGTTTTCTTTTAATCTGTTCTTAACAAAGCAGAGTGATTGTGTTGAAACGTAAGTCCAGTCATGCCACTCCCCTGTCGAAAAGTCCTTAAAGTGGCCCTGCATGGTTTGTTTTCCTCCACCCTGACATGTTTTACTACCATCTACCTTTCTCATCAGATTCCATGCACGCTAGCCACCTTGTTTTCTCAAATACTCTCTCTCAGTGATGCTCTCACCTCGGGGCCTTTGCGTTGGCTGTTGCCTTTGCCCTAACATTCTTCACCCATATATCATCATGCCCTGCTCTCTCAGTTCCCTCTGGTTTCTGCTTATATTTACCCTATTAGAGAGGCCTACCCTGGCCACACTATAAAATAGCAACTTCTCCCCACCCATCCCACCTGTTACTGAGCTCCTAGGCCCTGCGTTGTTTTTCTCCTTAGTCTACACCAGCTGACGTACTATGATGGACTTTTGTCTGACTTCCCCCCACTGGAATGTAAGCTCCATCAGGTCAAGGACTTTGCTTTGTTCACTTGTGTATCTCTAATGCCCAGAACGGGACCTGCTCTAATAGGCACTCAGTGTAATTATATGTTGCATGAGTTAGTAAAAGCATTCTTTATAGAAGGACTGGTTAAATGAATCGTAATATATTTGTACAGTGGAATGCTATACAGCTGGCAAAAGAAGTGAGGTAGCTGTATATACACCAATGAAAGATTTCTAAATATGTGTTGATAAAAATAGCAGGTGGCAGAATATTAAGAATTTGATCTTTTAAATGTTTAAAATTATTACATAATTCTATGTTTTAACATAGGAAATTTGAGGTTTTATTTTTAAGAGAGAGGTCTCGCTATGTTGCCCAGGCTGGGGTACGGTGGCTATTTACAGGTGCAATCATAGCATTATAGCATACTATAGCCTTGGAACTTCTGGGTTCAAGCAATTCTCTTGCCTCAGTTTCCAGAGTAGCTGCAACTAGAGTGCACCACAGTAGCTGCAGCTAGAGATTGCACCACTGCACTCCAGCCTGGGTGACAAAGTGAGACTCAGTCTCAAAGAAAAAAAAAAATTAGTATTTGGACTCACAGTCTAGTGCTCATTCTGTACCACCACACTAGCTCCCAGTATGAAGACTATCTGTTTGTACAAAGACAATATATATCAGGCTAGAGAATAAGATATCTGAGCTGACCTCTCACTTTTAACTTTATGGCATTACAACATACATAAAGATCCAGTAAGAAGGGAGATGTAGAGGGATTAGAAAAAGGTCATTTCCTCTTCTATTGGTGAGAATGTTGTCAGGGAAAATCATAAGCAAATAGTTTCCTAAATTATGAAAATAGAACATGCACATGACCCGCAAGAAATTGAGGAGATGGAGAAGCGTAAAATTCTTCCCTTGGATTTCTCAGAGAGATAACTACTGTTAACAGTTTGTGTTTTGGATTTTCTAAGGATTACCATTTTAATGTCAAATAATGTGTTCCTTATTTAATCTTATTTATTTATTGGTGGAGACAGGGTCCCACTGTGTTGCCTAGGCTGGTCTTGAACCATCCTCCTACCTTGGCCTCTCAAAGTGTGGGGATTAGAGGCTTGAGCCACTGTACCTGGCCTTATTTAATCAACTTTAAGTAAGATCTGTTTACTCCTCGTTATGAAAGACAAATTTAACATAACTTTCACCCAGTCTTTCTTTCTTTTTCAGTTGTTTAGTTATTGTTACAGTATGAGTGTTTGATATTTAGTTTGTTATTTTAACTACAATTGAGTCTTTTCTGCTTTGTAAATTATTCTAAGACTTGAAAAGAAGGAACATTTACAATATTATGATTGTTTCATTGTTTGGCATTGCAAAACCAAATGATTTTATTGGACTCACTGAAAAGAAGAGAGACATTGAATTAGTTTAGATTGAAACAGTTCTGGTTGTCAAGGTCTACTGGATCTTTTTTTCCCTTAATGGCAAGTCTGTTGTTTCCTTAAAACTTGTGTCTTTTAACATTATGCAGATGTTCTTCAAAACTTGATTTTTTAAAAAGGTAGTTTGCTTTTTTTATGCCAAAGTATTTTAAAATACAATTCAGAAATCTTGACCTCCTATCTCTAAATAGTTAAATAGGCATTTTTAAAAAACATGTTAACATTTTGCTAGATAGCGAAATTAGCATTATAACATGTCTATTAGCATCTATAAAATAGAACTTTCTTATCATCTGTGCCTGTTGCTCTACACTGACATACATTTCTAGAAAGACAGGCTAAATGCTTAGTTCTTTCCTTTTAATTACTAATGAGGCTTTTAAATTTTTTTTTAACTTTTAAAGTAGGGAGTTGTTTGATAGCTGTGACAAATAGCTTTCTCTTTGATTATCATGGCTTCATGGATTTTCATGGGTGTACATCAGTAAATAGAATCGTTCTTTTTTGGTGCCAGTTGGTCACGGCTTTATCCTTTTACCAGTCGATGGACATTTAGGTTGTTTCCACTTCTTGGCTATTATGAATGATGTTGCTATGAACATTCATGTATAAGACTTTGTGTAGACATACGTTTTCGTTTCTTTTGGATATATGCTGGAGAGTGAAATTGCCAGGTCATATGGTAACTGTTTTTGAGGAACTGCCAGACTCTTCCACAGCAGCTGCACCATTTTACATTCCCCGCAGCAGTACATTCCAATTTCTCCATGTCCTTGCCAGTACTTGCTATTGTCTCTCTTTTTCATTATAGCCATCCTAGTGGGTGTTAAGTGGCATCTCATTGTGGTTTTGATTTGCATTCCCCAAAAAACTGGTGATGTTGAGCATTTTTTCATTTGCTAATTGGGCTTTTGTGCATCTTCTTTGGAGAGATCACTATTCAAATCCTTTACCCATTTTTAAATTGTGTTGCCTTTATTGTTAAGTTCTAAGCATTCTTTATATATTCTGAATATTAGATCTTTGTCAACTATATGATTGGCAAAGGTTTTCTATTCTGTGGGTGGTCAGTTTACTTCTTGACGGTGTCCTGTGAAGTACAGAAGTTTTTAATTTTGAGAAAAGTTCAATTTATCTGTTTTTTTTCTTTTGTTGCTTATGCTTTTAGTGTTGTAGCCAAGGCTTCACCTAACCTAAAGTCAAGAAAATTTACTCTTATATTTTCTTCTATGTGTTCTATACTTTTAGCTCTTATATTTAGGTCTTTTTTCCATCTTGTGTTAATTTTTGTGTGTGGTATGAGGAAGGAGTTCCAACTTCATTTTTTTTGCATGTGTATATCCTATTGTCCCAGCACCATTTGTTGAAAATACTGTGCTTTTACCATTGAACTGTCGGCACCGTTTTCAAAAATGAACTGACTTACAGCAAGAGGTTTATTTATGGACTCTAAATCTGCTCCATCTATATCTTTGTTATATTAGCCCATTCTCACACTGCTACAAAGAACTACCTGAGACTGGGTAATTTATGAAGAAAAGAGGTTTAATTAACTCATAGTTCTGCAGGCTTAACAGGAAGCATGACTGGGAGGCCTCAGGAAGCTTACAGTCATGGGAGAAGGTGAAGGAGAAGCAAGCACCTTCTTCTCAGGAAAGAGAATGAGAGAGTGAAGGGGAAAGTGCCATGCACTTTTAAACCATCAGATCTCGTGAGAACTCACTCACTATCATGAGAACAGCAAGGGGGAAATATGCCCTCGTGATCCAATCAGCTCCCACCAGACCCTTCCCCTGACATATGAGGAGTACAATTCAACATGAGATTTGGGTGGGGACACAGAAAAAACCATACCACCTGTCTTTATGCCAGGACCACACTGTCTGAATAACTGTAGCTTTGTAATAAGTCTTGAAATTGGGAAGTGCAAGCCTTCCAACTTTGTTGGGTTTCAAGATTGTATTGGCTGTTTGGGATCTGTTGCATTTCCCTGTGATTTTTAAGATCATCCTTTCAGTTTCTATAAATAAACCAGATAGGATTTGATAGCAATTGTGTTGAATCCGTAGATCAATTTGAGAAGTATTGCCTTTTTAACAGTATTAAGTCTTTCAATCCATGAACACAAAATATCTATTTAGGACCCTTTGATTTCTTTCAACAATGTTTTGCAACTTGCAATATATAGTCCTATATTTCTTTTGTTAAAATTATTCCTAAGTATTTATTCTTTTTACGCTATTGCAAATGGAATAGTTTTCTTAGTTTTATTTTCAGATTGCTCATTGCTAGAGTATAGAAATACAATTGATTTTTGTATGTTGATCTGTCATGATGGAGTCTTGCTCTTTTGCCTAGGCTGTAGTGCAGTGGTGCGATCTCAGCTCACTGCAACCTCCGCCTCCCGGGTTCAAGCGATTCTCCTGCCTCAGCCTCCCGAGTAGCTGGGATTATAGGTGCCTGCCACTATGCCCAACTAATTTTTTTGTATTTTTAGTAGAGATGGTTTCACCATGTTGACCAGGCTGGTCTCGAACTCCTGATCTTGTGATTCACTCACCTCAGCTTCCTAAAGTGCTGGGATTGTTTTAAAGGTTTAAGCAAGTTTTAAAACGTTAATTGTAAAGAAAATTCTGTGTGTAAACATATTAGCTAAAGTTAAAAAGGTATCATCCAGTTTTTCTGGGACATCCTTGTCTTTCTTGTTCATGATTTTTAAGGGAAAATATGAGGTCTTTAAAAATAAATATTACATTAGCCAGGCATGGTGGTGTGCACCTGTAATCCCAGTTATTTGGGAGGCTGAGGCAGGGGAATTGCTTGAACCCAGGAGACGGAGGTTGCAGTGAGCTGAGATTGTGCCATTGCGCTCCAGCCTGGATGACAGAACGAGAGACTGTCTCAAAAAAAAGAGAAAAAGTATCATGTTTACTGTATGTTTTTCAGAGGTGGTCATTTTTTAGGTTAACAAAGTTCCTCTTGTTGTTGTTGTTGTTGTTGTTTAAAGACAGGGTCTCATTTTGTCACCCAGGCTGTTGGAGTGCAGTGGCCTAATTGTGGCTCACTACAGCCTCAACTGCTTGGGCTCAAGCCATCCTCCCACCTCAGCCTCCCCAAATAGCTGGGACTACAGGTGTGTGCCACCACGCCCGGCTGATTTTTTGTTTGTTTGTTTGTTTGTTTGTTGAGCAAAGTCTTCCTTTGCCACTGAGGCTGGAGTGCAGTGGCATGGATGTCAGTTCAGTGCAACCTCTGCTTCCCAGATTCAAGCAATTCTCCTGCCTCAGCCTTCTGAGTAGCTAGGATTACAGGCTCACACCACTGTGCCTGGCTAATTTTTGTATCTTTAGTAGAGACAGAGTTTCACCATGTTGGCCAGGCTGGTCTTGAACTCCTGACCTCAAGTGATCTGCCCGCCTTGGCCTCCCAGAATGCTGGGATTACAGTCATGAGCCACCACACCATGTCCTAATTTCTTTTGTAGAGACAGGGTTTTGCTATGTTGGCCAGGGTGGTCTGGAACTCCTGAGCTCAAGCTATCAGCTCGCTTTGGCTTCCCAAAGTACTGCGATTATAGGCGTGAGCCACTGCACCCGGCTGAGAAAGTTCCCTATTTTGAGTTTGTTGATTGTTTTTTTTTTTTTTTTACATAATGAAAAGGGTTTTTTATTTCAGAGAAATTTTGTTTTACTGTTTCTTTGATTATTTCATTTCCTCTGTTCTTTTCTCTAGAAAGCCATTAGATAGTTTCAGGGTCTCTGTGCTATTCATGTTTCTTTTCTTTTGTGCTCCATTTAACCTTTTGTTTTATCTTCTGGGAGATTTTCTTATTTTCTTTTTCTTTCTTTTTTTTTTTTTTTGAGACTGAGTCTCACCATGTCACCCAGGCTGGAGTGCGGTGGCGTGATCTTGGCTCACTGCAACCTCTGCCACCCAGGTTCAAGCGATTCTTCTGCCTCAGCCTCCCGAGTAATTGGGACTATAGGCACATACCACCACACCCAGCTAATTTTTAAAAATATTTTTAGTAGAGACGGGGTTTCACCATGTTGGCCAGGCTGGTCTCGAACTCCTGACCTCAGGTGATCCACCTGTCTCGGCCTCCCAAAGTGCTGGGATTACAGGCATGAGACACCGCACCCGGCCTCTTCTGGGAGATTTTCTTGACATTGTCTTTTAGGTTACTGGCTGTGTATTCAGCTGTGTCCATTTTGATATTTAACCCACCTATTAAATTTTTAAACTTTGATAATCTTATTTTGTCAATTTGATTATTCATGTTCTTTACTTTTTTAATTTTTGTAGCTACAGTATACTTTTGATCCTCTCTGAACCTATTTTATTTTTTTCATCTTAAGAACCTTTAATACAGTTATCTAAATGCAGAGTTTCAGTTTATGAAATGAACCAAAGCAGTTTGTCATTTCATACTATAAACTATTGAAAATCAAGTGCTAAACTGATACTTTACTTTTAAAGTTGTTTATTGAATTATCTTTTAACTCTTATGATTAGGTATTGTTTTTTCGTCTTGGATTTTTCCTTTTGTGCTGTTGGGGTTGTCTTGAAAATGTATTTAGCTTAGTGGAATGAGGGATTAGAGTGATTAGGTGTTGGCATGGATTTTTTTTTTTTTTCTTTTTGGTAACATAGTCTCTTTGTTTTCCAGTTTGGCATTTCTAGATTTTAACACAGGACCAGGCACAGAGGGTCACATTTAATGTTGAATGAATGATCAGTTACAGCATTTTTTTCTCTAACGGATCTGAGCATTGTCACATGAGATCCCTATATTGTGTAGTACCTTTTACCTTTTGAAAACATTGTTTTCATTTTCATGAGGATTTTCTGCTTCCCAACTGAGGAATTTCCTAACTGCCAACGTCCTCAGTTAACTTTTGCATTTTTACTTATCAATGAGCTATTTATATGTGTATTTTTACAGAAAGCTTTAATTTGGAAACATCTAACACCCTTAGTTTGCTGGAAGACAACTTAGAGTCAGAAATAAGCATATTTAAACCCATATACCATATATCAAGAAATCTGTAAAGGGCCTTTGGATCCCTCTTCTATGGGATCTGGCAACACAGAGCCATTCCTACAACTCCCAAAAGCAGATCTCTATCCAGCACAGACAGACCCGGGTAGGCTGATGATCAATAACCAATGGAGGGGTGTATTTGCTGCATAGGAATAAATGGTAACCTTAGATAGTCTATGATTCCCCTTTGTCTTCTCTATTTCTCTGTTGGTATCTGATTGTTTGTATTATATTCAGAACTTGCATTATGGGTAATTAAAGTCCTTTGGAATGTGCTTTAAGTTTTTGAGGCTTTTCTTTACCCTTCTAGTGTATTGGAGCAGAAATGCTTATACTGCAGCATGGTGTTAAGGAAAGTGCGCACACTGTTTTTTGTTTACGGTATTCCACGGAAGTTAAGTGCTCACACTTTGAACTTCCTAACTGCCTACTTCCTCAGTTTACTTTTGCATTTTACTTATCATTGGGCCATATATATATATATGTGTGTGTGTGTGTGTGTGTGTGTGTGTGTGTGTCTTTTTTATTTTTATTTTTTTTTTGAGCTGGAGTCTCACTCTGTCACCCAGGCTGGAGTGCAGTGGTACGATCTCGACTCACTGCATCCTCTGCCTCCCAGGTTCAAGCGATTCTCCTGCCTCAGCCTCCCAAGTAGCTGGGACTACAGGCACGCACCACCACACCTGGCTAATTTTTTATATTTTTAGTAGAGACGAGGTTTCACCATATTGGCCAGGCTGGTCTTGAACTCCTGACCTCATGATCTGCCTGTCTTGGCCTCCCAAAGTGACAGGATTACAGGCATGAGCCACTGCACCCGGCCCTATGTGAGCTTTAATTTAGAAATATCTCACTACATCACTTTCTAACACCCTCAGTTTGCTGGAAGAAAACTTAGAATCAGATATAAGCATATTTAAACCAATATACCATATATCTAGAAATCTGTAGAAGTGTCTTTTAATCATTTGATTCTTTTTTTTATTTTTTATTTTTTGAGACAGAGTCTTGATGTGTCGCCCAGGCTGGAGTGCGGTGGCATGATCTCGGCTCACTGCAACCTCCACCTCCTGGGTTAAAGCAGTTCTCCTGCCTCAGCCTCCTGAGTAGCTGGGATTATAGGCACCCGCCCCCACGCCCAGATTATTTTTTTTTGTATGTTTAGTAGAGACAGGGTTTCACCATGTTGGCCAGGCTGGTCTTGAACTCCTGACCTCATGATCCACCCACCTCAGCCTCCCAAAGTGCTGGGATTACAGGTGTGAGCCACTGCACCCAGTCTAATCATTTGATTCTTATTGGCTCTTATTATAAATATAGTTCAGACAGTCATTTGTATAGAAACACATTGTAGGGCCGGGCGCGGTGGCTCACACCTGTAATCCCAGCACTTTGGGAGGCCGAGGTGGGGGGATCATGAGGTCAGGAGATCGAAACCATCCTGGCTAACCTGGTGAAAACACCGTCTGTACTAAAAAAAAAATACAAAAAATTACCCGGGAGTGGTGGCGGGTGCCTGTAGTCCCAGCTACTCGGGAGGCTGAGTCAGGAGAACGGCGTGAACCTGGGAGGCAGAGCTTGCAGTGAGACGAGATCGTGCCACTACACTCCAGCCTAAGTGACAGAGCAAGACTCCATCTCAAAAAAAAAAAAAAAAAAAAAAAAAAAAAAAAAAAAAAATAGAAACACATTGTAAAAGGAGAGGATTGTAAAAGCAATCAAATGATAACTGAAGGAAATCTTCAGTTATACAAATGCTTGTATCCTAGTGCATTATAATACTTGAGGTTCATAATGATGACCCTTAATTAGTAAGGAAAGATTGGATTTGCTGCATCCTAGAGTAGAGAACATATTTAGTTATTTGGAATTATATAGACTTGGTGCTCCCCCCCAAGACCCCCACCGCAAGACGGAGTCTTGCTCTGTCACCCAGGCTAGAGTGCAGTGGTGTGATCTCAGCTCATCGCAACCTCCACCTCCCGGGCTCAAGCAATTCTCATGCCCCAGCCTCCTGAGTAGCTGGGATTACAGGCGCCCACCACCACGCCTGGCTAATTTTTTTTGTTTTGTATTGTTTTTTTTTTTTTTTAGTAGAGATGAGATTTCACCATGTTGGCCAGGCTGGTCTTCAACTTCTGATCTTAGCTGATCCACCTGCCTCAGCCTCCCAAAGTGCTGGGATTATACGCCTGAGCCACCGCACCCAGCCTCAAATCATAAACTTTTTTTTGTTTTTTGAGACGAAGTCTCACTCTGTTGCCCAGGCTGGAGTGAAGTGACACAATCTTGGCTCACTGCAAGCTCCGCCTCCCAGGTTCAAGCGATTCTCCTGCCTCAGCCTCCCCAGTAGCTGGGATTACAGGTGTGCGCCACTGCGCCTGGCTAATTTTTTGTATTTCCAGTAGAGATGGGGTTTCACCATGTTGGCCAGGCTGGTCTTGAATTCCTGACCTCAGGTCATCCACCCACCTCGGCCTCCCAAAGTGCTGGGATTACAGACATGAGCCACTGTGCTCAGCCTCAAATCATAAACTTTTTAAAGGTTTATCCCTGACCCTCTAAATTAGGTTATGTGCCTTGTTATATGCTCTTTTAGCACTTATCCTAATTGTGATTGTGTATTTATTATATGATTGTTTATTCAACAGTTTCTTTCAACAAATATTTACCAAGTGTTTAGTAAATCTTGTTTTGGATTGTAAGCTTCATTAAGGCAGAGTAAGGACTGGGTCTGTGGTTTCTCTTACCATGTGTACCTAGCACCTAGCACAGTGCTTAGACATAGGGAGTACTTAATAAATAGTCATTGAATGTATACATTAAAATGGCGTTAATAATGCTGCCTATCTGATGAGGCTGTTGTGAGCCTTCAATGAAATCGTGTGTAGGAAGTGCTAGTTTGCTCACAGGCTGGTGGTAACAGTCTACTGTGGTCATTGAGAGCAGTTATTGTGGACACAACCCCCAGTTCTGGTCACCCCACCCACTAGCTCTGTGAACTCACATAGGTACTTAATATCTCTGATTTTTATTTTATTTATTTGTAAAATGGAACTAATAATTACAACCACCTTATAGGACAGAGTCTTGCTCTGTCACCCAGGCTGGAGTGCAGTGGTGTGATCTCATCTCACTGCAACCTCCGCCTCCCAGGCTCAAGCAATTCTCCTGCCTCAGCCTCCTGAGTAGCTGGGATTACAGGTGTGCACCACTGTGCCTAGCTAATTTTTGTATTTTTAGTAAGATAGGGTTTTGCCATGTTGGCCAGGCTGGTCTCGAGCTTCTGTCCTCAAGTGATCCACCTGATTCAGCCTCCCAAAGTGCTAGGATTACAGGTGAGCCACCTGACCCAGTCTCCTTATAGGATTTTGTAAGAATTAACCTGTGACAATGACAGTGAAACATTTAGGTTACAGTAACTTGTTCAATAGTTGGTGGTTATACCATTGTTAATATGTTAATGAGTAAGAACAGTAATCAAAAGAATATGTAGAAAGTATCAGAAGAAATTCACATGTGGAAATGCTGTATTCTCTGATGAGATAGTAGTACTGTATTTTTACCATTCCATGATTCTCAGAATATTGAATATTTTCTACTTATGTCTGTGATGGGTCATACTTTGTTAGCTGCAGTTTTACCTTGTTTTAAAAAGTACTGTTAGGCTAGGTGTGGTGGCTCACGCCTGTAATCCCAGCACTTTGGGAGGCTGAGGCGGGCGGATCATGAGGTCAGGAGATCAAGACCATCCTGGCTAACACAGTGAAACCCTGTCTCCACTAAACATACAAAAAATTAGCCAGGCATGGTGGCGGGTGCCTGTAGTCCCAGCTACTCGGGAGGCTGAGGCAGGAGAATGGCATGAACCCGGGAGGCAGAGCTTGCAGTGAGCCCAGATCGTGCTACTGTACTCCAGCCTGGGTGACAGAGCAAGACTACATCTCAAAAGAAAAAAAAAAAAAAGTATTATTGAGAATATAATATAATTAACCTGAATAGGTTAATTATATTGTGGAACCTAAACCGTATAAATTTAAAATGCCTTAGAATGCCCAGTCAGCAAGTGACAGTATTAGAAATCAACCTGGATTTTAGACCGCTGTGTGTTCATGGATAATGTTTGTGTGTTTAGGAGACTATTCTGAATAGTGGTTCACAGTCCTTTACATGCATCCCCTGTGCATTGGATGCTTCACTAGCCTTTTCTGACTAAAGCATATGAAAATACAAGTGAAAAAGGCAAGTTATTACAGGAATAACTTTTCATTTTCTCTAATTTTCATATTTTAAAAATTCATTTGTAAGCATTTGATACTTTAAACCTGTTTACAGGAACTTGGTATAAACCACCATGTCCAGCCCTTTGTCTCATATTTGAATTGTTTTACTTTCTTCTTGGCCACGTGGCCCTGACTTCTCACTTTCATAAGAAGGGGTTTGTATTGTGGAGATACAAATTATGGAGTTGTTTGCATTAATACAAGTGTTTGTGGAAAAAGATGCCAAACTTTCCTGTGATTGGTAATGCACCTTTATTGTAGGCTCAGCAAAACAGTCCCTCATCTACGGGATCTGGCAACACAGAGCATTCCTGCAGCTCCCAAAAACAGATCTCCATCCAGCACAGACAGACCCAGGTAGGTTGGTGATCGATAATCAATTGAGGGGCATACCTGCTGTGTAGGAATAAGGGCTAACCTGTGTAGTCTGTCATTCTTCTCTGACTTCTCTGTATTTCTCTGACCACCTCATTATTTGTGTGTATTATATTCATAACTTGCATTATGGGTATTTAAAGTCCTTTGGAAGGTGCTTTAACTTTTTGAGGCTTTTCTTTACTCTTCCGGTGTATTGTAGCAGAAATGCTTATGCTAAAGCATGGTGTTAAGGAAACTGCACACCTTTTTTTTTTTTTTTTCCCTACAGTATTCCACAGAAGAAAAGTACCTACGCTTTGAAGGCCTCTAAGTTCAGATTCTGGCCTGGGCCTCAGTTTTTCTTAGTACAAATCATCTGTGAAAATATGGTTGATTCTCATGATCTCAGACAGTGTATACAAAATGTTTATTAGTAGTGTACTTGTAGTAGGCTTTCAATAAATGTTAATTCTCTAATTTATGAAAGTAGTTAATGTATTCCTTTTCCTGCTTACTTATTTATACCTGGCTAAACTTCTCTCAGATGTGAGATACCAACATGGTTTACTCCTTAAATTGTGTTCAGAAACTCTTTAATTTAGGTAGTGTTCTGAACATTTGAGGATTGTATCTGCAAAGGATGGTGGCTATAGCTTCCATTTTGTAGTTTTGAGTATACTGGGTTTTCTTGAAGGCTCTTTTGATACTATATATATTACCTTCAAGACAGGATCGTTGGCAATCTAGGAGAATTTCTTAAATCTCAAGAGGTATACAACTCCCTGGAGCACATTTGAATTTTATCTAAATCACCAGCTCTTGTACAGTTCAGTTAGATAGTTGAGCACTCAGGTAGCTTCTTCTCTTCCCTTCTGATTGCTCTCTGTTTCCACCAGATGGCGCATTTGTTCCTTAGAGAGTTGTGTGTCAAGTCTCCTGTGAGATCCTTTTCTATTCAAAGTTAGTTTCATTTCTGGAGTAACGTGTTTCTACATTGTTCAGTGCACAGTAGTGAGAATTCATACATTTGATTCCAGAATTAACATGTGTTTGAAGTGTAGGTGTAGTGGGACATAAGGAACCCAGCAGAGGACTTGAAGAATGAGATGAGACAAGCAGATTTCATTTCTTAAGCCATGTGATTCTAGGCCATTTGTGTGAGCAAGTGCTTTTTCCCACCCCCCCGAGAAAGGTAATGAGAAGAGTGTGATGACATATAACATGTTGAGACTAATCCTAAATTTGTTTTACCTTTGTCTCTGTAGTCCGACCTCACAATAGAAAAAATATCTGCACTAGAAAACAGTAAGAATTCTGACTTAGAGAAGAAGGAGGGAAGAATAGATGATTTATTAAGAGTAAGTATTAAAATGTAAGAGATTTTATAGCAAGCACCATTTGTTATATATATTTGGATTATGTACATATCATAGAAGTAATTACTATAGCCAAATAACAATGAAATAATAAACATTTGGGTATTTTTCTTTAATTGAGGGAATCTGAGTAGGAACCAGGTTCCTGCATTCTAAACACTACCTTTAAATTGGAAATCTTATACTGTAGTGTTTTAATGATTGAATTTATATTGGAGAAATAGATATGTGGAGTGTTATATTTCATCTAGAACTGTGGGAATAAGTATAAAGTGTTGTTTTCCCATTCCAGAGAAGTTATTTTAATATTGTTGAATTTTATAAGCTATTTCAAAGGACTTATTAGCCCATTTTGCTTTTTGTACCTTTTATAACCTACTCACCCAAACTTTTTTGTGCTTACAAAAGAAACCTTTAAAATGCTTCATCTGGAATTAAATAGATACCACTAGAAAATATCAATATATTTTGAATATGCAATTTGGCATGACTGACTCATAGTTTTTAAAGAGTAAAAAGGGCCGGACATGGTGGTTCACACCTGTAATCCCAGCACTTTGGGAGGCCAAGGCAGGTGGATCACTTGAGGTCAGGAGTTTGGGACCACCCTGGCCAACATGGTAAAAAGAAACCCTGTCTCTACTAAAAAAATATAAAACGTTATCCTGGTGTGGTGGCAAGCGGCTGTAGTCTAGCTACTTGGGAGGCTGAGACAGGAGAATTGATTGAGCCTGGGAGGCGGAGGTTGCAGTGAGCTGAGATTGCGCCACTGCATTCCAGCCTGGGCGACAGAGTGATACTTTGTCTCAAGAAAAAAATAAGAAAGTAAAAAGGACCGGGCATGGTGGCCCATACCTGCCACTTTGGGAGGCTGAGGCAGGAGGATTGCTTGAGATCAGGGGTTTGAGACCAGCATGCATGACACAGCAAGACCCCATTTCTATAAAAGAATACAAAATTTGCCAGGCATGGTGGTGTGTCTGTGGTCCCAGCTACTGGGAGCGTGAGGTGGGAAGATGCTTGAGCCCAGGACCTCTAGGCTACAGTGAGCCAAGTTCACGCTGCTGTGCTCCAGCATGGACAACAGAGCAAGACCCTGCCTCAAAAAAAAAAAAAAATTATACATGCTCTTTACAAAATACAGAAAAATGTGTCACTCATAATTCCATTAATTGGGATTAAACATTTGGTACATTTTTTTTTTCAGTAATTTTGAGCTGTTTGAAGTAGATATGTGTGTGTATATATACACACACACACACACAAATGAATATATACATAAATGTTACTGATTTATGAATAACATTGGCTAGCATTTTTCTCTTTAGTGATTTAGAAGGTATAGGTTTAATCCTTATTTGTGCTAATGTGGTAGTTAATCTGACTCTTCAGGGTCCTGAAACCTCCAGGGCTACTGTGACACTGCAAGGTGGGGATCGGCAGCCTTGCCTTTGTCAGTCTTTCTTACTAGGCTTTGGGTACAATTTTGTTTGAATATATGTTTAATAATACAGATTATAAAAGTCACTGTACTCATGATGATCTGACTTCCAAAATTGTTTTACTTGTATTATATTTCTGTACTTAATGAAAACATAGGGTAAAATAGTGTATTTTGACTCCTTTTTATATAAAACCTGGAATTCAGCACATAGCTAAACTAAGTCTGGCCTTTATTAGTAAAGTCTGGTGTGTTTATATTATTATTAATTTTTTTTTTTTTTTTTGAGACAGAGTCTTGCTCTGTCGCCCAGGCTGAAGTGCAGTGGCGTGATCTCAGCTCACTGCAACCTCCGCCTCCTGGGGTCAAGCAATTCTCCTACCTCAGCCTCCTGAGTAGCTGGGATTACAGGCGCCCGCCACCACGCCCAGCTAATTTTTGTATAGTAGAGACGGGGTTTCACCATGTTGGTCAGGCTGGTCTCGAACCCCTGACCTTGTGATCCACCCACCTCGGCCTCCCAAAGTGCTGGGATTACAGGCGTGAGCCACCGCGCCCGGCTATTATTATTAATTTTATATATTTATTTTGAGACAGGATCTCACTCTGTCACCCAGGCTGGAGTGCAGTGGCGCAGTCTTGCAAGCTGTGCGCTCCCCAGTCCCCGCCTGATGTGATCCTCCCACCTTGGCCTCCCAAGTAGTTGGGACTATAGGCATGTGCCACTACATTTGGCTGTTTATATTATTAATTAATTATTAATTTTTTGAGACAGAGTCTCACTTTGTCACCCAGGTTCAAGTGATTCTCCTGCCTCTGCCTCCCAAGTAGCTGGGATTACAGGCATGCCCCACAATGCCTGGCTAATTTTTGTATTTTTAATAGAGATGGGTTTTTGCCACATTGGCCACACTGGTCTCGAACTCCTGACCTGCAGTGATCAGCCTGCCTTGGTCTGCCAAAGTGCTGGGATTACAGGCGTGAGTCACTGCGCTCGGCCTATATTATTATTGTTAAATTACCATTCTTACTGCTATATATGATACTAAGTTCTTATGTATAGAGTATAGGCAGAGGCAGCTTTATGACCAAATTTGTAGTCATTGTTAGACTTGTTTATTCAACTGATTTCAAAACTTATCAGCAGTATTTTTTTTATTTATAGTTTTTGTTTTATCTGTTGATGGTGGTACATTTTTAAGTGATTATTTTTCAGCAAGGATTTGTCAGTGTTAAATTTTCTCTGCCTTACCGACCTGAGAATTCTCTCTTTTGCCCTCCCGTGGAAAGACAACACTGTGTGCAGGATTTTTGTGTCATAACCCCTTGTTCTATTCGTTCTGCCTCTCAAATATAACACGCATTCTCTCTCTCTGTTTCTCCTTCAGTTTTTCAAGCATTTCGTATTTCAGAGAGGTTCATGACCAAAGCAGCAAACACCATAATTTGTTAAATATTACCCCAGGGTGTCTCTATATGTGGGTTTATATATTTTTATTTGGAAAATGTGTGATTATGTCTAACTATGCTTTTATCCCTCTTTATATTGGTTTCTTCTTGACTCTTAGCTTGAATCTCTGATTTCTCTCCTTTATTTCTCACATGTTATGTCTTATTTTAATATGATTGCCCCTTTCTTCTGAATCTCATTAAACACTGTCTTCCATATATTTCTGGCATTTACTGCAGCTCGTGTGAATTTTGATTTTATTGTTTACATTTTTATTTTTTGAGACAGTGTCTTGCTGTTGCCCAGGCTGGGTGCAGTGGCACCGTCATGGCTCACTGCAGCCTTCATCTCCCAGGCTCAAGCAGTCCTCTCACTTCAGCCTCCTGAATAGCTGGGACTACAGGCATGTGCCACTGTGCTTGGCTAATTTTTTTATTTTTTGTAGGAACAGGGTCTCATTATGTTGTCCAGGCTGGTCTTGAACTCTTGGGCTCAAGCAAACCTCCTACCTTGGCCTCCCAAAGTGCTGGGATAACAGACGTGAGCCACCGTGCCAGGCCTATTATTTACATTTTAAATTTCCCTGCTTTTTTCCCTCATCTAATATACTTTCTTACCCCATCTTGTATATTCTCTAGGGTTTTTGGTTCCTATTTCCTAGATATCACGTCTTTTTGCATTTTATGAAATATGACAAGAAGTATTCTAAAATGTTCTTTTGATTTCTATGGGTGATCATTTTCATTGTTTTCAAGCTGATTTTCTGTATTCCTTGGGCCTATTTTTGTTGTTGTTTTTATTTACTATTGTTATTTTTATTTCCTTTCCTCCATCTTTGAATGAGGAGACCCATATGTAGTCTCAGCACTGTGTTGTATTTTTCATTGTTCGGATATGTATACTTGCATGGAGTTGCTCTTATTCCTGTTTTTATTCATCTGGGTGCTGGTTGAATTGCCATCGAAGATTTATAATGAAATGGTTTGTGGGTGTAAAAAGCTCCTTGCCAAATTCCAGTATCTGTCAGGGTTTTGTACAGAGAAGCTCTGCTGTACTGAGGAAGAATTGTGGGCGTGCCTTTCTCCATCATCTGACTCTTTAAGATTGAGATGACAGAGTATGAGAAAAACTTGAATCCTAACTTGGTACTGCTTTAGGAGTTTCAAAAAAATGTTTGCTTATGTTTTCTAATAAGCAATATGTTTCCTTCACTCACTACTGTCCCTTCTACTCCGTCGTCTTCAGACTGTTGCAGTCTTTATTTGTATGTAGAGCAGTACTAAAGGAGTAGATAAATAAAAAAGGAAGACACAGAGGGCAGCTGCCTTGTTTTTAGGTTGATTAGAACTTGTGCTTCTAGAAGATCTAGAGGATCGACAGTGAGGGAAAGACTACATGTCTTGTATATTCTTTCAGACGTCATTCATTGAATTTTGCCATTTTAATAAGATGTTGGGTATGGCTGCATTGGGAGCTACTAGCCAGCTGCTTTTTTTTTTTCTTTTTTTTAATTAAAAAAAAAGGACACAGTGTCTTGCTCTGTCTCCCAGGCTGGAGTGCTGTGGTGCAATCACAGCTCACTGCAGCCTCGACCTCCCAGGCTCAAGCAATCCTCAGCCTCCCGAACAGCTGGCATCAGAGGCGCATGCCACCACACATGGCTAATTTTCAAAATTTTATAGAGACTAAGGTTTTGCCATGTTGCCGAGGCTGGTCTTGAACTCCTGGGCTTAATTGATGCTCCTGCCTCGGCCTCCCAGAGTGCTGGGATTATAGGCATGAGCCACGCTCACCAGCTGCCAGCTGTTACTTTAAACATGAACTCCTCGAAGACATTAGTGTCAGAAGCCACAAAAACTTAGAATTATTAAAATTTTAAATAACTGCCAAGAGGTTGATGGATTTCATACATTTGATTATAGATTTCAAGGGAACACTCACCTTATGAGTAGACTGGGTTTTCCATATACATTAAATGATCTTTGCTTCGTAGATTCTTTACTATGAATTTGGTAATCACACTTACCCAAATGTAGTTACACTCTGTCTTTGATAATATGGTTCTGTACAAAAACTAACAGGAAGAAATTATGCTGATGGGGAGAGGAGAAACATTTGGAGACAGAAGCTGTTTCTCATGGGTTACTTTAAAAATGATGCTATATTATACAAAAGAAAAAATGATAAAAATTTTTAATGAAGCTACAAGGTCTCAAAAATTGAGTATCGTGTGATATCTTCTGTTTGTGCCTTTTAGTATTTTAGGAACACATAACAGGTTTTTCTTTTTCATAATTTAAGTGAGTTTTTATGAGGTAACATTATTTGCTAGAAGAGCTGAGATCTTTTTTTTAACACAAAAGGAATAAATTCAGGACTTGCAAGTCAAATTCGTCCTTGGGTTAGTGGTTCTTTCCTTCTCTGTTATTGCAGGAGGCTTTAAGTTTTTAGTCCACACTGTAGGCTTCTGACCACAGCTAAATTAGCTGTATATTTACATTCTGGCATTCTTGAACCAGGACGTTGTTTGTTTGTTCTGTCTTTTGTGGGCATGGGCGTGCCTGGCTTCTCTGGTGAGGAACATTTATGCAAATTTATCTTTCTTAAATGCGACTAGAAAAAGAACAAAGCAAACATAAAATTCAGTAATTTTTTTGTATGTGCTTAATCACTCTTTGTATTTTAAACATTCATTGTAGTTTATTTTTTTTTTATTTTTTATTTTTTTTTTTGAGATGAAGTCTTACTCTGTCACCTAGGCTGGAGTGCAGTGGCGTGATCTTGGCTCACTGCAGTCTTCGCCTTTGAGTTCAAGCGATTCTCCCGCCTCAGCCTCCCGAGTAGCTGGAATTACAGGCTCCCGCAACCATGTGTGGCTAATTTTTTTATATTTAGTAGAGATGGGGTTTGACCACGCAGGCCAGGCTGGTCTTGAACTCCTGACCTCAAGTCATCTGCCTGCCTCGGCCTCCCAAAGTGCTAGGATTGCACGCATGAGCCACGATTCCCAGCTTTAACATTTTTTTAATTATTATTTTGTGATAGCTTAGGTGTTTGTGATTACAAGAGTAGCTGTAACTGGTTATTGGCAGGAGCAAAATATGATCAGTAGAAAAACATGCCCAAATTAGTAATTCAATTTATCATTTACAAATAGATGATATGTTATGAGAGAATAAAGGAATGAATTATTTACTTTTTCTAAGACATAGTTACTTCTTACCTGTTTGAACTTTAATTTTGCTTTTGATAAAACAACATATAGAAATGATTTTTTTTTCTCTCCCTAGAAACTGCTTTTCCATTAATCTTCTTCCTTGGAGCTAATTAAAAATTTTTTTCTCATTGAAGGCCAACTGTGATTTGAGACGGCAGATTGATGAACAGCAAAAGATGCTAGAGAAATACAAGGAACGATTAAATAGATGTGTGACAATGAGCAAGAAACTCCTTATAGAAAAGGTTAGTGAATAATGTTGGTCTAAACTCTGTATCCCAAGATACTCAATGTGTGTCATTGTGTGGCTTCTTATTCCTTACTTGAGATGAAAATATTTAAAAGTAGAGCTTTTTAGGAACATGATTTGACAATTAGAATTTTTTCCTTACATGGACACCAGACCAACCATCCAGAGTGTTAATTTGGGATATGCTTTGTTGCTGTGCATTGCTTTGAGTGTGATATTGAACAGAGACAGCTTGTCCTAGTTGAGTTTATTTGGGGTATTGCTCTCCTATATTCTTATATTCATTCTATCAATTGAAGTGAGTATCCTATTACTATTAGAATCATTAACAATAGTTGCATTTTTGTTTCAGAGATGGCATTTAGAATAACTTATGTATATAATAATGTGATAATTAATGCTTTGTGCATTAAAAAATTAAAGTTGTCATATACCTGCATATGATTACTTAATTGGCTGATGTCCTCTTTATTATATTCATTGGTTAATTATCACTTATCTCTGTTAATAGGTATTAGTAACTATTAGAATTTTTTTTTTTTTTTTTTGAGGCTGAGTCTCATCCAGGCTGGAGTGCAGTGGCATGATCTCAGCACACTGTAGCCTTCGCCTCCCAGATTCAAGCAATTCTCCTGCCTCAGCCTCCTGAGTAGCTGGGTTTATAGGCGTGCGCCACCATGCCCGGCCAATTTTTGTATTTTTTTTTTAATTATACTTTAAGTTTTAGGGTATATGTGCACAACATGCAGGTTAGTTACATATGTATACATGTGCCATATTGATGTGCTGCATCCATCAACTCGTCATTTAACGTTAGGTGTATCTCCTAATGCTGTGCCTCCCCACTCCCCACAACCCACAACAGGCCCCGGTGTGTGATGTTCCCCTTCCTGTGTCCATGTGTTCTCATTGTTCAATTCCCACCTATGAGTGAGAACATGCAGTGTTTGGTTTTTTTGTCCTTGCGATAGTTTGCTGAGAATGATGGTTTCCAGCTTCATCCATGTCCCTACAAAGGACATGAACTCATCATTTTTTATGGCTGCATAGTATTCCATGGTATATATGTGCCACATTTTCTTAATCCAGTCTATCATTGTTGGACATTTGGATTGGTTCCAAGTCTTTGCTATTGTGAATAGTGCCACAATAAACATACATGTGCATGTGTCTTTATAGCAGCATGATTTATAATCCTTTGGGTATATACCCAGTAATGGGATTGCTAGGTCAAATGGTATTTCTAGTTCAAGATCCCTGAGGAATTGCGGGGTTTCGCCATGTTGGCCAGGCTGGGCTTGAACTTCTGACCTCAAGTGATCCACCCGTCTCGGCCTCCCAAAGTGCTGGGATTACAGGCGCTCACCACTGCGCCCAGCCTATTTCTTAGAAGTTTTAAGAAGACAGTACTTCCTAATGACAATATTACAAGAACAAACTAGAGGTTTGAGATATACTGGAGATTTATTTTCCTGAAATGTTTGGAATGTTGTTAAAAAGACAGGAAACACTGTCTTTCAGTAAAAGTGAAATGAATTATTTTATTGAGGCCGAAGATACTGGGGGAAATTTTGTTTCATTCTTTGACTCATTAATCAACTTTATAGAAAAGAAACCACTTTTTAAAATTTTTTCTGAGAGTGAGAAAAAATAAAATATATGCTAATCCAGATAATTTCTTTGAAGTTTTAGAATACTTCCTGAAATCAGCAGAGATTCAGCCAGTTGTTCTAAACTCTAAATAGCATACTACAAAAAGTAAACATAATGCTGTCTCTGAGTTCTCACAGGAAAACAACTTTCTCTTTGCTAGGAGTAGTATATAACAAAATTTAAATTTGTTTCCAAAAGAACTGAAATTGTAGTATCTACTTACTGACTTTCTAAATAGGGAGTATTTATTGAGTATCTGCTACACCGTGATGCAATATAAAGCAGCATAAATGGACTGGGTGTGGTGGCTCACGCCTGTAATCCCAGCACTTTGGGAGGCCAATGAGGGTGGATCACTTGAGGTCAAGAGTTCGAGATCAGCCTGGCCAACATGGTGAAACCCCATCTCTACTAAAAATACAAAAATTGGCTGAGTGTGGGGGTGTGCGCCTGTAATCTTAGCTACTCTGGAGGCTGAGGCACGAGAATCACTTGAACCTGGGAGGCGGAGATTGCAGTGAGCCTGAGATCATGCCATTTCACTCCAGCCTAGGTAGTAGAATGAGACTGTCTCAAAACAAAAAACACACAAATGAAAATGCAATCATAGAGTGCAATGTTATCTTTCATAGAATTTGAATACTTTAAAAATTTTAAAACTCTTATAACTTAATCATAAAAAGACAACTCATTAATAATGAGCAAGAGACTTGAACAGATAGTTTACAAAAAAAGAGTGTATAAAAATACGCAAATGGCAAGCATGAAAAGATGTTTAATGTCATTATCCATCAGGAAAACTCAAGGTAAAACCAGCGTGAGATAGTACTACAAACCCAGTAGAATGACTAGAAATAAAAAAAACCTGACAGATCCAAGGGTTGGTGAAGATGAGGGGCAGCCTGATTTGTTACACCAATAGAAATGTAAAATATTACAGCTACTTCAGAAGGTTTTTGGACAGTTTTTCTATTTGAGATAAATATGTACTAAATCCTGTGATCCAGCAGTTCCTCTCCTGGCATTTACCCAAGACAAACAAAAGCAAATGTTGGCCGGGCATGGTGACTCACACCTATAATCCCAGCACTTTGGGAGGCTCAGGGAGGAGGATCACTTGAACCCAGGAGTTTGAGACTAGCCTGGGCAGCACAGCAAGACCATCTTTATTTTTAAAAACAGAAGAAAGTAAATGTCCATAAAAGTACTTGTATGAGAATATTCATGGGAATTTTATTCATAGCCAAAAAGTGGAAACATCCTAGGTGTCTGTTAACAAGTGAATGTAGATACAAATTATTATATTGTCATACAGTGGAATACTACTCAGTAATAAAAAAAGAATGAATTTCTCATAATAGAACAGCTTGCATGAATCTAAGAAACAAAAGACACAGTTCCTGCCATCAGAGGGTTAACAGTCTACATGAGGGTGGGCGAATAAGACACATTCACATATATAAGGAAACCTATTCAGATGAGCAGTGCACATATTAAGAATTCACTAAAATTAGCTGGGTGTGGTGGCACACACCTGTAGTCCTAGCTACTCAGGAGGCTGAGGTGGGAGGATCATTGGAGCCAGGAGTTGGAGGCTGTAGTAAGCTGTGATTGCACTGCTGCACTCCAGCCTGGGCAACAGAGTGAGACCCTGTCTCTTAAAATAAAAAAAAAGAAAATAAATTCACTAAAATAAATCAAGGGCAGGGGACTAATTGGAGAAAGCTATAAAGAAGAGGAAAAATGTGTTCTGGGCATGGAAAACTGCAGCTATAAATTGCCTGTTGGTTGAAATAGACAGGACATCTCAAGGACTTTTATCCCATGGTATCATCTCTCACAGTACTTTATTCTTTTCCTTTGAATTCTTTACCGCGTCTGTACTTAGAATTACCAATTAATATATTTAGTGGTTATAACTCCCCCTCTCTCTAGGCTGTGAACACCAGTTTTTTTCTATGTCCTATACTTAACATTCTTACAGTTCATGACGTATAATTGGTTTTAAATAAACCTGTGTTCAATGAATGATGTTCTCAAGAATCAGGAGTATATAAGGTGTTTTGGAGTAAGAATTCTGCAGGGAGGCAGATCTTCTAGCGCATTGAGGGGTTTTTCTTGTCTGGATCCAAAGTTTGGTAGCAGAGACCCATGGAAGATTTGGAACATCAAACTGGAAGTGTGCAAAGTGGTGTTCTGAGAAGATGAATTGGTAACAGTTCTCTAGAAAATATTAGATAGAGAAGAAACAGAAAATAGGGAAACAGCTTAAGAGCTAGGCATTGATGTGGCCCAAATGTGAGATGCTGAACTCTAAGATTAAAAACATGTAGGCAGGCTGGGTGCAGTAGCTTAGGCCTGTAATCTCAGCACTTTGGGAGGTGGAGGTGGGCTGATCACTTGAGGCCAGGAATTCAAGACCAGCGTGGCCAACATGGCGAAACCAGTCTCTACTAAAAAATACAAAAATTGGCCGGGTGTGGTGGCTCACGCCTGTAATCTCAGCACTTTGGGAGGCCAAGGCGGGCAAATCATGAGGTCAGGAGTTCAAGACCAGCCTGGTCAACACAGTGAAACCCCGTCTCTACTAAAAATACAAAAATTAGCTGGGCATGGTGGCATGTGCCTGTAGTCCCAGCTACTTGGGAGGCTGAGGCAGGAGAATCGCTTGAACCCGGGAGGTGGAGGTTGCAGTGAGCCGAGATCCCACCACTGCACTCCAGCTTGGGCAACAGAGTGAGACTTCGTCTCAAAAAAAAAAAAAAAAAAAAAAATTATCCGGACGTGGTGGCATGCACCTGTAGTCCCAGCTACTCAGGAGACTGAGGCAGGAGAATCGCTTGAACCCGGGAAGAAGAGGCTGCAGTGAGCCGAGATCATGACTCTGCACTCCAGTCTGGGTGATAGAGCAAGACTCTGTCTTAAAAAAAAAAACAAACAAAAAACCAACCAAACAAACAAAAAACCCCACACACACATAGGCAGATTGGGAAAGCTTTACCTGTGAAGAACTTGTGGTTGTTTCATTATTCTATCTTGTCTACTTTGTTTGAATAGGAATAGTTAGTCATCCGAGGAGTCATTACTGACTGTTCTGAGAAGTGTATGGTTTTCAATAATATGTTTCCTGATAATGTTAAATGTTTTAGTTTCTAAGAAGTGTCTTTATCCATGCTAATTGGTATTGAATTCCTTTTTTTGTCTGTTTCCCCTAAGTCAAAACAAGAGAAGATGGCGTGTAGAGATAAGAGCATGCAAGACCGCTTGAGACTGGGCCACTTTACTACTGTCCGACACGGAGCCTCATTTACTGAACAGTGGACAGATGGTTATGCTTTTCAGAATCTTATCAAGTAAGTGAATTGTTATGATTAAATGGAGAATTGAAAAGTTCGTTTGCATTTTTTAGGTTTTCTGTAATTGTAGTCATTAATAATCCTACTATTGGTAGTCATCTTTTCAGTTAGTTTTTTAGTCACCACATGTGGAAAGAAATGTATCGAATGAGGTGAAGTCCTGAAAAAAAACGACACAAGTAAAATCAGGAGTACAAAATGAGTTCCAGAAAATAAATAAAGTATGAGTTCAGGCCAGGCGCGGTGGCTCACGCCTGTAATCCCAGCACTTTGGGAGGCCGAGGCGGGTGGATCATGAGGTCAGGAGTTCAAGACCAGCCTGGCCAACATGGTGAGACCCTGTCTCTACTAGAAATACAAAAATTAGCCAGGCGTGGTGGCAGGCGCCTGTAATCCCAGCTACTTGGGAGGCTGAGGCAGAGAACTGATTGAACCTGGGAGGTGGAGGTTGCAGTGAGCCGAGATCGTACCACTGCACTCCAGCCTGGGCGACAGAGCAAGACTCCATCTCAAAAAAAAAAAAAAAAAAGAATGAGTTCTGCATTAAAACTTAAAAGAATCAGAATTGCTGAAGCTAAGGAAGAAAAACCTAGGGTTTGACTTTCTATCTTTCTAATTATATAATGAATTTTCATTAAGAGTCTATTGAGCATTTCTTCTGGATCCACAGAAAAATGAAATGTGAAAGGACCTGAGAAAGAATTTCCTGAGATAAGTTTAGGTATAAAGCAGAATAAAACCACTGAAGAACTTTATAGGACATGTTCCTGGGATTATTTAAGGAGACAGTGTCCAGTCATCAGAGAGTCACTTCCTGGAAGGCAGTGGTGACCAGCCCCACTGTGTGTGCCTGTGTGCAGCTTGGAATCTTGAACATTCATTGTCTTTGTCATAACTTTTGATTTGAAACATTCAGGTATTTATTCCAATGAGGGAATTAACATTTAAAATCCTCAAATTCCAACTGTGTGACTAGCTACCGTTAGCTTAGATCTTTAAATGTATATAGATATCTTCAGATTGCAGTACCTTTTGGTGAATCTTCTTTTTTTTTTTAATCTCTAGGTCATGATGAGTTGGAAGGGTCTATAGACTGCCTTTCTTTCCTGTGTTTTTTTGCTGAAATAGCTTGTTGAGTATGAATTGGAAAGCATGTGACTACTTTTGAGTAATAATGAAACAAATAAGAAACTTATGCCTGAAAGAAAATACAAATATTGATGCTATTTATAATATTTGTTAAAACTAACCTCTGAGTTAGACGTTAGTAGTCCTTGTTTTATGTGTGAAACATTAACCTCCAACTTAGATTAAGCGTGTTTTTGCTTCATGATTATTCCTCATGTGTGTATATTTTGGTGTGTGAAGAGGCTTTCAAGTCAAAGAATACCTTGGAAGGAAAGCACAGACTTTTCTTAGGCCGGCACCAGACATTCAGAGCAGCATTCACTCTGTGCTCTTAAGCATAGGTGGCTGGTGATAGCAGAGGTATCAGGGCAGTGTAAACAGCAGTTACATGGAGGTATGATACCTGTTTATAACATCCTGGCCAAGACATGCAAGTTGTCCTGGAAGTGACATACCATCCAGTTTCCAGATTTGTTAAAATGGAATCAGAAGAAGATAAAACTTAAGATCCACATAGTGGCCAAAGCCACCTAATGCTTACACTGACTTCTAGTAGTGGTAGTCACTCTGAGCAGCCCTGTCAATGGCTACTATTTAGATAGCAGTCTTTTTAGACTTTGATTCAGGAAAGATGGTGAGTTTGTATAGAGATGTAATTAGTTTTAAGAAGTGCTTTTGGCCGGGCACAGTGGCTCTTGCCTGTAATCCCAGCACTTTGGGAGGCCGAAGCGGGTGGATCAGTTGAGCCCAGGAGTTTGAGACCAGCCTGGGCAACATGATGAAACCCTGTCTCTACAAAATATACAAAAATTAGCTGGGTGTGGTGGCACACACCTGTGGTCCCAGCTACTTGGGAGGCTGAGGTGGGAGGATGACTTGAGCCCAGGAGGCAGAGGTGAGTCATGCAGTGAGCCGAGAATTGTACCACTGTCCTCCAGCCTGGGCGACAGAGCCAGACCCTGTCTCATAACAAAACAAAACAAAAAGAAGTGGTTAAACTTACTGCTTATAGTAGCAATATTTTATCTCTTACTCTAAAAGCAGCTTGATGCCCACGAGGGTCTGGAAATCTGTATGGTAGAGTACAAAATGATGACTTTGCTATAGAGCCACCAGATCAGAGGAAGTGAGACTATGTAAATGAAATCCCTAAGTAGGACTCTTCACTGTAGGTGGATAGCACTGTTTTACCATTTTAAGTCATATAAATGGCCAGAAATCTGTGTCTTCTCTTGGGAAGATGTTTCTGGCTGATGTCTATTAATTATAGGTATTTTAGTTCCTGAAATTTTGCTTTAATAAATTAATTTCCTTCAGTATAGAAATTGAAATTCTCTAGTTGTAAAAGGCTATATCTAATAGCCTCAGAGGTCACAATTCTGCACATGAGAAACTCCAAGACATGTGAAGTAATTTGGTGGGTGAAGTAGCTGAACACTAACAACACTACTAGGTTTTATGGGAAGAGACAAACCTAAAGGCATTTAAAAAATGAATCAGATAATCAAATATAGCCTCAATAGGACCCTTAGCACCATTTTTTTTTGTTGTTGTTGTTATTTTTGTTCACTGGTTCTTTTTTTGAGTGATCTTTAATTTCCTAAAACAGAAGATTCATTGTCTAATAGGAAAATTATATCAGATTTGTAATATTTTTTGGCCAGTTTAGTAATTTTTGCTTTCCACAGTATGTTTGAATCTTTTGAAAAAGTAGCTTATTTTATAGTTCTGAGAAAGTAATGTTAAATACTAAATGTTAATGTTATTCAGTATATCACTTTTTGTTTAAAGAAGTCTCAAACAGTCCATGGCAAGGCAATAAAAATTCTTTACTAAGATTTTGTTTATGTTGAAGTAAACAAAATTAAAGTAATGGGATTTGGCCAGATGTGGTGGCTCCCACCTGTAATCCCAGCACTTTGGGAGGCTGAGATGGGCAGATCACTTGAGGCCAGGAGTTTGAGACCAGCCTGGCCAAAATGATGAAACCCTGTCTTTACTAAAAATACAAAAATTAGTTGGGCATGGTGACACACGCCTGTAATCCCAGCTACTCGGCAGGCTGAGGCAGGAGAATTGCTTGAACATGGGAGGCAGAGGTTGCAGTGAGCCAAGATTGTGCCACTGCACTCCAGGCTGGGTGACAGAGCGAGACCCTGTCTCAAAAAAAAAAAAAAAAAAAAGTAATGGGATTTGACCTGTGTACAAAATTGTGATCATTTAAGATGCATATAACTAGAGGAAGAAATTAAAGTTTACAGCATTGTAATGCTAGTCCAGGTATTTATTCTGAAGTGTAACAAGTTCCAGTATCCATTTCATTTATTTTATTTTGAGACGGAGCCTCACTCTATTGCCCAGGCTGCAGTGCAGTGGTGCAATCTCGGCTCACTGCAACCTCTGCCTCCCGAGTTCAAGTGATTCTCCTGCCTCAGCCTCCTCAGTAGCTGGGATTACAGGTGCCCACCACTATGCCTGATGAATTTTTGTATTTTTAGTAGAGACGGGGTTTTGCCATGTTGGCCAGGCTGGTCTTGAACTCCTGACCTCAAGTGATCCACCCACCTTGTCCTCCCAACCAGTATCCGTTTTAAAGCAATTTACGTCAAACCATCTGATTCTCAGTCATATGATTCACTCATTTTGTTGATTTTATAAACATTAGATCTTCTTTAGGTATCGTATACCATTTCACAGCTCCCAGTTTATACAGAATATATTCAATCCTGGGAATCTTTAAAAATCTCATCTGGGCTGGTTGTGGTGTGGCTCATGCCTGTAATCCCAGCAGTTTGGGAGGTCGAGGTGGGTGCATATCCTGAGGTCAGGAGTTCGAGACCAGCCTGGCCAACATGGTGAAACCCCTTCTCTACTAAAAATACAAAAATTAGCCGGGCATGGTGGCGTGCACCTATAGTCCCAGCTACCCAGGAGGCTGAGACAGAATTGCTTGAACCTGGGAGATGGAAGTTGCAGTGAGCTGAGATCACGCCACTGCACTCCAGCCTGGGTGACAGAGTGAGACTTCGTCTCCAAAAAAAAAAAACAACCCATCTGGGATATTGACATGTTGTTTGAAGTTTTGAAGTTTCAGACCTCTCAGAGATGAAATAGATAACAGATTATTTAAAATAATTTTGTTTAAATAATGACTGGAAATACGTGCTTTTTTTTTTTTTTTTTTTGAGATGGAGTGTTGCTCTGTTGCCCAGGCTGGAGTGCAGTGGCGTGATCTCGGCTCACTGCAACCCCTGCCCCCTGGGTTCAAGCAATTCTCCTGCCTCAACCTCCTGAGTAGCTGGGACTACAGGCACACACCACCACTCCTGGCTAATTTTTGTATTTTTAGTAGAGACGAGGTTTCACCATATTGGCCAGGCTGGTCTCAAACTAAGTGATCCGCCCACCTTGGCCTCCCGAAGTGCTGGGATTACAGGTGTGAGCCACCGCGCCCGGCCACATTTTTTAAAATACCTTTACTACTAGTTACTTCTTGTATGGTTGAAGTGTAAAATGTAGTTTTGCTGCTGAAGGTACCCGCATTTCAGTTCCTGGGATGCTGTAACAAATACCATAAACTGGGTAGTTTAAAGTAACAGAAATGTATTCTCTCACACTTCAGGAGTCTGAAAGTCTGAAATCAAGGTGGGGCAGGACCATACTTCCTCAAACCTTTAGGGAACATCTTTCTTTGCCTCTTCAGCAGTGTGGCAGCCCCAGGTGTTGGGCTTGCGGCAGCATAACTCCATTCTCTGTCTCCTCTTCACATGGTGCTCTCCCTGTGCGTCTCTGTGTCTTCTCTTCTCATAAGGATACCGGTCATATTGGATTAAGGTCCTATCATGTCCAGTATGACCTCATCTTCACTAGTAATATCTTTATTCACCCTATTTCCAAATAAGGTCATATCCTGAGGTACTAACGACTTTAACACATCTTTTGGGGGACACAACCCATAATGGTGCAGAAGATTGATTGTCTTGTTTCTCTTTTGCAGGCAGTGGCTTGGTAAATAGAGTTATTTAGATTTGAATGAGATGGATTTATTGGGTCCTCAATACTTCTGTAAAATATAGAAGAAATAGCCTCTTGCTATGGGTGATGAAGGGCGAGCGCTCTCTAAAATTGATGCTATACAAGAAATATTTAAGGATCAACTCTGTGAAAGGCACTGTTAATGCATGCTGGGGGATATACGGATTGCTAAGACACGATTCCTGTTCTGTGAGAAGTTACAGTTTGACATAATCCAGCCTTTGTACTCCCAAAATAAATCTAAATGAAGTACCACTGATAGACTCTCTTTATTCTTTTCTTCTTCAATAGCTAAACAGTTTCAGGAACATCAAGAATTGATATGGGAATCCTTAAAATACGTAACATTGATCTTTGGTGCATCAGCTTTCATGTTCAAACTTTCGTTCTCAGAATGTGCAGTTTAGGATTTCCCTAAAGGTGTTTTGGAATCTGTGTCCCTTGTGTTATGGTTTATATATATTATGGCTGTGGGGAGCATTTCTTGGTGAATCTGAAGAGATTAAACATATGAATTGTCCTTGAAAATAATAGATTATTTTCATGTTTGATGAAGGTGATTGCTAAAATCTCAATTTTGCAAAACACTGTTAATCTTCAAAGACAAAATGTTGTGGCACTCCACTAAGCTACTCTAGTTTATAGTTTAAACTGTATATTGTATGTTTATCTGTAGGGAGTTCAGAGTGTCTTACATTCATGGCCCCTGAAAAGGGTAGAAATGAGCTAAAGATGTTTACTAGTTTTTTAATTGGGAAATTCATGTTCAGTTAAGGTAAATGTTTTCTCCAGAATAAAGATTGTGATTTTTTACTTAAGGATTCTGTGTCTCAACCCAGATTTCTTTCAAGCCATGAATTATATATATAGTTGTCCCTTGTGGGGAATTGGTTCCAGGACCTTCCTCAGATACCAAAATCCATGGATGCTCAAGTCCCTGATATAAAATCTGTAGTATTTGCACATAGCCTATGCATATCCTCCCATATACTTTAAATCACCTCTGGATTACCTATAATACCTAATAAATGTAAATGCTATGTAAATAATTGTCATACTATATTGTTTATGGAATAATAAGGAAAAAAGTTTGTACATATTCAGTATAGATGCAGCCATCTTTTTTTTTTCGTGTATTTTCAATCTGCAGTTGGTTGAATCCATGGATATGGAGAGCCATCCTTATATGTGTTCTGTGAGTAGGGATGAGGAGGTCTAGCTAATAATCAAAAAGAATTTTCAGGCAAACAGAAAACTCTTGAATTATCATTTTCATTTTGCTGTTCGATTGATGTCTAATCAGTGACCTGGCTCATCTTGAAGCCAAGGGCATAGTATTATCAAGTGACTGGCTGTTTCTTTGTAATACTCTGATTAGGTTAATTTTGCATACAGCATTGCCCTTCTAGATATGTTCGAATAAACTGTATTGTGGGTATCTACCTTAGAGTAATCTTGGTTTTCTGCTTGTCGTTCTTCCACGAAAGATACTGTACTGAATCTGGAAAAGATCTGACAGCAATGTTCAGGGAAGAGGGTAGAGCAACTTCCATTTGAGTGTAGGTTTTAAAAAATTAGATTTTGCCGGGCACGGTGGCTCATGCCTGTAATCCCAGCACTTTGGGAGGCTGAGGCGGGTGGATCACTTGAAGTCAAGAGTTTGAGACCAGCCTAGCCAACATGATGAAACCCTGTCTCTACTAAAACAATACAAAAATTAACTGGGCATGGTGGCGCACACCTGTAATCCCAGCTATTAGGGAGGCTGAGGCACGAGAATCACTTGAACTTGGGAGACAGAGCTTGCAGTGAGCTGAGAGCTGAGATCGTGCCACTGCATCCCAGCCTGGGCAACAGAGTGAGGCTCTGTCTCAAAAAAAAAAAAAAAAAAGATTTATTATTCCACAAAAATGAAGGTTGGTTCCACAAAAGAGAATGTGTGGAAAAGCACAGTAGAGGAAGAAGGAGAAGGGAGCTATCATTTGATTGTCAATTATAGTGGGTGACTTAAAGACTAACCTGTTAGATGGTTAATCTCCAATTTTGTATGTTTTTATATACCAAGTCTGTAAACCTTAATATCTGTTAGGTGGTAGGATACATGAGAGAAAGTGTTTTTTTTTTTTACAATGGAGTTTTTATTGGTCCCTAATTTGTAAACTAGTTAATCACAGAAAAATGTGACATCTTATTAGGAAATACTCTAATGGTAATGGTGTTAGATTAACTGCAGTTGTAAAATATGTTTTATACTAATTCATTTTGTATACTATTCCCTAAGGAGTTCTTACTAGTTGGAAGACTTCGTTGTGCTTTCTCCAAATGTATTTTTCTTTTAAAAACTTAATCTAGGTGTCACTGTATCAGTGGGCGGGGTTGACGTGTAGAGTAGTAATGGCTCCCTTAGACTAGAATAAAGGATAGGTCTAAAAAGAAAATCTTGTTTACTTTCTTTAGCATCCTACAAACTTGGTATCTTTTTACGTAAAACTGAGAAGCTTTCATCCAAAGAAAAATAAAATAGAACTTGGAACTTTTTACAACTTTTAAAATACGATTTACTTTTAATGGGTTCAGATCAGAGAATTGTTTCCTTAGCTGTTAAAAAGGAATCAGAAAATTGTTCCTTCTGAGTCAGAAAATAAGGTCACAATAGAAATTTGATATGTTCCTTCCTGTCCACTCTGAAAATAGTAATAACTAGTGTCTTAAAGCACAGACTCATTCCCAGAAAACATCTATCACCAATTATTTGGCCCTTCCAATCTGAAGTTAAAATCAAATCTCTACTTGACTTAAAGGGGCTTATTTTTTCTGAAATTGGATACACAAGTGACAAATTGTGTGTGTTCCATAGCTGTGGTAAAACTTTTGACTTTCTTTCTTTGTACAACGTCTTTTATATCTCTAGGCAACAGGAAAGGATAAATTCACAGAGGGAAGAGATAGAAAGACAACGGAAAATGTTAGCAAAGCGGAAACCTCCTGCCATGGGTCAGGCCCCTCCTGCAACCAATGAGCAGAAACAGCGGAAAAGCAAGACCAATGGAGCTGAAAATGAAACGTATGTTCTTTATTGACGTGAACGCTGAGACACCACACCCTGCCCCCAAATACAAATGTTGATTGTCACCGGCAATAGTTTTAAATTCTTGAGGTCACTCAGGTTTAAACCTTCTTTTCAGTTACATTAATGGATTTGCTCAACTCATATAAATGCCATATAAAATTAATTGATTTTCTTAAACCTGCTCTTTCTTTAGGGCATTTTGAATGAGAGGGAAAAGTAATGTCACTTGACATCATGACTTTTGGCCACTCCTGGTTAACAAATAAGATGTCATTGTACTGAAATGATATTATTGCTTACATGTGGCTGCAGGGTGTGGTACACTAGTATCATCTTATGGGAGTTACCTGGCTGTTATTTCAGACTGAAGAATGCTCTTTACTGGTCAAAAGAGCACTTAGTTAATAGTCACAAACTTAGGATAAGCCCCCCAGAAAGCTGTTATGTTAGAAAAGGACATTGTCCCAATAAGCCACAACTTGATCTCATCAGAATTGTTTCCTGTTCTGGGAATCTAAGGAAAACACCAGTATCTTAAACTGCAGTACAGTCATCTTTTTCTCTGTCACTCAACAATATTTACATAGCTACCATATATAGGAGGAGTAGAAAATTCTAAGCACAAATGCCTGCCTTCTCCATTCTTCTCTTCCTTTCTGTTTAACTGAAAGTAAGTTTCAAGTCCAAAGATAGCTGCAGATAAAAGATATATAACTTATCAACTAATATGTCATTTGCTTTATGTTTTCATATTAGTTCACAAAAACAACACATAATCCACTTCAGGTATAATAATACTTGTATTATATTATTGTTAAAAGTCTGTGGCATCCTAGAAGTGCATCTTCTTTCATTCTAGTGAGAAAGATGGCTTAACACCAATCCTCACCCCATACATATCTGATGTTTTGGGAAGTCTCTTCCTTGATGTTCGTTTAGTAAGTTTATGTTAAATGCTTATTTTATGCTAGGCCCTCTTCTGGGAATACAGAGCTAAAGGATACAGCCCCAGCCTTAGGAGCCCACAGTTTACTTAGGTGAGATGAACAGACGAATAAACTAATAATTACATTAAGTATAGCGATAAAAATGTGCATAATGAACTTGGAAAACATCTTCATTCATATAACTCCAAATTTTGTTGTTGTTGTTTTTTTTTTTTGAGACGAAGTCTCACTCCGTCGCCCAGGCCAGAGTGCAGTGGTGCTATCTCGGCTCACTGAAACCTGTCTTCTGGGTTCAAGCGTTTCTCCTGCCTCAGCCTCCTGAGTAGCTGGGACTACAGGCGTGCACCACCATGCCCAGCTAGTTTTTGTATTTTTAGTAGAGATGGAGTTTCTCCATGTTGGCCAGGCTGGTCTTGAACTCCTGACCTCAAATGATCCACCCTCCTCGGCCTCCCAAAGTGCTGGGATTACAGGTGCGAGCTACTGCACCCAGCCCAAATGTTACAAAACTAGAGTCTTGTTTTCCCTTGATTTTAAAGACTAGTCAAGTGCAATAATGAGAATGAGAAGAGGGGAAGAGTATTGAGTCTTAAATATAAAGTATTTTCCTTTCAGCAAGTCCAAGTAGGGGCTCAAATTTGAAAGATTGTCCAGGCTAATTAATCTGACCAATGTTTTCTTTCATGACTCCTGTGTGTATTTTGTGAAGGGACTTTCCCTCTAGTATTATTTGAAAATTATTTAATGCTAATGCACAAAACCATTGGCTTAGGAGTGATAAAGAAAGCATAGGTTGTTTCTTTGCCACAGAAGAATAATTAGAATGCAATCTAGGCTAGTAATGTGTAAGCAATTGCTATCTGGTGTCCTGTGTAAAATCCAATCTGGAAGACTTTCAGTCCAGTTTTTAATTAGAGTATCTGTGACTTGGCTCTTACTTTGACCAGAAGCCAGAAGTAGGCCTCTGGGGTCTTGGAGTGAGCCATATTATCCTTTCTTGGCCCCGAACCTGTTTCAGACAGAGAATTCTTAGCCATCATTTTTAATTTTTCTGTTTTTCGCTGGTGTGGAATGGAGTAATAGATACAGGTATTTCTGCATCTGTAAAGAGATAGCCCTAGTGGGTGAGTTTCTTCTTCTTTCTATTTTTTCTTGAGTTAGACCTCAAAGGCTCTGTTCTGGTTGATAGGATAGATATTTCCCCTTTCTTCTGCTATTTAGAATATATCTAAACAGTGATATCTAAAAATATTAAATATCTATATGCTTCTAGAATGCGAAGAAGGTAGAGATGGAAGAAAAAATAATTCTCACTTGTTCATCTTTTTTTCTTTTATTTTCTTTCTTTCTGTCTTTCTCTCTCTCTCTCTTTCTTTTCTTTTCTTTTCTTTCTTGAGACAGAGCCTTGCTCTGTTGCTTGGGCTGGAGTGCAGTGACATGATTATAGCTCACTATAGCCTCAACCTTCTGGGCTCAAGCAATCCTTCCATCTCAGCCTCCTGAGTAGCTGGGACTACAGGCATGTGCCACCATGCCCAGCTTCTTTCTTCTTTTTTTCACAGAGACAGAGTGTTGCTTTGTTGCCCAGGCTGGTCTCAAACTCCTGGCTCCAAGTCCTTCCCGCTCAGCTTCCCAGAGTACTGGGATTACAGTGAGCCACCAAGCCTGGCCACTTGTTCATTCTTGAGATGTAAGGATGCTGTTGGAGTAGTTGGAACATGAAACACATGACTACCCATCAAGTCAGCCCTTTGAGAGTTGATTTAAATAGCATTTTCAATATTCTTTATATGTTGTCATTTAATAGTCACTCTTTCTTAGATAGGTATTATCACTTGCTGCATTTCAGGAAACTGAGTTAAAGAGGTTAAATTTGCTTGCGCAAGGTCACATGGCCAGTAGCTTAGTAGTGCTTTGAACCCTAGTCCTCAGACTCCAAATCCTAGACTCTAATTTGCTGCTATATCTTTCTCTTTGTTATTACAGTATCAAGGTTTAAGTATTAACAAGAATAATCAAATCCATTGGCTTATTGTTTTGCCCTCTAAAAAATTTTTAGAGAATTTTTGGCTGTCTCTGAATGAGTTTTTATCTTAGTAATATATGGCACAAAACTCATTTCAAAAATAATATAAAAATATGGCTCACTTTTTTTTCTTTTTTATGTTTTGCAAATTAGACTTCTGGCTTTGAAGTTCTTCCCTCACATCACATCTGGTAAATCACAGAAGTTTTCTCTTGTCAGAGGACTACAAGATAACCCATCTTTCAGTCATTTTAACTGAGACTGAAACTGAATATGTCTTATAGTATATTTGAGCATTTCTCTTTAAACAGGCAAACTATGATTTCTAGTAGTTTACTGAAACTTTTACCACTGTTTTTCAGGTTAACGTTAGCAGAATACCATGAACAAGAAGAAATCTTCAAACTCAGATTAGGTCATCTTAAAAAGGTAAGTATAATGAGAAAATCTCCCTGGAGAAATGTGATACCTAGTTTAAATTTGGGGTTGAAGCTATTTGGTCATTTGGGTGAATGTAATAGTAGCTGCACATAGCAGCAGAAAGCTTCAGTGACTGCTTTCACTGTCATGTCTTGTAGCCTAATGGTAGAACTCATATTTTTCCATTTTCTTTCTTCTTCTTTTTTTTTTTTTTGAGTTGGAGTCTCACTGTGTCTCCCAGGCTGGAGTGCAGTGGCACGATCTTGGCTCACTGCAACCTCCACCTCCCGGGCTCAAGCGATTCTCGTGTCTCAGCCTCCTGACTAGCTGGGATTACAGGCACGTGCCACCATACCCAGCTAATTTTTGTATTTTTAGTAGAGACGGGGGTCTCACCATTAGGCTGGTCTCGAACTCCTGACCTCAAGTAATCCTCCTGCCTCGGCCTCCCAAAGTGCTGGGATTACGGGTTACAGGTGTGAGCCACCATGCCTGGCCTATCTTTGCATTTTCAAGTCAATTCCAGCAACCCAATGACAGTGTTTTTCCCCCTAGTGATCTATCAGCAGATAATTCTGTACACATCATAAGGCTTCCCAAGTGGTTATCCTTGGAGTAAAATTTAAATATATAACAAGAGCAGATGGTTTTGAAATTGATGTGAAGACTCCTGTCATATTTCAAATCACATAGCAGCTCTTATTCCTTGCCTAAACTAGCTAAAAAGAGAAAGTGTTATGTGAACCTTATTCAAATACAAAGGCACATAACATAGAATTTGTTATTGATGATGTTCACTGAGATATCTTAGATGTGGATTACTCAGCTCTTAAAATTCAGAAGCCCATACATTGGTCGATGCTCTTTATAGGTGATAATGGTCAGTAAAGATTTACTAAACTGCTTTTGGTATGTGTGCTTTTGTTTTTTATTTCACATATTAGTTTTCATGCTGTTTTCCCACTGGGTTCTCAGAGCTTGTTAAATAAGTAGAACTTGCTGGGGATGGTGGCTCACACCTGTAATGCCAGCACTTTGGGAGGCTGTGGTGGGTGGATCACCTGAGGTCAGGAGTTCAAGACCAGCCTGCCCAGCATGGTGAAACCCCGACTCTACTAAAAATACAAAAAATTAGCTGGGCGTGGTGGCATGTACCTGTAATCCCAGCTACTCGGGAGGCTGAGGCAGGAGAATCACTTGGACCTGGGAGGCGGAGGTTGCAGTGAACCGAGATCGTGCCATTGCACTCCAGCCTGGGTGACAACAGCGAAACTCCATCTTAAAAAATAAAAATAAGTAGAACTTAAGTCACCAAGTGTAATCCATACTTAAAGATGAGAACCGAACCAGATAGATAACCTGATTTTTGTAAAAAATGTTTCCATGTCTAAATGTATATGCACAAAACATTCCTGAAAACTTATGTAAGAAACTTAATAGTGGTTATTACATCTCAGGAGTGGGCATGGAGAGGAGGGAGGAGGAGGGTAGGGAACTTTTACTTTTCTTACTGAACTCCTCTGTATGGTTTGAATTTTATTATTTTCTATGGGCTCATTTTTATGATTAAAATTCTTAAAGAAATCTTTCAATGCAAAGCACCTTCCTTTAGCCTTTCATAAGATAAATGTCTGCTATTGTTTTTGAAATAAGATCCCGAAAAGGTAAAGTTCCCCCTATTTTGTGCTATTTCTTTCCTTTTCGCTTTAGGAGGAAGCAGAGATCCAGGCAGAGCTGGAGAGACTAGAAAGGGTTAGAAATCTACATATCAGGGAACTAAAAAGGATACATAATGAAGATAATTCACAGTAAGCTACTTCAGGGCATATTGGGTTGGAGATTGCTAAGCATTTTATGATATGAATTGAATGGTCTAGAATAATGTGTTTGCTTAATGTAAGTTACATAAATGATTCCATGGTGTATTTAGCTCTTTTGTAGCATCTAATACAATTTTGTGAACAAAATTATGATTTGCCTTGGTTTAAATATACAATTGTATTAAATTTATATATTAAGTATATATGTGTATACATATAGCATTTTTACATGAATAAAGATTACTAAAACAATATGGCTTTGTAATTGTAAATGGTTGAGATATGTTGCATATTCAGATTTTCCTACAGAGCCTTAAGAAAGGGAAGATGGGTCACAGTGTGGTGTTGTGGAAAGAGTATTGGGTTGAGATGACACTCGGTTTCTGAATGACCTTTAAGGGCTATTCAGGTGTTGAGATTTTAAGTAAGACTCTTAAGTTCAGTACATTAATTGTAGATGAATTGAAACTGGGAAAAGTAGGTTGAAAGTAGAAAGGGGTTTTTATAAGTAATCTGTTTTTTCCCCATATTTTTTGGACCCTGAAACATTTTTTCATAAAGCCATAGCTTGTATATTTTTGTTTGGCTTATATGAGCTTTGGACCTGTCTTTCTGTTAAAGTGGCAGACAACAGCAGGTACCACTTCCTGAGAGCTCTCTGTGTATCAGGCTTGGTCCTAAGTGCCCTTAGTGCTCTCATTTAATCCGCAGGATAACCCAGTCATCTTTAATACATTAATCAGAAAACAAGCTTAGAGAAATTAAATTAACTTGCCCAGGGACCCATAAATAATGTGACCAAAGAGTTCAACTTGGATCTTTTTCATCTAAACCACCATGCAGTAATGTCTCTCCAGATAGGCATCCTACTTTCTTAAAATCCATGTAAAGTAATTTCAGAATTAATAGTGAGATTGTTTAAGATCAGGAACTAGGTAAAAATATTTTTAAATTTGTTTTTGCCAGAACTTGTCATTTCTTTATCATATTATTAAGAAAATACCCAAGGTAGAGTCTAATATGGGGAACACAGTTATATCTGTCTTAAAGAGAGAATAATGAATGCACATAGAACATGTGACTCACTTTAAAATCAAATCTGTTTTTAAGGAAATAGCAAGTGTCTTGGAATTTTACTGTATGTAGTTTTGAAATGGTGGGAACATGTGGCCCTTGAATAGTTTGGAGGAGCCAAATAGCACAATCTAAAAATCTCTAATCTACCCTCCCTCATTGTATAGCAGGGCAGAAAAAAGGAGGAGGAGCAAGAAAGGTCTAGTGTAGCTACACTGAGACCAGCACCCAAGTCCTGTGGCTCTATAGCTGGTGCTGTTCATTGTAATTACACTGCCTCTTTGAACTGTGTAACTTTATACTCAGTATTTGCCATGTTGATGTTGATTGTCAAACTACCAACAGCAGCTATAATTATATGTATAATGTGTTAGATATTCTGGGAATTTTGCAAGCGTGGAAGACTGTAGTCCATGATCTCAGGGTGTTACATGTTCCCTGTTTCCACAGATTTAAAGATCATCCAACGCTAAATGACAGATATTTGTTGTTACATCTTTTGGGTAGAGGAGGTTTCAGTGAAGTTTACAAGGTAAGTATAAGGAACTGGATACAAAGACTGGGGGTTAAATTATCGGCTCCTACCAACTTGGAGAACATTAAGAATACTGATAATTGTAGGTTGATATCCATTGGTTGAAATTCAAAAACTTTAAAAACCTGTATCTTTGGGAAAACAGCTTTCAATAAACCTAAGTGACCAAGCAGAATACAGTATTGCCATTTTCAAGTTTGAAAAATAAATAATTATAGATTTAAAAAACAAGAAGGAAATATACTGGGTCGTGGAATTATGATTTTTATTCTGGTTCTGTACTTCCTGCCTCATACATATTTGTTAGAAAAAAGTATGTGCTATCTTTCTTTCTTTTACAGAATAGATGTGTCAAACCTGTTTCCAATAAGAATAGGTTTTTTTCCATTGGAAAACCTGCTTTTTGTTTTAGAAGTGTTCTAATATCATTTACTAGCACTGGCAGTCTGAAAGAGTGTCCTGGCTTAGAGTGCTTCAGTTGGGCTAGCGAAGTACAGGCTGCTGAGCTTCCAGGTTGATTTTTACCAAATGAGGGATTCAATATGTTTTAAATATAGCTACAGATCCATAACATGTGGGTTTGATTTTTCTACGTGTTTCTGGCACCTGTCTGTAAAGTACAGAATTGTTTATTAAGTAGTCTTTGTTGCATAGCTGTCCCTTTCAGAAATACAGCTTTCACTGTTAGGATTTATGTTATGCTCATATGAATTTATATGTGATAAATCTTTTCAGTAAAATAGTTTTCATTGCAAATAAAAACGGTAAAACTATTTCTACTGTTTTCTTATTTTAATTTTTTTTAAATTGTGGTTTTATTTATTTATTTATTTTAGAGATGGGGTCTTGCTCTATTGCCCAGGCTGGAGTAAGGTAGCACAATCATAGTTCATTGCAGCCTCAAACTGCTGGGCACAAGCAAGCCTCCTGCCTCAACCTCTTGAGTAGCTGGGACTACAGGCCCAGTGCACTAATTTTTAAATTTTTTCTAGAGACGGGGTCTTGCTACATTGCCCAGGCAGGTCTCAAACTTATGGGCTCAAGCAATCCTCCTGCCTTGGCCTCCCAGGGTGCTGAGATTACAGGTGTGAGACACTGCACCCAGCTGTGATTTTATTAAGTATATGTTTCAGTGGCATTAAGTACTACAGTGTTGTGCGACTGACATCACTACATCACTGTTCATCTCCAGAACTATATTATGATTAGTGCACTACTCTACTGGTTTTGATATTCTAGTATCTTTTTTTTTTTTTTTTTGGAGACATTGTCTCACTCTGACACCCAGGCTAGAGTGCAGCAGTGCAGTCTCGGCTCACTGCAACCTCCCACTCCAGAGCTGAAGTGTACTCCCATCTCAGCCTCCCAAAGTGCTGGGATTACAGGTGTGTACCACCATACCTGGCTAATTTTTGTATTTTTTTTTATAGTGACAGGGTTTCATCATGTTGCCCAGGCTGGTCTTGAACTCTTGGGCTCAAGTGATCACACCTTGGCTTCCCAAAGTGTTGGGGTTACAGGCATGAGCCACTGCACCTGGCTTCTAGTATCTTATTTGTATTTTTTAATCTGTGTTTATAAGTAGGATTGGCCCATAGTCACCTTTTGTATGCAAGCAGCTTTGTCAAAATTTGATGTCATAATTATTCTAGCTACTTAGATAGAGTTGTGAAGTCTCTTTTTTTCCATGCTCTGGAACCCTTTTCATCACTTGGGAATTGTTGGCTCCTTGAAAGTTTGTTAGAGTTGACTCATAAAAATTCTTGGGCAGGACAGTCTCTGTGGCTCATGTCTATAATCCCAGCACTCTGGGAGCCGAGGCAGGAGGATCACTTGAGCACAGGAGTTTGAAACCAGCCTGGGCAACATAGCAAGACCATGCCTCTACAAAGAAAGAAAAGAAAAATCTCCTGGGAGATGTTGAGTTAGTGGAAAACATTTGGCTGTGTTTTCAATTTCTTCTACAACTATTGATATATTCAGATTTTCTCTCCCTTCTTAAGTCAGTTTTGGTAATTTAATTTTTCTAGGAAATCTATTTCATTTAGATTTTTTTTTCTTTTTTAATAGAGACAGGGTTTCACTGTGCTGCCTAAGCTGGTCTCAAACTCCTAGCCTGAAGTGATCTTCACCCCTCAGTCTTCCAAAGTGCTAGGATTACAGCCACCATGCTTGGCCTAGATTTTTTAAAAATATTTTCCACATCTTAGTTACTTCTCTGTTCTTGTAAAATTTTTATTTTTGTGTTTCTTGATTGATAGGCTAGAGATTAGTCAGTGTTGTTATTAATTTTTTTCCTAAGAATCAACTTTTTTGTTGATCAAAACTATTTGGTTAGTTTTCTATTTCATTAATGTCTGCTTTCATTCCTTCTTTCTGCTTTCTTCATTTTTATTTATGTTCATTCTTAAGTCAATGCTTAGTTTATTTTCTTTGTAATTTTTTATTGTAAAAAGATAGATATAAAATTTACCATCTTAACCATTTTTAAGTGTGTAGTTCAGTAAAGTACATTCACACTTTTTGTGAAATAGATCTCAAACTTTCTTTCATCTTCCAAAACTGAAACTCTGTAGCCATTAACCAACTTTCCTTTCCCCCTCCTCCTTGTCCTTGGAACCATTTTACATTCTGTTACTCTGAATTTGACTATGTTTAGATTTCTTACAGAAGTGGACTCATACTACGTCTTTTTATAATCAGCTTATTTTACTTAGCATAATGTCCTCAAGGTTCATCTGTGCTATAGCATGTGACAAGATTGCCTTCCTTTTTAAGATCACTTAATATTTTATTGTATGTACCACATTTTGTTTATCCTCCTCTGTCGATGGACACTTGGGTTGCTTCCATCTCTCGCCTACCGTGTATAGTGCTGTTGTTTTTGTTTTTGTTTTGTTTGTTTGTTTGTTTTGAGACAGAGTCTTGCTCTGTCGCCCAGGCTGGAGTGCAGTGGTGCAATCTCGGCTCACTGCAACCTCCATCTCCCCAGTTCAAGTGATTCTGCTGCCTCAGCCTCTTCCAGTAGCTAGGATTACAGGTGTGCACCACCAAGCCCAGCTATTTTTTTTGTATTTTTAGTAGAGACGGGATTTCACTGTGTTGGCCAGGCTAGTCTCGAACTCCTGACCTCAAATGATCCGCCCATCTCTGCCTCCCAAAGTGCTGGGATTATAGGCACAAGCCACCGCACCCAGCCTATAGTGCTGTTTTGAATTTGGGTGTCCAGTTATCTCTGTGAGACTCTGCTTTCAATTCTTTTGGATGTATACCTAGAAGTGTATGTAATTTTAAATCATCAAAATTGGTTCTTGGTGCCTCCCAGTTACTTTTAGTAATTTGATCATCCTATTTTTTCCTAATGTATTTCTTCAAACATTTTATTTCTTTTTCTCTTGAGACAGAGTCTCACTCTGTCGTCCAGGCTGTAGTGTAATGGTGTGATCTTGGCTCACTGCTGCAACCTCTGCCTCCCGGGTTCAAGTGATTCTCCTGGCTCAGCCTCCCGAGTAGCTGGGATTACAGGCGCCCGACCCCACACCCGGATAATTTTTGTATTTTTTGGTAGAGACGGGGTTTTACTATGTTGGCTAGGCTGGTTTCAAATTCCTGACCTCGTGATCTGCCTGCCTCGGCCTCCCAAAGTGCTGGGATTACAGGTGTGAGCCACCACGCTGAGCCCCACACATTTTATTTCTGAAATCTAAATACTTCTTACAGTGATGTGTGCATTTAATGTAGTTTTTCTTTTGCTGTTCTCCACTCTCCACAATCCTTTCTTAAGTCAGTGGTAGGTCACAGTGTCTTGGATTTAGAATAGAAGTACAGTGTAGTAGTTAGAGAAAATTATGCTTGAAATAGCATTGGTGCTCTTATAAATTGGGTGGTATTTAATGTTTTTTTCTTTTGTGGTTTTTTTTTTTTTTTTTTTTTTTTTGATACGGAATCTCGCTCTGTCGCCCAGGCTGGAGAGTGCAGTGGTGCTATCTCGGCTCACTGCAACCTCTGCCTCCCGGGTTCACGCCATTCTCCTGCCTCAGCTTCCCAAGTAGCTGGGACTACAGGTGTCCGCCACCACACCCGGCTAATTTTTTGTATATTTTTTAGTAGAGACAGGGTTTCACCATGTTAGGATGGTCTCGATCTCCCGACCTCATGATCCACCTCCCTCGGCCTCCCAAAGTGCTGAGATTACAGGTGTGAGCCATCGCGCCCGGCTTATTTAATGTTTTTAAAAATTATTTGAAATGGTTTTCTACTGTGAAGCCATAATGGTATTCATGATTGTGAATGGACTGAAGATTCTTTAAGAAAAGAAGTTCAAAAGTTTCCATTTTTGGCCGGGCATGGCCTCTACTGCCTCTAACCCAATATTTTGAGAGGCCAAGGTGGGAAGATTACTTGAGGCCAGGAGTTCAAAAACAGCCTGGCAAACACATTGAAGCCCTGTCTAGATAAAAAAATAAAAATAAAAAATGTTGCAATTTTTGTGAAATAAGATATTATGTCTGAAGTGAGTGGTTTTTATACTTTAAACATACTGGTTTTAATTTGGTATAAATGATGGAAGTTTCTCTATTTTATAAGCAGCTCTCTCTACATGCAGTGCTTATCCAGAGAAACTTAGGTTTAGATAGATCTGTAAAGTAGTGATCACCCTATTTAGGTACTGTTTTCTGCACTTGTTGCCTTCATTTATTTGTATATTTGTGGAAATTAGCAGATGGGTGATAACAGTGTTGAAACTGAAGTAGTAAGCTTTTAATCTAAACTTTACAAACTAAGAAAAACTATTCTAAAGAAGCTATGCAATAAATTCTTTTGTTTGGAGGGAAATCTTCAATTGAATTGAAAGATTACTTTATCAAATTATGATTTACACCCAGCTTCCTCAAAAATCCATGTTACCTTTTTCACTGTGCTATAGCAAGCACTACATAGCTGATGCAGGACTTGCTGGCAGTGGTGGCCATTGGGGAAAGCTGGTTCCTGCCTCTGGACAGTGCTGGAGAAGTGACTTGGGGTGACTAACTTCAGCCATTTTTGGGATTAGAAACTGCTTTTCGGCCAGGCGCAGTGGCTCACGCCTGTAATCCCAGCACTTTGGGAGGCCGAAGCGGGGCGGATCGCCTGAGGTCAGGAGACCAGCCTGACCAACATGGTGAAACCCCATCTCTACTAAAAATACAAAAATTAGCCGGGCGTGATGGTGCGTGCCTGTAATCCCAGCTACTCAGGAAGCTGAGGCAGGAGAATCACTTGAACCCGAGAGACAGAGGTTGCAGTGAGCCAAGATTGCACCGTTGCACTCCAGCCTGGGCGACAGAGCGAGACTCCGTCTCAAAAACAACAACAACAAAACCACTTTTCATTTACCCAGCATATAGAGATGGGACTAAAGGCAGGGCTGTTTTTTGTTCTTGTTTCTCTTTTTATTTTAATAAACAATATGCCAAATTACAGGGTGGTTTTGTAAACAATCATACCAAAGAAGTATATTGTGAGGGGTTATTTTCTCCAGGAGGCAGGCAGTGTGTGTCCCTGGAATTTCAAAAGTGACAGGATGTTTGAAGCTTGTAAAGTCCCAGTGTCAACTGAAGGATAAGAGACAACCTAAGGCAGACGGGTCCCAGACAGGAATAGATGGTGTCCAGAAAGAGAATGGTTGGGAAATGATTCTGAAGGCAGGGGCTATCTTTCTGTTTGTGGTGTTGGCCTGGTTTTATGTTCTAAATCCCTTGGTGCCAGTGTGTCTGGAGACTTCTAAATTATCTAATCACAAGTTTCAAGAAGGTGCTTGCAACACTGATATAAGTATGTGATGTATTTAATAATGTATTTTGGACTTTGATTATGTTATATGTTAAATTAAAGCTTCACATCAGTTACCTGTAATTTTTCTTAACATTTACCCAGTATATAATTTATTCTCTTTATAGGCATTTGATCTAACAGAGCAAAGATACGTAGCTGTGAAAATTCACCAGTTAAATAAAAACTGGAGAGATGAGAAAAAGGAGAATTACCACAAGTAAGTGATACTTGAGTGTCTGACTTTTTAAAATTAAATAATACCTGTAGTTTGAGCATTATGCTACAAGCTTTACGTGCATTGTTGTTGGTTTTGTTTTATGTAATCTTCATAACTGCCCTGAGAGAATAAATACATTCTCAGTGTTACGACGAGGAAACTGATGCTTACAGAATTGGAGTAACAGGAAGTGGCTGAGCTGGTATTTAAATCCAGACTTTCCTGAATCCAAAGCCCTAGGTACTCTTAACCTTCCCTTCCTTTGTGGCTAGAAATAGCTATAGTAAATAAAGCCTTAGAAATCATTTTTGCTGGCCGGGCACGGTGGCTCACACCTGTAATCCCAGCACTTTGGGAGGCTGAGGCAGGCAGATCACGAAGTCAGGAGATCGAGACCATCCTGGCTAACACGGTGAAACCCCGTCTCTACTAAAAATACAAAAAATTAGTTGGGCGTGGTGGCAGGCATCTGTAGTCCCAGCTACTCGGGAGGCTGAGGTAGGAGAATGGCGTGAACTCGGGAGGCAGAGCTTGCAGTGAGCCGAGATCACGTCACTGCACTCCAGCCTGGGTGATGGTGCGAGTGCGAGACTGCATCTCAAAAAAAAAAAAAATTGTTGCTTGTCTATAGAAACTAGACCCTAGGGAGCTGCTGGTGGGCTGTTTCTGCTACTTCAGTCATTTCCTTCTAGAAGAGACTGGGGGCACCTGGTGTGTCTTGGTGGCACCTGTTTGACTTGTTCAGCCTCTCTGTGCTATGTTCTCCTCCCGGTCACAGTTTGCCCATCTCAAAGTTCTTGGTCTTCAGGGTCCCACTTCTGTGCTTGCTTCTCTATAGAATAGTACTAGTGGCAGCCTTCATCTGTACTTGGGATGTGGGGTAGAGAGGGGGGGCTTCTTTAAAATGAATTGTTACAATATGCACAGCTGTGAATTGCTTTGTTCCACTGATGTCAGGTTTTGCCTATATCTCCCCAAGCTTCTGAACGTTGGAGTTCATGGCTCATTTGCTTTAGAGGCTATGCAGACTTAATTTGCTATTAGGTTCCCCACTGGGCTTAGTTTTGTTTCCTTGTTGTTGGTACAAGTATTGAATCAGACAAGTCCTGCCCTTGAAAGGAGGGGACAGGCTTTTTTGACAAAGCAAACACCTCCTTTCTATAAAGGCAGTCTTGGTTTTTTTTGGTGTTTTGTTTGTTTGTTTGTTTGTTTTATAAATAATAATTTGGAAGGGGAAAAACAGTGGTCTTTGAAGTAGCCCTTTAGTTGGCTTCTAGCCTGGTCCAAGGCAACTCTTGCTCTATACCTCTTGTTCATCAGGGACCCAGAAGTTCTTCCTGTTCCAGACAGATGGGCAGTGGTGCTCAGCACTGGAGAAGGGAAGGTTCCTGCTACATTAAGAGCAACAGGGCTTAGCAGAGGGAGAAGGGATGACCTGTGGCACCCTGCGTGTGTTTCTTAGGTGACAGGCAGCTGCAGTCCAGATGCTCCTGAGGAGCAGTTACATTATTATAAGAACATTCCAGTCACTTGATATGTAGGGATGAGTGGCACACCGTAGTGAGTGCCAGGAGCACTTCAGAGAAGGAAAGCACATGTTGTTCTGACCAGTTATAAGTGAGCAATGCCACTACTGTATTGAGACCCTAAGAATGCCTAAGGGTGTTGGACCAGTACATGCTTCTCTTTAAAAATGCCCTGTAGGGCATTTTTATACATATACAGATGTATATGTATAAAATATACGTATACATCTGTATATGTATAAAATATACGTATACATCTGTATATGTATAAAATATACGTATACATCTGTATATGTATAAAATATACGTATACATCTGTATATGTATAAAATATACGTATACATCTGTATATGTATAAAATATACGTATACATCTGTATATGTATAAAATATACGTATACATCTATACATATACATATTTTTATACATATACGTCTCCTGTGCTGAGACGTATATGTATTTTGCCTAGTCTCAGTATCCAGGTTTCTGGCTGACCTTGCAGAGAGCTCTAGTGTTGGATACCACAGCAACTGCAGGTGGGCGTTCTGCCCATCTAGCCTTTTGAAACACTGAGGAGTGGAAGCCGGGCCTTGTCCCTCCTTCAAACAGTTGGCAAGCACTCTGAGGCCTGGTGGGTATGGATTGGGTGTTTTCTCACATATGTCTCTACCAGACAGAATCAGAGAGCACGTGAAGGGGATGGTCCTATTTGTCTAAGTTCTTTCCATTCAAGTTCCAGGCTGGCATTGGTGCCTTTCTACTCTGTTTCCTCATCAGAGGAGGGATCATGGTGCCTGAGCTCATCTGAGGAGGGGGCATTTCCTATTTGGCAGACACCTTGGGGAGAGGGTGTGTGAGTTGTTGTGACCTTCATTCTTGCTTGGGCAGCTGGGGGGAGTTCTTTTTTTTGTTTTGTTTTGTTTTCCAATCAGGAAGCAGCACTGAGGAGACAATTCTTAAGTACCTCCACCTTTCTTTTGAAAGAATTGGCTTTCTAAGTGATATAAAATCATACTCATGCATTTCAGGCTATAGAAAATGGCGAATTGACAAAATGTCATTAACTGCTTTGAACTAAAAGGAGACTTACATCAAGCACATAACGGACATTGATGAGTGCTTTAAAAATTCAGTATTAAACTAAAAAGTAGTACACTTCAGTGTTGTGACATTATAAAATATGAAAATGCTATAACCCTGCTAGTAAGGTCTGTTAATTGCGTTTCCATTCATGGGGATGACTTCCCAGTCCCATCTGGAATCAAGACATTTATTCTGGTAAAAAAGAAGGCAGATTTCAAAAGAAAATAAAAGGTGTTTGTTTTGTTGTATTTTGAATTTTGTTCTGTCACTTCATTCCTCTCCTCCTCCTACCATAAGCAAACAAAAAGTAAACTGATTGTTTTATTTATATTATAAAAACAAATTTTATTAAAAATTTTTATTTTAAAAATTTAGTATTACGACTGCTTTAACTCCCTCAAATAACATATTAAAAATTCTGCCGTAGGAAAAATTTCACTTAAAATTATTTGCAGAAGTAATTTGTATCGGAGTTAGTATGCTTTTGTATGATACTCTATTCTAATTTTTTAAAGATAAAAGTAAGCATTTTGAAAAATCTAAATATATGTTAACTTATAAGAGAGTAAAAGACATTTTGGTGGATGAGTTTCTTCCAGTTTCTCATTAAATTCTCTGTATTTGTAGTGCATGGATCTCTTGGATTATAAGTTGAAAGTTGAACATGGCTCAGTCATTGCCTTGCTGATGAAGTAAGAGATGCGGTTTTAGAGCTGGGCACAGGTTCAGCGACACTCTGCAAATTCCCTTAATTGGCGAGAACTTTGAATGACATTTTGATTCTTAAATTTTTGCTGCCTTTTGTTTCCTGTGTTTTCTGTACCTCAACAAGAGAAATTGGTTTCTGCTGTAAAATGCACAAAATCAAGAAGTTAAAACCAAAGGGTAGAGCGCTATACATTTATAGCATGCTAGAGTGAAAAATAACTTAGAACAGTGATCTGTTTAGTCCCTAGATTTTTAAACTTTTTGTTTGTTTTTTGTTTTTTTGAGACAGAGTCTCACTCTGTTGCCCAGACTGGAGTGCAGTGGCGCGATCTCCACTCACTGCAAGCTCCGCCTCCTGGGTTCACGCCATTCTCCTGCCTCAGCCTCCCGAGTAGCTGGGACTACATGTGCCTGCCACCAAGCCTGGCTAACTTTTTTGTATTTTTAGTAGAGACGGGGTTTCACCGTGTTAGCCAGGATGGTCTCGATCTCCTGACCTCGTGATCCATCCGCCTCAGCCTCCCAAAGTGCTGGGATTACAGGCATGAGCCACCGTGCCCGGCCTTTAACCTTGAAAAAAAAAACAAAAAAAACAAACAGCAGCACCGGCTGGGCACGGTGGCTCACGCCTGTAATCCCAGCACTTTGGGAGGCGGAGGTGGGTGGATTGCCTGAGGTCAGGAGTTCAAGACCAGCCTGACCAACATGGTGAAACCCCGTCTCTACTAAAAATACAAAAAAAGTTAGCCAGGCATGGTGGCAGGCACCTACCTGTAATCCCAGCTGCTCAGGAAGCCGAGGAAGGAGAATTGCTTGAACCCAGGAGGCAGAGGTTGTGGTGAGCCAAGATCGCGCCACTGTATGTACTCCAGCCTGGGCGACAGAGCGAGACTCCGTCTCAAAAACAAAAACAGCAGCACGCTTATTTTATCAAATGCAATATTACAAGGAATCTTAATGTATTTAAAAATGCAAGTGTGCTGGCAGAAAGGGGACTGATGATTCTGTGACTCTGCAGTTGCAGAAGCTCCGTGTAGGAGATTATTTGGACATAGCGATTAACCCTCTTAATCAGGTGCCACCTCCTTCAGGGCACATGAGATCATATTAAATTCTTTTTGAGATAGGGTCTCACTATGTTGCCCAGGCTGGTCTTTAACTCCTGGGCTCAAGCAATCTTCCCACTTCAGCCCGCCAAAGTGCTGGGATTACAGGCATGAGCCACCACACCCAACAAGATGGTATTAAATCTCTTTACTGTTTCTTGAATGTATTTTTCAGTCAGTTTTGTAAAATAAAAACGTACATACTTTTTCCTCTCCTGCTTATTGCCCTTAAGCCTTTAAATTCTAAACAAATTGTAATGCATCCTATTTAGGAGCTAGATTTGGTGATGTGCTATTGTATGATTACTAATAGAAAATCTGGGCAGGGCGTAGTGGTCCATACCTGTGATCCCAGCACTTTGGGAGGCCGAGGCCGGTGGATCATGAGGTCAGGAGTTTGAGACCAGCCTGGCCAATATGGTGAAACCCGGTCTCTACTAAAAATACAAAATTAGCTGGGCATGGTGGCACGCACCTGTAATCCCACCTACTTGGGAGGCTGAGGCAGAAGAATCCCTTGAACCCAGGAGGCGGAAGTTGCAGTGAGCCAAGATGGCACCACTGCACCCCAGCCTGGGCGCCAGAGCAAGACTGTCTTAAAAAAAGAAAAGAGAAAGAAAATCTGTATGTTTCTAGCCCTTCTGTAAAATATGAAGAAAAGTGCTCTTAGCACTCTGTGTAAAACTGTACTGTTAAATATATGTAATTTAAAAAAAAAAAAAACCAGCGTGGAGCTACTTTGGAATTGAGGGTTGGGGAGGCCAAAGCTACATTTGCTGAGTGTCTGCAGCAAGCTCACTTCAAAACATCCAGTCCAGTGGTGCCGAAACCGAAGCTCAGAGAGGTGGAGCCACAGAGCCACAGCAAGGAGCCAGGCCTCTGTGTCCCCAGGGTAGTGTGTGTTCTAACACCTGCCTCAGTGCTGGCAAGTCGTTTTTTGGAAAAACGTAAAGATGATGAAATGAAGCGTCAGGGGAGGCAAAATGGCCAAAAGTGGCAGCTTGGAAACTAAGCCCAAATAGTTTCCATTGGGGAAAAATATATGTAATTACTTTTAGATTCCTATTTCTCCCTTTCCCCACTTCCCCTAATTTTTCCCTCAGCTTTTCTTTAGTTAGTGCTTTTCTTTGGTATACTGGAGTTTACCGGTTTCTGAAAACATCACTGTTTTTTAGTTTTATTTTACCGTACTACGGAAAGTGTGTCTTTTCCAACTAGCCTTATAACAAAATGTCCTAAGCCAAATAGTGCTGAATTACTTAAAATATCAGTTACTGTCTTTGTAAATAAGAACTACATTCTTTCTTCTTTTTTTTTTTTTCCGAGACAGAGTTTCGCTCTTGTTGCCCAGGCTGGAGTGCAATGGCGCAATCTCAGCTCACCACAGCGTCCGCCTCCTGGGTTCAAGTGATTCCCCTGCCTCAGCCTCTTGAGTAGCTGGGATTACAGGCATGCGCCACCACCCCGGCTAATTTTGTATTTTTTTTTTTAGTAGAGACAGGGTTTCTCCACGTTGGTCAGGCTGGTCTTGAACTCCCGACCTCAGGTGATCTGCCCACCTCAGCCTCCCAAAGTGCTGGGATTATAGGCACGAGCCACTGCGCCCGGCCAGAACTACATTCTTAAAATAGTATTGGTAATTACATTGTGTAAGCATATTCTGTTCTTCTAAAATTCAGAATATGAATATGTCAGACTATACAGTACACTTTTGTTCCTTATGAAATGATTTAAACTAGAAAAGTACCTTAAAAATGCTAATCATATTAGTCATATGTTGCTTAACAATGGGGCTACATTTTGAGAAATGTATCGTTAGGTGATTTTGTTGTTGTGCAAACATCACAGAGTGTACTTAATGTAAGCTTAGATGGTATAGCCTACTTACATACCTAGGCTGTATGGTATAGCCCATTGCTCCTAGGCTACACACCTGTATAGCATGTTACTGTACTGAATACTGTAGGCCAGTGGTTTCCAGCCTTTTTGGCACCAGCGACCGGTTTTGTGGAAGACAGTTTTTCCATGGACCGGGGACAGGGGGAGATGGTTTCAGGATGATTCAAGCGCATTACATTTGTTGTGTACTTTATTTCTATTAGTGTTACATTGTAGTATATACTGAATTAATTACACAGCTTACCATAATGTAGAATCAGTGGGAGCCCTGAGCTTGCTTTCCTGCAGTTGAACGGTCCCATCTGGTGGTCATGGGAGACAGTGACAGATCATCAGGCATTAGGTTCTCATAAGGAGCACACAACCTAGATCCCTGGTGTGCACAGTTCACAGTAGGGTTTGCACTCCTATGAGAATCTGTGCCACTGCTGATCTGACAGGACGTGGAGCTCAGGCGGTCATGCGAGCTATGGGGAGCAGCTGTAAACACAGATGAAGCTTTGCTCACTCACCCACTGCTCACCTCCTGCTGTGTGGCCCAGTTCCTAACAAGGCACGGACCTGTACTGGGTTGGGGACCCCTGCTATAGGCAGTTGTGTTACTAATTGTGTATCTAAGCATATCTAAGCATAGAAAAGGTGCAGTAAATATACAGTATAAAAATGGTACACCCGTACCATTAATAGAATTTGCAAAACTGGAAGTTGTTCTGGGTGAGTCAGAGTCTAGGATACTGTTGTACACTACTGTAGACTTTATAAACACTGTACACAGAGGCTACACTACATTTATTAAAAATTTTTTCTTCAAGTATAAATTAACCTTCACTTACTGTAACATTTTTGCTGTAGAAACTGCCTTTTTTTAACCTTTTTGACTCTCATAATAACACTTAGCTTAAAAAAATCACATTGTACGGTTGTATGAAAATATTTTCTTTCCTTGTATCCTTATTCTATAAGCTTTTTTCTATTACAATTTTTTTTTATTTTTAAACATTTTTTGTTAAGAACTAAGGCACACAACTCATTAGCCTAGGCTTGCACAGGGTCAGGACCATCAATATCACTTTCTTCCATCTCCATCTTGTCCCACTGGAAGCTCTTCAGGGCCAATAACATGCATGAAGCTTTCACCCCCATGATAACAATGCCTTTTCCTGGGATACCCTCCGAAGGACCCGCCTGAGGCTGTTTTGTAGTTAATTTTTTTTTTTTAATAAGTAGAAGTGGTACACTCTAAATTTTTTTTTTTTTTTTTTTGAGATGGAGTCTCACTCTGTCGCCCAGGCTGGAGTGCAGTGGTGTTATCTCAGCTTACTTCAACCTCTGCCTCCTGGGTTCAAGCGTCTCTCCTGCCCCAGCCTCCCAAATAGCTGGGATTACAGGTGCACACCACCGCTCCCTGCTGCTTTTTGTATATTTAGTAGAGACGCAGTTTCTCCATGGTGGCCAGGCTGGCCTCAAACTCCTGACCTCAAGTGATCCGCCTGCCTCAGCCTCCCAAAGTGCTGGGATTACAGCCGTTAGCCACCGCCCCTGCTCTCTAAAATTTAAATAATTAAAAAGTACAGTGCAGGCCAGGTGCCGTGGCTCATGCCTGTAATCCCAGCACTTTGGGAGGCCATGGCAGGCGGATCACTTGAAGTCAGGAGTTCAAGATCAACCTGGCCAACATGGCAAAACCCCCTCTCTACTAAAAATACAAAAATTAGCTGGGCGTGCTGGGATGTGCCTGTAATCCCAGCTAGTTGGGAGGCTGAGGCAGGAGAATCGCTTGAACCTGGAAGGCAAAGACCACAGTGAGCTGTGATCGCGCCACTGCACTCCAGCCTTGGCAACAGAGCGAGACTCCATCTCAAAAACAAAAAAAGTGCAGTACATAAGCCCTCACTTAGTAGCAGTGATAGGTTCTTGGAAACTACAACTTTAAGGGAAACAAGGTGTAACAAAACCAATTTTACCATAGGCTAATTGACATAAACAAGAGTTAAGTTCCTGTGGCATATTCCTGGTCACAAAAACATTACCCAGCTTCTAAATAAAGACTAAAACACTTCTAATACTAAACGTTGAAATGTATATGAGCTTTATATACATTTAAGAAAGTTTAATAGAAACAAGGTAACATTTACCCACTCATTCCCCACTCAGGGTTGAGGGTGGCCAGAGCCTATATCAGCAGCTCAGGGGCAAGGTGGGAGCCACCCTAGACAGGATGCCATCCCATTGCAGGGCGGGTACACACACACACACACACACACACACACACACACACACACACCCCATGTGGGTATGCCGGTGAACCCAACACATGTGCCTTTGGGATGTGGGAGGAAAGCAGAATAACCTGAGAAAACCCACACAGATAGGGGAAGAACAAACAGACTCCACATGGACAGTGGTGCCGACCAGGAATTGATTTTTTTTTTGAGACGGAGTCTAACTTTATCACCCAGGCTAGAGTGCCATGGCGCAGTCTCGCCTCACTGCAACCTCCACCTCCCAGGTTCAAGTGATTCTCCTGCTTCAGCCTCTTGAGTAGTGGGGATTACAGGTGGCCACCACCACGGCCAGCTAATTTTTGTATTTTTAGTAGAGACGGGGTTTCACCATGTTGGGTCAGGCTGGTCTCGAACTCCTGACCTCAGGTGATCCAGCGACCTCAGGTGATCCACCCGCCTTGGCCTCCCAAAGTCCTGGGATTACAGGCATGAGCTGCCGTGCCTGGCCCCCTTTTTTTTTTTTTTTTTTTTTAAATCAGCGTTATAACAAAATGATGTTATTTAAGGGCCTGCTGTATAGTAAATACATAAACCAATAATGTATTCATTTATTATCATTATCAAGTGTTATATACTGTAGATAATTGTTAGGTGCTAGACTTTAATATGGCTGGCAGCACAGTAGGTTTGTTTACACCAGCATCACCACAAGCGCGAGTAATGCATTGTGTGGTGACATCATGACTGCTGGGTTACCAGGTGATAGGAATTTTTCACCTCTGTTGTACTTTTTTTTTTTTTTTCTTCCTCAGTTCATGGGAAGCTCTGTTATACTCTTATGGGACCCCGTCATATGTGTGGCTTAGCATCATTGACCGAAGGGTTGTTCTGCAGTGGATGACTGTATCAAATTCGCCATTCTAAGAAAACTGGGGTTCCATAATTTCACATTTCATATTTTATTAGAATAAAGTAAAGCTAATAGCACTTAAATTGTTTTTGTAAGAAGGATTTAAAAACAAAAAATACAAAGTACTGCTAATTGATTTATGTAACAGATAATGCTTTAACCTAAGGGGTTTACATGCTAAAAATGACCCCTTTGATGTTACCCGAGCATATATACATTTACAGATATGATGTATCAGCTTTAGAGGAGGGGGGAAAATAACCGTCCTTGTTATTTTAAAATCTATGATACTTGAGTATACGTGGAAAAGAGGTGTGATTATCATAGAATGAACTTGAAAGGGATGAAAAGGGTTGACATCCATTCACTTAACAAATATTTGAGCACCTGTTATTTTATTTTATTTTATTTTTGGAGATAGAGTCTCGCTCTGTCACCAGGCTGGAGTGCAGTGGCGCGACCTCAGCTCACTGCATCCTCCAACTCCTGGGTTCAAGTGACTCCTACCTCAGCCTCCCGAGTAGCTGGGACCACAGGTGCGCACCACTACGCCCAGCTAAGTTTTATATTTTTAGTAGAGACGGGGTTTCACCATGTTGGCCAGGATGGTCTCCATCTCTTGACCTCGTGATCCACCTGCCTCGGCCTCCCAAAGTGCTGGGATTACAGGCGTGAGCCACTACGCCCAGCCAGAGCACCTATTATTTTCTCAATGGCTTGGTAGATTCCAGTGGAGAAAATAGGATGAGCAAAGAGAAAAGTCAGATGAGGGACCAGATGGACCTGAATGGAATTAACATGTGGAGACAATAGAGAAATGATTGAATATTTAGGAGGATCTTTGAAGAGTTCTAAAAGGCAGGCCAATATACCTTCTTGTTAATTTTCCCTTTTGTTTACAGGCATGCATGTAGGGAATACCGGATTCATAAAGAGCTGGATCATCCCAGAATAGTTAAGCTGTATGATTACTTTTCACTGGATACTGACTCGTAAGTGCTGTGCTGTTTTACCTTAACAGTTATATTATTTTCTTGCAATGCTGATTGTTCATGGAATAGAGCTGAACTCTGGGTCCAGGACATACCCTCTGAGGGAACCAAGTAATTTGTGACAAATGATCAAACATAAATTCAGATTTGGATCAGCAAGAAACCTCTAGGCCAAAGGACATGTGCACTTGTGTGCCAGTAAATGTTTAACAGCCAGCTTGGTATGAAGAGAGACAGGGCTAATTTATAGTGTTTGCCAGTTTCCGTGGTGTAGATATTCCTCCTGTGTCTAATTTTGATGTACCACCTGTTTATTTTTGTTTTTTTTTAAACATCTTAATTATAATTCACATACTGTATGATTCACACATGTAAAATATACAGTTTAGTGGTTTGTAGCATATTCATAGATACATGCAACCACCAGAGGCAATTTTAGAATTTTTTCACCATCTCAAACCCCATCATACCTTTTACTACTATTCATCTATTCCACCATTCCATCCCTCTGCCCTAGCCCTAATCTGTCTGTTTTATCTTTATAGATTTCCTATTCTGGACCCTCATATGCATGGAATCATATAGTATGTGGACTTTTATTACTGGCTTCTTTCACTTACCATGGTGTTGTCAAATTTCATCCTTGTAGCCTGTGTCAGTACTTCATTCCTTTTTATGGCAAAATAATATTCCATTGTGTGGATATACCACATTTTGCTTATAACGGTTTGATAACCAGCTCACAAAATTCTTGAAAATTTAAGTCAGCTCTTGGAAACTGGCATGAGTTGGTGCCAGCATGCCACTGACGTGCACTAGTGAGTGTAGACTGTTCAAGAGAGTTTCTGCTCACCCCAGAGACTCTTATGAACATTGACAGACCTTTTTAAAAAGTACTGGCCGTGTGATTTTATCCTAGACTGAGATAAGAAATGTGGCACTAATGAAGACAAGGCTCAGTGCTACATGTTGAAATACAGGCTCATAGGCTTATAGGATGTTAGAATAGGAAGGGATCTCAGAGTCCAGCCTTTTCATTTTATAGGTGGATTTTGAGGACCAGAGAAGTTAAATAACTTGTCTGAGATAGTTATTAATTGTGGGCATTGCTATATTTTGTTACTTGGTATAGGTAACCTCCCGTGCCTCTGGGTTTATCCAGCAGTTTAGCTGGATATATCTCAGCATTTGGAAATGTTTCTCTGTAGAAGTCTGAACTGAATCAGAATATACCCTAGGTCTAGACTTCAGGTTCCCTCAGCCTCCCAGGGTAATTCTAGGAGTTTTGGTCTGTTCTAGCCAACAGTCTCAGATATGGCTGTGCAGACAGCTGCCTTACATTTAGAAATAACCCCAAAGAGGACTATAATTCCCTTTGGAAACATGACCTGGGCCATTCTCTCAGGGATTTCTTCTCATTTGGGTAGCCCTGGCACTGAGCTTAGCCATGTGTGTTTCACGTGGAGTGGAATTTTTTTAAAAAGATCTAGTTAGAAGGCAGGATTGGGAAACAAGGGGCGGGGCATGACATTACTGTTTTGCCTTGAGCAAATTTCTTGAATACTAGGTAGACCCCCCTCTCTGAACTATTAAGTTCAAGAACTATTTCAAAGTTAAATATCAGGCTCAAATTATCTGCTGTTTTGAATTGTATACACACTTTTAACTAATGTGAGAAATTGAGTTGGTTCTATACTATTCTTGAGTTGATTACTTTGTTCTTCCTATTGTATGTATGATGAATTTTCACCAAAAATAAGTCAGACCATGATTTTTAGAACATCTTCTGAGAATTGTTTGGGTATTAAAAGTGAGGCTTTATTTTCTTTTCTTTCTTTTGTTTTGGTTGTTTTCCTTTTTTTTTTCCTGAGATGGAGTCTCACTCTGTTGCCCAGGCTGGAGTTCAGTGGTGCGATCTTGGCTCACTGCAACCTCCACCTCCCAGGTTCAAGCGATTCTCCTACCTCAGCCTCCCATGTAGCTAGGATTACAGATGCACGCCACCATGCCTGGCTAATTTTTGTATTTTTAGTAGAGACAGGGTTTCACCGTGCTGGGCAGGCTGGTCTTGAACTCTTGACCTTGTGATCCGCCCGCCTGGGCCTCCCAAAGTCCTGGGATTACAGGCTTGAGCCACCGCGCCTGGCTGAAAGTGAGGCTTTATTTTCAACTTGCATTTGGGTGAAAGAATCATTCCATTGAGCATGAGTCTATATTTCAGATTTCAGAATCTCAGATCAGAGGAATCTATAAATTTCAGACATTTCTTTTTTTAATTTTATTTTATTTGAGATGGAGTCTTGCTCTGTTGCCCAGGCAGTAGTGCAGTGGCATGATCTTGGCTCACTGCAACCTCCACCTCATGGGTTCAAGCAATTCTCCTGCCTCAGCCTCCCAAGTAGCTGGGATTACAGGCATGCGCCACCATACCTGGCCAATTTTTTGTATTTTTAGTAGAGACAGAGTTTCACTATGTTGGCCAGGCTGGTCTCAAACTCCTGGCCTCAAGTGATCCACCCATCTCTGCCTCCCAAATTGCTGGGATTACAGCAGACATTTGTTTTCAAATAGGGTGTTAGCATGCCCTGCCATGTTTCTTAAGATACATAAGATATTGTTCAGTTTGTGGTGTCCACAGGACCATGTGTGTCCATGTTCAATTGCAGTGCTTTATGAAGGCCTCAAATTGCTCAGTGGCCCATAGCGCTAGACCTGAGTCTGTTTGCTCTCAGTTCTGTTCCTCGCCCTTTCGCTGCTCTGTATCTTTGGGGGGTTAGCCCGTGTAGGCTGTGTTTATCAGGCCCATGTGTCCATTGGTGTTCTGTTGGTTTCAGCCAATGGGAAGGCAGAAATGGGAGGGGGTCTCCACCTCCTCTCCCTCCCCGCAATTCTAGTTTCCCCTGATGACCCTGGGTTCTGGTTTCACCATCTCCTCCCTTCTGGCCTGCTTGCCTGAGGGTGCTAATGGCTTCCTGCTGTAGATGATCTCTAGGGTGCCTCACTGACCAGTTTGTCTTCTCAGCTCTTCCATCATCTGTATGATCAGTTCCCTGAATTAAAGTCTCTCTGTTTTAAATGTTCAGGTGGTTTTTTTTTCCAGGCTAAACTGACTGATACACCCACATTGTCACAACTTAGAAAACTTCAAAACGTATTCATCCCTCAGGAATATTCAAACAGTTCAGGACACCTTACTTCAGAGTATAATGCCTTGGAAGATAGACACGTGACCTGTGATGCCACCAATGGCATATGGTTTTATGTATGGGTCTGTATGACATATTGACATAAGGGAAGGAAAGAGAACCCACATACTTTTGTTAGAACCATAGATACTATACTTTACAAGCTCTTTTACACCTTGTGTTTAAGAGAAATTGTAGTGCAGTATTGTGCCAAGCTGTCAGAAGACGTAGTATGCAGTCAGTTTTTGGGACGTGGGCAAACTCTAGATTCTTACTCATTGCCAGCACTCAGGGTTATATAAAATGTTTGCAGTGCGAATTGTGTACCTAGCCAAAATTGCGCCACTGCACTCCAGCCTAGGCAGCAGAGTGAGACGGAGTCTCAAAAAAAAAAAGAGAGAATTGTGTACTTGATCACATTCTGGTTGTTTAGACGTGGATGTGTGGCATGGGTGTGTAAAGGAGCCCCTTCCAAGAAGATACCTAGCTTAAATACATTATAGTTCTTATCAGTATTCTTATAGTCTAGACTCAAGAAGAGGTCTGCCATGGGTGAACTTGAGCACAACAGATTCCAACATTGAGGGTGTGGAAACTCTTCAAGAGAATAAGCAGTTTCTTACCAGAAACCCCTCAGCTAATACTGAATAAACAATTGAAGAGTATTTTAAGGAACAAAGAAGAAAGGAGTGAGAAGCTGATGACCTGAAGTTTTCACATGGGACTAATTTAGGTAGTGTTAATCTGCTTGCTCTTATTCCATGGTTAAATATTGGTTTATTTGTCTTTAGGTTTTGTACAGTATTAGAATACTGTGAGGGAAATGATCTGGACTTCTACCTGAAACAGCACAAATTAATGTCGGAGAAAGAGGCCCGGTCCATTATCATGCAGATTGTGAATGCTTTAAAGTACTTAAATGAAATAAAACCTCCCATCATACACTATGACCTCAAACCAGGTATGTCTAACTTTTAGGAGACAGTATTAGTGGGTTTTCTTTGGTCTTATAAGTGACTTTTAATTTGATAAAGTTAGAGAATTTCACAGCAGCCAAGAAAGGCTAATAACATCTGACTTTTGATTGCCTGGGTAGGTGTGGGAAAAAAGAGTCCTGGCCAAGCAGCACTGGGTTTAGGAGGGCGTGTTGGATTAAATACTCTGGAGAAACAATACCTTTATCTTTGGAGCCAGGGCAGTTCATGATGTAAGTCTCATTAAGAAAGAACTGTTGCAGCAAGTTCAGTTTTGTTTTTTTCCCATGACTCCTACTACATAACAGTCCCTCTGCTTCAGGTCTCTTTGATAAGAGCCCCCAAATTAATAACTTATTTTTACTTATATGCCTCCCATTTCAATAAATTTCAAGCAGAATTTTTCATCTTTTTGTATGGTTATTATCTAGCTTTGATGTTCATCAGCAAAGAGTACAGGGCAGCTAGAGTCCTTACCTCTATTTTTTATTGTTATCTTCAGCTGTGTTTTAGAAATCTGCATAGTTCTATAGACAACTCTAACAGCTTAGCTTGGGCATTAGGAAGATGGTCCACATTTACCTTCTGGTGTTGCAAAATTGTAAACTTTGCTTTACTCTTCTGGTAGGTGCATATTGCGTCTCATTGACTATTCTCTAATGTTCTAATACAATTCAGATGACTAAAACATTAATTATGATGAAGAAATTTTTTAAAAGATGGCTATTTTGTGAATGAATTTTCCATAACTGAATTCAACACTTTCCTGCAATGGGAGCTGTAGGCGGTGCTGTGGTGCTAGCTTTGGTTTCCTTACATGGTTTCTTTGATTCCTCCCCCACACCCCAAGTGCTGTTCTAAACAGGGTAGTTTAGAGATCCTCACTGAAAGTTCAGATGAAAGTTTCCCATCAGTTTTGACCAAGTGAACAAGGGTATTTTACTTTGGCCAGTTATTTTTATTTCCAGAGCTCATCATAGTGGTGGTTTTGGCACATTAAGCAGGTGATTCTTGGAAAATAGAAGTTTCAGCAGATGCTGAGGACTCTCCCTGAGTATCCAGAGTCCAGATTGCTTGATTCCCAGGATTTGGATGTTTGCTTTTGCAAGAGTTTGAGTTCAGTTGTCCCCTTCTTATCTGCTATTACTTTGGGTTTTTCTCTTAAATCAGTAAGTCTCTGCTTATTCATGAAGGTTTTTATTTTTTAGGTAATATTCTTTTAGTAAATGGTACAGCGTGTGGAGAGATAAAAATTACAGATTTTGGTCTTTCGAAGATCATGGATGATGATAGCTACAATTCAGTGGATGGCATGGAGCTAACATCACAAGGTGCTGGTACTTATTGGTAGGTATCCAGGAGCTCTGCCAGGTTGGCTATAGAGATGTGGCTCTGCTATGCTGAAGTGTTGATAATGAATTAATTGCTGTATGCTATCTGCTAGGCAAAAATGCCATAAACCAAAGCAGACTTTCTCCCCAAATCATTACTGTCTTTTCAACAGTTTGACTCTTGGTATTTATATTAATTTGTCTTAATTTTTCTTTCCTTTCTTGAAAATCCTTAAGAAAGAGAGCTTATATGTGTCCAGGTATTTGAAATGTATGTTTTTTGTACAGAGTTGGCCTTGCAAGTCAGTAGAGAACAAGGTTGCTCATGTGTATATAAAGAATGGCCCCAAAATCTTTCCGTCCAAATACAGGTCTCTCTTCATGGGTTAATGGGATAAGGGATTTGTCTCAAGAGTTGCCTGAGGATGTTGGACTGTAGGGAGTTATGAAGATCAGGATGAAACATAACTATAGCGCATATGAAATCTATACAGGAAAAAGTGACTACAATTTACCAGAAGTTTATCCATGTCTGTTAGCCATGATCTAAAAGTTTTTGAGGCACATTTCTTCACATCTCTTGTCACCTGTCTTCCCCTAGCCACCCGCACCCAAGCTACCTCTGCCTGCCAGTTTTATGCTTCTATTTCTGCCTACTATTACCTTTGGCCATTAGAACCATAAAAGATACCTGAAACTCAGGCCTTTAACTCTATGGTTGTAAAAGTGTGTTAATAAAGCTTCCTCTTCCATTTTGAGGTGGTCACACAAGCCACATATTGGTGTATATAAAGAATGGCCCCCAGTTTTTTTTAGTCCAAATACAAGTCTCTCTTCCTGGCTTAATGGGATGAGGGATTTGCTTCAAGAGTTGCAAGAGAAGGCTCTATAGCACCAACGGAGGGGCAACACATGTTATTTGTACCCTAGGGAAGGTGGTCAAATCACTTTATCTTTGGAACTGAAAGGTCCTAGGCCTTAGCAGAGAGTACTGACTGTCTGGGAATCAGAGGTAGAGGAGGAAGCAGAGGGGCATGGCGTTCACAACACAGCATCAGCCCTGTGCTCATCGTGAAGCCTGCCAATAACACCATGGACACAATGCCCCGGTTTCTGTTGCTCCTTACTGCTTGTGGAAATGGTACCTGTTGTAAAAAGTCAGTCCCTAAATTAAAACTTTGAAATTACAGATTTAAAATAGAAGCTGCATTTACAATGTTTATTCACTGTGGTGGTTATTGTGGGCTAGTGTTCCTGTCACTAAGTGATACAAAAATATCTGCTGCTGGAAATTCTAGAAACAGGTCTATACCTCTGCTATATAAATTCACTGGAATTTGGATTTGAGCTTTGTGTTTGATCTTTTTTTTTTTAAGGCACAGTTTTTTTGCATTTAAAATAGTTACTGCTGTAGTTGCTTACCTACAAAAATTCAGTGATTAGAATTTAAGTAAAAATTATGTGATGCTAGGGATTTTGCTTCAAAGTAGTCTGTTGGGAGAAATGGTGGAGATTGGCCACATGTTGATAATTCTTGAAGCTGGATGGTGCTTACTTAGGGGGTCATTTTACTGTTCTTTCTGCTTTAGATTATAGTTGAGATTTTTAATAATTTAAGACAGGGCTTCTGAGAAGATTAAGTGTTACAGGTTTCTATGAAGGTTTGAAGAGTCTCCAAATTGGTAGAAATACTGTCATAATCACTATCTTCAGTATGTCAGATAAAAATAATCCTGAAGGGTATAACAAATTATAAGTAACTATTTGCAGTATTTACTGGTTACAGAATTCTTCTACATTGAATACTTTATTTATTTATTTATTTATTTATTTATTTATTTATTTATTTATTTATTTGAGACGGAGTTTCGCTCTTGTTGCCTGGGCTGGAGTGCAATGGTGTGATCTCAACTCACTGCAGCCTCCGCCTCCCGAGTTCAAGTGATTCTCCTGCCTCAGCCTCTCAAGTAGCTGGGTTTACATGCACCCGCCACCACGCCCAGCTAATTTTTTTGTATTTTTAGTAGAGATGGGGTTTCACCATGTTGGCCAGGCTAGTCTTGAACTCCTGATATCAGGTGATCCACCCGCCTCGGCCTCCCAAAGTGCTGGGAATATAGGCGTGAGCCACCACGCCTGGCTGAATACTTATTTTAAAGAAGTGACCCATAGACTATGCCTTGAGAATAATTGTTTTTTTGTATGGGGATTTTGATTGTGATGGAATATGCAACTATATACATATATATATATATATTTTTAGCACAGTTTAGTATCATAGAGCTGTCTTTTACTCTCCTCTCAAAATCCTTGATAGTAAGTTAGAATGCTTATTATTTTCAGTATTATTTGGATGAAGAATTAATTTCATTCACTTACAGGTGGAGAAACTGAGACCTAGAAAGGGATTTGCCAGACATGTACAATCAAGTGACAGGTCTTTTTATATTCTAAAAATCTTGCTAGCCAGGTGTGGTGGCTCATGCCTGTAATCCCAGCACTTTGGGAGGCCAAGGCGGGCGGATCATGAGGTCAAGAGATCGAGACCATCCTGGCCAACATGGTGAAACCCCGTGTATACTAAAAATAAAAAAATTAGCTGGGCGTGGTGGTGCACGCCTGAAATCCCAGCTATTCGGAGGTTGCAGTGAGCTGAGGTCACACTACTACACTCCAGCCTGGCAATGGAGCGAGACTCTGTCTCAAAAAAAAAAAAATCTTGCTAACTTATTTTTCTGCATTTGGATGAGTTCAACAACTCCTATTCTTTCCTGCCACTGCCATAAAAAAGTCACAAATATATTTAAATGGTCATTTTAGAATTAAGGTTATACTTATCCAAGATCATATTTAAGTTATGTATATTAAAAAATCAAGAACTGGCCAGGTGCAGTGGCTCATGCCTGTAATCCCAGCACTTTGGGAGGCTGAGGCGGGCGGATCACGAGGTCAGGAAATCGAGACCATCCTGGCTAACACGGTGAAACCCTATCTCTACTAAAAATACAAAAAATTAGCCCAGCGTGGTGGCACACGCCTGTAATCCCAGCTACTTGGGTGGCTGAGGCAGGAGAATCGCTTGAACCTGGGAGGCAGAGGTTGCAGTGAGCCGAGATCGTGAGTGAAGTGGGACTAGTGAGAATATTTACCACTCTTAGGAAATTGAGAACTATTTTGATGCCCTATAGGGACATTACTGCCTCCCTAAGTTAGAGTGTCTTTTCTTACTTTGAGATGGGGGTCTCACTCTCTTGCTGGAGTGCAGTGGCATGATCTTGGCTCACTGCAGTCAACCTCCCCCAGGCTCCGGTGATCCTCCCGCCTCAGCTTCCCAAGCAGCTGGAGCTACAGGGGTGTGCTACCAGGCGCAGCTAATTTTTGTATTTTTAGTAGAGATAGGGTTTCGCCATGTTGCCCAGGCTGGTCTCAAATTCTTGAGTTCAAGCGATCTGCTGGCCTTGTCCTCCCAAAGTGCTGGGATTACCACACCCCGCCTAGAGTGTCTTTTCATTGACTTTCCATATAAGTCTAAGTTGACTGTTAAAATTCATATATTTTGGCCAGGTGTGGTGGGTCACACCTATAATCCCAGTACTTTAGGAGGTCGAGCTGGGAGGATCACTTGAGTCCAGGAGTTTGAGACCAGCCTGGGCAACACAGTGAGACCCCACTGCTACAAATTTTTTTTAAAAACTACCCAGGCATGGTGGTGCCTGCCTTTAATCCCAGCTACTTGGGAGGCTGAGGTGGGGAAACCACCCGAGCTCGGGAGGTTGAGGCCGTAATGAGCCATGATCACGCCACTGTACTCAGCCTGGGTGACAGAGCAAGACCCTGTCTCCAAAAAAAAAAAAAAAAAAAACGATATTTCTATTTTCAACAAGATATTTTATTTTGTCTTTTTGTACATGTCTTAAACTTATATGATCATTATTCTAATAATTTATATTTCTTTTTTGTCCCAGGTATTTACCACCAGAGTGTTTTGTGGTTGGGAAAGAACCACCAAAGATCTCAAATAAAGTTGATGTGTGGTCGGTGGGTGTGATCTTCTATCAGTGTCTTTATGGAAGGAAGGTAAGTTAGAAGGTTGATGGAGAAGCTTGATCTCTTTCTTGGGTGGCACACACACACACAGTGCCTTGGTATGGATTAGTCTATTGGAGTTAATTATTGGGTTATACAAAATAGAATCCTGAAAGGAGTGGTTTAAAGAAAATACAGACTTAATAATACAAGCCTTATTCGTAAGCAGAAATCCTCAACCCTAGGGCACCTAATGAGTTCTGCGGGGCTGTTAAAAACATGCACTTTTGCTGTTCTCAATTAGATCTGGAACATGTATTTATTCTGATAGTGTGTATAGGGATTTACAAAAATCGTTTATTTATTAAAGTATACAATCTTCCCAAGAACCTGGGGGCCCCAAGAACCAAAACTCAAAATATCCCCAGAATCTTTATCGCCAGCCATCCCATTAGTTGAACCTATTATTAATGAAAGCGTGCTTTATATTTCTATACTGGGGAGATGGTGTCAGGATGTATTCATTGTTACCTCTGATCAAGGTGACATATTTCAACAAGTGGTAAACTACACCTAATGAATTGTCACATTTGTTTTTCCTTGTGAACATGCCTTATAAATGTATATATTAGGATCCATTTGTGTATTTATGTTCCTATTGCTGTTTTTGTGTGTTTGTTTGTTTCAGTGTTTCCCAGTAGGCTGTGGGTATAAGCCAGATGGGAGTTCTGTGTGTCCTTTGAATTCTTAATATTTTGATTACATTCCCCAGACCAGGCTCTTAATTCAGATTATACCTTCCTCTTTAGCTTCTCCTTGGTCTTTTTTTTTTTTTTTTTTCTATCTCACCTCTCTAAAACAGGGAAACTATTCAGAGGTAGTAGGCTTAATTATTATTTACATTCCCTGACAATGTTGAATTGCTGCCGATAACAGCAGTAGAAATTATCTAGAAATAACTGTTTGAGAGAGATCTCAGTAGAACCAGTATAGAGAGACTTGAGTTGAACTTGTTTTTAAGAGTTTATTAGAAAATGGCAGCTCGGTGACCAGGCGTGGTGGCTCACACCTGTAATCCCAGCACTTTGGGAGGCCGAGGCAGGTGGATCACAAGATCAGGAGATCGAGACCATCCTGACTAACATGGTGAAACCCCGTCTGTACTAAAATTACCAAAAAAAAAAAAAAATTAGCCGGGCGTGGTGGCGGGTGCCTGTAGTCCCAGCTACTCGGGAGGCTGAGGCAGGAGAATGGCATGAACCCGGGAGGCAGAGCTTTCACTGAGCTGAGATCATGCCACTGTACTCCAGTCTGGGCGACAGAGCGAGACTCCATCTCAAAAAAAAAGACAAAGGAAATGGCAGCTCGGCATAGTTGAAGCCATTAAGTAACCCCAACTCTTTCTTTTTCCCACTCTGTCCTTACCCCTCTTGGTTTTGACTTCCTTTCCTTCTCTTTTTCTGTTTTTTGAGTTGGCCTGAGGCACAGGTGTGTATTTCTTAGGGCCGCATGTATCCCTCAGAGCAGGTGAGGTTGCTGGGTCCTGCTCTAGATCTCCCTTTTCTCTGGTGTGAGCAAAGCTTAGCAGAGCATTAGGATATAGGAGATGCTGCTTCTGGTCCCCACTCTGCTTTGACCTGGTAGTTGAACTGTGAGCAAGTTACATATGCTCTGAGCTCTCAACCCCTTTTATCTATAAAGTGAGAGAACTAGAGGGGATTGTCTCCAGAGTTCCTTGCAGCAATTCAAATTAGAAGATGTCTTATCCTTTTCCTTCCCTGGGGTATTGAATTGTTTTCTCTATAATTTTCATCAGAGGCCTACATTATTTGTTTGTTTTTATGTGACAGCCTTTTGGCCATAACCAGTCTCAGCAAGACATCCTACAAGAGAATACGATTCTTAAAGCTACTGAAGTGCAGTTCCCGCCAAAGCCAGTAGTAACACCTGAAGCAAAGGTAAGTTTTGTTTGACCCATTGGCCAACAGAAACGGCTGCTTTGCTTTCTGTATTACTTTTTTGGGTAATAGTGGATGGATTCTTCAGTGTGAAATTCAGCAGTTAATAAAAATATTAGGATAGGCATGAATTAATGTTCCTAAGAACACTTGACAGAAGAACATTGCTTACACCCTGACCACCCCATCCCCAGTTCCAGTAGAAGGAATGTTGATAGGTGGGTGTTTTAATCTGGAAAGGCTCCCTAGAGTCAGAAAGGGAGGGAGAGCAGACTCCAGTTGAGAGAGAACAGGTGTGTGGATGTCACGAAAGATACCCAGCTTCATCTGTATTCAGGGATTATGATTAATTTGGGGAGCTAATGCCCATGTAGGAGAAATTATATAAGAGTACTAAGGCATTTGTATTAGTCTGTTCTCATGCTGCTAATAAAGATATACCCAAGACTGGGTAATTTATAAAGGAAAGAGGTTTAATTGACTCAGCTCAGCATGGCTGGGGAGACCTTAGGAAACTTAGGTAACCACCCCCATGATTCAGTTACCTCCCACCAGGACCCTACCATGACACGGGATTATGGGAACTACAATTCAAGATGAGATTTGAGTGGGGACACAGCCAAACCATATCAACATTATAGGGTTAAACGTCAGGTGAATGGTAAGCAGTAAATTCTGTTGCAGTTGGTGAGGGCATAAAAAACTCGTGAGGCAAAGGAAACATGGAATGGGAAGTGGTGAAAAGGAAGCTATAAATAATCACTCATCCTTGCCACATCTGTAAACCAAGATTCTAGTAGCCAGCCTACTTTTTCCTTGCTATTTTATTTATCTCTATTTATTAACCAGTTCTACTTAGGTGAGTGGTAGCCAGCCCCATTGGGTGCTGTGGTCATTTAGCATTTTTAAAGTCAAAGTGAGCAGTTATAAGTCTTTTGTTGTTGTTGGTTTGAGACAGAGTCTCACTCTGTCACCGTGTCTGGAGTGCAGTGGCATTATCACGGCTCACCACAGCCTCGACCTCCCCAGGCTCAGGTGATCCTCCCACCTCTGCCTCCCAAGAAGCTGGGACTACAGGTGTGCACCACTGCTCCTGGCTATTTTTTTGTATTTTTTGTAGACAAGGGGTTTCGCCGTGTTGCCCAGGCTGATCTCGAACTCCTAGGCTCAAGCCATCCGCCTGCCTCAGCCTCCAAAGTGCTAGAATTATAGGTATGAGCCACTGTGCCCAGCCAGTTACAAGTCTAATCTCTTTCTTCGGTGTTTGATCTCTGCCGTTCCCTCACAGTGTACCTATGTGACATAGGTTAGGAAAGAACCTCTTTTCCAAGTGGTTTAGCTGCCATGTCACAGGGTAAGAATTAACATCTTTAGCAGTTGTTTATAATTCCTGACTGATGGCTCCCTGTCCCCATTGTTCAACAGTTTAAGTACTGCATAACCAAGAAATCAAATCTGCAAGGGAGAAGTCCCATGACACATCCCTAAGGCAAATGCTGATTTCCTGACTTGTCCTAGGAGAGCTGGAGAGAGGCTCAGCTTTGAAGCCTGGTTAACCTAATTTTGGTGTCAGCTCTACACTCAGTAGTAGCTGTGTAACTTTAGGCAAGTTAAACCTTTTAAGCTGCTTTTCCTTATCCATAAAAACAGAGACAAAAACATCTTCCTTAAAAGGTGTTAGTAGCTAGGTGCAGCGCTGTGCACCTGTAATGTGCTATGATCATACCTATGAATAGCCACTGCACTCCAGCCTCAGCAACACAGTGAGACCCTGTCTCAAAAAAAGAAAAAGAGAAGGGTGGTTGTGAGGTTTAAGAGGACTGGTAGCACCTAACCCTTGGCAGATTCTCTAGCTAGCTGCTCTCACTACCCATGCCACAGCTGCCACCCAGAGTCGATACTGAGGGACTTGAATACATTGTCTGGTAGATGTTTAATTCTCCTAATCTGTCAGGTTTTTCAAGACTATTTCTTTATATAACTTTTGTCAAATTTTCATGTTTATTCAATAAATAGGTGAACAAATGTCTCCAAAACTTTAGAGTCTGTTAGATGAACTTGTTGTGAAGAATACAGAAGTATCTCCAAATGTTTCTGTGCATTATCTCCTGTGTCCCTGTTTCTCCTAATCCTACCCTCTTCTCTTCCTGTCCTCCCACAACAAATATTTACTGAATGCCTGTGAAACACTAAGACACTATTCCGGGTAGTGGAGATGGAATCGAATATGTAGCAGTGAACTCTGCAGAACAGTTCCCTACCCTTAAGGAGTTTATATTCCACTTATGAGAAAAACAATAAAACAAAAAGTGGATACATTTCAGATGGTGACACATGTTATGAAGAAATAAATCAGAGTAGGGGGATGAGGAGGTGGAAACCTCTTTTTTTGATGGCATGGTTAGGGAAGGCCTCAAAGATGAAGTGACAGTTTGAGCAGTATCTTGAATGGTATGAAGGTGGGAGCCATGATTTGCAGGAGCCGTTAGATCTGCAGGGGAAAGTATTTTAGCAGAGAGAAGCTCAGATGTGAGAATGAGCTTTTTGCAGGTCCACAGAGCAAATGGGAAGGTGGTAAGAGAGGCAGGAGGGTGAGGGTAAGTGTGAGGGAAGGCAGTTGCAGGTTTTAATCAGGGCAACTATGTGAGTTGATTGCTGTTTTAAGAGCTGACACTGGCAGCTACAGAGAAAATTCAAGGTAAATGAAGTTTACTTGGCTGAGTGCCATGGATCACACCTGTAATCCTATGGGAAGATGAGGTGGCAGGATTGCTTGAGGCCACAAGTTTGACACCATCTTGGGAAACATAGTGAGACCCATTTCTACAAAATATTTTAAAAGTAGCTAGATGTGGTGGGGCACGCCTTTGGTCCTAGCTACTTGGGAGGCTGAGGTAGAGGATCACTTGAGCCCAGGAGTTTGAGAGTACAATGAGCTATGATCATGCCCGTGCACTCCAGCCTGGGTGACAGAACGAGATCTTGTCTCTAAAAAAAGTTTTAAAAAACAGTTTGACCAGTATTTAAGCCAAGATAACCTGTTTAACTCCAATTCCTTGTCTTTCACCTAGAAAGGCTCATTTTTAAAGGCCAAGGATCATTATGTTCATTTCTATGAATTGTTTTTATCTTCCAAATGCTTTAACCAAGCCAGTACCTGTAAGTCTTTAATTTTGAAAAACCAGATTGGCATTGTATTATTAATTTGTTTATCAAACATGGGGGAAAACCAAAAAATCAGTAGCTTGATTCATGTTGTAGATTTTGTTTCAAATCAACTTTGCTTTTTAGAGCATTTTTAGGCTCATAGCAAAACTGAAAGTATAGAGTTCCCTTATACCGCCTGCTGTACCCATGCACAGCCTCCGCATCGATATCCCCTGCCAGAGCAGTCCATTCGAGAGAGCCAATGAACCTATCTGTACCGACACATCACATCCTTGTCACCCTCATGTAAAATACTGAGTTTCTGTAATAATGATGTTTTAGATTTTTTTAAATTAATTTATTTAAAATAGTTATATTGAAACTGATTAAACAGAACTAGCTAAAAAATAGGAAGAAAGCAAGCAGGAAAAGACAGATAATCTATATAAGGGCCTTTATGCTAAGACTTACAGAAACTAAAACTACATAGCCTCCATATTGGTAGTCAACTGGAATTCCGTGTGCAACCCCACTCACTGCATTTTTGGGTCTACAGTATTATTGCAGATGCAAGTCCTTTTCACGTTTCCCTTTACGACATAGGGAAATAATTTTATAACCTGTGACACATCATAGTGTTAGTCGTTGTGTGTCTCCTGACACTTCATATGGTGACAGAATTTTCGCTTCCTCAGGAAGTTCACATGAGGCCATGGTTTGTAGATGGAGGACCGTGAAGTTAGATCGTTCCCATCCAAACCAGCGAAGACAAAGAGAGATTTTTTTTTTTTCTGTTGGTCTTAGTGCTTTGGGGGCAGGAGTATTTAGAGGTCATGCTTCCTTTTTCCTCCCTTCAGTAATGGCTCAGCCCTTTCTGTCTGAGAAGGGATCGGTGGCAGCAGAGAGGTACTTCTGTTGGTGCTTCTCCTTCCCTTGTGTTCTTTGGGTCTGCCTGGTGATTTCTGAGGAAGGCCTTAAGCCCCTTCTCTTTAGTTGATATTTGCTCTGGGCCCTGGCAGCCGATAGAGAGCCTTAGGGTTCCCTCCAGGGGTGCCAAGACTATCTGCCTCTGTCTTCAAGAAACTCTCCTTTGCAGGCGTTTATTCGACGATGCTTGGCCTACCGAAAGGAGGACCGCATTGATGTCCAGCAGCTGGCCTGTGATCCCTACTTGTTGCCTCACATCCGAAAGTCAGTCTCTACAAGTAGCCCTGCTGGAGCTGCTATTGCATCAACCTCTGGGGCGTCCAATAACAGTTCTTCTAATTGAGACTGACTCCAAGGCCACAAACTGTTCAACACACACAAAGTGGACAAATGGCGTTCAGCAGCGGGTTTGGAACATAGCGAATCCGAATGGATCTGATGAAACCTGTACCAGGTGCTTTTATTTTCTTGCTTTTTTCCCATCCATAGAGCATGACAGCATCGATTCTCATTGAGGAGAAACCTTGGGCAGCTCCGGCCAGGCCTTGTAGGAAAAGGCCCCGCCCGAGGTTCCAGCGTCAACGGCCACTGTGTGTGGCTGCTCTGAGTGAGGAAAAAATTAAAAAGAAAAACTGGTTCCATGTACTGTGAACTTGAAAACTTGCAGACTCAGGGGGGTCCCTGATGCAGTGCTTCAGATGAAGAATGTGGACTTGAAAATACAGACTGGGCTAGTCCAGTGTCTATATTTAAACTTGTTCTTTTCTTTTAATAAAGTTTAGGTAACATCTCCTGAAAAGCTTGTAGCACAAAGGCTCAGCTGGGGATGGTGTTTGACTTCGGAGGAAAAAAGTTGCTATTGCCCGTTAAAGGCACTAGAGTTAGTGTTTTATCCCTAAATAATTTCAATTTTTAAAAACATGCAGCTTCCCTCTCCCCTTTTTTATTTTTGAAAGAATACATTTGGTCATAAAGTGAAACCCGTATTAGCAAGTACGTGGCAATGTTCATTCCAATCAGATGCAGCTTTCTCCTCCGTCTGGTCTCCTGTTTGCAATTGCTTCCCTCATCTCAGTAGGGAAAAAATTGAGTGGGAGTACTGAGATGTGTGGGTTTTTGCCATTGGACAAAGAATGAGGTTAGAAGACTGCAGCTTGGAGTCTCTCTAGGTTTTCAACTATTTCTTCACAATTTGAACACTTGACGGTTGTCCCTTTTAATTTATTTGAAGTGCTATTTTTTTAAATAAAGGTTCATCTGTCCATGCAGTCCTCTTGGATTCTCTGAATGTAGTAACTATGAAGCTATGCCAAAGGTAGGCAGAAAATGGGCTTGGGAGCCAGACACTCCAGGGATCAGTAGTTCCTACCCATAGTCTTTGTGTGCTTGCTAAATGGTGTACATTTCTTGTTAACCACGTTATTAAAACTTGATCAGCACATAAGCTTTCTTCTGTTAGATCTTTTGGCAGCAAACAACCTTCCCCCCAAGCCTCTGAATTTTGTGGGTGTGTGGTGGTGTGTGTCTGTGTGTGCATGTACACACACACTTTGTCTAGCTCACTTTAAAAGATTCATCAAATGGAATTTTAAAAATAATCTGAAAAGAAATAGATATTTCAGGCCGGGCCTGGTGGTTCACGCCTGTAATCCCAGCACTTTGGGAGGCCGAGGTGGGTGGATCACGAGGTCGGGAGTTCGAGATCAGTCTGGTCAACATGGTGAAACGCCATCTCTACTAAAAATATAAAAATTAGCCTGGCGTGGTGGCGTGTGCCTCTAGTCCCAGCTACCCGGGAGGCTGAGGCAGGAGAATTTCTGGAACCCAGGAGGCGGAGGTTGCAGTGAGCCGAGATGGCACCACTGCAATCCAGCCTAGGCAACAGAATGAGACTCTGTCTCAGAAAAAAAAAAAAAAAAAAAAGGAGAAATAGATGTTTCAAATATGAACATTCTTTTGGCACCAATTTTCTTTTTTAATTTGGTTGTTTCTGAGATGTATGATCAACTGAAGATGGAGCTGAAATGGGAGACGGGTGGCCCCACCGTGCCCTTGAAACAGCAGAGCACTCCTCAGTAGAGAGGGAGGGAGCCAAGAGCCTGAACATGTGGTCGCCAGCTTGGAATGTTACTGACATATGTGGCGAGGGCTTAGCCAGAAATATTTAAAGATGTAGTATTCCGGCCTGTGAGTTGTCTGGGCAGGGAGGGGGAGTCAGAAAGGGTAGAGAGCTCTCAAATAACTCATGACTCTAGTGTTCCTTTCACATGTGAACAGTGTCACTGATGACACATTTTCTAGGACCTTCGTTTGTTTTGTGGACCTGCCTCAGTCTCCTCAGTATCAGGCGATCTTAAGGGAAGATGGAGTGTTTCAAATTGGAGAGAAGTTCATGGGTAGGTATCGTCCTGTGGAATTCTGAATGCAAGGAAGTCAACCCCAGAGGCCTTGGTACCCCCAGCTTTCTAAAACTACTTTATTACAATTTATATGTATATACACATGCACATATAAACGTGTGCATTTATGTATGTGTGTATAGTACCTTTTTTAAAAAAACATTTCCTCCAAGCTGCTAAGCAAAGGGTCTCACAGGTCGAGCACAGTGCTGAGAGGATGGTGTCTGCATAATGAAGACATGGATGAAGCTGAGACCGTGTTCAAACTCACTGAAAACAATGAAGTTCTATTCCTTTTTTCTTCCTCTCCAATGATCTTGCAGTTGATTTGTTTGTTTTTTAATTTTTTAACATTTTTTTAACGTTGAAAAAATGCTGCGTCTTTCTTTAAGCCTTCCCAGTAACTTCCTGCCTTTTTTTTCCCCGTGGGCTTTTAAGTGAAGCTGCAGGATTTTATCTTTCAATCTGCCCTTTCTACCCTTGTCCTATTGAAAGGATGCCCTCTTCCCTTGCTTTTTTGGTCTAGGGCCTGTTTGGAGCTAACTAGGCTTGGCTGAGTCCGGGCAAGACCTTCTTCCGAGGCATGGACAAGCCCCAGAGAACATGCAGAACATTGACCTTTCCATTGACTGTCTTTCAAGCAGCCAGTGAAATCACTAAGTGGGGTTCTTCCATGACATATTTTGTTAATATGGGTTTCACTTTTTCCAAGAATAGTCCCTTGTTGCCACAATGTTGATTTACTTTACACAATGACAGTATGTATTAATTTGTAATTAAACCCATCCAGATTGTTTTAGCCTTTTCCCAATGGGGTGGGGGAGGGAAGAAGGATATTAAAATAAGTTTTAAGAAGCAAATTTCCCAGCCTCTTGATTTGACTCTAGTTCTCCAGCTTCACACAGGGACCTGACCACCTAGGGTGCAGATTGGGAGAATCCTGGCAACAGGCTGAGTCTCAGGGCATTGCAGGCATGGGAATGTGTTGATTCATGCAACACCTTTGGTACCTTCAAGTGTGCCAGGAATGATGCTTGTTGGTGGGAATACAGCAGTGAACAGGACAGGGAACGCCTGGCAATCTAGGAGTCAGCAGTCCGAGAGTAAGGGCCCAGGAGGGAAGGAACTGGGCTCGTGCAGTGTGAGATGGGCAGCTTTAGATGGAGACTCACCAGGAAGAGCTGTATGTCCCCACTTCTGTGGCAGACCTGTACATGTCAGCTATCTAAAAAAGGGTTCTATTTCCCTCCTTCCATCATTCTCATTGCCGAAGCTATCTGCCTCATTTCTTAAGGCAGAATCACAGAAGGGTTAAGAGCCTAGACTTTAGGTTTGGGTTTAGACCCCACCTCTGCAAGCTTCAGAAATATCTCCTTGCACTGTGGGAGTAAGGAGTAGAGATAAGATATGTAAAGTGCCTGGCTTGCTCATAAGAGGGGAATCAAAAAATGTGGTTTAAAAAAAGATCACAAGATCTAGTAGTGGAACCCCAAGTTCACTAGTGTGAGGTTCAGAGCCTTCTACTCACCACATACCACATGCAGACCTTTGAAGAGACTGCCCCTTTGGCTTGAGGTTCAGTATCAACCTCTATCTTACAAGGCCAGCAATCTCCTCTTCCCCTGGCTCCAAAACTGCTTTTGGCTGAACCTGGGAGAAGCATCTCTATGGACAAAGGTGTCCAGCAGCGTCAGCATCACCCGGGAGCTTATAGAAATGCATACTCTCAGGTCCCACCCATTCCTACTGCGTCCGAAAGAGAAGGGGGGGGTGCCTAACAGGCTGTTTCATCCTCCAGGTGTTGCTGATGCAGGCTCCAGTTTGAGAACGCCACTGTAGGCTACCTGACTCCCAGGCGGGATGAACACTGAAGGGTACCAGTCCTGCCACCCTTCCTGCCAGCCAACTACTGCAATAAGGGTGGGGTCATTAGAGAGGGTGGCTATGAGGCCTCTTCTGAACTCACCCACTTGGAAGACAGGACTGTTATTTTCTACACTAGGAAAAAACTCCAACGCTGTCGGCTGTCCGACAGCGTATGATGTCATACATAGTTGCCTTTTTTTTTTTTTTTTTTTTTTTTTTTGAGATGGAGTCTTGCTCTGTCGCCCAGGCTGGAGTGCAGTGGCGCGATCTCGGCTCACTGCAAGCTCCGCCTCCCGGGTCACGCCATTCTCCTGCCTCAGCCTCCAGAGTAGCTGGGACTACAGGCGCCCGCTACCACGCCCAGCTAATTTTTTGTATTTTTAGTAGAGACGGGGTTTCACCGTGTTAGCCAGGATGGTCTCGATCTCCTGACCTCGTGATCCGCCCGCCTCAGCCTCCCAAAGTGCTGGGATTACAGGCGTGAGCCACCGCGCCCGGCCACATAGTTGCCTTTATGGGGAGCACCTGGAGGGCCCCTACAACATATCCCTTGCACAAGTACCTAACAATACACTGAAGAAACATTCACTCGTTCGGGCAAAGCTTCTCACCCTTGGCCTTCTCTTAAAATATAAAACAACTATTTATAACATTTTCCTTTCACCTGAGGGGTCCAGGGCTGCAGAAGGAGCTGGCTAAGACCTGGGTCTGCTTATGAGTCCACCCTGGCCCACTGGATGAGGGAGGGGTGAGGAGGGCCAGGGCTGGATTGCAGCTCTTTGGAAAGCTGGGAGAGAAGAGGTCCCAGGAAGAGGAGGAGGGTTAAAGCGGTGGGGAGTGGCTAGAGACTCAGGTTGCTGTTGAGTTCTGTGGTTGGGTAGGGGGAACCTGCCAGAGGCTGGAAAAACAGGCAGGCCTGGGAGCAGGTCTGGGACCTGGTGGGGGCAGGGAATACAAGAGGGCTATTGTGCTGGGGGAGCCCAGCAGGGGTGTGAGACAGGCTGGAGTCAGCAAAGGGGTGTGTGTGTACATGTGTGAGGCGCTGGGCAGAAGACCCCGTGGTGAGGGGGTCAGAGAGCAGCTGGCTGGCTGACTGACTGACTCCTGGGTGTGGAGGGAAGTGCCCAGCTAGAGAGCTGTGCTGTCCTCAGCCTTGCAAGCAGCCTGCAGCTGTGGTGGCTTCCCCATGTGTCATCCAAGGCTTTTCACCCTGAAAGCTGCTTGGAGAGGGAGCAGAGGTCGATAGCAGAGAGAAGGGGCTCTAGCACTTGTGCTTTGCAAAGAAGTTTCGCGGCTGTGTTGCTTCACAACCTAGCCATATGCAAGGTAGGGGCAACTTGATGGGTTTTTTCCTTCTTTTCCATTTTTTTTTTTTGTTGTTGTTGTGGAGGCAGGCTCTTGTTATGTTGCCCAGGCTGGTGTTGAACTCCTGGACTCAAGTGATCCTTCCACCTCAGCCTTCTGAATTGCTGGGATTACAGGCATTGTGGCACTACGCCCAGCCACTCTCTGATTTTACATGTGGAAACTTAGGCCTAGAGAGGTTTGGTACGAGCAGTGGGTGGAGCAGGAGTGACTGGGGAGGAAGGGCCTACAGGCTTGAACATTGGGTGAGCTGGATTCTATGAGTGCCATCTTTTGGGCAGAGGCTGCTGTGGGTAAGGGCTGCACTTCGGCTCCCCTCCGCCAGACTCCCTTCACTTTGTCCCTCCCCTGCCTCATGGCTTATGGCCCTCAGAAGAAATATACTTGGAGACTCAGCCAGTGTGGGCAGCAGACTGGCTCTGCAGTCCTGGGCTGGAAGTGAACTTAGATGGGAAAATGGAGGCGTGGCTTTGCAGAATGTCAGTGCTGCCTATTCCCTAAGCCCTCTCTGCTCCTGTCATGCTCATAGATTAGGAAGCCATAAGCCTGTCCTGCCCCTAGAAACTGCATCTTCCTGCTCCGGAGTGTCCTAATTGGGTAAGTGAGAATGGGACCCTCTGCCTTGGCTTCCTTAAGGTTGCTGTAAGGCATAAAGGGGTTGTGGGATAAAACAGAGGGTGAGGCTGGTGGCCACTTCCATGTCACAGTGGCCCCAGGAGAGATGTCCAGAGGACATAGATGTCCCCCAGTGGGGGTCTTGGCTTGTCATAGTGTCAGACGTGAGCCCTTTAGCCTGGCTCACATGCCCTAAGAGCAGGGCTTGCCTCTGGGCAGCACATCCAGGAAGGCCTTGCTCCTTTGCATCTGCAACCCTCTCAACCCTCCCCACAACCTTCACACCAATACCCCTCCTCCGGCATTCTCTGCCACGTCAGCTGGACAAAAGTGCCCAGCTTTGGCATCGTAGAACAAGGTCATAGTACAGCCCTGAGTGAGGACTGCGCTCACGCCACAACTCCACAACTTGCTGTGTGACCTTGAGCCAAGCACTCCCACTCTGAGCTACAACTGCTGCATCTATGAACTTCATGCATCCACTCAGACACACCTGTTGGGCCGTTCTGTTAATGCACTGGGCCAGGATTTGTGGGTGATAAAAAGGCCCCTCAGCTTGGCTCCTGCCTTAAGGAAGCTTACAGCTGAGAAGCTGAGTGGGAGCTGGGAGGTGGGGAGTTGCGTAAGAGCGAGATGAGACCCTGGGGATGGAGAGAGGGCACGGAGCTGGGCCTTGAGAGAGGAGCAGAGTTCACTAGGCTGAGGAGGGGAACATAGCAGCAAAGGGTCTTAGAAGCTTCACAAACAATGTGTGTCACTGCAGGGCCCCTATGATCTCACACATCCTGGCCTCTGCCAGTGCCGTTCCATCGCTTTGGCCGCCTGAGCATCTTGGAGAACTCAGCTTAGGCGTCACCTCCAGCCTTCCTCTGGGCTCTCACAGCGCCTTGTGCATCTCTCCCTTGCTCCAAACACCGTATCGTGTTGTTGCAGCATGAGCTGCCCCTCGGGAAGCCTGGGACCAGCTGAACGCCAGTGCCTCTGAAGGGGACGTAGAGCCAGACAGGTGGGGTGAGGCAACTTAGGTGTGAGACCCAAGAGGAGCTCTGGGCAGTGTGTCAGATGCAGTTCCTCAGTCAGGTGAGCAGACTAACATCTTAACATCTCAACCAGAACATATCCCCCAGCACAGGGCTTAACTCATGTGCAGTGCACTGTGACATTTAGTGTTTTACTGCACTTTGAAAATGCTGGTCACCACCCACTAAACAGCTGGAAAACATTGCAGTGCTTCCCAGGTGCCCCTGTCTCCTACTTGCTGCTCCGCTGAGGGAGGTGGGGCCAGCCTCCTGGGACAGGGTGGAGGTGGTGGGCCAGCTGGATGAAGCCTCCTGGCTCCTGTTCTGGTCCAGGCTCTATTCCGCCAGAGGCCTGGGCGGGAAGGGATGGATCGGGGAGGCTCTGCATCTGCAAAGCCTGGCCTTCCGCTGGGCCAGGATCAGTGAGAGCCATAGAAGGCTGTTGGCAGGGACTGGGCCTTGCTTAGAAGGCTCAAGTACTGAGACTAGAGGAAACCTCACCCTGCCTGTCCTTCCTGAGTTGGGGAGACAGAGGGAAAGGTCGTGGAGCATCTCGGGTGACATCATGAAGATGCAGAGCTGCCAGCCCAACTACAGCTGTGGCTCAGAGGAGGCCTGGACTCCTGGCTCGGCCTCATCCTCAGTGCAGGGACAGGCTCAGAGGCATTGCGGTTTCAGGTCAGGGGAGGCCCTTGTAGAGTAGTCAGGGTGATACTGTTACCGAATTGAACTGGGGTCTGCTTGCCCATTGCAGTAAAATCAGGCACTGATGCTGAGATTTGCAGCGGGAAAAAGCATATTTATTGTTTGGTGCCTAGCAAGAAGAACAGGCAGCTAGCACTTAAGACCCAAACTCCCTAAGGCTGGGTGTGGTGGCTCATGCCTGGAATCCCAGCACTTTGGGAGGCTGAGGCAGGTGGATCACCTGAGGTCAAGAGTTCAAGACCAGCCTGGCCAACATGGTGAAACCCCATCTCTACTAAAAATGCAAAAATTAGCTGGGCGTGGTGGCGCACGCCTATAATCCCAGCTACTTGGGAGGCTGAGGCAGGAGAATTGCCTGAACCTGGGAGGTGGAGGTTGCAGTGAGCCAAGATTGCACCATTGCACTCCAGCCTGGGCAACAGTGCAAGACGCTGTCTCAAAAATAATAATAATAATAAAATAAAGACCAGAACTCCCTGGTGGCTTACAAGCAAGAGTTTTTAAAGATGGGGTTACATTTCAGGATAGCAGAAGCTGCAGGCAAAATTTTAAACCAAGAAATACATGGAGGGTATACACTGGTCTGGCTCGTGGCAAAGAACAGTGGTCAGAGTTCAGTCCCCAGCTCCCCCTTATCTAAGGTCTGTATAGTAATAGAGGCATTTTCCATCTGGTGGAGGTTTCTGGAAACATCACAAGAAGATATGTTAAGAGGTTATCTTTTAGTTTCTATGGGGAATCAAAACACCTTGTGAGTGACTTGCTTGTGAGACGATTGTTACTTAGCTTCACATTTATCAGATTGCTATTTTATTTTTGTAGAGACCAGGTCTCACTATGTTGCTCAGGCTGGTCTCCAACTCCTGACCTCAAGTAATCACCCCACCTTGGCCTTCCAAAGTGTTGGGATTACAGGTGTGAGCCACTGTGTCCGGCTTCATTGACTTTTTAAGGCTAGCTAAGTGCCTGGGATGTCATTTAAAAGGGACTGAAGACTTTTCCTTTATTTCCATGCTTAGGAGGCCCAGCAGAGCCCTAAGTGGCGTCCTGCTCCATCTCAGTGACTCCCTTTCCTCCCCGCCTCCCCAGCTGGGGAGGGCAGTAGAAAGTTCTGGGGACTCCATCTCACTCATGCACAACTGGTTCTTCAGCTCAGCTCTGTGATGCCCTCTTTTCCTTACTGCGGCGCCTCAGGGCAACCTCTGTCCCTCTCTGAGCTCCCCTTAGCCAGCTTGCTCCTGACCCACTCAAGCCTCCCCAGTGGAGACAGGAGCCAGCGAGGATCTGAGAGGCATTTGCTTTGTGACCCCTGCTGCAGCCGGGGTTCGCAGTCCTGAGCCCTCCCGCTTTGAGCTTACTCCGCTGGCAGCTCACAGTGTTTTCGTGGTGGCTCCTCCAAGTGAGAGTCGATGTCCAGATTCCTAGGTTCATGGAGAGGAAATCTGTACTTCCTGCTTCCTGGAAGACACTGTGAGGTAACTATCTCTTAGCCCTTGGTAGAGAAAAGGCTGGGATTTGGGGTCCCTTTAAAGGATCCCTCTTCTTTTTTAGACAGGGTTTTGCTCTTGTTGCCCAGGCTGGAGTGCAATGGCACCATCTCGGCTCACTGCAACCTCCACCTCCTGGGTTCAAGCGATCCTCCTGCCTCAGCCTCCTGAGTAGCTGAGATTATAGGCATCCGCCACCACACCTGGCTAATTTTTTGTATTTTTAGTACAGATGGGGTTTCACCATGTTGGCCAGGCTGGTCTCAAACTCCTGACCTCAGGTGATCCACCCGCTTCAGCCTCCCAAAGTGCTGGGATTACAGGCGTGAGGCACCCCGCCTGGCCTAAGGATTCCTCTTCTAATACAGGCCTTGGGTTGGAAGTGAGTGGATATAAACTCAGAGGCTTTCCTGGGATCGGGGAGCCCTTCTAGGTGTTCTCCACAGAAGGGAGAAGGGAAAGAACCTAGAGAAAGTGGGCAGAATTTTTGTCAGGTTGTAACTGTGGCTGGATGAATGGTGAGGAGGGCTGGGGTGGACCAGTCAAGAGAAGACAGACCAGCTATAAGGTTCCCCAGTCATGTGGGCGTGGGAAAAAATAGTTCCTTTAAGTTACCCTTGGAAGAGGTTGAACTAGATATTGAACTATGGGTCTTTCTGAATCCTGAGCCTGCCTTCTTCCTTCCCTCTTTAGCCCAGTCCCCTCTAGGATCCTTGGTGGTGTAGACGAGGGTGTAGCCAGATGGACTTGGAGTGGATTGCCTGAGTGGAGCCCCGGGGATTTGAGATGCAGGAGCCAGGGAGAAGAGAGGGTGAGACCCACTTGGGCCAGCCCCACATTTGGCCAGTCCTCTTCCCTGGCTTGGAGAAGGTGCAGGGTGGGGCAGGTCATACAGAACCCTTTGGGGTCACTGCCTCTTTTCTAGTTGCCTCAGGCAAGGACTGGCCAAGTCTTTTTTTTTTTTTTTTTTTTTTTTGAGACAGAGTCTCACTCTGTCACCCAGGCTAGAATACAGTGGCGCAATCTCAGCTCACTGCAACCTCTGCCTCCCAGGTTCAAGTGATTCTTCTGCCTCAGCCTCCTGAGTAGTTGGGACTACAGGCGCCCGCCACCACACCCGGCTAATTTTTGTATTTTTAGTAGAGAAGGGGTTTCACCATATTGGCCAGGCTGGTCTCAAACTCCTGACCTTGTGATCCGCCCGTCTCAGCCTCCCAAAGTGCTGGGATGACAGGCGTGAGCCACCGCACCCGGCCCAAGTCTTTCTTTATAGCCTCCTACCCTACCAAGCCATCCAGTTGCATTTTCCCTCCCTGTCTTGAGTTCTTCTTTCCTAAGCTTCTGTTGTAGACCTGGCCTGCTGGAGTGCTCTGCTCCCCTGGGAACCCTCTGGCTGGAGAGGCTCCTGAGCCACAGAACCAGAGAAGAGGAGAGTAATGCCAGAGGATCCCTAAGCACAGTGAGTAATGACACCAAAACTTACACCTCACAGGGCACCTGAGACTCAGGGAAGGGAAATGACTTGCTCGAGGACATGTGGCTAGTGAATGGCAGAGCCGGAACTCCACTCACCTCCACTCCCCAGGCCTGGACTCACCCCACTGCCCCATGCCGAGCTGTTTATGGACACACATTTATTAGCCAAAGTGAGCATGCTTCTTATTAGATTACTTTACACTTTAGGGTACCATTTTTGTACACAATTAAATATGGAGATGTTCAGAAAATGCAGGGATGTTGTATTGTTTTCCCAGGCAAAGTAAAACTCAATGTTACAATCCGATAAAACTGATATGTGCAGATTTCATGGGCAGGGTAGGGTGGGAGGGTAGGGGAGAGACAGGCAGGGTGAAGGGTAAGGACCCTGATGTCCAAATGGCAAAGGAAGATGGGAGATGGAGGAGACCACATTCCCTGAACATCCCCATTCATCCAGCGGCCATGCCATTGCTTTACACTTAACATTTAACTCCCAAGGTAGGAAACATCTCAAGTTGCCCCATTTACAAGTAAGAATTATTGTGAGCTCAGAGTTAAAGCATTAATAACTTGCTGCAGGTTACAAAGCTGGGAAATGGCGAAGTCAGGATTTGAACTCAGGTTTCTCTGGATCCAAAGTCTGTACTCCTTCCACTAAACTGTTTGATTGATTGATTGATTAAAGACAGGATCTCGCTCTGTTGCTCAGGCTGGAGTCCAGTGGTGATTATAGATTCACTCCAGTCTCAAATCCCGGGGCTCAAGTACTTCCCCTGTCTTAGCCTCCCAAGTAGCTAGGACTACAGGTGCATACCACCATGACCACGCCCAGCTAATTTTAAAAATTTTTGTAGAAGTGTGGTCTTGCTATGTTGCCCAGGCTGATTGTTAACTCCTGGCCTCAAGTGATCCTCCCACCTTGGCTTCCCAAAGAGCTGGGATTACAAGACCTGAACCGCCACACCTGGCGTAAACTGGTTTTGATGAAATTAGCAGACCCACAGGGGGTGATGCTAATACAGGATTAGACCATTCTCTCATTGCTATAAAGAAATACCTGAGACCAGGCCGGGTGTGGTGGCTCACACCTGTAATCCCAGCACTTTAGGAGGCTGAAGCAGGTGGATCACCTGAGGTCAGGAGTTTGAGACCAGCCTGGCTAACATGGTGAAACCCCTCTCTACTAATTAGCTGGGCATGGTGGCACGTGCCTGTAATCCCAGCTACTCAGGAGGCTGAGGCAGGAGAATCGCTTGGACCTAGGAGGTGGAGGTTGCAGTGAGCCAAGATTGCACCACTGCACTCCAGCCTGGGCAATGGAGTGAGACTTGATCTCAAAAAAAAAAAAAAAGAAAAGAAATATCTGAGGCTGGGTAATTATAAAGAAAAGAGGTTTAATTTGCTCATGGTTCCACAGGTTGTACAGGAAGCATGATGCTGGCATCTGCTCAGCTTCTAGGGAGGCCTCAGGAAACTTAAAATCATGGCGGAAGGGATGCAGCAGTTCACATGGCTGGAGCAGGAGCGAGACAGAGAGTGGAGAGGTGCTGCACACTTTTAAATGACCAGTTCTCGTGAGAACTCACTGTCATGAGAACAGCATCAAGAGGATGGTGCTAAACCATTCATGAGAAATCCACCCCCGTGATCCAATCACCTCCCACCAGGGCCCACCTCCAACACTGGGGATTACAATTTGACATGAGATTTGGGCGGGGACACAGATCCCAAACCATATCACCCTCAGTACCTGTTGCTGGCTGACAGTTGGTCAGTGTCTAGGGGAGAACCATTCTCAGCTTCAGTTCCACGATAGCGAATACCATCTTGGCAAAAATCCCCTGGACAAGTCAGAGACCTCACTAAGTCTCCAGCATCTAGCCTGATGCCTGACACATACTGACCCTCAATAAACGGCTGTTCAACTGTGGGCACAGGAATGGTGAGGAGGCTGTGGGCACAGAGGACGCTGGCCCTTCTTTGGAAGCAGATGAAGGTCTGGGTGTTGATGAGGGGTTCCTCGAAAGTCCCATGCTGCTCACAACACCCAACACTCCTACAGACTGTGACCATGTTCTGTTGACAACTGAGCCTGCACAGGATCTTTATGCAGTAGGGAACCGGCCCGGATTCTCCACAGGGAGAATCTCCCAGATGTTTCCCCGCTTTCTGCCCCAAAGTCAAGATCAAAAGCAGTTGGCAGCTGCAGACATCAGCAGAAGTCAGTGGAACACAGTGTGGAACCATGTCGCGCTGGAGGAGGAAGTCTCGCGCTGGAGGAGGAAGTCTCACCCTTGACAGAGACTAGAACTGGGCCTTAGAAGCTTGAACCAACCTCTGTCCCTGCGAGAGCAGCACACTTTTGTGCTCCTCAGCCCTTGCGTCTTCTTTGCCTGGAATATGGCAAAACGTTTATTTTCCCCCACTAAATGAGGCTCCTCTAGGGCTGCAACTGTGTTTGCCCATCTCTCTTTCTCTAGCAGCTAGCACAGGGCTAGCAGTCGGTGCTTGTTGAGCCGGTGGGTGAAGAGACGAGAGCACACCTCCTGTGTGCCCGGCATGGCGGGACCTGGTGCCGGCAAGTGGTGGGCTCTCTGGCCTCATGCTCTGCGCTGGTGATGTCAAGGGGTGGGCTTCTGTCCTGCCACTGATAGTAGGAGGGAAGGCCAGCAGGAAACGCCGAAACCTACTCAAGCTGCTGGAGAAGGGGGAATCCAGCCCTGTTTCAGGGGAAGGAGTATCCTGTGTTCTGAGAGCGAGAGAGCAGCTTAGCCGGCAAATCCTTAAATCCTTCAGAGATTACAGGATTGTGCAAGAGGGAAGGCCAAGAGGGGGACCTCTGAGGCAGCTCCAGCATGGCCTGTTGTGTGCAGAGGACTGAGATCCCAGAACATGCCACACCAAGAAGACATGTCCCAAGGGGCAGTGGAGCCACAGCCACCAGAAGGGACCTGGCCCTGTCGGACCTGCTGAAGCTAGCCGTGGAGTGCAGGGGCTTTGTTGGTCTGGCTGCTAACCAAAGGGTGGCTAATGGGACCCTTTCCAGGGGCCTCTAGGGGATTTCAGTGGGGGCTTGCTTCGAGGCTCTATTACCACTGGACTGTTTACCAAGAGCCTCAGCCTGACAGAGATGGGAAGAGACGAGTGAGCATTTCTGACCCAACACCCCCACTGCAGAGTTGGGGAAACATTTACCCAAGATAGGAGGAATAAAAAGGAAAAAAATTGAATTTATTTCCAAAAAACATACCAAGGTGGACAAGATAGGAAACAATACAATTTATATTACAGTTTTATTATTATTTAAAAATTTTATATTAACAAAATGAGATGGGATCTGCCTATGTTGCCCAGGCTGGTCTTCAACTCCTGGGCTCAATCTCCTCGGCCTCCGAAAGTGTGATTACAGGCGTGAGCCACCGCACCCGGCCCATATTACAGTTTCATAGTGTTTTTGATTACTCGTGGTAGGAGAAATGTGTCTTCTTTGCACTTGGGGTCTCAACGTCTCAGTCCTGCCCTATGCCCCGAGACCCCAAGAGGCTTTCCCAAGGTCAGGCAGGGAATCCGCAGAGAGGCAGGGCTGGACTCCAGCATCCTGACTCCCCAGTTCGTGCTCTGTGCTGCAGAGACCTGTTGCGTAACACTGAGTAACTGTGGATTGTCTAACCTTTTATGAAATTTCCAGCTGGTCTTTTGCTACCGGCCAGCAGTCCAGTTGGTGGGAGTGATGATGCCGGTCTTCTGAGACGTCCAGTGGACAGATTTTCCCCAGGTTTCTGGATGCAGCCCCAACAAGCAAAAGTGCTACACTCCTGCACCGGGAACACTGACACAGGGGTCACGAAAATGCTAAAACAAGACGTGCAAGAATTGTTGCGCTCCGCACACGTAACAAGGGCTCTGCCTCCCCCTCCCCCAATCTTCGCCCTGGTGGCCAGGCCCTGGGCTCCGCCCCTTCCCCACCAGACCGGGGGAGGGGTCCTCCTCGGCATGGAGGTAGGGGATGCTAGGCTGCTGGAGACGCCCGCAGAAAGAGGCGGGATGGCGGGGCGGATGCTGGCGGCCCGGGTCTGGCCACCTGGGTCAGCTGCACGCCCCCGCCCCGGGCTGGCCGGACCTCGTAGCCCAGGTCCCACCACGCCGTGAAGTTTGCGGAAAGTTTTGCAGTTGCTTCCCCGCCCGCGCCAGCGGGGGAGTTGTGACGCAGCGTCTGGGGATCCTGGCCGGGACAGAAGAGAGGGAAGGCGAGGCGGGGAGAGACTGGGAAACAGAGCAGCAAGAGAAAGGGCGCACGCTGGGGTCCTCCTGGACCCGGCGTGTCCTCCTCTCCGCCACCCCTTTCTCTCCCTCCCGACGCTCTAGCCCCAGACCCGCGCCTCCTCCCCTTCCCCTCCCACGCTGCCCACTTCCCTTCCCCTCTACCCCTCGAACCCTCCTCCCCGGTTCTGCGCTCCTCCCTCCGCCCTCCCTCCGCCCGGGCTGCCTCCTCCCTCCTCCTCCCCGGGAGGCATCACTTCGTCCCGACCCGGAGGAGGACGCGAGCCCCTTGCGGGCGGTCATCACAGCCCAGCCTCGGGGCTGCCACAGCGCGTTGCGCCTGTGCGCCCTCGGTCCCCGCGTCCACTGAGCGCCGCGCTCGGGGATGGGGCCCGGCCGGCCGGCCCCCGCGCCCTGGCCTCGTCACCTGCTGCGCTGCGTCCTGCTCCTCGGGTGCCTGCACCTCGGCCGTCCCGGCGCCCCTGGGGACGCCGCCCTCCCGGGTAAGGCGCTGCCAACTTGGCCAACTTCAGGGCCCGGGCGGGGGGAGCGCCGAGGCGCGGGCCGCTCTCGACTTTTCCCTCCTTTTCCCCCCTCTTTTCTCCAGAAGCGTGTGTGCGTGTGTGTGTGACTGGGTTTTTAAAACTCGTCTCCGCTTTTCTGAAAGCGGGGGAGGAGAGGGGAGGAGGAGCGCGCCTAGAGGTGGGGGAGGACCTGAGTGGAACCAGATGTGGCGGGCGGCGGGGGAGGGGAGCCCGGGGGACTCCAGCAGCCTAGGAGGAAGCGGGTGGGCTCTTGAGGACCCCCGCGCACCGCGCTCCCGGACCACCCGGCGCCGGCCCGTCCTCGGCAGGGGACCTGCAGGGCGCGCCCGGGGAGCCAGGGCTCTCTGTCCGGGAGTTCCCGGGCCCAGTCTCCTCGCTCTGCCCCAGGACTGATGCGTTAGGACGGCTTTCCAACTATCCGCGAGGGTTCGTTTCCCCCACCTTCCCCCCGCCCCCTGCATCTCGTGGGCGTTGATATTTTCTTTTCCACACTTAGTCTTCAAGGAGGCTTGTGGCGCGCGGCATCCGCCCCGCGTGAGCTCGGCAGCCCTGTGAGGAGGCTCCTGCCACTGGGACGCAGCAACAGGCTGGGCGCCGCCGTGCTGTGATGTTGCGTAGCGTGGGCAGCTCTGGGCACACTAGTGGCCCTCCAGAGGGGACAGACCTTGAGCGGCAAAAGAGCTGCTAAAGATTTTAAAACCCAACGAACAGGAAACAAAACAAAAATCAGAAAACCCCAAAACTGTGCCATTCTCTTCCTGCTCCTTATTCAGGGGTAACAGTGAAGTGTGGGGACAGACAGATCCCTCGCCAAGAATCTAAGAGTTGAAAGGAAAGATCCACTTCCTGGGGGAGTGGGGGTGGGGGTGTCTGGAGTGACCGGGGGAATCGCCCGGCCCAGCTTGGTCCTGCTGGCTGTTTAATTGGGGGATGGGGACAGTCCGTGCAGTGTCTGCAGTTTTGTGCAAGGACCAGACAGCCCCCTGGAGAGTCTGGGGCCTCCAGCCTGGCCCGTGCTTGCTGGGTTGGCCTGGCGTGACGTAGGCACAAGACACATATCTGCCAGATGGGAAAGGTGGGGGCCACGGTGACCCACATTCACACCAACCGGAGACCCCCGGGGCAATTCTGGGCCCACCTGGCATTGAATGTGGGACAGACACAAACCAGGCCGGGTAACCCCCTAACCCACTGCAGGGCGGCCTCACAGGCAGTTCCCCTACCTCCTCGCACTCCTGCCTTCCTCTGCTCCTCTGCGCAGGGCCTCAGGAGGCAGGCGGTGGGAAGGGGTGGGGAGGATGGCCATTCCCAGAGCTCCAGAGCACACTTTAAAGCCAGGCCCTGGGAGAGAGTTGTGGCCAGAGTGCTGACTCGGCCTTTCCCCCTGGAGCTTTTCATAGAGGGGGCTGGAAGTGCCTGGTGAGAGGCCCGGTCAGGGAGGACAAGGACGCCTGGAGTGTCCCTCCTCCTCCTGGTCTCTGTGCCTGGCCCTCCCTGGGGCTGTGTCCAGGGATGAATAGCCTCAGAGGGTCCCCTTCCCGTTGGCACTGCATTGACCACACCCTGAGGAGGCTTGGATCTGGGTGGCAGGCAGTGTGAGGTCTTCCAGCAGCAGCTGAGCAGGAGGAGGATGGAGCTGCTGCAGGTTCCTTCCCTCGGAACCGTGCCCTCTGCACAGAGTGCGCTTGCCCCTGCCCTGCCAAATTCCACTGGGCCCTACCCTGGGAAGCCTGTTCAGAGCCTCTGGGCCGAATTCCTTGCCCGAAGAGCTGGCAGCCCCTAGTACCTGGTGAATTACGTTGTTGTTGGGAGGAATTCACCAGCACCAGAGACCAAATAGCCCAGGAAATGCATGTGGGAGGTAGGGTGTGGCAGGCCAGTGCTGCTGGGGGCGAGGCTTATGCCAGGCAGGGCAGGGGCTGCGTGTGGGCAGTTTCCTGACCACCATGGGGGAGCCCTGTGTGCCCAGAGCACGGGGCAGGGGCAGCGAGGCGGCAGTGCCTTCTTGGTGCGTGATGGTGGAATCCATCTTTTCTCCACCTTGGTGGAGTGGCCCGCGGAGACTGTCACTGGAAGGAGTCCTCTTTGTTAGTTGCCATATTACCGCATTTCTGGAGCATGCAGTTTGCTCAGCCTTGAGCCAAGTTCTTGGGGAGGAGGGAAGGTAGAGAAGAGTGTAAGATGCATCCTCTGGAAAAAGAAAATCGTGTGGGAGAATGAAACGTGGAACAGTGAACTGCGTAGGGGGCAGAATGCCATTGGTGGGATGCCTGCCTGCCCAGACCCACGCTCAACCCTTCATGTGCAAGTTCCCATTTCATTTTGATAACAACCCAAGGAGATGGTTATTGTTGGACCATTTTTGCAGTTCAGGAAATGAAGGCTAAGAGGGGTCTGATCATTTACATTGGTCACACCCCTAGTAAGTGAAAGGCTGGAGTGTGGATGCTTCCCGTCTGGAGATTGGAGGCAGGAGAGACCGTATGGGCCAAAGGGTGGCCAAGGCTGTCTGGAGAGAGGCAGGAAGGGGCCACCAGGCTGGGCTCTTCTGGGGATGATGTGGAAGCTTGCTGGCTGGGCCGGGGAGAAGGTTGAGTGAAAGAGGTGCCTGGGAGGCCAGAATGGGGATGGGACCTGCAAGCTGGCTGTGGGGAACCCCAGGGGACCCTTGGAGGTTTCCGAGCAGAGGAATGAGGGGATAGTTGCTGGGAAAGGGGCTTCTGGGAGCTCCAGGGATCAAGTCTCAAGGCCATGGGGTGAGGAGACCTCAGGAAATCTTCCTGTGGGGAAGGTCGGTGCTGCCTAAAGGACAGGGAGGGTGGCATCGGGTACTTGGGGCTCTGACCAGAGTCAGCCAGACCAGCTCCCTACACTTCTGGCCCAGCTTCTGCTGAGTCGTGGGGTTCGGAAACTTCTTACTGTTCCCCCACGCAAAACTCAGTTTTCCTTGCTCCAACCCTCTGGCTCTCTGTGAGTCATCAGGGCCCAGGAGGTGCCCAGCCGAGCTGTGGCTAGTGCTGGGATCCTGGCTCTCTTCTGGGTTCACCTGGGCAAGGTGAGGGTACATGGAGGGGAGGAAGAACCCCGGGTTTTGGCCCCCATTTTTCGCACCAGAGAAATCCTGGCTTTCTGATGCACGTAGGGCACCGTGACTTGGCTCAATGAGATGATTTCGGAAGTGCCATGCAGTTCTCAGGCAGATATTCATTTGAGTTCCTCATCAGTTTAAGCATCGAGGAGGAGTCCTGTTGCACTGTCCATACCCCCAGAGGGATGGAGCGATGGCACCCACGGCTGCGCTGTGCATGTGGTGGGCGCCGTGCTGGGTCCTGTGCTGGCAGTAGCTCTTCGGCACCTCCCATCTCTGAGCAGGTGTCAGAGATTTGCACACACCTGGCGTGAAAATGTTAAAGATGTTAAGGGAGTCACTCAAGGCTGTGCCACCACACCACTAGAAGGTGTTACCAGTGAGATTCGAACCCAGGAGTGGTTACGGAGCCTGAACGCTCCAGTACCATACAGCGTTTCCATCGCATGAAGCACTGTCAGTGTGTGTGTGTTAGGAAAGCCTGGGAAATTCTGCCTTATGTGTTCTCCCCGCCCCCATAACTCCAAGCCCTCTAGGACACCTCTCAATGTGTCCCACCGGGAGGACTCCTGAGGAGGAGGGTGGAGCGAGCAGCCCTCTGTCACATGTCAGCGGTCTGGGCGCTTGGGTCAGCCACTTCCTTGTGGGTCCAGGAGGCCTGGACCGAGCCGCCTGCAGTGTCCTCAGGATCTCTGAGGGACCCCCTCCAAGAAGGCATTGATAAGTGAGTGACTCAAGGTGCCCCAGCATGGCACTCCAGCTTCCCTGAGGTCAAGGATTCACATGGTTGTTCATTCATTCATTCATTCCTTCAGTGGGTGTCTGCTGAGCTCCTGCAGAACTGAAGTAGAGATGGCCATGGCCTATTCTTTATTTGAGACCTCCCCACCGTGTCTCCAGTGGGGGTCCCTGGACTTGGAAGGCCTGAGCACTGCTGATAGGAAGCGTGTCTTCCTGTTCAGGCCTACGTGAGATGGGAGGGGGCCGCTTTCCCACGCCTGGGTCCTGTGAATCTGGGTGGGGTGGGCCAGTGGGGTGGTGACGCGCTCCTGGAGCTCACCCTGGGCCCTGCAGATCTGTCACTCTTCAGCTAGGGGTTGTACCAGTAAACGGCAGCTGGATGAGGGCTGTCCAGTGGCACCTGTGACACCGGGGTCTGCCGGGGTCCACCAGCTGCAGCCCTTTAGGAAACAGATTGGGTCGACCCCCTCAACTGCACACTGTGGCCCCTCGTGGAATTCCACCGGTTGTTTCCCTTCTTGCACTTCCCCCTGGCCCCTCGTCTCTCCTTCCGCCGCTGGGCACCAGCCTCTTGGCTCTGCACTCTCACAGCGCAGACCCTTCCACCTGCGCTCTGCTCCCCTCAGCCTCCCACTCCTCCTGATTTCTCTTTCTCTGACTGTGCATTCTGCCCTCCGCAGCTCTGGTTTTTGTTGTAGAAGAAGGACCAACTTCTTCCTAGTTTCCCCGGCCCCCCATGCCTCTGGTCTCTTGTCCTGCCCCAGCTTTCTCCACCTCCAGGCTTCTGCCCACGCACGATCACTTTGCCTGGTGTGCCTCCCCTCCCCTCTTCTTTCCCACCTTCCAGTGACCCTTCCTTCGAGACTCAAGGATCCTGGGGAGGACGCTGAGGGAGCCTGGTCCCTGCCTCTTGGGCTGACCTGGGGTGACGAGAGACAAGCACACAGACATGGCCCATGGTGACAAATCCCAGATTGGATGGGTGGCCTCTCTGTTTATCTCCTTCCCAGGGATCACCTCAGGAGGGCACATGTAGGGAACACTATAGCCAGCCTTCCTCAGCCTTCCCCAGCCTTCCCTGAAGGCAGCCGGGTGCGAGGCTGAGCAGTGGCCCCTTCCTCCTGTAGATGAGGCAGGAGTGTGGGCATGGCTGGCAGTGTTTCCCCCCGTCAGTCCTCTGGAAATGTAAATAGGGACAGAGTCGGTGGGACCAGGATTGATGGCACTCACCAGCTATGTGACCTCAGGCAGAGGCTCAAGTGTCTTCATTTATAAGATGGGAAAAATCAATACCTCTTGTAGAGGTATTATAAGATTACATACAAATGAGATCATGAACGTATGAGATATGTCCCTGGTACACTACTGGGCACAGAATAATTTCTTAGCAAACAATACTAAATTATTGCTATTTTTATTAGAAGAGAAAGGGTGGGTGAGGTGGCTCATGCCTGTAATCCCAGCACTTTGGGAGGCCGAGGCGGGTGGATCATGAAGTCAGGAGATCGAGATCATCCTGGCTAACACGGTGAAACCCCATCTCTACTAAAAATACAAAAAATTAGCTGGGTGTGATGTGGGGGCGCCTGTAGTCCCAGCTACTCAGGAGGCTGAGGCAGGGGAATTGCTTGAACCCAGGAGGCGGAGATTGCAGTGAGCCAAGATCATGCCACTGCACTGCAGCCTGGGCAACAGAGCGGGACTCCGTCTCAAAAAAAAAAAAAAAAAAAAGAGAAAACATGACTATCAAGGTTCCCAAATATGATAAAACACAGTCTTCAATATACAAAATCCTGCTGGACACGGTGGCCCATGCCTGTAATCCTGGCTTGAGCCCAGGAGTTCAAGACCAACTTGGGCAACATGACGAAACCCAGTCACTACAGAAAAAAAAAAAAAAAAAGCTGGGTGTCCTGGCTCATTCCTGTAGTCCCAGCTACTGGGCAGGCTGAGATGGGAGGATTGCTTGAGCACAGGAGGTTGAGGCTGTAGTGAGCCACGATTGCATCATTGCATTCCAGCCTGAGTGACAGAGTGAGACCCTGTCTCAAAAAAAAAAAAAAAAAAAAAAAAAAAAAAAAAAAAAAAAAATCCTAACTACAGCTGTCACCAGAAAGGAGGTCCAATCCAGACCCCAAGAGAGGGAACTCACGCAAGAAAGAATTTGAGGCGAATCCATAGGGAATAGTGAAAGCAGGCTTAATAGGAAAGTAAAGGAATAAAGAATGGCTACTCCATAGGCAGAGGAGTAGCACTGACGGCTCAGCTGCTTATACAATTGTTACTTCTTGATGATATGCTAAACAAGGGGTGGATTATTCATGAGTTTTCTGGGAAAGGGGTGGGCAATTCCCGGAACTGAGGGAGTCTTCCCTTTTTAGACCCTATAAGGTAATTTCTTGACGTTGCCATGACATTTGTAAACTGTCGTGGCGCTGATAGGAGTATCTTTTAGCATGCCAATGCGTTATAATTAGTGTATAAAAAAATGGGCAGTGAGAATGACCACAAGTCATTTTTTTTTTTTGAGATGGAGTCTCACTCTGTTGCCCAGGCTGAAGTGCGATGGCGTGGTCTTGGCTCACTGCAACCTCTGCCTCCCAGGTTCAAGCAATTCTCCTGCCTCAGCCTCCCAAGTAGCTGGGACTGTAGGCATGTGCCACTACACGTGGCTAATGTTTGTACTTTTAGTAGAGATGGGATTTTACCATGTTGACCAGGCTGGTCTTGAACTCCTGACCTCATGATCTGCCTGCCTCAGCCTCCCAAAGTGCTGGGATTACAGGCGTGAGCCACCACGCCTAGCCCAGAGATCACTTTTGTCACCTTTTAGTTTTGGTGGGATTTGGGTGGCTTCTATACTGCGTGCTGTTTTTTCAGCAAGGTCTTTGTGACCTGTGTCTTGTGTTGACCTCCGGTGTCATCCTGTGGCTTAGAATGCCTAACCTCTTGGGAACGCAGCCCAGGAGTTCCCAGCCTCGTTTTACCCAGCCCCTTTTAAAGATGGAGTTGCTCTGGTTTGAACACCTCTGATACAACTTTTTTTTTTTTTTTTTTAGGACGGAGTCTCCCTCTGTCACCCAGGCTGGAGTGCAGTGGCACAATCTTGGCTCACCACAACTTCCACCTTCCGAGTTCAGGCGATTCTCTTGCCTCAGCTTCCCAAGTAGCTGGGACTACAGGCACGTGCCACCACGCCCAGCTAATTTTTGTAGTTTTAGTGGAGACGGGGTTTTACCATGTTGGCCAGACGGGTCTTGAACTCCTGACCTCAGGCGATCCACCCGCCTTGGCCTCCCAAAGTGCTGGGATTACAGAAGTGCACCACCATGCCCAGCCCCATTGTTTTTTTTTTAAATTGAAGCAGGTCTGAACCTGTTACTTCATTGCTATTTTTCTCTTTTTTTTTTTTTTTTTTTTTCAGAAATAGCCTCAATCAGAGGCATTACTTCTTCGTGACACTTTGCTAACTACTGTAAGTGCCAAAAAGTAATCATAGTTTTTCTGAAAGTAAAAGAAATACCAAAGAAAAAAAATCCCACCCTCAATGGTCCTACCCCCTAAAGCCCCTCAATTTATCACCATCCTCTTTATCACCTTCCTCTTCATCCTTACACTTCTCTATTTAACCTTCATTTAGGGAAGGATAAGGAGCTTCCTGGGACTCTGGAATAAAACCAAGACAGACTAGGGAACACTGGGATGGTTGGGCATACCTCTCCCCTTTTTGCCTCTAGTTGCCTTTAGCCTACTGTCTGAGGGACTGCCTCCCAAGGGTCATACTGATGAGGCTCCCTAATTACTAAATTAAGTGACCTTTCTTAGGCCTCACCTTGCAGCATGCATGCTGTTCATTGGCCTCAATTGTAAGAATGGGCCAGGCATGGTGGCTCATGCCTGTTACTCCAGTGCGTTTGGAGGCCACGGGAGGAGAGACTGCTTGAGGCCAGGAGTTTGAGACCAGCTGGGGCAACATAACAAGACCCTGTGTCTAGAATTTTTTTTTTTTTTTCTGAGACGGAGTCTCGCTCTGTTGCCCAGGCTGGAGTGCAGTGGCACGATCTCCACTCACTGCAAGCTCTGCCTCCCCGGTTCACGCAATTCTCCTGCCTCAGCCTCCCGAGTAGCTGGGACTACAGGCGCCCGCCACCACGCCCGGCTAATTTTTTGTGTTTTTAGTAGAGACAGGGTTTCACTGTGTTAGCCAGGATGGTCTCAATCTCCTGACCTCGTGATCCACCTGCCTCGGCCTCCCAAAGTGCTAGGATTACAGGCGTGAGCCACCGCGCCCGGCCAATTTTTTTTTTTTTAAATTAGCTGGGCACAGTGGTGCGTGCCTGTAGTCTCAGCTACTCAGGAGGCTGAGGCAGGAGGATTACTTGAGCCCAGGAGTTGGAGGCTGCAGTGAGCTATGATTGCACCACTGCACAACCTGGGCAACAGAGTGAGACCCTGTCGCAAAAAAAAAAAAAAGTAAAAATGCATGCTCAGTGGAAAACATTCAAACCATACACAAGTAAGTGCAAAAAAATGTGAAGTCCACTCCCTTACACTACACTGATTACACACTAGCACAGGCCACAGTCTACCACTGGTAGATTCTGTGGGTAATCTTCCCAACCAAGATTCCCCAATGAAGATTAGTAGTAGTTCATTGGGTAATCTTCTGATTTTTTTTTTTTTTTTTTTTTTTTTGAGACGGAGTCTCGCTCTGTCGCCCAGGCTGGAGTGCAGCGGCGGGATCTCGGCTCACTGCAAGCTCCACCTCCCAGGTTCACGCCATTCTCCCACCTCAGCCTCCCGAGTAGCTGGGATTACAGGCACTCACCACCACGCCTGGCTAATTTTGTTTTTGAATTTTTAGTAGAGACGGGGTTTCACCGTGTTAGCCAGGATGGTCTCAACCTCCTGACCTCGTGATCCGCCCGCCTCAGCCTCCCAAGTGCTGCGATTACAGGCGTGAGTCACAGCACCTGGCCTGTCGTTGTTTTTTAACTAAAGACAGAGTCTCACTATGTTGCCCAGGCCTGGCTTTGAACTTCTGGGCTCATGCGATTCTTCTGCCTTGGCCTCCCAAAGTGCTGGGATTACAGGCACAAACCACTGCACCTGGACCAATGGACACTTTTGAAAACTCTCTTCCCCCGGCCTTTGTGGTGTAATTTACATCCACAGTTTCCTCCCTTAGGGTCTTCCCTTCCACCCTCAGTCCAGAGCTGGCATTGCTGCCAGGTTAGCGCTGCTAAGGGGAAGCTTGAATCGATGTAAACTTTCTGAATTTAGAATTTCTGCTAGGCTCGGTGACTCATGCCTGTAATCCCAGCACTTTGGGAGGCCGAGGCAGGCGGATCACCTGAAGTCAGGAGTTCAAGACCAGCCTGGCCAGGTAAAACCCCCGTCTCTACTAAAAATACAAAAATACAAAATAGTGAAACCCTGTCTCTACTAAAAATACAAAAATCAGCCATGTGTGATGGTGCATGCCTGTAATCCCAGCACTTTGGGAGGCTGAGGCAGGTGGATCACTTGAGGTCAGGGGTTCGAGACTAGTCTGGCCAACATGGTGAAACCCTGTCTCTCCTGAAAATACAAAAATTAGCTGGGCATGGTGGCACATGCCTGTAATCCCAGCAGCTCGGGAGGCTGAGGCAGGAGAATCACTTGAACCCTGGAGGTGGAGGTTGCAGTGAGCTGAGATCACGCCATTGCACTCCAGCCTGGGTAAAAGAGGAAGACTGTGTCTCAAAAAAAAAAAAAAAGAAAAGAAAAAGAAAGAATTCCCGGCCTTCTCAGTGCTTGTGCAGGTCAAGCTGAGCTCCTTACCGTTCCCATAGCTCCCAGTACTGCCCAACCCGGACTCTGCTCAGGCTTTTTTTCCCTGCCAGGAGCACCAGCTTCCCAGGGGGCTGTTTCTGAGTCCCAACTCACACCTGTGACCTTCTGATTACCCTCAGCTGGAAGAAGCCTTTCTCTCCACGGCTGCTCTAGCATTTTACTGCTGTCGTCCCTCAAACACCTCCAGAGCAAGGCCTTTTTGTCACTACACAGGTTCCAGCACAGTACCTTGTCCACGGTGGCATTTGTTTTTGTTTGTTTGTTTGAAACAGGGTCTTGCTCTGTCACCCAGGCTGGAGTGCAATGGCACTCACGGGAGCCTCGACCTCCTGGGCTCAGGCGATTCTTCTGCCTTAGCTTCCCAAGTAGCTGGACGACAGGCGGCGCCACCACTCTATTTTGTTGCTCCTATTTTTAGTAGTGGGAGGGTCTTCCTATGTTGCCCAAGCTGGTCTCGAACTCCTGGGCTCAAGGGCTCCTCCTGCCCCAGCCTCCCAAGGTGTTGGGATTACAGGCGTGAGCAACTATGAGGCTGGCATTTGGTATTATTTAGTAAATATTTGTTGAAAATGAGAAAAGAAAGACAAGTGTTCCAAAGAATTTTTTTTTTAATAGAAAGGCAATGAGAGTTACCCTTCTAGAATTTTACATGATGCCACGGTCATGAAAAACATCATATGGTTTTAAATTAAAATAAACAGAAAAAAGTCCAATGTACTAGAAAAAAATTCCAGAAGTGGATTTAAACTGTTATAAGAAAATAATGTGAGACACACCAGAAAAAACACACTAATAGGAAAAGGAATTTTTACTTTTAAATGTTATGAGGATGGCCGGGCGTGGTGGTTCATGCCTATAATCCCAGCCCTTTGGGAGGCCAAGGTGGGCGGATCACGAGGTCAGGAGTTCGAGACCAGCCTGGACAACATGGTGAAACCCTGTCTCTACCAAAAATATAAAAATTAGCCAGGTGTGGCGACGTGTGCCTGTAATCCCAGCTGCTTAGGAGAGTGAGGTAGGAGTATCGCTTGAACCTGGGAGGCAGAGGTTGCAGTGAGCCGAGGTGGTGCCATTGCACTCCAGCCTGGGTGACAGAGTGAAACCCTGTCTCAAAAAAAAAAAAAAAAAAAAGAAAGAAACAATTAGCCAGGCGTGGTGGTGGGCGCCTGTAATCCCAGCTACTTGGGAGATTGAGGCTGCTCTTGAACTCCTAACCCTGGAGGCCGAGGTTGCAGTGAGCTGAGATCGTGCCACTGCACTCCAGCCTGGGTGACAAAGCGAGACTCTGTCTCAAAAGCAAAATAAAACAAAAATAAATGTTATGAGGACACCTGGATTATAATTAGAAATTTTAATTTCAGTTTATAGTTGATCACACTTGAGGAAATTCAGATAGCAAGCTGTCACATAGAAAGTGCAAGGATTGGGCCGGGCACAGTGGCTCATGCCTGTAATCCCAGCACTTTGGGAGGCCAAGGCAGGCGGATCACCTGAGGTCAGGAGTTTTGAGACCATCCTGGCCAACATGGTGAAACCCCATCTCTACCAAAAATACAAAAAGTAGCTGGGCGTGGTGGCACACTCCTGTAATCCCAGCTACTCAGTTGGGGAGGGGGCTGAGGCAGGAGAATCACTTGAACCCAGGAGGCAGAGGTTGTGGTGAGCCGAGATTGTGCCACTGCACTCCAGCCTAGGCAACAGAGTGAGACTTTGTCTTAAATAAATAAATAAACAAACAAAGTGCAAGGATCACTGGAAATGAAGGAAATTAGCTTTCTTTAACTACTTAAACTAGCAAAAACAGAAAAGCTAGTATTGGCAGAGCTGTGAAGAAGCCAATATATCTGACTGGGGGACTGTAAATTGGTTCTGTTTTTCAGGATTCAATCTTTCGGACAATATGTAAGAAACTGGATATGTAAGAATTCCTATCCTTTGATGTCATAATTTTACTTTTGGTAATTTATAAGATATTAATCTCAAAGATAAAAAAAATGTTCTTAGAAGTGTTTTTAAGAGACTGGGTCTCACTCTGTTGCCCGGGCTGGAGTGCAGTGGCACAATCATAGTTCACTACAGCCTCAAACTCCTGGGCTTAAGCAATGCTCCCGCCTAAGCCTCCTGAGTTGTTGGGACTACAGGCTTGAGCCACAGCCTTTAGTAGCAAAACAAATTGGAAACCACATGATGGATTATTTACGTAACTTTAAGTGACAAATATATGGCTAATGATTCTTTTTTTTTGAGACAGAGTTTTGCACTTGTTGCCCAGGCTGGAGTGCAATGGCTCGATCTTGGCTCACTGCAACCTCTGCCTCCTGGGTTGAAGCAATTCTTCTGCCTCAGCCTCCCGAGTAGCTGGGATTACAGGCACCTGCCACCATGCCCAGCTTTTTTTTTTTTTTTTTTTTTTTTGTATTTTTAGTAGAGACGGGGGTTTCTTCATGTTGGTCAGGCTGGTCTCGAACTCCTGACCTCAGGTGATCTGCCTGCCTCGGCCTCCCAAAGTGCTGGGATTACAGGTGTGAGCCACCACGCCTGGCCAGCTGATTCTTACAAGGAAAGTTCTGAGGACTGTGAGACAGTCTTACAACATTTAATATGCACATACTGGAAACAAGATGCATACCTGACATTCATCTGTCCGTTTATTCATTCAGTTAACTGGTGTCTTTGTTCATTCATTCAGTTAATTGGTGTCTTTGTTTTTGTTTTCTTTCCTGAACATTGAAAACGTACCAGGCATGGTATTTGGTGCTGCCAACACCGTGGTGAGCAGGCTAGGCATGATTCCTGCTTTCCTGAGGCTTGCGTTTTGAAAGCAGTCCCTTCCCAATATAGAGTGCCACAAATAATCTCAAACGTACACTGATTTCATTTGCAGGTCCACTTTTTTGTTTTGTTTTGTTTTGAGACACTGTCTCGCTCTGTTGCACAAGCTGGAATGCAATGGTGGGATTCACTGCAGCCTCGACCTCCTGGGCTGAAGTGATCTTCCCCCCTCAGCCTCCGCAGTAGCTGAGAATACAAGCACACCACCACCACTGGCTAATATTTAATTTTTTTTTTTTTTTTTGAGACAGAGTCTCGCTCTGTCGCCCAGGCTGGAGTGCAGTGGCACGATCTCGGCTCACTGCAAGCTCTGCCTCCCAGGTTCACGCCATTCTCCTGCCTCAGCCTCCTGAGTAGCTGGGACTACAGGTGCCCGCCACCATGCCCGGCTAATTTTTTTGTTTTTTGTTTTTTGTGTTTTTTTTAGTAGAGACAGGGTTTCACTGTGTTAGCCAGGATGGTCTCGATCTCCTGACCTCATGATCCACCCGCCTCAGCCTCAGCCTCCCAAAGTGCTGAGATTACAGGCGTGAGCCACTGTGCCCGGCCTAATTTTTTTTTTTTTAAATAGAAACAAGGTCTTGCTATGTTGCCCAGGCTGGTCTCAAATTCCTGGCCTCAAGTGATCTACCTCAGCCTCTCAAAGTGCTGGAGTTACAGGCATAAGTCACTGTGCCTGGCCTGTAGGTGCAATTTTTAAGTTCATTAAGAGAAAAATCGGCTGGGTGCGATGGCTCATGCCCGTAATCCCAGCACTTTGGGAGGCCGAGGTGGGTGGATCCGGAAGGTGGAGGTTGCAGTGAGCTGAGATGGCGCCATTGCACTCCAGCCTGGCCAACAGACCGAGACTGTCTCAGAAAAAAAAAAAAAAAAAGAGAAGAAAAGAAAAGAAAGATGGAGGCAATCGACTGCTCTAAAACCTTAGACCTAGAAACAGGAACCTGTCTGACAGTGGGGAGAACGACTCCCAGACAAACTAGCCTGGCTGAATAGGAAGGACTCAACGGGAAGCAGCTTTGCAGTCATCTTGGTCCCCAAGGAAAGGGGATTCTGGTATTACCCCATAAAAATTTAACCTCATTCCTGAAGGATCTAAGTATGTAAGGGCATTGATGGTTTGCAAAGAGCTTGGAAGCACTGTTTATAGTAGCAAAAACAAAAATGTACTTGGAAAGAGATATGGATAAATTATAGAATAGACACAATGAAATGTAACACAGAGGTGGACGAATGGACTCCAGCTATTTGCAACAACATGGGTGAATATTAGAGACTTAATGTTGAATGGGGGAAAAGATCCCAGAGGACTGCATATGGTACAATACTCTTTCTCAAACCACTGGAAAAACTGAAAAAATAATACAGTGGGCACCCATATACTCTTCACCTAGAAGCACCAGTTGTTAACATTTTGCCACATTTGCTTATCTCACTCTCTGTGTGTGTGTGTGTGTGTGTGTGGTGGGTCTGTTTGGTGAAACTTTGAAAGTTAGTTATAGACATGACATTTCACACCTAAATACTTCAACATGTAACAACTAAAAACAAAGACATGCTACTATGTAACCATAATATCTAATCACACCCAAGAAATAGAGCGGATGCAATTTTTTTTCTCATATGCAGTCCGTGTTAGGATTTCTCCATTTGTCCCAATAATGTCCTTTATAGCTGTTTTAAAATTCAGAATTCAATTAGGTGTCATGTCTCTTTAATCTCCTTTAATCTAGAATAGTTGCTTGGCCTTGTTGTCTTTTATCGGCATTGCATTTTTGAGGATCCCAGGCCAGTTGTTTTGTAAAACGTCCCACAGTCTAAATTTGTCTGATTGTTTACTCGTTCCTGGATTCATATTAAACGTTTTTGGAAAGGGAACTCATGGGTGATGTTGTGTCCTTCCATTCTGTCACACCAATGTCAATTTGTTCCCTTACGCTAACTTTGACCATTTGTTTCAGCTGGTGTCTACCAGATCTCTCCACTAAAAAGGTCCCTTTTCCCTTTTTCTGAGATGAAGTCTCACTGTCACCCAGGCTGGAGTGCAGCAGCACGATCTCAGCTCACTGCAACCTCCACCTCCCAGGTTCAAGCAATTATTCTGCCTCATCCTCCCAAGTAGCTGGGATTACAGGTGCCTGACACCATGCCCGGCTAATTTTTGTATTTTTAGTAGAGATGGAGTTTCACCATGTTGGCCAGGCTGGTTGTGAACCCCTGAGCTCAAGTGATCCATGTGCCTCAGCCTCCCAAAGTGCTGAGATTACATGTGTGAACCACCATGGCTGGCCTCCCCTTTGTATTTAGTAGATAACCTAAGGAATTTGAACCATAGTCTTAAAAAAGCAAAGTTGTTCATAGTAGCATTATTCATAATAGCCAAAAACTAAAAACTAGTGCCAAACTGAAAACCACCCAAATGCCCATCAGCGATAGAATGGATGAATTGTGGCAGCTTCACAAAATTGAATATTAGACAGTGATGAGAATGAACAAGCTCCAGTTGCATGCCACAGCATGGATGGAGTTCACAAACTGAGCCAGACGCTACTTCATACCATATGACCCAATGTATAGAAAACACCAAAATAGCCAGGCGCGGTTGCTCTCGCCTGTAATCCCAGCACTTTGGGAGTCCAAGGCAGGTGGATCACCTGAGGTCAGGAGTTCGAGACCAGCCTGGCCAGCATGATGAAACCCTGTCTCTACTAAAAATACAAAAATTAGCTGGGCATGGCGGCAGGTGCCTGTAATCTCAGCTACTCAGGAAGCTGAGGCAAGAGAATCACTTGAAACCGGGAGGTGGAGGTTGCAGTGAGCTGAGATTACACCACTGCACTCCAGCCTGGGTGACAAAGAGTGAAACTCCGTCAAAAAAAAAAAAAAAAAAAAGAAAAAGAAAAGAAAAAAGAAAATACCAAAATAAAAGACACAACTCATCTGTGCTGTTTGCAGTCAGGAGAGTGGTTACCTTTAGTGCGGGAGAAGGGTACTCAGCAACCAGGGAGGGTTTCAAATAAAATTTAGAAAGAACAACAAACAGGGAAGGGATCTGTAACAAACATGGCAACTAGCTCATATAAAACTATGAGAAAAACGCAGGAACCTGCAATAGTTTTAAGGCAACAAAGATCAAAATAGATAAGACTATAAAAGATCTGAACGGAGTTCACCAAGAGGAAATGCCAGTGGCTAATAAGCCAATGGAAAATGTTTAAAATCACTAGCAAAACAATTTCACCTCTCGCAACAGTGCCAGGAAAGATTGATATAATAATATGTTCAACGTAACATTATAATTAGGAAATTCTATTTATAAGTTAAAGTAATAGCTAGGAAATGATGAAATGAAACGTGATATTATATCATGGAATAATATACAGCCATTAAGATGATTTTTACGAATATTTTTAAGGACACAGAAAAATCCCTTTGCTGAAATGTTAAGTGAAAAAAGATCCAAAAATGTTTGCGTGTGGATATGTGCATGTATATTTATGTATATATATGTGTATTACATGTGTGTGTATATATATGAATAGAAATATTTTGGATGTCTAGATAAAATTGGTAGAAAAACCACAGTAAAACTAAAAGACTGTACTATGCTATCTACTACATAATATATTATTTAACAGGGGTGATTGTAGATGAAATTTTTCTGTTTTAAACATGTCTGGAGGCTGGGTGTGGTGACTCCTGTCTGTAATCCCAGCACTTTGGGAGGCTGAGGTAAGTGGATCACTTGAGGTCGGGAGTTTGAGACCAGCCTGACTGACGTGGTGAAACCCTGTCTCTACTAAAAATACAAAAATTAGCAAGGTGTGGTGATGGGCACCTGTAATCTCAGCTACTCGAGAGGCTGAGGCAGGAGAATTGCTTGAACCCAGAAGATGGAGGTTGCAGTGGGCCGAGATCACACCACTGCACTCCACCCTGGGCAAAAGAGAAAGACTCCGTCTGGAAAAATAAAAAAACATGTCTGGAGGCGGGATGCCGTGGCTCACGCCTGTAATCTCAGCACTTTGGGAGGCCAGGAGTTGAAGACCACCTTAGGCAACATAGCAAGACCCCATCTTTACAAAAAATAAAAATAAGAAATAAACATGTTCGTATCTTGGGCCATGGAGTGGCAGCGGGCATCTTTTGCTTGTGATCAGTCAGTCACGTGACCCCAGCAGCATTTGTGTCCTGTTCCCAGTACCGTCCTGTAATTGGTCAGAGGATGAGCATGTGACTCCTCACTGCCAGTCAGAGCCTCCCTGGAAGGTGGTGTTTTTCAGCACAGCCCGCAGATCCTCATTTGGGACTTACGTGAGGGCATAGGATTCCTCCACGCTGGTGGTCGAGGGTCAGCCTCCGAGATTCTGCGGGAGAGACTCTCAAGGGTCACCAGCTGGAGCTGGTTCTGTGTCTGCAGGGAACCACCTGGTGCTCTCTCCATTAATAGCCCCCTACCGCGAGTTTTCTCTTCTTTATCTTTGTGACTTAGCCCAGTGTTCACAGAAGGGGAGGGGTGGAGGGTTCAAACGCTGTCATACACGTTTGCTTTTCGAAAAACAACAGGACACAAAATTTTATAAACATGAAATGACAGTACCTGGTACGTGACTCGAATGCAACTCAGAAGGGTGCCAGTAAGTTAGGGAATTGGCCTTTGGAAGGCTTCCTTCTTTTTAAAAACTATAATGTTTCCATATAATGTTTGTGTAACAAATGAGAAATGGGAGACCCCATTATCATTTACTAACGGTAAATTTACATAAAGTAAGCCAGGGTCAGCATCAGATAATTCCGTATAGCCCATATTTTAAACCTTCACATTCCTCCATTTCACAGATAAAGAAATTGAGCCTGAGAGGCTAAGAGACAGGATCACAGGAGCAAGGAATGTGATCCAGGTCTGGTTCCTTTGCATGGTCCTCTAGAAACATTATATACATTCATCTCAAAAATATATATATATGTGATATATATACACACGTATATAATATACATATTGTGTGTGTATATATACACATAATATGTGTGTGTGTATATATTATATATATATATATATATATATATATATATTTTTTTTTTTTTTTTTTTTTTTTGAGATGGAGTCTTGCTCTGTTGCCCAGGCTGGAGTACAGTGGCATGATCTTGGCTCACTGCAGCCTCAATCTTCTGGGCTCAAGCAATCCTCCCATCTCAGACTCCTGAGTAAGCAGGACCACAGGTGTGCACCACCAACTGCAGCTAATTTTTTTTTCTGTATTTTATGTAGAGATGGGTTTTTGCCATGTTGCCCAGGCTGGTCTCAAACTCCTGAGCTCAAGCAATCCACCTGCCTCAGCTTCCCAAAGTGCTGGGATTACAGGTGTGAGCCACCGCACCTGGCTTTCCCTGTAAAAAACTTTATAGAGATGTTTTCATGTTGTTTCATAATGTTCTTCTTTCATTCAGGAATATGTCATCAATGTATTTCTGCCCAACACTTCTACTGGCTACATAGGGTTCTGTTGTGTGAGTGGACCATAACTTATCCCCTATTGGACATTTAGGTCATTTCTCTGTCCTTTTCTATTTTTTTTTTTTTTTTTTTGAGACGGAGTCTTGCTCTGTTGCCCAGGCTGGAGTGCAGTGGTGCGATCTCGGCTCACTGCAAGCTCTGCCTCCCAGGTTCACACCATTCTCCTGCCTCAGCCTCCCAAGTAGCTGGGACTACAGGCGCCTGCCACCATGCCCAGCTAATTTTTTGTATTTTTAGTAGAGACGGGGTTTCACCGTGTTGGCCAGGATTGTCTTGATCTCCTGACCTCGTGATCCACCTGCCTCAGCCTCCCAAAGTGCTGGGATTACAGGCGTGAGCCACCGCGCCCGGCCCCCTCTCTCTCTTTTTTTAAGAGACAGGGTCTCATTATGTTGCCCAGGCTGGTCTTGAACTCCTGGGCTCAAGCTATCCTCCTGCCTCAGCCCCAAAGTGCTGTGTTTATAGGTGTGATGCCACCATGCTGGGCAGGTCATTTCTCATTGTCACTGATAGAAGTGTCACTGTGTACATCGTAGCACACCAGACTCCTTGCTCAGACCTGAAGTCGGATGTGGATCCCAGTCAGGGTGAAAAGGTGCTTGACCTACGTCAACTTCATGCCTCTGAAGGCACCCACTTCTTTGCTGTCAGCAGTGTCTGCTCCTTGGCACCAGGATTGGATGGTTGGTCTCATCCATCTGGAGCCTCTCGCAGAAGGATCTTCTTTGGTTTACTTGTTTGCTCACCCTCTCCAAATGTGCTGGGTTTAGTGTCAAACTCTGCATATATGAGTTCAAGTCCCGCAGGGTTAAGTTTGAAACAAAGGACAGATGCACACCATATATTCCCTATCTCTTTTTAATTACCAAATACATTAATTGTAGCAAATACAAAGAGAAGAAAATAAAAATCAACAGCTATCTCATAAGTCAGTCATAACCACTGTTAACACCTGGGTATGTACAGTTGTTCTGGAACCCTGATGTACCCCAGAATTGCTTGGGACTCTTGTTTACAATCTAGATATTCCATCACTCCGAGATTCTAATTCAGTAGAACTGCTCTAGGGCCCACACACCGGCATTGCAAATAAGCTCCCCAGGCGATTTGGACACCCAACTTTAAGAACAAGAATGCAAAAGCGTCTTTCTAGACATTACTTGATTTAAAAGAAAATAAAAATGAAGTTATACTATATATTCATTTTTTCTTTTTCTTTTTTTTTTTTTTTGAGACAGAGTCTTGCTCTATCGCCCATGCTGGAGTACAGTGGCATGATCTTGGCTCACTGCAACCTCCGCCTCCTGGGTTCAAGTGATTCTCCTGCCTCAGCCTCCTGAGTAGCTGGGATTACAGGTGCATGCCACCATGCCTGGCTAATTTTTTGTAATTTTAGTTGAGAAGGGGTTTCACTATGTTGGTCAGGCTGGTCTCGAACTCCTGACCTCAGGTGATCCACCCGCCTCGGCCTCCTGAAGTGCTGAGATTACAAGTGTGAGCTGCCGCGCCCTGCCATTTTTGCTTTAAAAAAAAAATCAGCAATAGAATGTGAACTTCTGTGTCTAAATACCCTTTATACATTTCTGTTGTGTGCATAGTATTCCATTAGACGAATATATTTCCATTTACTTAGTCAACACTATATTGTTGGACATTAGTTGCTCCCCCATCATTGCTATTGTAAATAATGCTGTGTGGCTAAATCTTTGTATACATTCTTAGTTCTTTCCTTAAGTTAAATTCCTAGGAAATGAATTCTGGGGTGAAAGTTTTCATTCTTTTGAAGGTTTTTGATAGATGCTGCCAATTTTTCCAGCAAAAAGGTTGCCCCACTGGGGCTGCTACTCCCATGAGCTCCCTTTGTGAGGAGCCGTGAGGTGAGATCTTCCCATCCATGATCTCAGCCATCCCTGCCAACTACCCAGCGGGCAGCACGAGGTACCTGCTCAGTGGTACCTGCTAAGTGCTCAGTAATTGGTCTACGCAGTGGACAGGAGGAGTGTTTTCTTCACTGACCAGAGGAGGACACTGAGAGTGGAGGGGTCAAGTGACTCGCTCAGGAACTGGGACTCAAAGCCAGCTTTGAATCTAGAGCCTGAGTTCTCTTCACCACCCCATCAATTTTTAATTGATATTAGAGAGGGAAGAACAGGCCGGGCATAGTGGCTCACGCCTGCTATCCCAGCACTTTGAGAGGCCCAGGCGGGCGGATCACTTGAGGTCAGGAGTTCGAGACCAGCCTGGCCAACATGGCGAAACCCCATCTCTACTAAAAATACAAAAATAAGCTGGGTGTGATGGCACACGCCTGTAATCCCAGCTACTCAGGAGGCTGAGACAGGAGAATCACTTGAACCCGGGAGGCGGAGGTTGCGTGACTGCGCAAGGGTCCTGGTGAGGGTCCCAGGTCAACTCCTCCCGTCCCAGTGTCTGCCAGGCCAAGGGGTGTGGGCGCTGCCCCACCTCTTTCCACACTTTCCCTTCCAGCTGCGTTGTGAGTGACCTCATTTTCCCTTTACAGCTGCCCTTGGAGTTTATTTCTGCAGAACCGGAATGTGGCTGAAAGAGTGCACACCCTATCTGCCCTGCCCTAGCCCTTCCAGAGAGCCCCCTACTTTTCCCTGACACACCCTCCTCTTCTCCTTGCATCTCCCTCCTGGGAGACCTGAGGAGGGGTCCAGAGTTCAAAGACAGAAACATATGGTGGTGGCAAGGGACTGGGCACCCATGGGAATTGGGGTCGGGGGAGGACTTTGCATCTGGACCGTGGGTTTATTTTTCTTTTAATTCTTCTGAAGAGCAGCTTAAACACTGGAGTCCTTGGCCGTATTTCCTCTTATCGTTTCTTCTTATCCAGATTGCAGTGTCTGCTAAGCCTGGTTCCCAGGCTCTCCGCTGTGAAACACAAACAGATTCTTGAGCTCGCTGCCCAAAACTGGGCAGAGGTTCTTGCTTAAATATCAAAAGCAGTAATGGCCTTCCATTACTCTGTGCTCCCCAGGTACAGAGGGACAGGAAGCCTTCTCTCCCTTTGTCCTCCCAGAAACCCAGGAGACAGGTCTTATTCGTGTCCTTCCCAAATCGAGGCTTGCGGAAGTGAGGCAGCCAATCCCAGGGCCCAAGGGCCCAAGCAGAGGTGCGAACCTGGGTAGGTCCACATTCTAGAGCTGCCCTCCCAAGCCCTCCACCATGGTGCCTCCTGGAGGTGGGGGCAGGCCCGGCTGATCTGTCGTCACAGAAGTTGGCAGGTGCTCAATCTTTGGCTAGAATTTTAAAGGGAGATCTTGAAGGTTCCCAAGCAAGAAGGATTCTAAATTCACTTGACTTTAAAGAGTGCCATTTGGGCGCAGTGGCTCATGCCTGTAATCCCAGCACTTTGGGAGGCTGAGGCAGATGGATCACTTGAGGTCGGGAGTTCAAGACCAACCTGGCCAACATGGCGAAACCCCGTCTCTACTAAAAATACAAAAATTAGCGAGGCATGGTGGTGGGCGCCTGTAATCCCAGCTACCTGGGTGGCTGAGGCAGGAGAATCCCTTGAACCCAGGAGGTGAAGGCTGCAGTGAGCCAAGATTTCATCACTGCACTCCAGCCTGCGTGACAGAGAGAGACTCTGTCTCAAAAAGAGTGCCGTGCCTTGCTTTTAGAACCAAACAAGTGATCTTTGAATGTTGCCATGTCAGGAGGGCAGGGAATTGCCAATGTGTGGAGCAACAGCTCATTAGGAAACGTGCCTTGATTTCTCAGTCATATTGTGCTGTGCTTCAAATGTGTCTCATGTCTCCTATGCAGCGTGTCACAGTGTCATTTGACATCAATCATGTTGGCAGGGCAGCAGACCCCCCCCGCCCCACCGATACATACATTTTTTGTTTTGTTTTATTTTGAAATAGATACAGCCTTCTTGTCATTCTTTTTTTTTTTTAATTTTTTTTAAAATTTTTTTGAGACAAGAGTGTCGCTCTATTGCTGAGGTTGGAGTGGCACTATCTCGGCTCACTGCAACCTCCGCCTCCAGGGTTCAAGTGATTCTCCTGCCTCAGCCTCCTGAGTAGCTGGGACTACAGGCACCCGCCACCACACCCGGCTAAGTTTTGTATTTTTAGTAGAGACGGTGTCTCACCATGTTGGCCAGGCTGGCCTCGAACTCTTGGCCTCAAGTGATCTGCCTGCCTCTGCCTCCCAAAATGCTGGGATCACAGGCATGAGCCACCATGCTTGGCCGTCATTCTTAATAGACACCAGGATACTGAAAAATGCTTTGCCACTCAGAAAAACAAGGGTACAAGCATGATACTATATGGCCACTCTCATTCCACTTCAGTGTGTGTGTATGGTGGGGGCACAAAAGGGATGGGTGGAGACTGTGGCAAACCGGTGAGCCCACACCCCTCCCAGGTGGGCAGCTGCACCAGCTCTTGTGGCTGGCACCCTGCAGGCATGCTGCCTCGACTGGAAATCTACATTTTTATGTGTAATCTCTCTCACACATCCTGAAGCCAAACACAACTTGCCTGTGGGCTATCATCTAAAATTCGGAGGCTAGCTGGAGTCCGCTCTGGAATAAGTCTGCCTGGCCATCCTTCCCAGCTCTTCCCCTTATTAACTGTGTTATCAAGATGTTAATCTCTCAGTTATTTAATACCTCAGTTTCCTCATCTGTCAAGTGCAGATCAGAATTTTGCCTACATCTGAGGGTTGTTATAAGGATTAATGAAAAGCCTTGGAACCCACTGTCTGGTGCCTGGACGCGCATGGTTAATGCCTGGCATTCTTTGTGTCTCTTTTTACAAGCGCAGGGTGACCACAGGTCCCAGTTTGCCGGGGGCAGGCCTGGTTCATGCTTGTGGTGCTGGTGTAATGATCACTAACTTGCCATTTCATTGTCGGTATTGACGTAAATGATATGATTTGCCTAGAGAAGCAAATACTGGCACAGTGCTGTTTAGGACTCTGATGAGGTTTAGACCTAATAGAAAGGCCATGGTCCAGGTTCCTTGAACATCCCTGGACAAGTCACTTAACCTTTCTGTGTTCAGTTTCCCGTTCTAAACGATTGGCAAGATGAATTCTAAGATCCCTCCATTCACAGTCATTCTGTCATTTGACAAACATCTTTTTTTTTTTTTTTTTAAACGCAGTCTCGCTCTGTCGCCAGGCTGGAGTGCAGTAGTGCGATCTCGGCTCACTGCAACCTCCGCCTCCTGGGTTCAAGCAATTCTTCTGCCTCAGCCTCCCAAGTAGCTGGGACTACAGGCGAACGCCACCACGCCCAGCAAATTTTTGTACTTTTAGTAGAGACAGGGTTTCACCATGTTGGCCAGAATGGTCTCTATCTCTTGACCTCGTGATCCACCCACCTCGGCCTCCCAGAGTGCTGGGATTACAGGCGTGAGCCACTGCGCCCGGCCGACAAACATCTTTCACAAGCTCAGACTCATGCCAGGCAAAGGTCCAGGGCATGGAGAAGCCAGGGGCAGAGCCTGGGTCCTCAGTGGGCACTTGGCCAGTGAAAACCTCCAGTGCAGGTTGTTGGGAATCTCTACCTTTTTTGTCAAGTGTTACTTGAAAGACCATTACCAAGAAATTGAATTGAAAGTTAATTTTTTTCTCCTTCTTTACGGAGACGAGTTTCACTCTGTCCCCCAGGCTAGAGTGCAGTGGTGCGATCTGGGCTCACTGTAACCTCCTCCTCCCGGGTTCAAGCAATTCTCCTGCCTCAGTCTCCTCAGGCATACACCACCACATCTGCCACCATACCCAGCTAATTTTTGTATTTTTATTAGAGATGGAGTTTCACCATGTTGGCCAGGCTGGTCTCAAACTCCTGGCCTTAAGTGATCCACCTGCCTCGGCCTCCCAAAATGCTGGAATTAAAGGCGTGAGCCACCGCGCCCTGCCTGACTGTTAATATTTTAAACCTCAGTTTCTCAGGAACTAATCATTCTGGTTGAATACATTTTGCTACACATTTCTTTTGTTTGTGGGGGGGTATCTAAGTTGTTTTTTTCTTTTAAGTCAGAAAACATAAATTTTCACTATGGAAAATTGTAAATTACAGAAAGGCCCAAAGATTTTCTTCATTTCTGCTGACTCTTCAATGAACCAGAGGGGCACGTGTAATATTTCCGCTTTCGGTTACTCCCCACCCCACACACCTTGTAGACACTTTGTCAAAACTACATTTTAAAAAAATGCTTTCCCCCAAATTCGTATGGATGTCTCCTAATAAAGTCACGCAGTCACTCACTGGTTCGTCCTCAATCAACCAGGCGTGGAGTCCTAACCTGTCCATGATTTTAAGAAAGGGCAGGCGCACAACACCCCCGCACGGAGAAATGAACAGGTGTGGCTCGGCAGAGGCCTTCCGCACCTGCGTTATGGAGTGGTGGCCGCTGTCGGCGATGGGGTCCCCGCGAGGGCACAAGTGATCGCGTGGCCACGGCGAGGCTCTGCCTCCGCCCCCGCGCTCCGGGTCCCATTCCCGAATTCTGCCCTCAGCGGCCTGGTCAATGAGGTTGGATCGTTGGCCCAGAAAGCCACTTCCTGCCGCGACTGGAGCCAGCCGTCGTTGTGAAAATTCCCCCCACGGGGAAGGAAGTGGCTCTTGGGCTGTTTATTTTGGCTGCGGGCTAGCAGACGGCGCCAGGGGCAGCGGCCACGCAGACCGGGCATTTGTCTAGCTGGGCGGGAGGCGGCGGAGCGGGAAGTGCCACAGATTGAGGGGCGCACGGCGGTGGAGGGAGGGGCGCCCAGTGGAGAGGGGGCTCACGGTGACAGAGGAAGTGGCGCCGCTTGGGGGGGTGCACGATGGCAGGGGGAGGGGTGCTCGGTGGAGGGAGGGGCACACGGTGGCGGGGGGAGGGGCGTGCCGCAGATTGAGGGCGAACGGTGGCTTGGGGAGGGGCGCTCCTTGGAGTTGGGGGCGCACGATGGCGGGGGCAGGGGTGCCCCTTGGGAGCAGAAGCAGAGAAGACTCGGAACTCCAAGAGCAGGTGGATCTGGGAGCCCCAGATCCTGGGCACTGGGTTGGGGGAGAAAGGGGTCAAGGTGTGCCCGCCCCCGGGATGCTCGGACTCTGGGGATCCAGGCCTGGTGACCCCCGGTGAGGAAGAGCCAGTGGGAGGAAAGGGCCGGGCGCTGCCCGGAGCAGAGGCTGGAGGCGAGAGCGATTGCTGCTTGCTGTAGCGCGGCCGCTCTCCAGTTCCTCCGGCAAGGGGGGCCTGGGGGAGGACTGGCCGAAAATACTGTGATGCTTTGGTCTAAGACAAAAGCCAGCAGGGGATGAGATCAAACACCATGACACTGCGAAGGGGAAGGCCAGCGCGGGTGAGGATTTGCCTTCCCAGAGAACCCCAGGGGCGGGGCTAGCTTCCACTCAGCCCGCATTACCCCCACCCCCGCCCCCACCCCCGGGGCGGGGTCTGGAGGATCAGCAAAACCGCGGGAAAGGTGACAGTCGCCTTCCCCACCACCGCCTGCATTTAGTAGGTGGAGGGACAGTCCCACCTCTCCACCCATTCCCTGCCAGAGTGTGATTTAATGTCTTCCTAGAACACAGGATATCACAGTCTGCAGCACAGAGATTTGAAGTGGGGAGAAAAGCATCTCTGGAAATGACTGGTGGGGGAAGCCCGCCACTGCTCTACAAAGGGTGGCCTGTGACAGCAACAGCGCAACACTGGGACTGTGTGTGTAGGTTTTAGGCACAAGCACTTTAAGCTGTGGGAGGAAAGCAGTTTGGCCTGGCTGGGATGGAGGGGCTGTTGGGGAGGAGGGAGGAGGGTGTGAAAAGGGGAAGGTGGCCGGTAGAGGGAAACCCACCATGGTTCAGGATGTCGGTGGGGATGTTGCACAGTTGGGCGGGGTATTGGGCTTCGATATCATGTAACCCCCGTCCTCCATGGAAGCAATGCCCCCCTCGTCCAGCCCAGGATCTAATGTGCATGCATGTACGTGGACACAGTCTCTAGCCAGGGGTGGTGCAGGGTGGGGTGCTGGGTCCCCAGGGTTGGCCTCTTAGCAGGGTGGGGCTGGCAGCTTCTGCTGACTCAAGGACATTTCCAGGCCTGGCCTGGAGGTTAAGCAGCTCATTGAAAACAGCTGCTCCTCTTGGCTGGCGGCCCTTTCAGGCGGCCTCTGGCTCTCCCTGGGATGACCCCTCGCCTCTGCGTGGCCTGGGGAGGGGCAGTGAAGGGAGAGAGGCTCAGAGGCTGGAGGCCACCCTGCCATGCCCTCAGGGATGGAACTGAGTCCCCTCCAGGGCTGGCCAGCTGTCCTCCAGCCCCCAGCTTTCCAGGAGCTAAGCCAGGTGGTCGCTGGGCCCTGCGTTCCTGCCTGCAGCCTTTGCTCCTGCGGTTGGGCAGCTTGGACCGCCTTCCTTGTCCTTGGAATGCCTTCCTTGTCCTTGTCTCTGCTTGTGCCTTTCAGGGTTTTATGTGACATGCCTCTCATTCAACACATATTTGTTGAGAGTCCGCTGCATGCCAGGCACCATGCTAGAATTAACTTCTCATCTGCCTCCTTCATCTGTGATGTCTTGTGGAGAGCAGCCGTCTTATCTGAGGTCAGACCTCTGGCTGCCTCTGTGGATGGGCTGAGTCCGGGGAAACTGCAGCAACAGCTGAGGGTTTTGCTCCAGAGACACAAACTGTTGTCAAGCCTTTGCACTCAGCCTCGCGACTTCACCAAAGCATTGTGTGCCTTGAAGCAGACAGGACGGGAGAGGAGGCCTCAGTGACCATCAAGGAGGAAGGAGATGGGTTACTCAATGTAGGGCAAATTGCTTTAAAACCCAGTTGCCCATGAGCACAGGCATGTTTCCCAGGTGATGACCTGGATGTCTGAGAAACAAGAAGTGTGGACTACATCAGAAATATTCCTATCAAACTAGACACGGTGGCTCACACCTAGAAATCCTGCACTTTGGAAGGCCAAGGTAGGAGGATCAGGAGGTTGGGGCCAGGAGTTCAAGATCAGCTTGGGCAACAAAGCAAGACTCCGTCTCTACAAAAAGTAAAAACAATTAGCTGGGGCTGCGTGCGGTGGCTCACACCTGTAATCCCAGCACTTTGGGAGGCCGAGGCAGGCGGATCACGAGGTCAGGAGATCGAGACCATCCTGGCTAATGCGGTGAAACCCTGTCTCTACTATAAATACAAAAAAATTAGCCGGGCGTGGTGGCGGGCGCCTGTAGTCCCAGCTACTCGGGAGGCTGAGGCAGGAGAATGGCATGAACCCCAGGGGTGGAGCCTGCAGTGAGTGGAGATCGCTCCACTGCACTCCAGGCTGGGCAACAGAGCAGACTCCGTCTCAAACACAAACACTTTGGGAGGCCAAGGTGGGTAGATCACGAGGTCAGGAGATTGAGACCATCCTGGCTAACATGGTGAAACCCCGTTTCTACTAAAAATACAAAAAAATTAGCCGGGCATGGTGGCGGGCGCCTGTAGTCCCAGCTACTCGGGAGGCTGAGGCAGGAGAATGGTGTGAACCCTGGAGGAGGAGCTTGCAGTGAGCCGAGATCGCGCCACTGCACTCCAGCCTGGGCAACAGAGCGAGACTCCATCTCAAAACAAACAAACAAACAAACAACAATTAGCTGGGCATGGTGGGGTGCATGCCTATAGTCCCAGTTATTCTGGGGGCTTAGGTGGGAGGATCACTTGAGCCCAGGAATTCAAGGCTGCAGTGAGCTATGATCATGCCACTGCACTCCAGCCTGGACAACAGAACGAAACTCTGTCTCTTTAAAAAAAAAAAAAAAAAGAAAAAGAAAAGAAAAAAAGAAAGAAAGAAATATTTCTATCACACTTCATTTATCTGGAAAGTTCATTTCTATCTATCACCTTCACCCCCAACCGTGCAGACTTAAACTTTTCCATGGATTGCTTCATGAGTTCAGCCTCTCCAGCTTCATTATAAACGCATGAGGGCAGAGGCTGTATCTTCTTTTGATTCCTAGGCTGGAATGCAGTGGCGTGATTATAGCTCACTACTGCCTCAGACTCCTCGGCTCAGTTATTCCTCCTGCCTCAGACTCCCGAGTAGCTGGGACCACAGGCACATGCCACCACACCTGGCTAATTTTTTTTTGAGATGGAACATCACTCTGTTGCCAGGTTGGAGTACAGTGGTGCAATCTCAGCTCACTGCAACCTCCGCCTCCTGGGTTCAAGCGATTCTCCTACCTCAGCCTCCTGAGTAGTTGGGATTACAGGTGTGCGCCACCATGCCCCGCTAATTTTTGTACTTTTAGTAGAGATGGAGTTTCACCATGTTGGCCAGGCTGGTCTCAAACTCCTGACCTCGTGATTCACCCGCCTCGGCCTCCCAAAGTGCTGGGATTACAGGTGTGAGCCACCACGCCCAGCCTACACCTGGCTAATTTTTAAATTTTTTTGTAGAGACGGGATCTCACCATGTTACCTAGGCTTGTCTTGAACTCCTGGGCTCAAACGATCTTCCCACCTTAGCCTTTCAAAGTGCAGGGATTACAGGCATGAGCCACTGTGCCCAGCATCTGGTTCATTTTTAATTTCCCTTACAGTGCTTCATAAATGATTATCATCTGTATGGGATAAGAAAGCCCCCAAGGGAGCAGCCAGAAGGATGATTAGGAGAATGGGCTGAGGGTCCAGCCTCCAGGCACCTCCTCTGACATGGCCTTGGTGCTGCAGCCGACCCAAGAGGCTGGTCTGACAGGTCAGAGGAGGTCCTAGAGCAGTAACCTCCCAGGAAATAAGGAGAATGGGACAGAAACCCAATGCAGACAAGCTAATTAAAAAAGGAATGCAGGAGCCCAGCTGGCTGCAGATGATCCTGAGTGTTTCACAGAATGGAGGAAAGAGCCTCAGGGATTCAGGGACAGGACATCCAGCATCTTTGGGACTCACTTCCTCTCTTTCCATCTCTTTGTCCCGTTTCACTCTGCTTCTCTTTATATATTATCCCCTCATCGTAGGAAGCATGGCCATTGGCAGCCCCAGCCTAGCAATCTTAACAAAAAGGGAAAGCTTTATGTGTTCCAGGGGAGTTCTCTGATCAGCCCTGTTTGAGTTATGTGCCCCATCACTGTGGCCAAGGGGATAGACACTGTCATCAGCTCAAGAGTGAGCCTTGTGCCCACCCACACATCCACATAGCCAGAGGTACACAATACAAGGAGAACAAGAAGGGGATGGGAAGTTTCCTGGGCAGATAAAGGCAGCTCAATGAGGTCACAGATTGTTATCGTTGCCATGTCTTCATTGTAGAGCCCAGCGCCCTGCCAGACCATATGGTGATAAGGGCTGGGATCATGTCTATATTGTTCACAATACCCTCAGTGCCTGATGCCCTGCTGGCATCTATGAAATTCTCAATACATCATTGTTGGATGAATGAATGAATAAATGAATGAATCACACCCAGCCAGTGCTCAGTGCACAGCTCCCTGCCTAGCTTCATTCATTTCTCCATTTACTCAGTAAGAACATATTGAGCCACAGCTTGATGCGTAGCACTGTGCTAGGCATGGGTTGATTGCCTACAAAATGCAAGAAGTGGTCTTTGTCCTTGGGGAGGAGAATCCCAAGATCCTTGTGAGGGGCCCTGCACCTTCTGTGGGGGGCACTTTTGCTCCCTGCACTGACACCTGATGCTCCCATGCATATGGATGAGGCTGGGGGGTGGGTGAGGCTGGAGGGGCCCTCTCTGGATGGGGGTGGGGGGCATCAGGCCTCTGCACTCTGAGCTCCCTCTGCCCGCTTTGTATGTGCTTGATGAAGCACGGGTACAAAGAACACAGAGCCAGCTCTCAGGACGCCTTTTCTCTTTCCCCAGCAGTTCCAGCCCAGCCTGAGCGTGCACTCCCCCTCCACTAGGCCTTGGAGAAAGAGCCTCTTTTCATTGAGGGCCCAGGCCCACCGGCCACTTCGGGTGGAAAATGCTCTCAAGAACCCCCTGACCCCGGCTTGGCAGAGTCCCCCCGGATCCACCTACAGGAATCCCCCCTCAGCTTCTCCTTTGCTTTGCAGAGCTCCTGCACGCCTCTCCTCTGCTTTTTGATTCCTCAGCCTTTTCTCATTTGCTGCCAAATGAGAAAATGCAAGAGGTTGCCTTTGTCCTCTTTTGCTGCCAAATGAGAAAATGTGACCTGTGTTCTTCAGTGCCTCCTCCACATTGCAGTCTTCAGATCTCTGCCCAGCGGAGTCTCTCGGCCCTTGGGAGGCACAGAGCTCCTTGTAACGCCCCCAGACACCTGGGATTTTAAAGGTTTGTTTGCTCTTATGCCCGGCATTTCTCCTCTAACTGGATTACAAATCCTGCGAGGGGAGGGACGGTGCTGCGAGTTTCCTTGTGGTCCCAGCATTGCCTGGAACATGCCATGCACCTAGCAGAAAGTTGGGTGGATTTGAACCCAGAGCCTAGGATGTCAGAGGGAGGAGGGGCCTTGAAGCTGTGCCTCATGTGACAAAGGAGGAAACTGAGGCCTGAAAGGTACTTCTGTTGGACATTCTAATCCCGTCCCCTTTCTGGACTTCAGTTTCCTCTGTCAAGTGAGGGGAGGTTGGCCTGACCCTGGGAAAAGCCCCTCCCGACTAACCTGGACCTCTTTCAGACCCTTCATTCACCGTTTGCTACAACTGCTACAGCCCACCTGGCATTGATTTAGCACACTTGTGGATTTTCTGGCTGGGGAGGAGAGGAAGATAACGTCCTCTTGGGCTATTGTGGGCTCACGTGAAGTTTTGGGCTTCGTTTTCCAGTCGTATCTCTGAGAAACATCTACAAAACAAGCAATAATTTTTTTCCTTTTCCGGCCCCAGGCCCCTTTGGCTACCTCCTGCCAAGGCCATTTTCTGTTACTACTGCCTGGAGTAGAGTTTCTGAGAACCAGATACCTACTCCTTAAAGGAAGCTTGGGCAGGCATGGATCAAGTCCTGGAGCTGGTTTCTGGTTTCTGGTGGGTGGCTGAAAGGTGACCTAGTCTGTTTGGGTTGTTATAACACAATACCGTTAACAGATGGCTTGTAAACAATAGAAATGTATTTCTCATGGCTTTGGAGGCTGAGAAGTCTAAGATCAAGGTTCCTGCCGATTCAATGTCTGGTGAGGGCCACTTCCTCGTGGACAGCTGTCTTCTCACTGTACCCTCACATGGTGGAATAGGTGAGGGTCTCTCTGGGGTGTCTTTTATTAGGACGCTCATCCTATCCATGAAGGCTCTTCCCTAATGACCTAAGCACCTCCCAAAGGTCTCACATCCTAATGCCATCACCATGGGGGTTTAAGATTTCAACACAGGCCGGGCGTGGTGGCTCACTCTTGTAATCCTAGTACTCTGGGAGGCCAAGGTGGGAGGCTCACCTGAGGTCAGGAGTTTGAGACCAGCCTGGCCAACATGGTGAAACTGCGTCTGTACTAAAAATACAAAAATTAGCTGAGCATGGTGACGCAGGCCTGTAGTTCCAGCTACTTGGGAGGCTGCTGAGGCAGAAGAATCGCTTGAACCGGGGAGGCGGAGGTTGCAGCAGTGAGCAGAGATCGCGCCACTGCACTCCAGCTGGGGCAACAGAGCGAGACTCTGTATCAAAAAAAAAAAAAAAGCTTTCAGCACATGAATTTTTGGAGGTTGACACATTCTGTTCATGGCAGGAGGGAAGGAGCAGGTTCAAGGCAGGGGACCCAGAGATTAGCTGTGGCAGTTGTCCTAGGGGTACTTTAGGAAGCTCACTTTGTCCTGCCCAGAGAGGAACCCCATCCAAGTGCTGTTAGAGGACAGAGGGGCAGGGTCCCTGCCCCAACCTACATTCCCATGGTGGTGTTTTGAGCATCAGTGACAGGAGCTGTGGGTACTATGTTTTAGGAAAATTAATCTGGCTGTTGGAACAAGGAGCAGAAAGATAGGCTGGTTGTTTGTGATTATTATCTAGGCATGAAATTCGTTCATTCATGCATGTGTTCATTTGTTCCTTCAGTATTTAAGCATCACTGTGTGTCAGGCAGAACTGTAGGTGCTGGGGTTACAGTGGTGGAGAAGACAGAAAACAAGAGTGTCAGATAGCGAGTTCTGGTTCTGGAAGTGGCAGAGTAGCTTGTGTCAGTCTAACTCTCTGGCCAAGAATGCTTTTAGACTAAGGGAAAATTATAAAATATGGTGATTATGGTGATTTGAAGGCAATGAACAGCAATTAAAACCAGACAGAGGTAGAGAGGAAAAAATCCTTGAAAGTAAAAAGTAAACCTGGCACATTTAACCAGCTTTTCCCTGAACACACTACCTGGTTTGAGGAGCTCATACAGAAAGTGGCAGTTTTACCGGTTAGAGCTTGGGGCCACTAGAAAGGCTAACATTGAGAGGAAATGTTAGGAAAGCAAGGAGCCATAGAAATTCCTTCTACAGATTCTCCTTAAATCCTTGGTGACTCCTGAACTGTGCATTTGCAGGGTAGGGTTCTAAGCAGCCCAGCAAGAAACAGCAGCTGGGAGGTAGAGGTTTCAGTTGCTATCTGGTGCTGAGGAAACAGAGTTTAAAATTTAAGTTCCACCAAGTTTGAGGGGCTTAGTAATCACCTAAGGTTTTCTTTTGAAATCCCAGAAGGGCCTCACCTTATGATTAAATCCAAGGTTAAGAGCCACATCTGAAGACTAAAGGCAAAACTCAAACAACCCCACCCTAGCAAAGCTTAAAACCAAACCTCCACAAGAGCAAGGTAATCCACTGGTAATTTAACTGCCTGCCATAACAAAATCCAGCATTCTTTAGAGGAAGATTTTTTTAAAATCCAGATTCCCTTTAACATAGCATCCCTGACGTTCAGTATACAACAAAAAAGTCCAGACTCCTTATGACATTATCCACAATGTCCAGCATATAATAAAAATTTGCAGATAGTAGGCAGCAGGAGATGACCCATAATCAAAAGAAAAAACAGTCAATAGATGCAGATGCACAGACAACCCAGATGGTGAAAAAAATCAGATAATAAATGCCATGAAGAGCATTATAATCAAGTGATATGATAGAGAGTAACTGTGGTCACTTTACGATTGGGAGGCCAGGAGGATCTCTCTAAAGATGTTACCCTTTTTTGTTGTTTGAAATGTGAAATGCCAGGTAGAGGAAATAATGCATAGGCCCAGAGATAGGAAACAGCCAGGCTTGTTCAAGGAAGAACAAGGAGGTCAAAGCGACTTGAGCAAGGTGGAGTAACAAGATTTGAGATCAGGCCGTTAGACAGGACCAGATCATGTTAAATTGTGGCTCATAGTAAGAGGCTGAATCTCATTTGAAGAATGATGAATTATCTTTGAAGTAATTCAAGCAGGAGGAAGACTTACCTGCCTTCTGTTGTTGTTGTTTTTTTCCCTTTTACTATGAGCGAGGCTGTCATTTCAAATATTTAAGAGGCAATTGCATTTTCTTCTTTTGCTGTCTATGCATATCTCTTCTTCATTTTCTACTGCATTGTTGATACTTTCCCTAAGTTTCATGTATCTATTTTTTTGGTAGAAGCTCTTCTTTCTTTTCTTTTCTTTCCTTCCTTCCTTTCTTTCTTTTCTTTCTTTCTTTCTCTTTCTTTTTCTTTCTTTCTCTTTCTTTCTTTCTCCTTCCTTCCTTCATTCCTTCCTTCCTTCCTTCCTTCCTTCCTTCCTTCCTTCTTTCTTAAGACTAGTAAAGTCAGAAAGGAGGAAAGAGTAGAACAAAGACTTTGGTCTGTAACTGACTATGAACAACCAATTGAGATAACTCACCATCTTTGGACCAGCCAGAGGCTCTTTTAATATTGTGGACTTAACTATTTGCCTCTAATAAGGCACATATATTTTTGTCATTTATTTGAATTTTGACCTTGCTGATGGCATCATATGTTGGCATTAAAAAAATCTTTTTATGGGAAAAAAGTTCTTATGCTATTGAATTCATCAGTGTTGTCTATGACCTTCAACATTCCAATAATATTTTTAAATTTTTTCTAGGACTGATTTATATCTTTAAAAGATTATTCTAGGCCAGGTGCGGTGGCTCATGCCTGTAATCCTAGCACTTTGGGAGTCTGAGGAGGGCAGATTCCCTGAGCTCAGGAGTTTGAGATCAGACTGGGCAACATGGAGAAACACTGTCTCTACTAAAAATACAAAAAAATTAGCCAGGCATGGTGGCATGTGCCTGTAGTCCCAGCTACTCGGGAGGCTGAGACAGAAGAATCGCTTGAACCTGGGAGGCAGAAGTTGCAGTGAGCCAAGATTGCGCCACTGCACTCTAGCCTGGGTGACAGAGCGGGACTCTGTCTCAAAAAAAAAAAAAATAGATTATTCTGACTGTCTTTGGAGAATGGACTATAATAGGATGATGAGATCAGCATCGGGGAAGAGAGAGAACTTGAGATTTGGACCCAGGAGATGAGGGCCACATTTCAGCTCCTTCCCTTAACAATCTTACGACTCTTGTCATCAAATTGCTTCACCACCCTCAGCCAATTTCTTTACCAATAACATAGCATAATGCTGATTTATAGTCTTCTTACTGTGCCAGATCCTGTTCCAAATGCTTTACATGTATTATCTCATTTCATCGTTACCAGAGTCTTAAGATGAGGAAACGGCATAGAGAGATGAAGCACTTTGCCCAAGTCCCATATTCAGTGGCAGACCTAGAATCGAAGCACTAGCTGCCGGGCACGGTGGCTCATGCCTGTAATCCCAGCACTTTGGGAGACCAAGGTGGGCGGATCACCCGAGGTTGGGAGTTTGAGACCACCCTGACCAACATGGAGAAATCTCATCTCTACTAAAAATACAAAAAAATTAGCCAGGTGTGGTGGTGCATGCCTGTAATCCCAGCTACTCAGGAGGCTGAGGCAGAATTGCTTGAACCCAGGAGGCAGAGGTTGCAGTGAGCCGAGATCGAGCCATTGCACTCCAGCCTGGGCAACACGAGCAATAGTCCGTCTCAAAAAAGAAACAAAAAAAAGAAACAAAAGAAAATAAACACTAGCAGTCGGATTCATCATTTCAACACATGAAAAGTATCCTGGGGAGCTAGTGGCTAGTGGATGCAAAAGTTCTTTGGAGATTGGATGTACTCCATATGTGTGTTGTGTACATAAGTGGCAGTCAGGGAACAAGAGGAAGGTGATGGATGTCACAGAGATCTGGGTTTGCTTACTGGGCGTGGGACACTGGGAGTAGGTCACTTCATGTCTCTAAGACTCTGTCTGTCTTTTCTTACCTTCCTTCCCTCCCTCCCTCCCTCCCTCATTCCCTCCTTCCTACCATCCATCCCTCCCTCCCTCCTTCCTCCCTAGTTTCTTCCTTTCTTTCTCTTTCCTCCTTCCTACCCTCCCTTGCTCCTTCCTTTCTTTTTCTTCACTGAAACATAACTCACATATAGAATTTACCCATTTAAAACATATATTTAATTGGGATTTAGTTTTTTCACAGCATTGTGCAACTATCATGACAATCTAATTTTAGAACATTTTCGTCATATCCCCAAAAGAAGCACCGTGCCCTTTAGCAGCCACTCCCCTTTCTCGTCACCCACAGGCAACCATTAATTTGCTTTCTGTCTCTATGCATTGAAGCTTCATTTCTTACTCTGTAAAGTGGGTGTGCTGTGGTGGGGGGCAGGTTGGATTTCCCCCAGTGACTTCTACAGAGGGTGCCTGCTCAGCGAGGAGATAGGTGGAAAGAGGAAAGGTTGAGGAAGCCAAAGAATTAAATTGCTGCGTAAAAATTAAGGCGTGAAATAGTTCAGGGGTGGGATGAGTGGTCTGGGAAGATCCTAGAAGAAGGAAAGGATGGAACCAGTGCAAGGGGCAGGGGGAAGGGTGAGACACAATGCCTCCGGATCAAAGGAGAATTTTGGCAGAAAAACCACGCCATGTAATAGAGATTGAGATTGAGGTTGCAACGTGGTGTGTGGTGTAAATGCCTCCACTCCTCCTCATAAAATCTTCAGAAAAGTATACAGGTGATGTGCCGGGTGGAGTTGGGTTTGCTTTTTTTTTTTTTTTTTTTGAGACGGAGTCTCGCTCTGTCGCCCAGGCTGGAGTGCAGTGGCGGGATCTCGGCTCACTGCAAGCTCCGCCTCCCGGGTTCACGCCATTCTCCTGCCTCAGCCTCCCAAGTAGCTGGGACTACAGGCGCCCGCCACTACGCCCGGCTAATTTTTTGTATTTTTAGTAGAGACGGGGTTTCACCGTTTTAGCCGGGATGGTCTCGATCTCCTGACCTCGTGATCCGCCCGCCTCGGCCTCCCAAAGTGCTGGGATTACAGGCGTGAGCCACCGCGCCCGGCCTGGGTTTGCTTTTGAGGGTGGTACAGAGGACTGAGTCCTCCCTCCTGGTGAGCAGGGGCTAGAACAGAGGTAGTCCTGCAGGCCTCTGCCTCATCTGGGCACAAGGGCTTAGCACTGCCACTCATTTCCACCTCAGAGGGTTGGTAGTGAGTACCGAGTGATTTAACGTATGAGTGACGGCTCACCATCCTGCACTGGGCACATGGTAGGTGCCTGTCAGCCACACCGGTCATCAAGGGCCAACCAGGAGAGCCCCTGTGATGCCTTCGTGTCTTGCCTTCCCTTCCAGAACCCAACGTCTTCCTCATCTTCAGCCATGGACTGCAGGGCTGCCTGGAGGCCCAGGGCGGGCAGGTCAGAGTCACCCCGGCTTGCAATACCAGCCTCCCTGCCCAGCGCTGGAAGTGGGTCTCCCGAAACCGGCTATTCAACCTGGGTACCATGCAGTGCCTGGGCACAGGCTGGCCAGGCACCAACACCACGGCCTCCCTGGGCATGTATGAGTGTGACCGGGAAGCACTGAATCTTCGCTGGCATTGTCGTACACTGGGTGACCAGCTGTCCTTGCTCCTGGGGGCCCGCACCAGCAACATATCCAAGCCTGGCACCCTTGAGCGTGGTGACCAGACCCGCAGTGGCCAGTGGCGCATCTACGGCAGCGAGGAGGACCTATGTGCTCTGCCCTACCACGGTGAGGGGCCGCTTGCAGGCGGGAGGGTGGGGTCCCCGATGTCCAGGGGACTGGAGCCATGAGGGACAGATTCCCAGTGACAAGGCCTTTGGCCTCTGTGGACCCTTGGCAGTCACATGTTTAATTATAATAGGAAGCATTTTTTAATAATTAAGAAAATTAACTTCAGGCCAGGTGCGGTGGCTCACGCCTGTAATCCCAGCACTTTGGGAGGCCAAGGTGGGTGGATCACTTGAGGTCAGGAGTTCAAGACCAGCCTGGCCAACATGGAAAAACCCCATCTCTACTAAAAATTCAAAAATTAGCCAGGTGTGGTGGAGCATGCCCATCATAGTCCCAGCTACTTGGGAGGCTGAGGAAGGAGAATCGCTTGAACCCAGGAGGCAGAGGTTGCACTGAGCTGAGATTGCGCCACTGCACTGTGCAGCCTGGGTGACAGAGCAAGACTCTGTCCCCCCCCCCACAAAAAAAAAAAGAAAAGAAAAGAAAAAAGAAAAATTAACTTCAAAGCATTTAATTTACTTTTGTAAAAATTGCAAAATACATGCTTGTAAAGTCTTCAAATAGTATACAAGTATATAACATAAAATTAAATGAAAATTCCCTTCCCCCAGGCCCACTCTCCAGGTGAAACCCCATTGTAGCCCCCCATGTTGTCTTAATGCCTGTCTTGCATGTGGTGAATGGGGACCAGAGTCACCATGTGAGGGGCTGGCCTCTTGTGGTGGACAGCCCCGTCCTGGGGGGGCCTTTCCTGGGAGACCCCCTGAGTTCCGAGATAGAACTTTGTGGGGACACAGAGCCCATGGGCTGGGTAGCTGAGCAGAGATTCCACCGGGCTCAGCCCTCTGTGGGTGACTTGGAGGCCCTCTTGCCCAGCTGGAGTTTGGATGGGATTAGGGGTACTAGGGAGCCCCTTCCCAGCCCTATGAGGTGTGCAGCAAGACCTCTCTCTGGTTCCTGGGCTGACTCAACAGCAGAAGAAGCCTTAAAGCCACTATGGGGTGCCATTGCCTCTCCCACCTGCTGATCCCTGTGAACACCCAGCACTCTGGGTTTTAGGGGATTTCTCCTGAGGGTCGAGGGGCTTGGCAGCCTCTGGTGTCCAGATGCCAAGGGCCTGGCCCCTGTCCACCCCCTGCAGAGGTCTACACCATCCAGGGAAACTCCCACGGAAAGCCGTGCACCATCCCCTTCAAATATGACAACCAGTGGTTCCACGGCTGCACCAGCACGGGCCGCGAGGATGGTCACCTGTGGTGTGCCACCACCCAGGACTACGGCAAAGACGAGCGCTGGGGCTTCTGCCCCATCAAGAGTGAGAGCTGTTGGAGCCGTGGGGGCGGGGGCAGTGTTCCTGGAGGGAGGCTGGTGCTGAGGGGCCCCGGGGCCCAGGGTGAGATACTGCCCCCTCCCCTACCTAGTGTAGCCTTTTGGTGGGGGAGGGTCTGCACTCCCGAGGGACCCTGGAGGGGGCCTGAAGGAGAGGGCTGTCGTGGTGGCAGGTAACGACTGCGAGACCTTCTGGGACAAGGACCAGCTGACTGACAGCTGCTACCAGTTTAACTTCCAGTCCACGCTGTCGTGGAGGGAGGCCTGGGCCAGCTGCGAGCAGCAGGGTGCGGATCTGCTGAGCATCACGGAGATCCACGAGCAGACCTACATCAACGGTGAGCCGGGGCCTGATGCCTGCTCGTGCCTCTGGAGGGCCCGGGCCCTTTCCGCTTGTGGGTTGGGGAGAGGGCGATGGGGAGCGGGGGAGGCTGGGGCTGGGGATCCCCTGTTCAGTGTCCCTCCTTGCTGTCAGGCCTCCTCACTGGGTACAGCTCCACCCTGTGGATCGGCTTGAATGACTTGGACACGAGCGGAGGCTGGCAGTGGTCGGACAACTCGCCCCTCAAGTACCTCAACTGGGAGAGTGGTGAGGCACAAGGTTGGGGGCGCAGGGCAGCATAGGGGCCCCGCGGGCTCTTGGCCTCCCATGGACTCCTCTCCTCATGTCCTCCTGCAGAGGGGCAGTGTGGGTAGGGGAAGCACCGACCTCCACCCCCCTCCCCAGACTGCGCCCCCCTAGCCCATGTAGGGCGGCGCTGCCCCAGGCCGAAGGTCTTGGTGCATATGGACTGGGTGCCAGCCTCCACTCACCTCTTCAGCCACCCCTGTGGGCAGCGGGCACCAGCGCACCCAGCAGCCTGGACGGGGAGGCCGGGGCGGGGCTGGTACTGGTTACTGGGTAGAAGGTTCAAGGCGACGTGCACCCAGGTTAGAAAGCGCGGAGGACCCCGTGGTCTGGGGCGGAGCTGGAGCTGAGCACCAGGCTTCCCGAACTGGCTCAGGCTTCCGAGGGAGCAGAGGGAGGTAGGAGGTTCTGAGCAGGGCCCCGGGAGCCACGGTGTGAGCTTCTCTCTCCGGGGGTGCTGGCGCCCTGCCCTCCCCACAGACCAGCCGGACAACCCCAGTGAGGAGAACTGTGGAGTGATCCGCACTGAGTCCTCGGGCGGCTGGCAGAACCGTGACTGCAGCATCGCGCTGCCCTATGTGTGCAAGAAGAAGCCCAACGCCACGGCCGAGCCCACCCCTCCAGGTGAGCCAGGGACTGTGCCGCAGGGTGGGGAGGGGCTCCCAGGGCCAGGGACACAGCCACAGAGCCGTGGCAGGCCCAGCCTCTCCTCCGGTTACCACCACAGCACAAGGGGACTCTGGATCCTCTGACTCTTATTTCATTGTTCAGTTAAAGTCTGAGCAAATTGGAATATGTCATTAATTCATTTGGGGAACATGTGCTGAGATCTGTGTTAAATGCTGGCAATACCCACTGTTACCTCGTAGAGACCACAGTCTGCTGGAGGTGACAGACATCTCAATGCAGTTAGACTATCCCAGGTCATGAGTGATTATAGAAATATGGATCAGTGTTAGAGGAGCATAGAGAAGAAACTGATTCAGCTTCTGAGAGTTAAGGAGGGGTTTATGGAAATAACATTTGATTTGGGCCTTTCAAATTGAGTCTAAGTTTAAAAGATATAAAGAGGTGTGGGGGAAGGGCATTCCTGGCAGAGGGAAGAGCATATGCAAAGGTGTGGAGGCCTAGAACTACACTGCAGCTTTAAGGGGTGGTGAGTGATGGCCGGGCACCGTGGCTCACACCTATAATCCCAGCACTTTGGGAGGCCAAGGCAGGAGGATTGCTTGAGCTCAGTAGTTCAAGACCAGCCTGGGCAACATAGCGAGACCCTGTCTCTGCAAAATATTTTTAAAAAATTAGCTGAGTGTGGTGATGCACGCCTGTCTACTAGGGAGGTCGAGGTGGGAGGATTGCTTGAGCCTGCAAGGTTGAGGCTGCAGTGAGCCTCGCTTGCACCACTGCACTCCAACCTGGGCAACAGAGCGAGACGAGACCCTGCCTCAAAAAATAAATAAATAAATAAATAAATAAATTTAAAAAAAAAAAGAAAAAAGAAAGAAAAAGAAAAAAATGGATGGTGCCTGTTGCAGTTTGGGTGGAGTATAGATTCTAACCACTTCAAGTATGGTCATCCAACCAGCAGCACAGCATCCCCGGAGGGCTTGTTAGAAATGCACAGTCAGGCCCGCCCCAGAGTAATTGAATCAGAACCTGCATTTAACAAGATCCTCAGATGATTCATGTGCAGACACAGTTTGGGAAGCCCTGGCTTAAAGGGCATGGTGAAGAAGAGGCAGGTTGCAGCCAGTCTCTGCAGGGTCTTGGCTGCTGGGCCAAGTTTGGGTGGGGCCAGGTAGGCTGTGGGGAGCCTTTGAAGATGTTTAAGCCAGGGAGTGTCTGGTTCTCGTTTGTGATCATAGAGACAGCTTTAGGGGCCTCGTGGAGGAGTTGGGGCAATGGACAGGGTCTGCTTTAGGGATTCTGCCCCTTACTGCTGTGTGGCCCTGGGCAAGCAGCTTAGTCTCTGGGGTGCAGAGTCCTCATTGCAAATGGAGAATGAAGCCACCCCCCTTGCAAGGTTGTTGTGAGGAAGGCTGGAGATCTGGCCTGGCACGAAGGAGTTTTTCTGTAGTTGGCTGTGGATGTTTACTGTGGTGTAGGTTGGAGGGGCTGTGCAGTTTCCTGCGAAGCTGTGGGGTGGTGAGGAGACTTTTACAAAGAAAATATGGCAACACACACACACACACACACACACACACACACACACACACAACACTAACTACAGACAGTAAAGAGTTTACAGAGCAAAACTTCTGCTCCTGACCATGGAAGTCTTGCCAATGATCGACTCAGGACTGGTTTTTTTGTTTGTTTGTTTGAGACAGGGTCTCACTCTGTCACCCAGGCTGGAGTGTAGTGGTGCGATCTTGGCTCACCACAACCTCTGCCTCCTAGGCTCAAGAGATTCTCGTGCCTCAGCCTCCTGAGTAGCTGGGATTACAGGCGGGCATCACTACTTCCCGGCTAACTTTTGTATTTTTAGTAGAGACGGGGTTTCACCATGTTGGCCAGGCTGGTCTTGAACTCCTGACCTCAGGTGATCTGCCCACCTCGGCCTCCCAAAGTGCTGGGATTACAGGCGTGAGCCACCGCACCCCGCCTTTTTATTTTTATTTTTATTTATTTATTTTTTGAAACAGAGTCTCGCTCTGTCGCCCAGGCTGGAGTGCAGTGGCACAATCTCCACTCACTGCAACCTCCGCCTCCCAGGTTCAAGCGATTCTCATCTCCAGGTTCAAGCGATTCTCATGCTCCAGCCTCCCGAGTAGCTGGGATTATAGGCATGAGTGTGCCACCACGCCCGGCTAATTTTTTTGTATTTTTAGAGATGGGGTTTCACCATGTTGCCCAGGCTGGTCTCGAACTCCTGTCTTCAAGTGATTCACCCGCCTCGGCCTCCCAAAGTGCTGGAATTACAGGCGTGAGCCACGGCTCTGGCCTGATTCAGGACTGCTGACCACTGCTTTATCTCCCATTCCGTAAGGGGCCAGGAGCAGAAGCTTGAAACGTCAGCAACCCGATCTAGGGCACCTCCACCTCTAGCTGGAGGGAGCCTTGGGCCCTAGTCCAGTCCTCCCACAAGCACCTTTCTGAAGGAAGGGGCCCGCTGGGAGGCCCGGGTGTGGGCATGCCTAGCCTATCTGTGGCCCCTTACCAAGTCCTCTGTCCTCTGGGTCTTCCCGGACCTGCAGACAGATGTAAGGCCTCGGATTTCCGCCCCTCTGCCCAGCCCATATCTCTCTGCACGAGGCATATTCTAGGCAGGTTCTGCTTTCCCGGTCTCATCACTTAAGTCCTGTCATTTCGAAGGCAGGCGCCCCGTCGTGTCCCCAAAGCATCCACATTTCCCAAGCTCCCTTCCGGTCCTTGAGGCCCCTCGGGTCTCAGCAGCCACTAAAATCCGCTTGTCTGGGGCGGCAGCCTCAGGTCTTAGCTCATTGGCTAACAAGAGATGATTGACAGGTCCTGAGCCAGAGAGCGAGCCCACCGGGCTCTCAGTCCGCCCAGCTTTGCCGGGTCTCCAGGAGCAGGTGTGGCTGGACCACTGGAATCCCAGTCTGAGGCCGTGTTCTAGTGGGCGCGCAGTTTCCTGCCCGACTAGGCAGAATCCTGCCCGAGCATGACACTGTGGGTGGTTTGGTGAAGTCCTGTTTTCTCTTGCCAAGACCAAGTAAGGGCTTGTTTGCCTCAGCTGCCCTCGGATCCCAACCCCTAGAAGGTGAACCTGAAAGGCATGGAAATCGGGGCAAGGGAGGGCCTGGGACGGGTGGATTTCTCAGCCCTGGGGTTCAGGGTTAGGAGTTAGGAGCGGGGAAGGAGTCCCAGCTGGGGGATGGGGCCGATCTGTAGTGACTTTGAGCACCTCCTAATGTTCTCGGTTGCCCGTCCACCAAGACCTCAGATTCCTGGTGGGCTTGCCTGGGCCCCATTAGTGGCTCAAGGTCCCGTTTCCCAGTTTTCTCCCTCCTGGGCTTCCCAGACCTGCACAGAGTGGGTGCTCAATAAATGTTATTTGAGAGAATAACAGTGATTCCATTTACTAGGCAGGGGGCCATAAGCCAAGCTTGAATCTCATAGCAGGAAACCCCATTTACAGAGGGAGAAACTGAGGTTCATGGGGCTGGTTTGTCCTTTCTACCCATCGTTTATTGACTGATTGATTGATGCATTGATTGAGATAAGGTCTTGCTGTGTCGCCCAGGCTGGAGTTTAGTGGTGCAATCATGGCTCACTGCAGCCTTGACCTCCCCGGGTCAAGTGATCCTCCCACCTCAGCCTCCTGAGTAGCGGGACCACAGGCGCACATCACCATGCCTGGCTAATTTTTTATTTTTTATAGAGATGGGGTCTCCCCTTTGTTGCCCAGTCTGTTCTTGAACTACTGGGCTCAAGCAATCCTCCAGCCTTAGCCTTCCAAAGTGCTGGGATTACAGGCCTGAGCCACCATGCCTGGCCCACCCATCGTATTCTGAGAGCCACAGCCAGAGGAAGTGTTCTGTCCTGGGTGGAATCTGCCACCACGACTTGGGTCTCTGTCCCGGGGCTCCAGCAGCCCTGTAAAGTTTTGTGTTTTTTTAGCATTTCCAAGACCTGTGGTGGGGACCGGGATTGATCTGGGAGAGTTTGGAGAGGAGGTGACTGGGAGGCCTCGCCTGTGTTGACGTCAACCCAGTGGGTTGGTTCCCAGACTGGGCGGCTCAGTCCCTGAGCAGCAGCCTCATGGGTCTCTGCAGACAGGTGGGCCAATGTGAAGGTGGAGTGCGAGCCGAGCTGGCAGCCCTTCCAGGGCCACTGCTACCGCCTGCAGGCCGAGAAGCGCAGCTGGCAGGAGTCCAAGAAGGCATGTCTACGGGGCGGTGGCGACCTGGTCAGCATCCACAGCATGGCGGAGCTGGAATTCATCACCAAGCAGATCAAGCAAGGTGAGGAGCTGCCCGCCCACGTGTCTGGGTGGAGGGCAGGGCCTCCCACTGCCCCACCCATCCTGTCCAGGAGCCTCAGAGAATGTTCCTTCCTCCCTACTGGTGGCTGAGGCTGACCTCTCAATGTTTTCTCTCCCCTCCTCTCCTGCTGCACCCCCAGAGGTGGAGGAGCTGTGGATCGGCCTCAACGATTTGAAACTGCAGATGAATTTTGAGTGGTCTGACGGGAGCCTTGTGAGCTTCACCCACTGGCACCCCTTTGAGCCCAACAACTTCCGGGACAGTCTGGAGGACTGTGTCACCATCTGGGGCCCGGTGAGATCTCCCTCTCCCTATCACAGGGCCACAAAATACACCCCCAACCTCCAGGTGCCACCCCAGCTGAAGGACATCCTAGTTACTATCAGAACCTGCCTGGAACCTCTTACCTCTCAGCAGTCCCCCTCCTCCCCACCAATGCCTTCCCTTCCATGTGAGAGACTGCCGGGGCTTGAATCCTACCTCCACCTCCACCTCCAAGTAGCCAAGTCACCTTGGGCAAGTTACTAGAGGGTCACTGGGGAGATCAGAGGAGTTAATTCTCGTGAAACCTTAGGCACAGTGCCTGGCGCATTCTTGGTCTCCTCCCAGCTGCCCTTCCCTGCCAGAAGGTGGCATCAGAACCCACATTATGTGCAGATACTTTGCAAGCAGGGCTGCACTCTGCCAGCCCTCGCCCCCAGTGCTCTACCCAGTCCAGGGTCCTGTCATCTCAAGAGATTGTTGGGTTTTATGACAATTTGCCATGGTTTGGGCTTAGATGTGGTGTAAGTGAAGGAATTGATGGAGGGCTTCAAGCAGAGATGAAAGACCCTTAAAAAAGGGACAAAGCCAGCTGAGTGTGGTGGCTCATGCCTATAATCCCAGCACATTGGGAGGCTGAGGCAGGCGGATCACTTGAGGTGAGGAGTTCGAGACCAGCCTGGCCAACATGGTGAAACCCCATCTCTACTAAAAATACAAAAATTAGCCAGGCGTGGTGGCAGATGCCTGTAATCCCAGCTACTCCAGAGGCTGAGGCAAGAGAATCGCTTGAACCTGGAAGGCAGAGGCTGCAGTGAGCTGAGATTGCACCACTGCACTCCAGCCTGGGTGACAGAGCAAGACCCTGTCTCAAAAAAAAAAAAATAAAATAAAAAGGAGAAAGCCGTAGGGACACAGACCACCCTTCCTAGGGACAGACAGGATGTTCTGCTGTCACATACTGCAAACAGTGCTGTGGACTGTAGTGGCAGTCATTTGCCTTAGGGGATGCTATTTAAGAATTTTAAAACAATTATGTATTGAGTATCTACCATGTGCCAGTCATTTTTCTGGGTGCTAGGATACACAAACACGCCTGCCCTCAGAATGGAGCTTAGAGACAGACATACTGCTGGCTGGGGGCCTGTGGATACTGGGGAGGGCGAAGACAGAAGCAGGGGCCGAGGACTAAATTCCTCCTCAGCTTCATCAGCTGAGATTCTGGTCTGGGCACACTGGCCTCTGCACACTCTGGCCCTGCAGGCACTAGCTAGACGCCTTGGGAATCCAAGCTGTCTATCCTGCCATCAGTTACTCTAACAATCTTAGCCAGTTTGTTTTTGATATTTATAAAACGAGTTATCAATAATGTAAAAGGACGCCTTTCCTTTTTTTTTTTTTTTTTTTGAGATGGAGTTTCACCCTGTCGCCCAGGCTGGAGTGCAATGGCACGATCTTGGCTCACTGGAACCTCTGCCTCCCAGGTTCAAGCGATTCTTCTGCCTGAGCCTCCCAAATAGCTGGGATTACAGGCATGCACCACCACAACCGGCTAACTTTTTGTATTTTCAGTAGAGATGGGGTTTCACCATGTTGGCCAGGCTGGTCTTGAACTCTTGACCTCAAGTGATCCGCCCACCTCGGCCTCCCAAAATGCTGGGATTACAGGCATGAGCCACCGCGCCGGGCCAGGATGCCTTTCCCATTTAGACAATGCTTGTTAAGTTTCAAGGCGTTTGCACATGAACTGCTTGTGCTCTCATCCACCCTGTGAGGCTTATGGGTTCATCCCGCCTTCCCCATTGCACAGCTGGGACACAGACATGTCAGAATCACACAGTAAGTCAGAGACAGGGCCAGCTCTAGGAACCAGATTCCAAGAAGGATTTGGGAGATTTATGGGGAGGTGGGGGTTGAGATTCTTCCTCACCCTGTGTCCGTAGGAAGGCCGCTGGAACGACAGTCCCTGTAACCAGTCCTTGCCATCCATCTGCAAGAAGGCAGGCCAGCTGAGCCAGGGGGCCGCCGAGGAGGACCATGGCTGCCGGAAGGTGAGGGTGTTTCTGGAGCTGCCCTGAGTGGGGCCACCTGTCAGAGGGGCTACCAGGGGAGGGAGAGGTGGATGAACTCCTGCTGCCTCGCATGGCATCGCCCTCTCGTCGGCACCCCCTTCCCTGAGCTCTCCAAACTGCTCCTTTATTGAAGGAGTGATACTGGATGGGATGGGACGGGTGGGCGCTGTTGGGAGGAAGCAGAGCTCCCCACCCCCAGCCCAGTCCTGAGTCCCTCCCCATGGGGGAAGCCACTTCCTCGAGACAGCAGAGAACAGGGAGGTGGGGGCTGGTCTACCCCCGAGTGCCCCCTCAGAGTCCAGCCTAGTCATGTCAAGCAGTGGCTGCCGAAGTGAAGTGTGGCCCCTGTGCACCGCCAGTCCTGACTTCCCCCTCCTCTGCCGTCTGACACAGGGCGTGTGCTGGTCTGTCTCCCCTGGAGGAGTGAGGCCACTCAGGGTGGGGCTGCACCTTCCCCCTCCTTGTGTTCCCAGCCCCAGTGGGCTTCTAGAGGATGTTTAGGGAGGTTGAGGGGGGGGGTGTCAAGGAATGAAAGCTGTGTAAGTGAGTGGGGGGTGAGTGACTGAGGGTGTGAGGGGGTGACAGACCCTCTCCTCCTCCAGGGAGTGGAGCAGGGGTGCAAATGCTGTGATGGGTGCGGGGAGCTTGCTTCTAAAAGACACTGCTTGGCCCTTGGCCCCCCCCAGCAGCCCCTTGCAGCCAGGCTGGCTCCTCACTCTGTTTTCCTTTGGATTAAGCCCCTACCACACCCACCTGGACCCCAAAGCCTCCCCCAGAAAATGAGCAGGAAACACTAACAGGCATGGCCCCATGGGCGAGGAAGCAGAGGGGAGAGCAGAGCCCAGCTGCGGAGTCTGTGGACTGGCAAGGACAGTGCCTGGCCCAGGGGCTGTGTCATGGCTGCGAAGAGGTGAAGGGAGGAGTAGAGAGGAATTACCAACTTCTCTGGCACCAAGGCCAGCCTGGAATTTGTGTGGGGAGTGTTGAGGGTCCATGGTTAACAGCCCAGGATCACCAGGGGTCTTGGCACAGCCCCTGCCAGCAGATGAGGCCCCCACCACACATACCACATCTGCTTCTCTTCTGCCTTGGCTCCTGCCAGCCTCGCCTGCCAGGGTCTCGTCTCTGAGCCCCTCCTGCCATCCCCGGGCCAGGAGCATCCTGCGCCGACTCCAGCTTTGCCAGGCCCTCGAGGACTGCCCATCCCCTCTCCATCCTGGCAGCTCTCCCCAGCCTTTAGCTGTGGTTTCCCAGCCAACAGTAATTTCCCCACTGTGTCTCTTGGTTTAAATGCCCAAGAGAGGAGCCTGAAGGGCCATTCATCTTCCCGAGCCGGGTCACTGGCCGGTCGCTGGTGGCCTGCCAATCAGCCACGCTGGGGCTGGGCCTCCACCCCAGCTTCCACAGCTGTGGGTGATGGTGGAGGGGGAATGTGGAGAAACGAGGTGCAGAACACAGCCCAGTACTCAAACCAGTCCCCTCCGTCCTGAGCACGTTCAGTGATGTCCCTGATGGCATCTCCCACCACAGGATTTATGGGTGAGGGTGGAGAGTCATCTTCCCTACAGACACCCCTCTTCTGTCCACTCTTGAGCCAGGGTTGGACGTGGCACAGCCCATCCTGCTACTGGCTGGGAGAAGACCAAGTGACCTACAGTGAGGCCCGGCGCCTGTGCACTGACCATGGCTCTCAGCTGGTCACCATCACCAACAGGTACAGCAGGGGCGGGTGCCCTGACTAGCCCTTGCCCATGTCTGGGCCTATTGTGGTCCCTTCAGCAAACAGGGTAGCATCTGCCATCATGCCCAGAGGGACCTGGAGTCCTGTGAACCTCAGTGGGCTCCAGGGCATTTTAAAATCTTGTCAGAAGAATGACTCTCACTTGTTAAGTGACCCCAGTGTAGGGCAGGGCCCGGGCAGGCACAGGTGTGGGCTGGATACTTGAGAAAGAGAGGCCTTGGTTGTGTCTGATTTTCTCTACTTTCTTCTCAGCAAAGCAAGGGGTGCAGAGAATAGAAGGGGCAGCTGGGGGTTCCATAAATCAGCTGCAGGGCTCCCAGGCGTCCCTGCTTTCTTGAGCAAGTTATTGGTCGGGTGCAGCACCCGAGCTCCCACGGTAGGGCGTCTGGCCTGTGACTGGGGGATTGGGAAGCAGGGAGATCCCTGCCCTGACCAGCCTGTCTCCTGAAGGTTCGAGCAGGCCTTCGTCAGCAGCCTCATCTACAACTGGGAGGGCGAGTACTTCTGGACGGCCCTGCAGGACCTCAACAGCACCGGCTCCTTCTTCTGGCTCAGTGGGGATGAAGTCATGTACACCCACTGGAACCGGGACCAGCCCGGTGAGCCCCTTATTTGACTTGCCTTGGTGAAGCGAGGAGGGAGGCCAGGGTGGACTGGCCCTGCCAGCACCGAGCCCCAGGGCTTCCCCATAAACAGATCATTGGTGCACTGTGGTGTAGTGTCTATGAGCACAAGCTCTGAAACCAAACTGCCTGGCTCCGATCATGACTCTGCCATCTTTTAGCTGTGCATCCTCTGAGCCTCAGTTTTCTCATCTGTCCAGTGGGAATAATGATCCTTTCCTCATAGGGATGACATGAGTCTTAAATATGTGTAAAGTGCTAATATGTGTAAAGAGTTAATGTGTGTAAAGTGTCTAGATTACTTCTCTATCTGGGCTCACAAAAAAGAAACAAATAATCTCTTCTCTATCTGGACTCATTTAAAAAATGTGTTCAGAATACTGAGCGCAATACAAGTGCTTGTTATTACTATTATTACCATTTCACATTCATTATCTTTCTAACCCCTTCAATAACCTGATGAGGTAGATGATGAAGCAGGCTCGGTGAGGTTAAGCAGCTTGCCTGAGCCCTCACAGTGGGTGAACCCAGAGCCAGGGCTCTGCCTCCATTCCCTTCCTCCCTCCTGGCTCCAACCCCAGAGAGCATGTCTCTGAAGAGGTGGCCAAGCTGGTTCCCAGTGTGAGGGCCGTGCTAGTGCCCTGCCGGGATGTGAGGGAGGACCAGACTATGAATCCTTCTCAGAGCCTGGGTCTCCCTTCCCTCTCCTTCAGGGTACAGCCGTGGGGGCTGCGTGGCGCTGGCCACTGGCAGCGCCATGGGGCTGTGGGAGGTGAAGAACTGTACCTCGTTCCGGGCCCGCTACATCTGCCGGCAGAGCCTGGGCACTCCAGTGACGCCGGAGCTGCCGGGGCCAGATCCCACGCCCAGCCTCACTGGCTCCTGTCCCCAGGGCTGGGCCTCGGACACCAAACTCCGGTATTGCTATAAGGTAGGGCAGCCTGTTGGCCGGGTAGGGGGCAGGGGGAGGACAGGAGCAAAGAGACAGTTTGGATGGAGGTCCCAGTGGGACCAGCCACAATCCAGAGACACACCAGGCTGCAGACGGGTGATTTCTGGTGAGACTTGTCCATGGAATCTGGAGGCCTGGTGCTCAGTAATCATTTGAGGAATTGAGGGAACCACAGATCATTGATTTCAGAGGTTCCCAAATGTTGGGGCCAGCCTAGCTGTTCTTCAGAATTGCTTGGGGAACCTGATAAAAATAAAATCTTGGCCGGGCGCAGTGGCTCACACCTGTAATCCCAGCACTTTGGGAGGTCAAGGCGGGTGGATCACGAGGTCAGGAGATCGAGACCATCCTGGCTAACATGGTGAAACCCCATCTCTACTAAAATACAAAAAATTAGCCAGGTGTGGTGGCAGGCGCCTGTTGTCCCAGCTACTCGGGAGGCTGAGGCAGGAGAATGGCATGAACCCAGGAGGCGGAGCTTGCAGTGAGCCGAGATCGTGCCACTGCACGCCAGCCTGGGTGACAGAGCGAGACTCCGTCTCAAAAATAAATAAATAAATAAATAAAGATAAAAATCTAGGCTGTCACAATGGAGATTTAGATTCATTAGGTCTGGATTGGGCCTGGTAATCTGTATTTTTAATCACGCTAGGTTTGGGAGCCACTGGCAGAGTCCGAGGTCTTTTATTATGCACAGAAACTGAAGTCTAGGGAGAAGAAGGGACTTACCCACGTTAAGCTGTGGCTCTGCTGGGATTAGAGCCCAGATCTCCCTGCTGGTCAGGGGATGGGGCTCAGGGGCCCTCTCCAGAAGGTGACTGTGCCAGCTCCCCTCCCCAGACCTCTGCAGATGAACAGGATTGTCCTTAGCTAGCCTTAGCCCCCTGTCCAGTAAGGCTCCAGGCCCCTCCTCTGCCATGGTGGGAAAGGCAGTAGGTGCCCCCTGAGGGGTGGGCCAGTGGGGACAGCTTAGACAGCTGGACTCTGCCCCTGCAGGTGTTCAGCTCAGAGCGGCTGCAGGACAAGAAGAGCTGGGTCCAGGCCCAGGGGGCCTGCCAGGAGCTGGGGGCCCAGCTGCTGAGCCTGGCCAGCTACGAGGAGGAGCACTTTGTGGCCAACATGCTCAACAAGATCTTCGGGTACTGAGCCGGGCTGAGGCGTGTTAGGAGGGCACCCGCACACGTGTAGGAGCAGGCATGGCCGACAGACCCTTGGTTTTGTTGGGCGAGCAGGGGGATGGCAGAATGTGGGTGACCCCAGGGAGGCCTGCATCTGCTGCTGGTGCCAGGACCATCTTGTCCTCACTCAAGTAGCCATGGTGCCCTGGCATCTTGGGAGAACAGGCTGGTGTGATCCATGCACTCATAGGAGACTGTGTTTTGCTCACCATCATCCCCCCAGCAATGCTCCAACAGACCCACAAACTTACATATGTACCCCCCACCCCATTGCAAAATCTCCCACATGCTGGTCCTGGCAAGTGTTTCCCCTCACCTTACACCATCCTACAATGACCCACACTCCTCAATCCACAGTTTTTCCTGAGAGATAGGAGGAGAAAGGCCGCAGCTATGAGGATTTGCCCATGGGCCTCCCTCTGAGACACCACCTCTGTCCTGGGCTCTGAGCATTAGCACGTGGAATCCCCTAGCACTGGGAAAATCGAGATGGATCTGGGCTTCCTGATAGCTTAATTGAAGGGATCTCTCCTCTCAGCAAACATTGAAATTACATTATTTGTCTCATAATTACAATAGCTCATGGTCATCACTTCTCACCACGTACCAGGCACTGTGCTAAACATATAGTCCTCACTCAAGCCTCCCGACAACCCTATGGAGCAGACGTTAACCCCTGACCCTTGTGGGTTGATAGAGAGGTTATTTGCCCAAGTTCATGGGTGAACGGATACTTGAATCCAGGTTTATTTAACTCCAGAGCCGTAGATCCCTGCCACCTCCTCATCTGAACTTCCTAAACTCCGTAAAGTAAAAGCCTGCAGAATCTTGCTGGACAGGGCACCCCCACCCAAAAGGAACCCAAACAAAGGGGAGGGGCCACTGCCCCTTGAGTGGATGGCTTGGTCCAGCTCTCCCCAGCTCTGTCTTGTGGGGAGAACTTTACCGAAGTGACCTCAACGCTGTATCGATGGGTCAATGTGAAGCCCAGATGGAGAGGCCCCAGGCCCTGGGGGCTGCCCCGGTCACAGCTGCAAGGGACAGGGGGCACGTTTGGGTTCCTGCCCCTCTCACTTCCCATCTCTTCCGTCCCCACTCCTGGGTTGTGCTGAAGTGAATCAGAACCCGAGATCCACGAGCAGCACTGGTTCTGGATCGGCCTGAACCGTCGGGATCCCAGAGGGGGTCAGAGTTGGCGCTGGAGCGACGGCGTAGGGGTGAGGGGGCCTGGGGTACTTGGGACTGCGAGGCCGGGAGCTTGGTGGGCGGGGCCTGTTTGGGGCGGGGCCTGGAGGTGGGCGGGTTTTCTTGAGGGCCGGGCCCCCAGTCGGAGCCGGCTTCAGGAAAGCAGGTCCGAGAGGGGTCACCCGGCCCCCGGTGAGAATTCGCAGCTCAGGCCAGGCCTCTTGTTCACCTGTTCCGGGCATGGGGGCGGCCTGCACCTTGCGCCTCACGTTCCTCTTCCCTCCACCCGCCTCCTCCAGTTCTCTTACCACAATTTCGACCGGAGCCGGCACGACGACGACGACATCCGAGGCTGTGCGGTGCTGGACCTGGCCTCCCTGCAGTGGGTGGCCATGCAGTGCGACACACAGCTGGACTGGATCTGCAAGATCCCCAGAGGTTGGCCGGAGTGGCGCTGGGGGACGCGGGATGGAGCGAAGGGTGGCGGGGCCAGGAATTCCAGGGAGGGTCTCCTTTCCTCACAACGTCTTTGTCCTTGTTCCCCTAGGTACGGACGTGCGGGAGCCCGACGACAGCCCTCAAGGTGAGCACCCCCCAGCCCATCCCGCTACCCATCGCGTGGGAGAGGGCGTCAACTCTGGGGTAAGTCCCGAGAGGCCTGAATGAAATGGAGGGGATGAGGAGTTCCGGTCGAGAGAAGGGGGACGGGGTTGGCTCGGACGGAGGCAGCCACAGCCCTGTTTGCTTCCGTGTGGGAGGCGAGGCAAGCCTGGGGCCTGGGGCCTGGCACGGTGCCTGCCTGGGTCCGGTGTGCCTGCAGGCTCGCCTGCTGCCGCCTGGCTCTGCCCCGGCCCTGCCGCGCCCGCCTCCGGGGCCTGGCGTGCAGCCTCTGCCTGGCCGCCGCTCCCACGCCCGCGCTGCTCCTGCAGGCCGACGGGAATGGCTGCGCTTCCAGGAGGCCGAGTACAAGTTCTTTGAGCACCACTCCACGTGGGCGCAGGCGCAGCGCATCTGCACGTGGTTCCAGGCCGAGCTGACCTCGGTGCACAGCCAGGCGGAGCTAGACTTCCTGAGCCACAACTTGCAGAAGGTGGGCATTGGATTGAGCAGGGGGCTGCAGGCTGGGGGAGGGCAGGCCCGGGATGAGGGCAGGGGGCTGCCTACCCACACCTGCCCGCCTGGCTTCTCCAGTTCTCCCGGGCCCAGGAGCAGCACTGGTGGATCGGCCTGCACACCTCTGAGAGCGATGGGCGCTTCAGGTAGGAACCCAGGCAGGCAGCAGATGTGGAAGGGGGCTGGCTGTCCACACACGGAGCACAGAGGCAGACTTGCATTTGAATCCAGCCCTGCCCCTTCCTTGCTGGCTGTGTGGCCTTGAGCAAGATACTTAACCTTTCTGGGCCTTGGTTTTCTCATCTGAAAATGGGAATATGAGGCCTGCCTGGTAAGATTTTTGTGAAGATTAGAAATAACATATGCGAAGTGCTTACGCAGCATCCAGCACATTAGTTACTAAATAATGGCAGCTCCTGTTACGTCTGGTGTCATTCATCATGACTAAGGCCCTCTCGGGGAAGTGGGCAGAACATATGATGATCCGGGGGCCTCTTTGTATTTGGTGCCTACTTACCATGTACTGGGGGGCTTGAGGCAGGAAGGACCAGGAGCACCTGGGACTCAGAATTTGAGCTTGTCTTTTTGCCCTTGGGCTTCCTGCCCTGGAGTCCTCAGGCTTCTTTTCTGGAGCAGCAAGTGTCCAGGGACAGCTGGGGCCTTATCTAGAGGCACCAGGTCCTTGGGTCTTTGACTGCCCTGAGCTCAGTAGCTCCACCCCTCAGCCTACAGCCACTAAACCCCAGAACCTGGGCCCTTCCCTGCCCCCATTCCTGCGGCCTTCATTGCTGCATCCGGTGGAGGCCCAGCTGGGGGCCGGTGCTGGAGTTACCTCTGCTCCATGCCATTGCAGATGGACAGATGGTTCCATTATAAACTTCATCTCCTGGGCACCAGGCAAACCTCGGCCTGTCGGCAAGGACAAGAAGTGCGTGTACATGACAGCCAGCCGAGGTGAGGGCAAGGTGGGGGCAGAGTGCGCAGTCAGCTGTGCAAAGGGTTAATGCTGGGCGAGCCTGGGCAGAAGTCATCAGTCTGTTCTCATTCTCTTTGTTCCCACAACCCAATAAAGGCTAGACTCAGCGAGGGGTGGACCTGTCTCCATGGTCCAGAAGACTTGAATTCGGAGCTGGACACAGGCCCTGAGCCTCTGCCCAGACTCCTCTCAGGGCATGAGGCTGAGTGTGCTGCCAGCCATGCCCTGCCCTGCTCTGCCCTGGGGGTGACTGCCCTCCCCTCCCCTTTCCGCAGAGGACTGGGGGGACCAGAGGTGCCTGACAGCCTTGCCCTACATCTGCAAGCGCAGCAACGTCACCAAAGAAACGCAGCCCCCAGACCTGCCAACTACAGCCCTGGGGGGCTGCCCCTCTGACTGGATCCAGTTCCTCAACAAGGTAGGAGGTGGCAATGGGGCACCCAAGGGAGTCAGGGGAGAGGACGTGAACAGGGAAAGGCTGAGCCTCAGGAGTCCTGGCCTTTTGGCAGCACCAAACTCATGGCCTCTTGCCTGTACCCACCAACTTCTCTTTCACCTGGCTCCAGTACCAGGGCCAGACTCCTTGGAAAATGACTCACTGTAGTAGCACCTTCCAATCCTCCGGGAAGCAAGGTTGTCCAAATAATTTGGTGAGTGTTCTAGATCAGTGATTGCCAAAGATTTTTTTTTTTTTTTTTTGAGAAGGAGTTTCACTCTTGTCACCCAGGCTGGAGTGCAGTGGCGCGATCTCGGCTCACTGCAACCTCTGCTTCCTGGGTTCAACCAATTCTCTTGCCTCAGCCTCCCGAGTAGCTGGGATTACAGGCACCTGCCACCACCCCTGGCTAATTTTTGTATTTTTAGTAGAGATGGGGTTTCACCATGTTGGCCAGGCTAGTCTCGAACCCCTGAACTCAGGTGATCACCTGCCTTGGCCTCCCAAAGTGCTGGGATTACAGATGTGAGCCACCGCGCCCGGCCTGATTGCCGGCCTGATTATCAAAGATTTTGATAATGAACTCCTATTAGTAAAACAAAATATTGAGCTTACATGACCAAACTATGTGTGTGTACATTTAACTTATATATGTATATGTGTGTGTAAATAAAACCTACTTCCATACTAATATGACTAATATTATATATAGTAAAATATGTATAAGAACAAAAGAGTATAAAACATTAGCTAAAGATTTTTAAATACTTTTAAGTTTAAAACATTTTTTTGGCTGCGCGTGGTGGGTCATGCCTGTAATCCCAGCCCTTTGGGAGGCTGAGGCGGGTGAATCACCTGAGATTAGGAGTTCGAGACCAGCCTGACCAACATGGAGAAACCCCATCTCTACTAAAAATACAAAATTAGCTGAGTGTGGTGGCACATGCCTGTAATCCCAGCTACTCGGGAGGATGAGGCAGGAGAATTGCTTGAATCCTGGAGGCGGAAGTTGCGGTGAGTCAAGATCGTGCCATTGCACTCCAGCCTGGGCAACAAAAGCGAAACTCCGTCTCAAAAAAATAAACAAAGAAAAAAAAAACAACAAAAAAAACACCTTTTTTTTTTTTTTTTTTTTTTACTAGTGGTATGAAAACATTTTTTTGTGCTCACTCAAAAGTGATTAATTGGCTGGGAGAGGTGGCTCACACCTGTAATCCCAGCACTTTGGGAGGCTGAGGCAGGAGGATGACTTGAGCCCAGGAGTTCGAGACCAGTCTGGACAACATGGAGAGACCATGTCTCTACAAAAAATAGGAAAATTAACCAGGTGTGATGGTGCACACTTGTAGTTCCAGCTACCCAGGAGGTGGGAAGTGGGAGGATCTCCTGAACCCAGGAGGTAGAGGCTTCAATGAGCCATGGTCATGCCACTGTATACCACCCTGGGTAATGGAGTGAGACCCTTTCTCCAAAAAAAAAAAAGATCAATTATAATAATTATTGTTTAATATGCTCACTTTGGCAGCACATGTACAAAAAGTGAAACAATACAGAGAAGATTAGCATGGCCCTGCACAAGGATGCTATGCAAATTCCTGAAGGGTCCATATTTTGCGTAGTTCATGAAAGTTGAAGGTTGTTCAACAAAAAAATTGTCTAAATAATTTTAATAAGAGCAATGTGATTACATGTACTTCACGTTTTTAAAAAATTTTAGTCTGACACTTTATGACTCATGACTCACAGGTCTAACGTGTTGAAAATCAAAGTTATTTCAAAACATGCATTTCATGGTGGCTATAGATTAAATATGCCTCACAAAGACAAATAGATTGAAGTGAAAAAAGTTCATCCATCATTTCTAAATAATTCTCCCCATTTTTAGTCCTTCTACCAATTAAACAAACATTTTTGTTTAAAAATTGGCTAGTAGGCTGGGACGCTGAGCACTGGGAGGATCACTTGAAGCCAGGAGTTCGAGACCAGCCTGGGCAATGTAGCAAGACCCTATCTAGAAAATTCTTTTTCCAAGTGTTTTGAGTGTGCAGGTAGGAAAGTTTGGGGCACTGACATTAATCACTATGGATGCATTTCTCAACACGTTTTTACAACACCCCCTCCATAGTGTGAGTTTCTTCCCCACAGTCGTTATTTTTCCATGCACAGGCTGATTTATTAGACCTGATTAGTCCTTCATTGTTTTTACCTGGCGATTGACAACGAGTTCATACCAGGAAGAGAAGGTTGTCATTTTCCTTGTTATGTGCCAGGGTAATTGGCATTAATCTCAAGCCATGGCTTCTTTGCAGGACATTTTAAGAACACTTAGCCCTGTTGTGAAGATTAGATTAGTTAACACTGAATAATATAATCCACAAATCCTTGTCATACACAGGAAGGCAGCCAGCCTCTTAGTGTCATGGATCTCCTGCCCTCCTCAGAATATTCAAAAGAACATTACACGGCCAGGCGCTGTGGCTCATGCCTGTAATCCCAGCACTTTGGGAGGCCGAGGCGGGTGGATCACCTGAGATCAGGAGTTTGAGACCAACCAGGGCAACATCGCAAAACCCTGTCTCTACTAAAAATACAAAAAATTATCTGGGCATGGTGGTGGACGCCTGTAATCTCACCTACTCGGGAGGCTGAGGCAGCAGAATCGCTTGAACCTGGGAGGCAGAGGTTGCAGTGAGCTGAGATCGAGCCACTGCACTCCAGCCTGGGCGAGAGATTGAGACTCTCTCTCAAAACAAAACAAAACAAAAACCACACAAAAAAAAAATTACACCTCTTCTACCTTAAAAAATTAAGGCATGTATATTATTAAAACTTTGGAAAATACAGAAGAGAAACCAAAACTCACCCAACACTCTCTAGAGATCACAGCTATCAATATTTGTTATTCTCCTTCCTGCCTTTTTCCATGGAATTGAGCTCATACTAAATAATATAATTTCCTACCCAACTCTTCTTTCTCTGTATCATATTTTGAGCATCTCTCATGTTATAAAGTTTTTCCAAAAACTTGTTCTTTTTCCATCCACTTTTTAAACAGAATGTATTTTATATATGTAATAGGTCCCATTCTTAATCATCATTGTCAAGATACCAGTTACTCTCCTGCCCTGTGGAAAGTTCTGTTTGTTTTTGTTTTTGAGACAGGGTCTTGCTCTGTCTCAAAAACTGCTGGAGTATGGTGGTACCATCATGGCTTACTTACTGCAGCCTCGACCTCCTAGGCTTAAGTGATCCTCCTGCCTCAGCCTCCTGAGTAGCTGGCACTACAGGCTTATGCCACCATGCCCAGCTAATTTTTCTATTTTTTTTGTAGAAATGGGGTTTTGCCATGTTGTCCAGGCTGGTTTTGAACTTCTGGGCTCAAGCGATCCTCCTGCCTTGGCCTTCCAAAGGGCAGGGATTACAGGTGTGCGCCACTGTGCCTGGCCTGTGGAAAGCTCTGGAAGTATGCTAGGGTGTTCACTCCTTCACTGCCTGCCCTCACACATCTTGCTTTACTAGTTCTGTGCCCTTCTTTGTGTCCCTATAGCATTTGGATGTAGGTAAAGCATTTATGGCAGCTGTCCCCAACCTTTTTGGCACCAGGGACTGGTTTCTTGGAAGACAATTTTTCCATGTACTAGGGGAGGGGAGGGATGGTTTTGGGATGAAACTGTTCCACCTCAGATCATCAGGCATTAGATTCTCATAAGGAGCACGCAACCTAGATCCCTTGCATGTGCAATTCACGGTAGGGTTCGCACTCCTATGAGAATCTTGGCTGGGCGCGGTGGCTCAGCCTATAATCCCAGCACTTTGGGAGGCCTAGGTGGGCAGATTACCTGAGGTCAGGAGTTTGAAACCAGCCTGGCCAACATGGTGAAACCCTGTCTCTACTAAAAATACAAAAATTAGCCAGGTGTGGTGGTGGGCGCCTGTAATCCCAGCTACTCGGGAGGCTGAGGCAGGAGAATAGCTTGAACCTGGGAGGCGGAGGTTGCAGTGAGCTGAGATTGCGCCATTGCACTCCAGCCTGGGCAACAAAGCAAGACTCCATCTCAACAACAACAACAACAACAACAACAACAACAACAAAGAATCTAATGCCCTGCTGATCCAACAGGAGGTGGAGCTCAGGCTGTAATGCCCCTTCGCCCCGCTGCTCACCTCCTAAGAGGCCGGGGACCCCTGGTTTGTGGGACAGCCTCTTCCACTAGCTTTAAGCTCCTGGAGGGCAGGGCCACTAGCACCTGCCATACCCCTTAATACACTTGCACATGGCAGGGATGCCCTCAGTGTCGGCTGGACTGAGCTGAATACCCTCCCCCTTTAGCTGTCACTTCTTGCTGGTACTGGTGTGACCTTGCTGCTTCCAAGTTTATGATGAATTCTACTCATGATTTAAGTTGGGCCTCAGCATGGCTCTGAAACTACTTCTGTGAAACCAAATCCTTGAACTTTGTGACAGACCTCCAAAAATCTGCATTATTTCTGGGCTTACAATTTTTTACCCCAAATCTGCCATCTGCATCAGTAAGGATGGTGCTGGAGCTAATTATTAATAGTCACAGCTCTCACTGGTTAAGTGCCTACTGTGTCATGTACTGTTATCTTTAATCCTTAAAATGATCCCCAAAGACAGGCTTTGTATTACCACTTTACAGAAGAGTAAATTGAGGCCATAAGGTTGTCAGAGCTGGAATCTGACATCTCCCCCTTACCTGAATCCCACCCCTGTCTTTATGACTCCAAAGCTTCCCTACACCCTTTCTTTTTTTTTCTTTTGAGACAGAGTTTCGCTCTTGTTGCCCAGGCTGGAGTGTAATGGCGTGATCTCAGCTCACTGCAACCTCCGCCTCCTGGGTTCAAGCGATTCTCCTGCCTCAGCCTCCCAAGTAGCTGGGATTACAGGCATGTGCCACCACGCCTGGCTAATTTTATATTTTTAGTAGAGATGGGGTTTCTCCATGTTGGTCAGGCTGGTCTCGAACTCCAGACCTCAGGTGATCCACCCGCCTTGGCCTCCCAAAGTGCTGGGATTACAGGTGTGAGCCACCGTGCCTGGCCAACACCCTTTATTTTCCATCACACTGCCTCTGAGCAGAAAATCATTAGATATTCATTTTCCTAAGAAAGAGTCTTCACTTGATGAGAGATTTCCTACCCAGGGCTTTTGTTTGTTTGTTTGTTTGGAAACCTTATAGAGCTAATGAAAGTGGGAAAAGAGAAATGTAAAATTACAGAGTTAGAAGCTGCTGCTAATAGATCATTCAACAATAGAGATAAAAGTGTCCTAGGGCTGGGCGCGGTGAAACCCCGTCTCTACTAAAAATACAAAAAATTAGCTGGGCATGGTGGTGGGCGCCTGCAGTCCCAGCTACTGGGGAGGCTGAGGCAGGAGAATGGTGTGAACCCTGGAGGTGGAGCTTGCAGTGAGCCGAGATGGCGCCACTGCACTCCAGCCTGGGAGACAGAGCGAGACTCTGTCTTGAAAAAAAAAAAAGTGTCCTAGAGATGATCATGTAAGTTCAAAGGGCAAGATAATGGATGTCAGACAACATTCGGAAGGGTGTTTAGCAGAAAGCAAGATAGATCCTTGTCCCCATCTTCCTAGTGCTTGGCCTAGGCACTGTTGTCATAGCCTTTGACGGCCCAAAGAAATCCTCCCATTTGAAGATCCCCTGGAGTGTGGGCAGGTGTGTGTGAATCTGCAGTGCCAAGCTGGGAGGTGCTGGAGGCTGCCAAGCAGACCCAGCTGTCCTGGTTCTCAGATACTGTTCTCTCCCGGCCCTCAAAGGCCCCCCAGGACCTGCTGCTGAGGGGCGCACAGTGGCCTTTCTGGGTTTGTGGATGGGGTGGTGGGGCTGGCCATTACATCCCCACCTCTGCCCCACAGTGTTTTCAGGTCCAGGGCCAGGAACCCCAGAGCCGGGTGAAGTGGTCAGAGGCACAGTTCTCCTGTGAACAGCAAGAGGCCCAGCTGGTCACCATCACAAACCCCTTAGAGCAAGGTAGGGCCAGCCTATGGGGAGCCCCCAGTATCCTCTGACACTGTCCCCCCAAATAGCTATAGCAGAGTCACTCACAACTGTCTTCTGGGGACCATAGCATTCATCACAGCCAGCCTGCCCAATGTGACCTTTGACCTTTGGATTGGCCTCCATGCCTCGCAGAGGGACTTCCAGTGGGTGGAGCAGGAGCCTTTGATGTATGCCAACTGGGCACCTGGGGAGCCCTCTGGCCCTAGCCCTGCTCCCAGTGGCAACAAACCGGTGAGGATGCCCTCCCTGTTCCCCTCCGCACCGCGCTGCCCTAAGCCTGTGGGGCTGCCTTTGCCCCAGCATCTCTTGCCCCAGGGTCTCCCTTCTTCCAGCCTCTTTGCTCACATTGCAGCCTTCTGGGGACAGTAGCACAGGGAGGCAGCTGCTGGGGCTCCCCTGAGCAGCTCCCTCCCCCCAGACCAGCTGTGCAGTGGTCCTGCACAGCCCCTCAGCCCACTTCACTGGCCGCTGGGACGATCGGAGCTGCACGGAGGAGACCCATGGCTTCATCTGCCAGAAGGGCACGGGTATGTGTCACCAGTCACCTGGGAAACCCCAGTGGGGCCCTGGCACCGGGCTGGATGCTGGGACCATGCCAGGAGGAAGGAATCATGGTCCCTGGCAGAGCAGGGCTCTGCTTGGGAAGCAGATGGGCAGAAAGGCAAGGTGCCAATAAGATGGAAAAGCAATAGCACCCACAGGTCTCAGGAGGAAGATTTGGGGGTATGGAGGGCTCGTTGGGTCGGGGGGAGAGCTAGACGCTGGGCTGCATGAAGTGCTGGCACGTGTGGCGTCAAGGACCCTGAGGTTCCAGGTCCAAGACACCTCCAGCTCCATGCGTAGGTGGCCTCTGCGCCGGGTTCCTTGGGTAGGAGGAGGTCAAGGCCCTCACCTCCCTGTCCATTTGTTAGCAAACATGTATTATTAATAACAACAGGGCTGACACCTACCAAGCCTTGGTCTGGGCCAAGCGCCGAGTCTGGTGGAGACCGGGTCTTTGCCTGGTGTGCGGCCTTCTCCTGGCCTTGTGCCTGGGAACGGGGTGAGGGAAGCAGAGCCCAGCCTGAACCCTGACCCCTTCCCTGTAGACCCCTCCCTGAGCCCGTCCCCAGCAGCGCTGCCCCCCGCCCCGGGCACTGAGCTCTCCTACCTCAACGGCACCTTCCGGCTGCTTCAGAAGCCGCTGCGCTGGCACGATGCCCTCCTGCTGTGTGAGAGCCGCAATGCCAGCCTGGCCTACGTGCCCGACCCCTACACCCAGGCCTTCCTCACGCAGGCTGCCCGAGGGCTGCGCACGCCGCTCTGGATTGGGCTGGCTGGCGAGGAGGTGGGCTCCCGACACTTTTGCCCTGGGCCCCAGCCTTGCCCGGGTTCCCCTCCCTGCCCCTTCCTGCCCCCGCCTTATCCGCACCCTATCCTGACTATTCCCTTCCTCCCACCCCATGGCCCCCCATGCCCAGGGCTCTCGGCGGTACTCCTGGGTCTCAGAGGAGCCGCTGAACTACGTGGGCTGGCAGGACGGGGAGCCGCAGCAGCCGGGGGGCTGTACCTACGTAGATGTGGACGGGGCCTGGCGCACCACCAGCTGTGACACCAAGCTGCAGGGGGCTGTGTGTGGGGTTAGCAGTGGTGAGTGCCCACCTGCCAGGGCGGGGGCATGGGCAAGCTGTCGGTGGCCCCGGGGAGGGTGCTGAGCCACTTCTTAATCCTGTACCCCCACAGGGCCCCCTCCTCCCCGAAGAATAAGCTACCATGGCAGCTGTCCCCAGGGACTGGCAGACTCCGCGTGGATTCCCTTCCGGGAGCACTGCTATTCTTTCCACATGGAGCTGCTGCTGGGCCACAAGGAGGCGCGACAGCGCTGCCAGAGAGGTGGGTGACCAGGCCAGAGCCCACACATGGCGGGCAGGTGGCACCTCCTCTCGTGGGCACTCAGACCCATGAGTACATCCCCACACTGCTCTCTACCCATAGGCAGCACTTACACAAGATGCCCTCGTGCTCTCACATGTGGAGACCATACATGACACTATATGTGCATATGCTGCCCCCCCACACACTTGCACATGTGCACACACACACACATGAATCCACAGACTCCACACCATCCTCTACTCAGGCTGCAGAGAAGAGGGCTGGAGCAGCTCTGGGGGACTCTGCCCCCCCCGGAGACCCATCCGCCCTGACGTGGGCCTTCTTTGCATCCAGCGGGTGGGGCCGTCCTGTCTATCCTGGATGAGATGGAGAATGTGTTTGTCTGGGAGCACCTGCAGAGCTATGAGGGCCAGAGTCGGGGCGCCTGGCTGGGCATGAACTTCAACCCCAAAGGTGGGTGCCCTGTGTGTGGGGTGGAGAGGTCAAGCCTCAGGCTGTAAGGGGCTGCCCTCCACTTTGCCCTGAGCCTTGTCCTGGGGCTTGTCGGGGGACAGGGAGTCGGTTCTAGAACACACCTGCTCTCCTCCACCTACTCCTGCCCCACCTTGTCCCTGCTCCCTCAGTGCCTTCTTTCCTGCAGGAGGCACTCTGGTCTGGCAGGACAACACAGCTGTGAACTACTCCAACTGGGGGCCCCCGGGCTTGGGCCCCAGCATGCTGAGCCACAACAGCTGCTACTGGATTCAGAGCAACAGCGGGCTATGGCGCCCCGGCGCTTGCACCAACATCACCATGGGTGTCGTCTGCAAGCTTCCTCGTGGTGAGCGCCGGGCAGGCCCACGCTCAGCCTCCTTCCACCCCGTGCCGCTGGTCCTGGGCTGGGGCTGGGGGCTGCTTCACAACTGCAGGGGGCACAGCCGATGGGAAGGCCTGAACAGAACGGACTGCGGGCAGCTGGGACCCCCGGGATAAATTAGTCAGTGGGATGGACTGGACCTGAAACTTATCATCCAAACTAGACCACAAGGCTCGGGGGTCAGCAACCCCCTGTCACTTTGTAGTGGTCAAGGGCATGGACAGAGTTCAAGTCCTGGCCATGTCACTTATCAGTGGTGTGACCTTGGGCAGAGTCTGTGGCCTCAGTTTCCTCGTATGTAAAATGGGAATAATAGTAGTTCCAGACTGATGTGGTGGCTCATGCCTGTAATCCCAGCACTTTGGGAGGCTGAGGTGGGCGGATCACTTGAGGTCAGGGGTTCAAGACCAGCCTGGCCAACATGGTGAAACCCCGTCTCTACCAAAAAGTACAAAAATTAGCTGGGCGTGGTAGCACATGCCTGTAGTCCCAGCTACTTAGGAGGCTGAGGCATGTGAATTGCTTCAACCGTGGAGGTGGAGGCTGCAGTGAGCCGAGATCGCACCACTGCATTCCAGCCTGGGCAACACAGCAAGACCCTGTCTCCAAAAAAAAAAAAAAAAAAAAAAAGTCCCGACCTCCTAGAGTGCTAGTGAAGCTAGTAAAGATGAGGTGAGTTAGGGAAGGGGCTGACACCCAGGCCTCCCACGAGGGCTGGGCTGAGACCTAGCTGAGTGCAGCATGGCGTTTTCCCTTTCTGGGGGAACCTGAAGTCTTGTCTCTTGGGCCTGTGCCCCCACAGTAACCAGAGGTAGGATGGGAGGGGGAACTAGAGCCTCTTTCTCCCCAGACCTCCCGGCCCAGGCCTGTGTGCTTTGTATGTTTACTTAAGTGATTATTACGATGATCACTGCTATTATTAACTGGCCCCCTCCTCTTGCCCACAGCTGAGCAGAGCAGCTTCTCCCCATCAGGTGAGTGAAAGGCAATGCCCCCAGGTGGGCAGGCAGGAAGCACTGCTGGGCCTAACGCCCACTTGGCCTTTCACGCCCACTCGCCTTGGCAGCGCTTCCAGAGAACCCAGCGGCCCTGGTGGTGGTGCTGATGGCGGTGCTGCTGCTCCTGGCCTTGCTGACCGCAGCCCTCATCCTTTACCGGAGGCGCCAGAGCATCGAGCGCGGGGCCTTTGAGGGTGCCCGCTACAGCCGCAGCAGCTCCAGCCCCACCGAGGCCACTGAGAAGAACATCCTGGTGTCAGACATGGAAATGAATGAGCAACAAGAATAGAGCCAGGCGCGTGGGCAGGGCCAGGGCGGGAGGAGCTGGGGAGCTGGGGCCCTGGGTCAGTCTGGCCCCCCACCAGCTGCCTGTCCAGTTGGCCTATGGAAGGGTGCCCTTGGGAGTCGCTGTTGGGAGCCGGAGCTGGGCAGAGCCTGGGCTGGTGGGGTGCCACCCTCCCACAAGGGCTGGGCTGAGACCCAGCTGAGTGCAGCGTGGCGTTTCCCTTTCTGGGGGGGCCTGAGGTCTTGTCACCTGGTCCTGTGCCCCCACAGGAACCAGAGGTAGGATGGGAGGGGGAACGAGAGCCTCTTTCTCCCCAGAGCCCCCGGCCCAGGCCTGTTGATCCGCGCCCCAGGACCCCCTTCTTTGCAGAGCCCGAGGAGCCTCCCCTGTCCCCTCGGGCAGATCTGTTGTGTCTCTCTTCCCACCTGGCAGCCTCAGCTCTGTGCCCCTCACCCTGCTCCCTCTCGCCCCTTCTCTCCCACCCCTTCCTTCTGAGCCGGGCCCTGGGGATTGGGGAGCCCTCTTGTTCCTGATGAGGGTCAGCTGAGGGGGCTGAGCATCCATCACTCCTGTGCCTGCTGGGGTGGCTGTGGGGCGTGGCAGGAGGGGCCTAGGTGGGTTGGGCCTGAGAACCAGGGCACGGGTGTGGTGTCTGCTGGGCTGGAGATAAGACTGGGGAGAGACACCCCAACCTCCCAGGGTGGGAGCTGGGCCGGGCTGGGATGTCATCTCCTGCCGGGCGGGGGAGGGCTCTGCCCCTGGAAGAGTCCCCTGTGGGGACCAAAATAAGTTCCCTAACATCTCCAGCTCCTGGCTCTGGTTTGGAGCAAGGGGAAGGGTTGCCAGAGTCCTGGGGGCCCCAGAGGAGCAGGAGTCTGGGAGGGCCCAGAGTTCACCCTCTAGTGGATCCAGGAGGAGCAGCACCCGAGCCCTGGAGTGGCCCAGTACCCTTCCAAGAGGCCACAGTCCCAGCCAGGACAAAGTATGCGGCCCATCCTGGTGCGACAGCGTGGGACAATGTGAACATGGACTCGAAGACATGGCCCTTTCTCTGTAGTTGATTTTTTAAATGTGCCATTATTGTTTTTAAAAAAAAAGGAAAAAAGAAAAGCAAACAAATAAAACACCTTTAAGAGGCTTGAAAGAGAAGGTTCTGCCTTGTCCTGTGGTGAGCCTGCTTCTTCACGTCTGTCCCTTCGGAGATAACTGTTGTTTTGGAGCTTGCACCACAGGTGTTTTCTGCAGCTGGCCATTTTGCGTCTGTCTCTGGGCCTCTAGGGGACACTCTCACCCCCGATCTTTAGGAGCTCACCCCTCTGGGCCTGCGCCTCCCTCTCTCTGTTCCTGGGGGCTTGAATGTGGGTGAGAACTCAGGAGCCAGGCCATCTGCTGCTGAGCAGCCAGCCGTGCAAGCTTGGGCAACTTAGCACACCTCTCAACATGTGCACAGTGGGGAGAACCGGACCCACCTCCTAGGGTTGTTTTAAGGATATGTGAGGATCAAGGGAGCTCATCTGTGCAGAGCACTTAGAACAGTGCCTCTGGGCTCTGCAAGCGCTAGGCGTTACTGCCGTTTCTGGGCTGCGGCTCCAGGGGAGCACTTGATGTGTCCAGGCCGGCCCTGGGTGGGGGCTCCACATCACCGTCCTTCCAAGGCAGCCATCATACCTGCCCTCTAACAGCCTGAAAGTTCACATGTGTCCTTAGGGAGCCTGGGCTCTGAAACCACAGAAGGCAGAATGGACGGCAGGACCTTTACTCACCTGCTTGTTCATTCAGCCGGTATTTGAGCTGGAGATGCCAACAAAGGAAGGTTAACCAACGCCAATCGGGCGAGGCAGGGGGAAGCTGCTAATGTGGCCTGTGTGTCTGGGGAGGGTCTCACTAGAGGGAGTGAGATTGACTGCAGCCTGAAGGAGGTGGCGGAGTGAGCAATGCAAATATCTGGGCCAGGGCTAGGGGGGCATCCCTGGTGCTTTAGGGGACCAGCAGGGAGGCGAGGTGGGCTGAGGCTGAGATGAGTCAGGCAGGGCCAGATTGTCCAAGGCCCTGAAGGCAGTGGTAGAATGTAGCATTATTTTCAGGATAGTGGGAAGTCAATGGGAATGGCTAATCAGGCTGACCTTTTAACAAGATCATTCTGGCTAGGAGTTGAGAAATAGACAATGGATGGGAAACGGGGGAGTGAAAGCAGGAAGGCTGGTGCGGAAGCTCTTGTAATAATTCAGGCACAACAAGACGGTGGTTTGTTGGGATCAGGACTGCAGTAGTGGTCAGATTCTGTGTGTGTGTGTGTGTGTGTGTGTGTGTGTGTGCGCGCGCGTGCGTGTGTGTGTGTTTTGCCCTGTTCATGATATTTAAAATAAGTTTCCACTTTTATGAATAGACAATGCAGTCACGCAGTCTGCATTGCGTGGGATACCTAAATGATATCCCAAGATAGATGTTGCGCAAGTCCTGCCCCTGCCCGTCGCCCTCCAGCCTATACCCTCCTGCCCTGTCAGTTTCCTGTCTTTCCAGTGTTTCTTTGTGAAAGCAAATGAACGCCAGATTGGACTGAAGGGATGGCGGATGCCCTTGCTGGGGATGGGATCTGCCTGGGGAAAGGCAGTGGGAGTCAGGAAGCACTCCAAGCTTCCCGCCTGGACTGCAGGGTGAATGGGGTGCTGTTTCCTGAGACAGGAGCCCTAGGGAGAGCCCATGAGCTGCTGGCCTGAGTCCAGGACTACGGTGGAGCCCAGGGGACCCCCTCCAGCAATCCTCTCTGTGCCGCCCCAGCAACAGCAGGACCCATGGAAGGCGCCTAATCACTCAGGGGAGGGAGTCCCAGTCCTGTGGGAGGTTCACCCTGGAGTGAGTTGCTATCTAGCCCTGCAGCCCAAACAGCTCCCTTTGTGAGTTAAGTGCCCTGCCACTGCCCACAGTGAGAGGTGAAGCCAGCTGGACTTCCTAGGTTGAGTGGGGACTTGGAGAACTTTTCTTACAAGAGGTTTGTAAAATCAGTGCTCTGTAAAAATGCACCAATTGGTGCTCTGTAGCTAGCTAGAGGTTTGTAAAATGCACCAATCAGTGCTCTGTAAAAATGCACTAATCAGCACTCTGTACCTGGCTAGAGGTTTGTAAAATGGACCAATCAGCACTCTGTAAAATGGACCAATCAGCAGGACATGGGCGGGGACAAATAAGGGAATAAAAGCTGTGTCCTCCCCACCCACCCCACCCCTAGCAGCAACCCGCTCAGGTCCTCTTCCATACTGTGGAAGCTTTGTTCTTTCACTCTTCACAATAAATCTTGCTGCTGCTCCTCACTCTTTGGGTCCGTGCCACTTTTAAGAGCTGTAACACTAGGCCAGGCATGGTGGCTCACGCCTGTAATCCCAGCACTTTGGGAGGCCGAGACAGGCAGATCATGAGGTCAGGAGATCAAGACTATCCTGGCTAACATGGTGAAACCCCATCTCTATTAAAAATACAAAAAATTAACTGGGCGTGGTGACAGGCGTCTGTAGTCCCAGCTACTCGGGAGGCTGAGGCAGGAGAATGGCGTGAACCCAGGAGGCGGAGCTTGCAGTGAGCCGAGATTGTGCCACTGCACTCCAGCCTGGGCGACAGAGCGAGACTCTGTCTCAAAAACAAAAAAAAAGAGCTGTAACACTCACCGTGAAGGTCCGAGGCTTCATTCTTGAGGTCAGTGAGACCACGAACCCACTGGAAGGAACCAACTCCAGACACAACACCACAAGAAACATTGGGGGAGAGGCCCCCCAAGACCCTAGTGACTCTAACCTCGGGAGAGAAGAAAGGTCAAGGAGTGAGGTCCGGATCACTAGCTTGAGGGGTGGGAGGGAGCAGCGGAGGGACGGAGGACCCCAGTGGCCAGAGCTGCCCTCGTCAGTGGCTGGTGCCTGCTCTCCTCACGTCTCTCTGCCTTGCTCAGGTGACGAGTCTCCCCAGGGCCCTGCACCCACCTGCAAGCATTTCAGACAGCGTCACGGGTGCCTGGAGGCTACCCCTAGACCTCGTTCTAAGCCTGCCCAGAGATGACTAAGGGAGGCTCCTGCATCTCTCTGAAGGGGCAGGAGGCAGGCTCTGGATGCCGGCCACTCACCCTCTGGCTCAGGATAGCCCTGGTGGCAGTCTCCTTCCTTTCTGCTCATTTCATTTCAATACATCAAGTACCTCCTCTACATACCAGGCTCTTTGCTGGGTGGCAGATGCCCCCAAGCCTATCCTGGCAGGCCTGGGCAATCAGCACTGTATGCCAGGCGCTAGGCCCAGCCTTCACTTGCAGGGTTAACCCGCCCCGCTCTGGCCACCTGGATCCGTGAATGAATGGGAGAATGCGGCTGCTCTCCAGAGAACAGCATTCTCTCAACCGCTTCTTGTCGCGCCAGAGATGGCCTCCTCGAAGGTGTGCTGGCAGAGCTGGCCTGGCCCAGTGGGCAGCCCTGTGAGGCCGCAGGGGTGAGGAGCCGCCAGCCACACCACATGGCTCTCCTGGAACGGAGCCACCTGAGCCCGGCCAAGCCGCCTCGAGCACCAGGGCTTGAGTCCATTGCAGGCACAAGGCAAAGAATTGCGACTTGAGGGAGGACCCGGAGGAAGGCAGGCTGGAGGGAGGGAGGGCGGGCAAAGGACAGCAGGGAAATGAAGGGGGCTGTGAAAGACCAGCACCAGATGAAAGTACCGAGATGTTCCGGACAGGCCTGATTTTCTTTATCTTCGGGGCTGGGACTGCCAAGAGGCCCCGGGGAAAGCCTGCAGGCTTCACTCCCACCAGAACCAGCACCATTTGAGGGACAGATTTCAATCCTTCCTTGGCCAGACAAGCAGGCGGGATGCCAGCGCTGGAGAAAGGGGAGGAGGAGGAGCGGTGGGCAGGCCTTTCCTGCTGGAGGTGGACACGCTGGGGGCGCTGAGGTTCAAGGCCACACAGTGAGGAGTGCAGAACCTTAACTGTCTCCTTGCATCGGCTGATGGCAGAGCTTTAGTTATAGCCATTTCAGGGAAATCCTGGTCAGTTAAGGTTTTCTAGTGCAGTTGGGATTTTCGCCTATATTTCCAGGTGCCTCTAAGGTCCTATGGAGCGTCCAGGTTTCACAGCTGGGGGAGGGACATCTGGTTCCCGGTCATTTATGTCCCCGCTGGCTTATGCAGGGGTGTCCTGCCCTTCTGCATCTCCCTCAGGGACTTGGGGAACCTTGGATGGTGTCTTTCCTCATACTGGGGCTGCAGGGGGCTCAGAACACTGCCTCTGACCCACTATTCCTCCATGACAATGATAATAACAAAATAGGTATTATTTACTATGTACACGCCCTGTTCTAACTGCTTAACACGTATTAACTCACTTAATCTTCCCAATACAACATAAGGTAGGTGCTACTGTCCCCCTCTTACAGATGAGAAAGCTAAGGCACAAAGGTGAAGAACTTGCCATGCCACCTCTCCTCCCTGCACTGGAAAACGTGTTGTGGGGTGGGCAACAGGGCTACAGAGAGCCCCTCGAGATCTTGTAGTCAGGCCTGGGGACTAAAGAACTTTGTCCCAACCTCTCATCTCTGGAGAGTTTTAGGGCTATTTTGAGACTTGAGGGCTAAGAATGACCTCTTTCCTTCTGAGCCTCCACGGCCTCCCTTCCCAAAGCAGTGGCGGAGGGACACCTGGGTCTCCTGGGCTGTGGGGTACAATGCATAGAAATAAAGTGGGGCTCGGTTGACGTATTAGACATTTATACCATTGGGGATGCTTTATTTTATATTTTAGCATTATTTATTTTTATTTTTTATTTTTCTGAGACGGAGTCTTGCTCTGTCACCCAGGCTGGAGTGCAGTGGCGCGATCTCAGCTCACTGCCTCCCGGGCTTCAGCGATTCTCCTGCGTCAGCCTCCTGAGTAGCTGAGACTACAGGCACCCTCCACCAGGCTTGGCTAATTATTTTTTTATTTTTAGTAGAGACCAGGTTTGACCATGTTGGCCAGGCTGGTCATGAACTCCTGACCTCAAGTGATCCGCCCACCTCGGCCTCCCAAAGTGCTAGGACTATAGGCGTGAGCCACCGCACCTGGCCTCATCACTGCCTTTTAATAAATGAGGCTGTCCTCTTGGAATCTCAAGCCATGAAAAGCCCCATATGGCAGGCAGACTCCTGCCAGGAAATCAAATTGATAGTGTGGGTAGTCCCCAGCTCCTCAATGTCTACCCCACCCTGGACCTCATGGGAAGCATTCCTGGTTGGGTAAATCCCTGAAACAGTTTTGGCCGGGCGCCGTGGTTTACGCCTGTAATCCCAGCACTTTGGGAGGCTGAGGTGGGCGGATCATGAGGTCAGGAGATCGAGACCATCCTGGCCAACATGGTGAAACCCTGTCTCTACTAAAAACACAAAAATTAGCTGGGTATGGTGGCGAATGCCTGTAATCCCAGCTACTCGGGTGGCTGAGGCATGAGAATCGCTTGAACCCAGGAGACAGAGGTTGCAGTGAGCTGAGATCATGCCACTGCACTCCAGCCTGATGACAGAGCGAGACTCCATCTCAAAAAAAAAAAAAAAAAAAAAAAAGAGTACAGTTTTTCAAAAACCTGATTTTCTGATGTAAACCTGTGATGGTCTCCTCAGCTGCCTCAAACACTGTCACATCCTACTGTGGATTCAAGCTGTCAGGATGTTTACACGGCCACCTCAAATTCCATTCCGCTCTCTACAAAAACTTATTTTTAGACGTGCACTGTCCCTTCTTATACATTCCTCAGTACTGGATCCTGGACAAATCTTTAGTCAACCTTAAAGTTTAGTTCAAAAGGCTCATTTTCTCATAGAGTTTGAGGCCATTTTTGTGAGTGGAGGAACTTGAGGTTTTAGGAATTTTATTTAAATCATGGAGATATTTTCGACTCGAATGGCTCTTAACTTTGATCTTGGGTCTAGGCTGCCTGGTTGAAACTACTACTGGTTTTCTTTCTTTTTTTTTTTTTGAGATGGAGTTTCGCTGTGTTGCCCAAGCTGGAGTGCGATGGCGCAATCTCGGCTCACTGCAACCTCCGCCTCCTGGGTTCAAGCAATTCTCTTGCCTCGGCCTCCCAAGTAGCTGGGTTTACAGGCATGTGCCACTATGCCTGGCTAATTCTTTTTGTGTTTAGTAGAGTTGGGTTTTCGCCATGTTGGTCAGGCTGGTCTAGAACTCCCGACCTCAGGTGATCCACCCACCTCTGCCTCCCAGTGCTGGGATTACAGGCGTGAGCCACTGTGCCCAGCGAACCTACTGGTTGGTTTTCAAGAGTTGCATCACTTTAACTGGAACATATCGGAAGAGTGGGACCAGATTTTAAGGTGAGTCAAGCCTGGCCTTCCTAAAACCCTATTGACTCCTTAATTCAGCTCAGGGCACCCCTTTGCCGCAAAAATCTCATCCTTTGAGACCCCTAGGAGAGGGTGAGTCGGGGAAGCAGGGGCCTCTCCTAGTCTGAGAAGTCTTAAAGGCAGGGGGGAGAAGTGCCGCCTCCTCATTTCATCTTTCTCTCTCGTTCTCCTCTCTCTGCCCTTTCTCTGTCCCTCCCTCCATTTTTTAGAAAATCTATAGAGGCAATGAGCTTTAGCAAATTTATCCAGTTGTGTAAATATTGCCACAAAGCAGCTTTATAACACCTCACTCACCCCCAATAGTCCCCTGGACCCTATTTGCAGTCAATCCCTGCTCCTTTCCCAGCCCCCAGCAACTACTGATCTGCTTGCTGTCTCTCTAGTTTTGCCTTTTCTAGAAATTGTGTAAAATGAATCATATACTATGTAGTGTTTGGTGTCTGGCTTTTCTCACTTAGCATAACATTTTTGCATGTACCGTAGTTTGTCCCCTCCATCTTTTATTATTATTATTATTATTTGTGACAGGGTCTTGTAGCCTTGTCTACAAGGCTGCAGTACAGTGGTGCGATCATGGCTCACTGCAACCTTGACCCCCTAGGCTCGTGCGATCCTCCTACCTCAGCCTCCCGAGTAGCTGGGCCCACGAGGGTATGCCACTACACATGGCAAATTTTTAAATTTTTTTTGTAGAGACAGGGTCTCGCTATGGCCCAGGCTGATTTCAAACTTCTGGGCTCAAGCGGTCTACCTGCCTTGGCCTCCCAAAGTGCTGAGCTTATAGGCATGAGCCACCATAACTGGCCCTTTTATTTTTATTTATTTATTTTTGAGGTGGAGTCTTGCTTTGTTGCCCAGGCTGGAGTGCAGTGGTGCGATCTCAGCTTACTGCAGGGGTTCAAGTGAATCTCATGCCTCAGCCTCCCAAGTAGCTGGGACTACAGATGTCCACCACCACGCCCAGCTAATTTTTTTTTTTTTTTTGGTATTTTTAGTAGAGACAGGGTTTTGCCACGTTGGCCAGGCTGGCCTCCAATTCCTGACCTCAAGTGATCCATCCTCCTCGGCTTCCCAAAGTGCTGGGATTACAGGTGTGAGCCACCATGTCCAGCTCTTTTATTGTTTTTTGGCTTAAAAAACAATTTTTTTTAAACAAAAACACACACACACACACACGTACTCAAACACACTCGCACACACAATTTTCTCACTAACCCTCTGACCTTCCACCCCAAGTCCTGACTTGGTCTTTGGGCCCTAAGATGCAATCAGGAAAAAAAGTGTGGAGTCCACACCCCAGTTGGGTCCTAAGTGGGTACCTACAGGGGCAGCCACCATCCAGCCTGCCCCAGCCCATGGGGGCCCAGGATGTAGCATCCCCAGTGATGGTGGGAGCAAGGGAGAAGTAGAGGTGAGATGTGGGCTGTGACATGTGCTTCCCTCTCCCTCCAGCTTGAGACCCTTGGCCTCTGACCAAGGCAAGTGAAATAAACATGAACGAAGCTGGGAGAATAATGTCAGTTTACTGAATGAATACATGGCTCGAGTCCATTCAGGGTGGAGTGAGGCCTGGCAGGTGCCCTCAGCAGTGGGACCCCAGGCCACTGGACCTGGCAGGGCTTCTGGGCTAAGGGGGCAGCACCAGGCCAGCCTGCCAGGGGCTCCACAGTCCCACGCTGCTTGACCTGTGCTGTCTGGGACTAGACTGGTCGCTGTGGCTGCCCATAGATGCTCAAGCCAGACCCCAAAAGAGAGTGGCACGAGGTGAAAATCTAACTGTGAACGCTTTGGTTTCAGTTTCAGTAAAGAGGAGGAGGGAGGGAGGCACTTGGGGACGTAGAAAGAAGGGCTGGCGGGAGAGGTCTCCGCCGAGCTCCACAGTTGGCTTCCTTGCTAGACGACCTGGCTTTGAGAAATGCTGCCTTCATTTCCATCTCCCAACTCCGAATCTGGAAGGCAAGAAGGTGTTTCAGGCTGGAGGGCCGCAGCAGACCGTGGGTCTGTTACAGGGGGCACGGCACTGCTGCTTCATCTTCTCCCACCCCATCCCTGAGGCCCAGCCACCCACATGGCCACAGTGCCTGGAACCGTGTGGGGAACAGAGACCTGCAGTCTGGGGCCGGGGAATCCACAGACTGCCCCATTGGGGTTTCAGCCACACCAGCTTCCCCCAAAGACAGCATCTTGGTCATCTCCACGTCCCCACATAGCCTGGTGCAGAACTTGTTTTCAGGCTGAATAGCTGCAGGGGCCATTGCTTCCTCTCAGGGTAAGGCCCCACTTGAACCCCCGCTTCCTAATTTGGCAGGGAAGGGGGAACGGACCCAGGTGTTTCAGGAGTCTTTCAGAAATCAATGGCTGGATGCAGAGGGACAAGTGATAGGACGGGGAAAGGGAGGGAGAGCAAGAGGCACTGGGACGCAGTGCAGTCCCAGTGGAGGAGGTGGAGTTGGTGGGGGTGGGTGGTCTCCTTTATTCTTCGGGGAAACTCTTGTCTCAATATGTTTCTTTCCCCCTTGGCTTGAGTGAATGCTCTCTGACAATTTAGAAACAGTTTAAGCCAGGCGTGGTGGCTCACGCCTGTAATCCCAGCGCTTTGGAAGGCCAAGGGGCGGGGGGCGGGGGGCGGCGAATCACTTGAGGTCAGGAGTTCGAGACCAGCCTGGCCAACATAGCAAAACCCCATCTCTACTTAAAATACAAAAAATTAGCCAGGGGTGGTGGCGGGTGTCTGTAATCCCAGCTGCTTAGGAGGTTGAGGCAGGAGAATCGCTTGAACTTGGGAGGCAGAGGCTGCAGTGAGCCGAGATCGTGCCACTGCACTTCAGCCTGGGTGACAGAGCGAGACTCCATCTCAAAAAGAAAAATAAAAAAAGAAAAAAGAAAAGAAAGAAAGTTTCTGCCTGTTGTGGAAGAAACTGTTGCACGGAGCAGGAGCAACTGACATCCCCTCAATCCTACCTGGACCCTCTCACCCTCTCAGTTCTACCCAAGGAAGCCCAAGCCCCTGAGCTGCCCCCATCCCCTCGTCCATCCTGCGCTTTCTCCAAAAGCCAGTAGCCTTGACTGGGTGTTTGGGGAGGTGCTCTGGCCCAGCCTTTGGCCAAGGGCCCTCACACCCGCCCCTGTTCCTGCCCCTGTCCTCATCTGTTTGCATATCTGCAGGAGGTATTGCCCCCACTACCGACCCACCACCCCTTGTCTTGGTGACACTGGGAAGTTATTTGTGCCACTGGGAAGCAGCTGTCCTGGTGCTGGTTCCTGGGCACACCCAGGGACTCTCCCCAGCTGCCCTAACCTCGGTTTCACTTGTGGCATTTGTGTGAGGCTTTGGTTCTCACGTGCAAGGGAGGGGGGCCTGGTCAGCAGGCTGGCATGGGCACCACAGAGTCACAAAGAGGCTGGCACCTCTCTGTGCTACCTGGTGTGCCCTGATGTTTTGCCTCTTTTCCTCCTGTGTACCTCAACCGAGCTAGGGCAGCAGGTCACAGCTGTGACTCACCTCCGGCAACCCATATTAACAAAGTGCTGCCAACCAGGCGAGTCATGCCAGGATGCCAGGGGACCAAGGGAGTGTGGCCTATGGGGGAGGCTGGGTGCCCATGGCTCTGCCAATGGCTACCCTGGCTCTTGTCTTGAGAACGGCTCTGGCGGGAAGCCAGGCCAAGGCTGCGACTGGTCAGCACCCCAGGATGGTCCCTCTGTGCTGGGTTCTCCTCGGCCTCGGCTGTGCCCACCCGTGTCTGGGGTGTGTGCTGAGCTGGGGGCAGGTGGAGATGGCCTGGGCCTCCAGGGGAGAACTGGCTGTCTCCACCTTGGGGCCGAGAGCGGCAGGGGAGGGTTGGTGATGGGGTGGATCCTCCAGCGGGTCCCAGTTCCCGGAGGAAGGATGACAAATGAGTGTGGGTCGCTCCCTCTGTGGGACCATTTGCCTCGGAGCAGCAGGGAAGGGCGGCAGGTTCCCTGCCTCCCGTGGCGACTCTTTTCGGAGCACCACCCTAGGGATGTTCTTCTGCCCTCCGGAGACGTCGGTCTTCCCTGGGGCCGGGGCTCAAGGCCAGGGTGCCCCAAGCCCAGGCTCCAGGGTGTGCGGGGAAAGGCTCGGTCCTGCTCGGCGCGGCTCGCCCTGGGCACTAGGGGTCGCCCCTGCCCAGCGGAAGCCACGCGGGCGCGCCCGGTCGCCGCAGGTTTCCCCGGACCGGGAAAAGCGAGGCGTCTCCGGGGCGGGGCTGGGGAGGGGGCGCCTGGGCGCGGCGCCGGGACCCTGCTGCCCTGTCCTCCCGGCCGCGGCTGGACGGAGCGCGGGGCCGCAGCAACCAGGCCGGGCTCCCCGTCGCGCCCCTTCCGGAGCGGGAGGCCCTCGCCGAGGCGGAGGCTGGGACGCGCGGGGCGGGCGGCGGCGGGGAGCCGCGGGGCCGAGGCGCAGGGCGTTTTCCCCGGAGGTGCGGCGTGCGCCCGCGACACAAAGGTCTTTTAAAGACCTCGCAGCGCCCTTCCCGGCTGCGGAGGCTGGAGGCCCGGGGGGGCGAGGCCGGGGTCGGGGGTGGCCGCGCGAGGGGGCGCTGGGATCGGCCAGACCCCGCGGTTGCGCCCGGGCTGGGGCTCCCGGGCTCCTTTTGTGGAAAAGAGCGGAAAGCAGGGCCCTCTCCGGGTCTCTGAAAATGGTCAGTTCGGCTTCGCAGGGCTGCGTGCCCGGAATAATAAATTGGCTTCTCTAGGGTCGTAATCTGGGCCCCACCCCGAGCAGCTTTGAGCTGGTTCGCGCCTTCCAGGCAGGACTACTGGGAGTTCTCAAAAGCACCCCCGCAGTCGGCTGTGTCAGGATCACCTGGGTCCGGTGTGAACACGATTCCAGGGCCCCACCCCATCGCCTGAAGCGGAATCTCTGGGCGGGGCCCAGGAAACCGAGTTTTTGGTGAGTTCCCGGGTGATTCTGATGGCAAAGCCCATGTGGGAGCCACTGTTCTAAGGGCTTTTGGACAGGCAGTTGTGAAATTTTCCCCCAGAAGAATCTCTGGGGACCCAGTTGTCACACACCGCTGGATTCACTGCGGTGTTGATTCTGCCTCCTGATGAAGTTCTTCCCGAGTCTGACTTCGAGCCCGCCTGCTTTATTAAGCACGTTTTTCTCCAGTCGTTTTTTTTTTTTTTTAATGGAAAAAGGAACAGGGAGAAGGCTTTTCTCGAACCTGTTTGCAGAGAGCCGTCTTGCCCGCTTTGAGGGCCCTTTCTTGGGAGACCTGTTTGCTTTGTTCAACCTCTGAATTCAGCAGACCCCAAATCCACCAAGGCCACTAGCTTGTGAGTGAATGTGGTCCCTTCAGGTAAGGGCCAGACAGCCCCTGCCAGGGCTTGGGGAGGGTTTTCCTAGAGGAATCCTGGCAGTAAAAAAACCAACCCCCAAACTCTCCAAGTGCTGGACGCTGGAGAATCCCAGCAAGGAAAAGGAACAAATCTTATCTCATGCCGGAAGATAACCTCTTCCCTTTGTTGGCGCCTTTCCTTGCGTTCAGGATGAATTAAAATTCTTATCTGCTCTGCATCCAGTGAACTTGGCCTCGCCTTCCTGATTGTTTGCTGCGGCTGACTTTCCCAAGCTTTGCGGGGTTATTTTTGCCTCTGGGTGGTGGTCATTCCTTCCTTCCATGGCATTTGGTTCCACACAGTCACAGAAAAAGAGTAATTTAGCAAACACCCTCAAAATGGCAGGACTGGCCCCCAAAACCTACTTTCATTTTCCTCTGTTCTGGGTTGTGGGTAATTTCTTGACAACTACAAGAAAGAAGACAATGAGAAATGAATTGTTTTTTCCAATACGATTGTGAACAGATGTATAACCTCCTAGTCGCAGCAACGTTCTAGGAATCCCTTACACCACTTTAAAGGGGCAGGAAAATGGGCAGAGGTGCTGAGGGCTGGGTGAGTGCTAAGCATTGGCAGGGCTCAGCCTCATCCTGACGAGAGCTGCAGCCATAACCTGGGTCACCTTTGCTGTCTCGGGCTTCTAAATTTGGCAGCGAGAACAGACTCGCTTCCTTTGAGCAATTGATCTGAATAGCAGAATCCCATTCTGATGGTCCGAATCACATTTACAGGCTGTGGGGGTGAAGGCCGTGCTAATTGGCCACTTGCCTCACCACTGGCTTTGAAACAATCGCTTGTATTCTCTGCGCGGCAGGAAGCAGCAGACCCATCAAGGCCCTGGGCTCACTCTTTGTTCTGACTTTATGGCATTTTATGCCACAATAAGAAACACTGTGTACTCCGTGGGAGCCCATTGTGCCAGGCTGCAAGGATGTGGGCTCCGGTGCAGAGGGCCTGGTGCTCTTCCCCAGGAAGAAGAGGGGCTTTGTGACAGGCTGGGGGACAAAACAAGGGGTGCTGGACACTGTTACTGAGGCAACTGCCTGGCCAGTGTGGAGGCAGCTTTAGTCCCTGGGACCGTTTCTGTGCCCAAGGAGAGGGAGGGCAGGGGAAGGATGGAATTTCATCTAGAGTAGCAGGTCCTGGTTGCCTGGTAAATTATGCATCAGGACTGGGCTAGCCACTGCCTCCGTTTTCTCTGGGCTCCTGAGATAACCTCCACCTGCCTCTAGATTCTGTGCCAGCTGATCGTTATCTATCTCATCAACTCTTGTTCCATCAGGAAACTGCATCTTGGTGAGTGGGAAGTTTTTGTGACTGTGGACCAAACCTGGGCTTCCCATATTTTGGGTTGATCTGGGCCTTGGAGGGAAGAGCTTTCGGTTTTGTAGAAATGATGTGGATAGGAACTGGGGTAGGCACAGTCCATCCAGTCTCACACGTGAATGAACCAACGGGGATTTGAGAATGGCTTCTAGATCGTACCTGCCCCTCCGGCCAGCCCCGGGGCTCCCTTCCCCTGCACCTAGCCTGAAGTTTTCCACCATTAACGGCACACCTGGGGCAGAAGACAGAGTAGGGTCCTTGCTCCAGGAGATCGTTGTAATAATCAGATAGAGACAAGACCTGAGCTGGGAGGAAGCCAGGACACGGGGGATGGGGGACCAGGCCCTGACAAACGGAGTGCTCCGTGTGGGGGCTGAAAGGGAAGGAGGAGAGGGAAGGCAGGGCCATTTAGCTTCACCTCAAAGGTGGGGTAAAGTGAGGCTGGTGGGTCCTGTCTTCTCTGGAGATGCTCCCCGATGGGAGGAAAGGCCAGCTTCCTGCCGGCCACTTGCAGAAGCGAGCATCCAGTGCTTCCGCCAGCCTGTCCCTCACCCCAGACCCAGCCCTGTCCTTCCCATGTCTGATGCTCCCACACGGGCCCCCTTATTACCCCGTGCCATTGCAGCAGCCTCCCGGCTGGTTTCTTTCCCCTGCAATGTGGCTGCCCAAGTTCTCCTCCCAAAACCCACATCTCCTGGCCTGCCAATCCCAGGCTGGAAACTGTTCCATGGCCTCCAGAGCCGCTCACAAACCCTTCCCGCCCCACTCCCTGCCTGCACCTTAGGCTCATTCTCTGCCCTCCCTGGCCACACACCTCCCTGACTTTCCCCAAACATGCAGGTCTTTCCATGTCTCTGTGCGTTTCCATTTCCCTCTGCATGGAACACTCTTTCCCATCACACCTACCCTTGCCCATCTGCCAAACCCTCCAGGATTCTGGGTCAACATCATCCCCACGGTGGATCCATTGGTGAGAGCAATAATGAAGCAGGTTTGCCACCAGGCTCCCAAAGAAGTGGGAACACTGACTGCAAAGGGCACAATCTGATTGGATGAAAAGCGAGGCCTCAGAAGCATTGGCACGTGTCCGCGAAGAGCCTAGCTGGAGGTCTGTCCTAGAGGAGGGGCTGAAGGAGGGGCGAGAATGGCAGCGCTCCATTTCATCCGACTGCTCTGTGTTCCTCACATCTGACCCAACCTTCCGTTACAACACAGGCACATTTGTGGATACTCTTGGTTACATGTGTGTTCTCTCCTTAGATTCTGAGTCTCTTCTAGGAAAGGAGTGTCTTAATCATCTTTGTATTCCCAGAAGCTAGTTTAGAGGCTAGTATGTAGTAGGTTCGCAGAAAATCTTTGAATAGCGGCTGAGGTGGGAAGATTTCTTGAGACTAGGAATTCAAGACCAGCCTGGGTAAACTAGCAAGACCCCCATCTCTACAAAAAATAAAAAATTAGCCAGGTGTAGTGGTGGATGCATCCCAGCTCCTCAGGAGGCTGAGGTGGGAGGATCACTTGAGCCCAGGCATTCAAAGCTGCAATGAGCTGTCATCCCGCCAGTGCACTCCAGCCTGGGCAACAGAGTGAGACCCTGTCTCAAAAAGAGAAAGAAAATCTTTGAGTAAATAAATATATGTTGAACTTGGAAGTATTCCTTTACCTAGAATATTGTTCTCTGCAAATTTTGTACTATCACTTTCTCCAAAACATAACTCAGGACTCGCCTCCTGGAAAAAGTAGGTTCTTTTTTTTTTTTTTCTTTTTGAGACAGAGTCTTGCTCTGTTGCCCAGGCTGGAGCGCAGTGGCGCCGTCTCGGCTCACTGCAAGCTCTGCCTCCCGGGTTCACGCCATTCTCCTGCCTCAGCCTCCCCAGCAGCTGGGGCTACAGGTGCACGCTGCCACGCCCGGCTAATTTTTGTATTTTTAGTAGAGACAGGGTTTCACCGTGTTAGCCAGGATGGTCTCGATCTCCTGACCTTGTGATCCACCTGTCTCGGCCTCCCAAAGTGCTGGGATTAAAGGTGTGAGCCACCGCACCTGGCCAAAAAGTAGGTTCTGATTCAGTAGTTGACTGTGCATCAGAATGTTACTAAGCACCTATTAGGTACTAGGCATTTTCTAGGCACTGGAGGCCTGTGAGATATAAAAGAGATAAAGGTTCCCGTGCCCAAGTTGTTAATGAGTGCCCCCAACCCATGCAGGCCACTTCCTTATCTGGCAAAATCATTTGGGACGTCAGTAAACACTCAATGTTCCTGGTATCCATAGTGCCAGGGACATGGTCAGCAGTCAGATGTGACTCACTGTGGGCCCAGCATCATAAGAGGCAGGCATAGAAGGCCTGGCTTTGCATTCATATAGCTCACAACTTCACTGAGGAGACCAGTTGTTTATGGGATTGCAGGAAACCCCAGGAAGCCCCAGCCAGGGAAGAGCTTATGTTGTCAAATTCACAGCCTGTAGGAATTCACTGGGTCCACTAGTTCTCTTGCACAGGTGCTACTTTCCAGTTATTTCCTGGTTTTATAAATATGTGTCTCCTCTTTCAACTCCTTGACAAGCTCTTTACGGAAAGGGACATCAGGGCGTCATGTCTAGCGTCTAGTAGCTTCTTTCCCTGATCCTCATCTCCGCACCTGGTACAGGGCAGTGCATGAATGGATGACAAATGATCACCACCATTAACAGGCATTTGTCAGCCGGGCACGGGGGCTCACACCTGTAATCCCAGCACTTTGGGAGGCCAAGGCAGGTGGATCACCTGAGGTCAGGAGTTCGAGACCAGCCTGACCAACATGGTGAAACCCTGCCTCTACTAAAAATACACAAATTAGCCGGGCACAATACACCGATAATCCCAGCTACTCAGGAGGTGGAGGCAGGAGAATCACTGGAACCCGGGAGGCAGAGGTTGCAGTGAGCTGAGATTGAGCCACTGCACTCCAGCCTGGGTGACAGAGCAAGACTCTTGTCTCAAAAAAATAAAACAAAAAAACAAAACAAAAAAAACGAGGCATCCATCACTGGGTCTCTTCATGAGACACAACCAAGAAACACAATGTGAGTGAATTCTCCAGTTCTGGTAGATGAAGGAGAGGGAAGGAGGGCTTCTCTGCTGACTTAGTGCCTCTCTTTTGCTCAATGTTACCATCAGATTCTGAATGTTTTCTACGAGAAATTACTGAGATGCAAATCAAGAAGTGTGAATTTAACAAGAGCCAGTTGGTTTCCTACTTTCATTTGGGTGCCTTTTTTTGTTTTTTGTTTTAAACAGGGTCTCACTCTGTCACACAGGCTGGAGTGCGGTGGCACCAATCATGGCTCACTGCAGCGTCAGCCTCCCGGCAGCATCAACGGCACCGGGCCTGGGTGCCTCTTAACTGGTTATCTGTACCTGTTACTGCTCGGTGGTCTAAGTGGGTGAGATCAATTTCAGGGTTTCTCCAGTTCAATGTGAGCTTGTGGTGAGAGAAGAGTGTCCCTGGTCCCTCCTGCTGCTTTTTGCTCTGGTTCCCAGCTTGCTCCTTGCAACTTCTTCCTAGTCCAGGACAGATTTACTGGAAGTTTCTTTAGAGGCAGTGCTTTAGGGCTTTGGTCTTCATCTGTTGGGTTGTACTGTTTGTCGTTTGTCATGTTTGCTTTGCAAGCCTGGTGGCTAATGTTGCTTGCATTGGCTCACTGCTCTTGGGGCCATCTGTAACCTGTATCAACCCCGGATGCTTTGAAGTTCAGTGTGCAATAAAAAGTTCATTAAAAAGATGTGGAATCATGAAAATAAGGTTACAGAAATGTTAACAAAGGATCATATCCTGCTTCTGGTACTTTTCTTTTTTAAAAAATGTATTTCTTTGAGAAATTTATGTCAGCATTTAAACCATGGAAGAGTTTAGGAAGGACAGGCCTGGGTCAAAAGGAGGGTGAGATTCTTGAGGAGATATCTTGGCAGAGCCCCAGCCTGTTGTCTTAATTGAGAGCTCAGGGTCTAAGGAGAGAATGTGAGCCAGAAAAAAAAAAATCTAGGTTTCTTATGACTAACAGTTTGAACCCAGCTTTTTTTTTTTTTTTTTTTTTTTTTTGAGACGGAGTCTCATTCTGTCACCCAGGCTGGAGTGCAGTGGCACAATCTCAGCTCATTGCAACCTCTGTCTTCTGGGTTCCAGCGATTCTCCTGCCTCAACCTCCCAAGTAGCTGGGATTACAGGCGTGTGCCACCACACCCAGCTAATTTTTTTGTAATTTTAGTAGAGACAGGGTTTCACCATGTTGGCCAGGTTGGCCTCAAATTCCTGAGCTCAAGTGATCCTCTAGCCTCGGCCTCCCAAAGCGCTGGGATTACAGGCATGAGCCATCACACCCAGCCAGGTTCCTCTTTTTCGCAGGTCCTCCATGTTCGGGTGCCCACACGTAATACACAACCAGCCCCTGCATCCTTGCTCTCCTCTATTTTTGGGGGGCAAATATCCTAGAGGCTCATTCGGTTATATGACCATTGATGACCATTTAATTACTACTCATGTTTAATAATAAGCAATTATGTGATCGTCACTTACTTTTCAGCCAGAGGGTCACCATGTGTACACTTAGCAGCTGCTAAATCTTAGTCCTAACAATGATAGTCCCATATCCTCCCAAGCGACCGTGAGGACCTCAACAGCTTGCACATCTAATAAACAGCACTGCAGGGTTTTCAGGGCTGCCACCGGACAGCTCTGGGTCACAGCCAGACTTACCCTCTCTCTTTCCACCTGGTTGTGGTTGAGCCTCATGAGTTCTGCAAACCTCTGCTCATAGAGGTGAAGCAGCAGCACCAGGTACAAGCCTGAATTCATCAGCTCGTTTTGTGCCTACAAATGGAAAAGAAAGCTCTTCAGTTCATCTGTAAAATAGTCATGGTCTAAATTGTGGGATGCAGGGTAACAAGGCTAAGAGGTGACAAGAACTGGGAGAAGAGCCCAAGCTCCAAGGCAAGGCCTGCTCTTGGGGACCAGAAGACAGAGCAGGAGGAGATCCAGGGTAGAGGCCAGGGCAGCCACTCCCCTGGGATTTTTTACTAGCTAGTGGAGGATGCTCGGAGAAAGTTCCATTTTCCAGGCTCAATCCCATTCCACATTTATTGAGCAGTTACATATGCAAAGCCTTGAGCTGGATGTTGTGGGGAACACAGGGCAAAAAGCCTCAGAACTCCCTGCTGGGAACCGATCACCTGGTGTGGGGGAGAGAGCTTCATCGGTAAACAGCTCCAGTACAAGCTGGATGTGTCGGGTGCTACAACAGAGATGCACCAGGCCTTGTCCATAACGTTCTCAGCAGTCACAGATGTCCCCTTGTGAAAGGCTTCCTGAGGAGCCTCCTTTGCCCCCATCATTCCTTTGCTTCCCAGTCCCTAAGCATTCGTCTTGATCTTGCATATCACCTTTTGCACTTGTTAACGTTTCCGCTTTCTCTTGAGGAGTGGGCTGTGCTTTTTTTCTCGCTGGTGCTCAGAACAGGCGCTACACAGGGAGGATGTGATGGTCTGGCTGCCCATGGCACTTCTCTGTCCTTAGCACTTGGGCTTTGCTGCCAAGAGTGGCTGTGCTCACTCTAGACCTTTCACAGACCTTCCATAAATCAGTGGTATTAGTAACAACTACTCCTATCCCTCTATAGGGGAAGGAGGGGAAGGCCCTTTCAGTCCCCATCTTTCCCTTGAGTGGGGGTCTTGGGATGGGCCAGGCTGTGCTCACAAAGCCACCCAGCCCCCGGGGAATAGAGTCCCCAGCAGAGGGCATGGCCCCTTCCGTCACCCTTGGGAAAGCTTGCAACTGTGACTCTGTCGGCCCAGGATAACGATGCGTGGGCATGAATGACACAGTGAGCACTCAGTGTCTCATCTGCCTTCTTCCTGCAGCAGCGCGGGTGCCACATCTTCCTGTTCTCATTAGATCCAGGGCAGCTCAGGAGGTTGGCACAGAACCCACCTCTCCCAGGACCAAGCAGCTGCCAGAAAAGGCACAGAAGTTGAGCAAGGATTGATATGCTCTTCCTTCTGAATCAGGGCCAACTCTGGATCTTGGTGACAGCCGGCCCTGAGATCACTGCTGCAGGCCTCTCCACCATTCTACAGATCCATCTTCGAAGGCCCCAGTCCTCTGTCCTTAGCAGTTAGCCTCCTATTTTTAGCCTTTGGTCGTGTTTTTTGTGCTCTGCTGACCTTGGCCTAGAGTGAGTAGAGAAGAAGTTGCTTGTTTGCATTATTTCTGTTTTATTTATTTAATTTTATTTTTGAGACAGACACAGTCTTGCCCAGGCTGGAGTGCAATGGCGTGATCTCGGCTCACTGCAACCTCCACCTCCCAGGTTCAAGCAATTCTCCTGCCTCAGCCTCCTGAGTAGCTGGGATTACAGGTGTGCACCACCACGCCCAGCTAATTTTTGTATTTTTAGTAGAGATGGGGTTTCATCATGTTGGCCAGGCTGGTCTCGAACTCCTGGCCTCAGGTGATCCACCTGCCTTGGCCTCCCAAAGTGCTGGGATTACAGGTGTAAGCCACCCTGCCTAGCCACTTTTTCTGTTTTAATTGCCTCCTCCTGCCCTCCCCGTGAGTCTGTGCCTGCCTCCGACTGTCTCGCCAACCACCTCTTCTGAGAAGCCTTCCTCACCTGGCTTTTAGCTCCTCCTCACCAACAAAGCCTTGGTCCTTATTTGTTTACCTCATCCCCGGCTTCCTCCTGCAAAAGCTGCCAGTGGTTCTCTCACCAGTGCTCTTTGCCAGCCAGCTTTTATGCTTGAGACACCGGGATGCATGATGACAAATCAATCAGCTAGAAAATGGTTTGGAACTATCAGGTTTGTCAAAGCATTCAGGAAAATCATTTACTTTTTATGACTCAATAAGGCCCAGAGGCATGCAGATGGGAGAATATCCACTAATGTTTTCTGCAGATAATTTGAAAAGTCACTTCTAGCAGATTGTGTCTCTTCTCTGATCTGTGGGAGGGAACCTGCCACACAGTGCCATCAATCTCGCCGGCTCGGTTCCTTTATGTGCGCCCTTTGCAGAGCTGGTGATGCTCGACAAAGGGGCTCAGCCCACCAATCAGAGCAGGCGTGTGATAGTCAACTCCGAATCAGCCTTTACACTCCTGAGCTACAAGTGGGAGGGATTTGTTAACTCAAAGAGTTCCACCGCACTTGGCTGGCCAGGGCCAAATGAACGAGGTTTTGGAGCAGGGCTTACTGGAGCTACGGCCCATCCACCCCTTCCTTGTCCCAATCACATCACACTTTGACTCCCACGTGGAGTTCCCTTTGTGTGCCAGACTGAAGGGAATGGGGGTGGCATTAATAGGAGGGGGCGGGGACATTAAAAAGGAGAAGGCATGTGAAACAGCGCAAAAGGGCTCCGGAGATCTCAGCCCACCTGCCAGCTGTTTTCTCCATTTTGCTAATATTCATTTAGGCCAAGAGACTTGCTACTGACGGAAATTCTCAATATATTCCACTTAAAGAAGCTGACAGCCTGGCTGAATGTTCTATCAAGTCTTCAAATATATTCAAGAGTGCTCCTAGGTATAAGGGTGATTAGGTGACTGCGTGTGTCTGAGGACATCTGTCCTTGGCTGAGATGGAGCCAGGCCAGGCCTGTGCTTCACAGCAATGACAGCCTGAGGCCCACTGAGACTCTCCTGTGCGGCAGAGCAAGGATGGCAGGGGTGTGTTCCAATTCAGTGAGCAGGGGCCCCTGGAGTGCATCTTACCTGGAAAGCGCTGCCGGCTAAGGTGGGCAGTGCAGGGCCACCGGACACTGTGACTTTAGGCAGAGTTTTAACTGTGCAGGACCAAAGGGACTCAATTTGTAATGGAAGGGAAGTAACCTCTGTTCTGCCTGTTTCCTCAAAGCATGATAGTAAAGTGAGCTAATATATGGGATCTCGCAACACCAACACATCCTACAAGAGACAAGATTTAAAGACAGGATTCCAGGTAAATTGTCTGGGCGTTAAGATCTGTGAGGGCAAGACCTGCATCTGTCTTGTTTGCTCCTGACTCCTAGTGCCTGGCCCAGTGCCTGGTATACTGTGCATGCTTTATAAATATATGCACAGATGAAGCAATGAGAAAAAAATGCATAATTGTGATGGATCAGACAGTGACCCATTCAGCCACAACTTTTGAATCTAGTGGCTCCAGGTTTAACATGCATCAGAAATACTGAGCAGGCCTTTTCAAACACAGTTGCCAGGCAGTCCCGTCCCCTCCCCTCCCCCTTCTCCTCTTTTTTTGAGACAGTCTCACTCTGTTGCCCAGGCTGGAGTGCAATGGTGTGATCTCGGCTCACTGCAACCTCCGCCTCCCAGGTTTAAGTGATTCTCCTGCCTCAGCCTCCCGAGTAGCTGGGATTTCAGGTGTGTGCCACCACTCCCAGCTAATTTTTGTATTTTTAGTAGAGACGGGGTTTCACCACATTTGGCCAGGCTGGTCTCCAACTCCTGACCTCAAATGATCCACCCACCTCGGCCTTTCAAAGTGTTGCGATTACAGGCGTGAGTCACCGCGCCTGGCCTCACTGCTCCTCCTTTCCTCCCTGCATTTCTGATTCAGCTGGACTGGAGTGGGCCCAAGAATGTGTACTTCTAACAAGTTCCCAGATGATGCTAACGCTCCTGGTTTGGGGACCACCCATTTTTGAGAACCACTGATCTAAACTAAGGGTGAGCACGTGGTAGCTGCTAAGCTGAATCTGGCCTGTGGATGTGCTCTGGTTGGATGGAAGGAAGCAAGAAGGAAGGTAGAAAAGAAGAGCATGACCATCTTTAGTTGGGGAGAGCACTTTCCATTTTGCCACAAATGCCACCACGCCCAATGGCAGGATACCTAGAAGATTACCATCATTTGTTGTCTGCCTGGCCTCTGTGGTATTTGAGTGTGTAACCTGTGACCTAAGCTTTCCTTAAACCTGTTTTCACCTCATCCATTTTGGAGGCTAGAATGTTATTTGGCTCGCCGCATGCTGCTGTCCAGGAGTTCTGCCCTCCACCGCAAAACCGAGTGCCCAACCAGCATCCAATATGAGTCCTGCTTCCAGGCGACAGCCAACGCTCACAGGAGCAAATGTAGGCTTGCCTCACACACAGCACTACCGAAAGAGTCAGGAGAAAGGAGGGCTGTACTGCCACAGGCCCTGACAGACCTAAGATGAAACCGCCAGGTCCCTGGGGTCCCACAGCTGCTCTTGTCTAATGATCCCCTCTCCAGATGCTTGTAGGAGTTCCTGATCTAGCCGCTTGAGGCCTGGTAACAGACCTTGACCTTGGGCCTCATACTAGAATAATCCGAGTTCAGTGCCCTGTTAGCACCTGTGAGCAGCATCTGCCCTGCTCCCACCAGAAGTACAGAACTAAGGTAGGAAAACGTGCTCTGACGGGAGCCCCTCCACACTCTCAAAGGCCACCGACAGTGCTGACCCGGCACCTAGAGGACACGCCCTGATCTGTGCTCAGGTCCCAGGGGAGGCGTCCGTCCCAGATGTCACAGACTTCACTCCAAGGCCCGGTTGATAGAAGGCCCGCTCCTCTCTTTCCTTCCGCTGTTAAACATCTCTTCTTCAGAAAGGCCTTCTCTGGTTCAGAGAGCAAGTCGGAGTCCCACAGCTGTTCCCGCAGCGGCCTGCATGGTCCTTGTTTTGACCTCCACCTGCAGGAATTGCTGGCTTCAGTCTTCGCTGCTGGTCGGTAGGGCCCTGCGGGTCTTGGGTACGGCAGCATTTTCGGCACAGTATCTCACAGGCAGCAGGTGCTCAATAAGTATTTGAAAATTTAGTTAAACTGGCTGGGTGTGGTAGCTCACACCTGTAACCCTAGCACTTTGGGAGGCCAAGGTGGGAAGATCACTTGAGCCCAAGATTTTGAGACCAGCCTGGGCAACAAAGTGAGACAGACCCCATCTCTCAAAAAAAAAAAAAAAGAAAAAAAGCAGGGTGTGGTGGCACACACCTGTGGACCCAGCTACTTAGGAGGCTGAGGCAGGAGGATCCCTTGAACCCAGGAGGGACCCTGGCCCCATCCCAGAGCTGGGGTTAGACCTGGGTTGGGCCTGTGTATCACCATTTTAATAGAAAAAAAGAAGACCTGCAGCTAAATGTTATAAGTTATCATTTTGGGTGGTAAATTATAAGAAATTTTTGTATGGTTTTTGTAATTAAACAAAAGCAAAAAAAAAAAAATTCTAAGTGGGAAAATATATAAGAAAAACAGTTCACTAGTCAGTTAGTTTGAGGTTAAGTGAGAACCAGGCTAAGCTGAAGCCCGTTCTAGGTTTCTTTTGGTTTTGCCCCTTTTTTGGTACATGTCTAGACTTGTACACGTCTAGAAGTGGTGCCACTTCTCCAGAAAGGAACCCATTTGCCAAGGACAAGCAGCAGGAGGGTGGCCAGGAGGCCCAGGTGAGCCAGGTTTGGAAGCGAGGGGAAGGGACCAGGCCCACAAGGCACAGGTGTCCATGTCACCTCCACGGCCAGGCTGGTGGCCTCCTCAGCTGGGCTTGTCCCCTCAGTGGGCTCACCGCGCCTCGGGGACGAGCTGAGTTTCAGTGACGTTGTAGATATCTTTGTGTTCAACAACAGTTGCTTCAGTCTTTATCTATGGCGAGCTTCAGAATTCGCCCAAGTCAGGCTCCCTGGGGCCTGGGGTTTCGCCCAGGCTGTGAGCAGACAGGCACTATGAATTCCCAGCAGGTCATGGGGACAGTCAGGGCTGCAGTGAGGTGTGAGCCCTCAGCCGCCTCCAGACAGCAGCCGCCCATGCTATGACCTGGCTCTCCCCACAGGGCGGGCCTGGCAGCCTAGCTGTCACCTGGGATGATAATGCGGGCATTTCCCAAAGGCTCTGATGGCTTGTGAAGTTCTCACTGAAACGAATTTAAAATCATTCCTGCTTCCACGTGGAGCAATGACTGTGCTGGATGCTTTCTGTCTCTCCTGCAGATCCGCACCCCTCCTGCTCTGTGGCCCAGGGGCCGGCCCCATGGCTTTCCCCAGCCGGGCTTCCTTGCCCTCTGGCTTCCCGTTGGGTTTGGCCCATGGGAGGCCCCGGCAGGAGACCCGAGGGCGGAGGAGGGAGAAGCTGGGTGTCTCTTCCCAATCCCTCTCTGCTGGGCGTGGTGTGACAGTGGTTGCTGTCTTCTCCTGAAGGCCACAGGCTGCTGGTGGCTGATCCTTAGCTACAGCGCTCATGACCCTGGCCACACTGCTAGTCCCAGGACGCCTCCTCGTTCCTTGCTGCTTTCTTTTGCTGCCCAGATTTCCCTCCTCCCTTCTGCGTTCTTCACTTGCCCCCTTTGAGTGTGCCACCATCTCTTCCCACCCAGATCCTGGCTGATACAATTACTGTCATAGTTCTTTCTAGAAGGTGCTTGTAGCCAGTTGTCTTAACATGGAGGGTGCGGTGGGGCCGAGGATATGGATGTGACCCAGTGGGGCTGGTTTGTTTTGTTAGTTCACTGATGGACTCTAGGCCAGTCATTGGTGCACGTAGCTTTCTCCCCTGAGTGCCAAGTCAGTCGAGCGTCTCTGTGGCTGTAATCTGACAGTTCTCATGCGTGGAGCCTCCTCTGCCCACACTCTGTCTATGAGGTGATGTACTCGAGTCTTTTCCTACATCCAGACCTGTGAGGTGTGAGTTAACATCTCTCACCTTCTACAGATAAGAGAACTGAGGTGCAGAGAATTGCCATAGTCTCCTCAAGGTCACGGGGCCACTCTGGGGAAGAGAGTAGGGTTTAGACTGAGATCTTAATCAAAGCTGGTAGGCTTTTCAGTGGGACCTGCGGCCTCAGACTACATGAGTGCAAACATCTTAGTACAAATGGAAAAATGTGCTGCTGTTGGGTCAGTTCTATAAATGCCATTGATAAAGGACATTAGATGGTGGCAGCAGCTTGGCAGAGGGAGAACCATGTGGAAAGGCTTGGGGCCAAAAGGGATCTTTTCTAGACAAGGCATTCCCCTGGGCTGCACGGTGTTTGTGGTGTCAGTAGATTGCTCTGATAGATAGTATTCTGGGCAACCCATCCTCACGTGGACACGTCCTCCTTAGGAGATTCGGCAGGCTCCGTTGCCCAAAATGATCTATTTCTTGAGATGAACCTGTCGGCACCCTGACTGGCACCTGACCTCAGGCACTGAGAGGTTCTGGTTTCTTTCAGTATTTCGCCTCCCACATGCTCAGCGTCCAGGAATGTGAGTCGCGCTGTTTATCGTCTCAGATCTTAGTGCCTGGTGGTTATGATGCAGTGATGTGAGACCTTCAGGCCTCAAAACACTATTTATTTCTCAAGAAGTCCTTCTCCTCTCCCCTCCCCTGCCCTCCCTTCTCTTCCTCTCTTCTTTTCTCTTTTTTCCTTTTCTTTCTCTAACCTCCTGATGCCTAACCTCTGTAATGCTGCTGTGGCATTATGCCCTTATTCACTGAACTCTTCAAATATCCTTCATTCTTGTCAATATTTTGTTCTTTGGTCTACACCCTTAAAATTTTAAACAAGGAAACTGCAGAATTGCCTAGACTCACACAAATCATTTTGACTTAGCTGTCAAAACGTTGGCCAAAAAAAGGTCTGGTAAATATTAATTGACTGCTTATAAAGTGGAAATCACCTTCTAGATCAGCCCCATCCAATAGAATACACTCAGAGATACAAACACAAATCACAGATGTAATTTAAAATTTCTAGTAGCCACATTAAAGAAGTAAAAAGAAACTGGTGAAATTAATTTTAACAATATAATTTATTAACCTAATATTTTCAAATGATCATTTCTGTATGTAATTTTTACTTTTTTTTTGATATTTTACTTTTTTGGCATTAAGTATTTGCCTAAGAAAATCTTTATTTCTCCTTTGCTCTTGAAGGATAATTTTGCAGGGTACAGAAATCTAGGTTGGCCAGTTTTTTCTCTTAACACTGTAAATATTTTGTTTCTCTGTCTTCTTGCTTGCATGCTTTCTGGGAAGTCAGATGTCATTCTTATCTTTACTCCCCTTTAGGGAAGGTGTTTTTCCCCTTTGGCCTCTTACAGGATTTTTTCTTTATCTTTGATTTTTTTTTCCATTTTAAATATGATGTGTCATGGTGGTGGGTTTTTTGTTTGTTTTGTTTTGTTTTGCTTTTGGCATTTATCTTGTTCGGTGTTCTCTGAGCTTTCTGGATTTGTGATTTGGTGTCTGACATTAATTTGGGGGAAATTCTCAGTCATTATTGCTTCAAATATTTCTCTGTTCCTTTCTCTCTTTATTCTCCTTCTGGGTATTCCCATGATGTGTCTATTACACCTTTTGGATAATTGTCTCACAAGTTCTTGGATATCCTGCTCTGTTTTCTTTTCTTTTTTTCCAATCTTTGTTCTCTTTGTTTTTCCATTTTGGGCAGTTTCTATTGGGATATGCTCAACTCAAAGATTCTTTCCTCAGCTGTATCCAGTCTACTAATAAGCCCATCAAAGGCATTCTTCATTTGTTAGAGTTTTTCACCTCTATCATTTCTTTTTCTTTCTTAGAATTTCCATTCCTCTGTGTACACTGCCCATCTGTTCTTAAGTGCTGTCTACTTTACCTGTTAGAGTCCTTAGCATATTAATCATAGTGTTTTACATTCCTGGTCTGGTAATTCCAACATCCCTGCCATATCTGAGTCTGGTTCTGGTGTTTGCTCTGTCTCTTCAAACTGTGCTTTTCACCTTTGAGTATGTCTTGTAATTTTTTCTTGGTAGCCAGACGTGATGTACTGGGTAAAAGGAACTGCTATAAATGGGTTGTTAGCCATGTGGTGGTGAGGTGTGGGGAGAGGGGAAGTATTCTACAGTCCTTTGAGACTCTAGGTCCCAGTCTGAGTGAGCTTGTGCCTCTGGACTGTGAACTTCACAAGTGCTTCTCAGTTTCTCTATCCTCCCCCTCCCACCTTAGGTGGGACAAGATGGCTAGAGAGGGCTGGAGTTGAGTATTTCCCTTCTTCCAGTTAGGTATGGCGCTCTGATAAAACCTCCAAAGGTTAGGCTCTGGTTAAATAGTTTCTCCTGAGGGCAAACTGTTAGTAAGAACAGAAAGCTCTGGCTTATACCAAAATGGTTACTTTCCCCCTCCCCCTGCTGGAAGCATGAAGGAATTTTTCTCTGCTATTCACTGTAAGCACCTGGTTGCACTCCTGGACAGAAAACTCACTGAAGTGTGGGGATACCCTTATGACAGGGTCCCCCTGGAATTTTTGACTCTCAGACTTGTCTACACTGAGCATCCAGCAGTTCATTAATTACAGCTTAAGATTGCTTGTCCAGCACTGGTTTCCATAGAGCTTTCTGCTCAGGAGTCTCTGCTCCGGTAAGTTGTGATTTTTTTTTTTTTTTTTTTTTTTTTGAGATGGAGTCTCACTCTGTCGCCCAGGCTGGAGTGCAGTGGTGCGATCTCGGCTCACTGCAACCTCTGGCTCCCAGGTTCAAGCGATTCTCAAGCCTCAGCCTCCTGAGTAGCTGAGATTACAGGCATGCGCCACCACGCCCAGCTAATTTTTGTATTTTTAGTAGAGATGGGGGTTTCGCTGTGTTGGCCACGCTGGTCTCAAACTCCTGACTTCAAGTGATCCGCCCACCTTGGCCTCCCAAAGTGCTGGGATTAGTGATTCTATCTGCCTGTCTTTCCAATTTTAGGGGCAGTGATTTGCTCTGTGACTTCACTTCTCTTATGGATCTAAGAAGGGTTGTTGATTTTGCACTTTTTAAAGCTTTTTACTTGTTGTTAAAACGAAGTGACAACTTCAAACTCTTTACATACTGAACTGGAAAGTGTACTAAGTCTTTGAAACTTGGTGTTTAAAATTAGGTGATATATTACCCCCCTTTTTTTTTTTGGTACTGTGTCTTTGAAATTTGGTGTGTATGTGACACTTACAGGATATGTTGATTAGAACAAGCCACCTGTTCATTAGCCACAAGTGGCTTGTGACTTCTATATTGAACAAAATAGTATTAGGTTGGTGCAAAAGTAATTGTGGATATTGCCAACAAAAGTGGCAAAACTGCAATTACTTTTGCACCAACCTAATAGTTCTAAATGGAAGACTGTTTGCCTGAGAATTGGGTGATTAACTGTTATCTCAGGCACAAATCAACTTCCCACTTGAGGGTAACTAACTTTTTTACAATATTAGAAATGCAGTCCAAATACCCTAGGAGAGTTAATTCACTAGGTGATAAAGATCAGCCAGTAGGCATTTACCTCATGTTCATTAGCTGTATGTAGGTAAAGCAGTTCCTTCTTATCCCAGGGTTACTTGGTATTTAAATTAGGGACCATTTCCTCCAAGACCCTGATTTTTTTTTCTCTTGTTATTAAATTACTTCTGCAAACGTGGGTGTGGAGCTTGCCAGAATTTTTTGGTATTTTTCTGTGTCCAGTTGCCCACTGAAGCTTCTTACTTTTGTTCCCAACAGCAGGGCAAACTCAACCCAGGACAAATAAGACTTCCAACTCTCGGCCAGGTGTAGTGGCTCACACCTGTAATTGTAGCACTCTGGGAGGTGGAGGCAGACAGATCACTTGAGATCAGGAGTTCGAGACCAAGCTGGCCAACATGGAGAAACCCCATCTCTACTAAAAATACAAAAATTAGGTGGGTGTGGTGGCACACGCCTGTAATCCCAGCTACTCAGGAGGCTGAGGTGGGAGGATCGCTTGAACCTGTGAGGCAGAGTTTGCAGTGAGATTGTGCCACTGCATTCCCGCCTGGGCGACAGAGTGAGACTCTGTCTCAAAAAAAAAAAAAAAAAAAAAAGGCTTTTCAACTCTCTAATACTCTAATTTAGTGGCAGGTCTTCTCAGAGAAGTAAGCTAAATGGATATTGTCAGACTCCTGCCAGCAGAGACCTTCTACATTTCTTAGATCAGGGAAGGGGAATGTCTTCTCGCCCTGCCCCTCTAACATACTTTAACCTGTGGAGGCAGAGTGGCCACATTTCTTACCTGAGATTGCTGGTGCTTCTGGTAGAACTCAATCATGTTAAAGTCACCCAGGTCAACCAGCAGGCCTTGCTTACACATCTCACAGGTCTTCACGGCACCAAGATCTGCTCCTTAAATTGGATAAAGAATTATATGTACATATAACCATGGGTCTGTTTGTGTTAGCACTTTGGACAGGTGATATTTGGGGAGTGAACTTGTGTGTGTTATGAATTCTGAGCTTCAGTGACCTTCCTTTAAAGCCAGCCATCTTCTGTAGAAAATGACCTTGAATCTGAGAGCTGAAAAATTTCCTTTGTAGTCATCTATTATGCAAGCTTCATAGAAGTGAAATTCCCACGACTTTTAAATAGCAGATCTTGCTTTCTATTTAAATATAAACAGGATGGTTCATAAACTTGGAATTGCTGCACAGAGGCTAAGAGTCTGTAACACAGGTGTTTGTAAAAAGAGTGACTATTCAGCTTTTTTTTTTTTTATTGTAGACCCAACACAGGTCCAAGTAAATAAATTAGTGAGGACCAAAATAGATGGCAGAAGCTATTCTCGATCAATGGCTTAAAAATCTGCCTTTACTCCTGCCCAGGTAACATTGCCACCTGAGAACAGTGAGGGAGCGAGGGGCCAGGTGTGGGTACTAGTTACAGTAGTACCCAGGGCCAGCTCATCAGCCTGAGCTCAGACTCATCGGGGAAAAGGAATATGAGAAGGCTTCCTTTGTTGCTGTTTTTATAAAAACAGGCATTCTAGATCAGCATTTTTATCCTATTCCCCAATGCAAAAGTGGAGGATGCAGAGCTGGGCTGTTATGTCTAAGCAAACATTCTGCCAGACAGTTTCTCCCCCTTAGTTGCGGCTTTTGACTAATGATGTACTGGTGTTTATTTTATGCATTAGAAAATAAAAGACCTATTAGTTACCTGCATGTATTTGGTAAAAATAGGGCTTGTGCAGTTTCATACCTCCATTCTATTTCCCCACTGGGGATATAAAGAAACAGTAAATAATAGAGACTTTCAAAGGGCAAGGATGAACAGGAAGTAATCCCTTATCTGCATTTTGTTCGCTTGACTTTTTTTTTTTTTTTTTTTAGCGTCATTCAGTAACGCTTTAGGCTACCAAATGTCCCATGAGTCTTCCGATCGAATCCTACTGAACACACCCATACAAGCGTTGACATTTATGAGCATAGCAGCATTTTCATGACATGTTTCACAGGTAACTTTTTCTGTGTTAGATGTTTAATTGGCCCAAATTTCTAGGAAGATAAAGGATTGCATGGCAGAGTCGTTAGCAACCAAAATCTACTCGTTTTCTTCCCTCTCTGAAGGACTGAATATTTTGCTCGTTATATGGATATGCGTTTAAGCATCTTGATCAGTGGACTTATATTTCTTATGCTAGGGAAGTTGCATAAAACGGGCTCCATGGATGACACAGTAATATGATTACCCCACGTGTTCATTCTCTGATTCCATGGTGTGCTGTCCTTGGTGAGGGGGCGTGGCAACACCTCATGGGGACAGGGTAAAGCTCTAAGTCTCCCTGCAGCCTGGATAGTGACGGCTAAGGAGAAGGATATGGAAGACGGGGAGAAATAGGATCTGGCTGTGGGGGGATATGTTTTCAGAGATGTGTGTCTGAAAGAAGCCGCAGCTATTTTCTGATCAAGTTGCTCTTTGCACTGATGTTCCATGCATTTTTTTTTTTTTTTTGCTTAAAGTTGATCTCATTCCTAAAGCCATGCTTTAAAGAAACCTTCTGTTCTCTGCCCAGAAAACTACAGCCGACCTACCGATGTGGTTGTATTTAGGTTATAACCTGCTCAGGGAGTTGAGAAGGTGCCGCACACCCAGTTATAAGATGCTAGGGAGCTGACAAAATCAGCACATGGAAATTTCTTTATCTAATATGGTTCTAGACAATCAGATCAGCACTCTTATCCCTATTGCTAAAAGGCAGCTTTGTTTAGTTTCTTAGGTGACCCCCAAATAAAAGGAAGTAGGATGTGTGTGCTGGGGGTCTCTCATGAGGGACCTTCTGAAGTATTTTGCTGGGTGTCTGCTAGCTGGGCACGGCTACTGTGTGTCTGCTGAGCTTCCACCGCTGACCCACTTCTATTTCCTTCCTCCTGAGAGGCGATCTTAGCATCTCTGCTCAGGCCTCAAGCAGAGGTAGAATTCAATAGCATTTGTTCCCAGGAGTCTTCTCTCAGATAAAAGCAAAAAACAAAAAACAAACCAAAACAAAAACAAACAAAAAACCCCCAACTCCCTCCCATAGTTTAAAGACAGCTTTTATGAGCAAGGATCTGGAGCTCAGCCACGTGTCCCTGAGTCGCTGTTCTGCGGAGGAGAGTGAGCTGATGACAAGGCTCCGGGGCCCACACCGTGGTGCCTCATGTTAATTACATGTCGTGGCACGTTCACTGCACTTCCTTCCCCACCTACCTGATGTTATTTTCACTTTCAGCCACTTTTTCAGGCACTCTTGATGAACAAACTGCAGGCTTCCCACACAGCCGCAAGGCTCCAGGAGGGGGTTGCTTGGGGAACCCCCGGCTATCTGACAGATGCGACACAAGTCTCCCTCCTCCTCGGAGTCCTCCTCCAGGAGACTAAATGTGAAAACAAGCCCTCGTGACCAGGAGGCTACACGTTTGCAGTTTCTACAAATACCAGTTCCCAGAGCATTGACAGAGAAGGAAGAGGGCTCCTGGTACTCACCCGCTGCCCCCTCTGACCCTAGTGAGATGATTTTTGATAACACAGGCACAAATTCTCTCTTTTTTTTTGAAACAGAGTCTCACTCCGTTGCCCAGGCCGGAGTGCAGTGGCACAATATTGGCCCACTGCAGCCTCAACCTCCTCAGGCTCTGGTGATCCTCCCACTTCAGCCTCCCAAGTAGCTGGATTACAGGTGCATGCCACCACACCTGGCTATTTTAAAAATTATTTTGTAGAGATGGAGTCTCACGATGTTGCCCAGACTGGTCTTGAACTCCTGGGCTGAAGCGATCCACATGCCTTGGCCTCCCAAAGTGCTGGGATTACAGGTGTGAGCCCCTGGGCCTGGCTGAGGCACAAATTCTTGTAACAGGCTTCTTTGCAATTGTCAATACGTGTGAGCTGACATGGAGGACCAGCACTGCCACCATAAATCAAGAGGTAAAGGGAAATGGCTACAGAATCATTTTCAAACTGGAGTCAAGGCCAGGAGCCCCTCTCCCTGCCAGGAAGTTGGTGGGGGTGGCATACTGGTGAGTGCATGGGATTCGTGGTCAGGGGGCCTGGGTTTGAGGCCAGCCTCTGAAACTTGTGAGTTGTGTGACTTTGGATAAGTTCCTTAATCTTCCCAAGACCCTGTTTCCTCATCTGTACAATGAGGGTCATGGTGATAACACCACTGCCACCTACTTCCTAGGGCTGTGGCCAGGCTGGCTACGTGTGACAATGAGGAACCTGTTCTGCAAACTGTAAAGTACATCTAGTGTCTGGCAAGGTGTTGTGCACAGAGTTCACTTAATAGATGTTGGTTTAGGTGGATGATGAACCAATAAACCTGGACACAATCTCCCGAATAACACCACACATGCCAACAAATGACATCAGCATTCCAGAATGTAAGCGGCTGGAATCTGATGAAGATAAGAACTAACGAAAATGTAAGTAAAGATATTTGTGTCTAATAAATGGTGAGTGAAGAATAGCTGGTCGATGTTCATGTTGGGAGGTTTTAAGAAGCCTAAGGCTATTTTCTTTTCTTTAGAGTCCTCACGGGACTGGGGGCCATCTGGTCAAGGAAAGGAAACTGGCTAGAGACTAAAATCAAAAGAGGAAGAAATGGACATTGCTCTGGATGGAGAAATATATGCTCAATTTCTTGAAAGACTTTTTTCCCCATGAAAGGGCAGCTCAGTGTAAAGAAGCAGAATTACAGTTTTCCATTATGGACATTCTCAATAACTTAAAGACATTTTCAACATTCAGACTTCAATACATTTCAACATAATTTCCATATTTTCGTAAGTAATCAGGAAGAACATGTGTACATGGGAGTGAGTGCTCCAACTGGTGAAGATAAACTAGAGAGAGATCTTGCAAGTTTGAGAAGGTAGGCAGAAAAGTGGTAGAAGATTATTTTTTGTTGTTGTTGTTTGTTTTGAGATGGAGTCTTGCTCTGTCACCCAGGCTGGAGTGCAGTGGCTCGATCTCAGCTCTCTGCAACCTCTGCCGGATTCAAGCGATTCTCCTGCCTCAGCCTCCCGAGTAGCTGGGATTATAGGCGTGCACCACCACACCTGGCTAATTTTTGTATTTTTAGTAGAGATAGGGTTTCACCATGTTGGCCAGGCTGGTCTCGAACCCTTGACCTCAGGTGATCCGCCTGCCTTGGTCTCTCAAAAGTGCTGGGATTACAGGTGTGAGCCACCACACCTGGCCTAGAAGATTTTTAATTTAGGCAACTACACGGGATTTGCATTTGGAAACAAGTGCTCTAAATCAGTGGTTTCCAATAGAAAATAAATGACCATCAGGTTCACCGGTAGAGATTTTACAAACAGATTCCTGGGCTCCACCCTTAGAGGTTCTGGTTCAGTATCTGGGGCCCAGGAACCTGAACGTTAAGATGGTCATGCAGGTCTGAAGATCACTGATCTCAACAGGAGGACGAAGGGCTCTGTGGTGAACTTGTTATGGTTGATAAATATCTGACTCTTAACTTAAGGTCCTCCATCTTCTCAAAGGTATAGGTGGGGATCCACTGGCTACCCTACTTTGCAAAAAAATTTTTTTTAACAAATAAAAGTGAAGAAGAGACAGAAAAGCACAGAAAAGAAAAGGAGAATCAAGCATAAAATCATTACCCCAAAGTAACTGCTTGTTAATAGTTGAGTCTGGCCGGGTGCAGTGGCTCACACCTGTAATCCTAGCACTTTGGGAAGCCGAGGCAGGAGGATGGCTTGAGCTCAGGAGTTCAAGCCCAGCCTGGGCAACACAGCGAGACCTTGTCTCAAAAAAAAAGAAAAAAATATATAGCTTGGTGTACTAGCCTTTGGTATTACTCCTGTGCACATACTGTTTTATAGAATTGAGACTGCTTTTAGGATTAGCTCAAGATAGCAGGCTAAGCACCCCCATCAGTCTCCTTTCCCACACAAATCTCTTAAAAGACCAAAAAAGAAAATTAAATAGAATGAATCCACAATAGTGCTGGAAAACAAGCAGGCCAGAAATAATGAGGAATTCTTGGAAAGTCGATGAAGATATGATGATATTGACGAGAGGAAAGGAAATGGCAACCCAAGGCATTCTCACAGAAGCATGGAGAAGGGAAGGGCAGACCCAGGGAAATGCCAGGCTTGGGCTGCACCAATGCAGGGGATGGGGCAATTATGAGGGTACGAGCTCAAGAACTGCTTCAGCACGAGGGGACCAGCTGCTGCCCCCTTTCAGATACCCTGTGATGCAGGCAGCAGGTGGCATAGTGCCTCTCCCAGGGGAACATTCTGTCATTGTATTCCAAAGAAAGGGAACTCTCCATAAAGGTCAAAGTTTTTTGTCTTGCTAGAGACAGGTCTCACTCTGTCGCCCAGTGGCAATCATAGCTCACTGCAACCTCAAGCTCCTGTGCTCAGCTGATCCTCCCACTCCAGCCTCCCAAGTAGCTGTGACCACAGGTGCACGCCACCATGCCCAGCTAATTTTAATTTTTTTTTTCTTAGAAACAGGGTCTCCATTGTTGCCAGGACTGGTTTCAAAGTTTTGGCCTCAACCAATCCTGCCTCAGCCTCCCAAAGTACTGGGACTGTGGGGAGTGAGCCACTGTGCCTGGCCACAGGTCAAAGTTTTTCAAAAAGTTCACGAATGACATTCAATTACACAAAACCTCCCATTCAGGAAACTGGATCTCAGAGGAGAAAAAGCACACAATTGCCGGGGACAGCGTGCTGGCCACCTCTCTCTACTAAACCACCCATTCCTTCCTTCATGAAACAACTGGGGGCCACCTGTCACATGTGGAAACCACCAGCATGAATGAGAGGGGACAAGGAAAATAAGTCAGCTGACTCTAGAGGAAATGAATTGTTTAACGAAGGGAGGAGGTAATTCTCAGGAGGATTCAGAGAATATTGGCAGCTGCTATGTAAAAGGAACAGCAAGAGATAAGGAGGATTTCTGGAGATTTAAAAAAATGTGATTAACGAAATAAAAAATTCCAGGTGAAACAATATTAATGGACAAAATATAATTCAGGCTAAAAGTCTAAAGCTAAATATTGATTGATCCACCAAGAAGAGATCAGCCATGAGCTTTAATGCACTAAATAAAAGCAAAATTCTTATACATGCAAAGGAGAATGGGCAAATCCAAATCAGAGTGAAGGATTTTAATCAATGTCTTTCAGAAATTGACAAACTCAATGGAAAAGAATAAAGTATGAAGGGTTTTTTTGTTTGTTTTTAAGACAGGGGTCTCACTCTATTGTCCAGGCCGGAGTGCAGTGGCAAGATCTTGGCTCACTGCAGCCTCTGCCACCTCCTGGGCTCAAAGTGATCCTCCTGCCTCAGCCTCTCAAGTAGCTGGGACCACAGGCACACGCCACCACCCCAGGTTATTTATTTATTTTTTTTTTGTAGAGACGGGGTTTTGCCATGTTGCCCAGGCTGGTCTTGAATTCCTGAGCTCAAGGAATCTGCCCACCTTGGCCTCTAAAAGTGCTGGGATTATAGGTGTGAGCCACTGTGCCTGGCCTGAAGGATTTTAACATATGTATTTTATATATGTATGCCAACAAAGAGAGAAGAAAGAATGTACAACCTTTTCTAATGCCATAGCATATTTATAAGTATTGAATATGTATTAGGGCACAAAAAATACTGTTCGTATTTTCTGAGATCACAATGTAATTAAATTAGGATGGGCAATAAAAAATTTTGAAAAGAGGGTAACAAAGAGAGATTATATATATATTTATATGTAGATGATATATATTTATTATATAAATATACTAAAAATATATTTAATCTATGTGTGTATATATATACATATATATGTATAAATATACAAATATAAATGTATAAATATATAAATATATATATATTTTTAGAGACAGGGCCTCACTTTGTCACCCAGGCTGGAGTGCAGTGATCACAGCTCACTGTAGACTCGACCTTCTGGGCTCAAGGGATACTCCTGCCTCAGCCTCTAGAGTAGCTGGGACTACAGACATGTGTCATTACACCCAGAGAACATATATATTTTTTGTAGAGACAGGGTATCGCCATGTTGTCCAGACTGGTCTTGAACTCCTGGCCCCAGGTGATCCTCCCACCTTGGCCTCTCAAAGCACTGGAGTTAATGGCATGAGCCACCATGCTCAGCCCTCAAATATTTTTAAAAAACCATAAATCAGCCGGGTGCAGTGGCTCACGCCTGTAATCCCAGCACTTTGGGAGGCCAAGGTGGGCAGATCATGAAGTCAGGGGTTCGAGACCAGCCTGACCAACATGGTGAAGCCCCGTCTCTACTAAAAATGCAAAAATTAGCCGGGTGAGGTGGCGCCTGCCTGTAATCCCAGCTACTCAGGAGGCTGAGGCAGGAGAATCGCTTGAACCTGAGTGAGTGGTGGAGGTTGCAGTGAGCCGAGATTGCACCACTACACTCCAGCCTGAGCAACAGAGTGAGACTTCGTCTCAAAAAGAAAATGAAAAAAAAACCACACAACAAAACCCCAAAAAACAAAAACAAAACCATAAATCAACAATAAATGTGTATAATTGATGGAGCATTTCACGCAGTGAAAGTCCGAAAACAGACTGATAAGGATAGTGTATGCCAAAGAAAGCATTTCAAATTAGTAAGGAAAGGATAGAATGATTGTGGATTAATGGGATAAACATTTTTAAAAAGACCTTAGAACCTCATCTAATACCATACATCAAAATATATTCCATATGAATTTAAGTATAGCTACCATGTATTAAGCGCTTACTGTATGCTAGATAGTCTATGACACACATAAATGTTTAAAACCTCATTTAGTTGTCACTGTTCTTTGAGGAGTATGTATTGTTATTTCTATTTTCTGGATCAAAAAACAGGTTTTTAGAAATGAAGGAACCTGGCTGGGCGTGGTGGCTCATGCCTATAATCCCAGCACTTTGGGAGGCTGAGGCGGGTGGATCACAAGGTCAGGAGTTCGAGACCAGCCTGCCCAATGTGGTGAAACCCTGTCTCTACTAAAAATACAAAAATTAGCCGTGCATGGTGGTGGGCACCTGTATTCCCAGCTACTCGGGAGGCTGAGGCAGGAGAATCACTTGAACCCGGGAGGCGGAGCTTGCAGTGAGCCAGGATCGTGCCACTGACTCCAGCCTGGGCAACAGAGCGAGACTCCATCTCAACAACAACAACAACAACAACAACGACAACAACAAAAAAGCAGTGAAGGAAACTGCCAGAATCATAGAGCTAAAAGTTGGTAGAATCAGGAATGAAATCTAGAACCATAAGACAGCAAAGCCCATATTTCTAACCACTATGATATATGAAAGGAGAATATAACAATACTAGACAAAAATAATTATGGATGCTTGAGTGAGCATTGGAGTTTCTAAGCATGGCACCAAATGTGAAAGTGATACAGGAAAATACTGACAGATTTGATTGTAAGTAATGTTAAAATTCTACTACACCAAAAATATATACATAAAATGTAAAGTAAATAAAATGGGAAAAGTAAAAACATATCTGTAAAATATTTGACAAAGAATTACTTTTTGTTTTTTTTGAGATGGAGTCTTGCTCTGTTGCCCAGGCTGGAGTCCAGTAGGGCCATCTCAGCTCACTGCAACCTCTGCCTCCTGGGTTCAAGAGATTCTCCCACTTCAGCCTCCCAAATAGCTGTGACTACTGGTGTGCGCCACCATGCCCTGCTAATTTTTGTATTTTTAGTAGAGATGGGGTTTCATCACGGTGGCCAGGTGCTGGTCTCAAACTCCTGACCTCAAGTGATTCACCCACTTTGGCCTCCCAAAGTGCTGGGATTACAGGAGTGAGCCACTGTGCCCAGCCAAGAATTACTAATGACAAACATTAAAAAGCATAGAAATTCCTGGAACTGGAAAGGGCGTGGAGAAAGAGGACCCTCATAAGGGGTGGTGAGATCGCTAACGTGTAGAACTTTCCTGAAGCACAATTTGACAATATACATTAAGAACCTTAAGACTCTGCATTCCTTTCATCAGCAGTTACACATTTAGGAAGTTTTTCTAAGTAATTAGTTATGCATGTGTTATAAAAGGAGACCGATCAAATCATAATAGACACATTTAATATAAGCAGCCCTCAAAAAAATTGACATAACACTGTAAGATGAGAAAAGGATTAAAAAGCATAGAGTTTGGAAAGAAAGAAATCAAACTACTAATATTTTTTACAGTTGAAATTATTTTGTATTTTGGCAAAAATACAGAGAAAACATATAGTCAGTTGGATTTCTACATCTTAGCAACAAAGAGTTAAAATTAGAATTTAAAATACTGTTTCAATAGCAAATAACAACAAATAAAAGAACCAAGGGATAAATTAAATAAATGACTTTTATGAAGAAAACCACAAAACTATACTGAAAGACATTAAAGAAGACACAAACAAAAGGAGAGAGATACAGCATGTTTATCAAAGAAAAAGTCAATATCGCAAATATGTCAATTCTCCCAGAATATTCTATAGATTAAATGCAATTCCAATAAAAATCCCAACAAGTGGATTCTTAAGTATACAGTCAAGGACTCTTCAAAAAAGTAGGGAAGGAGGCTTACATCATCGCATATCAAAAGTTATGAAAGCTGCAGGCATTAAGACGGAATGGCATTAGATTAGGGAAAGACAACAAAAGACCAATGCAACAGAATAGAGAGCCCTGAAACTGGGGCCTGTTGAGGCATGTTCCAAAGGAGAGGTGGCTGTGCAGATCAACAGGGAACTATCCCAAACGCTCGGATATTTCATATTCATAAGTGGGAAAAAATAAAGCTTACTTCACATCACAGATTAAGAACCACTTCACATTTAAGTCCAAATCCATTTCACATTAAATCCTAAATATAAAGCTAGAGATTTTACAAGAAAATAGGAAGAATAGCATAACGATATCAGGTTAAGAGAAGGATTTCTTAAGCAAGACAAGATACAAATTGCAATCCAAAAAGAAGATGGGGCCGGGCACGGTGGTTCAAGCCTGTAATTCCAGCACTTTGAGGGGATGAGGCGGGCTGATTGTTTGAGGTCAGGAGTTTGAGACCAGCCTGGCCAACCCGGTGAAACCCCGTCTCTAATAAAAATACAAAAATTAGCTGGGCGTGGTGGTGCACGCCTGTAATCCCAGCTACTGGGGAGGCTGAGGCAGGAGAATCAATTGAACCTGGGAGGCGGAAGTTGCAGTGAGCTAAGATCACACCACTGCACTTCAGCCTGGGCAATAGAGCAAGACTCAGTCTCAAAAAAAAAAAAAAAAAAAAGACAACATAAAGAAAAAGACAAACTAGACAAACTACAAATTGGGAAAAGATATTTCCAACACACAACTGTTGAAAGATTAAATTAATAGGCCAGAGATATAAAGGTATTTTAAAATAAAATACAAATACTCTAAAAGAAAAATGAGCTAAAGACATAGATATTTGGCTAGGCAAAGTGGCTCATGCTTGTAATCGCAGCATTTTGGGATGCTGAGGTGGGAGGATTGCTTGAGGCCAAAAGTTTGAGACCAGCCTGGGCAACGTAGTGAGACCCCATCTCTACAAAAAAATAAAGACATCAATATTTCACAGAATGGAAAACACAAATGGTCATTTAATATTTAAAGAGCATATAAAATGCCTAACTTCATTAAGTCATGAAAATGCAAACTCAAGCTACAATATCATTTTATTCCCATCAGACTGGCAAATTTGAAAAGCCAATCAATACGAATGTTGTCAAGGATGTATAACATTAGACATGACTGGTTTGACACTAAATTGGCATTATTTAGTACAGTGGAAAATGTGTTCACCACCAGCCCACCAGCCCACCAGCCCAGCTCTTCCACTCCTAGACAAGATCCCAGAGAACTCTTCCACACGAGCCAGGAGACATTTACAAGAATGTTCATGCAGCGCCATTTGCAGCAAACAATAAAGGACACGAATGTCCATTGACAGAATGGCTAAATTGTGGTATATCCATATGAGAGAATACTTTGTAGTGTGAAAAGAATAAACCAAAGCCAAATATATCAATAAGGATGCATCTCACTAAGGATGTAAGAGGAAAAAGCAAGTCACAGAAGACTAGAGATTCTATTTCTACAGAGTCAAACACTTGCTCAGAGTTCATAAATATACACAACATATTGTTTAGAAAAACTGGCTGGGTCGGTGGCTCATGCCTGTAATCCAGGACTTTGGGAGGCCAAGACGGGTGGATTGCTTGAGATCAAGAGTTCGAGACCAGCCTGGCCAACATGGTGAAACCCTGCCTCTACTTAAAAATACAAAAATTAGCTGGGCATGGTGGTGTGGGCCTGTAATCCCAGCTACATGGGAGGCTGAGGCACGAGAATTGCTTGAACCCTAGAGGTGGAGGTTGCAGTGAGTCGCGATCATGCCACTGCGCTCCAGCCTGGGAGACAGAGTAAGACTCCCTCAAGAAAAAAAAACAAAAAACATATAAACATATGGTAAAAGCTCAAAGCAAAAAACCCCAAAACACAACACAACGAAATGCAAAAGGATGATAAACGCAATACAGGAATGGTCAGGGTGGGTGTGGGGAGCTGAAGGTGGGAAGATGAGAAGATAGGGTGGGTGAGGGGCTCAGGAGGGCTCCAGTGTGTAAGGAATGTTCTGTTAGCTGGACGGTGGGCACAGGGGTGTCTGGGTTTGTGTGTGATGTGTGCGCTTTAAAAATTCTCTGAAGTGTACGTATGTCATGTATTAATTTATATGTATTAAGATAACTGAGGTGAACTTTTAAAAACATGTGATTGAGAAATAGGATTAGATATTAAATTAAGGCATATTGGAAAATAATATCAACAGATACTCACTAAAAATTGCATTTATATGCAAAGATAAAAGACTAGAAACAATGTTTTTAACTGTTTATCTTTGGATGATAGGGTTACAGGTGATTTTTCTTTTAAATCTGTATTTTTAATATTTCCCAAAAGGAACAAATTTGAAATAATAAGAAAAGCATAAAGTTTATTATATACAGAAAAAAGAGAGTGTCTGGATAAACTATTAATAGGTACACGAATAATAGCTGTTTAATGCAAGACCATGCCTGGAAGTGAATGCATTTTCAAAGAAATTATTTTTAGCTCAAGGGCATCACTTTGGGATGGTAGAAATTTAGACTTCTGACAAGTAGGTCTGAAGCTGTATTTCTGGGGAGGTGAGGATTGGTGGGTGTAAGGTCTCTTGCCCCTTAACCGTGGGTCGGTCTTCTGGTAGCTTAATGTGGAAAAGAAAAGGTACTGCTAACTAGAAAGTTACTTCATTACTGGAGTTGGATAAATGATATTTATTAATAGGAACAGGTATGCATTCTATGTTCCATTTTCCTCTCGTTTTTACCTTTCTAATTCACAGCCCACATGAGTCATGCTAATATACACAAAGAGGGCTCAAATTCCAAGAATCAATTTCCAGATCAGTAAGCCAAGATCAGAGCATGGTAAACACCTATCATAAATGAAATGGTAGAATCCTGACATGGTGTTTAATGATGGCTTTACAAAGTATCACATTTCATAGCTGTGAACTATCCCCAAATCATCTCACAAAAAAGGAAAGATCAAAGAAAAGGGCAATTCAGAAAAGATCTTATTTCTCTCTCTCTCTTGCATGAAAAAGAGCACATAAAATAGAAGCAGTGGTTACCCCAGCGTGGCCCTTCAGAGAACCGAGGTAACTATGGTAACTAAGAACGGTCTTTTAGTTCGCAAGGTTCGAATTCTAGAACTGTTGGTTGGATTTGGGGTAAGTCCCATAAGGGAGAGCTGCGAACTTCAAGTGTGGACTGGTTCATTCTCTAGGGAGATAGCAACCTTTTCCTAAAAAATCTTGGTTCTTCATTGCTGGAGAGAAGAACAAGCCCTGTGAAGCAGTCAGAGATCCTTATACCCAGCAGACTTAAGGGTGTGGTATTCAAGGAAAAAAACACTTTGGGAAATAGAGAAGAAACTGATCAGGAACACCAGACTTTTCTTTATAAATACGTATATTTTAAGAGCAACAAAACAGAGACAATTTTCTCAAAATAAGCAACCACTAAAATGTCAAGGAAGGACCCATTTATGACTTAAAATTCCCATGGCTCTCTAACGAAAGCAATGCTAATTTTGGCCTTGGGAAAGTGGAAAAAATATATAATTATGAAAAGTCCTCACCTTTCTTGCAATTTCTTGAGTTTCTCAGGGTCTGCCTTTATCTTACTGGTTTCCTTTTCATCTGTGAAACCAGAGGCTGCCATCCTGCTCCCATTATCATTTTGATTTGGGAAATGAGACACTGCAAAGAAAGTAAATGGTGTATTTTCTTGCAGAGACCCAGACACATGCAAATGGCCTTCTGAGTTCATTCTTGATGGAGAGGAGCTGGAAGAATCCACTAAGGACAAATTGCCCTGTGGATTTAGTAAGAGATCTGTATATAGTGGAGCCCCCTGAGGCTGGCTTGTTAAAGTAGTATCTTCTGCTTCCCTGACAGCAAATTCGTGTGCACTGTTTACTGGGAAATAATTATGGTTTTCGGCACTGGCAAATGGAGTCCTATTTCTAATGGGAGACAGTGGTTGGCAAACATGAAACCCTGAGTTTCCCTCTGAGTCTGAGCTGTGAACTGAAGTCGATGACATTGACAAGTCTACTGGAATATCATCTCTCAGAGCAGAATGCATGAATGATGCAGGAGGGTTATAGGATGAATTCACTGATGATCTTGGAGATATTGGTCTGCCAGAAATAAAGTAGTCAAGAGAATTTTGAGAACTGTTTAAATAGTCTTTCCAGTATCCTTCAGAATCATGGGTGCCAGGCCTATGTTCCACAGAAATACAATCACTCCATACATTTTCAGCATTGACACCAACCTCTTGTCTGGGCTCGGATTTGGTGTCCCACGAAAGAGGGCTCTTTTTCGCATTTTCACTGCCACCTCTGTCCTTCTCTGTAGCAGATTCCCTATCAGGCAGCCCGGGGTCTTGGGACAACCTTTGCCCAGCAGAAGGCCGCTCTGTTGCTGGCTCCATTGCATTGCTTATTCTCAATGAGCCATGACTGGGCTCACTTCTTCTTGAAGAATGACCTCTGCAATTTTCAGCATTTTCTTCAAAATTTTTATTTTTGGCCTGAGGGGTCGATGTCCCCCCAAATCTACTTCTTTTGTGATGGGAAGGAGAACAGGGTGAGCGCACACCAACCCACAGACATTCTTCAGACTGGGTTTCCTCTTCAGTGTCATCGCTTTCTCTTCTGCTGTTCAATGACAAAATGGAATAAAAGTCTTCATCTCGGAACCTAAATGATGCCTTTCTTGGCCCTCCTACAGTGGTGGGTGTGAGTGGTGGCCCCGAGAACTCACTCAATACTTGAGGACTATTTTTTCCTTGGAAGGCCTGGGACAGGGCTGGATGCAGCTCACTCTGGGAAGGAGCACTCGGGTCTCCTTTTTTGGCTCTATCAGGGGCGTTCTCAGTCATTGGCTGTGACGATGGGACCAAGTTTCTTCTCTCTTGATTTGGCCTCTTCAGCTTAGTGTTACACATCAGGCCTTCTTGTTGAACTACTTGATCTGCATTGAGAAAAGACACATTTATCGTTCCAGTAAAAGGGCCCATGGATGAAAGGCCTCTAGCACCAAGTGCAAAATTGCCCTTTAAATGCAACAGACAAGACCTAGAGAAGAAAACAGACACGGTCAAAATGGCTGGAGGTACAAGAGGAGCAGAGCCCAGCAGGCTTCATTTTACTGCCCCGTATTCTCCTTTGTACCCCTGTGGTCCTAGGGAAATGGGGGGACCCTGAGGATACAGATTCTTTCTGCAGAAGCTCCCGGAAGACTGGCCCAGCCCCAGCCAGTCAGGACTGATGATGCGCAAACCTCACACTAAATACTGGCTTTTGTTCCATACGTACTGAAAGGGAAAACCACCACTCTGGGAATGACTTCTACAAAAACCACCAGCCCTTTCTCATCCACGTTCATTCAATGTACATTTATGACACCCTGCCTCCCACGCAGCTTTACAAGAACTTAAGAGAAGTATAACATGTCTTGGCAGATCAGGAGGAAGGCTATAGGAGCTGGCGCCCGGGGAACACTGGGGATTTTGGTCATGTTTACTATTTAGTGAAAATAAAAATTATAAATCGCTCATGAAATCGTTATCTTCTCTTTGTCACTAGCCCCAGGTCAATTCTGTAACTTCTGGCTGCCCTAGAATCCCTACTATGAATTCCTACACAGAATCACTGAACTGGCCAGAAGCATGCTAACTGTCTCTCTCTGTCTCTCTCTGTCACACACACACACACACACACACACACACACACACACACAACTTAAGCCTCACAACCCTGTGAAATAGGTAACACAATCATACGACATTATAACTTGAGAGTACCAAGGCTTAGGGCAGTCACATAACTAGCCCAAGATCCTATTTCCAGTAAGTGATGGAATGAACATTTGAACCCACGCCTGCTCGATACTAGGGTTTGTGTTCTTAACCACCACCCTGTGTTAGCCCTTAAGAAACTGGCTGGCCTTCCGATTTCCTTGTGAAAATGAGAATCCATTGAATTCATCGTGGTGTGTGTGTGCTGTTGAGGGTCTTTTACCCTCTTGATGTGAGAAGGAAACTGACAGTACTTCTCTGATGCCACTTACCTTTATTCCCTCCTGACATCGGCCTCCCCCCGCTTTGTTCTCCTCTCTGCTATTGTGTGGGATCTGATGAGATGCTGCTCTTTTTATCATTCCATTTCTAAAGCGGTTCACCCTGTAGAGTGGACGGGACTCCACGGGCCCTGGAAGGTCTGTGTTGATAACAGCTCGGGCTGGTGAAATGCAAATCCTCAGAGCATCGGGCACCACCAAGGGCCAAGTCAATTCTGGCTCACTTTAATTGGGGCTCCTCACAGGGGGACACCAGTGTGAGTCTCTAATGTCCTAACACTCGGGCAGCTTCTTTTATTGTTAACTGCATGGGACACTCAGCAACGCAGTATGAATCTTGACTCATCAGCTCTTCTAGAAATCAGTTAAGCTCTCCTCTCAGGCCCCTCCTGGGTTTTATAAACCCCAGTTAGAGATGCAGCAGCAATTCAAGGATGCTTTGAGCATCTGGCTGTGGAACTACAGCGCTGGAGCTGGTGGCGAGGCCACTCCAGACTGGGCCGACCCCCATTTTGGGAACAAATGCTTCTACGTAAGCAACTGAATTCTCCTGAAAATTTTTTAAAATAGAAAAGGGGGCTGGGGGCTGTGGCTCACGCCTGTAATCCCAGCACTTTGAAAGGCCGAGGTGGGCAGATCACTTAAGGTCAGGAGTTCAAGACCAGCCTAGACAACATGGTGAAACCCCATCTCTACTAAAAATACAAAAATTAGCCGGGTGCTGTGGTGTGTACCTGTAATCCCAGCTATTTGGGAGACTGAGGCAGGAGAATCGCTTGAACCCAGGAGGCAGAGGTTGCAGTGAGCCCAGATAGTACCACTGCACTCCAGCCTGGGCAACAGAGTGAGACTCTGTCTTAAAAATAAATAAATACATAAATACATAAATCAATAAAATAGAAAAGGGATCCAGAGGAGTTGGCAGTGCAGGCTTTGGCTGATGACTTTTTTTTTTTTTTTGAGACAGAGTTTCACTCTTTTTGCTGGAGTGCAATGGTGCGATCTCGGCTCGGCTCACAGAAACCTCCACCTCCTGGGTTCAAGCAATTCTCCTGCCTCACCCTCCTGAGTAGCTGGGATTACAGGCATGCTCCACCAAGCCCGGCTAATTTTGTATTTTTAGTAGAGACAGGGTTTCTCCATGTTGGTCAGGCTGGTCTCCAACTCCCGACCTCAAGTGATCCGCCTGCCTTGGCCTCCCAAAGTGCTGGGATTACAAGTGTGAGCCACCGTGCCCGGCCGGCTGATGACTTTTTGTTTTGAATTTGTTGGAGGGCCTTGGAGGTGAGCTCACAGCGCTGGAACCGGAATCTTCCGGTCATTCCCTGAACGCACATGACCCATCCCTGTGAGGAGAAACACCCAATGGGCAAAAGAATCAGCAAGGGCCGCTTTTGAAAAACAGAAACTGGAAGCTCAACGGGAGCCATTAGCTCATCTCATAGAGGCCACTGAGTTGCCACAGAGTGATGCTGGCCTGGGGGACAGAAGAAGTCCCAGGGTATGCGCGGTGTTGCGGCTCCTGCAGATTCCTGAAACATGCATCTTCACCCCTGTCTCGTCACCACAATGGTCTTCCTCTTTAAAAATTCAATCAGAGCTTCTCTGCAGTGTGTGTGTGTGTGTGTGTGTGTGTGTGTGTGCGTGTGTGTGTGTGTTTCCCCTAAAGGTGGCAGACTGTGCCATTCTCGATTTATGCTATTTTAACCCTATTTTTTTATGTCTATCAAATAGAGAGCAGATTTCAGGAGCTCTAGGGCTGGGAATAGACAGGCACACTGGTATGCCAGGGATGTGCTATTCATAGACCAGGCCCTGCAGATGCTGCAAATGCTTCTCTGAGGCCCTGGGCTCCAGCTGTGAGTGAAGTGCCTGCCATCTCCAGGAGTTCTAGGGCAACAGAATGAAACCAGAACAAGCATCTGTCTGCCTTAAGACTATGCCTTCGACTTCTTGGTGTGCTTGACCAATAGTTTCCTACATTCCAACAGCCACACACTTTTAACTTTTTTCCCTCTGGTTATAAAAGTGGTTTATCATCATTGGAGAAAATTTGGAAACTATAGAAGAAGATGAAGAATAAAATAAAAATCCCCCATAATCCAAAACTCGGATGATCATTGCTATTGTTCTGGAATTCAGAGTGGGTTGCATACTCAAGACCCCAGGGCTGTTTTCATCCTGCAATTGTGCTTTGGCTCAGCTTCTTTTTTTCTTACTTTTTTTTTTTAATTTTAGAAACAGGGTCTTGCTCTGTCACCCAGGCTGGAGTACAGTTGTAGGCTCAAACAATCCTCCTGCCTCAGCCTCCTGAGTAGCTGGGACTACAGGTGCATGCCACCACACCTGGCTCATTTTAAAATTTTTTTCTAGAGATGGGGTCTCACTTTGTTGCCCAGTCTGGTCTTGAACCTCTGGCTTCAAGCAATCCTCCTGCCTTGGCCTCCCAAAGTGCTGGGATTACAGGCATGACCCACCGTGTCTGGCCATGGCTCAGTATTTGAACAATGAATTTATTACCTTTAGGTGGAACATGTATATTGTAGCTTACCACAGGCTCCATAACCCGTTATGCATCTGTCCTGCTATATCCACCTGCTCCCTGAAGGCATTTGAATTTATAACCCAGGGCTCTCTTATCAAGAGATATTTCTTAACAAACAAAACTGAAGTGAAGAAATTAAGTATCTTATTATGAGCATTATGCCATGCCATTAGCTATTCTTTAAGAACATGATATTAATTATAGTATAAAGGTATATATTATAATTTGTTAACTCTTCCCCTATTGTTGGGTATATAGGTTGTTTTGAGGTTTGACTGTCAGCGATTACAATGTGATAAATGTCCTTGCTCATACATTTTTGACTATATATTTTCTTAGACTAGATCTATGGGAGTGAAATTGCTAGGTCAAAAGGTATGAACTTTCTAAGAGGCTTTGACACGTTACCAAATTCCTTTCCAGAGAGTTTTTACCAAATGACCCAACAGGTAGGCTATGAAAGCATCTCTCTCATAACTGTCACCAGCAATCCATGTCAGTAGCATAGACACAACAGTGCCCAGGAATGTTCGTTGTTAGTTTCACTACTAGTATTACGTATCATTTTTAAAACCTTAGTCAAATGGGTAGGCCAAATTTACGTCATGTAGATTTACATTTATTACCTTCTGAGGTTGAACTTTTTAAAAAATATGACCTATATTGTCTCCAGATGAACTTTAAAAAAATGTTTATTAGCCATCTGTATTTTTATTTTTATTTTTTTTGTGAGACAGAGTCTCACTCTGTCACCCAGGCTGGACTGCAGTGGTTATCTTGGCTCACTGCAAGCTCTGCCTCCCGGGTTCACACCATTCTCCTGCCTCAGCCTCCCGAGTAGCTGGGACTACAGGTGCCCGCCACCACGCCTGGCTAATTTTTTTTTTGTATTTTTAGTAGAGATGGGGTTTCACCATGTTAGCCAGGATGGTCTCGATCTCCTGACCTTGTGATCCACCTGCCTCGGCCTCCCAGAGTGCTGGGATTACAGGCATGAGCCACCGCGCCCAGCCTGGAAACTGTTTTTTTTTCTTTTTTTCTTTTTTTTTTTTGAGATGGAGTCTCACTGTGTCACTCAAGCTGGAATGCAGTAGGCATGATCTTGGCTCACTGCAACCTCCACCTCCCAGGTTCAAGCGATTCTCTTGCCTCAGCCTCCGGAGTAGCTAGGATTACAGGCATGTGCCACCACGCCCAGCTAATTTTTGTATTTTCTGTAGAGACAGGGTTTCACCATGTTGGCCAGGCTGGTCTTGAACTCCTGACCTCAAATGATCCGCCCACCTCAGCCTCCCAAAGTGCTGGGATTACAGGCATGAGCCACCATGCCCAGCCTCCTTCCTTATTTTTCTATTAGGTATTTGTGTTTTTCTTATTGATTTGTGAGAGCTTTCTGCATATTATCTCTGTCATATTTGCTTCAACTCTTTCACTGATACAATTCAAATACCTGGCTCCTACTCCATTTTGTGCAAACCACTTTAGAATGTGAGAAAAGAAGCTAAAGGGAGACTTGTGAGGAAATAATTTGGGGAGATAAGGAGCCACGGGTATAATGGGACATTAGGATGAATTCTCATCAGGTCACAGGATGATGGGCGATGACTCCTGGGTGCAGACAGAATTGTATGAGTCCCATCCGTGGGTCCAGGAACATTTCACACATGGAGACGCTTACCTTTCTCCTTCCTTCCTTCCTTCCTTTCTTTTTTCTTTTTTCTTTTTTTTTTTTGAGAAAGTGTCTCACTCCATTGCCCAGGTTGGAGTGCAGTGGCATGTTCACAGTGCACTGCAGCCTCGATGTCCTGAGCTAATTTATTTATTTTTTTTGGAGATATGGGGTTTCACCATGTTGGCCAGGCTGGTCTCAAACTCCTGGACTCAAGTGATCTTCCACCTCCGCCTCCTATAGTGCTGGGATTACAGGGGTGAGCCACCCTGTCTGGTGAACCTCACCTTTCAAATAATATTCAACAGTTCATTAAGGGTTGTTGGCAGGAGAGAAACTATAAAAAGTTCAGTGCCCACTGTGTGGACTTATTCTGTGCTGGGTGCTGGTCAGTGTATTATTTTACTTAGTTATTATAACAATGCAATGAGGTAGATTTCATTATCCTTATTTTAAGATAAAGGAACTGGTGCCCAGAGTGGCTACTTTAGCACCCAAGATGCCATTGCTGGGAGGAAGAGCTGGCATTGGAGCTGAAGGCTGCCTTAAAGCTCATGCCCTTCCCGGCAGAAGGCATTGATCACTGGGACCCTGTGGACATCTCCTTGCTGCAGACTCATATATGCAGATTCCAAGCCATCAAAATACTAACACATTCTTCAATATGTATATATGTCCACCACCATCTATATCACATTTAAAAACAAAGGCAGGCCGGGTGCCATGGCTCACGCCTGTAATCCCAGCACTTTGGGAGGCCAAGGCAAGCAGATCACTTGAGGCCAGGAGTTTGAGACGGGCCAACATGGTGAAACCCTGTCTCTACCAAGATACAAAAAATTAGCCGGGCATGGTGGTGCGCGCCTGTGGTCCCAGCTACTTGGGAGGCTGAGGCATGTGAATTGCTTGAATCCGGGAGGTGGAGGTTGCAGTGAGTCGAGCTGGTGCCACTGCACTCCAGCCTGGGCAACAGAGGGAGACTCTACCTCAAAATAAATAAATACAATAAAAAAATAAAGGCAACTGTGTTCATTGGTCATGACATAATGGGATGCTCAGTGGTTTCCTAAGAGAAAGAATGGGTCTATGGCCAGGTTGACTGTGAGGTGATGCTTTCCATGAGTTCCAAGGGGGTGATACACCAAACCAGTCTTTGGGAATAAAGCATAGATTCGTTCCAATATTGTGTATTTCTCACACATCATGATCTCTCTGAGTTGAGTGCCCTGGGTCAGAGGGGAGAAGATCTCTGCTGGGAGGTGAGCAGCCTGTCACCCACAGACACACATCCTCCCTATCCCAGGAACTAAGTGAGAACAACTGCCAGGTGGGACATGCCCCAGAGTTGCAGATCCGCTTCTCTGCCTTCCCCAACCCCTGCCATCTACCACCCAAATGCCATCCACCATCCAAATGCCCTCTGGAGCAGCTGTACAGCTGGTGTCCACTCAAAACCAGTTACACTCATGGAGTTATGGGAGAGAAAAAGATATCCCCCCCGACCCCGCCTTCCCCTTTTCCCACCAGCCTCTCTTGGAGGAAAAAAAACGCCAAAAGCCCTAGGATCATACAATTTGCTTTTAAAGCTGTTTCATTTTAAGGTACATGCACCTCATTTACTTAAAAGTACAAGTATCTAAAAACCATAAAGAATTCACCGGGTAACAGCAAAAATCAGTCCTCCTCTCCAAGGACAAAGGTTCGGGAGCCCCGGGTCCTTACCTGCTCCCCTGGGAACCGGCACCTTTGCAGGCCACTGCTGTTTCTGTCTGCTTCTGTCCCCAGATGCTCTCGGGCTGTGCGATTCTGGGCTGACTGTAAATCTCCTCAGGTTTGGCTTCCTCTTTCTTAATAAAACCATTGGTGCTTGGTCTGCTGAAAGATGCAAAGTCTTTTCAATAATTATTTTGTTTACAGGAAAATGTCTTCCATATAAAGAACGTTCAAAGGGCCCAGCAATGTTTGGGGGTGGGGTTAGGTGGAAGGGCAGTCAAGAGAAGGGACCCAGGAGGTCACAGAAGAGCTGGATTTGAAATCTGGTTTCATGTAACCATGTGAGCTTGGGAAAATCACTTCACCTCTCCAAGCCTCAGTTTCCCTACCTGCTACATGGAAATAATCATGCCTCCTTCATAGGATCACCTGAGGTCAGGAGTTTGAGACCAGCATGGCCAACATGGTGAAACCCCATCTCTACAAAAATACAAAAATTAGCTGGGCATGGTGGCGCATGCCTGTAGTCCCGGAGGCTGAGGCAGGAGAATTGCTTGAACCTGGGAGGCGGAGCTTGCAGTGAGCCGAGATGGTGCCACTGCACTCCAGCCTGGGCAACACAGCAAGACTCCATCTCAAAAAAAAAAAAAAAAGCCTCCTTCATAAGCACCCATGATGCCTGCGATGCAGAGGCCGAAGGTAGGGATCTTTCCTTTTGCTAAGAAGTTTTGTCTTTTTTTCTTTTTTTTTTTTTAAGATGGAGTCTTGCTCTTGTTGCCTAGAGTGGAGTGCAGTGGCATGATCTTGGCTCACTGCAGTCTCTGCCTCCCAGGTGCAAGCGATTCTCCTGCCTCAGCCTCCTCAGTAGCTGGGATTATAGGTGCCTGCCACCATGCCCAGCTAATTTTCGTATTTTTAGTAGAGACAGGGTTTCACCATGTTGGCCATGCTGGTCTCAAAGTCCTGACCTCAAGTGATCTACTCAGCTTGGCCTCCCAAAGTGCTGGGATTACAGGCATGAGCCACTGCGCCCAGCCTTGCTAAGAAGTTTCTAGGTTCCAATCCATAGGTGTTGGGATATGCCCGCTAGCAACACTGTCAAGAGCCTTCTACAGTTGGGACACGCAATGGCCCTGCCTCCCAAGTGCTCATCCAGGTTTGAATCACAACATATTTTGTATAATACCTGCATATTTATATCCTCAGGTTTATTAGCAAACATGCCCGTACAGAAAGGTTGCAAGCATCTGGGAACCGTATGCCTTTCTCTTTCCTGTCCCCTACCCTCCACTGTGTTGGGACGATATTCATAGGAAGACAGTAGCTGGGGTGCTATTGTGGACCTAGTTTCCAATGAACATTATCTTTTTAATCTACATTTTGAATTGGGTTGCTAATTGATACAGTTTTGAGTTTCCTCTTCACATGTATTTAGCGTCAGTGCACGTGAATGTGGAGGAAAAGTTCTAGTATATACCATGCATCTCTACAAGTTCTTGGGTTTACAAGGCAGTTACATCGTGAATATCTGGACGAAATTCCCCAAGATCATTTGTCTGGCTCATCTTCTTTAGACAGTTTGGAAATTTCACAAATAGATGTAGCCAGCTGGTAACATAGGGATAAAGCCGGGGAAAGCCCCCGACTTGTGTGTGAGAGCACAGCCTTTTTTGGCACATGAGGCAACTGGAGTCATGTTCCAGAGTGTAAGTTGTAGTCGTGTGAATAGTTTTCCTCCAGATTCAGGAAGGGAATTAAAGTTCTTTCTGGCAGCCCATGAAACCTAATTTAATACAATGACTAGGTCTACTTACTTCTGACGGGCCCCAGGAGGGCATGGCAGTGGGTCCTGCAGGCCAAGACAGAGAGGATCATGCCCCGCAGGGAACTTACTAGAAGAGGGAAGCTGCTGGTGGTGTCGGAGCAACTTGGGGCAAGTTGGTGGAGCCCAGAGAAGTTGTAGGTGTGAAAGGAGAGAGTGAAAGTTCTCTGGAAAATGAGAAGATAGTCTTGGGATGGCGTAGGATGTTGATTAGACATGATTTTGCTGATCAAAAAGGGGGTGAGAGGAGGAAGGTGAGAGAGTGAGAGACAGAAAGACAGAGAGAGAGAGAGGGATCAGGTGTTTTACACTAAGGGATCCATCACTGAGGGAAGGAGGGAAGCATTTTCCCACTACCAAAAGTTGCATTCCTTGAACATAGAAGCTTCTCCCTTATCACCTGAGACCTCAGACCCCCTCAGTTCTCAGAAGTCCTGCCTCCTGCTTTCCAACTCATGGAGAGAAGAGGAAGAAACAGAAGAAGGGCCAGGGAAGGGGCAGGCGTGGGGCTCAGGCCAAGTCTAGAAGGTCAGGACCTGGCCCCAAGGTCCTGAGGATAAGAATTTCACTTTGATTTCCAGCAGGAATCCCAGCAGAATATTCAAAGTTCCCACGCACCCCAGGCAGCAGAACTTCACACTGCCCAGAGGCCACTGAGCCCCGCCACTGCATTCACCTTCACAGGGAGGGATGCTTCTGCTCATGGGACCTTTCTTCCCCAGACTGCACCAGCCAGAAGGTCCTCCGAGGTCTGTTTCCGGTTTATTCCACCAAGTCGGCTCTGACTCTGCTTTGGAAAAAACCCTTACTTTCAGCGTTTTTAAAAAATGGCCTTTAGTGTTTAAATATTCTAAAATTGCTTAATGAGTATGTCTTTTCTCTCCAACTAGCCTGCACGCTCCTTAAGAATGAGGATCGTCTCTCAGCCAGTCTACACGTTGCCTCATACTGCTGTGCAGGACAAGTATTAATTGCCTTGTCGTGCAGGACAAATATTAGTATGATTTGTGAGGCTTGAGAAGATGCATTCAGCCCAACTACAGGGGAACTTCAAAACTAGAACACATTTTTTTGTTGTGCAGAACGCCCAAGATGGCTTAAGATAAAAGGTTATTTAATTTGTTTTCTTGTTCAAAAAAACTGCTTTCTTCAAAGCATCAGATCTCTTAAATGATTGCCAAAACCATTACCATGTGTCCTCTAATCAAGTTCTCAGCAAACTAAAATAATAAAGCTGAACAACTGGAGATTGTTGTACTAGGCCTGGCAGTGAAGAAATCGCTGCTATTAGTGTAGGCAGGATCCTCTGACCTTTGGCAACTTTAACCTCAGTTTCTGCAACTGTAAAATGGTCCATCTTGTTACTGTGAAGTTTAGCAAAAATGTACATAAATGGCCTAACTGGTTCATGCTAGGTGCTAATAATGGTAGCTGCTTCTTCTACTGTAAAGAATACTACCACTACTACTGAGAATAATAATGGGAAATCTGAAGTCATTCCCATGAGACAACTGAATTTGACCAGAAACTCATTGTTATGCAGACTTCACAGGTTGGCAATAACTTATTCAATAGCCTTCATTCCGGTGTAGTTCTTGTTGATTCTCTCCCTCAATCCTTCTTTTATAAAATCCAAAAGGCAAATAGCAACTCTTTATATTATGATTTGTTCAACAAATACCTGTGTGCCTTTGCTATGCTATAATTTGAGGGTTCACAAAGATGAACAAGATGTTGCCTCATGACCTTAAAGATTATTATAATCTAATTTGGCTGCACTGCTGACTTCTTCCCTGTGATACCCTTTTGGTTCCATGGAAAACAAAACTCTTGCAAAATATTTTCTCTTCTCTGTCTGTAAGTGCAGTCACAAATGAGGTGACCTAGATTGCACAGTTTGTGTGTACATGGGTTTAAGAGTTTCTAGGTCCAGGCACGGTGGCTCACGCCTGTAATCCCAGCACTTTAGGAGGCCAAGGTGGGTGGATCACGAGGTCAGGAGTTCAAGCCCAGCCTGGACAAAATAGTGAAACCCCGTCTCTACTAAAAATACAAAATATTAGTTGGGCATGGTGGCACGCACCTGTAATCCCAGCTACTACGGAGGCTGAGGCAGGAGAATCACTTGAACCTGGGAGGCGGAGGTTGCAGTGAGCCGAGATCACACCACTGCACTCCAGCCTCCAGGCCGGGCGACAGTGCAAGGCTCCATCTCAAAAACAAACAAACAAACAAACAAACAAACAAAAAAGAGATTCTAACATTCAGCCAGGCATGGTGGCTCATGTCTGTAATCCTAACACTTTGGGAGGCCGAGGCAGGAAGATCACTTGAGCCCAGGAGTTTGAGACCAGCCTGGGCAACAAAGTGAGACTCCTGTCTCTACAAAAAAAGAAATAAAAAATATTAGCTGGGTGTGCTGGCACATACCTGTGGTCCTGGCTACATGGGAGGCTGAGGCAAGAGGACCATTTGAGCCCCAGGAGGTCGAGGCTGCAGTGAGCTGTGTTTGCACCACTGCACTCCAGCCTGGGCAAGAGCACGACATTGTCTAGAAAAAGAGTTTCGAACCCTCAATTTGTATACCAAGTTCCCATCACTTCACTTGCATGAAAAGTGAATCAAATTTCAGACCTTTGGGGGCTAGGATGGGTCTTTACCATGTCCATGGATTCATAATCTGCAGGAAGACCAAGTCCTATTTACCCTGGACGATGAAATTACCTTCCTTTTCAGGTAGCAGGACAAGCCCTTTGCCTTACAGAAAAGGAAGGGGTTTGTGTTCAGGAGTTTCACTGCCAGGTAACTCAATATCCTGTTTATCAATGAATTTTGGGAAGACTTTGGTTTGCTTTGGACAACATACAGACCCCCTACTTCCAGGATCTGAGAAAGGTGATGCCTCCAGTTTTAAAGAAACCAAACAGCTGTTTAGATTAAAGGCATCTGCCTCTGTTCTCTTGACAATGTTGGGAAACTGTGATTGTCGACTGAAGACTTCTTAATTTGACCAGGAAAGGGAAAAAAAAGGTAGAAATCTTATATTTGTACAAGACCCTGACAAGTGAGAACCAAGTCCATTCAGCTGTTCACGTTCGGCTCTTCCCAACACTTGTCATCCACAGATAGTTCTTTATAGACAAAGTCAAAAAGGAAGCATAAAAGGGAAATACAGTTCCGGAACCCTTATCCCGCCCCACATTACTTTGACTGGGATCTCTGGTGCCTAGGAGGTGCCAAGATCCCAATGGAGAGACAACTCTTTGAAAAAAAAAGTGTGCTTTCTTTGGATCCTGGGAAGAATTACAGCTTAATCGCAGGAGCCAATGTTGCCTTGGGGTAATAGGCAGCTTTCTGTGCAGTCACAAATAATAGGTCGCGTCTATTTGCCTATTTGAGTGTGCGAGAAATGTGTGTTGTCTCATGTACCCAGAGGAGATCTTAATTAAAGCTTAATTATGTACCATAAATATGTTTTATTTTGGAACTCAGGGGTGGGATTTTTGATTTTAGGAAATGTGATGCCTAATAAGTAGGCAGGAAAGGGAATGTAAACATCGGCTGAGCCTTTTCATTTGTCCCTCCTCCGAGTGGTTCTGAATGGGTTTTGGTTCCAGTGTGTGCCTTCAGAACGGCCTGCCCCCGGTGCCACCGCTCAGGGCGGCCTCGGCGTGTGCACATTCACATAGCCAAGGGTATGATCAGACGCATTAGGAGAGCCTGTTTGGTTTCTGGGGGTGACATTGCACAGCGTGCCAGCTACAGGAGGTAAGAAATCAAATGAGTCTCCAGAGAGGATGGGATTTTATTGGTCGCTCGCTCCTTTGGCGCTAGAAGGTGCAGCCCCAGTGCAGTGGCCACGCTGTCCCATCTTCCTGCTCCCCCGAACACCACGCCGCCTGGTATTGTTCTTGGTGTGGCCTCTGGCCCCTCTCCTGTCCACCTGCCTTCCGGAAGCCCGAAGTCCCCTCTCCCCGACTGCGCTGTGCTGTGTGCCTTGCAAGAGTGACTTACCACATGAGGTAAATCCTACTGGGCCTTCTGGGGCCCTGAAGGCACAGCACAGGGGTCTCAGCCGGAGTGGGGCAGGAGATGGGGAAGTAGCACAGCACGGCGGGGGACTCGGGCACGGGGTCCGGGGAGGTGGAAGCGGTGCTTGTGAAGGAGGGAACGGTAACCAGAGGGAGAGGACAGTCAGGAGGTTCCTGGGCCACTGGGGAGGCAGGTGGCACTAGTGGCAGGAGGAGGCAGCAGTAATTGGTATTGGGCTGCAGGACAGGGGAGAAAGCAAAGACGGAGCAGTAAGGGGTGTATTCAACACAGAACAGGGGGTGCTTGCTGCTGCCACCTGCACAAAAGAAAAAGAGCAGTCAGGAAGCAGCACTGGCGGTGGGGGGAAGGACATAGAAACGTCTGCGAATGAATCCAAACTCAAAAATTGTTCTCCAATGTCATAGGAGCAGCAGGCCTGGCTCCTGCCCAGGAGGCACCTGGCCTAGATCTCAGCGTCACTGCGGAGTTAACCAAGGGAAGCGGCACCAGCATCACACCCTGTTCCAGCCAACAGTCTCCAGCGTCCCTGACAGATGTCGGGAAGTTCTTTTCCCCGTAAGATCCCGGAGAATGTCCTGAGGCTGCCGTGTGGAAGCTCTGGGGCCTTTCTCGTCTCCCACTGCCAGCTTAATGAGCTGTGCTGGTAGCAACAGATGGCGCCCCGCAGGGTCTCACTTGGGTAAGGCTCTCTCCCTCAATCCTCCAGCTGCCCCCGCTAGCAGGCTGTAGTCATGCCCTGATCTGGCCTTTCTGCTGCGGAGGGGAAGCTTGGGAAAAAGAGAAAGAAAGGAGAGAGATCCCGGCGGGATCATGCGAAGGGAGAAAAATCAAGCTGGGTGAAAAGCAGGTAAACAAGAGAGATGTCTCGTTGAAGCTGATGATCTGTTCACTAACCTCACGCTCAAACTGCTAACCTCGCTGGAGGCAGAATACGGGTGCCTGATGGAGTCATGAGTCAGAGCTACCCCCTCACGCCTGACAAATCTCAGCTTTGCCACTAACCAGCTGGGTCACCTTGAATCGACGGCTTACCTGCCCGGAACCTGTTTCCTCACCTGCAAAACGAGACGGGTGTTTTTTCTAGCCTTGCTCCTTCAAAGGTGGTTCACAGACCAGCCACATCGATGTCACCTGGGACTTCTTAGCAATGCAGGATCTCAGCCCACCCAGACCTTCTGAATCAGAATCTGTAGTTGCTCAAGAGCCCCAGGTGTTTCTCATGAATGTTAATGTTTGGAAAAGCAAGGATCTGAGACAGCTGCCCAAACCCTGGTGATGAGAATCACCTGTTGTTCTTGTTCAAAAATAGTTTCGCAGGCCCCTTTACTGGAGATTCTGATGCTGTGGGTCAGGGACAGGAAGCAGGAATTTTTATTTTTATGAAGAACCTCCCTGGTGATTTTTATTGTCAAAAAAGTTTGGGAGATGCTGCAGCTAAAATCAGTTCCAAGTCTAAAATCCACAGTTGTAGCCATCCAGTTGAAAACTATCACCTAAGGCTGGGCGTGGTGGCTCACGCCTGTAATCCCAGCACTTTGGGAGACCGAAGCAGGCGGATTACTTGAGGTCAGGAGTTCGATACCAGCCTGGCCAACAGGGAGAAACCCCATCTCTACTAAAAATACAAAATTAGCCGGGCATGGTGGCGCATGCCTGTAATCTCAGCTATTTGGGAGGCTGAGGCAGGAGAATCGCTTGAACCTGGGAGGCAGAGGTTTCAGTGAGCCGCGATCGGGCTATTGCACTCCAGCCTGGGTGACAGAGCAAGACTCCATCTCAAAAAAGAAAAAAAAAAAAAGAAGAAAAGAAAACCATTACCTATCGTGGAGGGGTCTCAGTCCTTAGTGCCATGCTACAGAGGATTCGAGTAAATATTATCCACTTCTTTCTTCCTAAATGGCCTCTGGAGTGGCTCCTATTTCTCGGGATCATTTTTCTCTCTCTAGCTGTCTTCACTCATTCTTCTCTTTACAGTTGTTATCTCCCAAAGTCCCCCCAACATCTCTCTTCTTACTCCATCCACTCAGGGGAGACATTCTTGCCATTTCAGCCACCTCTTACTCACTGCAGGCCCTTGGGTCCTACCAGCAAGTGCTCTGGGAGGAAGGGGAGTGCTCTGTTGGGCAGGAGACCTGGGTCCCCAGGTGCTTCCTGGCATTGCCACCTGGCTGCCCTGCCTGCAGCTCAAAGGCAACACCGCAAAAGGGGACCCACCCTCTCCTTGCTTCCTCAGCCTTGGCAGAGGCAACCTCCACTGACCTAGTTTCCTGGGCCAGATTCCTGAGTTCTCTTTGATTCCTCTTTCTTCCTTATCCCTACATCCAAGTCACCAAGTTCTGCCAGCTTTACTTCTTAAATGGCCCTCAAGCCCACTCCCTCTTCCTATTCCCTCTGCTTTTTTTTTTTTTAATAGAGATGGGGTCTTGCTATGTTGACCAGACTGGTCTTGAACTCCTGGCCTCAAGCAATCCTCCCATCTCAGCCTCCCAAAGTGCTAGGATTCCTTACAGGTGTGAACCACTGCATCTGGCCCTCTTCCTTTTGCTTTTGCTCCCGCTCAAGCCCTTCTCATTTCTCCCCCATCCCCTGCAACTGCTACTTGTCTGGTCTCTTGGCTGTGTCTGGCCACCCTCACACTCTCAGCTGGCCCTTCTCCATGCTGCAGTCAGAGTCAGCTTTTAAAAATCCAATCTGATTGCATCACTTTCCTATGCAGAGCCCTTCCAGGACTGATGCCCCGTCGCCTCCAGCATGACATTTAAGGCCCTTGGAGGCCTGATCCTTGCCTACCGGTGGGGCCTCAACTTTATATTTCCTAATTTGTAGCCTGACCCTAAACCAGAAACCAGAGCTTCTCTCTCTCTCTCTCTCTTTTTGAGATGGAGCCTTGCTCTGTCGCCCAGGCTGGAGTGTGGAGTGCAGTCACGTGATCTCAGCTCACTGCAACCTCTGCCTTCTGGGTTCAAGCGATTCTCCTGCCTCAGTCTCCCGAGTAGATGAGATTACAGGTGCGCACCACTACATCTGGCTAATTTTTGTATTTTTAGTAGAGATGGGGTTTCATCATGTTGACCAGGCTGGTCTTGAACTCCTGACCTCAAGTGATCCACCCACCTTAGCCTCCCAAAGCGCTGGGATTACAGGCGTGAGCCACCACGCCTGGCCCTAAACCACAACTTCTGAAACTCAAATGTACATAGGAATATCCCTGAGATCTTCTTCAATGCAGGTTCTGAGCCAGTCAGTCTGGACTGGGGCCTGAGGTTCTGCATTTCTAAGAAGCTCTCAGATGATGGTTTCTGCTACTTGCCTGGGGACACTTGGAGCACAAGGCCCTAGATTATCTGTAGCTCCTCGATATGTGTCTCTCCCTGTCTTCCTTGCTCCCTCTCCTCCGTTCCTTTGCACACTCAGTACCTGCTGCCAGGCACATCTTTCTTGCCCTCTTCACCTGGTTAAACCCCTGTCCTTCAGGATTTTCACTCCACCTGGCCCTGCCCACAAGCTCTTAGAACTTACCTTGGTCAGGGTGCGCCTTGCACTATCTGCCCTTATTGGAATCCTGCTCACCCACCAGGCTGGGAGCCCTGGAGGGCAGGCCCCGTGTGTTTTGTGTTCTGGTTCCCCATTACCCGGCAGGTAAATACGTATAAATGAAGTGCTGAATGAATGAGCAGTGGATGAGTACACCAGTTCGCCCTGGTATCATACACCCTGGGACGTGGGGGACAGTTGGATGTATTTGCTAACATCCCCATAGGTACTGGATAAACGGATGACTTCACTGATGATCAAATCGTTAAAATTTTTAATAATCAAATTATAACCACTTTTTTTGTTGTTGTTGTCGAGACATGGTTTCACTCTGTCGCCCAGGCTGGAGTGCAGTGACACAATCTCGGCTCACTGCAACCTCCTCCTCCCGGGTTCAAGCGATTCTCGTACCTCAGCTTCCCAAGTAGCTGGGATTACAGGCATATGCCACCACACTCAGCTAATTTTTGTATTTTTAGTAGAGACAGGGTTTCACCATGTTGGCCAGGCTGGTTTCTAACTCCCAACCTCAGGTGATCCGCTTGCCTTGGCCTCCCAGAGTGCTCGGATTACAGGCATGAGCCACTGCGCCCGGCCAAATTCTAACCACTCTTACATCTCAAATACAAGTGTCTTTGGTCAAGCAGTGTTCTTATGGAGACATTAGCCCTGGAGTAGTTGGCGGTGTTGGGAGGAGGGTTCATAAGCAGCGGAAGGCCTGGGGATTAACCTTTGCCTAAAGCCTGGTCTACATCCAGGGTTTCCACCCACCTATCTACCTGGTGAGACTGGCAAGGATTCCATTTTACTGATGAGGAAACTGAGTTCAGAGAAGTTGTCCGCTCACATTTATGGGGTTATAAAGTGATAGCACCAGGATTTGGAGCCAAGACTTCATTCTGGGCTCTGCGACAACCCCGAGCCCCCCTGTCTTGAGAGCATGTATCATAATAGAGAATATGATTCTCTATTAAAAAGTGGGAGTATCCACTTAAATTGTTTGTTTTTTTCTAACTTGGCAGATAGCTTGGAAAGTTCCTGGACACCAGTTGGACTTGCCGCGAAAACCATTAATCTGGCCTTTCAGAGAAAATCTTCAGAAGAATGTATTTGCAAGGTGAATTATGAGGATTTAGGATTTGCCCTCAAATTTCTCTTTCAGGCTGCTCTTCAAATAAATATTTCCCCATCCAAAAGAGACCACAGTTATTTTAGATGTTTGTCTCTTAACATCTGAATGCACTGCTTTTTCTTAGCTTTACAAGAACCTGTCCTCACAATAATCCACTCTACAGCTGAAAAGTCTTCTTACTCCTGCAAATCTGAACCCAGTAATGACTAACATTGCACCCAATAAGAAGTGAGGATAATTTCAGAACACTTGGCTTTGCTTTAAAGGGCAAGATTTTGGAAGCAGGTTCACAGGACTCCATCCAGATCTGTCTTCCTGGCACACAGCTCAGGGGACCATGCCCAAGCTCCAGGTGACAGCAGAGGGCAGGAGAGGGGACGCTTGCTTCCCACATGTCTGGCCCTAGGGTAGGGAGCTCGTTAGGACTCCAGGTGCCAGAATCCCACAGCACAGTGGCCTCTGGATGCCCCTTCGTGTCCTGGAAAGGAGAGGCGGCTCCTCTCCAACTCAGGGTGGGGCTGGGAGAGGTCTTGACAGCAGGCAGGCCTTGGAGGCCACCGCAGCTCCCCAAATGTCCCTGTGCCTCTGCACTCGCTGGGCCTGCTAGCTGTTCTGGGTCTCAAGGGTATATATACAATTCTGAACATGTAACTAAGAACATGTAACTCCACTAGGCTCATATCTCACCCTACACCAGCGTTCATGATGTGGGATTTCTGAGCTGACTGCACGTGAGACCCGGCCAGGTCTTGACTCACTGCCTGAATTTTCCACGTCTTTCTGGAGATAAAGCCTTTCTCTGGCTTGGTGAATGCTGTCTGATTCTTCATCTTTTTCCATTTGGCATTTTGCTTTGAAACTCAGAGTGTTGTAAAAGTAGTTGTACCTGCATTTATGTTAGAGATTCTAAAAAATACAACTCTGAGCTGGGTGCTGTGGCTCATGTCTGTAATCCTAGCACTCTGGGAGGCCAAGGCGGGAGGATCACTTGAGCCCAGGAGTTCAAGACCAGCCTGGGCAACAAAGCAAGACCTCGTCTCCATAAAAAGTAAAAAAAATGGCTAGGTGTGGTGGCTCATGCCTGTAACCCCAGTACTCTGGGAGGCCAAGGTGGGTGGATCACCTGAGGTCGGGAGTTCAAGACCAGCCTGACCAACATGGAGAAACCCTGTCTCTACTAAAAATACAAAATTAGCTGGGCATGGTGGCGCATGTCTGTAATCCCAGCTACTCGGGAGGCTGAGGCAGGATAATTGCTTGAGTCCGGGAGGCGGAGGTTGCCGTAAGCCGAGATCGCGCCATTGCACTTCAGCCTGGGCAACAAGAGTGAAACTCTGTCTCAAAACAACAACAACAACAAAACAAAACAAAAACAAAACAAGTAAAAAATTAGCCAGGCATAGTGGCGTGTGCCTGTAGTCACAGCTACTTGGGAGGCCGGGGTCAGAGGATCACTTGAGCCCAGGAGTTTGAGGTTGCAGTGACCTATGATTGCACCAGTACACTTCAGCCTGGGCAACACAGTAAGACCCCATCTCTATAATCAATCAATCAGTCAATCAATAAAATACAACTCTGATTTTGTAAAGAAAAAAAGATGTTTTGGGAGGACAACCTTAAGACAAAGAAAACAAAGTTTTCTAGTCCCATCTCCTCATTACCTGCTGCTGTCATGTGCTAGGAATAATAATGCAATAATTAATTGAGTTGCCACAGCGGCAGGGACTGTCCTAAAGGCTGGATGTATGTTTTATCATTGAGTTCTCACAGCAATCCCAGCAGGCAGGATCTGTTTCTCCCCATTGTACAGATGAGGAAACTGAGGCACAGAAATGCTTTACTTGGCCAAAGGTAGACAGCAAATAAATGGGGCCCAGATGCAAATGCAAACATTTTGACTCCAAAACACTTGCCCATAAACCGCATGCGCCACTGCATGGAGAGATATAACAAGGACCACCACAAGTCACTCATCCAGAAGCAGTTTCATGGACTATACAAACTTAATTTAAACGTGTGAATTCCTTCTAACAGGATGAAGAGCAATCTGATGCCTTCTCAGTTACAAATCTGTTTGTAGAGGGCATTGATAGTTCCTATATTTTAAATAGTTGTTTTGGAGGTTCTAGATGGCAGATTACATACAAAGAAAAATGCTTTTTTGATGACATGGATTATCATTACATAGATTTGCAGTGAGTCGAGCCATGTTCCCCAGCTATATATTTTTTTTTCAGTAAAAGTCTGGTATAACACAGGAAGTTATACCAGATTCTACTTCTGTAGCCTATTAGGCAGATGTTGCGAAGGAATTTCACTGTGTTTGATGCTTCAATTTCGTACAGAATCTCAGGTCTGACATGGAAGAAGTTTTGATGACTTACTGCCAACTTTGTATCACCCCCAAAATGCTTTAGAGAAATATCTCTCTACAGAGGAAAGCAAGGAACTGTGACTTTAACTAGTGAATTGGATCAACGTGTCCAGCTAATTCAGGTACCAAATCCTATTTTTCTGTAACAGCAGAAAACTGTCACGACTGCCACTGAGCTCAACTTTTCCTGAACAGACTCAGCTAAAATCCTTGCCATGTCTCAGTTCTCATTTCACTATGCTAATTAGGGAGCCCAGAGGGTGAGTCTACACATGTAAAATGGATGGATCTTAACACATCGATGCTTTGTTTTTAGCCAGATTGCTGCACAACTGATTCCACTTCTGCAGCAACTGCCATCCATCACCAGGACTGCTCTGCCTGGGGACAGCCAGGCCACAGCCCTGCTGACGTCTGCATGGGTCTTGGACGTGGTCTAGGGCCAGAACGCAGTGATGAAGCTGGTGGTTTGTAGAGGCTTTTACTACAAGTAACATCCCTCATTTGATGAAATAGATATCTTTCTGCCAACTTGGCTCTGTCACTGAAACCTGGTGTTTTTGTCTGGTAATTCTTCAAATTTGATGTTTTAAAGAATGTTAAGTGAATTAATTCCTCCTTTTTGTCAGTGCTATAAGTTCCATACAGAGTTTGCTCAGTCTGAAGTACATCTGTATTAATTAGACAAACTAAAGCATTGGGTGGATCTAAACGGTTCCTTTTAATGATTTTTCTCCACGATGACAAGGCACACTATACAAACAACCACCTGATTTTAGCAAGAGGGCTAAAAATTATATTGCATAAATGGAGTTGCATTATTTAAACTTAAATTCAGGCCAGGTGCGGTGGCTCACGCCTGTAATCCTAGCACTTTGGGAGGCAGAGGCAGGCGGATCCTTGAGATCAGAAGTTCGAGACCAGCCTGGACAACATGGTGAAACCCTGTCTCTACTAAAAATACAAAAATTACCCGGAAATCGCTTGAACCGGGGAGGCGGAGGTTGCAGTGAGCTGAGATCGTGCCACTGCACTCCAGCCTGGGCAACAGAGCGAGACTCTGTCTCAACAGAAACAAACAAACAAAAACAACAACAACAAAAAACAAAAAAACCCTGAAATTCAAACTTTTGCCATTAAAAACATCCTCAATTCGATAAATTACAACTTGTATTTTGAAATATTGGTGGAATGACCTTACCTGCTCTATTTCAACCTTAAACAGCTGAATTAAAAGCCTAATTCCTACCAAAAGTCTTTAAAATGAGAAATTAACTGTGATGATACTTTCCCCTGATTAAATAAGAAGCAAGAGCTGGGGCTTTGCCTGAGAGGACATCATTTCAGAAGTCAATTTGGTTTTGACTTCGTTAAAGCAATAAAATGTGGGTGGTTAATCTGAGTGAAAGCTGCCATGTTCTAAAAATGCGTGAAGACTTAACTGGATGGGTGGTTGCACCGCAGAAGCTATTTAGGATTGGAAAGTAGCTGTGATTTGGATTTTAATGAATTGCACACTGTTGACGAATTCTTCAGCAGTTAGCCTGGATCCTTTCCACTCAACTTAGACCTTTCTGCCTAGTTACTCCAACTTAAACCTCAGTTCCTGGAGGAATCAAGTTTGTCTTATAGCTGTTGTCTTTGATGGAGATGAGCCCGAGAGACATTAAAGTTTCAGTGAATTTTATCCCCTTTCTGGATACTATTAAATCACTCCTGCCCCAGGCAGAAGACTGGTCTTTACTCTAAGGCAGCTAAAGAGTGACTATTTTTCCAAATTGCACAAAAGGGAGAATTTATCAAGCACCTTTTCTCTCAGAGAGGACAAACCCAGAACAGGAAAACTTTATTACTTTCTCTCTTGGCTATAAATTATGCTATTCAGATGTATTTGAAAGCTTCTCTTTATGCTCTTGCTTGAGCCATAAAACTTGATACCTGGGGCCAAATGCCTTTATCCCCAAGAAGGGTGAAGAAGATGAAAAGGCAGCAGCTCTAGGCGGAAGCCACACAAATGACTGGGCAGAAAATGCGGGCGGTGGAGAAAGTTACATTGCACGATTCATGCCTCTTTGACCTTATATTCTACTCTGAAATTAATGTTACTGTTTGCATAGGATCACTGGCCTTTCGAAACCTGAATTAGCCATTCAGAAAACACTAGGTTTAACCAATACCATCAATTTGATTGTTGTTGTTATACTTATTTATTTTTGAGGCGGGGTCTTGCTCTGTTGCCCAGGCTGAAGTGCAGTGGTGCCATCTTGGCTTACTGCAACCTCCACCTCCCGGGTTCAAGCGATTCTCCTGCCTCAGCCTCCCGAGTAGCTGGGATTACAGGATTATACCTGTTTAATTTTTGTATTTTTAGTAGAGACAGGATTTCACCACGCTGGCCAGGCTGGTCTTGGACTCCTGACCTCAAGTGATCCGCCGGCCTCAGCCTCTCAAAGTGCTGGGATTACAGGCGTGAGCCACCGTGCTCGGCCTGTTGTTGTTATTTTTAATACCGGGATTTTAGATCTGATGAATTTCAATAAGCCAGCCACTCACCTGGAGAGGGTTCGCTGGGGTCCACTTTCTCTGCTTTCCTTACAGTCATGGTACTTTTATGTTTCTGCTTGACTGATGTTTGGTCAATTGCTGGAAGTTTGGAGTCACACTTAAATGCAGATATCTTGATAGATGACCTTGGTTCAGTTAGAGCATCCTCCTCACTAGAACTCTACCAAAAATGAAATACGTCTGAGTCTCAGTGGCCAAGTAGGTCAACTTTGTTAGGCAGAGAAAACAGAAATGAGGCAAATGCAGTGACCCTCTCCAGCAATAATCCTAGAGTCTTCTGCCAGGTCAACACGCCCGTTCACCAGAGAGATTCAGATGGACTGGGCAGAGCAACTTAGAAATAATGGCAGAGTTAGTGAGTCTGTTTTGTAGAACATTATGAAAGAATGCATTTTTCTGTGAGTGTGTTTTGTAGAACGTTATGAAAAGAATGCATTTCTGACCCTTAAGTAATTTGATGACAGATAAATAGCGCATGTGCTTTTAAACTTCTTATTGTTTGTTATTTGAACTACTTTGGAGATAGGCTAGAAGAAAAAATGTTCCTTATGTTAATCATACATTTGACAATGAAAAGGAAATGTAGATAGTGTGACGGAGGCAGATTAAATCAGACCTCAGTTTCAATACTCTGCGTTACTGGGTGCAACACGAGACAGACTAATCTTTTAAAAAGTCCCCTCCTTGTCACTCTTCTATAAAGAAGTCAGTATAAATCTATGCATGGACAAATCATGATTCCTGCTGTGTCAGAATATCTCAACACAGCCATGCCGACGCAATAAAAATTATCCAGGCATGGAACAGCTTTATACTTGGCCACACTTACACCCACCAAAGAAAGGATGAAAACAATATAAATATCAGAAACCTGGTCTTAAAGGTGATTTAAGTACAGCCTGATGGCTTTAGGTCCTGGTGTTGGTATGACTTGCTAGGCTATCCATTCTGCAACAAATAAATCACTAGGTTCCCCCTTCCCCGACCCTGGGGGGTCGTTGCGGTGGGGGTGGAGGGGGGCACTAAGCTCTCTCCTCCATTGCACATTAGTCCAGTGTTGGAAAGTCCTGTGAAAATGTGGTCTTTTGCAGGCATAGAATGCTAAATTAACATCCCTGGTACCTCCCCAACTGTTGCAATTTGTATTGATCTTGCTCACCGTTCTCCCTGTCAGTTGTGGCATTTTCATTTCACAGGCTCCTGACTCAGGAAAATACTCTGAGTAGCTTTGAATTATTGGGTGTGATGTAAGACAAACTAAATTCTAAAAAAGTCCTCTACTTGTCAGTCTTCTGTAAAGAAGTCTACATAAATCTACAGGTGGACACATCATTATGCTCCAAGATGATGAATCATATTTTAAATTTAGAGTTTGGATACAGCCTTCAAACAAATAATTCTTGTTTCTCCGCACAATTTCAGAAAACAGACCACCCTCAGATAAAAGAACCAGAAAAGCACAAGACACAACAAACTGACTGTTCTCCCCTTTCCTTTTCGATTTTGCTATTTAATTGAAATCCTTGCAAATAACTCTGAAATGTCAAAGATGAAACATTAGGTCATTTCTTTTTTCTTTTTTTCTTTTTTTTGAGACAAAGTTTCACTCTTATTGCCCAGGCTGGAGTGAAATGGTGCCACCTTGGCTCACTGCAACCTCCGCCTCTCGGGTTCAAGCAATTCTCCTGCCTCAGCCTCCTGAGTAGCTGGGATTACAGGCACCCACCATCATACCCGGCTAATTTTTGTATTTTTAGTAGAGACGGGGTTTCGTTATGTTGGCCAGGCTGGTCTCGAACTCCTGACCTTAGGTGATCAACCCATCTCAGCCTCCCAAAGTTCTGGGATTATAGGCGTGAGCCACTGTGCCTGGCTAAAACATTAGGTCATTTCTGAACATGAGATAGGTTCTCTATTCTCAGAAAAGAAAATGCGGGCACATTTTAAGTATGACACCTAAGAATGTCATTGTAATTGGGTCCTGGAAGTCACAGTCCTGGAACTGGGTCCCAAGAAGAGCATCAATGAATAAGGGACAGAATTTCTTCCATAAACTGCCCAACAAAATCAGCTCACTGCAGTGGGTTAAGTCAACTCCCACAGGGCCCTGCAAGTGAGCCCTTTATTTCCAGCCAGCAGAAAGGCAGGAAAAATGCTCCAGGCGAGGATGACCAACACCTGTGTCAGCAGCAGTAGCAGCAGCAGCAGCAGCAGGTGTCCGCTCAGCTCATCTTCGCGGATCCATTTCCATTACCCCCAGCCAGGGCCGGAATTCTTGGCTTGCCCCAGGCTGTGGTGAATAGGGAGGAGACCTTTATTGGTTGAGCTGTTAAGCCACGTTTATCCTTCCTCCACCCATTCATTAAACCTCAAGCCTTTAGTGCACTGAAGAGGTGAAAGCTTGGCCAATTAAATCATCCTGTTACCTACGGGATTGTGAGCCTACATTGTGAATACATCCTTCTCTGGTTCAATCAACCTTATTTCTAGGTAGTAATCATTAAGAGTCTAGAAATTGCAGCTAGAAGTTGGTGTTTTATCAGTTGTAAACCGAAGGTACAATGGCAAGAAGTGTAATACTTACAAATGTGTTAATGGACTTTTTTCCTGCTTGCCTCATTGAGAAATCTTAAATAAATCACGTCCACCTTTTGGTCTTTATTCTGTCTTCTTACGTTCTCAGCCATTCCCATCTATCCTCTTTCTTTCTTTTTTCTGGAGACAGAGTCTTGCTCTGTCACCCAGGCTGGAGTGCAATAGCGCGATCTCGGTTCACTGCAACCTCGACCTCCCCGGTTCAAGCAATTCTCCGGCCTCAGCCTCCTGAGTAGCTGGGACTACAGGCACACGCACCATGCCTGGCTAATTTTCTGTATTTTAGTAGAGATGGGGTTTCACCATGTTGCCCAGGCTGGTCTCGAACCCCTGAGCTCAGGCAAGCCGCCCGCCTTGGCCTCCTAAAGTGCTGGGATTACAGGCGTAAGCCACCACGCCCGGCCTATCCTCTTTCATGAAACCCCATCGTATCACGCAGGGAGGATCGTCCTTGAGTGGGAGAAGTTGTAGTAAATCATCCTGGCACTAAAGTGTGGTACTTAAGGCCCTGGAGCCCAGCTCCACGGGAGTGAATCCCAGCTCTTGCACATAGTAATTGTGTGACATTGGGTTAGTTCATTTCTCTGGATCTCAGATTTCATTTGTGAACAATAGTATCTACCTTTTGGTGGTTTTGTGAGGATTACATAATATATATATGTACGCATAGCACTTAGAACAGCACCATATACATGTAACCCAGCAAGCGCCATGCAAGTATTGGCTTTTATAATTAGCCATTAATTCATGTTCAGCCATTTATAAAATTAACTAGCTAACTACTGAACATTTACTACCTATGGTTGAAACTAAAGTCAAAGTCCCCAGTGAAAAATCCTATTGGATTTCACCTATTCCAAAAGGGTGGTATGAATGGAGACGTGGGTTAGTTCCACACCAGACTCTTGGTTTCTTCTCCAGGGAATATAATCTATAATAGTATGACAATCTTATAAATGGCCAGTTGAAATTTATCTAGTTTTAAGAAAATATGGTGCAATGGTTTTTGAGACAGTAAAGCTCTAATGGCAAATATTTGACAACATTAGAGATAATCAAACAATAATAATTAAAATTTTAATTTTAAAGTTGATTTTTAAATTGCATCTTTTCCTCTTGTAATTTTGAAAAATAATTACAATTTTCATTCCTTCCTCATGTGTCCCCAAGTTGAAATGTCACTTGGAGGTGGAGGCAACAGCACACTGCTATTCCTTTGGGGGACGAAAGCCAGCTCTATCTTTAAAAATCAAAGCCCACGACATTAAAAACAAACCAAAAACCAAAATAAAACAAAACCCAACCTACGTGACACTTAAGTATACTTCACATTCTCTGCTGAGAATCTGATGAAAGTTCTAACAAAGCCATGTTAACTAAAATAAGTTGACGAAATCAGTATTTTCTTGAGAATCGTCATTTTTGTACTTAAGGTTTTCCAAAGATCCCGAACTTGCTCTACTGGCCTCATGTCTAATAAAGTAGAGTTATCACTCTGCCCAGGGCTACGCGCTTTCAAAAGTTCACAGAAAGGCCCACACTGAGGAGAGAAGGAACTTAACTGGGTAAGTAGCATTGGGCAGTGAGGTAATGACATCATGGTTCAAGTAGATGTCCTGGAAGGTGAAAACGCATGGGTTGAGAAGGGGGATGAATCTCCTCGGGAATGTGAGAATGATTCAATTCTTAACAACTAGGACCTAACAATATGGTGTCTGAAATGATAAGGCGACAGTGAACAGAGATGACCCGAAGAGCAAGTAGACTAAGGCAGTCGGGGACAGAAAAGACTTCAAGTTATTTTCCAACTATTGCCTGATGGCTCCTTTCCAAGAACCGGCAAACTGGTTCTTAACTGATATGCCATTTCTGTCCCTCCCCGAGAGGTGCTACTGAATTCTGATTGATGTGTACCGAACCCATCTTTGCCGTGAGTCACGTGATGGAGGCTGAGCTAAGTGGATCTATGATATAGTGCAGGGCACAGCTTGCTGTGGATGGGAGGGAAAAGGCAAAGAGTAGTGTCAAGCTGGCGCCAGACTGTGTTGAGTACATTTGAAATGAACTTGGTCTCGTGAGATTATAAAGGAGTGTGATCAAGGCAGTGAACCTCAACCTTTAAACAGTGACAACATGGGAAGGTCGATCAAGGGACTGTGTGTGCCACCTTCAAGAGCACTGTCCCCAAAGCCCACACTCAAATTGTGCTTCAAACACAAAAACCACCTTAGGGAATTGAGGGCAGCTTGTATAAATAGCATTCTGGATAGGACGGCTACCTTTACGTAGTCATGAAATGTAAAATATGTCCTGCACAAAGTGCTGTTGTAGCACGAAGCAAGCAAAACTTTCTCTTGTCTAGAAAAAAACTCTTACAGCAGCAAAATCCCTCCTGTGCGTTCAAGACAATTTTGAGTGTGCCAGAATTGTACGCTTGGACAATAAAGAACGAGGCTCAGTAGGCTTTTTGGTCTTTCTGGACTCAGGTACCACCCACCTGAATCAAACTGCTGCTGACTCTCATCTGTCTCCCCTATCTGAAGACGTGGCTGCCAGGTGGAGCTGGGTAAGACTAGGCACTACATGCCCTTGGTCTCCATTTTGCCTGAACATGCTTTTTGGAGGCCAGGTGCTGTGGTTCACGCTTGTAATCCCAGCACTTTGGGAGGCCAAGGCAGGCGGATCACTTGAGGCCAGGAGTTCAAGACCAGCCTGGCCAACATGGTGAAGCCCCGTCTCCACTGAAAATACAAAAAAAAAATTAGCTGGGCGTAGTGGCATGCGCCTGTAATTCCAGCTACTCGGGAAGCTGAGGCACGAGAATTGCTTGAACCCGGGAGGCAGAGGTTGTAGTGAGCTGAGATTGTGCCACTGCACTCCAGCCTGGGCAACAGAGCAGGACTCTGTCTCAAAAAAAAAAAAAAAAAAAAAAAAAAGATGCCTTTTGGAGTCAGCTGGGCTGCCAGATTGCCTAAATATCACAGGCACCTGTCTACCATCGAGTTCCACAGAGAACACCCTCCTGCCTACAGGCTTCTCTCGGATTTTCAGTCCAGCAAGTTGAAACGACCCAGCCTGTGGCCCTGGCTGGAGAGTGGCCTCGGTGATTTAAGTCTTCATAACATTCCATCACTACGGGGGTGCCCTCTGAAGGAGAGGCATGTGGGTCTGCTTGCTTTGCGATTACTATTCAGCCCACTATGGAACGGCCAGAGTGAAACTTCGCGCTGCAAGTTACTGACATGGCAAGCAGGACGTGCTAGGTACTTCTTATGATGCCAGGCAATCCTTTGTGTGCTGCAGAAATCACTGTTCAGTTTACTTGGTTGGTGACCACACATTTTTCCCGCTTCCAAATACTAGGGACACCTGTCTGTAGTATTATCTGGCTGTAGCAGGAGCAGGGTTCTGTGTGGTGCGAGGACGAAAAGGAAGCAGTATGTGGCCAGGAAATTGATAGATTTTAAAAACCGGAATGCAGCTGGGTATGGCAGCTCACGCCTGTAATCCCAGCACGGTAGGAGGCTGAGGCACTTGAGCCCAGGAGTTTGAGACCAGCCTGGGCAACATAGCGAGACCTTGTCTCTACAAAAAATAAAAAAAAATTAGCCAGGCATGGTGGTGTGCACTCATATTCCCAGCTACTCAGGAGGCTGAGGCAGAAGGATTGCCCACGCCTAGGAGGTTGAGGCTGCAGTGAGCTGTGATTGTGCCACTGCACTCCAGCCTGGGGGACAGAGCAAGACCCTGTCTCAAAATAAATAAATAAATAATTGGGGCCGGACGCGGTGGCTCACGCCTGTAATCCCAGCACTTTGGGAGGCCGAGGCAGGCAGATCACCTGAGGTTGGGAGTTCAAGACCAGCCCAACCAACATGGAGAAACCCTGTATCTACTAAAAATACAAAATTAGCTGGGCATGGTGGTGCATGCCTGTAATCCCAGCTACTCAGGAGGCTGAGGCAGGAGAATCACTTGAACCTGGGAGGTGGAGGTTGCAGTGAGTTGAGATAGCACCATTGCACTCCAGTCTGGGCAACAAGAGCGAAACTCCGTCTCAAAAAAGAAAAGAAAAGAAAAAAAGAACGTTAAAATGCGGTGTTTAATAGTTTAACAGCACATTGAGATTGCCCTTGACGTAGGTGTCTTTCAGATATGGTTTTGCTACAATGTGTTTCCCCTTCATCCTTTATTTGAATTCATATTCTTTTAGCTGAGAGGAGCATCTGAGCAACACCAGGGGGCTTGGCCATCAAATGGAGATCATCGATGAAAATGCTTCCTATTCGGAATAACAGGTCATTAAACATGGAAGTCAATTGAGATGTATCATACGCGCCTATTATGTCTTTAACACCGTGCTAGGCTCTGTGAAGGATACAGAAATAAGCTGACAAGGAGAGAGATAAGATTAATGACTTACCAGCAAAACGGAAAACAATGTTTAATCAAGGGATACGTTCTGTTGCACCCATTCTAAATGTCATGGAAAACCCCTGGGAAAAGGTGAAAGGTCAAGGGAAGGTGGTGGTGTGTGCTGGGACTTGAAGAATGGGTGGGGTCTGGCTAGGCTGGAGGTAGCACATGAGCCGCAGGATGGATGGAGTGAAAAGAGCAGGCGTGATTCTAGGACAGCCAGGCAGGTGGCTTGAGCATGGGGTGAGGAGGAGGGTGTGGGCCAGATTGTGGGGAGCCCTGAGATTCAAGCAAATGTGATAGAGAGTGGGGTCCCACTGAAGGTTTCTGAGTAGAAGAATGCTTAAAGTAGTACTTACAATTTAGCTATATGTTTCTTTTAGAGAGAGAAAACAAAACATCCTGCAAATTTGCCAGTCAAATAATCTCTTTGTGGTTTCAATGGTTTATTTTTGTAAAGCATAATTCTTTTCTTTATTACAAAAGAAATGCATGCTCAGAATGGAAAAACAAAAACAAGCATAAAGATATTTAAAACATTCAAAAACCAATTAACCTTGAAATAAAAGCTTTGAATTGGTGGGTCTGTATTCTTTTTTTTTTTTTTTTTTGAGATGGAGTCTCCCTCTGTCGCCCAGGCCGGAGTGCAGTGGCATGATCTCGGCTCACTGCAACCTCCACCTCCCAGGTTCAAGTGATTCTCCTGCCTCAGCCTCCCAAGTAGCTGGGATTACAGGCATGCACCACCACGTCTGGCTAATTTTTGTATTTTTAGTAGAGATGGAGTTTCACCATGTTGGCCAGACTGGTCTTGAACTACTGACCTCAAGTGATCCACCTGCCTCAGCCTCCCAAAGTGCTGGGATTACAGGTGTGAGCCACCTGTAATGCCCGGCCCTGTATTCTTTTAGACACTTTTTAATGACTGATGGAGACTACTACCTTTCTAGCAAAATCCCTTCTAAATCGCTAAGAGTTGAAGTCGGGATGTGTGGTTGCCCATCTTGAACTGAATCGTTCAGCCCCTGCACCTACTGCCCCACTGCAACTCAGGAGAAAGGTCTCACCCAGGGGAGTATGAGCAGAAGCAATGTGTGCAGCCTCCACAGAGAAAATATCTGGCCCTGCACCTCTGCCTATCACCTTCCTGTGAGCTGGAGAACAACAACTTTGAAAGTCATATGTTGAAGACGGCAGAACCAGCATCAGCCTGAGTCCCTGAAAGTCTGAGAAGTGCTGCCTGCTGACCTGCACATCTCACCAGGACTGTCACGTGTGCAAGAGATACACTTTTATCTTGTCGACTGAGCCACTGCATTCTTGGTCCCTTTGTTACAGCAGCTAACATTACTCTAACATAGAATTGTACCATTCATATGGGCCAGGTGCAGTGGCTCATGCCTGTAGTCCCAGTACTTTGGGAAGCGGAGGTGGGTGGATCAAGAGGTCAGAAGTTTGAGACCAGCCTGGCCAACATGGTGAAAGCCTGTGTCTACTAAAGATACCAAAAATTAGCCGGGCATGGTGGCATGGGCACCTGTAGTCCCAGCTACTTGGGAGGCTGAGGCAGGAGAATCGCTTGAACCTGGGAGGTAGAGGTTGCAGTGAGCCAAGATCACGCCATTGCACTCCAGTCTGGGTGACAGGGCAAAATTCCGTCTCAAAAGAATTGTACCATTTATACTGTTTTACTTAACAATACCTTGCAGCAATAGATACCTTTCTAGAACTGTTTTCAACTTTATTTTGAAAAGTTTCAAATCTACGGAGAAATTGAAAGAATAGTACAAATCACACCCTTTATTCTTTACCTTGGCAATTTGCTTTCTCTTTTTATATATAGTCTTTTTCTGAACATTTTCAAAATGACCACACTTCAAGATACTTTACCCCTAAATACTTCAGCAGGCATCTCCTATCAAAATAGACATTCTCCTGCAATGCCACAATACCATTATTTTACCTAAGAAAATTTAATCGTTCCATCATATTTTCTAATATGCAGAGCAGATTCCAACCCAATTGTCCCCAAGATGTCTTTTTGGGTATACATTTGGATCAATGATTCAGTCAAGGCACAATGTCTCTTTAGTTTTTTAATCTAGAACAATTCTCTGGTCTTTTGGCTTTTTAATTATTTTTCCCATTTTGAAGTGATCCAGTCAGCTGTCTCATAGAATGTCTTACGCTCTAAATTTGATTGCTCCTCATAATAAAATTCAGTTCAATTGTTTTGGGTGTGATTATTTTATAGGTGGTGTGGTGTCCTTCTTTATAATATCCTATCAGCAGGTGCCTTGTTAGGTTGTCCCAATATTGGTAAATGCTGTGTTTGATCTATAGGATAAGGTGGTGACCACCAGATTTCTCCAATGTAAAGGTACATTTTTTCCCTTTGTAACTAGCAGGTAATCAGTGGGATGGTTCTTTGGCACTGATTGAATAGCCTGTCCCTAAGTAGTATTTTACCCAATGATTTTAGCACCTTTTAATGTGCTTTGCCTATATTGATAATTACATTGGGGTAGCAAAATTGATGATTTTCTAATCCTACATTTGTTTGTTTGTTTGTTTGTTTGAGACAGAGTCTCGCTCTGTCACCTAGGCTGAAGTGCAGTGGCGTGATCTCGGCTTACTGTAACCTCCGCCCTGCAGGTTCAATTCTTGTGCCTCAATCTTCTGAGTAGCAGGTACTATAGGTGCACGCCAACATGCCTGGCTAATTTTTGTATTTTTAGTAGAGACAGGGTTTCACCATGTTGGGCAGGCTGGTCTCGAACTCCTGAGCTCAAGTGATCTCCCCACCTCGGCCTCCCAAAGTGCTGGGATTGTAGGCGTCAGCCACCACGCCCAGCCTAATTCCACATTCCTTTTACAATTATTAGCTAGCATTCTTCTCTAAAGAAGTATTTTCTTCCCCTTCCCCTTTCTTTTTTCTTTTTATTATCATTGCATTCTCAAGGATATGTTTTATTCAATTTTTTTTGTTCCTCAAATTGTGCCAAAAATGGTGAGTGGCAGTTCATTCAAGTTGGCTTTTAAAAATTTTTTTCAATGTTTGTTTTAGATACAGGGGGTACATATGCAGGTTTGTTACATGGGTATATTGCACCAGGTCATGAGCATAGTACCCAATAGATAGTTTTTCAATCCACATCCCCCTCCTTAGTGCACTTAGTAGTCCACAGTATCTGTTGTTCCCTTGTTTATATCCATGTGTGCTCAATATTTAGCTCCCACTTATAAGTGAGAACGTGTGGTATTTGGGTTTTTGTTCCTGCGTTAATTCCCTTAGGACTATGGCCTCCAGCTCCATCCATATTGCTCCAAAGAACATGGTTTCTTTCTTTTTTATGACTGTGTAGTACTCCATAGTGTATATGTACTACATCTTCTTTATCCAATCTACCATTGATAGGCACCTACACTGATTCCATGTCTTTGCTATTGCAAACAGCATGGCAATAAACATACATATACATGTGTCTTTTTGGTATAATGATCTATTTTCCTCTGGGTATATACCCAGCAATGGGATTGTTGGGTTGAATGGAAGCTTTGTTTTAAGTAATTAGAGAAATCTCTAAACTGCTTTCCACAGTGGCTGAACTAATTTACATTCCCAGCAACAGTATGTAAGTGTTCCCTATTCTCCACAGCCTTGCCAGCATCTATTGTATTTTGACTTTTTTTTTTTTTTTTGAGACAGAGTCTTGCTCTGTCTCTCAGGCTGGAGTGCAGTGCACGATCTTGACTCACTGAAACCTCGGCCTGCTGGATTCAAACTGTTCTCATGCCTCAGCCTCCTGAGTAGCTGGGATTACAGGCGTGGACCACCACACCCAGCTAATTTTTGTATTTTTAGTAGAGACAGGGTTTCACTATGTTGGTCAGGCTGGTCTCAAACTCCTGACCTCAGGTGATTCACCCGCCTTGGCCTCCCACAGTGCTGGGATTACAGGCGTGAGCCACCGCACCTGGTCTGTATTTTGACTTTTTTTTTTTTTTTTTTTTTTGAGACAGAGTCTCACTCTGTCTCCCAGGCTAGAATGCAGTGGCATGATCTTGGCTCACTGCAACCTCTGCCTCCCAGGTTCAAGTGATTCTTCTGCCTCAGCCTGACTAGTAGCTGGGACTACAGGCGCCCGCCACCATGCCTGGCTAATTTTTTGTATTTTTAGTAGAGGCGAGGTTTCATTGTGTTAGCCAGGATGGTCTTGATCTCCTGACCTCATGATCCAGCCGCCCAAGCCTCCCAATTCCTAGCCACACCTATGTGGCTGTAGATCATGTAATCTAATAATTATTAAACAAATGTAAAATTAGTAGAGTCACAGACTTTTTTTAAAAAAAGGAAATATGAACACCCATAAGAACATGGAATGGGGGATGGAGGTGTCCTAATCTAGTTTGGGGGTGTAACTAGTGAGCTGAGAGAGACCTCCCTATGGAAGTGACCTCAGCTGCAATCTCAGGCATGGCGGGAGGGGGTGAGTGCTGCAAGGGGAGGGAACAGCACGTGCAAAGGTGCTCTATCAGGAGGTGGCCGGGTACTTCAGAGGACACAAAGCCAGTGGGGGTGAAATGCAGAGCTGTAAGGAGAGCTAGATCTCGCAGGGCCTCGTTGGTTACATCCTCAAGCTAAAAGCCACAGAATGCCATGGAGGGATTTTAAGCAGGCAAATAAAATGGACTGAGCTCTGCTTGTCAATATCTATTTTTTTTTTTTTTTTTTCTGAGACAGAGTCTCACTCTGTTGCCCAGGCTGGAGCACAGTGGTGTGATCTCGGCTCACTGCAAGCTCTGCCTCCAGAGTTCCAGCAATTTTCATGCCTCAGCCTCCTGACTAGCTGGGATTACAGGCGCACACCACCATGCCCAGCTAATTTTTGTATTTTTATTAGAGACGGAGTTTTGCTATGTTGGCCAGGCTGGTCTCAAACTCCTGACCTCAACTGATCTGCCAGCCTCGGCCTCCCAAAGTGCTGGGATTACAGGCGCAAGCCACCACCCCCAGCCTGCTTGTCAATATCTCTCTACCTGTGTTATAGAAAATGGGATCTGGGAGCAGGAGTGTGAGTGTGAACACTGGTTAGGAGGCCACTGCAGTAACTCAATGAGATGGTGGCAGACAAGATGATCCAGATGGATTCAAAGGTATTGAGGAAGTGAAATGGAAAGGACTTGGTGACGAATTCAGTGCGGGGGGAGATGGAGAGAAAATGTCCCATTCTGATGCATAATATGGTTTGGCTGTGTCCCCACCCAAATCTCATCTTGAATTGTAGCTCCCACAATTCCCATGTGTCATGGGAGGGACCCGGTGGGAGGTAATTAAATCATGGGGGTGGGTCTTTCCTGTGTTGTTCTTGTGATAGTGAATAAGTCTCATGAGATCTGATGGTTTTATAAAGGGGAGTTTCCCTGCACAAGTTCTCTCTTTGTCTGTCGCCATGTAAGAAGTGCCTTTCGCCTTCTGCCATGATTGTGAGGCCTCCCCAACCATGTGGAACTGTGAGTCCATTAAACCTCTTTTTCTTTATAAATTACCCAGTCTTGGGTATGTCTTTATCAGCAATGTGAAAATGGACTAATTACAATGCACAAAAGGAAAAAGGAAGGGCCACACTGGGACCTCTAGCATGGGCCTGTTGGGCTTGAGGTGTCTTTTGAAATGCCTGAGTGAGACAGTGAGTAAACAGCTTGATATTCTGATTTGGGGATCAAAGTGAGGTTTGGGTGGGAAATGTAGGCCTGGGAGTCATTGGCAGTTGACATCTTGACTTTGGCTGCTAAAATGTTCAAGAAACAGAGTTTCTTGGGGGCAGGGCATTCACTTGCATGGGAAAAAAATTACACCTTTATTTTCTCCAACCTCTAATGAAATCTCAGCATATTTTTCATCTACGAATGCAGGCAACAAGCCACAGCAGCATTAGCAGGACCTGTGATTTTTGTCACCATTAGAAATCACAGATATTTTCACATCTCATTAAATTGGTTGCAGATGTCTCAAAATACCCTTTACACCCATCGCTTGTTATTTAATGTGCTAATAAAGAAGCATGTATATTACTCAATCACAACTTTCTAAAAATATTTTGATGACTATTTCAATAAAAGTGGGTTCCTTTGAAAGCCCGTGTATCTCATTTTATGTTTTTGAAAATATTACTCTGAGAAGGGGATCTAGGGAGTTCACCATGCGGCCAAAGAGGTTTGCGGCACAAAAATGAGATAAAACACCAAGGAAGAGATGAGAAGAGAGCCCATCCTCGAGGAATCCCAAGGTTCAGAGCCTGGGTGGAGGACGATGAGAAGTGGAGAATGAGAAACCGCCCCTGGAGACAATGGGAAACCAAGAGGAGCAGGTGGCTTTGCAGAAGCTCAGAAGGACAGTGTGTCCAGGAGGGGCTGGTGACCAAGCAAATGGACAGCTGCTGTGAGGTCAAGCACAGTGAGGACAGAAAGAGACCCGCTGCGTGCAGAGACGGGGAAGTCATTTGCTGAAGAGCCATTTCTGTGGAATGATGAGCATGGAAGCCAGATTGGAGTGGGCTGAGGAGTGAGTAGGAGGTGGGGAAATGGAGTCAGTCAGTGTAAATAATTCTTTTGAGAACTTTGGCTGTGAAGGGGAAGAAATAAGTGGAGGGGGATGTGGGATAAGGAAGGGCTGTTCTGTTCTTTTTTGCTGAGAGATCTCAGATCACAATTAAATGCGGATGGGAAGGCTCTGGCACAGAGCAGGGGATCCAGATGGGAAAGGGATGAGACCCAGGCTCACGGGATCCCAGGCACAGGTGGAGAGGGCGGTGATGGTGGGAGACAGCGGCTGGAGTAACAGTAAGCTCAGGAAATTTCTAGCTGAGGGACACTATGGCGTGAGGTGGAAGAGAGGAGGGCGTGAAGATTAGGGAGAAGGAAGACGGTTTGAGGAGGAAGACAGCGTTGACCAAAGAAGCGGGGCAGCACTGAGGAATTCCAGAGGCTGTGGCCTTTCAGCGGCATCACTTTTGAAAGTTGAGTGACTTTTCTCCAGCAGTGGTCAGTGGCCTGGATATGAGGCAGAAGATGATGGATGGGTGGGATTTCACCAGACAGGTGTAAAAGAAGACAAAAGGACAAGAGAATTATTAAGAGGGTCAAGCACAGGACCTAGGCTGTGTAGGGAGGACACGTCAGTGTGGAGCGGACAATCACAGGGCAAGGAAAGAGGAATCCACGGGCGAGAGGTTCCCCAGAGGTGGAGGAAGTGTCACTGGGAAATGGTTAAACAGCAGAGCCGGAAGGTCTGGAGACCTGTGATGATCCAGCGATTTTGGAGATGAAATTCTTTTGGGCGATGACACCACCTGGGATGTGCTATTGGGGATGGGGGTGGCAGAGTGGGACGGAGGAGGGCACTTGAGGAACTCGGGATCTGAGATGCCAGGATGTGGCTGGCTTAGCCTGGAGGATGCTGGAGTCAAGGATTGTGGTGGCAGATCAGGAGATGTGGTGGGGACAGAGACTGAACTGCCTGCCAAAGTCTGCACTGCCAGGGGACTAACAGTGGCAGGAATGACAAGGGGGAGAGGATGGTAGAATGAAACAGCACAAGCCTCGGTGGACAGTGTTTCCACCAGAGCCTGGTGGGCAGTGGTCTGGAGCAGCAGTGGGAGTAGGACAGCCTCAAGGAAAAGCCAGCTTCACTGCGGCAGGGAGGGGAGGGAGCTCTGAGAAGGGGTCTGAGGTGCATTTCCTGCGCTGCAGGGAGGATGCACTGCTCACCGTTTCCCAGACCTGCCACCCCTCCTTGACTCAGAGTCTTCCTTCCTCCTGTAACGTCCTCTCTACCACAGCTCCCCAGCCTCACCTCCAGATTCCCAAATCTTGTCAGTGACTTAAGATCCAGCTTAAAAATCTGCATCCTCAAAGGCCGGGCATGGTGGCTCACGCCTGTAATCTCAGCACTTTGGGAGGCTGAGGTGAGTGGATCACGAGGTCAGGAGTTCGAGACCAGCCTGGCCAAGATGGTGAACTCCTGCCTCTACTAAAAATACAAAAATTAGCCGGGTGTGGTAGCTTGTGCCTGTAATCCCAGCTACTCGGGAGCCTGAGGCAAGAGAATCACTTGAACCTCGGAGGCGGAGGTTGCAGTGAGCTGAGATCTTGCCACTGCACTCTAGCCTGGGCAACAGAGCAAGACTCCCATCTCCACAAAAAAGAAAAAACAAAAACAAACAAAAAAACTGCATCCTCTATGAAGCTTTCCCAGGTCTCCCCCTGGCCTTCCTTTTTTTTTTTCAGATGAAGTCTCACTCTCTCGCCCAGGCTGGAGTGCAGTGGTGTGATCTCCACTCACTGCAACCTCTGCCTCTCGGGTTCAGGCAATTCTCCTGCTTTAGCCTCCCGAGTAGCTGGGATTATAGGCACCCACCACCACGCCCAGCTTATTTTTGTATTTTTAGTAGAGACGGGGTTTCACCATGTTGCCCAGGCTGGCCTTGAACTCCCGACCTCAGGTGATCAGCCCACCTGGGCCTCCCAAAGTGCTGGGATTACAGGCATGAGCCCGGCCCCCATAGTCTTTTTATTATGCTCATCAGACACAGTTTTGAACTACAGACATTTGTATAATGCCTTAGTTTACCAACACTGTCAGCCACTCGGGGGGGGGCGTGGCTTATTAATTACCATCCCCATGGTACCCAACACGGTGTCTTGTACACAAGTGACTTTAGTTTCCTTATTTTTTATTTTTAAATTTAAAAAATTTTATTTTATTTTTAATTGACAAATAATAATTGTATTATAATTTCTGAATGAATAAAGCAATATAAAAACAAAATAAAAGAGTTTTAGGATGAAATGCTATATGTTATAAAATATGTGGAATGCAGGTATGAACCTGAATAATTTTATCTCACAATTTAAAAATTTTAAAATTTTGATATCTGAATTTTAACGTCTTTTCAATTATTTATTTATTTATTTAGAGACAGGATCTCATTCTGTCTCCCAGGCTGAAATGCAGTGGTGTGATCATAGCTCACTGCAGCCTTGAACCCCTGGGCTCAAGTGATCCTCCCACCTCAGCCTTCCAAGTAGCGGGAATTACAGGCTAATTTTTAAATCTTTTGTAATGATGAGGTGTTGCTGTGTTGCCCAGACTGGTCTTGAACTCCTGGGCTCAAGTGATCTTCCCAACTTAGACTCCCAAAGTGTGGGATTACAGGCATGAGTCACTGCGCTGGCCCTTAAATGGTTTTTAATAAGTACTGTGGTTTTAAAAACTGGAAACATTTTTCAAAATAGAGAATTTAAAGAAAATGTAGTAAACAAACACATAGCGCTACTTACAAAGGAAAAAAAGACATTTTATTATAATCTCCTCTCACACAATGTCTGCGCTGCTAAGACCAATCAACACAGGGAACCCTTTGGGTCAGAGGTCACCAATCCTCTGCACCAACAATTCACTGAGCTGGGATAACAATTGGTGCTTCTATCAACCCGGCCACATGGCAGGATCACCCTCGTGCAAGGACGAGGCTGTCTTGCCTGTGCGTTGAAAAAGGCAGGACAACTTTCTGGAAGCATCTGCAATTCAAACGGACGGTTCTCCCATTTTAATGTCATGCCCTATTTTAAAATTACCTAGAGGAACTCAGACGAAGCACAGAAATGAAGGAGAAATTAAGCGCTGCTGGCTTTGCCCAAGATAGCTAGTACTTGTTTGCTGCATTAATGCTGCTGAAGATCTCCAGCACCCTGGTCTGCCTACAGAGGGGTTTGCACACCAGTATTCCAATTACTCTATAACCTGATCATAAAAGAAATAGCCAGTTCAGTCTGGTGAGTTATCTGGCGGAATCTTCAACCACAACAAGATGACCTCCCTTATAATGTACAAGTGAGTCCTGGGTCAACTTCAGGCCGTTCTGAGTTTCCTCCATCTACTCAGAGCTACAACCCTGCCATTCTTATGCCTTTGCATCCTTGCCTACCTGTGACCAAAGGAACCTGGTGTTTTAAAGAAGCCATCTGTCCCTCTGTAGAGTGGTATGCCAGGAAAAGAATGCTTTATTTAGCTGGCTGGCTACTCTGGTCACCACTTGTTCCGGGGTTTCAAGAGGGTCTGATCATAACTGACTAATCTTCTAGCCCAAATGGCCACTGCAGATTGGCAGCCTTACCAAACCATTCTCCCGTCAATCATTTCAAGCCAGGTCATGGAGCATTCTCCACTCCAAGTCACATTATCCCCTTTCTTCTCTTGCCCACAGTAAGGATCCCTATTCTGGCTATTACGGCGATATGGTTACAACTTTTGATAGGTGCACATTCCTAAAACATTCTTGCAATCAAGGTAAGAGGTGGAGCTCAGACACTGGACCAAATTGAGGACTAGATAAAACGGGGATGGGCTGCAAGCAGCTTTCCATAAGACATGCCCAACAATGTGCCATGTCAGTTTACCATTGCCATGGCAACACCTGGGAGTTAACACTCCTTTACATGGCAATGACCTAACGACCCAGAAGTTAATACCTTTTCCTAGAAATTTCTGCATAATCTGCATGCTATTAAAAGTAGGTATAGCCTGGGCGAAGTGGCTCATGCCTGTAATCCTAGCACTTTGGGAGGCCAAGGTGGGTGGATCACCTGAGCTCAGGAGTTTGAGACCAGGCAACATGGTGAAATCCCATCTCTACTAAAAATACAAAAAATTAGCCAGGTATGGTGGTGGGTGCCTGTAATCCCAGATACTAGGGAGGCTGAGGCACGAGAATCACTTGAACCTGAATCGCTTGCAGTGAACCGAGATCCTGCCACTGCACTCCAGCCTGGGTTACAAAGTGAGACTCCATCTCAAAAAAAAAAAAAAGAAAAAAAAAAAGAAAAGTAGGTATAAATATGATTTGAGAATGGCCCTGAGCTGCCACTCTGGGCACACTGCCTATGGGGTAGTCCTACTCCACAAGGAGCAGTCTGTCTGCTGCTGCTGTGCACCACCACTTCAATAAAAATTGCTGCCTAACACCACCGGCTTCCCCTTGAATACCTTCCTGGGCAAAGCCAACAACCCTCCTGGGCTAAGTCCCAAGGCTGGGGCTCACCTGCCCTGCATCACAACTGTCAGTCATCAAATATGCATGGAGCTCCTATTATGTGCTAGGCATTGGAAATATAACCACAAACAGTGCCTCCTCTTTTGACTAGCTCCCAGCCTAAGGGAGGAGGCAGACAGAAAGATGTACCCCATGGTGGGCATGAGCCCAGAGGGTGTTCTAAGAATACAAAGACAGGACGAGCAAAACCATTCAACCCCCAGGAGAAGCTCCAGAAACTTTTTTCAGAGGAGGTGCCCTCAGAGTTGAGGGTGCACAGAGGCTGGGCAGATGAGCTCGGGAGGTAGGCAGGGGTCAGGCACACAAGGGCCTTGGGTACCTTGCGAAGGTATCTGAATTTGATCCCAAAGACAATGGGAAACCACTGAAGAATGTTTAATAAAGGAGTGTTGTGATCCAATTTGATCCTAGAGGTATCTATCTCTCTTATAGCAGCCTGGAAGACTGCCTGTAAGGGGAAAAGTAAAGACAAAATCATTAGGGAAATGACAATAATCCAGACAAATCCAAGCACTTTGGGAGGCTGAGGCGGGTGGATCACTTGAGGTCAGGAGTTCAAGACCAGCCTGGCTAATATGGTGAAACTCTGTCTTTACTAAAAACACAAAATTAGCCGGGCATCATGGCGCACGCCTGTAGTCCCAGCTACTCAGAAGGGTGAGGATCACGCCACTGCACTCCAGCCTGGGTGAGAGAACACGACTCTGTCTCAAAAAAAAAAAAAAAAAAAAATCCAGACAAGAAAAGAGAGGGCCCTACAAAGGCAGGTAAAAGTGGACAGATTTGAGGGAGAGGAGAGGAGACAGTCAGGTTTCAGTGTTTGATTGCTGGAAGTAGGAGGAGGAGCAGAAGAAAGAGAAGGCAGAGTCTAAGATAATTTCCAGGATTCTGGCTTGGGCAGAAATAAGAACTTCAGGAAGAGGAAACAATTTGAGGGGAGATGATGATGTATTCAGCACCATGAGCCTGAGGGGCTTGTGGGACCTGCCACGGTGAACAGAGCAACGGCTAAAATGGAAAACAAACTCAAAGGAAAATTCCCACAGATCTGCACTTGTCAAACCGTGGGCTGCACATTCTCTCTCCATGACGTGCGTTTCAGGCTCCAGATGCTGCGTGCAGAGCTGCGTTCTTACCCAGTGCACCTCGAGGGCGCAGAATCTGAGCTAGAGTCAAGAGGGCGGCTGTGAAGAACACCACGCCAGGTGTTAAGGGTGACTCACAGCCTCCCAGGGTGGGGCCCCCTGGCAGCTAGAACCAGCGTGTGCATGCGCGACCTGCCTCATCAGCACACAGGCCTAGGGCCAGAAAGAAGAGGCCCGACCCACAAGGAATCTGAGAATGGGCAAGCAGAAATTAGAGAAAATTAAAAGCATGATTCATGGAACACATATGCCACATCCTAAGCCGTGGCTGCTTTCATGACACTGTAAAGGGTGTCAGTGGGTTGACATTGACAGATTAATGGGAGGATGTCTCCCCAAGAGCCGTTTGAAAGTGGAGAAGCTGAAGGTTTCACGGACACGATAGGATGAATCAATAGGGAATGAAAGGAGTCATGCAGATATACCCAGGTCATAGAAAAACACAAAATGCAAATCGAGCCAGCCTCCACGGACAGCTGAGTCACCCGAGAGCTAATATTTGCTAGGAGCCGCAGTATGCAAAGCATTGTGCTATGGATTATGCAGGGCTGGATTCTGGGAAACAAAACCCTTCCCTGGCTCATGGGGTCTTGTTTTGTTTTTGAGCTTGACTATAATCTGGAGCTGTGCTGTGCCACAGAACTTTCTGCAGTGACAGAAGTGTCCTAGATCTGCATGGTCCAATATGGCAGCCGGATGGCTGAGTGCAGTGGCTCACACCCGTAATCCCAGCACTTTGGGAGGCCGAGGCGGGTGGATCACCTGAGGTCAGTAGTTTGAAACCAGCCTGGCCAACATGGCAAGACCCTGTCTCTACTAAAAATACAAAAACTAGCTGGGCGTGGTGGCGGGTGCCAGTAATCCCAGCTATGCGGGAGGCTGAGGCAGGAGAATTGCTTGAACCTGGGAGGTGGAGGTGGCAGTGAGCTGAGATCTCACCGTTGCACTCCAGCCTGGGTGACAGAGCGAGACTCGGTCTAAAAAAAAAAACAAACCAAAAAACAAAAAATAATATGGCAGCCACTGACCAGACGTGCTCTTGAGTGTGTAACATGTGGCTAGTGCCACTAGGGATCTACACAGTACATTTAATTTTAATTAATTTAAACTTAAAGTTTAATGGCCACATGTGCCTAGTGGCCACTGTATTGAAAGGCACAGTTTTAGACCTTTGCTGCTCTCATGCATGGCTGGACATTCTGACTTTTTAAGCCATTGCAGGCTACTTGAAAAGACTTTATTTTTTATGTTAATCTCTAAAATTCGTGTGGATTCTTATGAACAAAACAATTACAGTGTTTACGTTGGGTAACAGCCTTCCTCTGGAGGCGCACCTTGCTTGCTGGTACAGTCAAGTGACTTCATTGATGTGAACAGCACACTGGGCCAGGCCTGGGGCACTGCCAGCTGCTTCTCGGTATCAGGTTCACTGCCTACGCCTCCTTCCGATGTAACCTTGAGTCCTGGTGACCTGGAATCTAAATATTTAGCACTCGGTTGCCACCAGTGAAAGGACTAGAATCTTATTTTTATTAGCAGAGCAAATGGTGCACTTAAAAAACTGACAGTGATCTCTACCTTTCTTCCCCATGAAGTAAATGCAGTGAGAACGTGTTCTCAGTCCTTGAGGCTTGTGCATTTGGAACGACGTCCTTTCCAGTGAGGATACAGGATCTTGGAAAGATGAGAAGGGCCCGTGATGTGTTGCTTTCTAGAAGCTTGCGGCTTACCATGTCCTGCGCCAATTAATCATTTTCATCATCTTCTATGGGGAAATCGGGGCTCCTGTCCCCTCTCTGTGAAGGTTCGTGGGGACAAAATTCCTTCCGTGCCTCTGTCAATCACAGCAAGCTCCTCTGGGCCAGCAGCGGTCTCGCCGGTGCCTGGGAAGGAGGGGCGTTGCTTTCTCCGTATATCCAGAAGCCTCTTTGCTTTTTAGTCTACTAAATTACCCACTTTCTAGTGGGTTATGCAGAGCCACTATTTATTTCCCTGTTAAATTCCAATCTGATGAAACAGTTCACAGGGTTGTACGTAACTCTGAAAAGGCTCTAAAATTAAGTTGCCATATTAGGTTGGCTTTTAAAAATGTGGCCTGGGACTGGGCTGAGGGATTCTAGAAGCCTCAGAACCTTCTCCTCCACCAATACCTGTTGGAGCATCACTTGCAAGTATATTTGGACACCAAGGCAGTTTATAATGTACTGTAATGTCAGTGTGCCACTTAGAAGTCTCCTTCGTTTTCACAATGATCCCACGAGATATGCATAATAAGTATCTCCTTGATGGGAAACTGAAGTGCTTGCAAGTGGTTTGCCTGAATTCACATTGTAATGAGAGGCAGAGCTGGCCTTTCATAAATGCTTTCTACTATGCCAAGCCACGACTGTAAATGTATTTAGGAAGTACCACTCTAAAGAACTTCTCAGCGCAGGCTTGATAGGTATTGCTTCATCTTGGACTTAGATGAAATCCAACTGCTGCATAACCAGCAGTTAGAGCCACTGGTTGTGGTGAGGAGGTTATGCCAGGATGAAGCAGCCAGCAGGTTAACTGTGTGTTTGGGGATCTGCCCACCTCAAGGCAGTTGTCTGGAAGGATACCTTGACACTGAAGCCATTATTTGATGGTAAATGCCTCGTTCGTTCCAGGCTCATCAGAATTGTGACAATTGGAGTCTGGGTTAAGGAATGAACAAGTGATGAAAACTGCAATATAAGTGTCAAAATTTGGTAGTGGTAAGAAGCACATAGTGACTGAATGGTGGAAAAATTTCCATGGATTAAGCAATTCACTTTCATAACAGCCACTCAATCAGAGAAGGAACCTGCCTTTACAAATCAGAGGCAAATGCTATTTCGAGTTTTCAGGTGCTGCAATCTCTAGGAGGAAATGACTTGGGATATTTCCACCTAGGGAGGAAGGCTTTGTTTGAGTTTACATCATCTCACTGAGCTATATATCATTCTCCTGCCCCTTTCTGATTGACGGAGAATCTTTTGCAACTCTAGTGCCTGATGCAACATTCAATACACTGAGCTGTGGACATTGGATCTGTCTGACCTTGGTTCTCTTTTGAGACATGCCAGCCTTCTTATTCACAGCTTCCCTTGAGAGACTAGCTCCAGGACCTCCCTGGAGTTGTGGACCCTGTGGGAAGAGGCTGAATAAGTTCTGCATCCCCTCAGGATGGGCAGCCTATACTCTGAAGGTTTGCAAACAACTGTTCTTTTTTTTTTTTTTTTTTTTGAGATGGAGTCTCGCTCTGTCGCCCAGGGTGGAGTACAGTGGCACGATCTCAGCTTACTGCAATCTCCGCCTCCCAGGTTCAAGCAATTCATCTGCCTCAGCCTCCCAAGTAGCTGGGACTACAGGCGCATGCCACCACGCCCAGTTAATTTTCGTATTTTTAGTAGAGATGGGGTTTCACCATATTGGCCAGGCTGGTCTTGAATTCCTGACCTTGTGATCGCCGGCCTTGGACTCCCAAAGTGCTGGGATTACAGGTGTGAGCTACCGCGCCTGGCCAAACGACTGTATTTTAATAAAAATTGGGCTAGGGGTTCAAATCTGGGAGGGGAATCTCCAAACCAATCCATGATTTTGGGGGTTGAAGATTTCTTGGATCTGGCTTGAGTTTCATAAGAGATCTCTGGCTTCATTTATATCAAGCAAAACCCAAAGGATTGAGCCAGGCAGGATGGACGTTATGAGAGCACAAGTTGAATGGCTGTTAAGAATGATGCATTCAGTGACACTTCCTCTCACCCTGCCCTTCCTCTGCTTTTGTGTCCAGGGGCAAATCCTCCAGTATCCCCCAAAGAATATCTCTAATGCAGAGAGCAAAGCAGAGGTGAATTTCACTGTGGAAAATTTTGATTGTGTCACTTTTCTCAGTAGAGAAGATGAGGCCTTGATGACACTTGTGCAATCAGGGCTCAAACACTTGGGAGATCATTATCTGGAGAAAACTGAGATTATGTAAGCAATGTTTCTTATTCTCTGACACACTGAGGGACAGTGTCATAGTGCAAACATAAAATATCCTGTCCTCATATTTTAGAGGAAAAATTGCCAGTTTTTTTTTTTTTTTTTTTTTTTTTTGCATTTTACTATGTTTTTCTTAAAAAAATGTTGTATTGGCTGCTCCTGAATGACTACTGGGTAAATAACAAAATGAAGGCAGAAATAAAGGTGCTCTTTGAAACCAATGAGAACAAAGACACACCGTACCAGAATCTCTGGGACACATTAAAGCAGTGTGTAGAGGGAAATTTATAGCACTAAATGCCCACAAGAGAAAGCAGGAAAGATCTAAAATCGACACCCTAACATCACAATTAAAAGAACTAGAAAAGCAAGAGCAAACAAATTCAAAAGCTAGCAGAAGGCAAGAAATAACTAAGATGAGAGCAGAACTGAAGGAGACAGACATACAAAAAACCCTTCAAAAAATCAATGAATCCTGGAGCTGTTTTTTTGAAAAGATCAACAAAATTGATAGACTGCTAACAAGACTAATAAAGAGGAAGAGAGAAGAATCAAATAGACGCAATAAAAAATGATAAAGGGGATATCACCACCGATCCCACAGAAATACAAACTACCATCAGAGAATACTATAAACACCTCTATGCAAATAAACTAGAAAATCTAGAAGAAATGGATAAACTCCTGGACACATACACCCTCCCAAGATTAAACCAGGAATAAGTTGAATCTCTGAATAGACCAATAACAGGCTCTGAAATTGAGGCAATAATTAATAGCCTACCAACCAAAAAAAGTCCAGGACCAGATGGATTCACAGCCGAATTCTACCAGAGGTACAAAGAGGAGCTGGTACCATTCCTTCTGAATCTATTCCAATCAATAGAAAAAGAGGGAATCCTCCCTAACTCATTTTATGAGGCCAACATCATCCTGATACCAAAGCCTGGCAGAGACACAACAAAAAAAGAGAATTTTAGACCAGTATCCCTGATGAACATCGATGCGAAAATCCTCAATAAAATACTGGCAAAGCGAATCCAGTAGCACATCAAAAAGCTTATCCACCATGATCAAGTCCGCTTCATCCCTGGGATGCAAGGCTGGTTCAACATAGCAAATCAATAAATGTAATCCATCACATAAACAGAACCAATGACAAAAACCACATGATTATCTCAATAGATGCAGAAAAGGCCTTTGACAAAATTCAACAACCCCTCATGCTAAAAACTCTCAGTAAACTAGGTATTGATGGAACATATCTCAAAATAATAAGAGCTATTTATGACAAACCCACAGCCAACATCATACTGAATGGGCAAAAACTGGAAGCATTCCCTTTGAAAACTGGCACAAGACAGGGATGCCCTCTCTCACCACTCTTATTGAACATAGTGTTGGAAGTTCTGGCCAGGGCAATCAGGCAAGAGAAAGAAATAAAGGGTATTCAATTAGGAAAAGAGGAAGTCAAACTGTCCCTGTTTGCAGATGACATGATTGTATATTTAGAAAACCCCATTGTCTCAGCCCAAAATCTCCTTGAGCTGATAAGCAACTTCAGCAAAGTCTCAGGATACAAAATCAATGTGCAAAAATCACAAGCATTCCTATGCACCAATAACAGACAAACAGACAGCCAAATCATGAGTGAACTCTCATTCACAATTGCTACAAAGAGAATAAAATACCTAGGAATCCAACTTACAAGGGATGTGAAGGACCTCTTCAAGGAGAACTACAAACCACTGTTCAACGAAATAAAAGAGGACAAAAACAAATGGAAGAACATTCCATGCTCATGGATAGGAAGAATCAATATCATGAAAATTGGCCATATTGCCCAAGGTAATTTATAGATTCAATGCCATCCCCATCAAGCTACCAGTGATTTTCTTCACAGAATTGGAAAAACTCCTTTAAAGTTCATATGGAACCAAAAAAAGAACCCTCATTGCCAAGACAATCCTAAGCAAAAAGAACAAAGCTGGAGGCATCATGCTACCTGACTTCAAACTATACCACAAGGCTACGGTAACCAAAACAGCATGGTACTGGTACCAAAACAGATATATAGACCAATGGAACAGAAAAGAGGCCTCAGAAATAACACCACACATCTACAACCATCTGATCTTTGACAAACCTGACAAAAATAAGAAATGGGGAAATAATTCCCTATTTAATAAATGGTGCTGGGGAAACTGGCTAGCCATATGTAGAAAGCTGAAACTGAATCCCTTCCTTACACCTTATATAAAAATTAACTCAAGATGGATTAAAGACTAAAATGTTAGACCTAAAACCATAAAAATCCTAGAAGAAAATCTAGGCAATACCATTTAGGACATAGGCATGGGCAAGGACTTCATGTCTAAAACACCAAAAGCAATGGCAACAAAAGCCAAAATAGACAAATGGGATCTAATTAAACTAAAGAACTTCTGCACAGCAAAAGAAACTACCATTAGAGTGAACAGGCAACCTACAGAATGGGAGAAAATTTTTGCAATCTACCCATCTGACAAAGGGCTAATATCCAGAATCTACAAAGAACTTAAACAAATCTACCAGAAAAAAACAAACAACCCCATCAAAAAGTGGGCAAAGGATATGAACAGACACTTTTCAAAAGAAGACATCTATGCAGCCAACAGACACATGAAAAAATGCTCATCATCACTGGTCATCAGAGAAATGCAAATCAAAACCACAATAAGATACCATCTCACACCAGTTAGAATGGCAATCATTAAAATGTCAGGAAACAACAGATGCTAGAGAGGAAGTGGAGAAATAGGAACACTTTTACACTGTTGGTGAGAGTGTAAATTAGTTCAACCATTGTTGAACTGAAGATAGTGTGGCAATTCCTCAAGGATCTAGAACTAGAAATACCATTTGACCCAGTGATCCCGTTACTGGGTATATACCCAAAGGATTATAAATCATGCTACTATAAAGACACATACACACTTATGTTTATTGTGGCACTATTCACAATAGCAAAGACTTGGAACCAACCCAAATGTCCATCAATGATAGACTGGATTAAGAAAATGTGGCACATATATACCATGGAATACTATGCAGCCATAAAAAAGGATGAGTTCATGTCCTTTGCAGGGACATGGATGAAGCTGGAAACCATCATTCTGAGCAAACTATCACAAGGACAGAAAACCAAACACCACATGTTCTCACTCATAGGTGGGAATTGAACAATGAGAACACATGGACACAGGGTGGGGAATATCACACACTGGGGCATGTCATGGGGTGGGGGGCTGGGGGAGGGATAGCATTAGGATAAATACCTAATGTAGATGAGGAGTTAATGGGTGCAGCAAACCAACGTGGCACAAGTATATCTATGTAACAAACCTGCACGTTGTGCACATGTACCCTAGTACTTAAAGTATAATTTTAAAAAATGTTGTGTTGAGTGGGGTGAATAATAAAATTATTGGGAAATAAGAGCCATATAAACTGTATTATAGAAGCTATTTCACATAATTACTATTATGTATACAACCATGACCTTTTTCAGAAGTGGTCTGAGTGTTTTGCAGTGATGGTTTAAAGAATGCATAATTTGTATAGCAGGAAGAAGAAAACTATAGGAATCTGACACCAGCTTGTTCCATAAGCTTAAGTGTGAAAAGGAACATAAAACTTCAAATCCTGCATATCCCAAATGCATGAGTATTGCACATAAAATGGCCGTGACTGTGCACGTGAGCCTCTGCATGAAAGTTCCCTGCAGAGGCACCCAGATGCCCACTTGTTTAGCAATTCCAATCTGGGAAGACTGCTACATGCTACTGTTTGACTTGAATTATATTTTCTTATCTGTCCTTGATCTTATTTCTGAGTGTAAAAATGTGAGAATTTATCTTAATGCTAAAAATATGTTGTTCTAGTCAAACTAGATTTAATTTTTGGATAAATCTCACTCCTTAAGTTTAATCAGCAGCAGGCATTATATTTAGTCTTAGACTAACAGGAAAAGATCCAGGCAACGTGTTCTTGGTGCTGCCAATATTGTGAGATAGTCTCTTTCACCTTCAGACTCTAAGTGAAATATTTTATTGTACGATTTTATATTCCTTAATAGAGAGCATATCTCTCTCCTAGGTATACATCTACATCTATAAACATCAATCACTGATGTTTTTAAGGTGTCCTTTGAACATTAAATAACCACAGTGTGAACATCCTAGATTAAAAAAGAAATCTCAACAAGAACTTGATTGATATCACGTATTCAGGATCTATCTCAGGATCCATGCCATTGATAGGAAAGAAGGAGTCTCTCCTCTAGAGTATATTTCAGGCATAAAATATTAAATAGGAATTCATAAAAGGCATATTACTCATCTTAAATCAATTCACCATGCTAACAGTCAGTGTTGAATACAGCTTGTGGTATTGAGCTCTTACATAGGGTAAGTTAAATTATTAGATAAGATCTTAAACATGAAATATGATCATAGAGCTTAGCAATTCAGAGCACCTTCTCTGGGGTCAGACTGCCTAGAATGGAATCTCTACCACGCACTGGCTGTGAAATCTTAGGTAAAGTTTTGTGACTTCTCTAAGGTCCAGTTTTCTCATCAGTAAAGTGGGGCAAAGATGGATGGATAGATAGATAGATAGATAGATAGATAAGGATAGGTGATAGATATATACATTTATGAGAATTAAATAAGCTAATATGTATAAAGTGCTTCGTATAGTGCCTGGAATGTTGCAAGCACTGAAATAATGGTAACTGCTTAATTATTATTATCATGATACTATTATTAATCATATTATCATATTGTTATTATCACATTGTTATATCATTCTAAGCAAAAATATTTTATCATCATATTGCTATATCTAGGCAAAAATATTTAAACAATTGCCAATTATTACATGATACAGTTATTACCACATTTTACTCTCTTCCTTCATCAGAAATAAAAACTAGGCCCAACCTTGCATCAAGTTAGACCATATGCCACAGAGATGATGCTGTGCTTAAGAAGGCCCAGTGCCTCCAACTCTTATAGAGTTGCAGCATTTCTCATCTGGATGGTGTCCCATAGACCATCTGTGTCAGGACCTTTATCTACAGGAAAGAAGAGTGAGCCCAACCATAGTGAGGTGTGAAGACTGCAGAGCTGGGAGCCACAGGGGTGGTGTCCCCAGGAAGGGAGTTCCCAGCCCTAGGCTCCTTCCTGCCCCTGGCTCTCCCTGCCTTGACCTTTGGGAATCTGCAACATCTCCTTTTTGAGTTGGCTTTTTCCTACATCACACACACACACACACCACCACCACCAGCAGCAGCAGCAGCCCCAGGAGACTGTCTCCCAGAATTCTTCATACCTGTTTGGAAGATGACCTGCTAGAAAACCGGGATCTCTCAAAACTTGTCTCTTGCCCCCAAAACTGATCGCGTTTCTTCTCATTTGGGTCTCTTCTATATTCCTGTCGTCTCAGACAAGCCTGAAGAACAACAACAATAAAATGTTTGTCTTAGGACCATGGCAAGCTTGGGTAACTTTATGCTTAACTCCAATGGTGAGGAGCATGAAATAAATGATATGCATCTCCAGGTGTTCATCAAATACCTCTCACCAAGTATAAAGACCAGGTATCACTCTTCCCTTTGCTTAAAACGCAGGTCAGGCCGGGCGCGGTGGCTCACGCCTGTAATCCCAGCACTTTGGGAGGCCGAGGCGGGTGGATCATGAGGTCAGGAGATCAAGACCATCCTGGCTAACAAGGTGAAACCCCGTCTCTACTAAAAATACAAAAAATTAGCCGGGCGCGGTGGCGGGCGCCTGTAGTCCCAGCTACTCGGGAGGCTGAGGCAGGAGAATGGCGTGAACCCGGGAAGCGGAGCTTGCAGTGAGCCGAGATTGCGCCACTGCAGTCCGCAGTCCGGCCTGGGCGACAGAGCGAGACTCCGTCTCAAAAAAAAAAAAAAAAAAAAAAAAACGCAGGTCAGACGTAATAGCCATTACTTTAATAAATTCAAACAATAAACATACTGAGAGGCATTTTGTCAAGAATGTACCCAACTGTTGCCTTCTCAAGGAGGGCAGCACCTGTTACACCTTGTGAATTTCTCTTTCTGGTCATTCTCTTCATGGCCCCTCCCTCTTCCTACCTTCACTATACTGTGACCCTGGAGATGACACCCTAGTTGCGGGATGAGAATTGTCAACATCAGAGCATGTGTGTTTCCTGCACTTGGAATCTCCTCTGTTAGAAGCTCTCTTGGCAAAACCGACTGATCTACTAAAAAGCCTGCTGCTGTGGCCTTGCCTCTCTTTAGTTTCCTCTGCCCTCTCTTCTCCAGGCCGAATTAATTGTCAGAGTTGCAATGTATATTAATTTAAGCTTGAATTATACATATTTTTTTCCTATTGTAGGTAGTTGTTTGTGGTTTTGAGCCTGTTTCTCCTGCTGATCATTGAGAACCCTGAGAGTAAGGACAACTTCTTATCTTTGAATCCCCCAGCATCCAGCATTTAATTTTAGCTGAATTGCAGCTGGCCAGGTGCCCAGAGGCTCATGCCTGTAATCCCAGCACTTTGGGAGGCTGAGGCAGGTTGATCACTTGATGCCAAGAGTTCGAGACCAACCTGGCCAACATAGTGAAACCCTGTTTCTACTAAAAATATAAAAATTAGTTGTGGTGGCACATGCCTGTAATCCCAGCTACTCAGGAGGCTGAGGCATGAGAATTGCTTGAACCTGGGAGGCAGAGGTTGCAGTGAGCCAAGATAGTGCCACTGCATTCCAGCCTGGGTGACAGAGCAAGAGTCTGTCTCAAAAAATTAATAATAATAATTTTAGTTGAATTGCATTTTTGCTTTGGAGGAAAATATCAATCCCTAAGTGCAAAATAAGAAAAATAAAATTACCAATGAAAATAATTCCCCATGTTTCTTAACAAAATTAAAATAAAATCTGGTACCAAAATATTTCTCCTGTAGTACTAGGACTGAACAAACCTGAGGATATCATGTACTATGGAAATTTCAACTGATTTTAAGTACCTCAAAATAGTAAAAGTTTTTTTTTTCCCCCCAAGATGGAGTCTCGCTCTGTCACCCAGGCTGCAGTGCAGTGGCACGATCTTGGCTCACTGCAACCTCCACCGCCCTGGTTCAAGCGATTCTCCTGCCTTAGCCTCCCAAGTAGCTGGGGTTACAGGAGTGTGCCACCACGCCCAGCCAATTTTTGTATTTTTAGTAGAGACAGGGTTTTGCCATGTTGGCCAGGCTGGTCTTGAACTCCTGACCTCAGGTGATCGGCCTGCCTCAGCCTCCCAAAGTGCTGAGATTACAGGCATGAGCCGCCACACCCAGCCCAGTAAAACTTTTTTGGAATGTTTCTATACTTGCAGATCCAGTAGCCCAATTCAACTTTGCCTTGCCAGGGCCAAATTATCCACTGTCATAGAAAATGAATTTGAAGTAAAGACCAACAATATTGTTTGTAAACTAGGCCTGACAACTGCCCTTCCTGGCTGGGTTGAGAAAGGAAAGATTCCTTCAGCACGTTTCACGCCCTCTGTTAGAAAAAGCATCTCCTTCCGTGATGCAGTAGGACTTACCAGAATTTCACGCCATGAGTAAGCCTGACATTATGCTGTAAGGTTAAGAATAGAAATGACCCGATACTAACAAAACATTTACTCCTTGGAATTGGGACAGTTATTCACATCGTGCTTTATGTCTGAATTGCAGGTGACACTCTAGCCTCCGGGCTCATCACAGCAGCCAAGTGGTCACCTGCAGGAAGTGGAATCCTAGATTCTGGGGAGAGAGATGCAGCTTCACTCCAACTTGCTTGGGAAGGGACAACATCTGTCCCACAGTTAATCTTCTTTTCAAAAACTATGCCACATAGATAGTAAGTCATCATAATAAACACTGGACTCTGTTTGTTTTAATAATTTAAGCAAGAAAAACCAAAGAACACTAGGCAGTAACCATAATAAGTTAAACAAAACAAACAAAAAACACCCAATCATAGAGAAACCCAGGTAATCCTAAAGGGAGTCGGCTGGAAAGTGTAACGAAGTTCAGCTAAACGTGTGCCTTTGTTGTTCCAATCCTTTTACAAGGACTTCAAATGGGAGCTTGTGTTTGGAAAGAGCACTGGCGTGGAGTGTTGTTTCCGAAAGGGGCAGATGTCTGTGCCGTCCTAACCTACTGGTATTAAAGGCAAAAGAAGAAAATGCTGATGGGCTGAAAGTGGAGGAGGCAGTGTTAGCAAATGCACCAGGACCAAGGCAGATTTTGTGGGATGAACAGAATTCTTGTGGGCTGAGTGTTTTTTGAAAATTCTCTCCAAGAATGCATACGACTTAAATATTTCTTTACCAAAAGGGGAGGAAGAATAGATTGGTTTGCAAAGTTGAAAAAAATTTTTTCCCTCTAGTTCCTTGTTCCTCTTTTTACAGAGGAGCAGAACAAACCAGTGGCAAGGCAGGTACTTAAACTTTTATCTTGACAGAGCCAAGCAATCTTTCTACGTAAATCAAACATGAATCCTCTCAAAGTTATAGCTTTGCTGAGAAGGAACACAGGGGCAGAGCAAATATCCAGACTCACAGTCGTAGAAGCAGCAAGAACCTTTGCCTTATTCCCTGCAAGGGCTGGTTTTCTTTGTATTTGTAATTGTAAATGATTTTCTGTCAGCTGTTGATGTTGTTTTTGTGCGGGGCGGGTGGGGGGAGCCTAAGGTGACTGGGCAGGGGAGGACAGAATCCATGGGTCAGGAGAGGAATGTATTTGTAATTCATAACCAATAGCGGCTTCCCTTACCCTAGACTTTAAGAACATTCTCCCCTTTCAATTGCACGTGTCAGGATTCGGATGGCTATAAATAAGTCTCTGATCATGTGGCAAAACTGGCCGAGGGCAGTCTTGAAATTGAAGGCTTCAGGTAACTTTTTATTTCTTCCTTCTGGGAAGATCAGGGCTTCTTCCTTCCCTCCTCCATTGGTGTTGACCCCCCACCCCCCTAGTGCGTCCCCCTGACTACAGCATACGTAGTCGGGCTGCCTTTTGTACAGAAGGTACCACTGTGGGGGCAAAATGCAGAATGTGCATCAATGTCTGTGGGGATGACGTGGGTTTTGTGACTCATTGTAACTCAATCCTGGTAAACACGACAATCCCCAGCTCTGCCACTTTCTAACATAGTGACCTTGGGCGAGCTGACTAATGCCATTGATTCTTGCTTTCCTCATCTGTAAGAGGAAGTTGCAGATTGTTGATATGTTAACATCAACAAGGCATACAGTTGGTGATATGTTAATAATGGCTGGCCCTTGGGGAGTGTTCAATCAAGGGTGCCTACTAACACCATCACCATCACCACCACCACCATGACTACCATTTCCATCACCATCTCCATCACCACCACCACCTGCACCACCACCACCACCTCCATCACCACCACAACCATCACCACCCACCACCACCACCTCCATCAACCACCAACGCCTCCATCACCACCACCACAACCATCACCAACACAACCATCAACCACCACCACCACCACCTCCATCACCACCATCACCTCCATCACTACAACCATCACCACCACCACCACCATCACCACCACCACCTCCATCACCACCACCACCTCCATCACTACCACCACCACCTCCATCACCACCACCACCTCCATCACCACCACCACCACCTCCACTGCCACCACCACCTCCACCACCACCACAACCATCACCACCCATCACCATCCCCTCCATCAACCACCACCACCTCCATCACCACCACCACAACCATTACCACCACCACCATCATCTCCCTCACCACTGCTGCCTCCATCAACCACCACCACCTCCATCACTACCACCACCTCCATCACCACCACCACAACCATCACCACCACCTCCATCAACTACCACCAACGCCTCCATCACTACCAACACCTCCATCACCACCACCACCTCCATTACCACCACCACCATCACCTCCATCACTATCACCACAACCATCACCACCATCACCACCACCATCACCACCACCACCTCCATCACTACCACCACCACCTCCATCACCACCACCACCACCACCACCTCCACTGCCACCACCACCTCCACCACCACCACAACTATCACCACCCACCACCACCACAACCATCACCACCCACCACCACCACCTCCATCACCACCACCACCTCCACCACCACCACAAACACCATCAACCACCACCATCACACCTCCATCAACCACCACCACCTCCATTACCACCACGACCTCCATCACCACCACCATCACCTCCATCACTACCACCACAACCATCACCACCATCACCACCACCATCACCACCACCATCACCACCACCTCCATCACCACCACCACCTCCATCACCACCACCACCACCTCCATCACCACCACCACCACCTCCACTGCCACCACCACCTCCACCACCACCACAACCATCACCACCCACCACCACCTCTATCACCACCACCACCTCCACCACCACAACCCCATCAACCACCACCATCACACCTCCATCAACCACCACCACCTCCATCACCACCACCACAACCATTACCACCACCACCATCATCTCCATCACCACCACCGCCTCCATCAACCACCACCACCTCCATCACCACCACCACCTCCATCAGCACCACAACCATTACCACCACCTCCATCGACCACCACCAACACCTCCATCACCACCAACACCTCCATCACCACCACTACCACGTCCATCAACCACCACCACCACCACATCCATCAACCACCACCTCCATCATCACCACCACCACCACCTCTATCAACCACAACCACCACTACATCCATCAACCACCACCACCACTTCCATCACCACCACCACCACCTCCATCATGACCACCATCACCACCATCACTACCATTTCCATCACATCTCCATAACCACCATCACCACCTCCATCACCACCACCACCACAACCATCGCCACCACCCCCATCAACCACCACCACCACCTCCATCACCACCACCAAAACAGTCACCACCACCACCTCCATCACCACCACCACCACAAACACCATCACAACCATCACCACCACCACCACTACCACCTCCACCACCACCACATCACCACCAAACCCCACCACCCATCTCACCTCCCCACCATTACCACTGCTGCCTCCACCACCACTGCCACTCCCATCACCACCAGCAGCTGTCACAGCCTTTTAACTGCTGTTCTCAATCCCATTTCCTGGTTTACTTCTATATTTCTAAAGTCAGCCTTTGCCAAAGCATATGACTCTGATGTTGGTTGCAGAAGAAGAGAGAATCTTTCTGTCTAGTCCTGAGGTTCATCCTTGTTTTTCTGCCCTGTAAGTAGAGGTCTGTTTCCTATACCCCAGCCAGCCAACTGAGCAGCTCCTGCTCTCAGTCATTCAGGGTCACAATGAAGCCGCTTCTCTTCGACATTACAGCTCTCTGAGTCCATAGTTGTGCTCAAAGTTCCTTTTGTTTCTTTCATTATCAATCTGATCCCTCCAGTCATCATGTGACTTCAGAAGCCATGTGCCCCAGGAACACTTCCCAGCCTCATAATTCTGGTATAAAGCCATCAGAACCACGACCCGACTTTACATCTCCAGCCAGAATGGCATCTGTTCCTCTATCTCAGGATGCACTTTGAGAAGTGGGAGTTGCCACTTCCTTCAGTTGGTTTCTTTTTGTTGTTGTTCTTGCGATCTGACTTGCATACCCCAGAGTCTGGCATTTTAATTGTCCTCGGTGACATTATTAAAGTTCATTAATTTTAAGAGGTCAAGAAATCAAAGGCATAAAAACAGTTTGAGATAGTATTCCCCTCCAGCTAGTTTTTTTTCCTGTTTTGGCTGTGAAGAGTAGAGCAACACATACCTCAAAGGTGAGCCAGGAGGAGAATCCCTCACCTCCGTCCCTATGGGAAGAAAAGTTGATTTATCCCCATTCCAGCTCCCTGAGTGGACAACTCCAAACCCTTGCCACCCGCTATAAAGTCGCCTATCGTGTCCTTGAACACATGTATATTGAGATATTTAGTTGATTTGCACTTTAAAGAATCAAGATGAATAAGTGACATGAAATGAAACCAGTTTGAACACATTTAATAGAGTATAGAAAATCACTCTGAAATGCCAAGTGTAATCTTTGCCTTCAGCTTTCCAGTGGACATTAATGGCTAAATTCTGCCTCCAGTTACATAAATCATTTGATCAAAAAAAAAAAAAAAAAAAAAAAAAAAAGAAGCTAGGCAGCATGAAAATCCTTGAAGCAATAAAGCCAAATTCTGAGATGGCATATAATTATATACTAGTTACCAGATTCTGAAATAGCATGCAATATGCCAAATAGATGTTTATTTCCTCTTGTTTTCTCAAAAGGGTCCCACCCAACCACTGAAAGGAGTAGTATCAAAATAACTCAGGGCGAGGTTAGCCCTCCTCTCTTGCTGCTAGCACAGAGACCTGCAAAGACACTGAGAATTTGCTGCATACCAACACTTAGCGTATTTTAGGCTGTAGCAGGAATGGTTTACACAAGAGGTTTCTAAAGCCTTCAACTGGAGCCAGTTCATTAAAGGTGAGTGGAGTACAGGAAGGGACACACACCAAATGCAGATGATTTGGGATTCGTGTCTAGTTATTAGGTCTTAGCCTGTTTGTATGCCCTGAAATGGGGAATCCCTGGTCACACTGGACCTGGAGTGAAAGCTGGGATTTCCATAGGAAGTCACTGGCCAAACTCATTGATGATCCAGAGTGCCAATATCCACCCACCACAAAGTCACCATAGCCAATTATCTAAATACACATGGGCTGTCTATGAGCTGAGTTACTGAGGGGTCACTAACGTCATGCAATTGATCCTTTTTTTTTTTTTTGAGACAGAGTCTTACTCTGTCGCTGAGGCTGGAGTGCAGTGGCGTCATCTCGGCTCACCGCAACCTCCGCCTCCTGAGTTCAAGCTATTCTCCTGCCTCAGTCTCCCGAGTAGCTGGATTACAGGTGTGCACCACCACACCCGTCTAGTTTTTGTATTTTTAGTAGAGACATTTAGCCAGGCTGATCTCAAACTCCTGGCCTCAAATGATCCACCCGCCTCTGCCTCCCCAAGTGCTGGGATTACAGGCATGAGCCACTGCGCCCGGCCTACATCATGCAATTGATTCTTAAACCACTACTTTAAATTCTTTCTGGAACCAGGCAAGGGATAGATTAATAATATAACAAAAAAAATTTGCTGCTCCCTGCAAAGCAGTTACTGTGGGTTGCCATTTACTTACTTCAATGATATTTAGAACATCTTAAAGACAACCAGATTTATTTTTTGCAGACCTTGTGGTAAGTGGTTTTGAAAATGCTCAATGAGAGTGGATTTGACTTTTAGGAATAGTCACAAGTCAGCTGGCTCTAAGTCTGACAAGCTTAGTTGATAGCCAAGTTAGGCAACACAGGCTTTCATGAATGTCAAGGCAATTGGTTCAACATTGAAGAGGGAGACTCAGCCCCTGCCCTTAAGAAGTCGTGGTCCAGGTTGAGAGGATGTCACACAAAAGACAATGTGCAGCCGGGTGCGGTGGCTCACGCCTGTAATCCCAGCACTTTGAGAGGCCAAGGTGGGTGGATCACTTGAGCCCAGGAGTTCGATACCAGCCTGGCCAACATGGTGAGACCCCCGTGTCTCTATAAAAATACAAAAAATGTAGCTGGGTGTGGTAGCACATGCTTGTGGTTCCAGCCACTCAGGAGGCTGAGGTGGGAGGATAACTTGAGGCTGAGAGGTTGAGGCTGCAGTCAGTTGTGACTGCACCACTGCACCCCGACCTGGGCAACCACTGCACCCCCACCTGGACAACAGAGCAAGACCATGTCTCAAAAAAAAGAGGGAGAAAAAAAGACAATTTGCAATGCAGTTTCATAAGCTCTGTGCAGGAAGCATGAAAAGAGTGCTGCAGTACTAGAGTGGTGGAAATATTCTAAAGTTATGATAGTTATGGCTGCAAACTTGGTAAATTTACTAAAAGTCTTTAAACTGTACACTTAAAACAGGTTGAATTTTATGATATATAATTTTTTTTTTGAGACCGAGTTTCACTCTTGTTGCCCAGGCTGGAGTAGAGTGGCACTATCTTGGCTCACTGCAACCTCCGCCTCCCGGGTTCAAGCGATTCTCCTGCCTCAGCCTCCTGAGTAGCTGGGATTACAGGTGCCTGACACCACGCCCAGCTAATTTTTTGTATTTTTAGTAGAGACGGGGTTTCACGATGTTGGCCAGGCTGGTTTTGAACTCCTGACCTTGTGATCTGCCTGCCTTGGCCTCCCAAAGTGCTGGGATTACAGGCGTGAGCCACCACACCTGACCAGTAAAGTTGTTTTTAAAAACAGCTACTATGTGTATGAGCACAGAGATTCCCTTTAGTTCTAAATTAAAACTATGATCCTCACCACCTTTGCCCAGGGGAGCAAGGTGAAGAAGGGGGAAGAAGACGTTGGCAAAGTGGTGAAGTGTAGGTTGGTTTTGCTTAGGTTTTGAGTCTTGGGCCTGCCTTTAAGTGAGGGAAAGCACAGAGGAGTATCCTATATTCCAATGGTATCGCCACATTTACATTTTAGATAGGTTTCAAGGAAACAGTCTGACAGATGGCAGGACTGGATGCTAGGAGGCCAGTTATAAGGATATTATAATGGTCTTGGACAGAAATTAGGGAAGTTGGAACCATGGGGTGGCAACAGGGTAAAAAGGAAGGCACAAGTGCGTGAGTTCTTAGGTATACTTGGCAGGACTTGGTAACTGGTGGGATGGGGATGAGGAGGGAGAGGAAGAGACAGGGAAGGCTTAGACCATAGGAGGGGCAGCAGGGAGATGGACATGGGGATACAACCATGGACATATTTGATTTCAGCTGCCTGTGTGACATCCAGGTAGACATAGCCAACTGGGAAATACACATATGACTCTGATGCTCTGGGGAGACCCAGGATTACAAGTCTTAGTATAAAGTGGTGGTTGAACCATAGCAGAGGATGAGATGAGTCACAGTGACCTTGTGAACTAGAAAAAAATTGGGCTGAGATGGAACCCTAGGGAAATTAACATTTGAGAGCCAGGGAGATGAAGAGTACATAGAAAAGAAAATGGAGAAAAATGTGAGAGAAACAGGAAGAAAATCAAGAGAGTGTGATGTCAGAGAGCCAAAGGAGGCTGGATATGGAGGCTCATGCCTATAATCCCAGCACTTTGGGAGGCTGAGACAGGAGGATGACCTGAGGCCAGGAGTTCGAGACCAGCCTGGGAAACATTAAAAAAAAAAAAAAAAAAGAAAGCCAAAGAGTCATGTTTGAGAAGAAAGGAGTAATAACGTCAAAGGTAGTTAAGACTGCAGAAAATAAAGACTGGGAAGGAGCCCGGTGAATTTGGTTACTGACGTTAGCAGAAGAATTTCAGGAGAGGAGAGCGGAGGTGATGGTCGGGCTGAAGCAGGCCAGGGAATCCATGGGAGGGCAGGAAGCAGAGACAGAAATGGAGCTGGCTGTTTGGGGACATCTGGGATGAGGCAGGAAGAAGCCAGCGCTGCAGCTAGAGAAGGACACGATGTCTACAGAAAGCTTTGCTCTTTTGTTCTTAAGATGGGAGAGACTTAAGCACGTTCGTGGACTGAGCCAACAAGAAAGGAAATGTCAAAGCTACCAATGAGAGGCCTGTGGATGGCAGGGGCTGGAGAGCAGAGGGCCTCAAATCAGGATCTCAGGCTGGGTACCAGCAGGAAGAGGGTCACTTCATCCTCCAAGATGTGGGGACTAGATGGTGTGTAGCCTGGAGCGAATGGGAGGAGGCTGAGTGGGTTCTCACCTGCCGGCCTTGGGGTCTTCATTTTGTTTTGTGTGAGTGTGTGAAACCCGGCAGGGAGTTCTTTGTTGAAACTATGGAGGTTGGAGGTTTGAAAAGAGTGAAAAGGTTTAAAATCGTGATGATAACAGAGGGAGCTGATGGACAAGTAAATGTGTTGACGTGAGTCATCCTTCATTCTTTTCTTTCCCTCACTCCGCCTCTCCATCTATCAGCAAGATGTCTGTTCTGCTTCTATTTCCTGGGCCGGGCCACTTCTCACCACCTCCACTCCTACCACCCCGGGCCAAGTCACCAGAATCTCTCTCCTGAATTTCTATCATAGTTTCCTTACAAGTTTTCCCGCTTCTTCTCTTGCCCCTTCTAGTCCTTTCCATATACCGCAGCCAGAGTGACCCTTAATACAACATAAATCAGATCATACTATTCCCCCACTTAAACCATCCAATAATTCTCACAGTGATAAGAATAAAATTGGGCCAGACACAGTGGCTTATGCATGTGATCCCAGCACTTTGGGAGGCCGAGGCGGGCAGATCACCTGAGGTCGGGAGTTTGAGACCAGCCTGACCAACATGGAGAAACCCCGTCTCTACTAAAAATACAAAATTAGCCAGGTGTGTTGGCGCATGCCTGAATCCCAGCTACTTGGGACGCGGAGGCAGGAGAATCGCTTGAACCCAGGAGGCAGAGGTTGCGATGAGCCAAGATCGTGCCACTGCACTCCAGCCTGGGCAACAAGAGCACAACTCTGTCTCAAAAAAAAAAAAAAAAGAATAAAACCTAAATGCCAAGCTATGTTCTGTGAGACCCAGTGTGACACTTCCGTACTTTCCCTGGGTTCATGTGTTCCAGCCCCTCTGGCTAACTTTGGTTTCATCCGGGCTGGTTCCTGCCTCAGGGCCTTTGCACTGTCTCTTTCCTTCCGATTGGGAAGCTCTGGGGGGATCTTTCCCATAATTCACCTCAACAGTCAAGTGTCACTTCCTCAAAGAGACCTCCCCTGCTTCTAAGGGATCACCGCCTCCAACCCCTTAACCTGTTTTATTTTCCTCATTGTATTTATCAATAACTGAAACTACCTTACACATTTCTACTTGTGTAAGTCCTTCCCCCTCTTAATCTTAGAATAAGAATTCCAGGAGAACAGAGGCTTTGTTCAGCACATAGTAGGCACCAAATAGATATTGGCTGAATGAATGAATGAAAAGGCAGTGTTAAGAGCCCAATGGAGATTAGAAAATAAAACGGCAACGGCTCAAAGCCACACAGTTGTGTGATTTTCTTCAACAAGGACCATAAAACTATAAGATTGATTTTTTCCTACATGCCTGTTCTGGAGACAATTTCAAACAGGAGCCGGGTGGCAGAGGCATCTTTGTGAAAAGCAGTTAGACTCCCAGGGCGACCAGTGTGGATGTTTATGTTCTTATTTATTTTGCAGAAATGCCCTCGATTTTCTCGTCTTCTTATACGTGGGTTGGCACGTTGTGGGAGGAAATTGCTGACTCTGTTTCCAGCCCTAAAGCTAAGCCGTATTATACAGGTGAAATCAGGTTACTGAGACAGGTCTGGTTTCCTTGGTGACCTGGGAGCTTTAGTTATATTTGAAATTGCTAAGAAGGGGAAAAACCTGATAACAGCAGTTCTGTGTTTTCCTCAGGGAAGGAGCGCTTTTCAATCCTCAGCCCAGGCTGAGGACGTGCCTTCCTGATTGGCAAGGGCTGAGGTCCCACCTCTGGTGGGATGACTGACACTTTTTACCTGCTCCCAGGATCCCACAACCTAGTCTGGCAAGTTTGTCCTATGCCAGCTCCGGGTGACTGCAACCTCAGGATTCCTCAGGCTCCCTGTGTGTTTTGGTTTTGCACGTAAACACTGTAACTAGGGGGACCAGCAGTTAGCTCATTGTAAAATGTGCAAACCACCTTTCTTCTGGTGGGGATGACAACGAAGGGCGTGTTATTTTACAAATGGTAGGGCGACCCAGTTAACTCTTTCATGTTTTCTTTCCTTCTCAGTTGGTTTGTCAAATTTAAGCCCTAATGCCACTGGTGGACAAGGGCTCCATGCCGAAAACTGAGGGAAGTACTTTTACAGTGTTTATTTCATTTCATTTTCATGATAATACTAGAAGTGGATACAACCATTATCCTCGTTTTTTTGTTTTTGTTTGTTTGTTTTTGAGACGGAGGAGTCTCGCTGTGTTGCCCAGGCTAAAGTGCAGTGGCGCGATCTCGGCTTACTGCAACCTCTGCCTCCCGGGTTCAAGCGATTCTCCTGCCTCAGCCTCCCGAGTAGCTGGGACTACAGTGCCACCACGCCTGGCTAATTTTTTGTATTTTTTGTAGAGACAGGGTTTCACTGTGTTAGCCAGGATGGTCTCGATCTCCTGACCTCATGATCCGCCCGCCTCGGCCTCCCAAAGTGCTGGGATTACAGGCATGAGCCACCGTGCCCAGCTATCCCCGTTTTTTTTTTTTTTTTTACAGACGAGGATACAGAGAGGTGAAGTGGCTTTTGCTAGTTACATACCTAATCGGTGGGTTTGGATTTTAGAAAACTTTTACTGCTTATCATACGTTGATGCTGTATTCTGAATTCTCTCTAAATACTGCAAGAGAAGGCAGAAGACCATTCTTGCTTTCTGCAATTACCTGATACTCAGAGTCCACCTTATGCTGCATGTCCCGCAGATACTGAACATCGCTGAAGAACTTCTGCCTGTCCCTTGCGTCATGCAACATGATTCCTAATCCCTGACCTGCACAGAAAAGATAAACAAATGTGCTGTGTTAGAGTCCTTTGTCGTGATGCCGTATTTGGATTTATTTTCATCTAATTGCTTTTATTTGTGTATTCATCTAATTTCCCTTGTTTGAAAGGCACAGATGCTCCTTTCAAGCTGAAGGGACTTCTTGTGTTGCTGTTGATGCCCTTACAGTCCTCCTGTTCCAGGCATAAATAATGCAGCCACCTTCATCAAGCACTTCAGTGATCCTGTCCTGGTTACTCAGAGGGAGTTAGATTGACAGACACCTGATTCGGTTCTAGAGCATGACAAAAAGGAAAACCTGAGAGCCTAGCTAAATAAGCAGTGACCAAAGTTACAGGCCCCTGGTTACTTAAATTCATTTATGCAACAATGATTGCACCGTTATTTCCATCCAGGGACTGTGCTGGACACTGGAGTATAGCAAGCAGCAAAGCAGACACGACCCTCATCTTTGCTCTTTTTTTCTTTTTTCTGAGACGGAGTTTTGCATTTGTTGCTCAGGCTGGAGTGCAATGGCCAGTCTCAGCTCACTGCAACCTCCGCCTCCCGGGTTCAAGCGATTCTCTTGCCTCAGCCTCCCTAGTAGCTGGGATTACAGGCACCTGCCACCACGCCTGGCTAATTTTTGTATTTTTAGTAGAGACAGGGTTTCATCGTGTTGGCCGGGCTGGTCTCGAGTTCCTGACCTCAGGTGATTCACTCGCCTCAGCCTCCCGAAGTGCTGGGATTATAGGTGTGAGCCACCGCACCTGGCCTGTGTTGCTTATAATCCAGGGTGCGAGACTGACTTTGAGCAAGTGAATCCTAACTATGATAGGCCCTCTGAAGCAGAACTATGCGGCTCTTTGAGAGCGTTATTATGGGAGGGCATAACCTGGTCTGGAGGGGTCAGGCAAGGTTTTCCTTAGGCAATGACACTGGGTTTGACAGAGTGAGCTAGCTGAGAAGTGGGACAGAGAGGACAGCAGGTGCAGAGGCTTCAGGCATGAAGGAGCAGGTGCAGATGAGGCAGACGGGAGGGAAGCAGTGCAGCTGGAGCAGAGATGAGGAAGGAACAGCCCCGGAAGGGCTGCAGGGGAGGCAGGGGCCAGCTCCCATGGGGCCTCAAAGGTCATGATTCAAAGAGTCATGGGAAACTCCTGAAAGCTTCCAGTCTGGGAAGTAAATGATTAGATTCGTGTTTTTATTTATTTGTTAATTCTTTTTCTTAGAGACAAGATCTTGCTCCGCCATCCAGGCTGGAGTGTAGTGGTGTGATCATAACTCACTGGGTATAGTGGCTCACGCCTCCCGAGGTGAATCACTTGAGCCCAGGAGTTTGAGATCAGCCTTGGCAATATAGCAAGACCATTTCTATTTAAAAGAAAATTGAAAATTAGCCAGGTATTGTGATGCATGCCTATAGTCCTACCTACTCAGAGGCTGAGGTGGGAGGATCGCTTCAGCCCAGGAGTTAGAGGCTGGAATGAGCCATGGTCATGCCACTGCACTCTAACCTGGGCAACAGAGCAAGACCCTGTCTGTATTTAAAAAAAAAAAAATTGTATTTTAAAAAGATCCCTCCAGTTGCAGTATGAGAATGGATGGGGTGGGGGTGATGGTGGTAGAGTAAAACAAAGAAGTGGGAAGACCATTGGGAATATTTCATAGTAATCTAGATGTGATAAGATGGCAACCAGCATCGGGTAGCAACAGTGGAGAGAAAAAGGAGGAGGAGGTGGAGGACAGTGGGGAGGGAGAGGGGATCATAGCTACTCTTTTTTATTTTTTTTTGAGATGGAGTCCTGCTCTGTCGCCCAGGCTGGAGTGCCGTGGGGCTATCTCGGCTCACCACAACCTCCGCCTCCCAGGTTCCAGCTATTCTCCTGCTTCAGCCTCCCAAGTAGCTGGGATTACAGGCACGTGCCACCACACCCGGCTAATTTTTTATTAGTAGAGGCGAGGTTTCACCATATCGGCCAGACTGATCTTGAGCTCCTGACGTCAGGTGATCTGCCCACCTTGGCCTCCCAAAGTGCTGGGATTACAGGCATAAGCTACTGCGCCCGGCCCATAGTTACTCTTTACCGACCCTCTGGAAGGGATAGGCCTTGTTCTAAGCAGTTACATCAATTAACTCATTCAATCTTCTCAACAACGCAGTGAGGCCAGCACTAGATCTCTATTTCGCAGGTGAGGAAACTGAGGACCAAAGGGATTAAGTAACTTCCCTAAAGTTACGGAGCTAGTGAGGGGAAGAGTCGGGATGTGAACCCGGAGACTCGCTCCAGTACCCACACTCTTAACCAAGGGATTCAAGGGATGCTCAGGACAGAAAGTCATCAGGGCTTGCGATTATATGAATGGACCAGGGGTGGAAGTCTCAGGGATGCCCAGGTTACTGGCTTGAGCAGCCAGTGGGTTGGTGCCAGCATTCGCTTCAGAAAACACAGGAGGAGCTGCTTTGTGAGGAGACAGCATGGCGTCACAAGTGTCTGCGGTGCGGCAAACGGAGATGTCAAGTGTGCTGTCAGACGCAGGGCTCTGGAGCTGACCGGAGAGGTACAGATTTGGGCACTGCTGGCATTCTGTGATAACTGAAGTTGAAGGAAGAATGGGAACGAAAAGAGAAAGAGGACACAGGGACAAAACCTCGTGAAGAACACGAATATTTAGAGAACAAGCCGCTGAAGAGAAACTCTGCGGAAAAAAAAGAAAAAGCCAGAGAGGCAGGAAGAAACCAGGTGGGTGCCGTTTCAGAGATGCCCAGAAGAGAGGGTTTCAAAAAGGAGGCTATTAATAACCTTGGTGAGAGCATTCATTGGAGTGACGGGGCTGGGAGGGCTGCAGAAGGTTGCGTAAATGGGAGGCAAAGGCGTGGAGATCATGCTTTCAAGAAGTTTGGCTTTGACTGGCATGGCCCAAATTTATGGCCAAGATATCTAAGCTCACAAAGGGATAAAATGGCACTGTTAATAACGACCCCTCATCTATGGGGTCATCAAAGCCCCCACACTATTCCTGTTTGTTGTCTACTGAAGCTCTTTCATTTATTTCTACACACACACACACACACATATTTTTTACAACTGCTGTGTGTGACAAGGGCTGCTAGGCTCTGGGGAAACATCAGGATGGGACAGGCGACATCTCTACCTTCAGGTGTATACGTTCTGCGGCATTCCCTCGCTCCTCCTGTTTATTCAGTTGTGCAGATATTGGCAGAGTCAGGCCGCCCCGGACTCATGGTGACCCAGCGTCTGGTCTGGTAGTTATGAAATCTCACATGGTTTATCATCTGGCCCTGAACAATGGGGAAAACTTGTGCTCGTCTCTTGGGGGCTATTTTCTCTGGAGTATGGAAAGTTGGTCTTTTGACAGTCAGAATCTGAAACTACAATCCAATGTGTATTTCCAGTCTACACACAAAACATACATTTTGTCTCTAAGCATTTTAATAATCACTTATGGGACTATGTTTTAAAAGATCACTTTTAGCTTTTCATCTGAATGTGTACCTGCATAGAATGAAGTTACCTTTGCACTCTTTTCAGAAAACGATGGTGTTAAAACAGGCAGAAGGATAAGCTCCTGCTGCTACTGTGGGAAAGAGAAGCCTGTCTGAATCTTATTCAGGCAGAGACCATAAAGACTCATAATAAAAATATGTTAATGGTCACTAAAGGGGAGCATCCCAGAGTCCACTTGGATGATACATTTTGGTTGCCAAAGTTAATATAGAAAGCCGGTTAATCTATCACGGCTTTAGAGCAGGGTTAATTTAAGGAGGCTTCTAAGTCAAGAGGCATGAAATAACTTTGTCTAAATAGGAAGTAGCACCCTTTGAATTACTTGCTAAGTTACCTCTGACTTCACAATCACCTACCAAATAAAGGACTTTAAAATGCCTGTAATCCCAGCACTTACAGAGGCCAAGGCAGGTGGATCACTTGAGGTCAGGAGTTCGAGATCGGCCTGGCCAACGTGGCAAAACCCCATCTTTACTAAAAATACAAAAATTTGCTGGGCGTGGTGGTGCACTCCTGTAGTCCCAGCTACTTGGGAGGCTGAGACAGAAGAATCACTTGAACCTGGAAGGCGGAGGTTGCAGTGAGCCAAGATCGCACCACTGCACTCCAGAGAGAGACTCCATCCCCTCAAAAATAAAAAAAAATAATAATAATAATAATAAAATAATAAAAATAAAATTGCCTACAAAAGTCTCTCTTCCTTCCCATAAACTCTCTATTACATTGTATTTTACAATATTTAGAAACATCGTGGTGCCACATGTAATTTTTTATTTAAATACATCAAGTCTTCATGAGATTAAACAAATATTACGGGAACCAAGAAAACGGTATTAGTGTCAGACCAAGAAGATGGTGGGTTACCTCAGTATAAGCAAACATTCTCTGTGTTTGCTTGAAGTTCATACTGCACTCAGTCAGTTTGAAAAACTGACCAGGATGAACAAGAAACAGAAATAACAGTATGGAAATAAAACTACATGAGATAATGCTTAATTCATGGATCTCAGCTTTGTGGGCCTACTCAACCAGATGGCCACTTGAAGCCAAGAATTTTTCCCCAGCAAACACAGAGGGTTGGGGTGGGGGTGATAATAAAATGTGAGCAAGGCGCATGTTTCTAAAATAGCACTCTGTATTCTCTTCTATCGCTCACCTTTGAACTGCTTCTTAATTTAAAACCCACTCATGGTTATGCACACTTCTGTTTTAAGTCTTTCTGGTGATAATGTCTTGTGCCAAATCTGTGCTTTAGAAATCAACATAAGAAGCCATATTAAGTAGGGAGAGAGAAAGGAGGAGGGAGTTGGAGGCAGGTGGAGAAGGAAGGAGGGGGTCCTGCCTTGCTGAAAGCAAGAGCGAGTAATTCTTCTTGGCCTCAAAATTCTACATATCTGTGAAATTTTAATGGGGGAATATTCTAAGAACTTTGTGACATACACGTTCTTCTCTAGTGTAATTTTCCAGTGAATTCCAACCAAGTTTTCCTGACTGAGGGGAACAGAATCTGATTGCAGAATGTTTTTCAGTGCTCTAAAAGTCATGCATACGTACCATCCCTCTGTTTTATGACCACATTTGTCAAAAGAACTGATTTGAAGGAGCCTGTTCTTAATAACAATCAAAGTCTTATTGGTTTCTTACTATGTTCTCATAAGAGAAAGACATCACTAAAGTTAATATGCTGTTAAGCAATAAAGGAAATGTAAACAATCTAACCTCCTCCTTAGACGGAAGGTTGCTTTGAAATAAAATCTAAATGGCTATTGTTAATACCGGACAATCAGGCTCGAAAATTACTCCCTTTCCACAATTAGGTGATTGGAGAAGGATTTCAGGAGACCTTATTCAACCTTTTCCCCAATTGATTAATTTGTAATGTCAGACATTATAGGATTTGTTTAAATCTTAGCTCTAAAAAAAACTTTGCATTTTAAAGTCTTAGCTTATAAACATGTCTTGAGTATAAGCAACAAAGTTTACGATTTGGGCCCAATTTAAGAATACTGTGACTGCAGAGAAAAAGGGGGAATTGGTTGGGAAAGGTAAGGAGATCTTTCAACTCTTCCAGCCAATTTGGCTTAAGAGTTGGGGGCGGGGTGGAGGGTGGGGAACAGACTTGTGTTTGGCGGTGACTCTTCATTTTACTGTGAAACTAGGAGAGATAGGTGGTCACATTTCGACCATCAAGCCCAGAAGAGAGGAGAAACTCAACGTGTAATTGGGAAACTCTGGGGGAGGAAACGTCACAGGTTTGACAAGCAATTCAGTGCCATCATTAATAACAATATCCAGCCAGAGAAACATAACGAGACCCCTTCTTTACAAATAATTTAAAACATTAGCCAGACATGGTGTTGGCCTGTGGTCCCAGCTACCACCGGGAGGCTGAGGCGGGAGGATCGCTTGAGCCTGGGAGGTCGAGGCTGCAGTGAGCCCTGACTGCACCGCTGCACTCCAACCTGGGAGACAGAGCGAGACTCCTTCTCAAAAATAAACAAAATCAATATCGACCATTTCGCATTCAGAAGCCCAGTGGGCCATGGTCTGTGTATACCTTTTCTGACCAGTGGCGTCTGCAGGAAAGAATGTGGGTGCCAGTGAGCAAAGGTTCACGGTCTCCCCCAAACCTGTCCCTCTGAGACAGAAAAATGCTGGGGCTGGGGTCAGCCGAGGGGAGGGGACGGCCAGGCCACCGGATGTCAGGCCCGGTTTCCCTCCAGAATCTTGTAAGTCGAAAGGGAAGGTTGTCCCCCATCCTGGGAGAACTGGAGCGGAGCGGCGGGGGCGAGGGGGCCGTTACCTGTGGGTCTGCCCTTCCTCCCCTGCCGGGGCTACAGGGGTCGAGGGGCTGGGCGGGCGGGCCGGTCCAGGGCGCAGGAGCCGCCCATTAATTGCGCGGGGACGGCCCTGAGCTCCTCTTCCTCCTCCTCTTTTTGCTTCTTCACTCCCTACACCTGCCCCTCTTCCTCCTCCTTCCCCGAGGCTGCTTTCCGCGGCGCCGGCCGGCCTTGCCTGGGGCGGAGGCGGTGGGGGCGGCTACCGGGCGTCCTCCGGTTTCCCTAGCAACCGCGCCTCCCCGCCCCCGCGCGACCAGGTGCAGCCGCCGAGAGCACGGGGCGGGGCGGGGCGGGGCTGTGGCCCCGGGGTCCCAAGCCAGTCGTGGGCGCCCGCCGGTTGCCGTGGGAACGAGGCGGGCTGCAGTCGGGGAGTCAGAGCCACGCTGGTGGGCAGAGAAGAGATGCCCAAGGAGGAGGCGGTTGGCTTTGTCTGGGTGCCCAAGCCCAGACCCAGATATCCAGGCCTCTGCTCCCTTCCCTGAAAGGGTGCTGTGCTTCATAAAAAATGAGATTAGAAAACGAGAGAGGAAAATATTTTTAATGGAATCAGGGAATGTGAAAAGCGGTACATGCGAAGAGGAAAAGATACTGCAGTCCTGGAGTTCGACCTCTGCAGAGGACATCTGGAATGCTCTGGTCCAACACGAAAAAGAAGAAATAAGCGATGAAGCCAGGCACCCAGTCAGTGGCAGAACCGACATTAGAGCCCAGGCCTCTTCGTAATCAGTCGTCTTCACCCCCTTTCCAAGGAGAGAGGTGCTTAGAGGCCTAGACCAGGCCCTACAGCTTTGGAGCCAGGGCACCAGAACCGCTACTACCCTCACCTTCTCTGTGCCAGGTTGATTTCTTTCTTTTTCTTTTCTTTTCTTTTCTTTTTTTTCTTTCTTTCTTTTTTTTTTTTTTAGACAGAGTCTTGCTCTGTAGCTCAGGCTGGACAGTGCAGTGGCACGATCTTGGCTCACTGCAACCTCTGCCTCCGGGGCTCAAGCGATTTTCATGCTTCAGCCGTCCGAGTAGCTGGGATTACAGGCATGCGCCACCACACCCGGCTAGTTTTTGTATTTTTTTTTTTTTTTTAAGTAGAGACGGGGTTTCTCCATGTTGGCCAGGCTGGTCTCGAACTCCTGACCTCAAGTGATCCGCCCGCCTGGGCCTCCGAAAGTGCTGGGATTACAGGCATGAGCCACCTTGCCCGGCTTTGCCGGGTTGATGTCTGTCTGTGGTTCTCATGGGCAAAGATGACTCCCCTATTTACTTTGCATATTTAGGCTCTCAACTTGTCAACTGATGTCAAGTTAGGGTATTTTTGATTGAGTGGAGAGTAAGGTAAAGGAAGAATAGAAATTCTTGGAACTTTCATCAGTGCCCGGAATCCCTAGGTGTCTGTGGTTTGACCGTCTTCTCAACACCTCCCCTTCCCCCCATTCAGTTGGTGCCAAGTCCTTGGCAGCGTCACATTCTTCTTTCTATTCTTATCACTCTAGTTTTGGGCTCCATGACCTAGTTTTGGGCTCCATGGATTATTCTGAGGGCCTCCTGGTCACACCCTGGGCGCCTGTCCTCCACACCCTATCTTCACCATTTCCCCCATCCTATAAGCAGCCTACATCTAATGTTGCTGGCCCCCTGCTTAAAAAGCCCTGAAAGGTTCCTCACCGCCTGTGGAATGAAGTCCAAACTCGTCACTATGACTTTCCCTGTGCCCTCCCCCACAGTTTCCTTTCTTGGTTTTTCCCCTTCATCACTTCTTCACTCATACTTCAGCCAGATGGGACTATGTGTTACACACTGAACATTTTTCCTTGCCTTCACACCAGCTTCAAAGACATATCATGAGCTGGGCAGAGTCTAGACAAATGTACTTAGCTGAAGTCTTTCCACTGGGCACTTTCCCATCTGAACTTCGCTGGTCCTCCAGCAGACCCTAGGATCTTTTCATCTCTAGTAGCCCAGTCCATATTCTGTTCTTGTTCTCAGCTGATTATCAAGTATTCCTTAGTAAAGCATTAACTGATAATTGAAGTATTAACTGATAAGGATGTAACCTAAGAACTTGCCTCATGGTTTTTGCCTTTCAAAAGGATATGCTTTGGGCCAGGCATGGTGGCTCACGCTTGTAATCCCAGCACTTTGGGAGGCCGAGGCAGGGGGATCACCTGAGGTCAGGAGTTTTGAGACCAGCCTGGCCAACATGGTGAAACCCCATCTCAACTAGAAATACAAAAATTAGCCAGGTGTGCTGGCAGCCACCTGTAAACCCAGCTACTCAGGAAGCTGAGGCAGGAGAATTGCTTGAACCCAGGAGGCGGAGGTTGCACTCCAGCCTGGGCGACAAGAAACTCTGTCTCAAAAAAAAAAAAAAAAGTTTGGATGCGCACACTGGGTTGAAACTATAATAGTGAAATGATAGGTAGGGAGCTTGTTCTGTTGGCGCGAGGACCCACCTCAAATAAAAATAACAGAGGAGGAAGTTGAAGCCCAGGTTCTCACCTTGTTGAAGGTAAGGGACATGACCAGAACATATGGTAAGTACCAGAACCAGGGTTCAAAAACAGGGCTTTCCATCTCCAGTAACTTGATGTTGCCCACTACTAAGAAAAGCACCTTGGTACTTCCTGTACCCAGACAAGATCTATTAAAATAATACTATCTATCTCAAAAGCTTGCTGTGGGAATTAAATGAGAGAGGACAAGCAAAGCATTTCACATCATGCTTGGCACATAGCACTCAATAATTGGTAGCTTTGCTTTATAAGGCATAACTTAAGATTTTATTGCATGTGAATGTTAACCGTAAATATTTAAAGATTTTTATTTATTTTTAATTTTTTAATTTTTTTTTTTTTTGAGCCAGAGTCTGTCACCCAGGCTGGAGTGTTATAGCGCGATCTTGGCTCACTGTAACTGCCGCATCCCAGGTTCAAGCGATTCTCCTGCCTCAGCCTCCTGAGTAGCTGGGACTACAAGCACGTGCCACCATGCCCAGCTAATTTTTGTATTTTTAGTAGATACAGAGTTTTGCCAGGTTGACCAGGCCAGTCTCAAACTCCTGACATCAGGTGATCCACCCTCTTCGGCCCCCACAAAGTGCTGGGATTATAGGTGTGAGCCACTGTGCCCAGCCTAAAGATTTTTAAATAACAAGGTCTGGAGAAGTCACTTCATATCTCAGCTTTAAACTCTTCCACATGTCAAGTGTTCTTGAAAATTAAGTTATATGAAAAAATCATGGTGCCTTTGAAAGAGGGTAATAGTGCCCAAGGTCAGCTCATAAAAAGCTATAGAGCAACTCCAACTTTAGTGTTTAATGAGTAAATTTAAGCTAGGCATGTAAATTACAAATAAGATTAGTTCTGGCATTAAAAAGCAAAGTCCTTAGGAGGAGAAATATTAAAATGAAGAAGAAAAACTTCTCCTGGTTGGGGAAAGGATCCTACTCTTCATTATTTCCTGCACAATGTTCCTGGTAGAGATGAATAAGTAAACAAAAAAACTTAAGACTTAAGTGGATGGTAGATTCTAATGCTCCCTCCTGCTGATCTAACAAAATACCTTAGACTAGCTAATTTGTAAACAACAGAAGTGTATTGCTTACAGTTCTGGAGGCTGGGAAGTCCAAGATCAGGTCATCTGCAGATTTGGTGTCTGGTGAGGGCTCACTGTGTTTTGTATATAGCATCTTCCCTTTGCATCCTCATATGGTGGAAGGGACAAACTCCCTCAAGCCTCTTTTATAAGGGCCCTAATACCATTCATCATGGTGAAGTCCTCATGACCTAGTCACCTCCCAAATGGCCCGCCTCTTAATACCACTACAATGGGAATTAAGAGTCAACATGAATTTTGGAAGGACCTAAGCATTCAGACCATAGCAAGCATGAAAAAGTTCTTTAATTATATCTAAGAGTTCTGCAAAGAACAACTTCAAGTATAAAGTTTCAAAAGTAGACTGTGTATTAAGTTTCAGAAATAACACTTTTGAGGGAAATATTTAATGCAAAGAGTAAGCTGTGCAGAGGAATAGGCATACATTCTAAGTCTCCCAAGGTTTTTGAGACAGGGATATCCAACAGCTTCATGGACACCTGGCCCAGCTACTCACTTGAGCTGGAGCACCCCACCCTCTATCTGCCTAATATTTTCTCTTCCTAAGAGAGAGAGAGAGTCTAACTAAAAGAGTCTCTTTGTAACTAACTATTCAGAAGCTCTCCTATTGGGCATAGAGTTTTATGCCAAGTGACTTCAGAAGCAGATGGCCTCCCTCAGATACAACTTAAACTTGGTCATTTTTGCCTTGGTCATGGGATCTCGCCATGACTAATGGGTTCCTGTTCTCATCATTGAGGCCAGTGTGGTGTTGCCTTCATCCATGCACACAGCATGAACTGCGGCAGTTTGTTTGCAAAAAGAATCTCTAGGAATAGCTTTCCTGAGAAGGGAACTGTGGACATGTGAGTCCTTTAGAGCTCCATGGGTTCTCCTCCAGCATGCCATTGTGCAGGGGCTTTCCCTGATTCATTTTCAAAACTGGCTAATGACTTATTGGGTATACCAGGGGCCGCTGTGACATTCTGCATTCATCTTGTAGCTGTATTTGGCCAGACTGTGGGTATGCAATGTGATAATCTCTCAGTGTCACTCATTAAAAGTCATCCTTTATTGATGTCATCAGATGGTTAGAGAGCTTGGTAGGCTTTCAAGGTGAGCCTTCTGGATTATGTACATACAGTTGGCCCTTAAACAGCATGAATTTGAACTGCCCAGGTCTACTTATACATTGGTTTTCTTCCACCTCTGCCACCCCTGAGGCAGCAAGACCCACTCCTCCTTTTCGTCCTCCTCCTCAGCCTGCTCAGCATAAAGACAATGAGGATGAAGGCTTTTATGATGATCCACCTCCACTTAATGAATAGTAAATATATTTTCTCTTCCTTATGATTTTTTTTGACAGGGTCTTGCTTTGTTGCCCAGGCTGGAGTGCAGTGGTACGATCTCAGCCCACTGCAACCTCCACCCCCCAGGCTCAAGTCATCCTCCCACTTCAGCCTCCCAAATAGCTGGGAACACACGTGCATCACCATGCCTGCCTAATTTTTTTTTTTTTTTTTTTTTTTAGAGATGTGGTCTCCCTGTATTGCCCAGGCTTGTCTGAGAATCCTCAGCTCAAGCGATCCTGTCGCCTAGGCCTCCCAAAATGCTGGGATTACAGGCATGAGCCACCACACCCAGCCCAATAATAGCCATTCTAAATAGGGAGAGATAATATTTCATTGTGGTTTTGATTTGCATTTCTTTGATAATAGTGATGTTGAGGACTTTTTATATACCTGTTGGCCATTTTTATGTCATCAGAGATGGCTATTCAGCTCATTTGCCCATTTTTAAGTTGGAGATATATCTCCAACTTAAATGTGTGTGTGTATATATATATATATCCAACTTAAATGTGTGTGTGTATATATATATATATATCCAACTTAAATGTGTGTGTGTGTATATATATATATATATATATATATATATATATATATATATATATATGGCTGTTGTTTGAATTCCTAGTATATTCTGAGTATTAATTCCTTGTCAGATGAATAGTTTGCAGGTATTTTCTCTCATTCTTCAGATTGTATCTTCACCCTGCTGATTGTTTCGTTTGCTGCACAGAACGTTTTTAGTTTGATATAATCCCATTTGTCTATTCTTATTTTTGTTGCCTGTGCTTTTGAGGCATATTCATAAAATCTTTGCCAAGACCAATGGCTTCAAGTGTTTCCTCTATGTTTTCTTCTAGTAGTTTCACAGCTTCAGGTCTTATACTTAAGTCTTTAATCCATCTTGAGTTTATTTTTGTATATGGTGTGAGGTAGGGCTCTAGTTTCATTCTTCTGCATGTAAGTAACCAGTTTTTCTAGCACCATTTATTGAAGAGACTGTCCTTTCCACAATGTATATTCTTGGTACCTTTGTTGAAAATCAGTTGGCTGTAAATATGTAGATTTATTTCTGGGTTTTCTGTTCTATTCCGTTGGTCTATGTGTCTCTTTTTATGCCAGTACCATGTGCTTTGGTTACTATAGCCTTGAAGTATATTTTGAAGTCAGGTAGTGTGATGCCTCCAGCTTTGTTCTTTTTGCACAGGTTTGCTTTGGCTGTTGGGGTCTTTTGTAGTTCCATATGAATTTTAGTATTGTTTTTTCTATTTCTGTGAGGAATGTCATTGGTGTTTTGATAGCAATTGCATTGATTCTATAGATCACTTTTGGTAATATGGTCATTTTCACAATATTAACTCTTCTAGTCTATAAACATGGGATGTCCTGTGAGATGTCCAAAGACATCCCATGTTCACAGACTGGAAGAATTAGTACACACAGACACACACACACACACACACAAATATGTACATATTCCGATGGAGGTTATTGAAGACCCAGGATTTGGTCCTTGATTTGTAGGATCAGAAAATTCACTTTATTTAATTCAGAACTGACCTCTTTAGAAATTGATTCTTAATAACCCCACTCAGAAGAGACCATTTGTTATCCACCTGACCAAGTTATTATTTTATCTCAGAGAATGAAGCTGGCAGGCTGACCCTGGTCATATGCTTGAGGTACTTCCTCCTGGTGGAAAGGCATTCCTAGGAGATCAAATTAAAGATCTGAAGATTTGGTGAATATTAAATTACATTAAAGGGAATTGAATGTCCTTTTTTTTTTTTTTTTTTTCCCCGAAACAGACTCTTGCTCTTTAGCCCAGGCTGGAGTACAATGGCGCCATCTCAGCTCACTGCAACCTCCAACCCGGGTTCAAGCAATTCTCCTGCCTCAGCTTCCCAAGTAGCTGGGATTACAGGTGCCTGCCCTGTAATTAGCATGCCTGGCTAATTTTTGTATTTTTAGTAGAGACGGGGCTTCACCATGTCGGCCAGGCTGGTCTCGAACTCCTGACCTCAGGTGATCCCCCCACCTCGGCCTCACAAAGTGCTAGGATTACAGGTGTCAGCCACTGCACTCGGCCTGTTCTTAAGGGATACATCTAGCAGATTGACGAGGCCTTAACGAATGACCTTCCTCCCCTCAAAGGACATTTCAGTCTGGATGACTGATTTGGATTATTTATGTCAAAGTTTTTGGAGACTTTTACCACATCTTTCTCTCAGGTAACTGCCGTTTTGCTGAACTTCAAGGGACCATTTCTCTTATGCCATTAACAGCATAGTTTGGAGTTGAGAAGACCTAGGTTAAAATCCTAGCAGTGGGATTTGTTGTATCATAGCGAACAATTCTCATCACCCTTTGAATTTCGAGATCCCTGTAGTTAAAAGTGGAAATAATCAGAGCCTTCTCAATGGATTGTCATGAGGATTAATGAAATAGTGTATGTAAAGTTTCTGGCATTGTGCCTGACACAGTAGCTGCTCAACAAACGGTAGCTATCATTATTGCTTACATCATGTACATAGATTTCATTCTCCTTGCTGAGATGAGACACCCTAAAGTACATCACCCATGCATTTATAAAGCATCTCTAAAAGCTGTTACTTTGGCCGGGCACAGTGGCTCACACCTGTAATCCCAGCACTTTGGGAGGCCGAGGCGGGTGGATCATTTGAGTTCAGGAGTTCAAGGCCAGCCTGGCCAACATAGAGAAACCCTGTTTCTACTAAAAATACAAAAATTAGCTGGGTGTGGTGGCGGGAGCCTATAGTCTCAGCTACCTGGGAGGCTGAGGCAGGGAGAATTGCTTGAATTCGGGAGGTGGGGGTGGCAGTGAGCCGAGATTGTGCCATTGCACTCCAGCCTGGGAGACAGAGTGAGACTCTGTCTCAAAAAATAATAATAATAAATAAATAAAAGCTGTTACTTCTTTAAAATGCTACTGATACCTTTGTGGTTAATTTTATATTGATTACTTTTTATGCTGAATTTCAGAAAGTGACATTTTATGATCGCATCTCTGATTTTTGTTAGAGATCATCTAATTTCATGAAACTGAGAGCGTATCCAGTTTAGGGCTTGCAGCCATCCATGAACTGTGTGAAATTTAGTAATGTCTGTTGGGCTTTCATAGGGCAGATATTTGAGATCCAGTTCTTTTGTAGAATGAAGTAGACTCCATTAGAGACTGGCAAATTCCCTATAATTAATTACAATTTTTTAAAAAAAGCATGTCCTCTGGGAGATCCCTTAGAATTTTCCTCACTTGTAACTGTAGCTGATCTATTGTGCTGTTTTACAAAGAGGGGGCAAACTCATTAAAGTTTTTGGATCCTATAGTACTGAAATATTACTCAAAAGTTCAAATGGGCTTTGATTTATTTATCTGTTTTGGAAGCTTCAGACTTTTCAAACCATTATGGCCGTTAATGCATCTGATACAAGATTGGATGTGATTATAGGAACTTTGAGAACATAAAACATACTGCTTTTTTGCATTTCTGAAAAATTCTTACCAAAAGGAAGAATTTGACTTCTGTCCAGAAGGAGTATCTGATTTGTTTGGACTCTGGATAAACTCGAGCTGTGCATATTTGGCCAAGAGTTTGATTTGTGGACTGATCATCGAGCCGTGGGCAAGACTCAGGCTTCAGAAAGCGATGTCAGTGTCAAGAATCCCACATGAACATTAAATATGCTTCTGGACAGATAAACACTCGAGCCAAAAAAAAAAAAATCCATCTCATCAAGAGGGCAGAGGAACATAAGCACTGAGCAACTTCTGAACCTTCAGGAAGTGGACGCTACTCCACAACATTTTGTTTTTGTTTTTGTTTTTGTTTTGAGACAGTCTTGCTCTGTTGCCCAGGCTGGAATGCAATGGTGCGATCTTGGCTCACTGCAACCTCCGCCTCCCGGGTTCAAGCAATTCTTCTGCCTTAGCCTCCCAAGTAGCTGGGATTACAGGCATGCGCCACTATGCCCAGCTAATTTTGTATTTTTAGTAGAGAAAAGGGGACCCCCATACACTGTTGGTGGGAATGTAAATTAGTATAACCACTGTGGAGAACAGTTTGGAGGTTCCTCAAAAAACTAAAAATAGGACATATGATCCAGCAATCCCACTGCTGGGTATATATCCAAAAGAAAGGAAATCAGTATATTGAAGAGATATGTGCACTCCATGTTTATTGCACCACTGTTCACAATAGCTAGGATTTTGTTTTGTTTTGTTTTGAGACAGAGCCTTACTCTGTCACCCAGGCTGGAGTGCAGTGGCACAATCTCGGCTCACTGCAACCTCCGCCTCCTGGGTTCAAGCAATTCTCGTGCCCTAGCCTCCTGTACCTGGGACTACAGGCACCCAGCACCACACTTGGCTAATTTTTGTATTTTTAGTAGACGCGGGGTTTCACCATGTTGGCTAGGCTGGTCTCGAACTCCTGGCCTCTAGGGATCCACCTGCCTCGGCCTCCCGAAGTGTTGGAATTACAGGTGTGAGCCACTGTGCCAGGCCTCTGACAAAGCTAAGATTTGGAAGCAGTCTAAGTGTCTATCAACAGATGAATAAATAAAGAAAATGTGGTACATATACACAACGGAGTGCTATTCAGCCATAAAAAAAGAATAAGATTCTGTCATTTTCAGCAACATGGATGGAACTGGAGATCATGTTAGGTGAAATAAGCCAGGCACAGAAAGACAAACATTGCATGTTCTCACGTATTTGTGGGATCTAAAAATCAAAACAATTAAACTCATGTACATTAAGTGTAGAAGGATGGTTACCAGAGGCTGGGAAGGATAGTGGGGAGGGGGTGGAAGGAAGGAGGATCATGTTAATGGGTACAAAAAATAGAAGGAATAAGACCTACCATCTGATAGCACAACAAGGTGACTATAATAACTTGTCAATTAATAATAACTTAATTGTACATTTTAAAATAACTAAAAAAGGGCCGGGCATGGTGGCTTATGCCTATAATCCCAGCACTTTGGGAGGCCGAGACAGGTGGATCACGAGGTCAGGAGATCGAGACCATCCTGGCTAACACGGTGAAAACCTGTCTCTACTAAAAATACAAAAAATTAGCTGGGCGTGATGGTGGGTGCCTGTAGTCCCAGCTACTCAGGAGGCTGAGGCAGGAGAATGGCATGAACCCGGGAGGCGAAGCTTGCAGTGAGCCGAGATCGCGTCACTGCACTCCAGCCTGGGAGACAGAGCAAGACTCCGTCTCAAATAAATAAATAAATAAATAAAAATAACTGAAAGAGTATAACTAGATTGTTTGTAACACAAGGGATAAATGCTTGAGGGGCTGGATTTGCCATTCTCCATGATGTGATTATTACACATCGCATGCCTGTGTCAAAACATTTCACGTACCCCATAAATATATATACCTAATATGTACCCACAAAAATTAAAAATTAAAAAAATTTAAAAAATAAATAAACACTGACTGACAAATGCTAATGAGTGCCAGGACACTAATAGAGTGCCACAACAGAGAATATTGGGAGGAGCAGGGAGACCCTATTTACACAGGTGGTCAAAGATGACCTCTCTGTGTGAGACCTGAAGGATGAAGAGAAGCCAGCCTCCGGGGGTGGAGAAAACAGGACTGAGATGATTGTAAGGTGAGAGAAAGCTCAGGGGATTCAAGAAAGCTTAAGGTGTGGCTGGAAGACTATTGTGAGGGAAGCCTGGTGAGGTTGTGAGAGTTGGAGTCAGGTTTTATTCTAAGCACAATGGAAAGCCATGGAATGGCTTTAAAGTGTATGTGCATTCCTCTGTGCGTACGTATGTGCATGCACGTATATGCGCGTGTGTGTGTGCATCTGATATATCGTCTGGAGCATATTGTAGAGACCCATGAGAAGGTTCCCCACTAGAATTGGTAGTTATGACCTCGTGATCCCTACTACAGCCTTTGATGAAACATCAAAATGTCACTCAAGCATGAGCTTGTCCATCAGCATGAGACATGATCAAATATGAATTATCAAAGAAATTTTCCCCAGTTCTGGGACACACACATGACCAGATGTTCCATGTTGGGTAGCATAGCCTGATTTTTTTTTTTCTGATGCTGAGTTTTGCTCTTGTCGCCCAGGCTGGAGTGCAACGGGCGCGATCTGGCTCACTGCAACCTCCGCCTCCCGGATTCAGGTGATTCTCCCTGCCTCAGCCTCCCAAGTAGCTGGGATTACAGGTGCATGCCACCATGCCTGGCTAATTTTTGTATTTTTAGTAGAGACAGGGTTTCATCATATTTGTCAGGCTGCTGACCTCAGGTGATCTGCCCGTCTCGGCCTCCCAAAGTGCTGGGATTACAGGTGTGAGCCACCGCACCCGGCCGCATATCCTGATTTTTAACTTCCAGCCTCTTGTTCCAATGCAATCCTCATAATGTCCCTTACTGATGTCCCTCTTTGTTGCATCCTGGGTCTTGCTCCTTTTACTCCCCTCTCTTTTCTTTCTCTTTTGATCTCCGCCTGTCCTTCCTCTTCTCTCCTTTCCCCTCCCCTCTCCATCCTTCCTCTCCTTCTCTTCTCTCTGCCTTTCTCATTAAGAGTCAAAGTTCCTTGCCAAACCACAGCTCTTAGGTTTCTATTTTCCCGAACAGATTTCTTGGCTGGTTTTACAGACTTTTCAATTGGTTCTCTCTTCTGCTTCCATGTAGTCTCTTCTCTGTTTCCAGTCACTGCTCCTAGACACTCTCCTCCCCTCCCTTAACAAGCCTAACCCCTAGGTTACAAAGTTTGAAAAATGTCAACAGGAAAAAGGGCTCTTCCTGTAGCCCTGTAAAAAAGAAGACGTGAAGGAGTTAACCTCGAGCGACATCAGTCTCCAGCCATCAGTACAGTGAGGCAGTTCTTGAAAACCAGACAGAACAGAAGGTATCACTGTGCAACGTCCCTTCTGTGGCTCACGGCGCCCTCTGAGTCAGGATAATGAGAGAACATTCTTAAAACATGACCTAACCACGCTCTGTCCTCAAACAAATTCCTGGATGTGTGTGGAGTAAGCTCTCCCAGCAAGCCTGAGCACAGACGTGCGGGGCGGGCTTGTTAGCACTCTTCTGAGTTGCTCCCTTTACAAAGCCACCTTCCCAGCCAGTTCATTTGTATTAAAGTAAACTTTTAAAAATAACCAGTCAGTCTGTCCAGCAAACATGCTATGGGCCTCTTATGGCTGTACTTTCATAATTTTATATTGTGGCGACTGGGTCTCTGTCTTGGGGGGTATTTGGGGGCCTTTGACTTCACACTGTAGCAGGAAGAAGTTATGCAAAATTCTCGTCAGATATAGAAAAAAGGAAACAGGATATCATTCATTTCCAGAATGGAGCAGAATCACAACACAGTGATTGTGATTGCAGAGTGTCCTTTATTTCACCTACACCTGAAGTTGTGTGTGTGTTTGTGCGTGTGTGTGTTTAATACAGGCGGCTTATCTGAGTGATTTTAAGAAATTAATTTAATTGAAAAATGATTAAATTACAAAGAGAGGAAAAAGCATTTGGTTGGCATTACATGGGGTCAGAGGCCACTGCTAATGCAATATTTCATCAATTGCCTCATTGCTATTCTTTCAATGATGTGATTTAGTTTCTCAAATAGCTCTTATCCTGGCAGGCTTGCCTTAGATACATTGTACAGAGGCCTTATAATCATTACAATGTATTTACTTAAACATTTTAAAAACAATTAAGCACTTTTAGATATATTTGTGTATGTGCGTGCGTGCATGCATGCGCGTGTGTGTGTGTGTGTGTGTGTGTGTGTGTGTGTGTGTGTGTGTACATGTCCACAGAGGGATTTTATAAATGTCCGGACAAGGGTTCTGAGTGAACACTAGGACAAGTGTTGAATTTATCCACTGTAGTGCCCTTCATGCATTTCAAAGAGCTCCATGCAGACTCATGTTAAGCTTTTTTCATGCCCTTTGAATATACCACTATCTCCCTTTAATACACTGAAGAAACAAGAGGACAAAGAGTCTCCCTGTGTTCCTTATCCAAGGCCACACAACTGTTGCTGGAACCTTGAGCTTTCTGAGTGCCAGGCACTTACTTGCAGTATATCGAACGCTGGGATATGGTGGAGGTTTAGTTTGTTAAAAAGTGTGATAGCCCTATGATTGTGGGAAAAAGTTTTGACATACTTTGTTTTTTATTTTAATGCAGATCAAGTCATTATAATGGTCTTTCTCTTAGAAGGCTACTGAGGTTGGGTTAAACAGTAACAGGGGTGCTTGGGAAAGGGTAGAGCAACATTTTGGCAGCATATGAATGGGTATGTGTGCACATGGGTGGTAATACCGCATGCCCTGACCTGTCCTATGCCTCTTCCCCTTCACCTTTGTTTCAAAATGTTGTGTCCAGCGTTGAAAAATGCTGGCACAGTTTGATGCAGGTGTTTGCAACCTCCTTCACCCCAAATGCCATGGTGGTGGGGATGCTAGGCTCTCTTAGCATCCCCCTCCTCGTGCTGCATGAGGTGGGAAGGCAAAATCATGTATTCATTCATCAAACGCTGATCAAGCACTTAAGTGCTAAGTACTGTTCGAGGTTCTGCGGATTCACAGAGGAATAATATTCGGTCTTTGTGCTAGCGGGGAGGTAGGAAAGTAAACAAGGCCATAGAGTAAGCTCTACGATAGAGGTAGATGTGGGCCTGGGTGGTGGTGGGGGCACAGGGGAGATGAAGGAGAGGAAAAGGAAGGTTCTCACGGTGAGGGATGGTGAAAGGCCTCCAAGAATTGCTGGAGGCCCCATTCAGTGGTGGGTGCTGGCGCGTCAGTTCCCTCTGAGAGGAAGCATTTCTCAGCAGCACCAAACACTGGCTAGACCTTGAGCTAGATGACGTTTGTTGTCAACTCTCCCAGCCTTCCTGTCTGCGCCCTTTCCCTCCCTGTCTGGAAGGAAGCTCCCAACAGCCTTTTCAAAATCTGCTTAGGGCAGCTATGCATAATCAATATTTATTGAATCAAATTGATCTGAAAAGTATTCGCACTACGGTATAAATGGCTCATACAGGGTACACCTGGGCACATGTACCTGGAAGCCTCAAGCTAAAAGAGCTTTTGCCAGCTCAGCAGGAGAGCTTCATAGTATGTTGGAGGCTCCTACACCCGAGTGCACATTTTCTGGATGGTTGCCCACTTTTTCTGTACTTTAAGCTGGCCCTACTTCCAAGCGCCCAGCCTTACATGTTTTCCCTTCCCTGCCCACTATTGTGGCTATATGATAAGGCAGGATGAGGGCCGATAACTGCTAGTCTCAGACCTTTTGGCTAGAAATGCCACAAGACTACAGCAACAACTGCTTTGAAGCCTGGGAGAGACCAGTGATGAAAAACAAAGTTGCGGCCAGGCACAGTGGCTCATGCCTGTAATCCCAGGACTTTGGGAGGTCAAGGCGGGCGGATCACTTGAGGTCAGGATTCAAGACCAGCCTGGCCAACATGGCGAAACCCTGTCTCTACTAAAAATACAGAAATTAGCTGGGAATGGTGGTGCATGCCTGTAATCCCAGCTACTTGGGAGGCAGAGGCAGGACAATCACTTGAGCCCAGGAGGTTGCAGTAAGCCGAGATGGTGCCACACACTCCAGCCTGGGTGACAGAGCAAGAAAGAAAGCAAAAGTAAAACAAAGTTGCAGTGAATGGGACTGGACGTTTAAATGTCTCTTTTAAATGCACTCACTATTTTGGTTCATGGTTTACCACTCGTATGTTTACTGCATGAGGGCAGAACTGGTGTGGCACATACATTGAAATTCTACCTCTAATGTGAGATAGAAAGCAGGGGGAACTGACCAGGAACCTCCACCTTATTCCCAGTCATAGCGTTCCACTAGGATTCTCCCATGGACCATATTTCAGTGTACAAAATTGTCATATTCACAGAAAGTACCACATTTGTTTCCCCAACCATCAGGGTTGTATAGTTACAGTCAGTGCCCTGTGCAGTAAAGACTGGCAATTGGATGTTTTTCAGACCTTCAACTTAGTTCATTATGAGAAGCTGTCTAAAAAAACAAACAAACAAGCGAACAACAAACTACAGTCTTCAATTAAAGGTTCAGAGGCCAGGCACAGAGGCTTATGCCTGTAACCCCAGCACTTTGGGAGGCCAAGGCAGGCAGATCACTTGAAGTCGGGAATTCAAGGCCAGCCTGGCCAACATGGCGACACCCTGTATCTACCAAAAGTACAAAAATTAGCTGGGCATGGGGTGGTGCTCGCCTGTAATTCCAGCTACTTGGAAGGCATGAGAATCACTTGAATCACCCAGGAAGCAGAGCTCACGGTGAGCCGAGATTACACCACTGCACTCCAGCCTGGGTGACAGAGCAAGACTCTGTCTCAAAAAAAAAAAAAAGAGGTTCAGAAAGTGGACACCTTTTAGCACTATCTAATAGAAATATGAGTCATATAAGTAATTTCAAATTTCCTAGGAATAATATTCAGAAAAGTAAAAGGAAATGGGTGAAATTCATTTTAATAACATATTTTACTAAACCCACTAAATTGAAACATTGTCGTTTCAACATGTAATGAATATTTTTTATTTTTAGAATCAGAGCCTCACTCTGTTGCCCAGGCTAGAGTACTGTGATGCAATCATGGCTCAGTCAACCTTGAACTCCTGGGCTCAAGCCATCCTCCCACCTTAGCCTCTTGAATAGTTGGGACTACAGGCCTGTGCACCACCACACCCAGTGATTTATTTTTATTTTTATTTATTGTAGAGATGGGGTCTCGCTAGGTTGCCCAGGCTGGTCTGGGACTCCTAGGATCAAGCAGTCCTCCTGCCTCAGCCTCTGGACTACAGGTGCATGCCACCTTGCTCAGCTAATTAAAACATTTTTTTTTTTTTAATGGAGACAGAGTCTTGCTCTGTCACCCAGGTTGGAGTGCAGTGGCATGATCTTGGCTCACTGCAACCTCTGCCTCCTGGGTTCAAGCAATTCTACCTCAGCCTCCCAAGTAGCTGGGATTACAGGCACCCGCTACCATGCCCGGCTGATTTTTTGTATTTTAGTAGAGACAGAGTTTCACCATGTTGCCCAGGCTGGTCTCGAACTCCTGAGCTTGGGCAATCCACCTGTCCTGGCCTCCCAAAGTGCTAGGATTACAGGCTTGAGCCACCACGCCCGGCCAACACTTTTTTTTTTTTTTTTTGAGACAGAGTCTTGCCACCCAGGCTGGAGTGCAGTGGCACGATCTCAGCTCACTGCAACCTCTACCTCCCAGGCTAAAGCAATTCTCCTGCCTCAGCCTCTCAAGTAGCTGGGATTACAGGTGTGTGCTACCATGCCCAGCTAATTTTTGTACTTTTAGTAGAGATGGTTCCAGCTACTTGGGAGGCTGAGACGGGAGGATAGCTTGAGTCTGAGAGGGTGAGGCTGCAGTGAGCTCTGATTGCGCCACTATACTCCAGCCAGGACAACAGAGTAAAACATTGTCTCAAAAATTAAAAAGAAAAAGAAAGAAAATGAAAAACAATGACCACACCTCTATATGTGTGTGTGTGTGTGTGTGTTTGTGTGTGTGTGTGTGTGTGAGAAATGAATGTTCTTTGCTGGCAATCTGACATACAGGAGAAATTAACAGAGTTAATGGCTATTCTGGCATCTGCTCCCAAGCCACTGAGACCACAGAATTAGAGGATGGGAAGGGACCTTGGAGATCTTGTTAACTGTGTCCTGGACCCTCATTGCAAGGAATCAGATTCAACTGGCCTAGGGAGGGGTCTAAGTATCAACATTTTTAGACGTCCCCTAGGTGATTCTAACGTAGGGGCTGGGCTCTAAATGCAGAAACATCCCTTTTGTTTTATAGGTGAAGAGACAGGGGCTAACTGAGGTCAGTGACTCATCTTACAGCTTGTTAGAGGCAGAGTGAAGCCCGGAATCCGGATATTCTTCTCTACCCAGCTCACACAGAGGACATTTCCATAATACCTTCATCATGGGTCATTCTCTTGCTTAACCCCAGAGTTGCTCTCATTTTGAATTGAGACACATTCCTCCGCTTAACCTAGCTTAGACACAAACTTCAACAAACTTCTCTGAACCCTTACTTGCCAAGAAAATCTTCAGATCAGTGAAAACATTGAAGTGATTCTGGTCCGGGACCATGGCTGTAAATGCCTCCCATTTTAGACCCAACTGGGACCTGACACCCTATACTGAATATAGAGTTTAATTAGAGGGTACAGGGAGGGGCCCCAAAGAAGCAAACACTTGAGTCTGATGAGTCTCATTGATGCACAGCCTAAGCCAGAGTGACCCATTAACAGGGTCTCACACTCAGATATATCTGAGTTCAGAGCAGGTAATGCATGTGAGTAGTGTGGGTTAGGTGGGGGCTCTGGCCCAAGCTCCTCCTAGCTATGCGGGGAGGATGCAATGCAAGTCCAGTCCTTCCAATTTCTCAAAGAAGTCGCAAATTTGGGTTTTTGTTTGTTTTGGTTTTTGTGAAAAACCCTGTTTTGTGAATGTTGGCAACTAGTTTGATTTTTAGAAAAACACTGTAAGAGTCAAATAAAACCCACTCGTGAGCTATATTCTGCTTGTGAGGCTTCAGAATACATCTTTTAGATAAGTCCAAGACTTTTTTTTTTTTCAGATGGTCTCGCTCTGTTGCCCAGGCTGAAGGGCAGTGACACACAGATCACTATAGCCTTGACCTCCTGGGCTCAAGCCATCCTCCCATTTCAGCCTCCCGAGTAGCTGGGATTACAGACATACACCACCAAGGAATATGACTTCATCATATTCAATATCGAGTTTTACTGGTTTCTAAAATGTTGGCCTAATACCATCATGTAGGTTGAGCATCCCTAATCCAAAAATTCAAAATCCGAAACTTTTTTTTTTTTTCTTTTTTTGAGACAGAGTCTTGCTCTGTCGCCCAGGCTGGAGGGCAGTGGCACGATCTCAGTTCACTGCAAGCTCTGCCTCCCAGGTTCACGCCATTCTCCTGCCTCAGCCTCTTCAGTAGCTGGGACTACAGGAGCCCGCCACCACGCCCGGCTAATTTTTTTGTATTTTTAGCAGAGATGAGTTTTCACCGTGTTAGCCAGGATGGTCTTGATCTCCTGGCCTCGTGATCCGCCCGCCTCGGCCTCCCAAAGTGCTGGGATAACAGGCGTGAGCCACCGCGCCCGGCCCAAAATCCGAAACTTTTTGAGCGCCAGCATGACACCACTAGGGGAACGTTCCACACTCGACGTCATGTGATGGGTTCAGTCAAAACATTGTTCCATGAACAGAATCATTAAAAATATTGAATAAAATTACCTTCAGGGTATGTGAATAAGGTGTATATGAAACATAAATGAATTTCGTGTTGAGACTTAATTCTATTCTCAAGATAGCTCATTTTGTATACAGAAATATTCCCAAATCTGAAAAATATCTGAAATTCGAAACACTTCTGATCCCAAGCATTTCAGATAAGGGATACTCAACCTGTCCTTACCTTGCCTTAGACATTGTGAAACTGATGACAGTCAACACTGGTACCAGAAGGAAAAGTAATTCAGAAGTCCCACCTCTGTTCCCCTTTTAAATGTTACTCATTTTCTCACTTTCCACTTTATTATTTATTTTGGGTGAGGCACTTGTGATTTTTTTTTTTTTTTTTTGAGACAGGGTCTCACTCTGTCACCCAGGCTGGAGTACAGTGACACGATCATGGCTCTCTGCAGCCTTGACCTTCCCAGTCAAGCTCAGGTGATCCTCCCACCTCAGCTCCCGAGTAGCTGAGACTGCAGGCATGCACCACCACACCCGGCTAATTTTTGTATTTTTTTTTTTTAAGACAGGGTTTCACCAGGCTGCCCAGGCTGGTTTCGAACTCCTGGGCTCTAGTGATCCACCCACCTCAGCCTCCCAAAGTATAGGCACGATTCCACGACTCCCAGCCATAAATTTTCATAATGAAGTTGAAATTAAAGATTATTACAGTTCATAAGATCCATATAATTTATTTCAAAGTTCTTTTTGAAGTTGTGAGTCAGGCTTACTAGCATCACCATGGGATAGATACTAGTTCTGCTATACACAACTATGTAAGGAAAAATGTTTTCATTCACTGCAAAATGAGACGGAAGCTTACATTGTAGCACTGGGGCAACCTCTTAGCCAATGAAATGATATTGCAAATAAAAAGCAAAATTACTCTTACCCACATTCTTCATTTTAAGAAAACACCCTTGGATAAGTACATAGAGTGAGAGTCCTTGATTTGAACTAATCTAAGGTATTAATAATAACAGGTGAATGCTTAGATAATGATTTAAGAGTTGATGCTAATTTACCCTTTAATTGGAAGTATTTATAAAGCAAACATAAATGTAAGTTATTTGTGAAGCATATAAGAGATGAACAGAAAATATGCATGTCATTTGTATTTTAGTTATTCTCCCTACACATACATAACCTTGATTTTTGCCACAGTTCGTTTTTCTACATGTAAAAAACTTAATTAGATTGTGTGCTTGTGACAATCAGTTTCAAGTATATTTCTGTGAGAAGCTCCACTGTCCCCAAATAACCAGAGGTAGGTAACAGTTTCTGACAAAAGCTTGAGGGAACAGGATTAAATGATAATTACAGCGATTATATTTTATCTAAAACCTTCAAGTCTCTGGAAAGCTGCTTGGTTTCTATTTTGGGCCATGCTGCCCACATATCTTAACGACAGAATTTATGCATAATTTTGCTCTTCCTGTTTTTATCTCTGTTTGGGTGTATTTATTACTTCATATGTGGTGATGCAAGGCTCATTGAAAGGTCCATTTATATCCTGGTTATCTGCATGGGGATCTAGCTGCTTTTCTCTCGCTGTTTCTAGAACTCTCACTGTAACATTCAGATTTGCTGGCACCCAGCCTTTTCCAGCACATATACATTCCGCTCCCTCAGTGACTCTATTTATGGGAGTCTATGTGATTTACTCAAGACTAATAAAGACCGTGTAGAAGGATGGGTCATGGATTTATCCATCCATGGAATTTTAGCGCATTCAGAGGGAGGTTTATCTTCTGTTCTTCCCCCGCTACCCCCCAATTTAATTAAAACAACAAAAAAGGCGTTAGTCCAAATGAGGGACAGTTGGCAGATCTGCGTTATTCAACTGGAGGGACTCCCTAGTTTCTGATGCTTGGAGATGGACAAGTAATTACCTCCTGTCTGTGACTATTTTCTACCAGGCTAAGCCCAATGTTTATTGTAAACTATCTGCCATTAAAAGCTGTAATAGCAAGCCTTATGTTCCCACACCATAAATTTGACTTGCAGTGTTTTTTTATTTACCTTCATGTTTTATTATATTCTTTGGAATGTTTCATTTTAAAGGAAGATAACGGGAGAATGAAAATTGAACAAATTCCAAATTCACGCTTGAATAAAGATATGCTTAACACACATACTTTTTGCATACACCCAGACCTCTGATGGCCACTTTCTGAATATTGGCAGCTTCTCTGTAACTATTAGAGGTAGTTGCTATAAGTGTATCACTTGTTAAATGGTCCTGAAAGTAGCCTAAAAATGAAAGTTTAAGCAGACCACATGGGCTGAGGGCAGTGATTCTCAAACTTTTGCATCTCATGAACACCCTTATTCGAAGACCCCAAAGAGCTTTTGTTTGTGTGATTATATTTATCAATACTTACTGCATAAGAAATTAGAGCTGAGACATTTAAAAATGCTTATTTATTTATTCGTTTAAAAATAACAATAGGGCCAGGCACGATGGTGGCTCATTCCTGTAATCCCAGCACTTTAGGAGGCCGAGGTGGGAGAATCACTTGAGCCCAGGAATTTGAGACCAGCCTGGGCAACATGGCAAAATCCCGTCTCTACAAAAAAATTTTTAAAATTAGCCAGGTGTCGGCCGGGCACGGTGGCTCACGCCTGTAATCACAGCACTTTGGGAGGCCAAGGCGGGTGGATCATGAGGTCATGAGATCGAGACCATCCTGGCTAACACGGTGAAACTCTGTCTCTACTAAAAATACAAAAAATTAGCCGGGCATGGTGGCAGGCGCCTGTAGTCCCAGCTACTCAGGAGGCTGAGGCAGGAGAATGGCGTGAACCCGGGAGGTGGAGCTTGGCAGTGAGCAGAGATCATGCCACTGCGCTCCAGCCTGGGCGACAGAGCGAGACTCGGTCTCAAAAAAAAAATTAGCCGGGTGTCTTGGCATGCCCCTGTGGTCCCACTACTCAGGAGGCTGAGGTGGGAGGAAAACCTGAGCTTGGCGGGGGTCGAGGCTGCAGTGAGCTGTGGTCACACCACTGCGATCCGGCCTGAGCAACAGAGTGAGACCTGTCTCAAAAAACAAACAAATGAAAAAACCCCAAACCAATAAATCATTATATGTTAACATAAATACCATTTTTAATGAAAAATAACTATTTTCTGTAGCAAAAAAAAAAAAGTTTAATAAGAAGAGAGAGATTGTTTTGGATTCTGTTTGACTTTAGAAGACAGCTGGAGTCTCATATCTGCTTCTTCAGTCTGCTGTAATATGTTGCTTTGGTTGAAATATATGAAAAAAACCTGCCCCTACACAGATATGTAGTTGTAAAAGGGAATATTTTAACAGCCTTTTCAAATAATTATGGATATTCTGCTTTGATCCCAGACCAAAACTTGACAAGTGGAGTTTTTTTTTTTTTTGAGATGAAGTCTTGCTCTGTCACCTAGGCTGGAGTACAGTGGTAGGATCTCAGGTCACTGCAACTTCCACCTCCCAGGTTCAAGTGATTCTCCTGCCTCAGCCCCCCGAGTAGCTGGGACTACAGGTGTGTGCCACCACGCCCGGATAAATTTTGTATTTTTAGTAGAGATGGGGTTTTGCCATGTTGGCCAGGCTGGTCTTGAACTCCTGACCTCAAGTGGTCCACCTGCCTCAGCCTCCCAAAGTGCTGGGATTACTGGTGTGAGCCACCACTCCCAGCCAAAATAAACATTTCTGTTTTTTTTTTTTTTTTTTTTTGGACAGGGTTTCCCTCTATCACCCTGGCTGGAGTACAATGGTTCAAGTGATTCTTGTGCCTCAGCCTCCCAAGTAGCTGGATTACAGGAATGCGCCACCACTCCTGGCTAATTTTTCTTTTTTTTCCTTTCTTTCTTTCTTTTTATTTTATTTTATTTTATGCTTTTTTAAAGCAGAGGCAAGGTTTCACCATGTTGGCCAGGCTGGTCTTGAACTCCAGACCTCAGATGATCCACCCGCCTCAATCCAAAGTGCTGGGATTATGGGTGTGAGCCACCACGCCCAGCAATTAAGTGTTAGTTTCTTAAAGGTTAGTTGCAATGTGGAAATTAAAATCCTTTCAGTGGATTTTTTTTTAAACTAATAGATTTTATTTTTTTTTAGAGCAATTTTAGGTTTAAAGAAAATGAGACCATTTGGAGGGTTCTTATGTGCCCCCTTTCGCCACATTTTCCTATATTAACATCATGCATTAATGTGGCACATTTGTTAACAATTGATGAATCAATAATACTGTACATGATTATTAAACTAAAGCTCATAGTTTACATTAGGATTAATTATTTGTGATATACAGTTCCATGGGTTTGGACAAATGTATAATGATATGTGTCCACTATTACAGTAACCTATAGAATAATTTTACTGCCCTAAACCCTCCCTGTGCTCCTCCTATTCAGCCCTTCTCTTCTTCCCCTGAACCCTTGGCAACCACTGATCTTTTGACTATCTTTATAGGTTGCCTTTTCTAGAACATCATATACACTTGACCTTTAAACAGCAGGAGTTTTAACTGCACAGGTCCTCTTTCACAAGATTTTTTTTTGTGTTGAGACAGAGTCTCGCTCTATCTCCAGGCTGGAGTGCAGTGGCGTGATCTCGGCTCACTGCAACCTCCGCCTCCTGGGTTCAAGTGATTCTCCTGCCTCAGCCTCCCGAGTAGCTGGGACTACAGGCGTGCCACCATGCCCAGCTAATATTTTTAGTGGAGATGGGGTTTCACCATGTTGGCCAGGCTGGTCTTGAACTCCTGACCTCAGGTGATCCGCCCATCTCGGCCTCCCAAAGTGCTGGGATTATAGGCGTGAGCCACTGCACCTGGCCAAGATTTTTTTCAATGAAAGTTACACAGAATGTGCTTGCCTCTCCTGTCACCGCTCCCACTTCCTCTACCTCTTCTGCCCCTGCAACCCTTGAGACAGCAAGACCAACCCTCTTCTTCCTCTTCCTTCTCAGCCTACACAGCGTGAAGACAAGGATAAAGACCTTTATTTTATTTATTCATTTTTTTTTAAGGTGGAAGTCTTGCTATGTTGCCCAGGCTGGAGTGCAGTGGCATGATCGTAGCTCACTGCAGCCTCAAACTCCTGGGCTCAAGGAATTCTCCCACCTCAGCCTCCTGAGTAGCTGGGACTGCAGGTATGCACTACCCTCTAGGCCAAGGATAAAAACCTTGTGATGATCCAGTTCCACTTAATAAATAGTAAATATATTTTCTGTTCCTTTTGATTTTCTTTTTTCTTATTTTTTAAAAGACGGGATCTAACTCTGTTGCTGAGGCCGGAGTGCAATTGTACAATCTTGTCTCACTACAGCCTCAACCTTCTGGGCTCAAGCAATCCTCCTGCCTTAGCCTCCCGAGTAGCTAGGACTACAGGTGCGTGCCAGTCCACCTGGACAATTTTTTTTTTTTTTTTTTTGTAGAGAAGGGGTCTCACCATATTGCCCAGGTGGGTTTTGAACTCCTGGCTTCAAGCAATCTTCCTTCCTTGGCCTCCCAAAACGTTGGGATTCCAGGTGTGAGCCACTGCCCCCAGCCGGCCTTTCCTTATGATTTTCTTAATATTTTTTCTTTATTTTAAGAATACAGTATATTATATATATATATATATTAGAAAATACATGTTAATTGACTGCTTATGTTACCAGTAGGGCTTCTGGTCAACACAAGACGATTAGTAGTTATGTTACTGGGGACTTAAAAGTTATACTCAGATTTTCAACTGCACACCTACCCCCCTGTGTTGTTCCAGGGTCAGCTGTAATTGGAATCATACAACACATAGACTTTTCAGATGGGCTTCTTTCACTAAGCAATATGCATTTAATGTTCCTTTTTGTGGATTGAATGCTCATTAATTTTGCTCACTGACTATTCCACTGTATGAATATACTACAGTTTATTCATTCACCTTTTGAAAAATATCTTGGTTGCTTCTAGTTTTTAGCAATTATGAATAAAGTTACTATAAACATTTGTGTGCAGATTTTTGTGTGGGCTAAGTTTCCAACTCTTTTTGGTAAAACCCTAGGAGTATGATTGCTGGGTCAGATGGTAAGAATACATTTAGCTTTAAAAGAAATGTAAACTGCCAAACTGTCTTCAAAAGTGGCTGCACTATTTTGCATCCCCACTAGCAATGAATGAGAGTTTCTATTGCTCCACATCTTTGCCAGCATTAGGTATTAATAGGTTTTTGGATTTTAGCCATTCTAATATGAGTATAGTAGTATCTCATTGTTGTTTTAATTTGCAATTCTCCAGTGACATATGATGCTGAGTATCTTTTCATGTTTATTTGCCATCTGTGTATTTTCTTTCTTTCTTTTTTTTTTTTTTTTTTGAGACAGGGTCTCACTCTGTTGCCCAGGCTGGAGTGCAATGGCACAATCTCAGCTCACTGCAACCTCCGCCTCCCAGGTAAAAGTGATTCTTCTGCCTCAGCCTCCCAAGTAGCTGGGACTACAGGTGCGCACCACCACAAAGGGCTAATTTTTATTTTTAGTAGAGACAGGGTTTCACCATGTTGGCCAGGCTGGTCTTGGACTTCTGACCTCAAATGATCTGCCCGCCTTGGACTCCCAAAGTGCTGGGATTACAGGCGTGAGCCACCATGTCCAGCCTACCATCTGTATTTTCTTGGGGGAGGTAGCTTTTCAACTCTTTTGCCCATTTTTAAAATTTGGTTGTTTGCTACTGCTGAGATTTAAGGTTTTAAGAGTTCTTTGTGTATATTGGATACTGGTCTTTTATCAGATAAGTGTGCTATTTAATTTTTGTTTTCTTTTCTTTTTTGAGACAGTCTCACTCTGTTGCCCAGGCTGGAGTGCAGTGGTGAAATCATAGCTCGCTGCAGCTGTGAACTCCTAGGCTCAAGCCATCCTTCTGCCTTGGCCTCCTGAGTATCTAGGACTATAGATGTGCACTACCATGCCTGGCTAATTTTTATTTTATTTTATTTTTTATTTTCAAATTTTTCTGTAGAGATAAGTCTTACTATGTTGCCCGGACTGGTCTCAAATTTCTGGCCCCAAGAAATCCTCCTGCCTTGTTATGTTTTTTTTCTTTATCAGATATGTGTTTTGCAAATATTTTCTCCCAATCTGCAGAGAAAATATGTGGCTTGTCTTTCCATTCTCTTAAACCACTGGATCTTTCACACTACGACCGTTTGGTGCCACTACCCTGATGCCTGCTAAACCATCAGTGTTTGTGTAACATCACACTGTTGTTTGTGTAATATCAGTGCAAATTGTGTAACGTCACAACAAACACATCATTGTTTGTGTAACATCAGTGCAAATTTTAATACAAAGGAAAGGCAAAAGACATCTTAGTATTATTGTGAAAATAGTTTTAATTTTGCGGACATACGATCAAGGCCCATGGACCATACTTTGAGAACTACTGGCCTAAAGCAAACAAGGATAGCCTGTACTACTCTTTAGTTCAGGCCTCAGTAAGACCAAATAGAATAAGAAATTTGAATTTTACAAATATGTAATGTTAATTTACTTTTCTGCAAAAAGAGGTTTGGAAGACACATAAGATATATAATTCATTGAACTTGGTGTTCTAATTCATTAGGAAGAGCCCATTTTGTTTACATATTTTTTGCTGGTGATTTTTGAGAGAATATAATTTTTATTTATTTATTATTTATTTATTTATTTATTTATTTATTTATTTTTTGAGACGGAGTCTCATTCTGTTGCCAGGCTGGAGTGCAGTGGTGTGATCTCAGCTCACTGCAACCTCCAACTCCCTGGTTCAAGCGAGTCTCCTGCCTCAGCCTCCTGAGTAGCTGGGATTACAGGCACGCACCACCACGCCCAACTAATTTTTGTTTTTTTAGTAGAGACAGGGTTTCACCAGGTTGCTCAGGATGGTCTCAATCTCCTGACCTCGTGATCTGCCTGCCTCCCAGAGTGCTGGGATTACAGGCATGAGCCACTGCGCCTGGCCTATAATTTTTATTTTTAAAGAAATACTTTGTATGTGTATGTGTGTCTGTGTGTAAATATATCAAGTAGAGTGTATGGGCCAATGAATGTCTCTCTCTTTTTTTTCTGGAGTGCAGTGGCATAATCATGGCTCACTACAGCCTCAAACTCCTGGGCTCAAGTGATACTTCCACTTCAGCCTCCTGAGTAGCTGGGATGACAGGCGTGCACCACCACACCCAGCTAACTTTAAAATTTTTGTAGAGATAGAGTCTATGTTGCCCAGATTGGTCTTGAACTCCTGGGCTCAAGCAATCCTCCTGCCGCAGCCTCCTAAAGTGCTGGGATTACAGGTGTCAGCCACCGTGCCTGGCCCTAAATGTCTCTTAATGGCAAATAATAGGTAGATAATGCCTAGTAACGGGTTTATGATATATTTGTCTATATAGACAAACATATAGTACCCCAAACTTTTTCCTTTTTCTCCTAGAAAGAAAAAGCATATTTTCTTTCCTTCTGGTAGATGTACTTTTCCCTATTCCTTCCATTAAGTACAACCCAAAACCCTGAATATTATATATTAAACAAACATGAGAAGACTCTGAAAGGGGGGGAAGAAAAGGAGGGCAGAATGTCTATGGACTGCAGGACCTGAAGAACAACATTGCAGTGACTTACTTTGTTTTTATTTTTGACTCATATACACCAGACTTGGAGTTGAAAAAGGTAGCAACCTGGAAATGCCAACAGGAGTAGTCGAAAAAGCCCAACCAAAGCCTGCTGTCTTTAGCCAAAGAACCATGGAAGAGGCAGCCTAGCAAGATAGAGAAGTTTTAAACATCACTATGGATTGCATTGTGTCTCCCCAAAATTCATGTCGAAGCCTTAACTCCCAGTGTAATTGTATTTGGAGATGGGGCCTTTGGGAGATAATTAGGGTTAGATGAAGTAATGAGAATAAGGCCCTCATGATGGAATCAGCAGCTTTATAAGAAGAATGATGGGGTTGGGTGCAGTGGCTCACATCTGTAATCCCAGCGCTTTGGAAGGCCGAGGTGGGAAGATCACTTGAGGTCAGGAGTTCAAGACCAGCCTGGCCAACATGGTGAGACCCCGTCTCTACCAGAAAATACAAAAATTAGCCGGGCATGGTGGTGCACGTCTGTAATCCCAGCTACTCGTTGGGATGAGGTTGAGGCATGAGAATCGCTTGAACACAGGAGGTGAAGGTTACAGTGAGCCAAGATTGTGGCCTGCTGCACTCCAGCCTGGGAGACAGAATGAGACCCTATCAAGAAAAAAAAAAAAAGAGGAGTGGAGAGAGATCATTCTCTCTGCCATGTGAAGACACAGTAAGAAGCTGATCATCTGCAACCCAGAAAGAGAGCCCTTGCCAGGAACCAAATTGGTTAGCATCTTGACCTTAGACTCCCTAACTTCCAAAACTGAGAAACATAAATGTCTGTTGTTGAAGCCACCAGTCTATATTTTGTTGTAGCAGCCTGAGAAGACTAATACAGACAATAACTGCTCTACTCAGCCAAACACCACAGCAAACGCTTTGGCCCCCACCCATGCCAACAAAGGCTGAGTGGGGAGCCTACGATTCCACCCTTATGAGGCTATAATGCGGCACCTCACCCACCAGGGTTGTGTCAGAGAAGGCCAAGTAGAGAGTCAATAATAAGTCCACTCTCCACCTGGCCCCCATGGTATCAGTGGAGACCATGTGGGAAGCCTACACTTGCACCCCCAAAAGGCAGTAATGAAGTGCTCCTCTTCATTCCTGCTCAGTGGTATCAGAGTAGGACTAGCGGAGAGTCTAGACTTTTACCATCATCCAATGGTAATAAGGCAACCCCCATCTCAGTGTCAGTGGAGACCACCTGGGGAGCCAGAATGCCAACATCTGCCCAGCCATAATGAGAAGTGTAACTAAGATGCCAACAGAGGCTGAGTGAACCTAGTCTTCTACCTGCACCTGTCAGTAATGGGTTGGTGTCTTTCCTCCTCTGCTGGAGTAATGTCAAAAAAAGCCAGCTAAAATAAAGAGTTAACGTAAAATTAATAGCCTTATAAAAATGTCCAAGTTTCTTTCTTTCTTTTTTTTTTTTTGTGATACGGAGTTTTGCTATTGTTGCCCAGGCTGGCGCGATCTCGGCTCACCGCAACCTCCGCCTCCTGAGTTCAAGTGATTCTCCTACCCCAGCTTCCCGAGTAGCTGGGATTACAGGCATGCATCACTGTGCCTGGCTAATTTTTTGTATTTTTAGTAGAGACGGGGTTTCTCCATGGTGGTCAGGGTGGTCGCAAACTCCCGACCTCAGGTGATACATGCGCCTTGGCTTCCCAAAGTGCTGGGGTTACAGGTATGCACCACCGTGCCTGGCCCAAAAATGTCCAAGTTTCAACTGAAAATCACTAATCATACCAAGAGCCAGGAAGTTCTCAAATGAAATGAAGAAAAGCCAATCAATAAATGCCAATACCAAGATGACAGAGATGTTAGAATTATATGACAAAGATGTCAAAGCAGCCATTACAAAAATGCTTCAAAAGCAATTCTGAACACACTTGAAACAAATTAGAAAGTAGACAGCCTCAGGAAACAAATATAATATATAAAGATGAACCAAATGAAAATTTTAAAACTTAAACACAATAACTGAAATTAAAAAGTCAGTGGTTGGACATAATACCAGGATAGAGAGGGAACAGAGAAAAAAATCAGTGGAAGGAAGATAGAATAATAAAAAGTACTCAATCTTAACAACAAAGTACCCAAAGGAATAATGGCTGAAAACGTCTCAAATTTGGTAAGAGACAAGAAGATGGGCAAACCTCAAAGAAGACAAAGCCCAAATAAATCTATACCAAGACACATTATAATGAAACTTCTGAAACCCAGAGACCAAGAGAAAAATCTTAAAAGCAGCCAGGAAAAAAAAAAAAAAAACACCCAGGGAAAAAACCTATTTGAATGACAGTGGATTTCTTATCAGAAACCATGGGGGCCATAAGTAAGTGGTACAGTGTTTTTCAAGTGCTGAAAGAAAAGAACTGTCAATCCAGAATCCTATAGTTAGTAAAAATATTCTTCAGAAATGAAGAGGAAACCAAGATATTCTCAGATGAAGAAAAACTAAATTTTTCACCAGCAGAATTACTCTAAAAGAATGGCTAAAGGAAGTTCTCTAAACAAATGAAAAAACAGAAGAGGGAAATTTGGAGCATCAGAAAAGGAAGTGATAAAAGAAAACTTGGAGCATCAGAAAGAATACAATAAGCAAAAAAGGGGGAGAGTAAACACAATAGTTTTTCCTTCTATTCTTCAGTTTTTGTTTTGTTTTGTTTTGTTTTGAGACGCTCTGTCACCCAGGCTGAAGTGCAATGGCACAATCTTGGCTCACTGCAACCTCTCCCTCCCGAATTCAAGCAATTCCCCCTGCCTCAGCCTCCCAAGTAGCTGGGATTACAGGTGCCCACCACCATGCCAGGCTAATTTTTGTTTTTTTTAGTAGAGATGGGGTTTCACCATGTTGGTCAGGCTGGTCTCGAACTCCTGACCTCAAGTGATCTGCCTGCCTCGGCCTCCCAAGGTGCTAGGATTACAGGCGTGAGCCACCGTGCCCAACCTATTCTTCAGTTTTTTAAAAATATATTTAATAGTTGAAGTAAAAATGACATGTTTTATATGGTTCTAAAAGTATGCAGAGGAAATATTAAGACAATTGTATTATAAATAGTGGAGGGCAACAGGATTTAAAGGGAAACACAATTTCTATATTTCATTTAAACTGGCAAAATAATGACACTAGTAGACTATAATGGGTTATGTATATATAATGTAATACCTACAGCACTACCTAAAAAGCTATACAAAGCTTTTCAAAAGTTATCCAAAATGCTGTAGATAAAATGAAATTTTAACAGAAGTATGAGTAACCCACAGGAAAGCAGAAGAAAGAAAACAGAGAAATGAAAAATAGAACAAACAGAAAGGAAAAAATAAAATCAGAGATTTAAGGCCTAACACATCAATAATTACATTAAATGTAAGTGGTAGAAGCAGGTCAACTTTAAAAGAGAGAGATTGGCAGAGTGGATTTTAAAACACAACCCAACTGTATACTGTCTATGAGAAACTCACTTCAAATATAATGATATAGGAAGGTTAAAAGCAAAAGGATAGAAAAATATGTCATGCAAACATTAATCAAAAGAAAGCAAGGGTGGCTGTATTAATATCAGATAAAGCAGACTTCAGAGCAAAGAAAATTTCCAGAGACAGAGAGAGCCATTATATAATGATAAAAGGGTCAATCCACCAAAAAGACATAGCAATCTTAAATGTGTATGCACCAAACAACAGAGCTGCAAATCACATGAAGTAAAACTGATAGAACTGAAAGGAGATATACACATATCCAGTTAAAACTGGAGAAAGATAACAGGAAAATCTTCAAACTAAAGAACACACATCTAAATAACAAAGGAGTCAAAAAAGAGATCTCAAGGGAAATTAAAAAATACATTGAACTGGGTGAAAATAAACATACCATGTGTCCAAATTTGTGGAACGCAGCCAAAGTAATACCGAGAAGGAAATATATAGCACTAAATGCATATGTTAGAAAAGAGGAAAAGTCCAAAATCAATCTATGATCCCCCTGTAAGAACGTAGTAAAAGATGAGCAAAATAAATCCAAAGTGAGAAGAAAATAATAATGAACAAAAATCAATGACATTGAACACACACACAAATGGAAAAATCAATTAACCAAAGATCTGATTTTTTGAAAAGATCAATAAAATTGACAAACCTCTAGCAAGACTGACAAAGTAGGAAAGAAAGACACAAATTGTCAATATCAGGAAGGAAATAGGTGAAATCACTATAGACACTGCAGACATCAAAAGGATAATAAGGGAATACTACGAACAACTCTAAATATTATAAATATGACAATCTAGATGAAATGGACCAATTCCTGGAAAAACACAAAGTACCACAACTCTTCAATAGGAAATAGATAATTTGAGTAACCCTACAACTAAAAAGAAATTGAACTTATAATTTTAAAACTCCCTAAAAGGAAATCTCCAGGCCCAAGTTGTTTCACTGGAGATTTCTACCAAACACTTAAAGAATTACTAAACCAATTCTTGCCTGGGTGCAGTGGCTCACGCCTGTACTCCCAGCACTTTGAGAGGCTGAGGCAGGCGGATCACTTGAGCCCAGGAGTTCGAGAACAGCCTGCGCAACATGGCAAAACCACATCTCTACAAAATATACATATATAAAATTAGCCGGGCATGGTGGCATGAGCCTGTGGTCCCAGCTACTCAGGAGGCTGAAGCAGAAGAATCACCTGAACCGGGGAGGCAATGGTTGCAGTGAGCTAAGGTCACACCACTGCACTCCAACCTGGGTAACAGAGCAAGACCCTGTCTCATAATTAAACCAATTCTACATTCTCTCTTTCAGAAAATACAAGAGGAGCGAGCACTTCCCAATATTGGCAATATTTTATAATGCCGATATTACCTTAATACCAAAACCAGACAAAGACAACACAGAAAAGAAAACTACAGACCAAAATCATTAGTGAATATAGATACAAAATTCCTTAATAAAATATTAGCAAGTAGAATTCAGCTATATTGTAAAAAATGTACACACTAAGACTAAGCAGAGTTTTTTTCAGGGATGCAAGCCTGGTTCATCATTCAAAAATCAGTCAGTGACCTCCACTATATTAACAGGCTAAAGAAGAAAGATCACATAATAATATCAATAGATTCAGAAAAAGCATTTAACAAAATTCAACAGTTATTCATGATAAAAACTCCCAGAAAAACAGGATTAGAAAGAGACCACCTTACTTGATAAAGAGCATCTATATGAAAAAATAGAACAAACAGAAAACAAAAAATAAAATCACAGATTTAAGACCTACAGATTTAAGACCTACAGCTAACATTTTACTTAATCATGAAAGACTGAAGCTTTCCCCCTAAAGTTGGGAACACGGAAAGGACGCTGCTTTTATCACTTTTATTGAACATAGTGCTGGAAGTCCTAGCCAGTGCAATAAGGTAAGAAAAGAAAGTAAATGGCATACAGTTTGGGAAGAAAGAAATAAAACTATCCCCATTTGCAGATGATGTAATTGACCACATCGAAAATCCAGAAGAATCTGCCAAAAAAAAAAAAAAAAACACCTCATGGAACCAATAAGTGAGATCAACAAGGTTGCATGACATGAGATGAACATATGAAAAAAATTATATTTCTACAAACTAGCAATGAACACGTGGACATCTAAATTAAAAATGTAATATTAACAATCGCTCAAAAATATGAAATAGGTATAAATCTAACAAGACAAGTACAGGACATTTATGCTGTAAATTATGTAATGTGATGAAAAATAACAAGATCTAAATAAAGGGAATAATAGTCCGTGTTGGTGGATTGGAGACTCAACATAGTAAAGATATCAGTTCTCCCCAAATAGATATAGTGGTTTAATGTAATTCCCATTAAAAACTCAGCAAGATCTTTTGGTAGCTGTAGACAAGATTATTCTGGAATTTATATGGAAAGTCCAAACAAAAAGCTAAGGGGCAAAACCCGGGCTGGGATAGGGCATGAGGCAGTGCGTTGGGACATCCCTTGCATCAGGCTCAACGGTGTCTGTCACTGTGTGGCTGGCTGGGATGCTTGGGGTGGGTCAGGGGCAGGTGTAGCCTCTTTGCCTCATTGTCCCCTAGCACCACAGGCTGCCAGCACCATGAAGTTATGGACTTTGGCACACGTCTTTGACCACCTGTGGGAAATTGTTACAACAGTTGCAATGCAGAAATATCCAAACTCTATGAGCCTGAGTGTGGTTGGAGTTGATGTGTTGGACAGACATATAGATCCCTCTGGTTCCCTTCTCAGCACAGAGAGGGGGCTGCTTCCATTGTGAAGTCTCTAATTGGTGCAGCAAGAACCAAAACATATGTGCAAGAACATTCTGTAGTTGATCATGTAGAGAAAACAATGGAACTTAAATCTACTAACATTTCATTTACAAATAAGGTTTCAGTAGATGAGAGACTTATAGAAAAGCCACATCCTCGGGACAGAAAAAAAACTATTTTGACTCAAGAAGCCATAATCACTGTGAAAGGAGTCAGCCTCAGCAGTTACCTTGAAGGACTGATGGCAAGGCTGAGAAGCAATGGAATGGGTAATACACAAATTAAATGCTGAGATTGAAGAACTGTTGGCCTCTGCAAGAGGAAGCATAGGGACTCCGATGGCAGCAGCAGAGCATTTGCAGAGAAATAATCATGAAAGTTGTTAGACAACGTCAGTTACCCCAGGTCTCTCCAAGCTAACTATATATTTATTTGTTATTTTAAAAATAGAACTATCTTTTAGGTAGAATTTTTTTAAAATATGCTGATGTAAGGCTATGTGACTTTTGATCAAAACAAAGAGATGCAGGGCTTCTAAATAAAAGTGATCATTAGAAATTTTTAAAAAGAAAAGCTAAAACAATTTTGAATAAGAAGAGTAATGGGGGAGTAATCAGTCTACCCAATTTCAAGGCTTACTCTGAAGCTACAGTAATCAAGACTGTGTAGTGCTGGCGAAGAGAGAGACACATTAGACACATATATTAATGTAATAGATTAAAGAATCTAGAAATAGACCCCTACAGATATGTCCAGTGGATTTTTGACCAAGATGTAAGAACAGTTCAATACAGGAAAGATAGACTTTTCAACAAATGGTGTTGGAGCAACTGGATATTCATAGGAGAAAAAAAAAAAAGGAACTTGGCCTAACTCACACACCTTATACAAAAATTAACTCAAAAGATTGTGAACTTAAATGGGAAATGTAAAACTATAAGATTGTTTAGAAAAAATAGGAGAAAATATTTGGAATCTAAGCTTATGCAAAGAGATTTTAGATTTGACCCACAAACGGGATCCAGAAGAGGAAAAATTGATATACTTGATGTCATCAAAATAAAAAAATTTGCTCTGAAAAGACCTCATTAAGAGGATAAAAGCTCCCTATTCAATAAATGGTGCTGGGATAACTGGCTAGCCATAGGCAGAAGATTGAAGCTGAACCCCTTCTTTATACCATGTACAAAAATCAAAGTCTTTAATCCAACTTTAAGATGAATTAAAGACTTAAATGTAAAACCCAAAATTATAAAAACCCTGGAAGACTACCTAGGCAATACCATCCTGGACATAGGAACTGGCAAAGATTTCATGACAAAGACATCAAAAGCAATCACAACAAACGCAGAACTTGACAAATAGGATCTAATTAAACTTAACAGCTTCTGCACAGCAAAAGAAACTATCAACAGAGTTAACAGACAACCTACAGAATGGGATAAGATATTTGCAATCCATGCATCTGACAAAGGTCCAATATCCAGCATCTATAAGGAATTTAAACAAATTTACAAGAATAAAACAACCTCATTAAAAAGTGGGCAAAGGATATGAACAGACAATGTTCAAAAGAAGACATACCTGCAGCCAACAAGCATATGAAAAAAGCTCAATATCGCTGATCGTTAGAGAAATGCAAATCAAAACCAAAATGAGATACCATCTTACACCAGTCAGAATGGCTATTATTAAAAAGTCAAAAAGTAACAGATGCTGGTGAGGTTGGAAAGAAAAGGGAACACTTATACACTGTTGGTGAGAGTGTTCAACCATTGTGTAAAGCAGTATGGCAATTCCTTAAAGAGCTAAAAGCAGAACTACCATTCAACTCAACAATCCCATTACTGGGCATATATCCAGAGAAATATAAATCATTCTACCATAAAGACACATGTGAGGCCAGGCGCGGTGGCTTACACCTGTGATCCTAGCACTTTGGGAGGCCGAGGCGGGCAGATCACGAGGTCAAGAGATCGAGACCATCCTGGCTAACACGGTGAAACCCCATCTCTACTAAAAATACAAAAAATTAGCCGGGCGTGGTGGTGGGCGCCTGTAGTCCCAGCTACTCGGGGCAGAAGAATGGCGTGAACCCGGGAGGCAGAGGTTGCAGTGAGCCGAGATCGCACCACTGTGCTCCAGCCTGGGCCACAGAGTGAGACTCCGTCTCAAAAAAAAAGAAAAAAAAAAAAGACACATGCGTATATGTTCATTGCGGCACTATTCAAAATAGCAAATACATGGAATCAACCTAAATGCCCATCAATGACAGATTGGATACAGCAAATGTGATACATATACACCATGGAATACTATACCACCATAAAAAAGAACGAAATCATGTCTTTTGCGGGAACGTGGATGGGGCTGGGTGCTATTATCCTCAGCAAACTAATGCAGGAACGGAAAACCAAATATCGCATGTTCTCGCGTATAAGTTGGGGAGCTAAATGATGAAAACTTATGAACACAAAGATGGGAACAACAGATACTGGGGCCTACTTGATGGTGAAGGGTGGAGGGTGGGAGGAGGGGGGAGGAGCAGAAAAATCACTATGGGTACTAGGCTTAATACCTGGGTGACAAAATAATCAGTACAACAAGCCTCTGTGACATAAGTTTACCTATATAACCAACCTGCACGTGTACCCCCAAACCTAACATAAAAGTTTTTTTTAAAGAGGATAAAAAGACAAGTTATGTGCAAATTTCTGTAGAGAAAATATTTGTAAGCTACATATCTGACAAAGGACTAGTACTGGAATATATAAAGAACTCTCAAAACTCAACAGTCAAAAAAGCAAAAATCCAATTAGAAGGTAGAGAAAAGACATGAAGAAGATAATACAGATGGCAAATAAACACATGAAAAGATGTTTAATATCATTAGCCATTAGGGAAATGCAAATTAAGGCCACAATGAGATACCACTACATGCCCATCAGAGTAGCTAAAATGCAAAACAGTGAAAACACCAGATGCTAGCAAGGACACTGGATCACTCATACATTGCTGGTGGAAATGTAAAATGGTACAGCCACTCTGGAAAACAGTTTGCCAATTTCTTTAAAAATTAAACATGCAGGCTGGGCACGGTGGCTCACGCTTGTAATCCCAGCACTTTGGGAGGCTGAGGCAGGTGGATCACCTGAGAGGTCAGGAGTTCAAGACCAGCCTGGCCAACATGGTAAAACCCCGTCTCTACTAAAAATACAAAAAAAATTAGCCGGGTGTGGTGGCAGATGCCTGTAATCCCGGCTACTCGGGAGGCTGAGGCAGGAGAATCCCTTGAACCCAGGAGGAGAGGTTGCAGTGAGCTGAGATTGCGCCACTGCACTCCAGCCTGGGCAACAAGGCGAGACTCCATCTCAAATTAAAAAAAAAAAAAGAAAAAAAATTAAACATGCAGCCAAGCACAGTGGCTCACGCCTGTAATCCCAGCAGCTTGGGAGGCTGAGGTTGGTGGATCACTTGAGGTCAGGAGTTCAAGACCAGCCTGGCCAACACAGTGAAACCCCATCGCTACTAAAAATACAAAAATTAGCCGGGTATGGTGGTACATGCCTGTAATCCCAGCTACCCCAGAGGCTGAGGCAGGAGAATCGCTTGAACCGGGAAGGTGGAGTTTGCAGTGAGCTAAGATTGCGCCACTGCACTCCAGCCTGGGCGACAGGGGGAGACTCCATCTCCAAAAAAAAAAAAAAAAAAAAAAAAAAAAAAATTAAACATGCAACTACCATACAATCCAGCAATCACACTCTTGGACATTTATTTCCCCAAAATGAAGACTATATTCACACAAAAACATGTACATGAATACTAACCCTACTTGTATTCATTATAGTAAAAACTAGACACCCAGATGTCCTTCAGTAGGTGAACAGTGAAACAAACGATGGTCCATCTGGAATACTTCTGAGCAATAAAAAGGAACAAACGATTGATAAACACAACCACCCCTGGATGACTCTTGAGAGAATTATGCTGAGTGAATAATAAAGTCAATTGCAGAAGTCTATATACTGTATAGTTTTATTTACATGACATTCCTGAAATGACAAAATTATAGAAATAGACTCATGGTTGCCAGGGGTTAAGGAGTGGGGAATGGGAGGGAAGTAGACACGGTCATAAGAGGGTAACATGGGGGATCCTTACGGTGATAGAAATGTATCCTTTGAGTCCAGATTTCAGCTGGTCTGCAGCAAGGACTCTCCCAGCGGTAGGGAGGCTCACTCAAAAAGTCATGGCCCAGGGCCGGGTGTGGTGGCGCACACCTGTAATCCCAGCACTTAGGGAGGCCAAGGCAGGCAGATCACAAGGTCAGAAGTTTGAGACCAGCCTGGCCAACATGGTGAAACCTCGTCTCTACTAAAAATACAAAAAAATTAGCTGGGCGTGGTGGCGGGTGCCTGTAGTCCCAGCTACTGGGGAGGCTGAGGCAGGAGAATGGCGTGAACCTGGGAGGCGGAGCTTGCAGTGAGCCGAGATCGCGCCACTGCACTCCAGCCTGGGCAACAGAGGAGACTCAGCCTCAAAAAAAAAAAAAAAAAAAAAGGCATGGACCTAACACCGTAGATGATGGGGGCGGCTGTTATACAGGCTTCATCTGAGTGTTCTGTGGCTCCCACATCCAGCCTGGTATGAAATTTTGGCAACGTTAACAAAACAACAACAAACAATCTATGTCTTAGAGATACTGAAGAATATACAGGTGGGACAGCTGATGAGAAATGCTGGATTCCATGCTAAGGAGTTTGGTTTGTATTTTGCAGGCAAAGGGCATCTATTGAAGGATTCTAAGTAGAAATAGTTACAAGATCAGATTTGTAATTTTGAAAGGTCATTGGGTTTTGTCCCAGTGGCGTCCTTAATAGCAAAAGAAAGTCCTGAATCGCGGGTCGTGCTCTGTTGTCACTTCTCCCTTTAATCTGAAATGCTTCCTCAGTGTTTTCGTCGTCCTTCATGAACTTGACATTTTTAAGGGTCTGGCTGGTTATTTTGAAGAATGTTCCTCGATTTGGGTTGGTCTGAGGTTTCTTCACGATCAGATTCCGCTTATGCCTTCTGACACAAATACCGAGAAATAATGCGGTGTCCTTCCCCACACATCATATCGGATGACAGCTTCCATTCATTGTGGCATTTAGATCACTCAGTTAAGTTGGTGACTTGTCAAATACCTTTATTGCAAAGTAATTATTTTTCTCTTTGCAATTATAAATTCATTATCTTCCTTGTGGAGCGATATTTTGAGACAATTGTAAATATCCCGTTACTCCTCAAATTTTTACCCTCTAGTTTTAGGAAGACTTTATGATTCTTGCCTGAATCATTTAATACTATCATGGTTGCCAAGTTGGCAATTTTCTACATCTGTCATTCCTTCTATATTTATCAGCTGGCTTTCTTCTGTAAAGCAGAACTTTCCCTTCTCCCCCACTTATTTACTTAAATATGCACAGAGAGAGAGAGAGTGGCGGCGGGGGGACATGTATTCTCATTTTATTCAATGAATCCCTTGACTTTCCATCATTCTGCATCGTGTTATTATGTTTTAGGTGTTTCTCTTACAAACAACATATAGATAAATTTTTTCCAGATTGACTTTTTTTCTTTTTCTTTTTTTTTTTTTTTTTAGACAGGGTCTTACTCTGTCACCCAGGCTGGAGTGCAGTGGCGTGATTTCGGCTCATTGCAACCTCCGCCTCCTGACCTCAAGTGATCCTCCCATCTCGGCCTCCCAAAGTGCTGGGATTACAGGTGTGAGCCACTGCACCCAGCCTCAGATTGACTTTCTAATCTTAAAACAGTAAGTTTTTCATGTATATGTGTTGTGAAAATAATATATATGGATTTTTTATGCAAAAAAGTAGATTTACATATGTTCAAGTAGAAAAATATCTAAAATGTGATCTTAAGGGGAAAAGTTGCAGGAAAGTGTGTGTAAAATAAGCCCATCCATGAGGGGAAAAGGATATGTGTACCTCTACTTTCATAGTCATAAAAATTTCTGGAAGGTCACACAAGAAGTGGGTTAACATTGGTTACTCTAAGAAGGTGGCTGGGGGGTAGAGGTCTATTTCTAGCTTTGTATATTACTGGAACTTTAACATCTGTGAACAGGTTTTACTTAGACAATTCAAACGCCTGATGTTTGCCTGCTCACAGCCTTTGACAGATACAGACACTTGCACGGCCATGTGGTACCCGAGGCTGTTAGAGTTAATTCCAGGCTGGATGCCACATAAGCAGGTGAGATGCGGGGCCAGGGGAGGCCCCTGACAGAGGAGGACATCTGAGTGAAGTTCCAAAGTGAGGTGTCTCAGCTTCGTGGAAAGCATGTAAGCACTGATGTTAGGCAAGCCCAAATTTGAGGCTAGCTACTCACTCCCTCTGTGAACTTGGGCAAACTTATGAGCTTCTGCAAGTCCTACGGGATTGCTGGGAGGATTAGAACTGATCATATCTGTGGCTGGGCATGATGGTTCACGCCTGTAATCCCAACACTTCGGGAGGCAGAGGCTGGTGGATTACCCAAGGTCGGGAGTTTGAGACCAGCCTGGCCAACATGATGAAACCCCATCACTACTAAAAATACAAAAATTAGCCAGGCGTGGTCGTGGGCGCCTGTAATCCCAGTTACTGGGGAGGCCGAGGCAGGAGAATTGCTTGAACCCAGGAGGTGAAGGTTGCACAGAGCCAAGATTACATCACTGCATTCCAGCCTCGGTGACAGAGCGAGACTCTGTCTCAAAAAAAAAAAAAACCAAAAAACAAAAAGATAGTATCTGTGAAGGGCACTGAAGAAGTACTGGTGTAAACATCTAATATATTTTTGAAAGATGAGGAGGTGGCAACAAAAAGAAGAAGGGGGTCCAAGAAGGGAACAGCACGTAGTGTGCTGGGCCCGAGCTGTGGGTGTTGGCCTGGGGCAAGTGTAGAGAGACACAAGGACAGCTTATGACAAGCATTAAATCCCACGCTAAGAAGTTTGGTTGTATTTTGAAGGCAAAGGGCATCTACTGAAGGATTTTAAGTAGAAGTTGTTACAAGGTCAGATTTGTAATTTTGATAGGTTATGGGCCGCAAATTGAGGGCCAGGGTGGAGGGTTAAAAGTGAAATTAGGTAAGCCAATTAGAAAATTGTAGTAATCTGGAAGGCAGATGAAGACGACCTGAACTAAAGCATTTAGCTATGAAGGACGTGGAAACCATTAAGACCTAACACCTGTTGGATGCAACAGTCAAGGGGAAAGAAGGAAAAAACCAGAGAACTTTTGTCTGAAGCAACTGTGTGTATGGTGGTGAGTGCAGATAGACAGATAGAGGAATGGATCAGGAGGAAAGAAGAGTCCAGTTTCAGGTATATTGAGTTTAATGTGTCTTTGGGGTTTTTCATTTTTTGTTTTTTTGAGACAGAGTTTCGCTCGTTGCCCAGGCTGGAGTGCATGGCGTGATCTCGGCTCATTGCAACCTCTGCCTTCTGGTTTCAAGTGATTCTCCTGCCTCAGCCTCCAGAGTAGCTGGGATTACAGGCGCCCACCACCATGCCCAGCTATTTTTTTTTTCTTTGAGATGGAGTCTTGCTCTGTCCCCCAGGCTGAAGTGCAGTGGCGCGATCTCGGCTCACTGCAACCTCTGCCTCCCAAGCGATTCTCTTGGTTCAAGCGATTCTCTTGCCTCTTGGTTCAAGCGATTCTCTTGCCTCAGCCTCCCAAGTAGCTGAGACTACAGGCAAGTGCCACCACGCCCGGCTAATTTTTTGTATTTTTAGTAGAGATGGGGTTTCACCATGTTAGCCAGGATTGTCTTGATCTCCTGACCTCGTGATCCACCTGTCTTGGCCTCCCAAAGTTCTGGGATTACAGGCATGAGCCATCACGCCTGGTCCCAGCTAATTTTTGTGTTTTTAGTAGAGATGGGATTTCACCATGTTGGCCAGGCTGGTCTCGAACTCCTGACCTTGTGATCCACCCGTCTCGGCCTCCCAAAGTGTTGGGATGACAAGCATGAGCCACTGCACCCGGCCCAATTTTTTTTTTTTGTTTTTAGAGACAGTCTTGCTCTGTTGCGCAGGCTGGAGTGCAGTGGCAAGATCATAGCTCACTGCAGCCTCGAACTCCCTGGCTCAAGCAATTCTTTTGCCTCAGCCTCCCCAGTAGCTGGGACTACAGGTGTGCTCTACCAAGTGCAGCTAATTTTTTTATTTTTGTAGACACAGGGTTTCACTATGTTGCCCAGGCTGGTCTCGAACTCCTGGCCTCAAGCAATCTTCCTGCCTCGGCCTTCCCAAAATGCTAGGATTACAGGCATGAGCTACTATGCCTGGCCTTAAGTCTTTGAATCCTATAACTGGTGATGTGGTAAGCTGCTAGATCTGTGAGGCTTGTACTTAAAGGGAAAAGCCTGTGCTGGCATTAAACACTACTTTGTTAGTGCTTGAGAGGATGGATGGCCAGAAAGGCCGTGGTTATTTTGGGTAATGGTCAAGCATGCCAGGGTTAAGACACCTGGTAGATGACTAAGTCTTAAGATTCTAAATAGAAGGCTGATCGCAAGTGTCAGTGTCAGCAACAATCAAGACATAAGGGTGTGTTAGAAGCTTCAGGATGACACCAGGAGGGCTTTGCTCAGAGTTAGGAACACAAAAATGACCAGATTTTTTTTTTTTTTTTGAGATGGAGTCTTGCTCTGTTGCCCAGGCTGGAGTGCAGTGGCGCAATCTCAGCTCACTGCAATCTCCGCCTCCCAGGTTCAAGAGATTCTCCCCGCTCAGCCTCCTAAGTAGCTGGGATTACAGGTACACACCACCACGCCCAGCTAATTTTTCTATTTTTAGTAGAGACAGGGTTTCAACATGTTGGCCAGGCTGGTCTCGAATTCCTGGCCTCAAGCGATCCTGGTGCTTGGCCTCCCCAAGTGCTGGGATTACCGGCATGAGCCACCACACCTGGCCAGTAGCCAGATGATTTTGAATGTCTCCAGCAAAAGCCTGAATTGTTTGTGCTTTCAAGGGGAACTAGTAACATGACAGCAGGCAGATCACAAGGTCAAGAGATTGAGACCATCCTGGCCAACATAGTGAAACCCTGTCTCCACTAAAAATACAAAAATTATCTGGGCATGGTGGCACGCACCTGTAGTCCCAGCTACTCGGGAGGCTGAGGCAGGAGAATCGCTTGAACCCGGGAGGCGGAGGTTGCAGTGAGCTGAGATCGCGCCACTGCACTCCAGCCTGGCGACAGAGCGAGACTCTGTCTCAAAAAAAAAAAAAAAAAAAAAAAAAAAAAATTCAAGAAGCCAGACTTTTCCTTTTCAATAGGCACCGAGCTCTATGTCACTAATGGGGCAAATGGGGCTCTTTTCTGTGGACGAATGGATGCCTTCCCATGGTTTCCAACCTGGGTCCCTAGAGGAGAGGATTCCTCATCATCCATGGATCCTCTCAGATTGCTCAGTTGCATGATATTAGATGCATGTGTGCATTTTCTGGGGCGAAAGGCCCCCAAATCATGACCGCAGCCACTGATCCTTTTCTTTCTCTTTCTTTTTCCACCTTCCTATTTCCCGTTTTTTCTTCTTTCTTGCCTGTATGCCTTGTGTTTAATAAGCCATGGGAGGAATTTGCTTACTCCACTGTCTCGCCCTGATCATCCCACATATGGCTAAAGTGACTGCTGACTCCTGGTCTAGAATGGTGCTTTCCAATCTTTAAAAATGCATGTATAATAGAACTTCCTCTGACCTGTTTGTTTTATGAAAGAAAATTTTGAATGGATCTTTATAGAAAACCAACTTAACAAAATAAAAGGAGCAGTTATGTATGCAGAGGGGGAAGTCTGGGCCCCACCCACCAGGCCATTCCACGGACCCTGAGGGACCCCCAGAGTTCTGTGGAATCCCAGGTTTGAAAACTACTGGTCTAAAGCCAGGTGTTGGGGCAGAAATCCAGAGAGTAATTCCAGAGAGTTCCCCAAGGGAGGAGCACCCAAGTCCTCGAGGAGCCACATGGTTAGTATATTTCTGACCTGCGAGGTTTAAAAGCCTATCCTGACGGGGCAGCTTGAGGGGCTCTGGCTAGCCTTGTCAGTTATAGAATGTGGGTGAACCCGATGTTGCAAGCCCAATGTTTTCATCAGTTTGATCACCTCTATTCATGCCTATACACTCCAGGTTGTAATGAAACTTCTGTCCAAGGTGGCCATTTGTGAATGATCTAGAGTAGAAGAGTTTGTAGGGCTACCTGCAAATCATCTCTAGGGCTGAAAAAAACCAAAAAACAAAAACTCAATTTAAACTGCAGAACAGTGTATATGAAAAGATCCCTTTTCATATTCATGCATCTTCAAATGGCTACTGGATATTTGAGAAATGATTATGAAATTATGTCAAATAAAGTCATTAGTCCCTGTTCTAGCTTAATTCCTTTTTGACTGTCCATAATGAGTACATGGGTATCCATTGCCTTCTTCATCTTCTTCTTGGGACAAAGAAGGGGCCATCTAGACAGTATGTCATCTGTAGTCTTGAAGATTTTAAAGTAATGGTGGTGGCTGGGTGCGGTGGCTCATGACTGTAATCCCGGCACTTTGGGAGGCTGAGTCTAGGGGATCACTTGAGGTCAGGAGTTCGAGACCAGCCTGGCCAACATGGTAAAACCTGTCTCTACTAAAAATACAAAAATTAGCCGGGTGTGATGGCACGTGCCTGTAATCCCAGCTACTGAGGAGGCTGAGGCAGGAGAATCGCTTTAACCTGGGAGGTAGAGGCTGCAGTGAGCTGAGATTGTGCCACTGCACTCCAGCCTGGAGGACAGAGTTGGACTGTATCTCAAAAAAATAAAAATAAAAATAAAGTAGTTGTGGCTACTCCGACTAAGAGCAGAAGTGCCCAATGCTTCAAGGCACCATGAAGACATGCGGCCTGACCCCTTCCTTCCCTGGCCCTTGGAGAGGCTAACTAACCTATCCAGTTGCTAACAGACAGGTTCTTTTGGGTAACTTGGATGTTTCCATTCTCTTGAGGTTTGGTGCCCAGCTTGCAGGCCTAGTTCCCACTCTTCTCCATCTAGTTTTTGGATAGATTCTCTTACATAGCTTGGCTAAGATTATTCAACCTTCTGGGCTCAACTCTTCTGAAGCTACACTCATTTGAGGTCTCACTCCCCCATAAGAGTGCCATTCCTTCTTCTACTGAGGGCTTTTATCACCTGCCCGGACTTGGATTGGACTTGTTCCATCTAGTTCCCTGCCACTCCTCTCACCCCTGCTTCCTCCCTGCCACCTGGCTGCAATTCCTGAGTGGGATACCCTTATTCCCAGGTAGGAACATAAACTCCAGAAACAGTCACTTCGACAGGCCATGCCTTTATTTAGGTGAGGATATCATTGCCCAATAATTTCTTCACAACTCTTCTCTTAGATCCTGTATCACATTATATTTTGATTATCTTCAGTATCTATATGTCAGGGATTGACTGTTTTTAAATGGCCAGACATTGTTCAGGGAAGGGCTCAGTGATTAAGGCTGTGATCAAACACAACACCACTATTCGTGTCACTAAAGTAATAAAATGGATTTTCTTTTGTAATTTGCAAACTGGGCTCCAAAAGAAATTCCACTAGACTGTAAGCATGAGGGCAGGGGCTGTGTTTGTTCTGCTCATCACTTTATGCTCAGCACCAAAAAGAGAAGTTGAAAAGTTGTAAGTGCTTGACCGATGTTTGTTGAGTGAATGAGTAGAAGGATTTCAAAGAATGTCTGGAGCAGAAACAGTATCATTCAGACAAGCAGATGACCTGGTAATATCCACCATCTAAAAGTTATTGGTGAAACCCCGTCTCTACTAAAAATAGAAAAATTAGCCAGGCATGGTGGCGTGCACCTGTAGTCCTAGCTACTCAGGAGGCTGAGGCAGGAGAATTGCTTGAACCTGGGAGGCAGAGGTTGCAGTGAGCCAAGATTGCACCACTGCACTCCAGCCTGGGCCACAGAGCAAGACTCTGTCTCAAAATACATAAATAAATAAAAGTTCTTGTATTCGTCCATTTTCACACTGCTGTAAGAACTGCCTGAGACTGGGTAATTTATTAAAAAAAAAAAAAAAGGTTTAATTGGTTCACAATTCCAGATGGCTGCGGAGGCCCCAGGAAACTTACAGTCATAGCAGAAGGCAAAGGGGACGCAAGGCACTTTCTTCACAAGGTGGCAGGAAGTAGAAGCGCCGAGCGAAGGGAGAAGAGCCCCTTGTAAAACCATTAGTTCTCATGAGAACCCACTCACTACCATGAGAAGAGCATGGGGAACCAGCCCCCATGATTCAATTACCTCCACCTGGTCTTCCCCTCAACACAGGATGATGGGGATTATAAGGATTACAATTCAAGATGCAATTTTGGGTGGGGACATAGCTGAACCATATCAGTTCTTTAACCCACTGGCTTAGCACAGAAGTCATGATACCTGTTCTTCTTTGATACGGTTTGGATTTGTGTCCCCACCCAAATCTCATGTCAAATTGGAGGAGGGGCAGAATTCCCCCTTGCTGTTCTCGTGATAGTGAGTGAGTTCTCATGAAATCTGATGGTTTAAGTCTTCCCCCTTTGCTCGCTCGCTCTCCTGCCCACCCTGTAAAGAAGGTGCTTGCTTCTCCTTCGCCTTCCACTACGATTGTAAGTTTCCTGAGGCCCTCCAGTCAAGCTTCCTGTTAAGCCTGCAGAACTGTGAGTCAATTCAACCTCTTCATAAATTACGCAGTCTCAGGTCATTCTTTATAGCAGTATGAGAATGGATTAATACATTCCTGCTTTATTCCTTATGCTCATGTGAAAATATACTGCAAGTTGCAATCCCTAAGAGTTAGTAACAATTAAATCAGAAATGCAAACCTCAGGATCATCTACATATTGGAGCCATGTGTGCCGATGTTGCTCCAGAGGGACCCTCTGCAGAGGCTGTTGGTCAGTTCCAAACGTCTCAGTCTTTCCATTATAAGTCATTATTACCAGAAAATTTAAAAAATGTTTTCAAGTACAGTTCAGCGCTTTAGATAGATTTGTTTTTCTCTTCATGTGGTAGAATCACATCTGGACATCAGTTAGATATATTTCATCTAAAAATAGCATTTATCCAATTTACTGTCACTGGAGGAGGTTTTTTTTTTAAGGCAGACTCTGCTTATAATTCTCTGTAGTCTTTCATGGCTCACTGCCATTTAATATAAAAAAAAGAAGGCATCAGATTGATTGTACGTGTAAGTGTGTGTATGGAAGCACAATGAAACAATAAGTTTCATAGACTGAAAAAAAAGACAACTGCCTTATCATTCCCCTTTTATTCATTTATTTTTTTGAGCTGTCACTGGTTACGTCGTTAAACCTTAAATTCAGAATCAGTGTGAACTCCACCAGATTCTTTTTAGTAATTACTTCAGGGCCACAAAACATGAATTTGGGGATTTTTTTTTTTTGGTCTGTTTTATTTGAGACTGGATTCTTTTTACTTATTTAGTGTGCCTTCTCAGCAACCTGCTATTTGGGTTTAGAAAGAAAGGAGGAGAGCTGTGCGTGGTGGCTCATGCCTGTAATCCCAGCACTTTGGGAGGCCAAAGCAGGAGGACCACTTGATGGAGTTTGGGCCAGCTACTTGGGAGGCTGAGGCTGGAAGATTACTTGAACCCAGGAGGCAGAGGTTACAGTGAGCTGAGATGGTGCCACTGCATTCCAGTCTGGGTGACAGAGACAGAGCGAGACTCCATCTCAAAAAAAAAAAAAAGGAGACAAATTAAAAGGAGTCAGGAAGAAGAGAGAAAGGAAAAAAGAGTAGAGGGTTAAAGCGCAGGCTCATGGAAGCCCATGGAGCAGGTGGCACACATTTAGAAGCCGAAATTGGAATTAAATCTGACTAAAGAAAAATCAGCAAGCTGCTGCTTCTACCTAAGGCGCTGACATGAATCTGAGTTGGCTCTGAAAGGGACAGATTATAAATAAGGAAGCACTTAACAGTCTATTCCAACTGCACATTTATCAAGGTCCTCCTTCGTTCTGGAGACATTTATCTTCAGGGACAGGACTCTGACCCTCCTTGCCTTGTGGCACTGGGTCTGTCTCCTGGAAGAGAACTTTGTCTTTTGAGCTGTGGTGTTTGCCCTTTTTCTCTGAAGGCACGTCCTCCCCCAACTTCCCCCATGTGATGGGGATAAATTCTGTTTTCAAAATACCTTTCAAGCAGAGTTAATGGGTCTGACCTGTCGTGATTATAATGTATTGCCCCCTGCTTGTCAAAGTGGCGTTCCTGGTCCTCAGTTAGTACAGCCTGGGCTTGGAGACCCTTTCCATGCTTTGGGGAAGGATTTACCTGACTGCCTCCACATCCTCTCCCCTTCTCCTTTGTGGCCTTTGATAGAAATGTTTAAAATGGCAGAGAGGCTGGGCTCAGTGACTCACGCCTGTAATCCCAACACTTTGGGAGGCCAAGGCAGGCGGATCATTTGAGGTCAGGAGTTCAAGACCAGCCTGGCCAACATGGTGAAACGCTGTCTCTACTAAAACTACAAAAATCACCTACCTGGGTATGGTGGCAGATGCCTGTAAACCAGCTACTCAGGAGGCTGAGGTGCAAGAATCGCTTGAACTCGGGAGGCAGAGGTTGCAGTGAGCTGAGATTGCCCCACTGCACTCCAGCCTTGGTGACAGAGTGAGACTCTGTCTCAAAAAAATAAAAATAATAAAGTAAAATGGCAGAGAGGTGTTAGGGCTAGAGCCTGAGCCGTGATGTGGAGCAACAACGGCTGAGTTGTACAGCAGGTCAGTCCAGGACCTTCGTATCATCACTACCAGGCTTTAAACAAGTGTGCTAATATCTGATCTGCCCACGGGGATGAGCTTAAACACACCCACTCAGAAAACTCTCTTCAGATCCATTAACAGAGGGGCCTTTCAATTCCTAAGCATATCCAGCCTGTAAAAAGTTTTGCAATATTCAACCCTGAGATTGGACCTGTTGAACCCTTTTCATTTTGTGAACTATTTTTGTAGATTTTTTTGACACATCTCGGCACAAATGAAACAACAGACAATGTTTTAAGAGGAGTCTCTCATTCGACTTCAGTTATTTGCAACCTTCATTTTTCACCTTTAAAAATTTAACAGATATGTGAGTGGAATAAAATTAATTTCCACCACCCACAATAGTTCATTAGTGAAATAAGGAAAGTATTTAATGGATTTGTGCTTGGTGTGCCTAAAATTATTTCACCATAACAAAAGGTCTTGAAAGACTAAGAAAAAGTCTGATGACAATTAAATTGCCTATCTGAACAGGAGTACTGTACAGCAGGAAAACATAGTCTTAAAATAGCTCATTGTAGAGCTGGAAAAGAGAGGGAGAAATACATAAAGGAAGCACAAAGGTGTTGCATATGAAATGAAAATCTTTTTTAAAAAATACCAACACAGTACTTGTTCTTTGCTTGTGCAGAGTCCCAGATTTTCACAATCTTTCATGCTTCCATTTCATTTCTGTGGGGGCGTGACTTGTTTCAGTTAGAATCCTAAGCAAACTCCATTTCTCTGCTTTAAAAGGTAAAACTTCATTCTTCCCAGATGTACAGTAAAGCTTTGGAGGCTTCACGTTTTGAAACCTACTGATTAAGAATTTGACATTTTCTGCGAAAAAATGCCCAGTAGGGCACAAAGACAGCAGGAGGGAAGGTTCAGCAAACAAAATTTCCCCCCGCCCTTTTCATACAGCACCTTCTATATAACATCAGGGGTAGAAGAGACTGTAGCAGTGATCTCATCCATAGCCTCTTTTACAGTTGAAGAAAATGAAGTACAGAGAGGGTGAATGGTTTGTCCAAGGGCACACAGCCAGTTAGTGGCCAAAGAAGACAATCCTATCTGGGTCTTTCCTGAACTATAGCACCCAAATACCAGTTCTTTTCTTTTTTTAAATTATGTATTTATTTATTTATTTTGAGACAGAGTCTCACTCTGTTGCCCAGGCTGGAGTGCAGTGAGCAACCTCCACCTCCTGGGTTTAAGCAATTCTCCCAAGTAGCTGGGATTACAGGTGCACGCCATCACACCCAGCTAATTTTTGTATTTTTAGTAGAGACAGGTTTTTGCCATGTTGGCCAAGCTGGTCTCAAACCCCTGACCTCAAGTGATTCACCTGCCTTGGACTCCCAAAATGCTGGGATTACAGGCGTGAGACACCGTGCCTGGCCCTGAACACCAATTCTTGCTTATTTATTTGATAAATGCTTGCCAGGGAGGGCTTCAGCACAAATCCATTTCATAGCTTCGTCTTTATTAATGCACTCGTTGAAAGCAATGCATTTTTTTGTGATGTCCTCTAATGCAGCATGATCAGGAAGAATGCTTCAGTTCCATGCCCTCTGCTCCTCCCGAGCCCAGCTTAGTACAATTTGAAGATGACCTGCAGGTCCCACTGCAAGGCAGCAGGTTGCCCACAGCCTTTGGTTTGTTAGGTCAAGGAATGGGTGAGTCTGGCATGTGGCCCTCCCCAGGGTAGGGATGTTCTGGAATCTTCTGGGTCCCAGGAGGCTCATTTGTCTAAGTCTTAACTCTTTCTGCTCTTTTTGACTCTGCGAGGAAAACGCAAGAAATGAAACCCGAATTTCTTTTTTATTATCTGGTAACATTTTGCCAAAATAATTGTTTTTTTGTTTTCTGGTTTTCAATCTGGTTGTGTTTTTATTTTCTTAACTTTAAAAAATAAGGTTTTGGGCTGGGCGCAGTGGCTCACACCTGTAATCCTAGCACTTTGGGAGGCTGAGGCAAGTGGATCACAGAGTTGGAGACCAGCCTGGCCAACTTGGTAAAACCTCGTCTCTACTAATAAGACAAAAATTAGCTGGGTATGGTGGCGCGTACCCGTAGTCCCAGCTACTCGGGAGGCTGAGGCAGGGGAATTGCTTGAATCTGGGAAGCGGAGGTTGCAGTGAGCCGAGATCACACCACTGCACTCCAGCCTGGTGACAGAGCGAGACTCCATCTCGAAGGAAAAAATAAATAAATAAATAAATAAATAAATAAAATAACCATTATGGCTAGCCCTAACCCCAGGGGATCTTATAAAGTGGCTGGTATTTAGTCTCTTCTTTCTGTCTGTGTTTTCCCTCCTTCTGTCATCAAGCAACTCACCCAGATGCAGAGGAAGGTTAACAGGGCTGGAAGTAGGGTGAGGCCAGTGAGCACACAACTTAAGGGGACTCCAAAAGTTCAGTACTGCAGACCAAAAATATTCAGGAAAAAACCCAATAAGAACAAATAATACAAATAAGGCCAGGCACAGTGGCTCACACCTGTAATCCCAACACTTTGGGAGATCGAGGCAGGCAGATCACCTGAGGTCAGGAAGTCAAGACCAGCCTGGCCAACATGGTGAAGCCCTGTCTCTACTAAAAATACAAAAATTAGCCAGGCATGGTCGCAGGCACCTGTAATCTCAGCTACTCAGGAAACTGGGGCAGGAGAATTCCTTGAACCTAGGAGGCAGAGGTTGCAGTGAGCTGAGATTGCGCCATTGTACTCTAGCCTGGGTGACAAGAGCGAGACTCCATCTAAAAAAAAAAAAAAAATAAGAAAGCAGTACAGTATAGCAACTATTTACATAGCATTTACATCATATTAGATACTTTAGTGACCTAAGGATGATTTAAAGTACATGAGAGGGCGTGCATAGGTTATATGTGAGTACTATACCATTTTACAGAATAGACTTGAGCGTATGTGGATTTTGGTATCTGTGAGGGGTCGTGAAACTAATGCCTGCTGGATACTGAGGGGCAACTGTATAGTCACATGGAGGGTGTTGCATTTTAGGCCAAGGAAACAGCATGAATAAATTGATGGGGGCCCTTATACATTTCCTCTTTGAGTATCATCAAGTACTTTGGTGCTGCCAGAGTTCAGGGGAGTGTAATACTCAGATTTTTTATGGTTGCAAGTAACAGGAAATTTGACTCAGAATTGCTTGGCATAAGAGGTTAGCAAACTTTTTCTGTAAAGTGCCAGATAGTACATATTTTATGCTTTGCAAGCCGCATAGTGGCCAGAGATAGGGGAGTTTTCTTCGGTAATTCAATGTCAACAAGGACCTTGTGTTCCAGCTCGCCACACTGTATTTCATAATGTTGGCAGCCAGCATATCCAGGGACTTCAGGGTCTTTTTCTATGTCTGGAGATTAAGAGGAACATTTTAATGAAATATTTTAAAAATCTGAGTTAATGCAAAAAAAAAAAAAACCCACGATGAACAAAATGTGAACATTTTAAATAAAGAGAGGACTCGCATTACTAATTTTTTCTTTTGGCCTCAGGTTCCAATATGGCTTGGTATGGCACTGAGAGTTAATGGCCAGAAATACAGTGGAATATGGCGTGTGTGTGTGTGTGTGTGTGTGTGTGTGTGTGTGTGTGTAGAGGGAAAGAGATGAACCACAAAGCCAGAAGAAATCTTAATCACAGAAGCTTAGTTCAATCAATTTTACAGGTGCAGAGCTGAGAAATTAAGTGTTTTCCCATGAATCAATCACAGAGATCTTTAAAAAGATTAAAGCTCAGATCTCTTGACCACAAATCCCGTGGATACTTACACAGCAGAGGCTTCTAAGACAGAGGAAACTCACATCTCTCCAGAAGAGGCAAGCCCAATGATTTGATCCAAATCAGGGCATATTCTAGCGCCACTCTACATAGAGATAGAGGGGTTTTTGTGTGTTTGTTTGTTTTTTTGTGATGGAGTTTCGCTCTTGTTGCCCAGGCTGGAGTGCAATGGCGTGGTCTCGGCTCACTGTAACCTCCACCTCCCAGGTTCAAGCGATTCTCCTGCTTCAGCTTCCTAAGTAGCTGGGATTACAGGCATGTGCCACCACACCTGGCTAATTTTGTATTTTTAGTAGAGATGGGGTTTCACCATGTTGGCCAGGCTAGTCTCGAACTCCTGACCTCAGGTGATCCACCCACCTCGGCCTCCCAAAGTGCTGGGATTACAGGCATGAGCCACTGCGCCTGGCCAAGATAGAGGTTTTAAAACAGTTAAGGGTCCCAGAGCACATGCATGATCTCTCTTTAGATACTGTGCCACTAAGGATTCCAGAAAAATAAAACATGGCCCAGAGATGCAGCCACAGCCTCTTTTTGGATGCCAGCGGTTCCTGTTCCTCCTCACTCCTTCCCATCCAAGTTTAGGGGAGCAAAGACTATCCTATGTGCACACGACAGTTCTGAACACAGCAAAAGTTCTGAATAAGGCAAAGGACAGCTGCAGCCTGCTGTTCCAGGTCTCACTTTTTCTTTGTCCCCTTATAGGCTTTTGCAAAGCTGTAGGTCCCATGGAGGGTGGGTAACTGGTTTACAAGGTCCAGGGATCTGTTCTAGGTCGTAGGATCAACTCATCTCAGTTTGCTTGGGGCTTTCCTACTTTTAGCACTGAAAATCTCAAGTCCCAGGAAACCTTCAGTCCCAGGCACACTGTCACAGCTGGTCAGAATCACTTTAGGTGCTTGAACCCAGGAGGCAGAGGTTGCAGTGAGCCGAGATCGCACCACTGCACTCCGGCCTGGGTGACAGAGTGAGATTCAGTCTCACACACACAAAAAATCACTGTAGAGACCAGCATCCACATTGGGACCCCACTGTGAGTTCCAGAGTCATTGTGGAGGTGGGGTGTTGACCTTTTCTCAAGAATAGGGTAGAACTCCAGCGTGTGGAGTAAAGGAGTGGATGAACTTGTTTTTCAAGCTGGGGGATAGGAACTTCTGGTAAAACCTGTCCTTCAGCCTCTGATAAGAATCAGAATCTTTTGGCCAGGGTCTGTAGGCTGAAGGCAATAAGGGTTTATCACTACCCCCATGGCACCGGGGCTGCAGGCCAGAGGTATCTGGTGAGGACCTTTGGGTGACAGGAAAGCATTGACACTGATAACAGGCAGACTAGAAAATGCTGAGATTCAATCCCTGCCACTCCTGGAATCAGGGCAGAGGGAATGGGGGCAGAAACTTTTGTATCCAAATCTACCTCCAGGGACTGGGTTTCTAGGACAACACTCCCTCCCATGCGGCCAGCCATGGAGCATCTCCCCAGTCACCTGGCTCAGCCTCCCTCCCAAGACAGGGCTGCTGGAGGAAGTGCTAAAGACATGAGATCCTGTCAACACCTGGGTGGTGTGGGGCAGTCTCCCACCTGGATTTTGAGAGGTGGCTGTGGACAGGAAGGCAAGAGTGGGAATGAAAGGTTGGAAAGTCCATCAGAGTTACCTTCCCCCTCTGGTGTGTGCGCACGCACGTGCACACACACACACACACACACACACACGTACATGCACATTTATGTACATTCCACCCTGATTAAAGCATTGTGAACTCTTATGAGAGGAAACAGAAATGTGAAGTCCTGACTGAGTCCACAAGTGAAATCTTAGTGAGTAAGTGTCTGAGCAGGAAAAGGAGTCCAGGTGCCCATTAGTTCCGGCAAATTCCCACAGTTCAGGATCTCCCTGAACAATTTCCACTGGGCTAGGACAGTCAGGGTGTTGTGAAGATATATTCAGCTTCTAGTAATAACTTCCAACATACTGGAGAGAACAAAGACTGGAGAGGTTCCAAAGAGATCACCTGCTACAGAAGGATCTGACGAGGCTGTAAGGTTATGGAATGGGTAGGAGGAAAGGTTAGGACTTAGATAGAAGGAGACTGGGGGGATGTGGAAGAGGAGGGAGTCAAGGGTTCCATTCAGAGAGGTGGGAAAGGTTCAAGAACAGCCTGCTTTGACATAGATAATAGTCTTTATTGCTTTACGGTTACTGATGTATATGTCTATTATGTCTAATTCGTCTTCCACCCATCCCCTCCACTTTCAATTTACAAGCTCCATGAAGACAGGGCTGTGTCTTATTCAACTGTGTATCTATGTTAAGTGCTTAGCAGAGTGCCTTTAACATCATACAGGCTGGGCGTGGTGGCTCACACCTATAATCCCAGTGCTCTGGGAAGTCAAGTGGGGAGGATCATCTGAGTTCAGGAGTTCAAGACCAGCCTAGTTAACACAGCGAGACCACATCTCTACAAAAAATTTTTTTAATTAGCTGGGCATAGTGGCATGTACCTGTAGTCCCAGCTACTTGGGAACTGAAGGAGGAGAATTGCTGGAGCCCAGGAGGTTGAGGCTGCAGTGAGTCATGATCACACCTCTGCAACTCCAGCCTGGCAACAGAATGAGACTTTGTCTTTGAAAAACAAAACAAAACAAAAATCATACATATATGTGTGAATATGTATAAATCATACATATATGTATACATATATAAACATATATTAAAATATATATACACATATGTGTATATATATGTGTGTGTATATATAGATAGATAGATAGATACACGTGTGTGTATCTATATATATATATATATATATATATATATATATATATATATATATATTTTTTTTTTTTTTTTTTTTTTTTTTTTTAGATGGAGTCTCACTCTGTTGCCCAGGCTGGGGTGCAGTGGCGCAATCTCAGCTCACTGTGACCTCTGCCTCCTGGGTTCAAGTGATTCTCATGCCTCAGCCTCCCAAGTAGCTGGGATTACAGGCACCTGCCACCACACCTGGCTAATTTGTGTGCTTTTAGTAGAGATGGGGTTTCACCATATTGGCCAGGCTGGTCTTGAACTCCTGGTCTCAAGTGATCCACCTGCCTTGGCCTCCCAAAGTGCTGGGATTACAGGTGTGAGCCACCACGGCTGGCCAAAAGTCATGCATATTGAAGAAACATTTCTGACAAAAATTGAAGTGGAATTTCAGAATGAGTTTATTAAAGTTTAAGACATATATCTTGGGACGAAGAATGTCTACCACAAATGTAAAAATAAGCCTGGTGAAACAAACTGATGTCCATATCCAAGCCCCCAAAATACAATTATGAATTATTTCTGTTAAAGCTTAAGTATAAAAAGTCACCCAGACTTTTTCATCAAGATCTTCATTGAGACCATGCACATCCTGTCAACCAATACAACTTTGTCTTTTTGAAAATAGTCCATAATTCCATGTAAACCAGAATGACCAATTCAGGTAAATCAGAAGGGCTTGGTATTTGCAACCTCTGTGTATTATGCAGGTTGGTTCTATGTCAGGGACAGCAAATGCCTAGCACCAGTGAGCTGCTGACTGCTTGCTGAAGCCATTGTGATGACATGTCATGACTCCTCAGGTTATGCATCTCTTCCATTTCTCTTTGATTCCTATTATTGTACTTCTTTCCCCACCTTCTATTCCTCTTCTATATTTTCCTCTTTGTCTTCCTGTATCAAAGAATCTAATCATTGCCCATGCATGCACACCCTTCTAGGTGTTTCTGTCTCTTTTCTCTACCACATCCCTCCCCAAGAGTGACAGCTGCTGGTTCCCACTCTTCCTGAGGCCTGATCGCTCAGCTTTTCCTTGGAGTCCATGAGGTTCCTTGGAGTCCACCGTCCTCCTCATACTTTAATTTGTCTAAGTAGATTTCTGTTCTTGCAACCAAAGTTACCCCAAGCCCTTTCCTTCTGGCCTCTGCTGTAGGATAGGCCTGCCAGTGGCACCTGGAGGAACTGCTCAGCCAGGACGTCAAAGGGCTATCACCCAGCCTGCATGCTATGAAGCATCAGAATATCTGGAAATGGGTGGATGTTGGTTGAATTTTCTATTTTTTAGTGGAATGTTTCAGCATCTTTTGGACAAGGCTCTCTGGCTAGCTTAAGCACCTTGTTAAGACCATTAAATGAATTTTGTGGTGCAAGACAAGGAAGATTCACGTTAATATTGCCACTAAGCCCTACCTATATGGGAGGCTTAGCTGGATATAGGTGATCAGGGATTTCTTTCTCTCTCTCTTTCTTTCTTTTTAAAGAATGGAAAACATTAAAATTGGGAAATAAAGTGGACTTTAGACTTTATCTCCCTAAAAGGAATGGCTGTAGAACAGCAAAACCTTCTTCTATTTCCAGAAGGGAATTGTGGCAAGAGAATAGAAGCTTTACGGGGAATTACTGGTATTATCAAAGGCTTTTCAAAATAGACTTGAAATGAATAGTTGTGTGCTGGTTTTATTACTGCTTTGCGAGTTTACATTTTGTTTTTGTATGGTATTTTTCTCTCCTCTATGAGATGGTTGCTAAGGCATGAGAGCAAATAACCTTTATTGTGTTGAATTTGGGACCGAACGCAATTATCTTATAATTTGGGTTCATAGTGTCATTTTTGACAGTTATATTATGAGCTTTTTGGGGAAAATTGAGCCCACATGCTGTAAGCTGCTTCCTCTTCAGTTGCCCTTCAAGTTACAACATCTATGCTCCTCTATCCCCCATTCATTTGCACTTGGGCAGCCTTGGGGCCAGATGCTGCTTGGAGGCAAACCAGACGATCCACTGTGGGCACTACCAAGCCACAGCATTGTCTGCTCTGAAGAGGCCCTGTCCCCTGTCATATGTTATTTCCAGGTGACTACATGGACATGGGTCTCAAGGGATGCTGCAAATGGTTATTACTAAAGGTATGTTGCATTGCTCACAACAAAGGGAAGTCATAAGTCAACAGAATTTTTGTACATCAAGCCAATGTTCTTAGTAGCCTTCGTGACTATTTCGGAGATGTTTTATCTTCCTTCCTTCCTTTCTTTCTTTCTTTCTTTCTTTCTTTCTTTCTTTCTTTCTTTCTTTCTTTCTTTCTTTCTTTCTTTCTTTTTTTTTTGAGACAGAGTCTCGCTCTGTCACCCAGGCTGGAGTGCAGTGGTGCGATCTCGGCTCGCTGCAAACTCTGCCTCCTGGGTTCACCCCATTCTCCCTGCCTCAGCCTCCTGAGTAGCTGGGACTACAGGCGCCTGCCACCCCACCCGGCTAATTTTTTGTATTTTTAGTAGAGACAGGGTTTCATGGTGTTAGCCGAGATGGTCTCGATCTCCTGACCTCATGATCTGCCCACCCCGGCCTCCCAAAGTGCTGGGATTACAGGCATGAGCCACCGTGCCCAGCTGTTTTATCTTCATTTCTGACTGGCCTTTAGTTGGCAGCACTTCTTACCTAATCTATCCCGTAGCATTTTTGTAAAGGAAGGTAATGAGCTATAAATAAATTTTGAAATGTACCATGGGAACACATTGCTTACAGAAATCCTTCTTTAAATAACAATTATTTTCTCTGTTCCTTCCCATTGCCCTAGTAGAAGTTTGAGTTCCCCCATAGCACACCCTGAGATAAGAGTTTAAGTGCAAATGGTTTACTCGGGAGTAATGTCAGGAAACACCAGTGGGATGTGAGGAAGTGGTACAGGGAAGGGAAGGACATCAATAAGAGATACAACATCAAATAGGTTACTACTGTGGGTAAGTGGGGCTAAATCCTGCCAAGGATCCCTGGGAGGCAGCATAGAAGACACACCTCAGAGTTATACCACCTAAGGGCGAGGGAGCTGGGGTATTTATATACCAACTCCTTCAGTCATTAGTCAAGGGCTGCTCAGGGGTGGGAGTGAGTTGCCATTTCCCAGCACTTCTGCCTTCTACATGGGCAGGGACTACCAAAACCCAAGAAAGCTCTCAGGCAGAGATGTTAAGTGCTGATAGTTGGAAGCCAAGCCAGTGTATGCTGAAATGTAGAGGCTGGGAGGCTGTGGCCAGGACACCCAACATCTGCTACCCTTAGCTCCCCGGAGCATGTGAGAAGTCAACTCTCCATTGCTCCCGAGAATCACCACCAGCATTTTATTGTGCTTAAGACACACATTGTCTTCTATGTGCATTTTCTGCAAACCTAAAAAGGGTTGTAAAGACTTATTAGAAAAGTGAAGTGTTTTCCCTCAAAATATTTCTTTATGTAGAAATATGAGGAAATGGAGCCAGTGACCACAATAAATAGATTAATAAAAATCCTTTTCAAAATGTCCCCACCCATCATTTTCAGTGGATAGAGGATATAGATGCTAACATGTACAGCCTTTATTTTCAATATGGTCTTTAAACCACCAGCAGTGGCTTCTCATGTTTGGCATAGGCTCGCCCCTTAGATGCTTTTTGAAAGTGTCTACATATCCCTGGGTACCTCATGGACTATGGTGTGGCAGGGAAACCATCTGTAAAGTGCCCAAGTGGGCAGGGGCCAAATGGGGGTATGTGATGCCTGTTTTTGAGGGAAAATACTTCATTTCCCTAATGACAAGTCTCTAAAAGCCATTTTTCTTTCTTTCTTTCTTTCTTTTTTTTTTTTTGGTTTGTAGAAAATGCACATAGAAGACATTTACCAATAAAAGCTGGTGGTGATTCTCAGGAGCAACAGAGAGAGTCGACTTCCTCTCACGTGCTCCAGGGAGCTAAGTGCAGCAGATGTTGCTGGTGTCCTGCCCACAGCCTCTCAGCCTCTACATTTCAGCACACACTGGCTTGGCTTCCAACTGCCAGCACTTATATATCTTCCCCTGATAGCTTTCTTGGGTTTTGGTAGTCTCTGCCCATGCAGGCAGAAGTGCTGAGAAATGACCACCCACCCTCACCCCTGAGCAGCCCTCGACCAATGACTGAGGGAGTTGGTATATAAATACCCCAGCTCCCTCGCCCTCAGATGGTGTAACTCTGAGCTGTGTCTTTTATTCCTAGGCACCACCTCCAAACACACTCACAACTGAAAGTGTGATTCAATCCAGCCATCTTAATTCCATCAACATCTCTTGGAAGTTCTGGATCTTCTTGTCCCCAGTGAGTCCTGCTGCTCTATTTATCCCTAATGGCACTCTGGCAGCTGAACCAATCATACCCTACTCAAGCTCCTATTGCTTTGAGAGTTTTTAAGTCTCTCTAGGTTCCTAACATAGCATCGGAAAGGGATCTTGGTAATGAAGAAAATTAAGCTCATGGAGTCTCTATTGCACACAGATGCCACAAGAGAGTTGAGCTGAACTTCTTGAGATCCATATTAATGAGTTGGCATCTGGGCAACGTGGAACCCAGAACAGTTGTATATCAGGTCTGCCTAAATGGTAGCCTGCATCCGTTATCAGATCCATTGACCATTTCCATTTTGATTCCTAATTCTTGTCCTGGCTATGTAATTTGTGACATTTCAGAGCTAGAAAAAACCTTAAAGATCATTTAGCCAACTTGTTTTACTAGTAAGAATATTGCATTCTAGTGTAGTTAGGTAATTTACCGAGAGTTCAACAGCAGCTGAAGAACTGAGCCTGGGGGACAGAGCCAGACTTTTCCACTTCGCTGCAGCAGCATTTCTCATTGAATTTGGTAGAAGCAAATGTTTCGTTTCACAAAGTTTTTTATTTTTTAAATGCCTGCTTAAGGCAGTGCAAGGCACTGTAGGGGATTTGAAGAACAAGTGCCCTCATGGCTCTGAGCAATGCAAACGTGAAGAAACCATTACACAGTATAGCAGAGATATTTTATTTTAATATGTGGGTCCATGTGATAAACTGAGGCACTCACCCTGGCCCTCATGCCCTGATAAGCTTGCTGCCACAGGTGAGGAATCTATCCTTCCTAATCTGTGCTAGGACTCAGGGGTTCGCAGATGAGACAGGAGCTGACATCCATGTATGGTTAGGATAAGGGAGTAAACCGCCCCACTGTGCAGTCCCGTCTGCCTTGGCCAACCTGACTTTGCAAGCTGAGCCTGGTTGCCTGGCAAGAAGATGCCTGGCCTTGCTTCCATACACCTGCAGCCACATTCTGGTTGCACAGCCTCAGGCAGGTACTTAATCCTTTTAAAATTCAATGTCTTCATCTCTAAAATACTATAAATAACAGCATCTACAGTGTTGGCTGGTGATGAAGACTAAATGAGGTAACACATGAAATTCTTAGTACTCAAAAAATCCTTCTTATTATTGTCATTTTTACCCAGTTGCCACCTTCGCCCCCGGCCCTAAAATAGCTCGCATTTCTCCATCTCTCCTATAGAGTTTTCCTATCATCACTTTCCCCCCAGCTTGCCACTCACTAACAATTTTCTCCCCATTCTCTTGCACTGTCTGCTTACGCTCTTTGCCTCTTGCTTCTGGCTCTCTTTCTCCCCCTATTCCTACTCCTCCCACTGGTCTCTATACCTTCTTACACCTCCTGTTCATTTCTCATTCCGTTTCCTATTTTCTCTGTTTTCTTGCAATTTATGTCTTTCATCCCAGCTCCCCAGTTCCCACCCCCAGCCATTTTCCTGTTCCCACGCTACCAGGAGGTTCTCTTTCTTCTCTGCTACTATTTCCTTCTCACATTTATCTTTCCTCCCCTCTCTTCCCCCTTTTGCATCCCCTAGCTGCCCCTTCCTAGGCCCCCCCTACTCTGCTGTCTCCCATCTTCCATGCCCAAGGAACTCAACCTCCATCCCTGACCTCTTCCCTTCGTGGTTTTTATCCTGGAAGTGCACTTGCCCGCTGCAGTAGGCAGCCTCTTAGATGGCCACTGATGTGGTCCCCCCTCCTGGCTTTCATGTTCTCATGCCCCCATGGAATCCACTCCCCTTCAGTGTGGGCTGCACCTAGTGACTCGACAAATACAGCAAAAATGATGGGATGTCACTTTTAGCTTAGATTTTAAAAGACTGCTGTTTCTGTCTTGGCTGCTTTTTGCCTCTGAGGAAAGCCAGCTGCCATGTTGTTGTAAACTCTCTGACTGAGAGAGCAACAGAGCAAGGAACTGAAGTCTCCAGCCAACAGCCAGGGAGGATCTGAGGCCCACCAGCAGCCACAGGCACAGGGCTGGGAGCAGACCCTCCCCCAGAGGAGCCTTGGGATGCTGTGGCCCTTCCGACACCCAAGTCAGAGGCACCTAGCTAAGAGGCTCCTGGATTCCCGACCCACAGAAACTGTGAGATAATAAATGTTTGCTGTTTTAAGCTGCTAAGTTTTGGGGTCATTTGTTGTGCAGTGATATTTAAAAGGCAGAATTGGGCCAGGCACGGTGGCTCACATTTGTAATCCCAGCACCTTGGGAGGCTGAGTTGGGCGGATCATGAGGTCAGGAGTTCGAGACCAGCCTGACCAATATGATGAAACCCTGTCTCTACTAAAAATACAAAAAATTAGCTAGGCGTGGTGACAGGCACCTGTAATCGCAGCTACTCGGGAGGCTGAGGCAGGAGAATCACTTGAACCGGGAGGCAGAGGTTGCAGTGAGGTGAGATTGTGCCACTGCACTCCAGCCTGGGTGACAGCATGAGACTCCATCTCCAAAAATAAAAAATAAAACACAGAATTGTCCTCTATGGACCACCATTCAGCAACATTTTATCTTCTATGGCCTTGAGCAAATTACTGTCATTCTTTGGGCCCCCGTATCCTCATGACACCTAGGGTAGGAGTCTAGTGTCCCAAGTGTCCTATTCATAGCATAGGGTCGATAATGTTAAGGCGTATCTGTCCTGTTCTGTTTCCCATAGGAAGCCTAGTGAAACCTGTACTTCGTATTTTAAGTTCCGTATCTTTATATTTGCCTCACATTTTTCACTCCTATTATCTGAAGTCTGTTTCTAATTTCTGACAGAATTGTAATGGCTTATTGTGTGCCTTGCTCTGCATGACATGCCAATTTCATTTTGGAGTCACGGCTATTGTCTTTTTCTCTGCTAATCTCTCTTGTTTTGCAAAACTCCAATAGAACGTGTGAACATAGAGAGTTGCCCTTGTGCCTGATCTTGGCTCTGTGTGGCCCCCAAACAGGGGTGGATGATAGACAGACAGCCTGTCTGCCACCCGAAGCATCTTTTCTTGCTTAAAAATTTGCTTTCCAGATTGCAGACTCCTTTCCAACTCCAGCAAAGCCTGGAACACATTAAATAAAAGCAGAGCTGAAATTGGATGGAATGTTTCAGCCACTTAGATTCAGACCTCTCTGGGGGAAGCCCATGGGGAAGGGACCGGGACATGCCCCCATGGATAACACAGGGGAAGAGGGCTTCTATGCTGTTCTCATACCATTCAAGCCTTAAACAGAGGCAACATATTTTTCTTAAGCAGGGCCTGTAACCCAGGATCCATCACTTATGTATGGTGTCCATGGCAACCAGGCAATGGTATGGGATCCCTTCTCACTGGGGAATTCCTTTTATGGCTCATTTCCGAAACCAGCATGGCCAGTACAGGAGTCTGCCGTTTCCCAGTTGCTTAGCAACCAGCTCCTATGCTCTAGTCACTAGAAAAAGCCGACAGTTTTTTTTTTTTAAGAAAGTGTTTGTCATCAGAATCATATGTTACATTCTCTCTACTTTGTCTCTTTAGAATAAAATAATTAGTGTGTGATAAGGATGCAGAAAGGGCAACTGCTCCCTGTTGTTAAAGCCTCTGCTGTTCCTGGCGGGCTGTTTTAGGCAAGGAGAGAGAGAGGAAAATGTTAGCATGCTTTCGGTTGGTAATTAAGCAGCTCGAGCCATCTGCACGTGGAAAGCTCTACATTTTTAACGTCTCGTGGGGGCATCAAGTAAGTACAGGGCCAGCAATCTGTGTGCTACATCCCTTCCCAAACCAGAAAATCCAGACTCCACCCACAGGTGTCATCTCTCCTCGGCTTCCATTCCTTAGGGGGTTGGGGAGGCCGGGATGGGGTGAATTGGCTTGTTGAGTTTTAGGTACAAGGGCACAAAGATCATGCAGCACCCCCTCTACTGTTACAGCAGTGGTTTTCAACTAGAGGTGATTTTGCCCCCCAGGTGACCTTTGGCAAGGCCTGCAGACATTTTTGGTTGTCACAACTGATGGGGAGGGGGATGTTACCAATATCTGTCTAGTGGGCAGAGACCCGGGGATGTTGCTAAACATCCTACAATGCAAAGTGTGGCCTCCAACAACAGAGAAGTGTCTTGCCCCTGATGTCAATATCCCAAAGTGGAGAAATCCCAAGTTAGAGAAATCAGAATATCTGTCTTGTTAAAAAAAAAAAAAAAAAAAAGCTAGCATGACAGCTGACGAGAAAAAATTTTCACAAGGTAAAGGGTGGGACAGATCAAAACCCATTCAACAGATATCATTCCAACCGAAATTTCTGTATAGCAAGGAACTCCTGGGCCCCCACCAGCAAAAGTGTTGGGCAGAGCACCCTTTGGAGTTGTGGCAATGGAAGGAATTTGTAAGCCGACCTTCCTAGAAGGAAGGAGAGCAGAGTTGGAATGCTCTGTCCTGGCTTCCAAGGGACTTTGGCATGAGACAGATCCAGCTTCACATTCTGGGTCTGCTGTCTATGCACTATGGGTTCTTAGGTATTTCACATAATCTCTCTGGGACTCGGTCTTCTCAACTCTAGAATGGGAATCTAAGTGAGTATTATGAGAATTACATGGCGGAACGTGTGAAATGCCTGACCCCTATTGGGCCCTGGATATTAGCTCCTCCCATTTCCCCTCTTGTTTCAGCCTCAGGAACCCAGCTGCCCCCTCTCCATTGCTGGGTACTTTGGACTTTTGAGGAATATGAACAAATGTACTGGTCCTATAAATGACTGAGGTCAGTTTATTCAGCAACGAGCAAAGGACAAAAGCACCATTTTTGGAATTTTGGCTGGTAGCCTTAGACTAAATTTAGGCATGAGGGACAGAAAAACCCAAGAAACGGGTGAGATGAGAGGCAGTATTGCATTGATCAAAAGTATGGCAGGCCAGGTGCGGTGGCTCATGCCTGTAATCGCAGCACTTTGGGAGGCAGAGGTATGTGGATCACCTGAGGTCAGGAGTTCGAGACCAGCCTGGCCAACATGGTGAAACCCCATCTGTACTAAAAATACAAAAATTAGCTGGGCGTGGTGGCAAACGCCTGTAATCCCAGCTACTCAGGAGGCTGAGGGAGGAGAATCACTTGAAACCGGGAGGTGGAGGTTGCAGTGAGCTGAGATTGTGCCACTGCACTCCAGCCTGGGTGACAGAGCAAGACTCTGTCTCAATAATAATGATGATAATAATAATAATAATAAAAAGAGAATGCACATGGCCGTGCCTGATGGCTCATGCCTGTTAAATGCGGCACTTTGGGAGGCCAAGGCAAGTGGATTGCCTGAGTCCAAGAGTTTGAGACCAGCCTGGGCAACGTGACGAAACCTCGACTCTACTGAAAATGCAAAAAATTAGCCAGGCGTGGTGGCACATGCCTGTAGTCCCAGTAACTCAGGAGGCTGAGGTGGGAGAATCACCTGAGCCTGGGAAGTCCAGGCTGCAATGAGCCGTGATCATGCCATTGCGCTCCAGCCTGGGCACAGGTTTCAAGTCCAGCTCCCCATTTACTGGCTGTGTGTGACCTCAAGCGAGTGACTTGGCTGAGCTTCACTTTCTCATCTATGAAATGGGGTTATTATTATATCGTCTAGTACTATGTAAAGATAAAAGATAATGTATATAAAAGTGCCTAGCCTGGTGCCTAATATTAGGTAGGCACCTGATAACTGATAGCATGCATATTCATATAAACAATCTTCCTTTTTTTTTTCTTTTGAGATAGAGTCACACTCTGTTGCCATGCTAGAGTGCAGTAGTGCAATCTCAGCTCACTGCAACCTCCACCTCCTGGGTTCAAACGATTCTCCTGCCTCAGCCTCCTGAGTAGCTGGGATTACAGGCGTTTGCCACCACGCCTGGCTAATTTTTTTTTTTTTTTGAGATGGAGTCTTGCTCTGTCACCCAGGCTGGAGTACAGTGGCATGATCTCTGCTCACTTCAACCTCTGCCTCCTGGGTTCAACCAGTTCTCCTGCCTCAGCCTCCTGAGTAGCTGGGGCTACAGGTGCCCGCCACACGCCTGGCTAGTTTTTCGTATTTTTAGTAGGGATGGGGTTTCACCATGTTAGCCAGGATGGTTTCAATCTCCTGACCTCATGATCCTCCCTCCTCACCCTCCCAAAGTGCTGGGATTACAGGCATGAGCCACCGTGCCCGGCCTTTTTTTTTTGTATTTTTAGTAGAGACGGGGTTTTACCATGTTGGCCAGGTTGGTCTCAAGCTCCTGACCTCAAGTGATCTGCCCACGTCGGCTTCCCAAAGTGCTGGGATTACAGGCGTGAGTCACTGCACCTGGCCTGCTTGTTTTTTTTTTAAGTAAAACTGTCGTGCGTCGTCCAACCCCACATCTTCACTGGTGCTGACAGTGAGGCTAAGGGCTGTGTATTAGGAAGAATGTCCTCCCTTATCCCATCTAAAACAGATTTCCCTCAGTATGATATGCTAGTGCCAGCCATCACAACGTTATGTAAGTAATTTTTGAAGCTATTTCTGTTTTTAGCCTATTCTACCTCTTGGGGGGTAATGAGTTCCATACATTTAGCAACCATTTTTAACTTGCTTGAAATCTTGAGAAAATCTCAAGAAACCTCTTCTTTAAAAAAATTGTTTAAATTGACAAATAGTAGTTGTTCGTATTCATGGGGTAGCTAGTGATGTTTTGATACACATGATGTATAATGATCAGATCAGGGTAATTAACATATTCATAATCTCAAACATTTATCATTTCTCTATGTTGGTAACATTCAGTATCCTCCCTCTCCCTATTTGAAACTGTATAATATATTATTGTTAACTATAGCCATCTTACAATGATGTAGAACAATAGAACTTACTCCTCCTACCTAGCTGTAATTTTGTATCCTTTATCAAATCTCTCCCTACCCCTCCCTTCCTCCTCCCCTTCCTGTCCTCTAGTATTCTCTGTTCTACTTTTTACTTCTGTGAGATCAACTTTTTTTTAGCTTCCACATATGAGTGAGACCATGCAGCGTCTTCATTCTAATAAGCTGGGGTTTGGTCTATTTTCACATTATCTGTACTTTTCATAATTCTTGAAACTGCAGTATATCCTGTCAACCTCCAGCCTTCACCCTGACCTCATACAGAAGCCCCTCCAGCCCCTTAATCACTTGAAATGCTTTGTGAACTCCCTGCTTTCTTTCTTGAAATGTATCAACCAGAACTGCACATTCCAGTCTGTGTTAGAAACAAAGGTTAGCCGGGCATGGTGGCAGGCACCTGTAGTCCCAGCTACTGGGGAGGCTGAGACAGGAGAATTGCTTGAACCCGGGAGGCGGAGGTTGCACTGAGCCGAGATTGTGCCACTGCACTCCAGCCTGGGCGACAGTGCAAGAGTCCGTCTCAAAAAAAAAAAAAAAAAGAAACAAAGGTAAAGTGATGTTTTCTTTCCCTACAACCCCCCCTACCTCACCCCCTTACTTTTTCTAACAATTTCCCAAACTTGGTTCGCCTTTGGGCGCCAGAGCACTTTCCTGAGCACTCTGCAATGAGTCCCAAGTCCCTTTCCTGGGTCACAATCGTTGGTTCATAGTGGCAGCAGCTCGTCCTCTATAGTTTGTACTTTTTCTCCTTGTCACTCTTATTTCCCACTGAAGTATATCTGCCAAAGTTGTGCCCACTCACCCAACCTCATTGCACCTCACCAGTTGGCTTCTGTCTGTATTTTTTTGTTTGTTTTTTGTTTTTCGTTTTTTTTTAGACAGAGTCTCACTCACTTGGTCGTCCAGGCTGAAGTGCAGTGGCACGATCTCGGCTCACTGCAACCTCTGCTTCCTGGGTTCAGGTGAGTCTCCTGACTCAGCCTCCCGAGTAGCTGTCATTACAGCTGTGCACCACCATGCCCAGCTAATTTCTGTATTTTTAATAGAGACGGGGTTTCACCATGTTGGCCAGGCTGGTCTCGAACTCCTGACCTCAAATGATCCACCTGCCTCGGGCCCCCAAAGTGCTGGGATTACAGGTGTGAGCCACTGCGCCTGGCCTCACAGTCGGCTTCTTGTTGAACAGACATCTAAAAGCCTAGAGATTACACTCCTAAATTGTTGTGTGATCCCACCCGATTTTACCCAGTTGACTGAAGCTCTTTGGAAGTGCGGCTCTAAATATGTCATTGCTAAAATTTTTTCCTTCCACAGGGGATAATTAAATCATGTCAAATATAGAAGCGACTTGCTCATCCCTCCCAAGCAGATTTATGGAAACTCACCTGGAAACCACCACAACCTGGAAAGGTGGCAGGAGGATGTTTATCAGGCACGTATGAGCCCAGCTTCTCAGAAGATAGACACAGGTGCCTTTGTCTCTGAACAAGTGGCAGGAGCTGGAGCCACAGTCACACTGGGGTTCTGAGTGGCTTGAGACGGGACATTGTGAGGTTTACCAGGAGGACCAAAAGCACTCAAAGTATGTGGAGGTCAGAGCAGTGGCAAAGAAGGAGTCCAGGCGGGCTGGGGAGGGGTCAAGGGGCATCAGGCAGCACGTCTGGGAGCCAGGATGACAGATGGGAGATTCAAAACAGGGCACCACTAGAAGCCTGAAAGGAAGGCAAGGTTTTATCAGGGTAGGAACTGAGCTCTGGAGAAAGAACAGGACAACTGGCCATGGCTGAAAAGGGGGCACAGGGTCAGCAAGTTGAAGACAGATCCTTATGATAATGAACCAGGGTGGAAACAGGAAAAGAGGGTTTGATGCTTTCTTTGGGGCAAACGATTCTCTCCCTATTCCTGCAACAATAGCGCAGGTTCCTAGATCAGTCATTTGGTCCATTAGCAGCTAATGCTGGTTGTGGGTATCACACCAGTAGATGGCCATCACCTTCATAAAGCTCCTGCACAATGCTCAGCTCGTGAGTGCTCCAAGGAAAACATTTCTGTGGTGACTGTGTTTGGGATTTTTGCAAACTACAGGTCCTTCTTGGGGATTCACAGTGTACATTAGCTCTGAATGTGTACAGCGTGCATTTTAAACACTCTGCCAACTCCTGAGGTATAGAAATCTGTTTCATTGTTTTTAATTTAATGTTTCTCAAATGTAGTTGACACCCGGGTCCAACAGGATCCTTTTGCTATATAACAACCCTGAACATTCTGTGGACACACCTTGAGAAACATTGTTCTAGAACATTCCTAATCTGGTGTTCCCAGGCCCTTCACAGCCTGGGCCTGCCCTTGTTTCCCAACTTTTCCTTCCTTTATTTTCTGACATTCCAGCCACATTAAGCTCTTCCCTTGCACACGCTCCTGTTGCACATTTCCTTCTTTCTTGCTATAGCAGGTGATTCATCATCTGCCCAAAAATGGGAAAAAAGCTGAGCCCTGCTCACTTCACCTCACTGTCACCCTCATGTCTGTCTATCTTTTGAGACCCACCTCAAAAGGAGCCCTGGATTCATTCTCTGCCCCATCTCTGCTCCTGCCTTCCTGTTCCTATAAATAATCCTTTGCCGCCTCTGATCCCTTCTGTCCTGGTATCTGTTACTGTCAGGGCACTTCACATGTTTTACTTTGTATAAGGCCATTTATGCCTTTTTTATTCAAACAGAATCCACGTCTCACTTTTGTACCCACCCCCCTACCAACAGAACACAGCATATTTGTAGGATTGTTAGTGGGAGCAGAAAATATGATGCCAAAACTTCTGAGGTTGGGGTAAGTTCTCTTCTCAACATTCAGGCCAGAGTTGGCAAATACCTGGCTCACCTGCTGCCAACCTGTACTCTCTCACTAATGGCACAGACTCATCAGAGAAGGCCCCAGGAGCTTCTCAACACAGTGCTCCCAGCAGTCATGATCAATGGGTTAGAAAAGGCATGAGAGAGGAAATCTGTTATCCCTGATTTAGACCTTTTGCCAAAGTGAAAGTTAGGAGAATTTAGTAAGCTGAATGTGGGAGCTGTTAATGCTACAGACCAATGACTGTCCTCTAACAGAACAGAGCAATTAGCAAAAGTATTCATTATACTTTCATGTTCATGTCTAGTCTCAAGGCTAATTATTTGTATAATTAAGATGTTACCAAATGCAAACAATTGATGAGCCTGATTTCTTGGAATGAAACATGAGACTTATGAAATGTAAATAGCTGTGAATCACTAACAGCTTTCCTTTACTTAGGCATTCTACCAAGGCATAGCCCTGTTACATTAAAGAAACAATGGAAGTATAATCCCATTCATATTTTTTAGATGACAAAACAATATGACGTATGAATTTAAATCATAGAAAAAGCACAGGTTTTAATTCTCACTCCACCATTTTCTAGCTGTGTGCCCTTGGCTGTGTTACATAAGCTCAATTTACTCGTGTTACTTACAGAGAGATGTCAGTTTCCACATTCAGAAAATGGGTGTAATAGCCCCTAGTTCAGAGGACTGCTGTGACAATCAAATGAGTTAACATGTGGAAAGAGTGCACAATCAATGTGAGCCATTGTTTTCATTATTCTACTTGTATCTACAGATTATACTTTGACAATGATCGCTTGGATTTTTTACAGTATGTAAAAAACATTAGAGAGAAATGGAATGTATATAGATGTCTCGCTATAACACCATCTGTGTGTTACTGAAAAGCTTCCATGGTCTAAAAATGGCCACAAGCCCCAAAATAACAGGGTTGGTGGGGAAAAAAAAATAGGGTTGGGACAGTCTACTCAAAACCTGGCTGGGTGCAGTGGCTTACGCCTATAATCCCAGCACCTTGGGAGGGTGAGGCCAGAAGATTTCTTGGGCCCAGGAGTTCAAGACCAGCCTGGGCAACATCATGAGACCCTGTCTACACACACACACACACACACACACACACACACACACACACACACACAGACACACACACAATTAGCCAGGCATGGTGGCACACACTTGCAGTCCCAGCTACCCAGGAGGCTAAGGCAGGAAGATTGCTTGAGCCAGGGGAGGTTGAGGCTGCAGTGAGCTGTGATTACACTACTACGCTTCAGCCTGGATGACAGAGCAAGGCCCTGTCTCAAAAACAAAACAAAATGAAAAACAAAAACAACAACAAAAAAACTATGCAATTGTAACCAGAGCACTCACAAAAACAATGTCAAAACTAATGAAACATTACCCCAGTAAGCCTCAGCTTTCACAAACATTTGCACACCGCATCCCAGCCTTGAACCCTAGGGCTCCTCCTGCTGCTTTGAGATATAGGCCCTGGAGGGCATTTGCTTCTAATAGGGACCAGTTTTATCAAAATTAAACATTTGATTTAAAGAGCGGTGTTCTTCGCTAACCCATCCTTCTAATACAAAGAGAAACGTTTTCACTGCTTCTTCAACAGCACCCTCAGTTTTTCCAGAAACTTGACAAGAGAACAGCATAGTGGTTCCCAAGTCACTAAATCAGTCAGTCCCTGCAGCTAAAGAAGGCAGCTGTGTGTATTCTCAGCTTTTTCTTAAGGCCTCCATAGAGTGCTAAGGTTTCCTCTTATTAAAGAGGTAGTTATTGTGAGAAAGCTGGCTCCTGGCTTCAAAACATTTACATGCTGGGGGAAAAAAGTGCATAGGAACCCACATGACATCTGTGTTATACCAATTCCCCTGTTTACTCATGGCTTGTGAGGTCGCTCATATATAAGAAACATTTGTAGCAACAACAGTTTATATTGAATATCTCCAATCTGCTAGTTGATGTGGTAAGAACTAAATAGAAGCCATGTGATTTAATCTGCACATTAGTCGAGTGTGGTAGAGGTAAGGTATCCTTACCTTTGAGGCTTAGAGACATTAAATAACTTGCCTGAGATTACAAGTTTTTAAGTAGTAAAGCCAAAATTCCTACCTGGAATCTAACGTCAAACCTCATGCCTTTTGAGATCACACTATCCCTACTAAGGATGGCTGGAGGCAGGAAAGAAGACCGACATCCCTGGCCATGGTAATGAGTGAAAGCCTGATTCCTAACCACAAGTCACTAACATTTAATTGCATTTAATCCTCACAACAACCCTGCTACACAGTTATTATTACCACCAATTTATCGATGAGGAAACTGAAGCTCATTCATCAAAAGACAAGCCACCCAATTTTTAAAAATAGACTGAAGATTTGAAGGAAGAAACGTCCATTAGAAAACATGCAAATCAAAATCACAGTAAGATGGCACTTGACACCCACTAGACGGGTGGTGATTATAATAAAAAAGACATAATAACAAGTGTCGGTAGTTGGTGATGATGTGGAGAAATTGGAACCCTCGTACACTGCTGGTAGGAATGTAAAATGGTGCAGCCACTTTGGAAAACAATCTTTCAGTTCCTCAAACAACTAAACAGAGTTATCATATGATCCAGCAATTCTGCTCTAGATATATACACAGAGAAATGATAACATATCTACACACAAAAAGGTACATGAACATTAATAGCAGCATTATCCATAAAACCAAGTGGAAACCAAAATTTCCATCGACTGATGAATGGATAAATAAAATTATATCTGTTTAATTAAATATTTGGCAAGAAAGAAATTAAATGCTGATACATACTACAATCTGGATGAACCTTGGAAACTTTATGCTAAATGAAAGAAGCCAGCCACAAAGGACCACATATTGTACGATTCTATTTTTTGAAATGTCCAGAATGGGCAAGTATATAGAGACAGAAAATAGAATTGTGGTTGCTTAGGGGTGAGGATGATGAAGGGTTTGTGGGGCAATGGCTACGGAGTACAGGGTTTCTTTTGGAGTGATGAAAATGTTCCAACGTTGATTGTAATAATGGATATACAACTCTGTGAATATACCAAAAGCCTTCGAAGTGTACACTTTAAATGGGTGAATTGTGTGGTAATTGAATTATATCTCAATAAAGCTGTTTTTAAAAAAAAAATCTTTAAAAGATTTGAACAGGCACTTCCAAAAGGAAGCCATCCAGATGGCCATAAGGATATTTTTTTAAAGTGTTCAACATCATTAATTATCAGGGAAACACAAATTAGAACCACAGCAGGCTATCTCTACACAACTACTAGGATGGCTAAAATTACAAACACAAAATTTTGGCAAGGATATGGAGTGAAAGAGTTAAAAATATATTACCCTGGCATATTAACTATTTAAGCTAAAGGCACTTGAAAAATAGCAGATGCAAAAAAGAAAAAAAATCACTTTGACCTTCATGCTGTTTCTTAAAAGCAGAAGATGAAATTCCTGTGTGAAGATGCCCTCCCTATTCTAGGAGAAGAGGCAACAGCCTTATCTTCAAGGACAAGAAGTAGAGACCAAGAGAATTCTGTACAGACCTTGTCAAAATAACTCTTATCATTTAACCCTCCCCACATAATTTAGTTGCTTCTTCACAACTAACTATTGTCCAGTTCAGTAGATAAGTAACTGACTCTAACTTCTTCCTCAGGTCTTTGTTTCTTTCTGAGGACTCTTGTGCCACATAAAACTTTTATTATGCCTTTCTCCTCTTTATCCATCTTAAGTCAGTTTAATTCTCAGACCCAACAGGGACCCTAAGAGGATGGGGGTAGAGATTTTCTGCTCCTGCAGAAGCAACTGGAACTCTCATACATTGTTGATAGAAGTGTGAAATGGTACAACCACTTTGGAAAACAGTAGTAGTTTCTCATAAATTTGAACGTGCACCTGCCCTATGGCCTTAGTTTCCAATTCCACACCTAGGTATTTGCCCAACAGAAATGAAAGTGGATGTCCACAAAAGTCTTGCACAAGGATATTTATAGCAGCTTTATTCCTAATAGCCAAGAGCTGGAACCAGACTCTTAGTCTGTTTTATGCTGCTATAATAGAATACCTGAGACTGGGTAATTGATTATGAACAGAAATTTATTTGGCTCATGATTCTGGAGGCTGAGAAATCCCAGAGCATGGTGCCAGTATCTGACAAGGGCCTTTGTGCTCCATCATCCTATGGCAGAAGCAGAAGGGAAAGAGAGCAAGCGAGCAAGAGAGGGCTAAACTCACTTTTGTAGCAACCCACCCTTGTGATAACGAACCCACTGCTGAGATAATGGCATTAATCCATCATGTCCACCCTCTGCCCTCATGGCCTAATCACCTCTTAACAGTCCCACTTCTTAATACCATCACAATGGCAATTACATTTCAAAATGAATTTTGAAGGGGACATTCAAATCATAGCACAGTCCAATTATCCATCAATAGGAGAATGGATTTTTAATACTTTGGTATATTCACGCAATGGAAGAACACTGAACAATAAAATGGAACAAATTACTGATACATGCAAAATCACGGATGCATCTTTCACACATTCTGGGCACATAAGCCTGACACAAAAGACTATATATTATATGGCTCCATTTATGTGAAACTCTAAAACATGCACAAGTAATCTATGGTGCAAAAATGAGAAGGTAGTAATCTGAAAGGCAATAGGATGGACTGGGAAGAGACCTACTGGAACTTTCCAAGATGATGGAAGTGTTCTAAATCTCATAGATGTGTACATTTTTCAAAACTCATTGAATTGTGTAGTTAAGATTTGTGTATTTCACTGCATATAAATGTTACCTTATAAAAGAAACAATTTTGAAGGTTTGCTTTTCACAGTGGTACTGATCAGAAGTTCTGAAACTTTTTTCTATGTATTGTAAATGAGTAAAGATATTCAGGATAATGGGATCCAGGTTTCTCACTATAGAGGGCAGAATTAATATGGAAAAGATGCACCCTGCAGTGTTGGTTCGGAATTTCACACTGGAAACATCAATATGAACTCATGATTTTGTGTATACGTGTGCAAGCACGTGTGTGTTTGCTGTGAGAGCCTATAAACAATACACGCCAGAGGCCATGAGCACATTTAGAGCTAAGATCTTCGGTTCCAAATACTATTTTCCACCAAAAGGAACCAACCACTGGAGAAAAGACTGACTCCAGGGCTAGAATAAGGAATATACAAATGAGCCTGGAACATCTTGTACACCAGAGAGTGCTTGAAGGAGCTCCCAGTGGCCAAATATGGGACAATTTGAGCATCATAATAAATAATAATACTAATAGGTTATAATCTATTCAATAAAATAAGGCTCTATGAGTTGATACTGATGTAAATAAAGGAATAAATAAATAGGGAGAAGAGAAAGCTCTTCTTTATAGTAGCAAGCCAACCGATAGTATAGAAGGAATGGTGGAGTTAGATAATCATCAATGGATGTTAAAACTCATGGGTGAATTTTTGATGGGGAATAGCATATTTAAATACTCTCAAAATATCTCCTAATAAATTACGTATTAATTACAAAGAGAAAAATAGTAACTCTACAGTGGAGAAACTGGGCAGACACCGCTATAACCATGTGATCAAATGTAACATCACCAACATTGGGACAAACCTCCATCATGTGTGTCATGATACAGTGCACTGACAAGGGCGCAGCATCACTTCAGTGGCATTCTGCCAAAAATGCAGAACCTGAATCTAATCGTGAGGACATATTGCATAAATGCAGTCAGAGAGAGGGAGGAAGGGGAGAAAGAGGAAGAAGGAGAGAGAAGCAAACGGGGCAAAATGTAACTGGCAAACACAAGGGTATAAGCGAGTTCCTTGCACTATTCCTGCAACGTTTCTGTAAGTTTAAAATTGTATCAAAATACAAAGTTACCAAAAATGTTGGGAAAGGTGCTGTGAGATAATTCCCTGTGGGTCTCCCATGTTTCTGTCTATCTTGTGAGCAGAGCCACATATAGTTGTCCCAGATTGTCTTTTCAAAGATATTTGTATAGTCAAGAGCCTTGAAAGATAGAGTTTGAATCCCCTGCTGGAGATTTGTTTACTGTTGAGTATAATAATATACTGTCTCCCTCCAGGGCAAAGGTTGGGTAGGTTTGCTTGCAGCCCATTACAGAAAATTTGTGTTCCCTAAACTCAAGGCGCCTCAGCTTTGATGAAACTCTACTTTGTGCACAGCATCCACCAGAACCCCTCGGTGTTACTCCTGTGAGACTTCAGATGCAAAAGGAACTGATGCAATCACTAAGCTCATGAAACTTAACGTGTCATGAGTAATAAAGTCCGTTGTCTCCAACCCAAGAGTCTTGTGTCCTCTGCCAGCATCCCTGAAACTGTAACAGACTAACTTGCTTACAAGTATGAAGAAGTCTCAGCCCCTTCACAGTTTGATGATTGCTCATGTATTTGGGAATTGCCCATATATTTGGGAATAGTGTGGCTAGAGATCTGTCTGGAGGGAGTAGACAGAATTGATGTCAAACAACAGAAAAAAATGAGGAGGGTACAACAGGGGCTTAACAGTCAAGAGGGAGTGGTGATTAAGATAAGAATTCTGAGATTTGCAATAATGGGAGCAAGACTATGGCACCAATTACATTAGTGACAAATTCATTTTCTGGGGGATTTTGGGGGCTTGCTTGTTTGTGTAGTTCTCATCACATATGCATACATAAAATAGAGACCCAAGAGATGTTATTCATCTGGGTTGTTAGCTAATTGGTGCCAGAGAATGTGGACCTACTTTTTATTTTTTATTTTTTATTTTTTTTGCTCTTAGTAGCATATGACACAGTGGTTGGCATAATAAATGCCTTTTAATCGATTGTTTCCATAAGAAATAGCACTATTTTTGTGCTGGCATTCGTGGTAGAGAGAAAATGAGTTTTCATGAACCCCTTTTGCTATGATCTGAATTATTATGTTTCCTCCAAATTTATATATTGAAATCCTCACCTCCAAGGTAATGGAATTAAGGGGTTGGAGCCTTTGGAAGGTGATAAGGTCATGAGGGAAGACCCTTCACAAGTGGGATGAGTGCCCTTACAAAAGAGGTCTCAGAGAAACCCACCGTCCCTTCTGCCATATGAGGTTAAAGTGAGAAGACAGCTGCCTAGAGAAAGTGGGGCTTCATCAGACAGGGAATCTTCCAGTACTTTGATCTTAGACTTCCCAGCCTCCAGAACTGTGAGAAATAAAGGTCTGTGGCTTACAAGCCACCTCATCTACAGTCTTTTGTTATAGCAGCCCAAACAGACTAACACACCCTTCATACTATTTCACTAAAAAAAAAGAAAAAGCTTTTTAATCCTCATTATAAATGTAATTAATGTTTACTGGAATAAACAGGAAATTTTAAAGAACAAAATTAAGATCATCCTGATCTCACTATTCAGAGAAAATCACCTTTAATATTTTAGCTTATTTTTACTTGGTACAAAATTGAAATTCTTCTTTTTGGTTGTTTTTTTCTTTTCTTTTCTTTTCTTTTTTTTTTTTTTTTTTTTTGAGACAGAGTCTTGCTCTGTCACCCAGCCTGGAGTGCAGTGACGTGATCCCGGCTCACTGCAACCTCTGCCTCCCAGGTTCAAGTGATTCTCCTGTCTCAGCCTCCTGAGTAGCTGGGATTACAGGCGTCCACCACCACGTCCGGCTAATTTTTGTATTTTTAGTAGAGGCAGGCTTTCACCACGTTGGACAGGCTGATCTCGAACTCCTGACCTGGGGTGGGCCACCCACCTTAGCCTCCCAAAGTGCTGGGATTACAGGCTTGAGCCACCGCACCCAGCCCCTGAAACTCTATTGTATGTAATTTTGTATCTTGCCTTTTAAACCTTTTCTATTATACTGAAATGGTTTTATATCATTAAATTTTCTTTGGAAGCATAACTTTAATAACCATATATTATATTTAGGCTGGGCATGGTGGTTCATGCCTTGATATGGTTTGACTCTGTGTCCTCCCCTCAAATCTCATTTCAAATTGTAATCTCCATAATCCCTACGAGTCGAGTGAGGGACCAGGTGGGAGGTGATTGGATCATGGGGGCAGTTTTCCCCAGGCTTTTCTCGTGATAGAAAATGAGTTCTCACGAGATCTGATGGTTTTATAAGGGGATCTTCCCTCTTTGCTCCTCACTCATCTCTCTCCTGCTGTCATGTGAAAGAGGTCATTGTTCCCCTTCCCCTTCTGCCATGCTGGTAAGTTTCCTGAGGCTTCCATGGCCATGTGGAACTGTGAGTCAATTAAATCTCTTTTCCTTACAATAAATTACCCAGTCTCGGGTAGTACTTTTATAACAGTATGAGAATACATTCCTGTAATCTCAGCACTTTGGGAGGCCAAGGCAGGAGGATCACTTGAGCCTAGGAATTCAAGATCAGCCTGGGCAGCATAGGGAGACCTCATCTCTACAAAAAATTTTTAAAAATTTAGCTGGGCAGGGTGGCATGTACCTGTAGTGCCAGCTACTCAGAAAGTTGAGGTGGGAGGATCACCTGAACCCAGGAGGTTGAGGCTGCAGTGAGCCATGATTGCTCCACTGCACTCCAGCCTGGATGACACAGCAAGAACCTGTCTCAAAAAAATCAAATACATCTATATATATACTGAATCTGCCATCATATATTTAGTTATTTTTCCAGTTATGATCATTATATTATTTCTAATTTTTTGCTTGATTTTATTCAATAAACTCTGATTATTTGTTTAGGATTAATTTCTGTGGGTGGAATTACTGGATGAAGTCATTGCCAGCTAGCTTTCTAGAATAGTTCTTCTACTTTGCCACTCCATATACAAGCATACCAGTATGCATATATTGCCTGGTAAAATCTTAACCAAATTTAAACCACCAAATTTGAATTAAAAGCATGTATTTTAATTTGCAATTATCAATAAGTTTGTACTTTAAAATATGAATATTAACATTTGTATTCTTATTCCACAATTTGTTTGTGTTCTTTGCTCACTTTTAAAATTGGGACTTCAGTGATTTTGTCATTGATTTGTAAAACTGCTTTAAACATTAAGGTTGTTAACTTTTTCTCTATCATAATTGTCACTTTTTTGTATAATTTATTATTGCCTTTTAAATGTTGTCATTTTTTGAAAGATAGAAGTTAAAATTTTAGGCTGGGAGCAGTGGCTCATGCCTGTAATCCCAGCAATTTGGGAGGCCGAGGCAGGTGGATCACCTGAGGTCAGGAGTTCGAGGCCAGACTGACCAATATGGTAAAACCTCGTCTCTGCTAAAAATACAAAAATTAGCCGGGCGTGGTGGTGTGCGCCTGTAGTCCCAGCTACTCAGGAGGTTGAGACAGGAGAACTGCTCGAACTCAGGAGGTGGAGGTTGCAATGAGCCGAGATTGTGCCACTGCACTCCAGCCTGGGCGACAGAGTGAGACTCAGTCTCAAAGAAAAAAAAAAAGAAGAAGAAGTAAAAATTGTATGTGGTTAAATCTGTATTTCCTTTTGTTTTTTTTTTTTTTTGAGACGGAGTCTCGCTCTGTCACCCAGGTTGGAGTGTAGTGCAGTGGCGCGATCTCAGCTCACTGCAAGCTCCGCCTCCCAGGTTCACGCCATTCTCCTCCCTCAGCCTCCTGAGTAGCTGGGACTACAGGCACTCGCCACCGTGCCCGGCTAATTTTTTGTATTTTTAGTAGAGAGGAGGTTTCACCGTGGTCTCGATCTCCTGACCTCGTGATCCGCCTGCCTCGGCCTCCCAAAGTGCTGGGATTACAGGCGTCAGCCACCGTGCCCGGCCCTGTTGTGTGTTTTTATACTACTTTAAAATGTTCTGAAATGTATGTGGTAAAAATTCTGATGGGAGACACTAACTTAATTTTTCCCAGAATAATCATTTCCCTCAGTATGAATTATTAAATATTCTATACTTCTATTAATTTGAGATGTCCTTTTAATCATATGCTAAATTCTTATATACTGTGGGGAAGTGGATCTTACTATTTTTGCTACCTCCACAAAACTCAAAATAACAATATGCAAGGATTTGTAACTGGAGAGTTTGATCCTAAAGGGAGGCTTAACAAAATTTCCAGCGGATGGCGTGCATTGTTGAAAAAAGCCCTTCTTTTTGAAAATTACTATGTTAGAAGACACATAATCTATTTTGTTAATCTAGTTACAGATTCTCGTGCTTTGTTTATTGTAGCTCTTTTAGCATACTTTTCTAGTAGAGTTAGCCTCCCCCACTTACCTTCTTTTTAAAAAAATTATTGGTTGTTTTTGCTTATTTATTCTTTTGTATGAACTTTACGATTTCTTTATCAAGCTCCTCACTTGGATAGTAATTCAACTTACATTAAGTGGGTATGTTAATTTGTAAAGCATTGCCATTTTAGATTTGTCATCTTTTATGTCTCTTAGTCAAATTGTATGCTTTTCTTCACATAGGCTATTACTTGAAACTTTACCCTATTGGGTCTTGGTTTATTTTTGTCAAAATCCAATTTTCACTCACTTTTGCCTTTCACTCACTTCCTCTTCTAGCTAGGTTCAGTTACTTTTTCATGTGAGGCCGCATGGAGTAGGCCAGTGGTTCTCAGACTTTAATAGGCATTAGCATCACCTGAAGTGCCTGTTAAAACACAGATTTTTCTGATTCCATAGTTCTGGGATTAGGCCCAAGAATTTGCATTTCTAACAAGTCCCAGGTGATGCTGAAGCTGGTCCCAGGGATTACACTGCAAACCACTGGTATAGACCAATGCTTCTCAAACTCTGATTATTTAATAAACTCTTATTAAATAATCTTATCTGATTAATATCTGATTAATAACTTATCTGATTAATTTTAGCTGATTAATAACTCTTATCTGATTAAAATAAACTCATTCTTATCAAACGTTAATGTGTGATATGGTTTGGCTGTGTCCCCACCCAAATCTCATTGTGAATTGTAGCTCCCACAATTCCCACACGTTGTGGGAAGGACTTGGTGGGAGGTAATTGAATCATGGAAATGGATCTTTCCTGTGCTGTTCTTGTGATAGTAAGTCTCACGAGATCTGATGGTTTTATAAACCGTAGTTTTCCTGCACAAGCTCTCTTCTCTTGTCTGCCGCCATGTGAGACAAGCCTTTCACCTTCCAACATGATTGTGAGGCCTCCCCAGCCACGTGGAACTGTGAGTCCATTAAACATCTTTCTTTTGTAAATTGCCCAGTTTCGGGTATCTCTCTATCAGCAGCATGAAGACAGACTAATACAATGTGCATGGCAATTACACACATGGTTAAATGCAGGTTCTGATTTAGTAGGTCTTCACCAGGATCTGAGATTCTGCATTCTTAACAAGTTCTCAGGCCAATTCTGCTGCTGCTTGTCCACACACCACACTTTCAGCAGCAAGGGAATAGAACAGAATGAAGAGTGTGGGCTTTGTAGTCTGACAAAACTGAGTTTGAATCCCAGTCTATACTTACTAATTGAGTAACCTTGAGCAAATAATTAATTTAACTTTTCTAAACCCAGACTTTATATTAAATCAAAAATAACAAAGCCTATTTTGTGAAATGATGTTATCTGGCACAAAGCAAATAATGTATGTTTTTTCTCTGACTCATAACTGAGAATTGTATTTGCCCTACTGAATATTGACTCAATATCAGAGTCAACCCAAAACTATGGGTCTTTTGTTTGTAGTCTAATTGCAGGTAGCTTCATTTGAATCTCTAGGGTGGCATTTCTCAAACTGTGTTCCATAGAGATGTTCTTTAATGTTCTGTGGTCAAATTCATTATAAGCATATTTTCCTTTACATTGTTGAGCATAGTTATAATAGCTACTTTAAAATCCTTGTCGGCTAATTCCAATATTGGGGTCCTCTAGGTGTCGGTCTTTGTTGATTATCTTTTCTCTTGTAGGAGTCACATTTTCTGATTTCTTTGTATGCTGAGTAATTTTGGATTGCATTCTGGACAATGTGAATGATATGGTATAGACATTCTGAATTTTATGATGTTCCTTTAAAGAGATTTCCGTTTTTGTTTTAGCAGAAAGTTAACCTGGCTGAACTCACACTGCAAACTCTGTCTTCCTGGAGAAAGACATCACTAAAATCTCAGTTAATTTATTTTTAGCTGGGCTTCTTGGAATCTGTTCCATGCATGCATGGTTCAGATGTCAGCCAGAGATTTATGCATAGAATTTGGGCCTCCTCCTTTCTGGTTCTCTCCTTTCTGAGATGTCCCCCACTTGCTAGCTGCTGTAGTTATCCAGAGCTGTGTTTCTAGTTCTCCAAGTAACACTGAGCTTCTATTTGAGTTTTAACCATTCTTCCTGGAACAGCTCTCTGTAGAGCCTGTTCTAGGACCAAAAGCTGTAAAAATGGGAAATTCATCCAATGCCATTCCCTTCTTCAGTATTACAGCCCATTTTTGATCATTTTTTAGTAACTTCAAATAGTTGTCTGTATTTTTTGAGAGTATATTTTCTCAAGAATTTAGTCTTTGTCTACAGAAGGGTTGGTCTAACATGAGTTACTTGGCCTTTACTAGAAGTGAAACCTGTGTGATTTTCTTTAATCTAGTATTCCCTAAAGAGATTCTTTATTTGGCAGAACCTTATTAGCATATCACAGACCTTAGTATTTTAAAGAACCCATTATTGGAAAGTGCTATTCTCAGATTTTTCTCCTGGGAGGTTTAGAAAATGCTGATAAAATTAGGAGATTAGATAGTGATGAAGCAAAATGAGTTTTGAAGGAAAGCTGTTGGAAATAAACTTGAGAAATGCATGAAAAATGCAGTGTTTCTCTTAATACTCTTCAAGTAATATTCTATGGAGAAGGGTGGTGGTTTTCTACGGCATTGCTCTCTGAAATTAGAATACATTCCCAATTCCTTAATTTCTCTTAATCTATTATTAGGCAGTCGAGTTCCATACATTTATTTCAACCCTTCTTGAACCTACCCATGTGGAAGGCAGAAGCGCTGGGACATGACCACCCAACTCAGCTCTGAAGCAGCCCTCACACAATGACGGGGTTGGTATATAAATTTATCTCAACCCTTCTTGAGCCTGTTCATATTGTTAATGTTATCTAATTTTACCATTAAATAAAAACCAAAATATTTGTTTAGGAGAATTAAGGCCTTTAATTTTATTTTGCTTAAAGTCCCAAGCCCAAAGGTTGGGAATATGCTACAATGGACCTACACAAATAAGTAAATAATACCAAATACTACACACAATCCATACAACCAAAAAGATTCAAGTAACCACCATTTTTTTCTGCCCTCTCATTTTATTTATTTATTTATTTATTTATGTATTTATTTATTTTTTGAGACAAGAGTCTCACTCTGTTGCCCAGGCTGGAGTACAGTGGTGCGATCTCGGCTCACTGCAACCTCCACCTCCTGGGTTCAAGTGATTCTTCTGCCTCAGCCTCCCAAGTAGCTAGGATTACAGATGCATGCCACCATGGCTGGCTAATTTTTGTATTTTTAGTAGAGACAGGGCTTCACCATGTTGGCCAGGCTGGTCTCAAAATCCTGACCTCAGGTGATCTGCCCACCTCGGCCTCCCAAAGTGCTGGGATTAGAGGCATGAGCCATTGCGCCTGGCCCTACCCTCTCATTTTATTAGAAAAGGTATTAAATAAATAATTTGATATTAGAAAATAACAGGATCAGTAAAGATTCAGCCTAACACCCATCTTTTAACTACAATGGATGTACAAGTAATAAAACTAAGCCATGATAGTTGCTATTTAGATAAATAAAACTTGAGGTAAAGTGTCTTTTTGATCACAATAGAATAAATTGTTTTCATTACTGCCAAGTAAATTTTATTGTACTCTATTTCTCTGAAAATTGGCAAACAGTGTATCATAATAGCATAGAGAGGGAGGGGCCCAAGCTCAGAGGCCAGATACCCTGGGGTTGAATAATTCCTCAGTATTATAAAAATTAAATTAGATAACATTTGTGAAATATATACTGTATATAAAATACCTAACATAATGGCTGACACTCAGTAAATGGTTTCCTTCTTCTATCTGGTTTTTCCAGGACTGCAAAAAGGAAATTCTTTGATAGAAAACCTGGACAGAAACATTTTATTTTATTTTTTAACTTCAGGCAGACAAAGGCATGAAAGAAATGTGCCCTTTTGTTGACTGATTGACAGCTCCAAACCGAACCAGAATTTTCAAAAGGTGGACCTGATCTCGTAACATTGTAAATTCAGTATCTATACGGTTCATGAAAATTGTTTTCCCATTGCTTCTACCTTTATTGTCAAGCTGTCAAAATAGCAACTTCCTACTTAAGTTATATTTATGCAAGCATATAAAGTGCTTTTTATTAAATTTACTTTTGGTTGAATTAGATGGACTATTTTAGAGGAAATAAATCATTTGTATAATGGTGAAGAAATTGACCTTATGGGCACCTTCCTAAGAATGATGTTTCATTAGTGCTGGATCAGCTTTTGGTATCTGCAAGACAATCTGAGATCTGGAGACCAAGGGCAGTATATTTCATTTACATACTCCATCAGGCTCTCTGCCTGGGTCCTAACTCACCTCACCAATGGGCTTACTTTTGTCTTCATTCTTTGTTCCTGATATATATATAGGCCAGTGCATTTGAGACAAAACCAATAAGAAGGCAGGAGCCAGGAGCTGTTTCTAATCCAAGCATCTCACATAGGTCAAACCTTTAAAGATGGGAATGAAAATGAAGCTGTCCACTCTGGTCCATTGTCAAAGAGGTCATTTGGCACTCATCTCACAAATGGGGTAGCATAAAAGATGGGAGGAATGGAGTGCGATGGGGGCAGGGGGAGGCGATATGCAGAAATGACCAGGCAGAAGGTTAGGCCCTTGGTTTCTCAGTCTACAAATCCTGGCTGTGATTAGATTTGGTACCGCACACTTTTCAGAGATTGCTGGGGGAGAAATCACCTGCCACCTGCATTCTGCTGGTTGGATTTGCTACTGATGGAGAAGGTATAGGCTTTACCCAGGACCGCATTTTTTTTTTTTAACTGCCTTACTCACATGTACCAATGCCACAGGAAATTGATGGTAACCAATTGTCTATGTGCTTTTGTTAGCACCTCTTTTCTGCTGTGCTGGGCTACACAATTACCACAGCCCTTGAGAATGCTTATTGTCAATAGGAGTAATTTCACATCCCATCCATTTAGTGAAAAGATGTGAAAATTGATCCAGCTTCTGCGATAAGACTGGAACCAGGGTGCAGGCTACAAATGCCTTGGAAATAAATATATGTCCATCATTGTTTTCATTAGGTATTGCTGTAGCCCAGCCTCCAGGGAAATGAACTCAAGTCCAGCTGTCTTGCCGTAGAAGTTCAGATGTACTCCCAATCTGGTGAAGTGGGCTGTCAGTTTCATTTATTGTTAACTTTTTGTAGTGGTTGTCAAGTAAGGGGTTGGCAGTCTGAAGAGCACAATTCTGTTTTATCCACAGACAGGGGACAGTGTAATTCGACACTGGCTGCCAAGGAGGAACTTGTCCTTCCTATCCAGCTTATTGTCTGGACTCTTTTTTTATGATTTCAAAAGTCTCTTCAAAAGGGCAACAAAATTAGCCTTAAATAGTATTTCTTGGATTGCCTTTAACAATGGCGATAAGGCCAAAGCTTCTAGTCTTGACAGAAGTGGTTTCATGACAACTTGTTTTTATCTTGCCAGAATAAGCAAGGAACTTAAAAATGTGTTTTCATTATGGCTAAAGACTGTGTTTCAGCTGATGTCTCTTGCAAGGAAAGAACAATCTGCAAACTCCATTATTATGTCTCTCATTCACTTTCTGCTCCTAAGGCAAAAAGATTTTTGTGTTGTTTTCTTTTTTGTTGTTGTTGTTTTAAAGAGGCCCTCTATTTCAATTAGCACAATTAACATATCAAGAATTTGTGTTTCCATAAATTCTACATTTCACTTCCAGGAATCAGACTTTAAAAATGACCTTCATTTACCAAGAGCTGTAATCAAGATGAAAATCTTCACCCTAAAAACTAACCTTGGAAACAGAAGGCTAAAAAAAGAAAAAGCATAATACAGACTGTGTTTTCCAAGTCTTCTTCCCTTGCCTGGTGACATTAGCCTGGCTTTGATCTATAGACATGACATCATCTATAGGGTGTGCCTTGTGCCAAACATACTACATTTCTTTAACCAAGACAGTGGTTTTGTGTAGACTTAGAGATCAAGGCTAAATAGCTTCAGAGCTGGTCTGAGTCTTCACAGACAAACAGGTCAGAGCATATGTGAGTTACACAACTCCTGCAGACAGCCCAGCCTCTTCCTCTGTGGCCCGCTGGAGAGTTTACATTTGTCAATGACTTCCTTCAGGGCCTGGCTCAAGATTCATTTCCTCCGAGAGTCCCTCTCCTGCTAACTCACCTCACTCAGCCCTTCTACCTCATCTGCTGATTACTCATACCCTTTTTCCTGCTCTGCCAGGCACTCGGTTCTATTTTACCTTGTGACGGTTCTCTACATTTTTACTTTATCCTTTGGCTAAATTAAAATTGCCTGGAAAGTAGGGCCTGTCTGCTACTTCTTTTGTGTGCTTAGGGAGCATGTTAGTGCTACACGTACCATAGTGTCTTTTTCTTTTCTCTTTCTTTTTTTTTTTTTTTTAGATGCAGTTTCGTTCCTGTTGCCCAGGTTGGAGTGCAATGGTACAATCTTGGCTCACTGCAACCTTCGCCTCCCAGGTTCAAGCGATTCTCCAGCCTCAGCCTCCCGAGTAGCTGGGATTACAGGTGCCCACCACCATGCCCAGCTAATTTTTTTTGTATTTATAATAGAGACAGGTTTTCACCATGTTGCTCAGGCTGGTCTCGAACTCCTGACCTCAGGTGATCCACCCGCCTTGGTCTCCCAAAATGCTACTAGGATTACAAGTGTGAGCCACTGCGCCCGGCACATAGTTTCTTAATAAGAGAGGAGTATTCTGTGGTTGTTGTGTTAGGCTTGGGACCCTGCCTTTGCCCTCTGTTCCTAAAAGCCAAACTCACTGCTTCAACAGCAGGGAGTCTTCCCAGTCCACTCTGGCAATGGCATGCCACCTTGGTATAGTCCTCTCTGGTTTGACCCCAGAAATCTGTTCCAAGCTTCTCTCCTCAGTGGCTAACATCTCATGGGTTTTACTTTCCAAGGTAGGGATGGGGGAGGCGGGGAAGAAGGGTGCCTGAGCACAGAGCCACGTCAAGTGGAGAGCAGGGGACCCAAGGAGGATGGGAGCAGACCTTTAGGTACCACAGGGAACAGTGGAGGAGCAGGTAGCTGGGGAGGCTCAGGTTGGGGAGGGGCCAGGGAAATTTAGACCAAAAGTATTCAGAATCTATGCTGATATGAAGAATAGTCAAAGGTGCAATTAAAGCATCTCTGAAATAAAGATGTGAGGTCGTGATTCTAAATCCAGCCTCATATTTTCCTAGGGTATATGTGCTGGGGAAATATGAAGCCACAGGGTAAACAAGGTCCTTTTTTTCTGGAATGTCAGCCTTATCAACCACTTTATAAAGCTTCCAATTACAAATGAATTAACTTAAGCAACTGCCGCCCACCACCCCCCACCACCCATCTTTTTGGAGGGGTTCACTTGTCTGGGAAGCCCATGAAGCTTCAGGTATGGCTGGATCTAGGTGTTCCAATGATGTTGTCAGAGCTGTAGCTCTTTCCATCTTTCTGCTCTGCTTGGCCTCATTCTGTGTGGAGGCTTTCTCCAAGTTACAGTTAAACTGACTGCTGGCAACTCCAGTCCTTATTCTCTTTGCTTAGCCACCCACAGAAGAGAAATAACTTCTTTCTCTTCATATTTATACACCAATTTTAAAAAAGATACTTCAGGTTGAGTGTGGTGGCTCACACTTGTAATCCCAGCACTTTGGGAGGCCGAGGAGGGCAGATCACCTGAGGTCAGGAGTTTGAGACCAGCCTGGCCAACATGGTGAAACCCCATCTCTACTAAAAATACAAAAATTATCCAGGTGTGGTGGCGGGTGTCTGTAATCCCAGCTACTCAGGAGGCGAGGCAGGAGAATGGCTTGAACCTGGGAGATGGAGGTTGCAGTAAGCCGAGATCCCACTATTGCACGCCAGCCTGGGTCACAGAGCAAGACTCTGTCTCTAAATTAATATAATATAATATAATATAATATAATACGAGACTTCAGTTGGCCCTGCTGGAGGCAGGTGCCCATGGAATACCATGCTTGACCTTGCCTATCTACAGCCCAGCCCTGTGACCAAGGATCCAAAGCAATTATAAATGACAGCCCCACAGCAAGGATGCAGTGAGGGGGACTGTGTTTTCCTTCTAGAAAAGGATGCTGGTAGACAAAAACTCCATGTCCATGTTGAATAAAACATTTTTATACTCAAATAATCCCACTTTGAGCTACAAGCAGGAATACATGATCTACCTTCTCCCACTGATAATGGAAGTTTGATGAAAAAGTTTGAGGAGCACTGATGAAAATACATAGCTTTTTAAACCCACAGCTACTGTGTGGAGTTAGGTCTGACTGTACTCACACTGGATGTTGTACCTTTCAGAGGGAAGCCTGACCTGCGTTTGTGTGTGAGATTGCAGGCCCTGTGTCTCTAATTTCACGGAGAGCATTACTTGCTTCACGGACCAGATGGAACTAAATTGTCAGATGGTGGGCAGCTGCAACAAGAGCCAGTCATGGCTGTTGTCACCCATTTTCACCCCAGTGGGGTGGACACCATAAACAGTGGTATGAGGATATGAGAAAGGACTGGGGAAGCTACAGGAAAATGTGCAAATGTATAAAAGGAAGTTGGCATGGAAGAGCTCATGGCTCTTGTCAGGACACATAGTATCCCACTGATCCAAAGATCTGACCTGTATGTGCGTGTCCTGCCTGGCATCCAAGCTGCCAGGATTTCATGCTCCCCAAGCTGAGGTTACACCACAGCAGGGTTGTAGCAAGTGCTGCCAGTGCTCTGCACGTATCCCTTTGCCTTACCACTTCTGCTGTAGAATGTGAGACTTCCCATTGCAAGAACCTGCATTTCCCTGCCTGAGGGTGCTCTCTGGCCGCTGCTAGTGTGGCACCCTGGAAATGCCCGGAGATCATTCCCCCTAGGGCAGCCCTTAGTCAATGACTGGCAGGATTAAAGAAATACCAGAGCTCCCCATCCCTCAGAGGAGCCTGTTCTGAGTATATTCCACACTGGTGCTCAGACTCCCGCAGTGGGATTGATCTCCAGTTGTCCATAGCTGTGGCTAGCTTGGTAGCACCTCCTGTACCGTCTGCTTTCCTTCCCTTCTATCATGTGCTTCCGTACTTACATCACTTAAACTACTTGCACTTGATTCCTCATCTGAGTTAACTTCTTTTTTTTTTTTTTTTTTTTTGAGACAGAGCCTTGCTGTGTCACCCAGGCTGGAATGCAATGATGTGATCTTGACTTACTGCAGCCGCTACCTCCCAGGTTCAAGTGATTCTCCTGCCTCAGCATTCTGAGTAGCTGGGACTACGGGAACGTGCCACCATGCACGACTGATTTTTGTTTTTGTTTTTTTTTTTTTTGAGATGGAGTCTCGCTCTGTCGCCCAGGTTGGAGTGCAATGGTGCGATCTCGGCTCACTGCAACCTCTGCCTCCTGAGTTCAAGCAATTCTCCTGCCTCAGCCTCCCGGGTAGCTGGGACTACATGTGCGCACCACCACGTCTGGCTAATTTTTGTATTTTTAGTAGAGATGGGGTTTCACCATATTGGTCAGGCTGGTCTTGAACTCCTGACCTTGTGATCTGCTCGCCTTGGCCTCCCAAAGTGCTAGAATTACAGGCTTGAGTCACCACGCCCTGCCCGTTTTTGTATTTTTAATAGAGACAGGGTTTCACATGTCGGGCAGGCTGGTCTTGAACTCCTGACCTCAAGTGGTCCACCCACCTCAGCCTCCCAAAGTGCTGGGATTACAGGCGTGAGCCACTGCACCCAGCCCTCATCTGAGTTAACTTCTGGAGTAACTCAAACCACGGTGAGAGTTTTCAGGAAAAAATCTCAGGATCTTTCCTTAGAATGGAGAAGGCTTTCTGCGGTTTTTGGATAGGAACAGTGGACCCATAATGCAAATGTCCACTAATGTCTCTGTAGATTCATGTGGTTATTAACCCTTATATTAGAGCTATTCTGAGGTTATGGAATGATCTGGGGAGTCAACATGATCCCATAACACCTCTATTGGTTAATTATTGTATAACAAGGGGTTTGGCTGATCTAGGCTAGGATTGCTCCATGCATCTATTGTCAGCTGGAGCTCTCTTCTATACTGAGTCTGGCCGGGCAACTCTACTCTGTGTGTCTCTCTTCCCCTCCTGTGACCAGCCAGCCAACCTGGACACATTCTTCTCTTTGCAGTGGCAGAGGTGGAAGGGTACATGTTCAATTGAGCAAATGTTTTTTAAGTCTCTATTTGCATTACATATGTGAATGTTCCTTTGGCTCAAGTAAATCAGATGGCCAAATTCAGAGTCAAAGGGTAGGAAAATGCACTTTTTCCCTTTTGGGGATGAGCGGCAGTCACGTGGCAAGGGATATGGAAAGAAGGAGAGATGAAGAACTGAGGCCAAATCTACCCTACACCTATACATCTGCTGTCCTAAGTCTCTACCATTCTGCTCATCTACCCCTGGGAGATTCTGCAGGGAACACTTGGCTGTCATCAGCTTTTATAACTAGATTCTCAAGGAAATTAATTCTAGCTTGCTTCTTTTTCTTAGAAAGGACGCATTATTTTTTCTCTAATGCAATAAACTTTTTATATAATTTTCCATGAATCCAATAAAGATGGCCATCTGAACTTGTCTTAGTACTGAACTAATGAATTTGCAGTGAAATGTGTATTTCGATAGCTGACTTATGAAGGGACCGAATTGGAAATCAGGAACACTGCTTCCAGACAACACACAGATTTCCAGAAGTGTTTAATTTGAGGATTCCTTACTTCTTAAACTCCACACAGACCATGCTCAGGACTTCCTGAGACATGCTGAAATGGCAGTGTAGTAGAAACACTTATCAATATTGATGCTAGTCCCATTTTGTATTGTCTGTCCATCAGAGGAGAAAAAAAAGATTTATGACTCATTGTTTTCCAAAGATGCTGCTTCCTCTGCAGTTTTGCAGGTTGTTTTTGGATACAATTTTCTCCTTGTTTATACAATGCCCACTGAAGTGCTTTTTATATCCCAGGTTTGTACGTTTACAGGCCCATCAGCCAATTTCATACATTATTTTCTGCCCCATAGTTGTCTTTGGTGGTTTGAAACTGACTTGATACATAAAAAACAAAACATATCTAGATTCCGCCAGTGCCATTAAAAATAATCATATTGTTTGACCTGTCCCTCTGATGATAACCTTTCATGATAGTTCTGTTTCCTTAGATCTGTCTTTTGGGATTGCCTTTGGGCGATTTCTGAAGTGGTAGGTTTCTGGAGTTCTCTAGGGAATTGTCCTAGGTTCTCTGGAGCCAGAGTTCCATTATCTGTGAGAGCACAGGAAGGAATTTTACAGTAATTCTGCTACAGTGAAACATTTGCCTTCAGGCCGGAATTGAAAATAGCAGCTGGAAGGACATTTGGAAAGAGGTTTGGGGGGTGGGGGCGGTTTGTGGGAGTGCAGGAGAGGTGGAGACAGAGAGAGCTTTCACATTTGGATAAAAACACTAGCTACAAGGCAAAACGGAGACAGGGCTGGCATCTTCTACCCTTGAAACTATCCCAAATTAAATTCTCCTCGGGCTTGGCTCTTAAAGCCAGTTATTTCAGAGCCGTGAGTGTCGGCCAGGGTCAGCACTTGCTCTCGGTAATGAACGCTGAGCGCCACGACTCCTGGATGATGACCAGACACACCGGCCCAGTTTCACCACTGCTCCTCCCACAAAAAGTCACCATCCAAAATGTGGACCAGTTCCCTGGAGTCACTGGTAATCGAATAACTAAATTTCAGCCCTCTGAAGACTTGGGGAAGACATGTTCCACCTTTACCCACAAGTGTCATTGCAGTAAAGGACACAAATTATAGGTTTGGGCACTGGCCTAAGAAATAAACAAAAGAATTTCAACTAGGAATAGAACCATCTACAAAACCATGCTTTAAGAGATAGTTGATAGCTAGTGTCCAAGATCACGGGCCCCAGTGAACCACGCCTTCCAGGGTTAGTATTTGTGCCTTGCCAACTGTGTCCAGGGTTGGTTCCTTCTGGTGGGTTCGTGGTCTTGCTGACTTCAAGAATGGAGCTGCAGACCTTCGCAGTGAGTGTTACAGCTCTTAAAGATGGGACGGACTCAAAGAGTGAGCAGAAGCAGCAAGATTTATTGCAAAGAGTGAAAGAACAAAGCTTCCACAGTGCGGAAGAGGACCCCAGCCAGTTAAGGCCGCTGGCTGGGCGGGGTGTGGCCAGCTTTTATTCCCTTATTTGTCCCTGCCCATGTCCTGCTGATTGGTCCATTTTACAAACCTCTAGCTACAGGGTGCTGATTGGTGTATTTTTACAGAGCACTGATTGGTGCATTTTGCAAACCTCTTCTAAGAAGAGTTCTCCAAGTCCCCACTCGACCCAGGAAGTCCAGCTGGCGTCACCTCTCAAAACTTCCTCCCTTTGAGTCTGGGCTGCCTTGTGACTTACTTGTGACTAATAGAATAAGGCTTAAATGACATTGTGTGACTTGTGAGGCTAGATTATAGGAAGTCTTGAAGCCTCTGTCTGGGTCTCCTAGACACAACTTCTTGCTCTTGGGACACGCCCACTAGAACCTAGCCACCAGCCTGTGCACAGTCCAAGCTACACGGAGAGTCCATATGTAGGCGTTCTAGTTGACAGCCCAGCTGTGCTCCTGGTTGACAGCCAGCATCGACTGTTACTTCAGATGCCTCCAGCCCCAAACCCCAGCAGCCATTGTCCACAACCATATGAGATATCACAAGAAAACTGCCCAAATTGCAAGCCTGAACACACAGAATGATAAGAGATAATAAATTATTTTAAGCCACTAGATAACTAGAACAGAAATTATATATTTGCACACAGCTATGTGTGTATATATATATATGCTTTTGAATGGATCCATCAATGATGGATCAGTTGAATGATTTTCATTTGCTCATGTATTCATTGACTCAACATCTATTGAGCATACATGTCAGGTACTATGCTAATCTCTGGGAATATAGTAGTGAACAAATTAATTATGGTCTTGCCTCTGAGGAACCTACAGTCTAGTAAGGGAAGATGACAATAAACAAGCAAACACACAAATAATTGCGAACTTATAAATCATGTCATTTTTTTAATTTGAAAAAAAAGAACATGGCGCTATGCCAGAATAAGAAAGGAAAATCCAGCCTAGCCTGGTAATATGGTTTGGATTTGTGTCCTCCTCCATAATGAATTGTAATCCCCATTGTTGGAGGAGAGGCCTGGTAGGAGGTGATGGGATCATGGGGGCGGATTTCTCCCTTGCTGTTCTCATAATAGCGAGTCCTCCTGAGATCTGGTTTTTTAAAAGTGTGTGGCACCTTTCATTTCGCTTTCTTCTTCCTGCTTTTGCCATGATTGTAAGTTTCCTGAGGACTTCCCAGTCATGCTTCCTGTACAGCCTGTGGAACCACAGAACCAATTAAGCCTTTTTTTCTTTATAAATTACCCAGTCTCAGGTAGGTCTTTATAGCATTGCGAGAATGAACTAATACACCTAATAATCAGTTAAGGCCCCTCTGAGGAGCTGACTTTTAAGTGGAATCTGAAACGCAAGAAGGAGCCAGCTACATTAGGGGTGGAGAATGCAGAAAGCTTTCTAGAATAAAGGAACAATAAAGACCCTAAAGTGGGAAGAGGCTTGGGATATTGGGAGGACCCAGAGAAAGCCATGATGATGGAGTAGAGGGATCTAGGGGAGAGAGGCCAGAGAGGAAGAACTGGACATGAGCAGTAGGCTTGTAGGCCATGGTGTGGGGTTTGGATTTTCTCCTAAATGCAATGGGAAGCTATTTAAGGCTTTTAGCAGGGGAGTGACATGATCCAATTTACATTTTAAAAAGGTCACTCAGACAGCCTGGAGGATAACAGATTGGAAGGGGCAAGAAGGGGATGAGGGAGGCCGCCATCCAGGTGAGGTGACGAGGTGTCTGAAGCTGCAGGTGGAACCCTGGGAGGCACCACACAGCACCTGCTTCCTGCTGCACCTCAGACGGTTCCAGCAGCATTTGTGCTAAGGCAGGTCTTCTACGAAGTGTACTAGTGACTGATGACAAATGCTGTAGGCCCATAGTCACATCCCGAGAATCTCTCCGTTGTTTCTGCCATGCACACACTATCCCGGTTCTGGCTTGATAGATCAACAATGCCTACAGCTCACTCAACCCCGCGAGGTGTGTGTCAAGGGGTGCTCAGAGCCTGCTCCCGACCCCACTCCGGTGCACCCTCATCTCACACAGGATGCCGCTCCAGAGGTGGCTGTGGGTGAAGGGCTGTAGGAATATCGCCCGCCCACCCCCACCCCGAGCCAGCAGCAAATCCTGTATACTGGGACATGTGATGTCTGAAGTGCCAACCCATCTGGTTGACCAGATTTGCTGCCTTGATGAAGCTGTCTTTCCTGACCAAGTTGGCTGTTGTTACCAACAGATACTGGGTCCTTGTGCTGTTGTTAAATTAGTTGTGAATAAAAGGAAACCAGAGCAACTAAAGCCTGCGGTTCCCATAGGCTAGAGAAAATCTGTCGATAGCAATCGTTTCCTAGGATGGTCATTACAAAGGTATTAGCTCTGCATGTTCAGTTCCCCTCTGACTTTCACCGGATTTATAGATTGTTCGTTCATAGGAACTGCCAGGCACATTTCTGACAAAAATATCTGCATGTACGTAGCCAAATGTGTGTGGCAGGCACTGAACTGAGCACGTTGGGGAATAGATCCCATCACCTACCTACTCACAAACCTCACCTTAAATCTGTTTCCCCCAGCACCATCTAGCTACTCCCTGCTGTGAATTTAAGAGTTAGGCTGGGCATGGTGGCTCACGCCTGTAATCCCAGCATTTTGGGAGGCTGAGTTGGGCAGATCTCTTGAAGTCAGGAGTTCGAGACCAGTGTGATTAACATGGTGAAACCCTGTCTCTACTAAAAAATACAAAAATTAGCCAGGCGTGGTGGTGGGCATCTGTAATCCCAGCGACTTGGGAGGCTGAGGCAAAAGAATCACTTGAACCCGGGAGGCAGAGCTTGCAGTGAGCCGAGATTGCGCCATTGCACTCTAGCCTGGGCGACAGAACGAGACTCCATCTCAAAAAAAAAAAAAAAAAGAGTTAACCTTTGGCCAGGGCGGTGGCTCACGTCTGTAATCCCAGCACTTTTAGAGGTCGAGGTGGGTGGATCACTTGAGGTCGGAAGTTTGAAACTAGCCTGGCCGACACGGTGAAACCCCGTCTCTACTAAAAATACAAAAGTTAGCCAGGCATGGTGGCAGGCACCTGTAATCCCAGCTACTCTGGAGGCTGAGGCAGGAGAATGGCTTGAAGCTGGGAGGCAGAGGTTGCAGTGAGCCGAGATCGTGCCACTGCACTCCAGCCTGGGCAACAGGGTGAGACTCCATCTCAATGAAAAAAAAAAAAGAGTTAGCCTTGATCTCTCTCTTCCTCCGTACTGGCATTTACTGAATATCTCCAAACCACTCACTTTTCTCCCCTGCCCACTGCTCTCCTAGTCCAAGATGCCTACAGCAGCGACCTCTCAGGCCTCAGTGTCCAGACTCCTCTGCTCTTCTCCCTGCAGCCTTGTTCTGAGCTCCCCGGACTCATCACTTCCTGCTCCCACCTCATCCTCTATACATCAGCCGTATTCATTGGCCATTAGCCCCTCAAGTGTGCTCTCTCTCAACTCTGGGCCTTCCCATATCTCAAAGAGTTGACAGATTGCCAACTTCAGCCCTGCTTTGTTTTGTAAATTAAGTTTTACTGGCACCCATCCAACCCCATTCATTGATAGGTTATCTGTGGCTGCTTTTGTGCTACAACAACAAAGTTGAGTAGAAAACTTTGCCGACCCTCCATATACAATTTCTTCTGCCTCTCCTCTTCTTATGTCCTTTCTCCGTGTTCACACCTTCCTTCCCTTCACTTGGTTAATGCCTACTTACCCTTCAGGCCTTAGACTGGAAATAACTTCTTCCAGGAAGTCCTCCCTGACCACACCCTATCCCCTGTATATGTTCCCATAGCACTCCATTGTTGAATCACAGCAGTAATTACAATGGCCTGCTTACTTAGACAAGTCTGTATCCCCACTAGATTGTATGTTCCTTGAGGACAGAGGCTGGGTTGTAAACCCAAAATATCTGAGATGGGTCTCAGTGAATTTAGAAAGTTTGTTTTGCCATGGTTAAGGATGTACCCATGACACAGCCTCAGGAGATCCTGGCCACGTGTGCCCAAGGTGGTTGGGGTACAGCTTGCTTTTACACATTTTAGGGAGACACAGGACATCAATCAATGTGTGTAAGATGTACATTGGTTCGGTTCAGTAAAGTGGGACAACTCGAAGTGGGGGCTTCCCAGTTAGCAGCAGGTAAGAGACAAAAGGTTGCATTTTTTTGTGAATGCTCAGTGAATCTTCATTTTTACATAAACAATAGGGCAGAGGGAGCCATCCGATATGCATTGTCTCAGGTGAACCTCAGAGGGGTGACTTTACATTCTGTCTGTCCTTTGTCCACAAGGAATTTCCATTTGTCTAAATATTTAAATGTTTTAAAACAAGCTAACAAACAGTTCAATGAAATACCTTTATACTCTCAGCCTAAGAAGTATTCCTTCATATGTAGTGAAAAATACATGTAAAGCTATGATTTGTATGTGATTAAAAGTTGGCAAACTATTTAAGATAATTTAATCGTTATGAATGTCCAGGTGTTCTAATATTTTATATTCTTATGTTTGTTTTATAACATTTACTCTTCTCTTTATTTTGGCAAAAATCACTTTGTTATTGTAATCTAGATTTTCACATAATGTGTGTTCAATTGCTAGTAATCTAAAGGATTAGAAATAAAATTAATTGCATTAAAAGTGTACAAAATTTGGATATATTTTCAAAAAAGTAAATCAAAGTAAAAGCAAAATATGAATATTTACTTTATATGTTTTTTCTCCTAAATTAATCAAAACTCTATATTAAAATTAAAAGGCAAAAAATATATAATTAAGGTCAAAATTTTAAATCAAAATGATTCAAGCTAAATTTTTAACTTCGTGAACATTTAATGAAACCTTATTAAAAATATATGTAAATAAAAGGATTCCAGTTCTACTATGCAATATCTATTAGTTGGCAATGTAAAGAATTGGTATCATTTCATATGCTCCATCTAGACCTACATAGGCACAAATATAATATGATTTGTTTAATATAGTTAACATCATGCTACTTGATAAGCACCCTCGGAACTACAAATTGAAAGAATACTAAGAGAAGCAAGAAAATGGACGCTTAGCCCTGATGGGAAATCATACCTCGTTTCGTGACAATCTATTACATTCATGTCAAGAGGAAAGGTTGGACAACTTATTTGTCTTTTCTCTTACCTAAGTCGTTCGTCTGCTCAAATCCTCCTTGCTTGCCAAAGAAACGTCTTCTTCCAACATCAGCAGCGGCACAGTCCACAAGCCTTTGTGGTATTCTGACATGGCCATCTTTTGTTTGAGGACACACTGCAAGGGACAGAGGGAAGCATTTTCCTGACTCCTGAACGGTGTTAGCCACAAAAGTAGTTGTTTTGAGTTACAGGTTATGCTGTGCCAATGCTGAGCATGGTGCCCAAGTGACAGAGGCACCCTGTCTTCTTTTTTTTTTTGAGACAGAGTCTCCCTCTGTCACCCAGGCTGGAGTGCAATGGCACGGATCTTGGCTCATTGAACCTCCCAGATTCAAGCAATTCTCCTGCCTCGGCCTCCCGAGTAGCTGGGATTACAGGCGACCGTCACCACGCCCAACTAATTGTTGTATTTTTAGTAGAGACAGGGTTTCACCATTTTCGCCAGGCTGGTCTCAAACTCCTGACCTCAAGTGATCTGCCTGCCTCAGCCTTCCATGGTGCTGGGATTACAGGCATGAGCCACCGCGCCTGGCTATCTTCTTTAATAAGTTTATTTTTGTGTGTATTTGTCAAATGCAGCATCCTCTAAAGTGAGGGGCCATGGTAGAGACCTCTTTTGGGTGGGTGGGAGGGCAGTACTCCTCTCCTGTCCACTATTGTATCCCTCCTGCTTACCATAGAGTCTGGCACACAGTAGGTGCTCAATACATGCTGACTTGGGCACAATGAAGAATTTTTATTATTTTGACCAATGAGGCACTAAGTCATAAATGACTGCTCTCTGGCCTAATCGCCATTAAAATATAGCCATCTAGTAAAGCAGGGGTCAGTCAACTTTTTCTGTAAAGGGCCAGATAGTGATAAATAGTTTTGGTTTGGTGGGCCATATGATTTCTGTTGTAAATACTCAGCTCTGCTATTGTAGTGCAGAAGCAGCCATAGACAATACATTAACAAATAAGCATGTCTGTGTTCCAACAAAACTTTATTTAAAACACAAGTGGGGCCAGGCTCGATGGCTCATGTCTGTAATCCCAGCACTTTGGGAGGCCAAGATAGGAGGACTGCTTGAGCCCGGGAATTTGAGACCAGCCTGGGCAACATAGTGAGAGCTCATCTCTACAAAAATAAATAAATAAACAAACAAATAAATAGCTGGATGTGGTGGCGTGCGCCTGTAGTTCCAACTACTCAGGAAGCTGAGGAGGGAAGATTACTTGAGCCTAGGAGTTTGAGGCTGTCGTGAGCTGCGATTGCACCACTGCACTCTAGCCTGAGTAACACAGAAAGAGACCTTTTCTCTAAAAAAAAAAAAAAAAAAAGGTGGCAGGCCAGATTTGGCACATGGGCCATAGTTTGGCAACCACTGTACTAGAGCATAAGAGGAGAGGGATCCTGCTAATGAGGAGGAGAAGGCAGAGTTGAAAATATTTAGGAGGTGGAATTATCAGGAGTGGATGCCCCTTAGTTATTGCAGCATACCAGCAGAAGCCTGAGCTGAAACTGCCCGGAGATGCCAAAGCATCCTCAAGCCTTGCCCTCCTTCATCTGGGTGGCTGTTCCTCCTTCCTGGCTTCCCTGGTTTGTCACCCCTGCTCATGTTTGTCTTACTATAGGTGTCTCCAGATTTCTGGCTTTCTCAGTGCTTCTACAGCCTGGCTGTGCACTAGAATCACCCAGGGTGTTTATTTAAAATGTCCCTGCCAAGACCCGTGTATTAGTCGGCTAGGGCTGCTGTAGCAAAATACTGCAGACTGGGTGGCTTAAACAACAGATTTCTTTCCCTACTGTTCTGGAGGTTACAAGCCCAAAATGAAGATGCTGTCAAGGCTGGTTTCTGGTGCGGCCTCTCTCTTTGGTTTGCAAATGGCCACTTTCTCTCTGTGTCTTTTTTTTTTTTTTTTTTGAGACAGAGTCTCACTCTTTCACCAGGCTGGAGTACAGTGGTGCGATCATGGCTCACTGCAACCTCTGCCTCCCGGGTTCAAGCCATTCTCCCTAAGCCTCCCGAGTAGCTGGGATTTCAGGCACATGCCACCGTGCCTAGCTAATTTTTGTATTTTTAGTAGAGACAGGGTTTCACCATGTTGGCCAGGGTGGTCTCAATCTCTTGACCTTGTGATCCGCCTGCCTCGGCCTCCCAAAGTGCTGGGATTACAGGTATGAGCCACCGCACCTGGCCTCTCTCTGTGTCTTTAAGTGGCCTTTTCTCTGTGCATGTGCAAAGAAAGAGAACAAGAGAGTGCTCTGGTGTCCCTCCCTCTTCTAATAATGACATCAGTCCCATCAAATTAGGGTGCTACCCTTATAATCTCATTTAACTTTCATTATCTCTTTAACAGCCTATTTCCAATTATAGTCACATTGGAAATTAGAGCTTCCACATATGAATTTTGGGAAAATACAGTTTAGCCCATAACACCAGGTTTTTGGATTCATTGGTCTCAGGGGGAGCCAAGGTACTGACTTTTTTTTTTTTTTTTTTTTTTTTTTTTTTAATAAAAGCTGCCCAGAAAATTCTAATGCTCAGCATGTTTGAGAAGGACTGGTAACCAGTTGATATTCTGGCTCTGGTCTTATTAACTCAGCTCTGTCATTCTTCCAGGACAAAAATGCAGTTAATAGCTTGCCATTTCCATGCTTGGTTGAACTCTTTTGGCCAGCCCCCACTTCAAGGGAAGGAGAACTGGATGATATGTAGAAGGAACAGCAGGAGAAAGGAGATTTCCAGGTTTCTACTTGGCTGGTGGCAGGGCCATTCCATAGGCAGGAGCAGGTCTACAGGTGAAGGTGATGTGATTGCCTGTGTGATGATGACTGAGCTGCCTCTGAGACAGGTGCACATTGTTATCAATAAGCAAGTCTGGAATTGAGAGAAGGAATCTTGCCTAGAAATAAAGATTTTAGTCTTTATCAGCAAAGAGTTGGAAGTTAAATGCATGGGAATGAATTACTGGGAAAATAGGGGCAAAAATGGAAACCTGGAGAATTCTAGCACTTAAGAGAGGAGGAGAAAAAGAATTTCCAGTGACTATGACTAAAAGCAGCCATTTGAGTTAGTGGGAAACTAGAGGAATGGGTATAAAGGAGGAAGAGGTCAGTGGTAAAATGTAACCAAGGGTCAGGCACAGTGGCTCAAGCCTGTAATCCCAGCACTTTGGGACGTTGAGGTTGGCGGATCACCTGAAGTCAGGAGTTTGAGACTAGCCTCACCAATATGGTGAAACCTCGTCTCTACTAAATGTACAAAAATTGGCTGGGTGTGGTGGCACATACCTGTAAACCCAGCTACTTGGGAGGCTGAGGCAGGAGAATTGCTTGAACCTGGGACACGGAGGTTGCAGTGAGCCAAGATTGTGCCACTGCACCGCAGTCTGGGCGATAGAGCGAAACTCTGTCTCAATAAATAAATAAATAAAGTAACCAAGAAGCTAAATTTTTAAAAATCTGAAGCATCTCCTGGATTTGACAATTACAGGGCACTGGCAACCATTGTGAGAGGTGGTGGCCTGAGCTGGATAACCTGAGTCTGTTCCTGCTCTGAGCTCTAGGATGCTGACCTGGATGGGCAGTGTCAGCAGATTCCCTGGTTTTCTGGATTCTGGGCTGGGCTTGGCCAATGGAGAATACTGGCAGGACGTGAGAGGGAAGGAGGAAGGAAAGGGTGAAGTATCGATTCGCCTTGCTTCCTTGAGGTGAGGGTTCCCCGGGCTGGCTGCATTCCTTGATGAAGGCCACCATTCCTGTTGGGTGGCTCTCTCCACACAGTGCCACCTGTAAAGACTCTTCCCCCTTTTCCTGCAGACCTGGGGTAGTGCAGCTTCCTCCTCTTACCAGCCCCTGCAATGCCACACTATTCTTTTGACTTTTCTCTATCTTGTCAGCATCTTTGTAAATAGACCTTCTACTAAACCCTCCTCAAATTACTCAATGTAGTCTGGGCACCGTGGTTCATGCCTGTAATCCCAGCACTTTGGGAGACCAAGGTGAGAGGATCGCTTGAGCCCAGGAGTTTGAAAGCAGCCTGGACAAGATAGGGAGACGCCATCTCTAAAAAAATTAAAAAAAAAAAATTAGCCAGGTGTGGTGGCATGCACCTATAACAGTCTCAGCTATTCGGGAGGCTGAGGTGGGAAGATTGCTGGAGCCTGGGAGACCAAGACTGCAGTGAGCCGTGATGGTGCCACTGCACTTTAGTCTGGGTGACAGAGTGAGATCCTGTCTAAAAAAAAAAACCCAATTTAAGTGTGCCTTTTGTTTCCTGCTGGGATCCAGACTGATACAGGGCTCAGTCCAAACTGAAGTGGGTTGGGGAAGGAGTGGGAGAGTAGGGAATATAAAACGTTATTTTGAAGAGTACCATAGAAAAGTACAGACAGTAATAGAAATCTACACCAGAATTTAAAAAAGGAGATTTTATCATTTTGCTTCAGATTTTTTTTTTTTTGGAAAGACAGAATACTAAAGATGAGGTTTCTTTTGGTTTCTGTCACAACGTCTGTCTCCTCTATCTCTCAACAGAGAGTGAATTAGGTATGAACCTCATTAGGTATGAACCCTTCTAGTCCATTTTTGATAATTTACTGTTAGTATGTGTTTTCGAATTTATCTAAATGCTTCCATACTGTATATATCATTCAGCAGCTCCCTCAAACCCTTTTTTTTTTAGACAGAATCTCGCTCTGTCTCCCAGGCTGGAGTGCAGTGGCATGATCTCAACTAACTGCAATCTCTACCTCCCAAGTTCAAGCGATTCTCTCACCTCAGCCTCCCAAGTAGCAGAGACTGCAGGCGCGCACCACCACACCCAGCTAATTTTTTGTACTTTTAGTAGAGACAGGGTTTTGCTGTGTTGGCCAGACTGGTCTCAAACTCATGACCTCAAGTGATCCGCCTGCCTCGGCCTCCCAAAGTGCTGGGATTACAGGTGTGAGCCACAGCACCTGGCCCCTGCTTTTTTTTTAACTACACTTTTTTGTTTTTGTCTTTTTTTTTTTTTTGAGATCACGTCTCACTCTGTCACCCAGGCTGGAGTGCAGTGGCGCAATCTCCACTCACTGCAACCACCACCTCCCAGGTTCAAGAAATTCTCATGCCTCAGCCTCCTGAGTAGCTGGTATTACAGGTGTGCGCCACTGTGCCCAGCTAATTTTTGTATTTTTAGTAAAGATGGGATTTCACCATGTTGGCCAGGCTGGTCTCGAATTCCTGGCCTCAAGTGATCCACCTTCCTCGGCCTCCCAAAGTGCTGGGATTACAGGCATGAGCCACTGCACCTGGCCAGAACTACACTTTTGAGAACTATCCATGTTGGTATTTACAGAGCTAGGCCATTTGTTTTAACTGTTGTATAGTATGTTTTATTATATCTTATTTTATTTATTTGTTCTCCTATTAATGAATATTTTTATAATTCCAATTTTCCACTATTATAAACAATGCTGCAATAAAAATCTCTATACCTTTCTCCTGATGTATGAGTGTTTCTCCACCATCTATACACAGAAGAGAAATTGCTGATCATGGGGTTTGTGCATTTAAACTTTACTAGATATTACCAGATTGACATTCATCCATAGACCCTGGTAAGTAGTTCTACAGACTCCCACAAACAGTAGGTGTAAATTCTCATTTCCTTGTTCCGTGTTCAACATTTTATATTGTCAGAGTTTGTGGTTTTTGAAAATGTGATGATTATAAAATGGTATGCAACTCATGTTATTAAACATTAATATAATTTTGGAGTAGATAATACATGCACACAGTATAAAATTCAGAAGCTACAGGAGCATATACAATGGAAAGCAAGTCCTCCCTCAGCCCCTGCCCTCTAGCCCCTGTCTTAGTTCGTTTGTGCAAAATACCATAGACCGGGTAATTCACAAACAATAGAAATTTATTTCTCATGGTTCTGGAGGCTGGGAAGTCCCAGATCAAGGCATAAGCAGGTTTGGCATCTGATAAGGGTTTGATCTCTGCTTCCAAGCTGGTGCCTTGTTGCTGCATCCTCTGGAGAGGAGGAACAGTGTGTCCTCGTGTGAGACAGAGACAGAGGGCAAGAAAGGGTCAAGCTCTGTGTGAAGCCTCTTTTATAAAGACCTTAATCCCATTCATGAGGGAAGAACCCTCATGACCTGATTACCTCCTAAAAGTCCCCATGCCTTTAAAGTCACCACGATAAGGATCAAGTTTCAACATGAAATTTGGAGGGAACACCATCATTCAAACCATAACCACCACTTAGTTCTCTGTTCTGTTGTCTGTTTCTTGTGTGCTCTTCAGATACATTTTATGCAGTTACATGTGTGTAGTAAAACATTAAACTTTTTCTATCCCATTTCTTTCGTCTCAGTAGATTATACAGCTTTATAGATTCAATGTTAATTGTTTTCATTTCATACATGAACTCTATTTTCTTAGATCCAACAAGCACAGGTTTGGGTGACTACTTGGAAAAAGCTCACAATCCCTAAAGTCAAGAACCATCAATTCCAAAGGTACCATTGCAACTGCTCTAAGGGACTTAGGGGACCTCTACCTCAAGTTTCACTCTCCTAGAATTTCCAGTGGAAGCTTGCAGACTAGGTCCTTTTATCTGCTATGGTACAGTCAGAAAAACAGATACCCCTCTAGGTATCTCAGATAGAAGGAGGCTTATACAGGGAATTAGAGGCTTAAATAACTCTAGGAAAGCTGCAAGAGTGATAGTGATCGGGACACCTCTTTCAGGAAATCTGGTAGTGCAGGAATCACAAGGAAGCCACTGCCATTGCTCTCAGCTGCCTGTAGAGCCAGTTGGAGTATTTTCAGGAGAACACCCAAAAGTTTTAGGCAAAATTCCATGTCAGCCATCTGCTGCTGCCTCAAGAAAACAATGGCTTCTCCTTTTCTTCCCAACCAAATCTCATGCAAGTGCCTCTCATTGGTGGAGTCCGGGCTGAATACTGTTGGCAAGATCAGGGAAATGTAGTTTCCAAGTTTGTCGTCCTGTAGAAAAAGACAAGAGTCCAGAAAGGCAGATGTGGTACTGAGTACCCACAAATGGCAACTGGCAGGGTTCCCAGTAACAATCTCCCTCTCCCTGCTTACAAACATGATTTTATTACCCAACTTTGTAATATTTCATTCTGTCTCTATTAGGGGCATATATTACATAATTTATGTTACAGGTTTTATATAGATCAACAACAATTAAGCACCTATTTTATCCTCCACATTGCCTACTTTGTGGAAGACTTAGGGAAGAGTAACACAAAAGGGAAAAGATAGAGTTCCTATTGTTAAGAAACCAAGTGTCACTTACTAAAAAGCTTTCACGGAGACCCTACTGTGTGCTCACATCGGAAACCCTAGGAAAGCAGACTGATATGGACTCATACAGTCGAGAGACAAAAATCTGCATAGGAATGATAACAACCAAATTCAACATAGAGATTACCAATAGGGAGGGAAGGAACACAGGCAGCTACAATTGTGTAAGTCATATTTTAAACTGGATGGAGTGTACACATTTGTGTATTTTATTTTTATTTATATTTTTTCCTCTGGCCAAAATATTTCATAATAAAACTTTTTTTTTAAAGAACTAGGCAGGGTCTCTGTCCTTAGGGAGTTTACATTTTGATGAGAGAGGTCTCTCTCTCTCTGTCTCTCTCTCTCTCTCACACACACACACAAACACACACACACACACACACACACACACACACACACACACACACACAAGAAATGGGCAAAGATATAGCATCGAGCTGCTGTCTTGGGTAGAAGAGCATCCTGGGAACCCATCTTTATGGAGTTCATCAATGAGATCAGAAGAGAAATTATATATGAATTCTGTTAAAAAGGTAAATTTAATGTTGGTGTAGACTTTCATCTTTAATCAAGGTAATTGAATATGCCCCCCGAAGTTCATGTGTTGAAACATAATCCCCAAAGCAACAGTGTTTGGAGGTGAAGCCTAATGGGAGGTGCTTAGGTCATGAGGTCTCTGCCCTCATGAATATGTCATTATTTTAAGAGTGGGTTTATTATAAAAGTGAGTTCGACTCTCTCTCTCTCTGACTCTCTCTAACTTTCTATCTCTCTCTCTCTCACTCTTTCTCTCTCTCTCGTGTGTGCTCCTGCCCTTCCACCTTCTGCCGTGGGATGACTCAGCAAGAAGGCCCTCACCAGATTCAGTGCCTTGATCTTGGACTTCTCAACCTCTAGAACCATGAGCCAAATCAATTTATTTTCATTATAAACTACTGAGTCTTTGGTATTCTGTTACAGCACCACAAAACAGATTAAGACATTGATGATACTTAACGTCTTTCTTGTTTTGCAAGGGAAGACAGAATAAAGTTAATGCTCCACCTCATGCTGACTTTCAATAATTCTATATCCAACAGAACACTCTATAGACTGCAGATGCAAGTGTGAAGGGAAATGAGATAAGGTAGTGAGCAGCATGAGGTAAAGGGCAGGTTGGTTTTGAGGCAGGCTTCCATTGGGCAGGAAGCTGGAAATGAGATGTAGGGTTTAGAACAGTAAAAAGAAGGGGAAAGAAAAGGGGAGGAAAAGACAAGGATTCAAAATTCACTTAAAATTAAGACTATACATTAGGTGTCATGGAGAGTTCAAAAACAATAAGACATGTCCCCTGACCTCAAGGAACTTAGAGAAGCATTTGCCCGAAGGCTCAGAATGCTCATAATAGGCTGGGTGCAGTGGTTCATGCCTGTAATCCCAGCACTTTGGGAGGCCAAGGAGGAGTCAGTCAGGCTGAGGTCAGGGGTTCAAGACTACCCTGGCCAACATGACCAAACCCCATCTCTATTAAAAATACAAAAAAGTTAGCCAGGCATGGTGGCACATGCCTGTAGTCTCAGCTACTCAGGAGGCTGAGGCAGGGGGAATGCTTGAACTGAGAGGCAGAGGTTGCAGTGGGCCAAGATTGTGCCACTGCACTCCATCCTGGGTGACAGAGCAATACGGTCTTAAAAAAAAAAAAACCAAAAAAAAAAAACTCACAATGGTACTCAGTGAGCCATGCGCTTTACAAGGATGCTCTTATTTAATTCACACACTAACCCGGTGAGGTCAGCTCTCCTAAGCCCATGTTTCAGGGGAAGAAACTGAACACAGAGCAGTTCTGTAACTTGCTCCCCTGCAGCAAGGGGCAGAAGTAGCACCATTCTTAACTGTTGCCCTTGCCAGGCCTGAGAGATTTCAGTGGACAATGGAAGTGATGAAGTCTCCTGGAAATATTTGTCTCTAGAAAAGAGGCATAATTCATTCCTCAGCCCCCCTTCCCAGGTGCCACAGGTATATTTTTTGACTCTACTATTTTTTTAAACCACATTTCCTTCTTCTCCTGCCCTCCCTAATTCCTCTCTTCATGCCTGTCTTCTCTTTCTGTCCCAGTCTTTCCCAAAGCCTGCGATAACATATATTCAGATAGTAAGCTATGCTTTTAGTTTTCCAAATTGTCTTCTTTCTTTGCATCCATGTTTGGAGGAAACAGAATATGTAAACCCTTAAGACTCTTCTCAGACTATGATTTTGCCCTCAGTACTGTATCATTCCCATCAGCTTAAAAATATAGCTCAGTACTCTCATCTTATAGAAAAAAGTAGCTATTTTTAAAAAAACCTGTCCTTGATCCCACATGTTCCTGCAACCCTATTTCTCTATTCTCCATTTATAGCAAGTCATCTTATAAAAAGTCTGTAGCCACTGTCTTCATTTCTCACCTCTCATTCTCTCTTCTTCCCACTTCAACTGGCTCCTGTCCCACTCTATGCTGATATCTTCCAAATTTATACTTCTAGTCCCAACCTTCCTTCTTAACCAGCTGCCTCCTTCACATCGAATTTGGACATTTAATATGCATTTCCAAGTGAACATGCCCCAAGGCAAATCTTTGCTTCCCCAGCCCAACCTACTACTCTCCAGATTCTCCTTATCTGGCAAGTAGCTCTGCGACGGGCCTAAGCTGGGAGTCTGCAGACCACCCATTCCCTCAGCCCCCAACACTGAATCCACCAGGTGGGATCCACCCCACCTCCAGAATATCCCAAATCTGTCTGCTTCTCTCCATCTCTGTCTTCATCCAAGATGCTATCACCTCTTACTGGAATTACAGTTATAGCCTCCTTATATAATCCATTCTCCACATGGTAGCCAGAGTAATATTTTAAAATGCAAATCAGATAATATCACTCCTCTGCGTAAAATCCTTCCATATCTTTCCTTTGCGTTTAGCATAAAATCTGTCCTTCAGGGTTCTACATGATCAGGTTTCTGGTCCTCTCTCTGACCGGATGACCCCTCCCCTGCTCACCAAGTCCCGGCCATACTTTCAATCAATCCTCCCACCTCAGCCTCCTCAGTAGCTGGGACCACAGGCGTATGCCATTAAGCCCACCTAATTTTTGTATTTTTTGTAGAGATGGGGTTTCAGCATGTTGTTCAGGCTGATCTCAAACTCCTGGGCTCAAGTGATCCTCCCACCTTGGCCTCCCAAGGTGCTAGGATTACAGGCGTGAGCCACTGCACCCAGCCTTGAGATCCTTCTGTTCAATGAGCACGGCAAGCTTTGAAGCTGCTGTTCTAACTGTTCTCTCCCACTTCCTGGATTATGAATTCCTTGGATCTTCCACAGGTGGCTTCTTCCCAATATTTGGGCCTCAAATATCACCTTCTCAGCCTTCCCTCACTAGCCAATTTAACTGAACTACTCTCGATTACCCTGTCCTCTTTTATTTTCCAATTAACACTTATTACTACCTGATGTGCCATTGTTTTGTGTGAGTGTGTTCATCATAGAATGTAAGCTCTGTGAGAACCAGAACCTCGTCTTTTTTGTTTTTTGCCACATGCCCTGTACCTAGCAGGGTGCCTAGTACACGGTAGGTACTCAATAAACGTTTGTTTTAAAAATTAATGAAATATGCCAGGCGCGGTGGCTCACGCCTGTAATCCCAACACTTTGGGAGGCTGAGGCGGGTGGATCACGAGGTCAGGAGATCAAGACCATCCTGGCTAACACGGCGAAACGCTGTCTCTACTAAAAATACAAACAAAAAAATTAGCCGGGCGTAGTGGCGGGTGCCTGTAGTCCCAGCTACTAGGGAGGCTGAGGAAGGAGAATGGTGTGAACCCGGGAGACGGAGCTTGCAGTGAGCCGAGATCGCGCCACTGCACTCCAGCCTGGGCGACAGAGTGAGACTCCGTCTCAAAAAAAAAAAATAGTGAAATAAATTCATGAAAGATAAGCTCCTTGAAGTCTGGGACCATTATGACTCATAAATTTCTGTATAACTTTTCCCAACTACCTCATCACATTGCCACATTATCTTATGAGTTCTCAAAATACGGTTCTTGATGATGAAGCCATAGACAACAAATTTACCTTAAAAATCTAGGAAGAGCTAGGTACGGTGGCTCACACTTGTAATCTCAGCATTTTGGGAGGCTGAGGCAGGAGGATTGCTTGAGCCCAGGGGTTTGAGACCAGCCTGGGCAACATAGTGGGACCTTGTCTCTACAAAAAATAAAAAATTAGCCGGGCATGGTGGTACATGCCTGTGGTCGCGGCTACTGGGGAGGCTGACGTGGGAGGATTACTTGGGCCCAGGAGTTCAAGGCTGCAGTGAGCCGTGATTACACCACTGCACTTTAGCCTGGGTGGCAGAGTGAGATCCTGTTTAGAAAAACAAAACAAAAAGACAAAAATCTGGGAAGACAAAGGGACTGTTCTAACTGTTCCCTCCCTCTCCTTGGATTATGAATTCCCTGGATCTGCCACAGTGGGCTTCTTCCCAATATTTGGGCCTCAAATGCCACATTCTTGGCCTTCCTGCACCACCAAATTTAACCGAACTACTCTTTATCACCCTGTCCTCTGAGACAGGGTGTCCTGAGATGACCTTAATGTATGCTTTTATTTTAACGAAAGTTTCTGATGAAAAATTTGTTGTGATAAATCTAACAGTTACACCAACTCAATCCCCCAAATCTTGGAATCTTTCCTGGGTCTGGGGTCCAAATCTTTGAACCAATAGTGGTTGACAAGACCCAAAGCCAAAGCATTTCCTCACCCCCTTAGTCAATCACCCTGGTCTCCCTTTCCCCTTTTACCCTCTGAACTCTCGGGGCAATGAGTATTTAATGGTTTTGAAAATTCTTCCTTTCCATCAAGGAACAGTGTTAATAATTCCATCCCCTGAAGAAATTTCCAGGGTTTTAGAGTCAATATGATAAAACGCCTTTTAAAAGTGGGCTATAGGTGCTTTTCTAACCACTCTGTGTAATTCTAATAGATTGCGTAATTCCTTACAAAGGTCCTGGATGCTCACCACCCACATCTCCAGCCTAAAACTAGGTTATGAGTAAAATGAAAACTGCAAAAAAAAAAAAAAAAAAAAAAAACTCTTCAATTTTCAACTTCCCATAAAGTCCTCAGCTCGTTGCATACCTCACAGGCATGGAAATCCAGATTGTGCAAAGAGGTCAAGAACCTGAATAATTATTCCACTCGTAACCAAACAGTAATAGACACTCCCTTTGAAATTGTGGAAATTCTCATTTCCACACTAAAGCCAAGGGAACACAGCCGGGATGTGATGTCAGCAGGCAAGAAGACTGAAAGTGGACTTTGATTAATTACCTGATTGGTTCCTGCCCCACTTAGACCTGAATGAAGCAAGTCTGCCACATTGAAAGGTTTGGGGAATTTTAGGTGGAAGAGGGGTGGGATGGGACGGAGAGGCTTTATCTAGTCTGAACCATTCATAGTTTGGGAAAGTGCCCAAGTGAAAACAATTGAACACCAAATCATTTTCCCACGAGGCTGGCAGAGTTCTTCATAGACTATCAAGTTTCAACTGCTTTGTAAACTCTATGAAGACATCTTTAAGGCCCTACATTTTTCCCCCTGGAGAAATGTCTTCACTCCAAGAGGTTAGCCTAGGAAGATATCATTATCTTCAAGCCACAACAACCAATCCCCTAGGCCCCCCATCCTGAAATTCTTGAACCCTGTGCTCCACCCTAACTCAGCTCAGGAAACTGATAAGCAGCTGTAAAAATAGACGTAAAACATTCTCTCCCATTCAAATCAGCGGGCACAGTTTGCACTTTAAAAAAAATGGGGCCAGGAGGTTGTTCTTTTCCACTTTTAAAAAAGTTATGGACTAAAACACAACTAAGCAACCACATATATTACAAAGTGAATTTGTCTCCTCATTAGCTCTTACGTAGCTTATATGTTTGTATGTATGTATTCATTTAAAACTCTGTTTTATCAACATTTTAAAACATCCACAAAGGTAGAGAGACTTGTACATTGAATATAATACAGACTCAACACCCAGCTTCAATGATTATCAATGTAAATTCATTCCATTTTAATGTTCTTCTGATTAAACACAAAATCTCAGAGCACATATTCAGGGCAACTTAAATCTATGCTCCTGGGTTTAAAAAAATATATATGCACACAAAAGCTTGCCATGAGAATGTATCCATGTACAACATTTAATTTTTTATAATACATATTAATTTCTGTGGAGTTTTTGGTCAAAAGAGTAAAACTTCACAAATTCTGACTAATTAGCTACAACCCTGTCCAAACTGTTGAAAAAGTTGCCTTATATGACTTTTTATTATTTATTTATTAATTTTTGAGATAGTGTCTTGCTCTGTCGCCCAGCTTGGAGTGCAGTGGCGTGATCTCAGCTCACTGTAGCCTCTGCCTGCCAGGTTCAAGCGATTCTCCTGCCTCAGTGTTCCAAGTAGCTGGGATTACAGGTGTGCACCACCATGCCCGGCTAATTTTTGTATTTTTAGTAGAGATGAGGTTTCACCATGTGAGCCAAGCTGGTCTTGAACTCCTGACCTCAGGCGATCTGCCCACCTTGGCCTCCCAAAGTGCTGGGGTTACAGGTGTGAGCCACTGCACCCAGCCTTATACAACTTTTTAAAAGGCAATTTTATCACTTCCAAATGATAATATCATAAAAGTATTGCCAAGGAGAGTTTCTGTCAGATTTGCCTTAATAAACACACAAATGGTAACTATAACATTATGAATTATCTTTGCATGCAAATAGGTGCTTCTAAATAATTAAAGATATATTAATCAGCTTGGGCTGCCATAACGAAATACCATAGACTGTGTGGCTTAAACAACAGAGATGTATTTTTTTCACAGTTCTGGAGACTGGAAGTCTGAGATCAGGGTGCCAGCAGGGTCAGATTCTAGTGGGAGCTCTCTTCTTGGGTTACAGACAGCCACCTTGTCACTGTGTCCTTACAAGGCAGAGAGAGAGCAAGCTCTCTGATGTCTCGTCTTATAAGGATGCAAATGGCCAGGCACAATGGCTCACACCTGTAATCCCGGCACTTTGCAGGGCTGAGGTGGGCAGATCACTTGAGCTTAGGAGTTCAAGACCAGCCTGGGCAACATAGCCAAACTCTGTCTCTAATAAAAATTCAAAAATTAGCCAGTTGTGGTGGTGCACCTGTAGTCCCAGCTACTTGGGAGACTGAGATGGGAGGATCCATTGAGCCTGGGAGGTCGAGGCTGCAGCAAGCTATGATTGTGCTACTGCACTCCATCCTGGGTGACAGAATGAGTCCCTGTCTCAAAACAAAAAGGGGTGGAGCGCTAATCCCAACATGAGGGTCCTACCCTTATGAGCTCATTTAAACCTACTTACCTCCCAAAAGCCCCATCTCCAAATACTGTCACGTTGGGGGTTAGAGCTTCAATGTGTGAATTCGGGGGTATACAATTTGGTTCCTAATAAGCTTTAGACAAGTTCATCACAAACATCACAAATTCCATATTAGAGCTAGGGGGGATAGCTGCTTTCGCTACAAACAGTTTAGCTTGGAGTTTATAGTTAACTATCAAAGCTTACCTAATAATGCTCAGCATAAATGCTAAGATCTTCTGAAAGTAGAACACAAACCTGGCTTGTGTTTTTTTAAAGATCAGTGAATTTTTTTATTGACAGAAATTAGGATGCTTACCAAGAGACCTGGAAAAAATCCAGGCTTTCAAACTTCCCTTGGAATTTGCAAGTGGGTAATTCATTATTCTGCTCCTGTCCTGATAAGTCATGGTTTCTGTGGCTGCCCAGCTGTTGGTGGCTGAACTCTCCCACAAAGGTGACCCCACTGTAAAAGTGAAGTCATCGTGACTGAGCATGGCTGAGAACTCCCCTTGGGAGGTGCAGGGGCATTGGTTCTTATTATAAGAACTCTCTGACTGGAGATGAAAGTGCTTTGGGAACATGGGGCCAAACCTTTTCAACTAAGAGCAGGAAGATGGTACTTCATGAAGGGTATTTGACTTGCCAACATCCTGAGATATAACTTAAGAATGATCTATAACTGGCTGGGCGCGGTGGCTCATGCCTGTAATCCCAGCGCATTAGGAGGCTGAGGTGGGCGGATCACCTGAGGTTGGGAGTTTGAGACCAGCCTGACCAAAATGGAGAAACCCCTAAAAATACAAAAATTAGCTGGGTGTGGTGGCGCATGCCTGTAATCCCAGCTTCTCGGGAGGCTGAGGCAGGAAAATTGCTTGAACCCAGGAGGTGGAGTTTGCAGTGAGCAGAGATCGTGCCATTGTTCTCCAGCCTGGGCAACAAGAGCAAAACTCCACCTCAAAATAAAAAAATAAAAAAATAAATCTATAACTCATCATAGTGAAATATTTTTCTTCTTAAAATTTATTTTCCAGTTTTTATTTTAGAATCAAGGGGTACATGTGAAGGTTTGTTACAAAGGTATATTGCATGATGCTGAGGTTTAGAATAGAAATGAATCTGTCACCCACTGGGTAGTGAGCACAGTACCCAATAGCTAGCTTTTCAGCCCTTACCTACCTCCCTTGCTTCCCCCTCTAGTAGTCCCCAGTATCCATTGTTCCCATCTCTGTGTCCCCACATACCCAGTGTTTAGCTCCTACCTATAAGTGAGAACATGCAGTATTTGGCTTTCTGTTTCTGCATTAGTTTGCTTAGGATAATGGCCTTCAGATGCATCCATGTTGCTGCAAAAGACACGATTTTGTGCTTTTTAATGGCTGCATAGTATTCCATGGTGTATATGTAGCACATTTTCTTTATCCAGTCTACATAGTGAAATCTTGTCTTGATATTCTCCTGGAAGCTGGAAGCAGATATTGAAAATGAGCATGCTTAGTTTGAGGAGTAGCAACAAATTAACTGGACTATAGCTCATTATACATATACTTATTATACCTTATTTATAGTATTACTGCTTGAGGGCTAAGATTATGGGCTTGGGAATTCAGGAAGTTCTGAATTCAAATCCTGACTCCAACATTAGTAGCTATGTGACCTTGGGCTAATTTCTAAATTTCCCCATTAAAAAAAAGAAAATCTCTAAAATGAAGATAATACTACTACCTACCTTCTCTAAGTGGTTATAAGGAATAAATAAGATAATGTATATAAGTAGCTTGGCATAGCATCTGGTATAGAGTAAGAGCCAAATAAATGGTGAGTACTATTATTTGCCCAGCATAATTGAACTTCAACCATTATAATTAACTACACTTGTGAAATCCGAGTGAAAGATTGCTTTAGTTATCGCAACAACCTGAAACACCTTCTCCAAGGGAGGGAGGTGGTTTTTAGAACTTTTCTCAGTGTTAGTTTGCATATCTTTGGGGTATTTTAAAAGGTGCTAAACAGTATTTGTTAGCACTTTACAGTATCCTTCTGGTTCATAGGATTTTTGTAGCTTATTTGCCACTTACATAAGAAGCTGTGTCTTCTTTAAGTCCCATTTTGCAGGAAATAGTGGGGCTATTTACCACGTACTTTTCAGAAATAAGTTAAGCAGTAAGAAATTCAGGCAAGGTTCTGGGGATACATATACAGCACAACAACATAAATAAGGGGTCTCCATGTAATATACAATACCACTAAAAATAATAGTTTACTTCCCCAGTGGCATAGAAGGTGCCTGAATGGGCTTCTCTGATTATTGCAATCATAGTGACAAGACCAGCTTGAGCTGTCAGGAGCCCTGGGGTGTACCCAGTGAGATGGCCCAGCCTAGATTGGCCTCTATTTCCCATTTATTGTGAGGAATGCAGCGTTTGCCTTGGTGAGTGTGAAATTCATCTGTCGATTTCGAGGGGAAAGCTGGAGGCCGAAGATTAAGTGAGAAGACAAAAATCTTTCGGCAAAACATTGTGAAGTGGTAATACAGCAATAATGCTCTCGAGTCTCATTTCCCACCAGTGAGGTGCTTGAGAATAGTGGGTCTGATTAAGACAGAGAAAAAATGTGCCAGAAAATAAAAAGTGGAAATCTTGCTTTGTGGTCTCTTTGCTCGCTGCAAAAATTTTCTGAGTACTAAGAGCAACGAAGGGTTGGTGGAACATTCTGTATTTATGAATCGTGTAAATCAAATCTTATTAATTGAATTCTAAAACAACGGGGTGATTAGAAAATTATGGAGGAAAATGCTTCATCAGTGTGAAGCCTTGCCAGCTGCTGCATTGGTGTCGTAACACATGCCTTGGTAGAATTACGGCATTCTGGTGCCAGGAGTGTCCCAGTTAATCAGATCTGTTAGGATATTGGACAACCGTGCAAGCTTGGTGGGCCTGTGACTATGTGTTCAGATTCCTTTGTCCTAATGGTTATCACACAGTATTTCTGTCTTTAATACTATAACAACCCCTTCTAAAGGTGAATAAAAATTCTCTATTGATGCTTAACGTTTGCGGAAATTATTTTGAGTATAATTTTTTTTTTTTTTTTTTTTGAGACAGGGTCTCAATCTGCCATCCAGGCTGGAATGCAATGGTGCAGTCTTGGCTCACTGCAACCTCCGCCTCCTGGGTTCAAGCGATTCTCTTGCCTCAGTCTCCCGAGTAGCTGGGATTACAGGCGCCTGCCGCCACGCCCAGCTAATTTTTGTATTTTTAGTAGAGACGGGGTTTCACCATGTTGCCAGGCTGGCCTCAAACTCGTGACCTCAGGTGACCCGCCCACCTCAGACTCCCAATATTTTGAATTTAACATTATCTTAAAATGCTATTTTAAGATAATGAGAAATATTATCTTAAATTTATTTAAGAAATTTATTTAAGAAATTTATTTAAGAAATAAAACCAGGTACAAAATCCTAGTATTTACAGTTCTTATCAACCAAAGGCTTTTTTGTTTCAGATTAAATTTAAACAGAATTATGGAGCCAGTGATATTTAAATTGACAATACTAATTTAAGGAGATGGATGATGTTATTTTGCTGAACTAAGTAACTGATTACAACATAAACATGGTACTACTGATTGCCACAGGGCAAGTTCTTTTGATTTTGGTGCATTTATAAAACGACTTCTCTCAACTTTTTTTAATTTGAACTTTGAGATTACCTTAATTAATATGGTAGCAATGCATCATTCACATACGGTGGCCAACTCTGCTCTTTTCTCATTTGCCAGGGACAACTGGGGAATGCTATGCTATGCCAATTTGATCACAAACACAATGCAAATGTGAGTTAACTCATGAGGCAGTGCTCAGTTATGAAGTAGTCATCTTGTTTTTGTTTTGTTTTTTGAGATGGAGTCTCGCTCTGTCACCCAGGCTGGAGTGCAGTGGCACGATCTCGGCTCACTGCAAGCTCTGCCTCCTGGGTTCATGCGATTCTCCTGCCTCAGCCTCCGGAGTAGCTGGGATCACAGGCGCCCACGACCATGCCCAGCTAATTTTTGCATTTTTAGTAGAGACGGGGTTTCACCACGTTGGGCCAGGCTCGTCTTGAACTCCTGACCTCAAATGATCCAACCGCCTCGGCCTCCCAAAGTGCTGGGATTATAGGCGTGAGCCACCGTGCACGGCCTGTCATCTTGTTCTTAATGAAATGTTCTATGGTAGCCCTTCACCGACATGGCTGTTGAGCACTTAAAGGGGACAACTGCAAACAGGAACAGAATTTTTAGTTAATTTCCATTTAAGTAGCCACTTTGTGACTAATGGCTACTGTGCTGGATAGTGCAGAATCCTAGTTCATACATTTATTATGTTTTTTTTTAGATGCTCGTTGAAATAAAATCACCAGCTGTGTGAGTAGGGCAATGTATTTAACCTTTCTAACCCTCCGAGCTTTTATCTGTAAATTGGGGATGACGAGATATAACACATTTAATCACTTAGCATAGTGCCTGGACAGGAACAGCACACAACCTCCAGTGTTGCAAATGGGTGATGGGCCTGGGGGAGGGTCTGTCCTCATCAAAGTTTCCATTACTGCTTCCTCAAGCCACTCCTGGGCATGCTTATTTTTTGAAATACATGATTGACGTTTTCTCCAGCTTATCTGAAGTGTTATTAAAGGCCTCTTTAGATAGTGTTGCAATTTTGATTAATCTATAACAGGTAAACTAAATAAAAAGAGTGTGTTTACCATGCAAATGTAGTTTCCATTAGTCACTTGCCACGTAGCCTTCTGCCTTCCTATTAGATTACCCCCTACCCACCACCTCCAGTGAGCTGCTTCTGATCTCAGATAACTGTCATAGATGCATTGAACAGCCAGGGCATTTAGGACCTCATCTTGATTTGTCTGGAAAGCAGGAAGCCTAAATCCCCTTCAGGCTGTGGGGGAACAGTATGAAACAGGCTGTTACACTGTCCCCTCTGCTTCTGCTCCTGTGGGGTTGCTCTTCCACTCCCCAGGCCCAATTTACAACCCCACTTTCTGACTGGCAAACACCCTGCATTATTTTTCAGAATCTGCTCAAGCTTCCCCTCATCTACAGAATCTTTCCTGACCCTCCAAGATAAAATGGATCTCCTCTATGCTTGCCTTCACCCTGTATCTTACATAGGCTTCCATCACAGCTGCCGTAATTTTTCGTATTTATTCTTACCTTATGTTATGGATAGCGTTGTGTCCCCCAGAAAGACATGCTGAAGTCTTAACTCCAAAAACCTCAGAATGGGACCTTATTTGGAAATAGAGTCTTTGCAGATATAATTATGTAGTTAATGACACCAGTAATACTGCAGTAGGGTTAATGATACCTGTAATACTGGAGCAGGGTTGGCCCTTAATCCGATATGACTGGTGTCCTTATAAGAAGAGAAGAGTCACACACATGGATGCACAAGGGGAGAATGCCATGTGACAATGGAGGCAGAAATGGAAGAGCTGCAACTGTAAGCTAGGGAATGCCAAGAATTGCAGAGAAAGCACCAGAAGCTAGGAAGATGCGAGAAAGGATTCTCACTTCCAGGTTTCAGAGGGAGCATGGCCCTGGGGACACCTTGATGTCAGAATTCTTGCCTCTAGAACCTTGAGACAATGAATTTCTGTTTTTTTAAGCCACCCAGTTTGTGGTACGTTGTTAAGGCAGTCCTAGGAAACCAATACACCTAACTAGACCATAAGTTCCTTAGAAACAAAGACCTTGTTTGATTTATTTATGTGGTCTTGGCAGTTGTTGCAGTGTCTGAACCAGTAAGAGGGATCGGCAAACCTGGCTGAATGGATAAATGAATGAACACGGAACCTGTTCTTTTGCCTTAACCTGGTCTTAAATTGGAACTGCCAAAAAATTACTTTAAATCTTTTTTCTTTCCTTTTTTTTGAGATGGAGTCTTGCTCTGTCGCCTAGGCTGCAGTGCAGTGGCTCATTGCAACCTCTGCCTCCCAGATTCAAGTGATTCTCCTGCCTTAGCCTCCCAAGTAGCTGGGATTACAGGCACCTGCTATCATACCCAGCTAATTTTTGTATTTTTAGTAGAGACGGGGTTTCACTGTGTTGGCCAGGTTGATCTCGAACTCCTGACCTCAGGTGATCTGCCTGCCTCAGCCTCCAAAATGCTGGGATTACAGGTGTGGCCGCTCCTGGCCAAATTACTTTAAATCTATTCAGTGCTACTGCATATGGCCACACAGGCTAGGCACTGCATGATTCTAGAGTTGTGCAATGAGGTGACCTTCAATTATTTGTCACTGTATAACTTGATCTACATAAAGAAAATCAACAGTACAGTGAACCACCATGCCATCTGTTAGAAAAACCACTACCGTTGGGAGATTCAGCTCTTACTCACCCAGCCAAATAGCAGGAGCCATAAGTAGTTATCCTCTAGGGCAGGCTTTGGTAAACTACGGACCTCTGGCCAAGCCCAGCCTACAGCCTGTTTTTGTAAATAAAGTTTTACTAAAACACAACCATGCTCAGTAATTTACATACTGTCTATGGCTGCTTTAGTGCTGCAGTGAGAGAGCTGAATGGTTGTGATGAACAGTGGATGTGCTGGAGCCTATAAAGCCTAAACTATTTACCATCAAGCCCCTTACAGATAAAGTTTGCTGAGCCCTGCTCTAGATGATTTAAATTAGTAGATATTGCCAGAATGTTTCACATTAAGTGATAAAGATCCCACTTTGAAACTGAAACCACCCATTTTATCACACATTAGAAGATTCTACACTACTAGCGTTAATGTAGACGTGCCAAAAAGAAAATTATGTGTAGAAAATAATGTATTTCTTCCTCAGAATGGGAGGCAGGGGTTAGAAATAAAAGAGTGTGAGAGCTTATTTATGTGTATATGTGAATAGGAAGGTGTAGGTGGAGTAAATTCCAAGCAAAAACATAACATATGCAACTTACACAATTAGGTGCTCTATATAGGAAATGTTTTGAACTGTGTCCAGTTACCCAAATTGGAAAGAAGCGAGAGCTGGAGAAATGGATAGAGACCTATTATGAAGTCCGGGAGGAGAAATGTTTATGAGAAAAGTGCTGCCTGCAGTTTTTTTCCTTCTGGAAGGTATTGTGGAAAGTCTTAGACCTTCCTGAGCAGTACCTTGCATCAGGTACATGCTGCCATGTGATCCCATCACCCAGGCCTCAACTGATTGGGCCAAAGCTGGATGCTTGATCCAAAGGTCAAAGGCCTGTGGAAAACCTGGTACAAGGGCTCTGCCCAGTAGGAGTGGATACTGGCCACACCAACCACATGTTTTCTCCTGGGGAGTTTGAACTAGAAGCCTATGGAGACATCAGCAAATCTATGTATATTATATTTCAAGAATGTTTCACATTAAGTGATAATAATATATTGATATATAATATATATCAAGATTTGCAAATATTATATATCAAGATTAGCAAAAGCAGAAACAGAGTAGTTGTCACTACAATGACAGGGCAATTGTTACCTAAGAGGATAAGTAGAAAACCTGGTCATAAAAGTGACATTGTGTCCTGCATGATGCTGCCGTTTCCAGAGGTCTGACCTTGCCATGGGGGCTGTATCATTAATCACGACCCAGTTTGTTCCTTTCTTTGAGACAGGGTCTCAGTCTATTGCCAAGCCTGGAGTGCGGTGGCATGATCATGGCTTACTGCAGCCTCAACCCCCGGGGCTCAAGTGATCCTCCTGCCTCAGCCTCCCAAGTAACTGGGACCACAGTCACGTGCCACTACACCCAGCTAATTTTAAATTTTTTGTAGAGACAAGGTCTCACTATGTTACCCAGGCTGGTCTCAAACTCCTGGGCTCAAGTGATCCTCTCACCTCAGCCTTCCAAAGTGCTGAGATTATAGGCAAGAGCCACCAAGCCTGGTCTATTCTATTTTTGCTGCTGTTCAGGGATGGGTTTAGTTCATAGTCAGCTAAGTTTTCCTCTTTTATCACTTCAGCCATGCTCTTCCCATCCTCTGTTCCCGTAACTCTCTGTCTTTTATCTGCAGGTGCCTTACAAACTCTAACCTTCAACCAACCCCGCCATGTATTTCTCTTCTTCTACATGTGGGTGGTTTAGGGCTGCAGGAAAACATATTACCCACCCACTGTGTGGGTGGCATTGTGAGTGCATGGCTTCTAACCTCAGCGGGACCTGCTTGTCTATTTGGAAGTTCCTTTATGTGTCTGTATTTGGCTCCCTCTACTATTCCTCACGGCTGGTATTGTAAAGTTTCAGCACTCTCCAGGCTTCCGTCTTGGCCCACTGCAACCTCCGCCTCCCAGGTTCAAGAGATTCTCGTGCCTCAGCCTCCTGAGTGACTGGGATTACAAGCATGCACCACCATGCCCAGTTAATTTGTTGTATTTTTAGTAGAGATGGTGTTTTGCTACGTTGGCCAGGTGGTCTTGAACTCCTGGCCTCAAGTGATCTGCCCGCCCCTGCCTCCCAAAGTGCTGGGATTACAGGTGTGAGCCATCAACCCTGACCAGGCTTCCATTTTCATGGCTTACCTCGAATCCGATCTCAGAGAACTGAATCCTCAATTTCCGGACTCCCTCCAGCAACTTATAGAAACCTGTACCCTTTCTTTCCTGCTTTCCTGTTTCTAAGGAAAAGGTACTGCTTCTTCTGTTCAAAGCTAATCCTTCCAGCTGCGCTCTAGATTCCAAGATCTATTCTTGATTCCAACCTTGTTCCCATGCAGTTATTCCCTCTCATTCTTACATCTGCCATTTCTTCCTGGTCCATGCTTTCTTTCCTTCAGATTATGTACAAGTTCATCCTCCTCTTTAAAATGCCCTTTTTTGACCCTTTATAACCTACTAGCTAGCATCTTACTGAACTCATTCATTTTAAAGCTGCTCATCTTAAAAGGTATAGAAAATTCTGGAAATTTAATATGGAGAACTGAAGTGATTTAAGAGAACCCCATCTCCCAGTTCAAGTACATAGAAATGCTGCTTAAAATATAACAAGCTTTTAAATTTTAAATAAATAATGGAGTTCAAATTGAGTAACAGGTGTCTCCAGGTCCTAGAAATGAAAGAAGTTTTAAAAACCAGAATGAGAGAGAACCAAAAGCAAATGGCTGTTGGGATGTTGGAGTCTGAAATAGGTCTTACTGGTTGGAAGCTGGGGTTCCAACAGCAGCATGAGGAGCAGAGTGTAGGTTTCAGAACCCATGTTGAGGGAGAGTGAGCCTCAGCGACCAACATCCAGCTCCAATCTCAAAGATCTGCAGCATGTACAAAATGGGAGCTACAAAAATTCCTCTAACCAGCCTCTGAAAGTGTTAGCCAAGCTGGATATCAACTTGAGGCAACATATGGGAAAAGATTTATCAATGAGAAAGCAAAACTCAAGGCCACCCTACCCATCAATGGAGTGTTGGACCTGAACTCACACCTCCCATGTGGTGCTGTGATCCTAGCTGAGGCATTAACATGAACACTTATCCAGAACAAGTGATACCCAAGGGCCTTCTGCAGAGGCAAATGCAAAACTGCCCTGTAGGGACATTCCTATAACCCAGGGCATATGGGACCATCCTCATTGAAGATAAGCTTAGAATAAAAATTTGTAAACTAGGCAAGAAAAAAAATCATTTCAAGAGTTAGCATGAACCATTCAGAAGAGGATTTGCACTCTTTTTTTTTTTTGAGACAGAGGCTCACTCTGTTGCCCAGGCTGGAGTGCAGTGGCATGATCTTGGCTCACTGCAATCTCTGCCTTCCAGATTCAAGTGATTCTCCTGCCTCAGCCTCCCAAGTAGCTGGGATTACAGGTGCCTGCCACCACACTCAGCTGATTTTTGTATTTTTAGTAGAAACGGCGGTTTCACCGTGTTGACCAGGCTGGCCTCGAGATTCACACTCAGAACTAGAAATAATAGCCCAATCTGAAAGAAACTTTCAAATGTTTAAAAATATAATAGAAATATAAAGGAAAAATAGTGTCTATTAGGCAACAAAGGGACAGTATTAAAGAAGAGCAGGTGAATCTGAAAAAAAACTCTAGAAATGAAAACTAGTTTTTGAAAATTAAAACTCAGTGGTTGGTTAATAGTAGTCTGGACATAGCTGAAAAGAAAAGCCATCAATTATCTAAGAAATGCAGCTCAGAAAAAGATAAAGGAATAATGTGAAGGAGCAGTTGGGGGTCATGGAGGACAGAATGAAAGGGTTCAAGGTGCATCTCATTGAGTTCCAGAAGGAGAGTGTGATATCCTTATTGCTGACTTTCAAATATTTTCTGCTATCCCTCTGGACACATGGGATATTTGTGTACTTCCTCACCACCTGGAACTTAGGTGTGGTCATGTGACTTACTTTAGTCAATGCAATGTGAGCGGAAGTGATACATGTCTCTTCTGGGCAGGTGATTGAAGACTCATGCACACAGGAAGCTGAGGCAGGAGGATTGCCTGAGTCCAGGAGTTCGAGGCTGCAATGAGTTATGATCTTGCACCACTGCACTCCAGCCTGGGTGACAGAGAGTGAGCATGCCTCTAAAAAAATAAAAAATAGAAAGACTCAATGCACAATTCATAACACTCTTATTTTATTTTATTATTAATTAATTAATTAATTAATTAATTTTTTACTTCTGCCAAGGCAACCAGCAGCATTCCAGGTGGTGGTGGTTCTGTCAACTGAATTTCAGACTAAAGGCAACACAGGGCAGAGTCCACCCCTAATAGACATGTAGCAAATGTGAGGAATAAATCTTATTGTTTTAAACTATAAAGATAGTGAGATTGTTTGTTCTGCAGTATAAGATAGTCCATCTTGACTGATATAGGGAAAATGGCAAGCAGAGATGACAGACATCAAAGAGCTAATACACTTTTCAGAATTAAAAAATGATACGAGTCTTTGGATTAAATGAAAATATTGAGTCCTGAGTAAGACAAAAACAAATCCACAATCAGACGCAACATATTGAAACTGCCAAACATAAAAGCATACTTCATCTAGTTAAATCCTCATCATAACTCTATTACATCATATTACCACTCACATATTATATGTGAAGAAGCCAAATAAGTCTGTTTTATGGCTGCAGAGAGAGGAAGGTATAGAAGCAGAATTCAAACTTAAATCTGTCTCCCAAAGCCCATCCTTTCCCAAATCTCATTTGAAATTTCATTTTCACTTTACAACATTCCTGTAAAATGACTTATTTTCCCACTTTATAGATAAGAAAACTGAGGCTCATCAATGTTAGATGACTTGTCCAAGCACATAAAACCATAAATGGTGGGGCTGAGGTTTGAACTCAAGTCTTGTTGGCTTCGAAGCCCAGACTTTTTTTTTTTTCTATGTCATACTGCCTTCCATAATTTCTCTAGAATTTAGCTTACATATTGTTATCATTAAATTTTCCACGTTTACTCTCCAACCACAGTGGTCTTCCTGCTCCTCCTAGAACACACCAGGTATGCTTTAGCCTGAAGTCTGCCTTTGCTATTCTTCTGCCTAGAATGTTCATTTCCCAGACAGCACAATGACTCTCCATTCAGGTTTCAGTTCAAATTCTTTTTGTTTTGTTTTGTTTTGTTTTTGACACAGGGTCTCACTCTGTCACCCAGGCTGGAGTGCAGTAGCACAATCATGGCTCACTGCAGTCTTGACCTCCTGGCCTCAAGCAATTCTCCCACCTCAGCCTCCTGAGTAGCTGGGACTATAGGTGCACACCACCATGCCTGGCTAATTTTTTTTTTTTTTTGGTATTTTTTTGTAGAGCCAGGTTTTCACCATGTTGCCTAGACTGGTCTTAAACTCCTGAGCTCAAGTGATCCTCCTGCCTCAGCCTCCCAAAGTGCTGGGATTACCTGGCTAAATTCTATCTTGATAGGCTGGCCTTCCCTGACCACCTTCATCCCTAATGTTCCATCATCTTACCCTGCTTTATTTTCTTCATAGGTAGTATATTTATCCAGCATTATCAATCAACATATTTATGTGCTTATTGTCTGTCTCTCCCTCTCTAGTAAAAGCTGCTTGAGAGTGGATTCTTTATTTTGTTATATTTCCTCAATTGCTCAATAAATATTTGTTGGATGAATGAATGAACAAATTAGCCACAGAGTGTCTGCTCTTAGCACTACTGAACCTCATAAGAATAACAGGAAATAAAGACCCTGGGACACATGGGAGAGCAGACCTCATCACAAAGCAGGGCTAGACATGAGGCAGCCTAGCAGCAAAGGCAAGGCATTATCTACACCCCAGCCTTTTCATTCAAAGAACACCTAATGCTCTTTATTTTATTTTTTATTTTTATGTGTTTATTTTTTGAGACGGAGTCTCACCCTGTCGCCCAGGCTGGAGTGCAGTGGCAAGATTTCAGCTCACTGCAACCTCTGCCTCCTGGGTTCAAGTGATTCTCCTGCCTCAGCCTCCTGCGTAGCTGGGATTATAGGCACACGCCACCATGCCCAGCTAATTTTTGTATTTTTAGTAGAGACGGGATTTCCCCATGTTGGCCAGGCTGGTCTCGAACTCCTGACCTCAGGTGATCCACCCACCTCAGCCTCCCAAAGTGCTGGGATTACAGGCGTGAGCCACCGTGCCTGGCCCTTTTATTTTTTTGAGACTGAGTCTCACTCTATCACCCAGGCTGGAGTGCTGTGGCACGATGTCGGCTCACTGCAACCTCCGCCTCCCAGGTTTAAGTGATTCTCCTGCCTCAGCCTCCTGAGTAGCTGGGATTACAGGTGCCTGTCACCATGCCCTGCTAATTTTTGTATTTTTAGTAGAGACGGGGTTTCACCCTGTTGGCCAGGCTGGTCTTGAACTTCTGACTTCAAGTGATTTGCCTGCCTCAGCCTCCCAAAGTGCTGGGATTACAGGGTGTGAGCCACTGTGCCCGGCCTGCCCTTTACTTTAAATGCCCCACACATGGTCATATGAAGAGATTGGTTTACCTTACCCACCTTTGACTTTACAGTCTGATCCTTTTCCCCTAATACCTTAGTATTCACTCACTGGGTCAACAGTACTTCTTCCTATGAGAGGGTGAGTCCACAAAGGGCTGCTCTGTCATTCTCCACCATGTGTACACCTATATTTTCTCCTTTTCTTTCCTTTTCTACTCTTCCATGCAGCAACAACTCTGTGAGGTAGATATTATGACCTCTCCCTGGCTTCATTTCATAGATGAGAAAACCTCAGCTCAGAGAAGCTAAGGGATTTATCCAAGATCACACAGCTGTTAGGAGCCCAAGCTTGGATTTGAACTTAGGATGGATGGTGTTATGGGTTGTTTTCCCCCCAAAAGATATGGTGAAATCCTAACCATCCAATACCCCAGAATGTGATGGAATGTGATCCAGTCATGGAATAGAAATAGGGTAGTTGCTGATGTAATTAGTAAAGGTGAGGTTATACTGGAGCAGGGTCAGTCCCTAATCCAATATGATGGTGTCCTTACAAAAAGAACACTATGGCTGGGCGCGGTGGCTCACACCTGTAATCCCATCACTTTGGGAGGCCGAGGCGGGCAGATCACCTAAGGTCAGGAGTTCAAGACAAGCCTGACCAATATACTGAAACCCCATCTCTACTAAAAATACAAAAGTTAGTCAGGCATGATGGTGGGTGCCTGTAATCCCAGCTACTTAGGAGGCTGAGACAGGAGAATTGCTTGAACCTGGGAGGTGGAAGTTGCAGTGAGCTGAGATCACATCACTGCACTCCAGCCTGGGCAACAGAGCGAGACTCTGTCTCAAAAAAAAAAGGAAAAAAGAAAAGAACACTAAGTGAAGTGACAGGGACGCATGGCGAGTACCACGTGATAATAGAGGATGAGAGGCCCAGAAGCACCAAGGATGGCAGGCAAACCCCCAGAAGCCAGGAAAAGGCAAGGAAGGATTCACCAACAGGTGTCACAGGGGGTATGGCCAAACTTCCAGCCTCCAGAACAGACATAAATTTGTGTCATTCGAAACTACCCAGTTTGTGGTGCCTTGTTACAGCAGCCCTAGGAAACCACTGCAGGTGGTGAAGCCATCTTTCCTCTGTGCCACACCATCTTCCAACTTTGGGACAGAGTTGACTTATATGGCATGAGCTGAGAAGGAATGCATGCCAAAAGGGTCTGCAGACTTCACTTCATCTGAAATACCAAAAACAGAACCAGGAAGTGCCTAAACCATCTTATTCACATTGATATCAGTGAATATGAAGAAGTTAAGTCCCTCAATTGTCTTGGGACAAGCTGGCTCACCAGGTAGAGGACACCAGAGAAAATGAGCTATTCCCCCAGACGCCTCCTCAACAGGTGTTTGTTACTGCCTTCCTCCCAATCCCCAATTTAGGCTGATACCTAGGCACCTCCCTAATTATACGCAAGATGCTTTCCTCTTCTGTTCTTTTTTCTTCTCCTCTTCCCCAACTCCAACTTACCGCTACTGTGTTTCTTCAAGTTTTCCGTGGTTTTGCCTTAAATCTGGCAGTGGCATCAAAAAGCATTCCTTTAATCCCACTGGAAGAAAACCGAATACCAAAATATCTGATCCCTGCTCCGCTACTTCAGTGCACATGGATTCCTTTGAACAATGTTACCACTCTCCCTGGTGATGCTGTCAGGGCAGGGAGTTGGGGATGGAGAAGGCAGAGAGAGACAGGATTGGTGCAGCAAGGAGGAGACTCGAGAGGGTAGAAAGGCACAGGACAGTAGATATGGACATGGGTGTCTGAGGGTCGCCAGCCCTTCCTCCTTGAATAGATGTTCTGAAGCCTCATGACCCTTAGGAAATAAGCATTTTCCGGTATTCTATTGCTTTTTGCTCTGAATCTTTGGTATTCTGATTTTTAGAAGTGGAAAAAATATTTTGATTTAAGCCATATGGTCTTTTCCTCCTTCCACTGGAGCTGTAGGAAACTCACAGGGGCAGGTGTGGAAAGCAGCGGCAGCAGGGTGGGTGGGTACATAGGCTCCATGTGTCTACAGCTTGTGCAATTCTGTAGCTATGGCAACCGTGTGCAATGCCACTCGTGTAGCCTCATAACACGGCCCGAGAGTTACCCCTGGCTCCTCAACTATTCCTCTTCAATGCACTATCTGTGCTGCTGTTTCCTAGCTACCATCGCTATGTTAGATTTTTTTTTTGAAGTCGTGCTCAAGTATTGTTTCTGTCTGCTATGCTTGTTGTCACTGCACCTTAGTTCATCTGATAGCACAAGTAGATAGCAAACCCAAAACCCATTTCTTACAGATACTGTTGGTTGTTAACAATTGTCTGCATTTTTTTTTTTTTTTTGAGACAGAGTCTTGCTCTGTTGCCCAGGCTGGAATGCAGTGGCGCGATCTCAGCTCACTGCAACCTCTGCCTCCCAGGTTCAAGCAGTTCAAGCGATTCTCCTGCCTCAGCCTCCCGAGTAGCTGGGATTACAGGCGCCCACCATCATGCCAAGCTAATTTTTCTATTTTTTGTAGAGAGGGGTTTTCACCATGTTGGCCAGTCTAGTCTCGAACTCCTGACCTCAAGTGATCCGCCTGCCTTGACCTCCCAAAGTGCTGGGATTACAGGCGTGAGCCACTGCTCCTGCCCAATTGTCTGTACTTAAACACGTTGTGTTAGAAAGATTCTTGAGGCCGTGGTCTGAATGAGATGACCCCTTGAGACTTTTTCTAGTTCTGCCAGTCCATGCTGGGTGGGCTCTGTCAGAGCTAATGATACTATCAATTGACTGCCTGCCTACTGAAAATCTGTTTTTTTTTTGTTTTGTTTTTTTGTTTTTGCCAGTTGTTACAATTTCCTGACAACAACAAGAGCAGTAAAATTAAAGTAAAATTTATAGCAATATATGCAAATATATCATATCCTATGAAGATTGTACATGAGTAATGTATGCATATGTACCACATAAAAGAAAGCTGCATTGTGTTAATTCTGAGAATATATGCACAAATGGTTTCTTTTATTTATTGTTAAAAACCATCTCCAAATGCTCAGAAATATTTCTGTTGTAATTAAATTTAAATGTTTTTTTAAAAATTCATGGGAGTTGGTAATTTACTATGTTCATATTTTAGTTTCCTTATGTTTGGTCATTAAGAGCGGTATCATAAACAGCTAAGATTTAAGGCCCTTCACCTTCCTGGGCTTCAACAGAAGCAGGATGTCAACACCCATAAGTTACAAGCAGTCTCCCCAAGGGACTGTAATACAAAATACACTTACAATTGAATTAACTTGGGAGAGGATTCTGGGAAGCTGACAGCATCAGCAGCATAGTTTTTCATTCTTTCTAAATCCTTGCATAAAAAAAAGAGAGATCAATTAGATAGAAAAACCAAAAATCCATGAGCAGCGTTTACTGCAAAACTAGGTGACAAGTGAGCCCCGCAAAATACAAGTGGGCAGAGATAAACCACCAACAGTTACAAGACATGCAGGGTATCAGTGTCTGTGTGGGAAAAAGAATAAAGGAGCTGCATCTGACAGGCCTGAGAACAGGAGGACCCCAAAATAGCCAACAGGCATTCACTGGAGAGACGTCAGGCCCATCTGAGAGAACAGCAGCTGAAACTGGTAGGGCTTTGGTCCAATACCAATGTCAAGCCCATGGGGACTAAGTCTGAAGGGGCTGTAGATGCCTAGCTCCTCTGAACTCTCAAAATCAACCTGCCAGGTCCCCTTTGCCAGACAGAGACTCACACTAAAGATAAGTTGCTTGGGGTGGAATAAAAATTGAACAGGACATGGACAAAAGATGAGGGAAAGAAAAGCTCCACGCCAAAATAGTGAAATATCATAAAGCAAGCTGCCTTATGTTTTAACACTCCTCCAAATCAAGAGAGGGAGTTCTGTGAACTAAGAGAAGTTTTTTCAATGCAATTTTACAACAAAAGTTCAGAAAAACTAATTTTACATGAAAAGAAGCAACAGAATACAAAAAATTAGCCAGGCGTGGTGGTGCATGCCTGTAGTCTCAGCTACTCGGGAGGCACAAGAATCACTTGAACCCGGGAGGCAGAGGTTGCAGTGAGCCGAGATTGTTGCCACTACACTCCAGCCTGGGCAACAGAGTGAGACTCTTCTCAAAATAAATAAATAGACCGGGTGTGGTGGCTCATGCCTGTAATCCCAGCGCTTTGGGAGGCCAAGGTGGGCGGATCACCCGAGGTCAGGAGTTCAAGACCAGCCTGGTCAACATGGTGAAACCTCGTCTCTACTAAAAATACAAAATATTAGCTGGGCATGGTAGCAGACACCTGTAATCCCAGCTACTCGGGAGGCTGAGGCAGGAGAATCGCTTGAACCTGGGAGGCAGAGGTTGCAGTGAGCCTGGGCGACAGAGTGAGACTCCATCTCAAAAAAAAAAAAAAATGAAGGGGAGCATATACAAAAATTTTAAAAATGTTTTCATTAGTAATTTTGGTAATAGTATTTTTATTCTGAGATTGTTGTATATTTAACAGGAAATGAGACAATGAGTAATTGTGGGGTATTCTCATTCTATAAACCTCTATCTCCTTGAGATAGGGCTTCTTGGTGTGGAAGAAAGGGGATACAGATAGAATAGAGAAGAGATTAAGAGAAAGCTCCATGAGGCAGGGCACGGTGGCTCATACCTGTAATCCCAGCACTTTGAGAAGCTGAGGTAGGAGGACTGTTTGAGCTCAGAGTTCCAGACCAGCCTGGGCAACATAGCAAGACCCTGCCTCTAAAAAGAAAAAGAAGAGAGGAAAGCTCTGTGGTCTTGAATTTGAATTGGAATTATCAATATAAACTCATGAGGTATTTTATCTTTAAATATATATATTTGTGTGTGTGTATGTGCATTTCCTTTTTCTGTCCATTGAAAATACTGTCCATTCTGTCTATTGAAAACAATGGCCAATCATTGAAAACAATGCCCAATCCAGCACCAAGAAATATCCCTAATCCCCAGAATGTGTTCTTGAAATATCATTTCTCCTTAAAAGAAATCAGTGCATCTTGGAGAGATGGCTGATTCCAGGACTAGGGTGGGAAATTTACAAAATGAATCTTTTGTCAAACTAGATAGCAAGGAAGTTATCAAAGGTGACCAGAATTGTGTCAAAAGTATGAAGGAGCCAAGATTAAGCAGTTCCTACTGGCCAAAGACAGAGCAATTTGAGTTTCATGAAATAATAATAATTTCAATAAATTAAAAGCCATCAAATATGTTTAAACCACTGAGTTCAGAATGAGATTTCCAAAGAGAAAATGCTTACCTTCGGGGATAATGGAGAACTAATTCATTATTTTGAAATCTGGTAAACAAGGGGAAAGAATCACACATTTGTCTTGCCTTTCCTATTATCACTGGGTAACCAAATAATAGATAAGGAGAAGTGCCTCCTTATAATAGTTTTCCAAATAAAAAATAAAAAAGATAGGATTATAATATCACCATTTTGTAATCCCAGTGAATTAAAAGATATAAGTATTAAGCTTCAACAGCTGCTAATGTCATGGAAGATAAATAACCAGACATGAGGTGCTTTCTATTGCCTTGCCAGACACCAATTCCTTGGCAACGTCCCTAAAAGAGAAATATCAAACACCATGTAACTACTATAGTTTTGACAGTCACTTTGGAAAGAAATAGAACTTGAGTCTGCTCCAGTCTCTGGATCTAGCAGCCAAATTTCAGGAAATGCAGAGAACAGAGGAACATGCTAAATCTCACCACAAGTGCACAATCAGCAAAATTCAGACTGTGGGAAACTCTCCAGACAAAAGAGCCTGGTAAGTTGTAAGGAAAAGAAAGGGATAGAGGAGAATAAATAGCTTAAAAGAGAGTTTAAAAACATATCACTTTTTTTTTTTAATGGACAAGACTAAACTACAGTGTCTAGGAATGCACATTTGAGTAAAAACAATTATGACAGTGCAAGAAGGTGATTTCTATAAAAGTCAGGACAATGGTTACTTATGAGAGGAGAGTGGGGCTTGTGACTCAAACTGGACACATGGAAGGGGATTCTGGAGTAGGGGATAAAGTTCTATTTCTTGATCTTAGTGGGGTTTCAAGGATATTTGCTGTATAAAAACTCATTTTACTGTATATTTTATGTGATTTTATGTATCTTTATTTTATTTTATATCAGAAAGATGTTTTTGAGAAGACAAGGATCAAGCTTTGTATTTTTTTTATTTATTTTCAAAATTGACAACAAAACTCTTTTGATGTACAATTCTGAGTTTTCACAAACATATATAGTCATATAATCAAAACCACAATCAAGATATAAAACAGTTTCATCACTTCAAAACATTCCCTTTTGCCCCTTTTAGTCAACTCCTCCCTCCATTCCAAACCATGGCAACCACTAAACATACCATTTTCTGTTCCTATACTTTCAGTTTTCCAGAACATCATAAAAATGGAAACATAAGATATGTATGTAGCCTTTTGAGTCTGGTTTGTTTCACTTGGCATAATGCTTTGAGGTTCATCAAAGTTAGAAAACTTATCAAAGTTCCTTTTTACTGCTAAGTAGTATTCTGTTGTATGGATGCAGCTCAATGTGCTTATCCATTTAACAAAAGGACATTTGGGTTGTTTCCAGTTTTGGCCATTGTGAATGAACAAAGCTGCTATAAACATTTGTATACAATGTGAAAATAAGATTTCATTTCTCTTGAATAGATACCTAGAAGTGAAATTGCTGGTTTATAGGTTAAGTGCACGTTTAACTATATGAGAAATTGTCAAACTATATTCCAAAGTGACCATACTATTTTGCATTCTTACAGGCAATATATGAGTTCCCATTGCTCTATGTCTTCACCAGCACTTGGTATTGTCATTTTAAAGCCATTCTAATACATGTGTAGTGGTATGTTATCATAGTTTTAATTTGTACTTCCTTAATGACTTTCATGTGTTAAATATATGAAAGGATGCTCATTTGCCATCTGTATATCTTCTTTGGTAAAATGCCTACTCAAATGTTTGCCCACTCTTTTAAAGCAAACTATTGGTTTTCTTATTGTTGAGTTGTGAGAGTTCTTTATGATCCCTTTCTCTATTGAATTGCTTTTGTACCTTGGTCAAAAGTCAATTGGCCACATATGTGTGGGTCTATTCTGGACTTCTTATTGTGTTCCATTGATCTATGTTTCTATCCTTTCACCAGTACCATACTATGTTGAACACTGTGACTTTATATTAAATTTTAAAATCAAGTAGTATGAATATTCTAATTTTGTTATTATTTTTCAGAATTGTTTTGGCTATTCTAGTTCCATCGTCTTTCCATTCATTTCAGAAATAGGTTGTCAACATATACCAGAAAGAGAGAGAGAGAGATTTTTTAAATTAATTAAGGGAGCTAAGATTTTCCCTATTTCTAAATTGATAGCTTTACTTCTGCTTCTGGTTATGAGTAACTCTTCTTGTTGAGAACAGCAATAAAACTTGGTTAAAACACAAAACCATAGCTCTTTCAGAGAGTAAGCAAGGTAGTCAGAACTTCAGGATCATAAAATCCTTAAGAAAAGGGAATAATAGCAGAGGAGTGAGCCTGACTTTCTGATTTGCAAATACATCTAAGCATTTGGTGACTCCTAAGTTGCACATGTGTAGGAAGAGACACCAAGAAATTTAAAAAGCAGCTACTACAAGGCTAAAAAGCTAAGCAGAGATGTCTGCAGTTTCATGGTCCTAAGGAGACATAAATTGGAGTTGAGCATCCATCAAGAAGAAAGCACTCTTGTGAACAAACAAGGTTTTAAATGGTGACTCCTCAAAGGACTATGTTATAAAAATAAGAGCAAGCTAGTCTTACGTGGATGAAGATGATGTGCCCAAAGTCTATCTCACTGCCAGAAAAAAGCAAACTCTTCCATGCAGGATGATACCATCATCCAGAGTCTTATAATTGTTCGTAGGCAAGATCTGGCATTCAGTTAAAAAAAAACGGTAATGCCAAAAAACTGGATCAAATGACTGAAAATCAAGAGACAAAGGAGACCATGAAAATATACTTGTAGGTGACAAACATCTTGAGTTTTTAGCCAGATTTTTAAAAAGTAACTGTGGCTAGTATGTTTAAGAAATTACGTGAAACGAAAAATTTCGCCAGATGGGCTGGGTGTGGTGGTTCATGCCTGTAATCCCAGTACTTTGAGAGGCTAAGGTGGGAGGATTGTTTGAGGTTAGGAGTTTTTGTTTGTTTGTTTGTTTGTTTTGAGACGCAGTCTCGCGCTGTCACCCAGGCTGGAGTGCAGTGGTGCAGTCTCGGCTCACTGCAACCTCCACCTCCCAGGTTCATCCCATTCTCCTGCCTCAGCCTCCCAAGTAGCTGGGACTACAGGCGCCCACCATGACGCCTGGCTAATTTTTTTTTGTATTTTTAGTAGAGATGGGGTTTCACCATGTTAGCCAGGATGGTCTCGATCTCCTGACCTTGTGATCCACCCGCCTCGGCCTCCCAAAGTGCTGGGATTACAGGTGTGAGCCACCGCGCCCGGCCAAGGTTAGGAGTTTTAGAACAACCTGGGCAACATAGTGAGATCCCATCTCTATAATTTTTTTTTTCGAGATGGAGTTTCACTCTTGTTGCCCAGGCTGGAGTGCAAAGGTGTGATCTTGGCTCACTACAACCTCTGCCTCCTGGGTTCAAGAGATTCTCCTGCCTCAGCCTCCCGAGTATCTAGGATTACATGCATGTGCGACCACACCTGGCTAATTTTGTATTTTTAGTAGAGATGGGGTTTCTCCATGTTGGTCAGGCTGGTCTCAATCTCCTGACCTCAGATGATCCACCCCCCTCAGCCTCCCAAAGTGCTGGGATTACAGGTGTGAGCCACCACACCCAGCCAAAAATTATTTTTAAAAAAGATAATTTGAATGCATAAAAAATAATTAATTATAAAGCCCAGATGGAAAAACATAATAACTGAAATGAAGAATTCAAAAGATTAGTTTAACAGTATTCGACTCGGCAGAAGAGATTAATGAACTGGAAGACAGGTCAAGGGAAAATATCCAGATTGAAGCACAGAGGAAAAAGTATGGCATATAGAGAAAAGAGTGTAAGAAACATATGGGATATGAAGAAAGATCTTATATGATTGTCAATAAGGTCCCAAAGGAGTAGAAATAAGGAATGTGGCAGGAGTCATATTTGAAAAGACAGTAGCCAAGAATTTCCCCAAACTAACAAGGCATTAACACACAAATTCAAGAAGCTCTATGAATTCAAAGCAAGATGAATATAAAGAAAACCACACCTAGTCAAACCGCAAAACCTAAACACAAATATAAAAAATGTTAAAATTAGTGAGATTTTAAGAAGGCATAATTTATCTTCAAATAGCAACGAAAGTTAGCAAAGACTGACAGCTAACTTGTCCAACAGAAACGATGGACACCAGGAGATGATGCAATGGCATCTTCAAAGAGTAGGAAAAAAATTACTGCAAACTGAGAATTCTATACCCAGCAAAATAATGGTGAAATGGAGAAGAGGTGGGGGGAGTTCTATACCTTTAAAAATAAAGATGAAATAGAGACATTTTCATAAAAATAAAAACCTAGAGTTTTCATTGTCAGCACACATGTACTAAAAGAAATCATAAAGGGAATTCTTCAGATAGAAGTAAAAGAAATCCCAGCTAGAAGCCCAGAAATGCAAGAAGGAATAAAAAGCACCAGGAAACGGATGTCTAAAGTAATATTGATTGTTTAAAACAACAATAATAATGATGTCTTGTGTTTAAAATGCTCTTCCTATACTCTTTTATACAGCTGAATTAAACACTCATCATCACTCAAACACAGCATGTACATTCTTCTCTCTGTATTTTTAGCCTCTCTCTTGCCCATCATTTGAGGCCAAGTTATATCATAATACCTTCAGGAAGTATTCACTGACCACTCCTTCGTTTATATCTTCTCTCCCACCTCTCTAACTCAGCACCATGTTGTCTGGGTCACTTATTTAGAACTTTTAAGTTTCTGTTCTCTTTTTGTTTTTATTTCATGTTGTGTGTCTTGGTTTCTCAAATAGATTGTATATTTAATGTCCTTTCTATGTCTGCTATAGGCTGTCTCTATAGTATATGCTCAATAAATGTTTATGGGATAATTAAATTTGTTGAAGAATAAATTGGTAATGAGTGACTGACCTTGTTGTTTTCTAAGACAGAATCTTCCATCAATTTGTTAATTGTTATTCTGAGATTTGATAAAGGAAACTAATATAAATATAAACAAGAAAAGCTTTAATAAGGTCTTGGATGAAAAATCCATGAAGGACAGATTGGATGTTCATATTTCATCTTTAACCTTTTGAAATTGATTTGATGCCTCTTTAATAAAATCTTTCTTGGTATCCTTGTCAAATGTATAAGGCTGGTGAGAGTATATCACAGGTATGTCATTTATTTCATTCTAATATGAGTCATTGTACTATTCTGGATGTTAAAGAAATAAAAGACACAGCCCTTGAGCTTTCCAGAGAAAAAAATCTAATTGGAGGCTAAAACACACACCCATAAACCAACTTGAGGTAAAATCCAAAGAAACATTTTAGTAACGTCAAGAAATATGGTGTAGTGTAGACTAAAGCTGCAATAGATAAGGAAAAGAAAAAGAAAAAATGATTACACTTGGGATGTGTTTATTATAAGGAAGGCATCTGAAAAAAGGTAAATTTTGGCTTTAAAGATTAGATGGAAATATACAGAAAAGAAGGGGCATAGATTTTTCTAAGCAGTGAGAATTACATGCAATACACGGAGGCAAAATAGTAAGTTATTATACATTCAGGCATCTATAAATAGACAGGCTTGAGGAATCAAGGGAAAGTATGAAGCTAGAGAGAGGTGGAGGAGCAGTTGATAGAAGACATCAAATATGTTTATTTTTGAACTAGTGTGGAATTCTCTTTCTCTTTTCAGTAGAAATAACCTTCACTGTCAACAGCCCAGTCAGACCCCTTAGCTGATATAATGACGATCGCAACTTCCTAGGCTATTATTTGCAATAATTTCTGCCATATGAGTGTAATGGGAAAAATACATTGCAAAGTGAATGACTTTTGAAATGTATTGCATGCTGACATTTGGGAAATTAGATCCTGAACACAATGCATCCTGATTATTGAGGTGCCTTGCCACCATGAAAAGATAAATACAGTCCAACCATTCAAAAAATCTGCATGTTAAATTAATTTAAAGTTCTGTCCTTCGGCAAGGTTCTTCTCAAAACTTTTGGTCACTATTCAGGCAAATAACCATGAGCAGACACTATCCCTGGCCTAGATAGCCTACGTGGGTCTGAGGAGTCCAGAAGTGCCCTCGTTCAAACATAGCTCCATCTTATGAGGAATCCTGCTGTGCTCATTCTCCTATGTACTTGACTGCTCCAGTGCTAGAGGTGCCTGTGCTCAGCTGGCATCCTTTCCATTTCCTGGGAGAAGCACAGCCACGCTCTCTTATGAAGAACAAACAACTCTTCACATCTCCATTCCCACACAGCAAATTCCTCCAGCACCACCAACCCATCTCATCATGAATGTGCATTTGCTTTCCTCTGTAAAGTTTCTGTATTGACGGGCTGCTGGGCTGAGCAACAGTAATTTCAGCAGTCCTGGCTCCACAAGCACAGGTCAGGAATGGGTTTGAAGAAAGCTCTTCTGAAGATATCACAAATTTTGCTGTTTTAAGCCAAGGCCTGCCTTGTTTACTGAACATGTCCAATTTGTGTGCTGAATAGAGCAATATAACGAGAGGAAGGGAAGATGGACAGGGAAATAATGGGACCTCACGTGCAGATTACAAACAGAACCTAGAAATTAACTGAGAATGCTAAAGAGGAAGAGGAATATGAAAGCAATAGTGAAGGGTCAATAATTTCCACATAAATCAGACCAGATGATTATTTTGATCATTAAATTGATTTAACCACAGCTTTATATACAATCAGAGTACATGGCTCTATATATAACAACAGCTCTTGGTTGTAGTCAGAGAGGACTGGGTTTGAGTCCTGGCTTATTGCTTACCTGATTAATGGTTTTGGTTATGCTACTCAACCTCTCTTAGCCTCTGTTTCTTTATTGCGGTAGATACTATTAACCTAAAATGAGAAGGCTAATAGTATCTACCACAATAAAATTGTTGTGAGGATAAAAAAAAATATTAATTAGGATGCAGTATGAAAAAAATAAAAGTTAGCTATCTTTATTTTTGAAATTTATGTAAGTCTAATTTCTCCAAAGTAAATTGGCTTATATTCACCAGGAGGAATGTCTAATTAAAAGAATCTTATTCTGAGTCTTTTGTGGCAGCAGATTATCACTATCTGATCTTTCTTTTACTTCTGTATTTTCATTGAGTTGGCTTACATAAAGCTGCACTTATAAATTTAAATATGCCTCCAATACCACTCGGCAAGTCTTCTTATAGAGAGCTAGATACATATTTAATAAACAGTTAATATAGTTTGCAACTTCCCCAAAGTAAATTAGGTGAAAAATCCCAAATGCTTGAATTTGGGGAAAAATTTACACATATAAATATGAATTTATTTATTTATTTATTTATTTTTAATTTTTTTTTTTTGAGATGGAGTCTTGCTCTGTTGCCCAGGCTGGAGTACAGTGGCGCAATCTCGGCTCACTGCAACCTCCACCTCCCCGGTTCAAGCAATTCTCCTGCTTCAGCCTCCCAAGTAGCTGGGACTACAAGCACATGCCACCATGCCCAGATGATTTTTGTATTTTTAGTAGAGACGGGGTTTCACCATGTTGACCAGGCTGGTCTTGAACTCCTAACCTCATGATCCACCTGTCTTGGCCTCCCAAAGTGCTGGGATTACAGGTGTGAGCCACTGTGCCCGGCCGAATATATTTATTATTGTTAGCCCTTGTTACAATGCTGCCATTTTATAAATCAGGAAACTGCGGCAGAGAGAGGTTAAATAGCTTGATCAAAGTTACATTGATTGCTGGGCACATCCTCTCCATCCTTTTCCAGGTGCCTTATACCTAAGTATTATCCAAAACTACCTCTTCATTTCAGCCTGCAAACCTCTTCCTATATTCCTTTTCTCAGTTAATGGCACCACCATCCACCCAGCGATCCAAGCTAGAAATCTGCGAGCCATCCTAGACTTCTCCAGCTTCCTCATTCCTCATCACACTAAGTCCTACAGTTTTATCTATCAAATATTTATTGAATCTGACCTCCTCTTCTCCATTCTTATCACCACTGCTTTTCATTCAAGCTTCTATCATTTCTCACCCAAACTACTACAACTGTCTCCTCACTCATCTCTCTGATACTAGCCCTGCTGCCTTCACATCAGTCTTCTAAACAGCTTCCAGGATGATATGTCTAAAACACAAACTAATCATGTCAATCCCCAGTTTAAAAACCTTCCATGGTTCCCAATAGAGACTGTTTTTTGTTTGTTTGTTTCTTTGTTTTTGTTTGTTTTGTTTTGTTTTTGAGACAGAGTCTTGCTCTGTCGCCCAGGCTGGAGTGTAGTGGCGTGATCTCGGCTCACTGCAACCTCCGCCTCCTGGGTTCAAGCAATTCTCCCGCCTCAGCCTCCCGAGTAGCTGAGATTATAGGCGTGTGCCACCACACGCAGCTAATTTTTGTATTTTTAGTAGAGACGGGGTTTCACCATATTAGCCAGACTGGTCTCGAACTCATGACCTCAAATGATCCAAACGCCTCGGCCTCCCAAAGTGCTGGGATTATAGGCATGAGCCACCACGCCTGGCCGACTGCTTTTAAAATAAAGCCCAGTCTTCCTAGTATGGCCCTTGTGATCCCAAAGAACACCTCTCTCTTAGTCCTAACAAAGTTTAATTAAAATGAAGTCTTTGTGTGATTCCCCCCACTTTTAGACTTTGGGCTCTTGAAAGGCAGAGACAAAGTCTTTTCATCTTTGTAATCTCAGTATCTACCAATGCCATTTAAAAATTATTGAACCCAAATGAAATGATGACATTATATTTGAACTTAGTAGATCAGCTTACACTTTTAAAAACAGTTTTCAGTCAGGTGCGGTGGCTCATGTTTGTAATCCCAGGACTTTGGGAGGCTGAGGCAGGAGGATTGCTTGAAGCTAAGAGTTCAGGACAAGCCTGGGCAACATAGCAAGACTGACTCTAAAACAAAAATTAGCCAGGCATGATGGTGCATGCCTGTAGTCCCAGCTACTTGGAGGCTGAGGTGGGAGGATTGCTTAAGCCCAGGAGTTTGAGGCTGCAATGAACTATGATTGCACCCTACTGCACTCCAGCCTGGTGACAGAGTGAAATCCTGTCTCTAAAATAAATATATGCAAATGGTTTTTGTTTTCTGTTTTGTTTTTTTGAGACAGAGTCTGGCTCTGTCGCCCAGGCTGGAGAGCAGAGGTGCAACCTCGGCTCACTGCAACCTCTGCCTCCTCCTGCCTCAGCCTCCCAAGTAGCTGGGACTACAGGCATGCACCACCATGTCCAACTATTTTGTATATTTTAGTAGAGATGGATTTTCACCATGTTGGCCAGGCTGGTCTCGAACTCGTGACCTCAAGTGATCTGCCCATCTCAGCCTCCCAAAATGCTGGAATTACAGGCGTGAGCCACTGTGCCCGGCTGCAACTGGTGTTTAATACTTTTAAAAATTGAGATATAATTAACATACCATAAAATCCACCTTTTTAGTATATTCAGTGGCTTTTGGTATATTCAGTTATACAACCATCACCACTATCTAATTCCAAAATGTTTTGTCACCCAAAAAAGAAATCCCTTACCCATTAACCATCACTCTGCAGTCTCCCCTATTTCCTTGCCAGGATTTTCTGGATGGGTCAAGTCTAATCACATGAGTCCTTAAAAGTCCCAGCTGTGACATCAGAAGAAGAGTTAGAGAGATGGCGGTGTGAAAGGATTGGATGCCTGGTTGTTAGTTTTGAAATATGGGAGACTGTATCCAAGGACCAGAGAGAGGCCTCTGGGAGCTAAGAGAGAAGCCCTCAAAACTTTCACCTCCACCAAGCTGAAAGCTCTCAAGAAAACTGAGGCCTCAATCCTACAACTGCATGGAACTGAATCGTGCCAACATCTGAATGGGCAAGGAAGCCTCCAGCAAGGATCACAGTCCTACTGACACCTTGATTTTTAGCCCAGTGAGACTCATACTAGATTCTGACCTACAGAATTATAAGACAATACATTTGTGTAGTTTTAAGCCACTAAGTTAGTGTTAATTTTTTATAGTAGCAGTAGAAAACTAATACAACACAGACTTCTATAATTTTCTTTTTTACAAAATACTGTATCTTGAAAATTGTTTTATATAACATGTCTTCTTCTTCTCCTTCTCCTTCTTCTTCCAGAGTCTTGCTCTGTTGCCCAGGCTAGAGTGCACTGGTGCAATCTCGGCTCACTATAATCTCTGCCTCCCAGGTTCAAGCTATTCTCGTGCCTCAGCCTACCATGTAGCTGAGATTACAGGTGTGCGCCACAATGCCGGGCTATATTTTTTTTGTTTTTTGTATTTTTAGTAGAGACGGAGTTTCACCAGGTTGGCCAGGCTGGTCTCGAACTCCTGACCTCAAGTGATCTGCCCACCTTGGCCTGCCAAAGTACTGGGATTACAGGCGTGAGCCACTGCACCGAGCCCCCTTATTCTTTTTGATGGCTGCATCATACTTTATTTAGATGGCAATTTAAAATACTATGTTTTATAGTAACAATTACTACATAATTCATCTTTGGCTTAGTGGAGGGTAGCTTGATGGCATATTCCCAGATTACCCCTGGTTCACTTTCTTCTGCTGGTATGGAATATTTGCATCTGTGGTTACTCCATGGTCTGAAGTGGTGGAATCCTCTTTGGGATCTCCCCTCTTTGTGGCTTGCTATGGTCTGAATATTTGTGTTCCCCCAAAATTCCTATGTTGAAATCCTAACCCCCAAGGTGAGAGTATCAGGAGGTGGGGACTTTGGAAGGTGATTAGGTCATGAGGGCAGAGCCCTTGTGAATGGAATTCTTGCCCTTACAAAAGACTCTAGAGAGGACCCTTACTTCTTCTACCATGTGAAGACAGAGCAAGAAGTTTCCATCCTTGAACCAGACAACAAGCCCTCACCAGACGTAAAATCTGCTGGCACCTTGATTTTGGACTTCCCAGCCTCTAGATTAATGAGAAATACATTTCTGCTATTTATAATTTACCCAGTTTATAGTATTTTGTTATAGCAGCCTGAATGAACTAAGATAGCACTTGTTGACAATAATGATAAACATCATATTGGTGCAGTGACACCAACACCAGACCACATAAACCCTAGGTTTTATTGGTAGAAATTGCAGTAAATGAACAGATGCATGAAATGATATTTATGAAGATTAGCAGATGAGGAATTTATTGCAGTCTTTGTTCCCTAGCAAACAGTATTACCAGTTTCTGCATTACAGTAAGTGGTGGCAAAAACTTTAGTTACATAGGATTAGTAGCCAAAGAAACACCTGCCACAGATTAGAGAAAGGCAGGTCAGGGGCAGGCAAAGTTTCAAAAGAAATGCACTAAGCCTTCCCTCCTAGAAATAACAGAAAGCGGGTAATGAGTAGGGAAAAGCAGATCTGGTAGGACACGGCAGCTGAGGGCTCATCCTGGCTGAGCAACATTTTTCATCAAGATGATCAGACTCAAAAACAAAACAAAAACAACTATTGAGCTAACAAGTTCAGCAAGGTTGGAAGATACAAAATTAGTGTACAAAAGCAATTGTATTTCTATGCACTACTGATGAAAAATCTGAAAACAAAATTAAGAAAACAGTCACCTAGAATAAAAAATAGAAAACATACAAATGGTCAATAAGCACATGAAAATACATTCTCTTATTTACCAGAGATTGAAAGAAAATATGTTCAACATCATTTGGGAAATGCAAATCAAAACCACAAAGAAATACTACTTTATACCCGATAGGAGAGCTATAATCAAAAGGACAGAGAATATCAAGTGTTGGCGAGGATGTGGAGAAATTGGAAGTGTCATACATTGCTGATGGGAATGCAAACTTGTGCAGCTGCTTTGGAAAACAACTTGGCAGTGCCTCAAAAAGTTAAATACAGTTACCATATGTCCCAGCAATTCTAAGTATATACCCAAGAGAATTGAAAATGTATGTCCACACAAAAACTTGGATGCAAATGTTCATAGTAGCATTATTTGAAATAGCCCAAAAGTGGAAACAACTCAAATGTCGGTCAACTGATAAATGAATAAATAAAATGTGATATAGATATACAATGGAATATTATATAGCCACAAAAAGGAATGGAGTACTGACACATGTTACAATGCAGAGGAAACTCAAGAACACTATACTCAGTGAAAGAAGCCACACACAAAGAACCACATATTGAATCATTTTATTGATATTAAATGTCCAGCATAGGCAAAGCTATAGAGCTAGAATGTACATTAGTAGTTGCCTAGGGGTAGGAGGCGGAAATGGGAAGTGACCATTAATGGGTAAAACATGTCTTTTTGGGGTGATGAAAATGCTCTAAAATCTATTGTGACAGCAGTTACACAGCTCTGTGAATATACTAAAAATCACTGAATTATATACTTTAAATGATTGTTCTTATGGTATGTGAATCACAATTCAATAAAATATTGTATGAAAAGACAAGACCAAACAAGACAAATTAAATGCAAAACTGGTCAGTTATACCTAAAAAACCAGGGAGTAGGTGGTCGGGGTGGGGGAAATAAAACTATGCCAGCCTTTCTTTTCTGTCTTGAGTAGGGCTAAAATGGGGCTCCGATCAGGTTGGCAGGAATTATCCCTTCAAATAAGAGATAGTAGGAGTCAAGGAGGCAGAGAAAGAATTTTACATTTTCAGGTTCACTCCAAAACTCTGGCTTGGGTAAGCTTTTCCAGTTTGAGCTGCTAAGCTGCTCTTGGAAAGAGCTGTCTAGTTCTGCCTATTCTGATCAAGGTCTTGAAAGCATAAGTGAAAAGTGCTGGCACAAGTTTATCCCAGTCCAGGGCCTGACTTCAATGCCAAATTTAGCCTTTGGCAACTTCTTTCCATTGAGAGTCCCTGAGGACTTGTTTGACCTCCTTTTGGAAAGCTGCAAGGGAATTCACTCCTGGACTGTTGCCCAGCAAGTAGGGAGTGGCTCAGCAGGCTGCCTAATCCTCTGTTAAGTGAAAGATAAGGTGCACCCGGGCACAGTCCATTGGAAGGCCAATTCCCTATATGTGGGATCTGGACTAGGAATTTTCCAGGTATATAAAGATAACTCCCAACATTAAATATCGTAATCAACTTGAGAGGAAATCTTTTGAAAATGTAGTGTACATATTCCTGCCTTTTTGTACTTAGGCTGTTTTTCAACTGGTAATTAAAAGATTACGTGGCCACTATGGAAAAATCGGAAAGAGTAGTACCATTCTCCTTCTCTAGAGTTAACCATTGCTAACAGTTTAAGGTGTGTTCTTTTTTTGTTTTTTGTTTTGAACCTTTAATGAGAAAAATATATATATACTATTGAGCTCAAGAACACTGTTTGGTGTGTCATTGGGTCAAGGGTTAGGGATACAAGTGGCAGAATTCGGAAATGGTATACATCAACAAAAATACACACGGTCATAACAAGAAAAACTGGTGCCTGGCACAATCAACTCTCAGTTTCCTCTTCACTCAGCAGCATGTTGGGGATCCTGTGGCTGATTGAGAACATACATCCAGACTCTGGGCACTGCAAGGTGCCCCCCATCACTTCCACCTCCAGCAGCAGGAGGTGCATGGTCCTCAGAAACTCTTCGTTCTCCTCATATCCCTCAACCGGCCCTTTAGCACCTGGGTCAGGTGCAAGTTATCAGCCACCTCCAGGAACACCGCCCACTCCACCTTGGGTATCATAGGTGCCACGAAGTGGGGGTTGAACTCCACAGGGCAGATGCAGACCTCGGTGGCCTGGAGGCACAGGGGGAAGCCACGGGTCCCACCCCCAACACATGCAAGCTCAGTAGATTCTTAATGTATGTTCTTTCAGACCATTTTCTATGTGTCTGTAAGCACAGATACACATGTATGTGCACACACATGCTACCCCATAGCAGTTTTTTAAACTTAAAAAAAACATAAATGATATCATACTCTATTGGTCCACTTGTTTTTGCATTTAACTATATCTTCAAGATCTTTCCATGTCAGAACATATAAATCTACCTTATTCTGTTTATTTATTTATTTATTTATTTATTTAGAGACAGGATCTTGCTCTGTTGCCCAGGTTAGAGCTGGAATGCTGTGGCGCAATCACAGCTCACTGCAGCCTCAACCTCCTGGGCTCAAGTGATCCTCCCACCTCAGCCTCCTGAGTAGTTAGGACTACAGGTGTGCACACCAGATCCAGCTAATTTTTAAAAATTTCTTATAGAGATGGGCTCTCATTGTGTTGTCCAGGGTGGTCTCAAACTCCTGGGATCAAGCAATCCTCCTGCCTCAGCCTCCCAAAGTGTTAAAATTACAGGTATGATCCACTGTGCCTCATCTACTTTATTCTTTTTTTTTTTTTTTTTGAGACAGAGTCTCGCTCTATCACCCAGGCTGAAGTGCAGTGGCATGATGATCTTGGCTCACTGCAACCTCCACCTCCTGGGTTCAAGCGATTCTCCTGCCTCAGCCTCCCGAGTAGCTGCGATTATAGGCATGTGCCACCAAGCCCGGCTAATTTTTGTATTTGTAGTAGAGACGGGGTTTCACCATACTGGCCAGGCTGCTTTTGAACTCCTGACCTCGTGATCCACCCGCCTCGGCCTCCCAAAGTGCTGGGATTACAGACGTGAGCCACCGCGCCCAGCCATTCTTTTTAAGGCCTACATAACATTCCATGGTATAAACATTCTACAATTTATCAAACCATTTCCTATTGAAGCATATTCCTATATATCTAACTTTTCTTGATGATCAAGAATGTTGAAATAAGGACTCTTATACATATATAATATATTCGTGTATATGTTAGAGTATTTTGGGGGATAGGTTCCAAGAAGTAAAATTATTTAAATTTTTGATACATCTGGAGTTTATTTTTCAAACTTTATATTTTGAAATAATTTCAAACTTACAGAAAAGTTGCAAGAATGGCACAATGAACTCCCATAAAGTCTTCACTTGATCCCCCAATTGTTATTTCATCACATTTGCTTCATCTCTTCTCTCTCCTCCACCCTACCTGTACACTATATACGTATTAGATATTTTTTTGGATGCATTTGAGAGCAATTGAGGACATGAAGCCCTTAACTCATATTTCCTAAATACAAGGGCATTATCTTACCTAAACTCAGCACAAGCATCAAAACCAGGAAGTAGACATACAAAACACACTGATTTCTCCAACCCAGCATCATAAGGTTCATTTTAGGCTTCACCCTTCTCCAACACAGAGAAACCCATTCGCACCATCCTCAATATATTTCCTAATTTTCTCAATACCCTTGTAAATAACAAATGTCCCTGCCATGCTGTCTGCCTCCTGTGTGCCTCCAGCTATGCATTCCCAGCCACATTGGCCTCACCCTGCTCGCTGCTTCAGAACTTGGTCCATACCAGTCACCGGGAAGAAGGAGTTTATTTTTGAATGGTGTGACGTAAAAGATACATATATATACATATATATATATATATTTTTTTTTTTTTTTTTTTTTTTTTTTGAGACAGGGTCTTGTTCTGTCACCCAGGCTGGAGTGATCTCAGCTCACTGCAACCTCTGCCTCCTGGACTCAAGTGATCCTCCTACCTCAGCCTCCTGGGTAGCTGGGACTAAAGGTGTGTGCCCCCATGACCGGCTAATTTTTGTATCTTTTTTGTAGAGATGGAGTTTTGTCATGTTGCCAGATATATCTTATTTTCTTAAATGCATAATCAGTTGTCCCGACACCCATTCTCAATCGTTTGAAATGTTTCCACACGTGCTTGTGCCAGTAGCTGATGATCTATTCTCTTTCATTTATCTATTTTTCTGTTTGTGAGCCAATACCATACTCGAATTACTGTTGTTGTATAATATGGTTTGTTTATTTACTTATTTATTTTTAGCCAGTGGCAGTCGCCTATATAAAATGTTTTGATACCTGGTAGAATGAGGTTCCTCATTGTACTTAAAAAAACGTCCCTGCCGGGCGCAGTGGCTCATGCCTGTAATCCCAGCATTTTGGGAGGCGGAGGCCAGTGGATTGCTTGAGCTCAGGAGTTTGAGACCAGCCTGACCAACATGGTGAACCCCACTTCTACTAAAAATACAAAAATTAGCTGGGCATGTTGGCATGCACCTGTAATCCCAGCTACTCGGGAGGCTGAGGCAGGAGAATCACTTGAACTCCGGAGGCGGAGGTTGCAGTGAGCCAAGATGGCACCACTGTACTCCAGCCTGGGTGACAGAGCAAGACTTTGTCTCAAAAAAAAAAAAAGTCCCACCTCTTCTTAAGTATGTATTCTTCCAGATGAATTTTAAAATTAACATGTCAATTTCATTAAAAATCCTATTGTAATTTTGATTGGAATTACACTGAGTTTATCAAATATTTGGGTAAAAATGGCATCTTTCCAATATTGAGTCTTCCTATCAGGGATCATGGTACACCTTTTCATATACTCAGGTTTTTAAAATGTCTTCCAGTGAATATTTGGCTTTGTGTTGGCATCACACATACATTTTGTTCCTAGGTTTCAGACATTTTTTTGGTGTCTATTATTAACGGGATCTTTTTGTCCCATCTTCTTTCCATATCTTTCCATATATTTCTATATATTTCTTTCTATATATTTTGTACATAGTTGAGATTATGCTGCACACATCTTGTCTTTTAAATTTATTCCATAAAAACTTTCTGACTAATATAGTTCTTATGGTTGCATAATCGTCCATCAAATATTTACATAAGATAATTTACTGAACTACTTTTAAACATTGGTTAACTAGATTGTTTCCAATTTTAAAGATGCTAAATACTACTGTTATAAACATCTTTTTATATAAATCTTTGTTCTGTTTTGAATTATTTCTTAAAATTTATAAGTGGTATCTCTTTTTTTCTTTTTCCTTTTTTTTTTTTTTTTTTTTTTTTGAGATGGAGTCTCTTTCTGTCACCTAGGCTGGAGTGCAGTGGTGCAATCTCGGCTCATTGCAACCTCCACCTCCCAGGTTCAAGCGATTCTCCTGCCTCAGCCTCCTGAGTAGCTGGGACTATAAGCATGTACTACCATACCCAGCTAATTTTTATAATTTTAGTAGAGATCGGGATCTCATCATGTTGGCTAGGCTGGTCTCAAAGTCCTGACCTCAAGTGATCCACACATCTCGGCTTCACAAAGTGCTGGTATTACAGGCGTGAGCCACCGCGCCCGGACTCTAAGTGATACCTCTTTTTTTGTTTTGAGACAGAGTCTTCCTCTGTCGCCCAGGCTGGAGTGCAATGGCACGATCTTGGCTCACTGAAACCTCTGCCTCCCCGGTTCAAGTGATTCTACTGCCTCAGCCTCCTGAGTAGCTGGGATTACAGGTACGCGCCACCACGCCTGGCTAATTTTGGTATTTTTAGTAGAGACAGGGTTTCACCATGTTGGTCAGGCTGGTCTCCAACTCCTGACCTCGTGATCCGCCTGCCTCGGCCTCCCAAAGTGTGTTTTGTTTTTTTTGAGATGGAGTTTCGCTCATGTTGCCCAGGCTGGAGTGCAATGGCGCGATTTTGGCTCACCGCAACCTCTGCTTCCTGGGTTCAAGTGATTCTCCTGCCTCAGCCTTCCGTGTAGCTGGGATTATAGGCGCGCACAACCACACCAGGGTAATTTTGTATTTTTAGTAGAGATGGGGTTTCTCCATGTTGGTCAGGCTGGTCTGCAACTCCCGACCTCAGGTGATCCTCCTACCTAGGTCTCCCAAAGGGCTGGGATTACAGGCATGAGCCACTGCGCCTGTCCTGTAAGTGATATTTCTTATACACAATACAGACATTCCCTGAAAGATCTTGGATAACACAAAACTATGATAAGTTGAAAACATCTTCATACATAATTGTTTAAATTTTTAATGTTTTGCTCCTATTCAATTTACTTATTCACAGACTGGTCCTACATCCTTCCTATCACTTAGCTTCTTTGGGGACGTGATTAGTGTGATGGCTAATATTGAATGTCAACTTAATTGGATTGAAGGATGCCAAGTATTTTTCCCAGGTGTGTCTGTGAGGGTGTTGCCAAAGGAGATTAACATTTGAGGCAGTGGACTGGGAGAGGCAGACTCACACTCAATCTAGGTGGGCACCATCTAATCAGCTGCCAGCATGGCTAGAATAAAGCAGGCAGAAGAAATTGGAAAGAGCAGACTTGCTGAGTCTTCTGGTCTTCATCTTTCTCCCGTGCTGGATGCTTCCTGCCCTTGAACATCAGATTCCAAGTTCTTCAGTTTTTGGAGTCTTGGGCTTACACCAGTGATTTGCCAGGGGCTTTTGGACCTCCCGCCACAGACTGAAGGCTGCACTGTCGGCTTCCCTCCTTTAGAGGTTTTGGGACTCAGACTGGCTTCCTTGCTCCTCTGCTTGCAGATGGCCTATTGTGGGATTTCATTTTGTGATCCTGTGAGTCAATTCCCCTAATAAACTCCCCTTCATATATACATCTATCCTATTAGTCCCTTTAGAGAACCCTGACGAATACAATTAGAAGGTAATAAAATGGGAAATACACAAATAGCAGTGTCATAACACAAGCCGATGCAGTGAGAATCTGCGTGGGAACAGAAGCTCTGCAAGATTGCCCATGGAGGGCCATTATCTCCTTATATCTGCAACTTCTGGCCTTATGTACCTACTTTGTGGTGTTCATTTGTACACTTGACTTCTTTGCATTTCTTAATGTGATATGAAACCTCCCACATCTTAAAATTTTATTATGTGCCTTATGGAACTATTTACATAAAGTTGAGTGTTGCCTAACTCAGGAAGTGTCTTTATATGAATGTAATTTAACCTTCTTGTTTACTCACAGTTAATACAGACATCAGTTTTAAAAGTTTCTTCCCCAAGGCTTATGGAGGTATGTAGGGCTGTTTTCCCCTACGCTGAAGGAACTAAATTACTGTGCTTTTTGATCATTAAGTTAATATTTATACTTTTTTTTCATCTACACCTTGCTTAAAGACATCTAGCTTTCAGCTGGGTGTCATGGTTCATGCCTGTAATCCCAGCACTTTGGGAGGCCAAAGCGGGCGGATCACTTGAGGCAAGAAGTTTGAGACCAGCCTGGCTAACATGGTGAAACACCATCTCTACTAAAAATACAAAAAAATTAGCTGGGCATGGTGGTGGCTACTTGGGAGGTTGAAGCACAAGAATTGCTTGAGGGCCAGGTGTTTTTGGCTCATGCCTGTAATCCCAGCAATTTGGGAGGCTGAGGCGGGTGAATCGCGAGGTCAGGAGTTCGAGACCAGCCTGGCCAACATGGTGAAACCCCATCTCTACTAAAACTACAAAAAATTAGCTGGGCATGGAGGCGGGTGCCTGTAATCCCAGCTACTCGGGAGACTGAGGCTGGAGACTCACTTGAACCTGAGAGGTGGAGGTTGCAGTGAGTCAAGATCACGCCACTGCACTGCAGCCTGGGCGACAGAGGGAGACTCCATCTCAAAAAAAGAAAAAAGAATTTCTTGAACCAGGGAAGTGGAGGTTGCAGTGAGCCGACATAGCGCCACTGCACTCCAGCCTGGGCAACAGAGAAAGACTCCACCTCAAAAAAAAAAGACATCCAGCTTTCCAGCTTTCTCTTCTCACTGCTGTCTGCATGACTGCAGTGATAGTTTTTCCTCCTTCCAGTTTATTGCTTTTACTTTTCTATGGGTTTGAAAATCAGATTCCCAGCTTTTCTAAAATCAAATCCAAGTAAAAATTAATAGGCCCTGAGAAGGGGCTTTGATGAATGTCTAGGAGTAATGGGCATGATCTTCAGGGCATGAACATAGTGGTCTCCGTTTTTCCAGAGGCCTTTTTCCATCTCCTTTATTCCCTTGGTTCTTTGCTGTGCTCCTGATAGATCAGATTTTCAGATAGCCAAGTTCCAAGTCGGTAATGAAATGAAGTTTCATTACAATTACTAGGTTGGTAACAATATGTTAAAATACCCGTTTCCCTTTTCCTCTATTGAATTCTGATTTTTTTTTTTTTTTTTTTAGACAGAGTCTCACTCTGTCGTTGCCAGGCTGGAGTGCAGTGGTGCGCTGTCAGCTCACTGCAACCTCCACCTCCCAGGTTCAAGTGATTCTCCTGCCTCAGCCTCCTGAGTAGCCAGGACTACAAGTGCATGCCACCACGCCCAGCTAATTTTTGTATTTTTAGTAGAGACGGGGTTTCACCATGTTGGCAAGGTTGGTCTCGAACTCCTGACCTCGTGATCCACCTGCCTTGGCCTCCCAAAGTGCTAGGGTTATGGGCATGAGCCACCACGCCCAGCCTGAATTCTGATTCTTTACTCCCCTTTGTTCCTTTTAGGGTGCGTGTCGGGCTGGATTGACTCAATGTAGTCAATGTGAAGCTCACTGGGCTTCAGCTGAGTGGGATAAGGCCCAATCTACACCTTCATTTCCTCTTATCTTTTCTTCCCCCCACCTCTTCTCTATATATATTTTTTAATTTTTATTTTCCTTTTTTTTTTGAGACAGAGTCGCTCTCTGTTGCCCAGGCTGGAGCGCAGTGTTACAATCTCGGTTCACTGCAACCTCCGTCTCCCGGGTTCAAGCAATTCTCGTGCCTCAGCCTCCCCAGTAGCTGGGATTACAGGCACACGCCCCCACTATTATTTTAAATAATTAAAACCTCTCTACATTTCACATCAACCAACTATAATTCTCTTATTTAAAAAAAATTGACATCTGTCTAAAGCCTCATTTGATTAAAAAGAAACTTAAGTGTATTCCATTATATGAAATAAAACAATTTACACAACCCTTTGTATTCTTACCTTTACTTTTACTCATGCCTAATTGATATGGGCTGTGGTACTAAGCCATAATTGTGGGCTCATTCTCTGCAATGGACAATCTTTTTCTTTTGCCGCTGACTGCCCCCCACCCCACTCCACTCTGTAGCTAAATCAAATGCAGAATGAGAGGAGAGAGAGAGACAGAACGACAGAGTCTGATAGAAAAAAAAAAATAGAGGTCAGAAGTGAGAGACAGAACATGTTCTAATGGCAGCTGAGTCTACAGATCCACCATACTCTTATCCTTGGCTTCCGGGAGATATCCCAGTCTTTTATTGAATTTGGAATTCCCTATAGGTGGAATATAGTAATATTTATTAACTACCTTATAACTACTTATGTGCTCTGAGTGAGGGCATATATCAGGTTCATGAAAACCCACACAGCTATTGGAGAATTAACTCAAAGTTCAGGTCTTATATGTGGTGGCTCAGTGGCATAATCTTTGTATGTGGGCATTTTTTTTTACATGTTGCTCTTGAAAAATAAATGTGTTAACTATAAGCCCAAAGAGGTGATCATCAATGTTTCAACTTTAGATCAACTAAAACTTTCTTGTATTATACAATGTCATCCCTCAGTCACTTTTTATACATTGAATTGTGACATTTATGCATCTGCCGATCTGCTGATGACTGGATATTTTAAGCTCTTCTTACACAGTGGCACAGCCTACCAGTCAAGAGTCTATTTTCTTTTCTTTTTCTTTATTTTCTTCTTCTTTTTTTTTTTTTTCTCACTCTGTTGCCCAGGCTGGAGTGCAGTGACATGATCATGGCTCACTGCAGCCTCGACCTCCTGGCTTAAGTGATCCTCCTGCATCAGCCTCCTGAGTAGCTGGGACTACGGGCCTGTGTTACCACGCCTGGCTATTATTTATTTTTTGTAGAGATAGGGTCTCACTATGTTGCCTGGGCTGGTCTCTACCTCTTAGGCTCAAGTGATACTCTCACCTCTGCTTTCTAAAGTGCTAGGATTACAGGCATGAGCCATCGTGCCCAGCAGGGCCTATTTTTGGTAGCATCACTATTTTTGGTATATGTTTACGTAATCATTTGAATACTTTATTACATTTTCTCCACTATTACAAATATGAGTCAAAAATGGAAAAATAAAAATGCTGATGCTAGTAATAAGCAGCATAAGTTTTTGAAACAATACAATTGAGCAAAGGAGGAGTCATTGGATATATACAAAGCCGTGAAACTTTAGCTTACCCTGTCAGGTAGATATTAATTAGGACAAAATTAGAACATATAATACATGCTGGAAATACATTATCAAAGATTGTATCTTAAAGGTGAATTAGGCAGGGCGTGGTGGCTCACACCTGTAATCCCAGCACTTCAGGAGGCTGAGGCAGGTTGATCACCTGAGATCAGGGGATTGAGACCAGCCTGACTCACATGGTGAAACCCCATCTCTACTAAAAAAAATACAACATTAGCTGGGCATGGTGGTGCACACTGTAATCCCAGCTACTCAGGAGGCTGAGGCAGGAGAATCACTTGAACCTGGGAGGCAGAGGTTGCAGTGAGCCGAGATTGTGCCACTGTAATCCCGCCTGGACAACAAGAGTTAAACTCTGTCTCAAAAAAAAAAAAAAAAAAAAAAAAAAGGTGAATTGCAAGTAGGAATTGAATACTATTTTTCAGCTCCCTAGAAAAAATCTCTGCTCCTATAATATTCAATGCATTTAATTTTTGCGTAATCAATGTTTGTACATGTTACCAGGAATATATTAAGTAAGAAACCGGGTAAGAATGGGTAAAAAACTAACTAGGGGTCCACGTGTACGGAATTCCAGACTCATTAAAGGACTGGAATATCCCTCGGAACCTATAATGTATTTGAGAAACAAGATGCTCAAAACATTTAAATATATAATATGTAATACAGTATACTATAGAATTAAGTGTCAACATGAGTAAAACAGTAAGTTCTGTAATAAATCACAGAAGGAGGGATACAAGTTTGACTGGGATGGTATGGAACTTCTTCTTGAGTTCTTCGCTTTCTTGAGGAAAGCAAAGCAGTAAAAAGAAATGGATGGAGTAGAGAAGGAAGGGACCAATCTCTTAGGTCAAAGAATGGACCTCTTTTGAAGATGAGTTGTTTTCTTAATAAAGACAAACATTGATGTGAACTACAAATAGACACATTTCACGTTTAAAGAACAGATCGTTGAGCAACAAGTGTGGCTGAATAGGAGAGCATTTATTAACAAGGAGAAAAGACATCAGTTGGTAAAAGGTTAAAAAGATGGGCCTGGACCAGACTGCACAGGGTGTTTCTTACTGCCCAGGAAAGGAAACATCGTGGAGTCTTTCAGCAGGAGAATGACAGAAAGGCAGAGTTTAAAACACTCATCTAATAAGGTGGATTTGAGCAGGGAGGGACAACTGGTAAGAATCTGGTTAAGAAGATGTTACTATTTAGTGAGCTAAAGAAGATGACAGCTGATAGTCAAGGATTGTGCCTGTGGAAACAGAAAAGAATAGTTCTAAAACCACTGCATGGGAAAAATTAACATAATCTACTGAATAACTAAATGCAGGGAGCAAAGAACAGAGAAGTATCAAAACACAACAAGGTAACAAGTCTAGCAGTCTAGAAGACTGGAGTATCAGTGACAGAGCAGGGGAGTCAGAAGGGCTGCTTTGGGAGAGAAGAATGAGAGATGGTTTTGGCATATTTTGTATTTGTAGTAGCTCTTTGCTACTTTTGAGTTACAAATCCCTTCCTTTGAGAATCTAATGGAACCAATGGATTCCCTCTTCAGAAAAAATAAATGCATTCATACTTAAACACATGTTGCACAATTTATAATGTACACCCCTGGAATTGGCTGCAAGAGAGCTCTTGATCCAAGCTGGGCCAATCAGAGCCCTTCCTGGAATTTTTGTACTCTATATCCAGAGAATCAAGTCAGTCTCTCCTTACTAGCTAAATCTGTGAATGCTGTTAGCTGATGTATTTTACAACACATGAGCCTGAGAAACAGAGAAAATGCTCAAATGTAGAATGAGAAGAGAGAGAGAGCCTAATACAAAAGGTCAGAAATGAGAGAGAGAACGTGTCCTAATGGCAGCTGAGTTCATGTCTTTATTAAGAAAGCAACTCATCTTTAAAAGAGATCCATTCTTTGACTTAAGAGGTTGTCGTATTCATTCCCTCCTCTGGACTTTCGTTGAGCTCTCAGGGCCCTTCCTTCCTTCTTTCCAACCATTTCTTTTTTCTATTCTGCTTTTCTCAAGAAGCAGTTCTATACCATCCCAGTCAAACTTGTATCCCTCCTTCTTGTAATTAATTACAGAACTTGCTGTTTTATTCATGTTCAGACTTAATTCTATAATATGCTATATTATATATTTAAATGTTTTAAGCATTCTGTTTCTCAAATAGATTATGACAGTTAAGTAGGCAAGACTTTCCTCAAATCAATTCTATATGCCCTATGGCACTTATCACAGCTATATACGAACAGTAGGTGCAAATACTTGTCAAACATTTATAAATGTCAATGTAAAAATATATGAGCATTTGTTTATTCACATTTTACATGCATTTTTCATTTTACAAAAAAGGGATTTACTAGAAACTTCTTTTAAGTAGTAGCTCCTCTATGTGGAAATGTTTTTAAGTGTTCATCTAGAAATATTAAATATTCATCAAAAGGCTGAGGTAGAGTTGGTGGGGAAAATGTTGAAGCTATTGGGTAAGTCATTAATTACAGATCAACAAGAAATGAGATTATGAAAAACAATCAATGACAAAAATCTCATTTACATCAACCTTTCAGAAATGCTTCCATTGTGTGACATGGCTCACTTTTTTTTTTTTTAGTGGGGGGTCTTACTCTGTTGCCCCAGCTGGAGTGCAGTGGTGCAATTATAGCTCACTGTGGCCTCGAACTCCTGGCCTCAAGTGATCCTCCTGTCTCAGTCTTCTGAGACTCTGGGATTACAGGCATGAGCAACTGGCAACCCACATTTAAAAAATATGTAATCTTTGTTCTCCTTTACACTTTATATGGCAATCTCCTCAGGGTAACTGATAGAGAATAAAGTTTATGTCTAGGTTCAGTTTTTGGCTCTACGCATCATTCAGTGTAAAATTGGGCTGGTTATTTAACCTCTCAGAACCCCCCTCATCCAAAAAATTAAGATAATACTTATCTGATAGGATGTTGTGGGAATTAAATGAGGTTGTGCATATAAAGTAGCTGGTGAAATATTTGCTGCCAGTAGGTGATCACTCAGTGGTGGGTGGTATGACTTTTTATTTAGGGAGAGAGAGTTGAGGGAAAAGGGTAGAAAAAGGTGAACCTGATGGTTTACTTAAGAGACATAGAGGGCTGGGCACAGTGGCTCATGCCTGTAATCCCAGCACTTTGGGAGGCTGAGGCAGGCGGATTGCTTGAGCCCAGGAGTTCGAGACCAGCCTGGGCAACATAGCGAGACTCCATCTCTATAACAATATAAAAAATTAGCTGGGCATGGTGACATGCACCTTTGGTCTCAGCTACTCAGGGGGCTGATGTGGAAAGGTCACCTGAGTCTGAGAAATAGAGGCTGCAGTGAGCCATGATGGTGCCACTGCACTCCAGCCTGAGTGATGAGGGTGAGACCCTGTGTCAAAAAAGAAGGAAAGAAAGAAAGGAAGGAAGAGAAGGAAAGAAAGAAAGAAAGAAAGAAAGAAAGAAAGAAAGAAAGAAAGAAAGAAAGAAAGAGAGACTTAGAGGTAGCCAGGGAAGACACCATATGCAGAGGTGGGTGATAGTGCAGAGTTGAAAGGGCAAGAAAGGGCATTTTGAATGATACAGATGATGCTAAAATGTTGGGAGGTATAGGGCAAGGATGGGCTACATTATGAACAATTATTTGCAGGTTCTTATTACACGGCATACGTTACATTTCCAAATTTAAGTTATAGACTAACATCTTTACTAGAATGGATTTTTAGTAGGTAATAAAATTAGTATTCTCAGGATTTCAGGTAATAGTGACAGAAAAGGGAATCAGGGAGAGGAGTTGAGAACAGAGGTGGCTTCTTGCTGCAATGTTGCTCTCTGTCCCTACTATACCCCACTCACAACTCTGTCAGGGACATATTGTTTCCTCCTCAAAGTTAGAGTGTGGCAACAAATTATAAGACTGGACAGTAGAACGACCTGGAAGAGAATTGGCAGAATAGAAGGATGGTGGATGATCAAAAGAGCGAAGCAGTGAGTTCATTCCTGGACACTGCCCACATGAAAATGGGATTTGGGAAAGGTTGGCTAAAAGAAGTGGTGACTGATCTTTGGAAGTATGGTGAGGACAGTGAGTCAGAGTTACTCACTTTATCAGCGCAGGGGACCATGTGGGTTACAGCTATCAGATCTTACTGTGGGTAAATCCAATAAAGAGCTCTGTTGCTAAAATTGAACAATTACAGTGTTTTTCTAATTTCCAGGAAAAATGGGTTTAAAGGTTTTCATTTTGTGAATTATTATTAATTTTTTGGTACTTCCTACCTTGTAAAAAAGTTGCAAATAAATTTAAAGAGAAAAACACAGACATATTATTTCTTAAAAACACATTATTTTTTGGCTGGACACAGTGGTTCACGCCTGTAATCCTGGCACTTTTGGAGGCCAAGTTGGGTGGATCACATGAGGTCAAGAGTTCGAGACCAGCCTGGTCAACATGGCAAAACCCCATCTGTACCTAAAATACAAAAATTAGCCAGGGGTGGTGGTGTGTGCTTGTAATCCCAGCTACTTGGGAAGGAGGCTGAGGCACAAAAATCGCTTGAACTCGGGAGGCGGAGGTTGCAGTGAGCCGAGATGGCACCACTGCACTCCAGCCTGGGTGACAGGTCGAGACTCTATCTCAAAAAAAAAGAACAACAACAACAACAAAAAGCCCCCATTTTTTTATTATGTGATTATGTGGAGATTTGCATAACCATAAAATTGCCAGATTTAGTGCTTGTAAAATTGTGTCAATTCCATATGGCAGAGTTAAATCTATCTGTATTTCATGATGCTCCACGTTGAGCACCATAATTTCTAGAGACTGCCACCTGAACTAGTTTGAAAACCAACATTACACCCCTGACTGCCTTTTGTTATTTCTCAGAGAAGGAATGTTATTAGCCTCAGTGGAACTCGCAGGGAAAGGCTTAGATAGAAAGTAATCTTAAAAAAAAAAAAAAAAAAGACCGAAGGAGAATTAAATAGGGTAAATTCAAGTGTAAGAAGGATAACATAATAGCTCCTGTTTCCTGAGTCCTTATTGTGTAACAGGATTTGTGCTAAGTATTTTCCAAAATTTTGTTTCATCTTTACATCCATCTGTGAGGTAAGTATTAATATCACCCACGTTAGACAGATGAAGAAAGGAAGGTCCGGAGACCTGTTCAAGGTCACACAGCAGGTAAGTGTTGGGTGACACTGAGATTCAAACTGAGGTTTTCCGACTGCAGTGATGATGACATTGTAATGCTTCTTTGTGTGTATGTGATTTTAAAAAACTGACATGAAGTGCACAGATCTTTTTGCATATGTATACACCCGGGTAACCATTAAGATATTGAATATTTCCAGCAAACCAGAAGGCTCTCTCCTGTCCCCTCTCAATCAATTCCCCTGTAAGTAATCACTACCTTGCCTCTAATACCATAGGTAGATGGGTTTTCATTAGATTAATCTAACTTTCTGGAGTTAACACCAAAAGATTCCATATGTCAGCCCTTCACCTTGCCATGTTAGCTGTATTATTCAAAGCTGCTCTAGCTCTGACTTTGCAAGCATTCACTGTAAAGAAGAGCTGTTGGATGGACATGTTCATATCCAGTTTCTTGTATTGTTCTGAAATTAATACTAATTTTTGAAAATCGAAGAAACTCCTGGATGAAGTGCTACAGGATGGGGCAGATTAAAGTGCTGTTATCAAACAAACCTCTCTACCTTGGAAGCGCCACAGACAGAGCTTCCTTGATTGATGTAATTTGGCGCATCTATTTCCAATCATGTCATCTGATTAAGAAGTTGGATGACCACGAAAGGTCATCTCAGTTTATGGAAGGGAAGGCGAGCCGGGCAGAGTTGGTAACGGTGATTGCTTCGCATCATCTTGCAGCACGCGATGATGTTTATGTCCCAAATACCTCCCACAGCCGACTTGCTGTTTTATGATAGGAGGGAAACAGTAGAGGGGAAGAAGATCTAGGTGGAGGGTGAAATATGACCTAACATCGTTCGACGAGGTATTAATGTGGTGGCTTTCCCGCCCTTGTCGACCAGCTCTTAAAACCACGCTACTTCTTAGTCAACCTGGCAGTGACAGAAGCAGCGCCACGACTTTACCTCAGGTTTGCAAGCTGTGGTTGGTGAATTTTCAGCCATTATTCTAAATAACAGTCTCGGTCTCCCCACAAACCCCACTGTTGTTTTGTTTTTCTTTCTCATTCTGATTCTCCCCACAGCCAACCGTGGCCTTTTGAAGTCGTCTACAAACTACCACTGAGAATCCGGGAAAGAATAACTGACACTTGTAGGCTTCGAGGACTCTCAGAGTGATATGTGCCTGAGGTGACCGAAGTGGGGGAGATCTAGGAGAGCATTCCGGTCATCAAAGCAGGAGGACAGGCCCTGAAATGGGCGCACGTGACAGCAGCAGCCACCTCGAGAGTGACATCACCCCTGAGGGCGGAGCCCAACTATGTAGGGCCTTGTCAGTTACCGAGCGTCCTCCCTGCTGCCCCTCCAAATGCCACCCACAAGTCCGAGCCCCCCGGGGATACGAGAAATGCCAGGACATCCCAGAGCGCCAGAGCCAGGGCCCCGTCTCTCCGCGCGGAGGAGGGCTGCGTCCCCACTCCCTCTTCCAGCCGTTCCCCACCCCCAAACTGTGGAAGGGGCGGGGGCGCGCGCGCTCCACCACGCACGCGCCCCCACGCACGCGCGCTCCCTCCGCGCTCGCGCCCCTCCCCACCCCAGCCCGGAGGGGGCGGGGCTGCGGGCGGCCTCAGAGGGTGCGACGCCCCCAGCGCGGCGGCGGCGCTAGCGAGCGGCCGGCGGGGCGCGGGTTGCTGGGCGCGCTGCTCCGGCGGGGCCCGCTGGCACAGCCGCCTCGCGCGAGCCGCCCGCCCGGCGGGGGAAGCTGCGAGCGCTCCGAGCGCCCGGCCTAGGGCCGCTGGCGCTGCCCTCCCGCCGCCACCGCCCTCCGCGCCTCCTTCGGGCGGCCCCGCCCCCATTCCCATCCCCCTCGCGCTCACCTCCCGGCTGTGCCGCGCGCTAGGCGGAGCGAGGCGCCCGCCGCCGCCGAGCCGAGCCGAGGGGCGAGAGCTGGCCCCCGAGCCGCCGCTGACAGGAGCACCGCCGCGGGCTGCGCTCGCCGGCTGCGAGGCCCCGCCGCGCCGTTCCGGGGTGCAGACTCGCCGCGGGGCGTTGGAGGACTGCGAGGTGCTCCGGGAATCGCGGGCGGCGCCGGCGGGCGGCGCGGTCCTCACAGGAGACCCCGGGGACTGGGGCTTGACCCGGAGGTGCAGAGAGCCCCTCAGAGCGGCAGGTAAGGGGCCCGGGGAGCAGGGCGAGGAAAGGTCGCTTCAGTGACAGGGTCGTTCGCCTCCACAGCCTCGGCTCCGGGGAGAGGGGCGGGGGCGAGCGGGGAGACGGCGAAATGGGCAGCGAAGTGCCTCGGTGTCCAAGGCGTGGGGAAGGCTGGCTCCGAATATGACACCAAGGCGGGCTTCAGAGGCGTGTGGGGTCGCCACTTGGCTGTCACCGAAGATGTCATGGAATTTGGTACCTAGAGCGTCTCTGGATGACGGGGACCAAGGATAAGATGCGAGGCGGATTGCTAAACGTGGCAGGGAATGTGGTGCAGAACGAGTTGCAAAATGTGCCCCCAGAATGCAGCATAAAAGTAGTTGCGAAATGTGCCAGGTAAGGCACAGGATGGGCTGGCCTCTGTGGCGTTGAAATTCATGGTCGAAGTGTTATTAGCGATATTAATAATTCCTCTGGGAAAGGAGGTGTAGCATAATAAAAGATTAATAAGGCTCATTGCTAGATATTTTGCCATAGGAAATCGGGAGGAGCTATGATAAGCTATTTTTTTTGAGGTAGAGAAAGTAACCACGTGAAAGAAAAAAAGCAAATTGTGTCTGGCTGTGAGATTGGAAAGAAAAAATAGGGCTAAAATAATTCCAGGTTTTGCCATCAGCGTGTAGAGCATTGGTACAATTGTATCCAGTCTTCATTTCCAGGTGTGGAATGTTTAGAATGGTCTTCACAAAACATAAACAATGATAATTAACATTAGGAAGAAGATTTGGTGTTTCGGGTGTCTTTCACTCTCTTCTCTGCTCCTCTCCAGGAAAAGAAACAAACAAAACCCCAAACGTCTTGACCATAATTATGAGTTAAAGATCATTAGGCAAAGGGAAGTATTTTTCGTATGTGCCCTTTTCCTGATTTTTACACAGGTGAAAATATCTGTAATGAGGAAAACAAAGCAGTGTGGTGAACAAAAGGGATAGATTTTCAGGCATTTTGAGGGGTTGGAGCCAGTATCTATCACAATGGTTAATTATAGAGAACGGCAGTACTAAAATATTCTTGTATGTTCTTGGTGTTGGGATGGTGAAATAAAAAAAAAAAAGAATACAGTAAATTGGCATAAAAAGCAACAACATGGATACTGTCAGTGGAGTGCTTCTTGCAGCATTTCCCAGGTAGATCCTCTTAGGGATGTGAGCACGAAATAAAACGTTAAACATTCTCTTTCTCCCTCTCTCTTGCTCCCCTCTGTATCTAGATATTTATTTATGTCTCTATATAGATATATGTGCATGTATATTATACATACATAAGAAATTACCAACATGCTGCAAAACATTGTGACTTCCATTTAAGAACATCTGTTTCGAGAGGATTGTCAGAACATAGCTGGAATTTCAGAAGTAACAAAAGACAACTCCATGATCTATTTAATGTAACTTATATGTATACATACAATGAGTGTGAATATACTATATAACAAAAGCAGAAATATGGAAATGTGTTCGTTAGAATGTACTTAATTATTGATGAGATTTTAATGTTTTATGTTATAATTCTTGTAAAGAAATTAAATTACATGTGTGAATGCTGTTCTCATTATAGTAATTTGCCAGATAATCTGAAAATTCATACTGATTGGCTTTCCCTTAGATCCAAATTCAGCCATTGAGGGATCATTTGCTTCAAAGACAAAAATAGATTTTCCTTGGTGATTGATTTTGGGTTTTAGTCTTTTCTGTAGATATGTCCCTTACCTTGAGAAGCTGTTGGGGCTGAAGAACAGAGGAAAGGGCCAGAGGAGAATAAAGAGAATTCTGTTGGGTCTTCCTGTTTTGTTCTGACTGTAAGCCATATGTACTGCCACCCCCTACTGTCTGTAGGAAGAGGTGTTACAGAGCCCGATTCTTTTCTTGTTATCACTGCCCCCTTGTGTAAGGGAAGAAATTGATAGTTGCGCTCGGGGAACCAGTCCTCTCAGATTGTTCTTGATAGAGTATTATGTAGATCTGTGAATCACCTATTTTCTTCAGAGTTGAAGGGCTTTAAACTTACTGTTAATCAGGCCTCAGATTTGGTGTCTATTTTAAATATAGGTAGCATTTGATGTTAGGAATTCAGATTGCTTAAGAATGTTTTTGGTACTTTCAGGAAGAGGGTGCAATACAATTACTACTACATTCTTCCCTTATTGTATGCAGGGGATTGGTTCCAGGACCCCCACATATGCCAAAATCCTTGCATGCTCAAATCCCGCAGTTGGTGTATGGAACCATGTATAGGGAAAAGTCGGCCCTCAATATACTCGGTTTTTGCATCCCATGAATACTGTATTGCTTGAAAAAAATCTGCATAGGAGTAGACCAGCACAGTTTAAGCCCATGTTGTTCAAGGGCCAGCTGTACTAGTAGTAACAGCTCACATTTATGTAGCACCTATTCTTTGCCAGTCCCGTTGTACGTTGTTTTAATCAGTTCCAACACCCTATGAGGTATGTGTTGTTATTTCTGTTTTACAGATGAGAATCTGAAACACAGAGAGGTTAAATAACTTGCCCAATACTATATAGCTGAGAAGTAGAAGAGCTAAGTTTCCATTTAGGAATGCTAGCTCCAGAACCTGTGCTCCTCATCAATATGCTATATTGCCCTCTCACTCAAGGTAGTATTGGCAAGGCATAATTAAAATGCATGTGCCCATCATAAAGCAAGTACAATAGATGTGGATAAACCTGGACAACTCACATAGATGTTAAGTCTGCATATATACAAAAGATACAGTTATTTGCAGTGTGAACATTTCTCTTTAGGAATTTGTTTTTTAACTTATTTCTGGGATTATGCGTAGAGGAGTATTAGTACTTTTTATGTGGTTAAGGAAATATTTGTGATGGTGGTTGGTTTGAAGGGAACTTCAGAGGTAAAAAGTTAATTTCAAGTAGTTTAATATAGTGTGTGTGTGTGTGTGTGTATATAAATACACATTCATACACACACACACAGCCTTTTTAAGAGCACCAGTAAACCTTTACTGCTTATTTTCTGTAGGGAAATTAAGGATAAATTACAATATTTTTCTTCCTACTCATATTTTTATGACCTCTTTTTCATTTATATTAAAAACTACCATAATTAGCACAAATGGATTAGATGCCTATGTACATTTTACCTCTAATGTCAACAAATGTTTGTTCAGATTTTTCTCACACTTAAACATTGTTTTATAAGATATTGACCACATATGACAAAGTATTTATAAAAATGTGTAAAATATAAAGACTTCACAATGCAGCCAACACTTACATGCCTTTTACCCAGTTTAAGAAATGGAACATCATCTTTCACAATTATAATAGTTATTTTCTTCTCTTAGCCAAATTGCTTCTGCCATTCTTTTTCAACAGAAACCTTTCCTTATTGTGCTGCGAATTGCATATCTCATGTAACCAAACACTTCCCTTTTTATATACATTTGTTGATATGGGAATTCAATATAATCTACTGCTTATGGCTAAAACTTATTCAGCATATATGCTTACGTAATTTAATATATTTAATAAATTGTCATACACTCAGACTATGCTTTGTATTTGTATTGGTTACTGGTTGGTAGTTCATTTTAGCATACTTCACTTGTAAAACTTAATTTGGTTTGCAAATTAGGATTTTACTAACATTGTTAAACATTAATAGATTATTTCCCTCTTCCATCATGAATTCTTGACTGTCCCACGCTAGCTCTGTTTTTTCTTCTTTTCCCCATAACTGCCTTTGCTCTTTATTTCTTAAGTGAGTATGAATTATTTTGAATGGAGAGGGAAGGAGACCCTAGAAAGGAGTATACTAATCCAGTCATTTCAAAGGGGACTATTAGGGTAGTTGGTACTGATTGAATATATGGTAGAACAAGTGTGCATAAAAGAAATGCATGAAAATCCTCTCCTTGTCATATTTCTTCCTTTTACAGTAGAATTAAAATGAGATCTGAGACACTCTGATTGGGCACACTAGCTGAATATTGTTGGATTGAACTTACCCAGAATCACCAATGTTAGCTGGGATATTTTTGCTGACAGTACAATATGCAGATTTTAATTCAGGGAGCTAGAACAAGCTGTTGCAGAGGGCTGTTTACTCTTCTAGTACTAGTCTAATCAAGGCACCAAATATTATAAAATAGTTTGGAAGCTAGTTCAATTATTTGGACTTTTTTTTTCTTTCTGAATGACTTGAGACTCAGCATTGTTATATTTGCTTAATGTGCCTGTAGTCATCAAATGCTGTGATTATTTTGAGGGAAAGGCACTCTGTAAATATACTATACAAATAAATAGTTTAGACTTCGTTGTAATACCGTGAGAATACCGCTTGGTTTCTTTGAATAGCGTCTTTTGTAGTAACTTGCATTAGATGAAGACCGTTTAAAATGAAAAAAAAAATGAGTTAAGGAGATGTGTGTATGGTGATGCAGAGTGTATATCCCTGATGAGTTTCTTGAAAAGGCCACGGAGAGAAATAGGTTAAAGAAGAGCTTAAAGACTAGAGCTGTGTTTTCCCACTCAGCAGTCTCCTGCTGCCCTTCGCTTTCCCTTTCTTTTCTCTTTTCAAGACAGGATCTCACTATGTCTCCCAGGGTAGGGTGCAGTGGTGTGATCTTAGCTTATTGCAGCCTACGTCTCCTGGGCTCAGGCGATCCTCTCACCTCAGCCTGCTGAGTAGCTGAGACTATAGGCACGTGCCACCATATCCAGCTAATTTTTGTACTTTTTGTAGAGACAGTGTTTCACTCTGTTGTCCAGGCTCATCTCAAACTCCTGGACTCAAGTGATCCACCTGCCTTGGCCTCCCAAAGTGCTGGGATTACAGGTGTGAGCCAACTGTGCCCAGCCAGTTTTCTTTCTTTTAGAGCAGGGGTCTCTAACCCCTGGACCATCATGGCCTGTTTGGAACCAGGGTGCACAGCAGGAGGTGAGTGGCTGGCCAGCCAGCATTACTGTGTGAGCACCTCCTCCTGTCAGATCAGCAGCTTCATTAGATTCTCATAGGAGCTTGAACCCTATTGTGAACTGCTCATGAGAGGGATCCGGGTTGTCCGTCCTTATGAGAATCTAATGCCTGATGATCTGAGGTGGAACAGTTTCATCCCCAAACCATCTCTGCCCCCCTACCCTCTGGAAAAATTGTCTGGAAAAACGTCCCTGTTGCCAAAAAGGTTGGGGACCGCTGTTTCAGAGGACATTTTACTTTGCGTATTTAAGATTCAAGGTAATATTAGATGGAGAACAGGAACTTTGGGTCTGAGTTTTAGAAGGCTAAAGCAGGTTACGCAATTAGTGAAAAAACTTTCTGGGACCTTTTTTTTTCTAGAAGGGTCAAAGTAACTATAATACCATAATTTTTTCTGGAAACAAATTTATTAGGTCAGTTTATTTTAAAAAATCTTTATAAATTATGTGAAAGCTGTGTTTGTGGATATGTCATATAAGTTGTTTTTTTGTTGTGGGCCACACATGACGTATCTTGTTATGTTCGGTCTCTTGTTTGCTCTTGAATAGTTAAAGGTAAGCATTACTAAATTTAAGAGTCAAAATAATTGTGTTAGTGTTCTATTATGCCTTTTCTTCCCCGTAATATCAATTTCTGTCTTTATTCACTACATGGTTTATAGTGCATCTTAAACTCCTTTCTTTGTTTATCAGAACTTAAGAGAGTCTCATGTCACTCATTTAAACTGAGTAGTTGCATTATAGAAATGATCTTGTTGGTGTGTTTTTTTAAAAATCCAATTGCTGAGGAAACACCTTTAGTGTTTTTGTCAACTTTGCCTACATTTCTTCCATTGCGTTGCTTCCAGAGTGATCTTTCTAGATAGTCATTTGATCATGTCACTTTTTTCTTCAGAATCTTTCACTGGCTCCTCATCACTGAATGGATAAAGTGGAAACTCCTTAGCAAACCGTTTAAGGTCCTTAATGATCTGGTCCCTGCCTCCTCTTTAGACTCATTGCCTGCCACTTCTGTCTTCAAAGTGCTTTAGCGGTAGTAAACTGTGTGTGGTTCCTTCAGTATGTAGTATTCTCCTACCTTTTCATGCCTTTATGAAGTTCTTTTTTTCATGGACTACTCCTGCCCTCTCCTTTGTTCTCTGGGCAAACTGCTTCACAGCCATCATGCGTTAGCCCAATGTCTTCCGAGTGAAGAAGGTTTTGCTTACTCCTCCAGGTGGGCTTGGGCATGATGTTCTCTATCTATTCTCCCCTTGCACTTGGTGTATATAGTAGTTGCCGCATTTTTTTTTTTTTTTTTACACGGCGTCTCACTCTGTTGCCTAGGCTAGAGTGTAATGGCGGCCATCTTGACTCACTGCAACTTCTGTCTCCTGGGTTCAAGTGATTCTCCTGCCTCAGCCTCCTGAGTAGCTGGGATCACAGGCATGTGCCACCATGCCCAGCTAATTTTGTTATATTTTTAGCAGAGATGGGGTTTTGCCATGTTGGCCAGCCTGGTCTTGAACTTCTGACCTCGAATGATCGGCCCGTCTCAGCCTCCCAGAGTGCTGGGATTACGGGCATGAGCCACCATACCCGGCCGTAACATATTTTAAATATTTAATATGACTGGTTCATCACTAATGTGTGAGCTTTTAAGCAGGCACTGTGACTTTTCATCTTTTCAGCATCAGTATAGTTAGTACATAGTAGGTGCTCATTATCTACTTATTGAGTGAGGATTGTTGACCGTTATCTCAGTTATGCCTTTGAAACCTCATCTCTTATTGTGGAATTAGAGGAAACTTTAGGCACCAGGAGGTAGGTTTAGAGAAATATACACACCATCTAAAATATTACTCAGAGTAAGTCCTGGACTGTAACTAAAACTAACCCTAAAGATAAACCAGATTTTGTTCTTTTTTATGTTTGCTGGTGGCAAGAGGAAGATGAGAAGATTCTCTGAACTTTAGCCAAATGATTTTCTTTGTACAATGCAAGAGTTGCCAAACTATAGCCCATAGACCAAATCCAGCCCATTGTCTGTTTTTGTATGACCTGCAAACTAAGAATGGTTTTTACAATTTTAAGCAGTTGAAAAGATATCAAAGGAGGAATGATACTTCATGACATATGAAAATTAAAGGAGATTCAAATTTCATTGTCCATAAAGAAAGTTCCATTGGAACTTAGCCATATTCACTTATTTACATATTGGGTATTGGGTGCAGCAGCAGAGTTGACTACTAGTTGCTGTCGAGACCATACGGCCTGCAAAGCCTAAATATTTACTAGCTAGCTCTTTAGAGAATAAGTTTGTCAGTCCTTGGTCTGTTACATAGCCTGTGCCCATTAAGTGTTCGTTGAATATCATGAGTTGGAGATATACCAGCTACTTTTTTGAAGGGCTTCGCAGGGCATAATTCCTTCTATTTACTGAGAAGATTGGCCACTTTGCTTTTGTAATGATTTATCTCACAGGCCCCTGTTGTACCTCTCTGATGACACCCTTATTACATCTAACACTGAATAAGACTCTCACAAAGTGTGTTTCAAGATTCTATTCCTTTTTTTTTCTTTAAAAGGTGGAGAGGAGTTTGGAGAACAGCATGTAGTAGAATGTTTTTCTTCGCTCACATCTCAGTTTCTCATATACATTTTTTGCAATAAAAGATCATTGTTATATTTTTAAAAACCTTGATTTTGTATATTAGTTTGTTAGGCAGACACCTTGTGTGTAAAGTTTAAAAGTTGAGGTGGATTAGTTATGTTGGAAAAACTGGGGTATTTTTATGGAGTGTATTAACATATTCATTCATTTAAATATTTATTGACTACTATGTATAAGTTGTTAATTTTACTACTATTGTCTTTGACTTGGGGATGGAAATTTCATATTCTTCCTTAAAAGCTAAAATTGTAATTCAGAATCCTGTGTCTTACATATTTTTTCTACCCCTGGGAAAAATATAGTTCAAAAACATATGTACCATACTATTAATATTTGCCACTTCCCTGAAGTTCAGTAAGCCAATGATGATAGATTTTACTGTTTTCTTTATGTGGCAAAGTGTTATGAAAAGGCAGTGATTGATATATTCCTTTTCGTAGATATCAGCCAATGTTACAGACATAAAATTCATAAAGAAAAGTACGTAAGCAATAATAGTGGAAAACTTGTCATTCCAAATGGATGATCTTTGGACCAGGTAGCCATTCTTATTTCCTTGTCTGTAATACCATGCTAGCATTATCATATGATGACGTAGCTGATTATAAAGATTGACAACATTAAGAAATATGGCCCCAGTTTTTTACTGCCATGGAAATCCCCTGGTTAATCCAGCCTTATAAGTAGATTATAGTTATTGAACTTGGAAACGAGAGTGGGTATATAGAGATTGTGATTTAGTCATTTTATGCTTGGAGAATGTGCTTCAAATCTCAGATCTCAGGCAATTCTGTCTGCCTAAATGAAGGTAGTCACTTCTTAGCCCTTTATTCCTAATCTTTCATTGGGTGGAGGAATCCCACAATTTCTAGTTGTGGTTGCTGAAATTTGGTAAGGCACAGCTAGTTAGGTTATAGGTTATAGAAACTTGATACATATTTATTGTACTCTGTAATTCTATTTCTGTTCAAATTCCATGGAATCCTCTAGGGCACCCTGGGATTGTGAATTAGTGTGAATGAATGTAAATAGCTTTAGTGGGCCTATGGAATGAAGACTTATTAAACCACATAAATAACCGTCCAACCACATACACCCATATTCTGCCTCAGGATCAGAGAATCAGCTTTTCCATTTTCGGGCTTTTTTTTTTAATTTTTTTTTTTTTTTAATGTAGAGACAGACTTTGTTTGAAAGCTGTTATTCAGACATTCCTATATTATAGGATGACAGTACTGTTGCTCAGTTGTAAGTTTAGAAATTCCAATGATGAGACCAGTATATATTGGAAAGAATATGACTTTATGAGTTTTGAATCATGAAAATGGGTTTGAATTACTGCTCTGTCACTAATTGTATGAGGGGCCAAAAATCTATCTCACAGGGTTTTTATGATGATGAAATGAAAAATATCTTGGTGAAAATCCTTAGGACGATGTCTAGTACTTAATAAATGGTAATTTTTATTAGCCTGTGGAAAGTATCCTAAATTTTTCTTTTTTGATATATGCCAGCTCCTCCCAATTTTTTACTGGCATTGTCACTCCAGCTTTTCTTTGTTATCTTGTCTTGATTTCCTTTTCAGCCTTGCAAGGCATTTTAGAAACCCATGGTAGTTTGGATACTGATTTATTTTATTCATATCCTTAAATTTTCTTTTGTGAAGTATTTGATAAAAGCTGAGAGAAAGAGTTTTTGAATAACTGTAAACCGAAAAACTCAGATACTGCTGGGCCTACTCTTTTTATGCATTTTTTTTGGACTATTTCTTTTGAACACTACTAACTTGACAAAAATTAATTTTAATCCTTTCTATAAAATCTCAAATCATAGTGTTTCTTGAGATGCGCCCCTTGACAGCTTTTCTTCAGTTTGATTATGTAAACAGTTTTAACTTCTACAAATATCTTTTTTTGTGAATAATAACTTGAACTTTGCTCCTTACACCCCTACCCCCAGCCAGTGCCTCAGGTTGACAGCTTTTTGTAATCTTTCTTTTTTGAAACATTGTATGTGACAGTCAGTCAAGGTGGACTGCTTGGAGGGTTTGTCTGGTTTTTTTTTTTTTGATATCTACCTACTTAATAAAAAAGGGACTTATCTATTTACAGTGTAAAATAATATATTGGAAAATTTTGCCCCTTTTTCTGTGGTATAATCAGTTAACTATTTAGAATCTTGTAAAAAATAAAGTAGAGGTTCCTCTTCAAAGAAACTTTCCTCCCCGTCTAATTAGGAATAAATAGTAACTTCTCTTAGAAGCAAAATTTATTCAAAGATCCGTGCTAACATTCTTAAATACTACCTGTAATAAAAAAAATTAATGTACTTTATATTCTTAGCTCTCACAATTTAGCCTAAATACTTGCCCTGGCATGCTTATACTGGTCCAAGAAAGCATTAGGTCGTAGCTTGTTCCTCTTCCTTATTTGGAAGTATTTTTACCTTTCTTAGCATTCCACAAGTTACTTCCTCCTTCCTTTGTTCTCCTCTGCCTTTGCCTCTTTTAAAAAGTTCCAAGTCGCTAGCCAATCGTGACAAATACAGAATGTGAGGTCCCGTTCCAGCCGATGGAAACCAGACACAGCAGTAAGGTGGACGCGTCAGGTTATAAATGACCCTGTCTCCTTTGTTCCATGCACTCTTGTGGCAAAACTGTTGGCGAGTGTACCCTTTCTGCAGAAAGTAAAAATGGCCTTGCTGAGAGAATTAAATTTATGTTCAAGTGCTATTTCTTTGCAGCCCCAGGGAACAAGCATTCTGTTTCTACATAAACATTTTTGACATATAACAATCCCATTTTTCCCTAAGCTTCAGTTATTTCTGTAGCACTTTGTCAATTTCTGCTTATCTGTGTATCTTTAGTATAATTATTGAATCTTTTTCTTTAAATGAACTTGACTCATTTTCTCTTAGTTTCATCTTTAGTTTTCCTGATCTTTATAAACTGATAAGTTTGTGCTAGTTATAAACTAAAGAATAGTTCATCCTGAAGACATTTCACTTAATGCACTTGGGAAAGACTACTTATATGCAAATTTGGTTCCAGATTGGATTGTTTTGAATTTTAAAATAACTTCATATAATGAGTCTTCTCCTTGCTTTAGATAATTTAATTGTTTTTGTCTTTGGATATGTTAAATGTAGGCATTTATTGGTTGTCAACAAATGTTAATTGTCATTACTTATAATGGGCAGCTGGGGTATTTCTCCCCTATCCCCTAACATTCTACCTATTTTTTTTTAATTACAAAAGTAATATTCTCCCCATCCCCTAACATTCTACCTATTTTTTTAAATTACAAAAGTAATACATCTGCTTGCAACCACTAAAATAAACAAACTCTAGGAGTCAATAAAGAAAAAGTTGATATTTTCCTCTCCCCTCGGGTTTCTCCCTTCTCTAGTTATATTCCTTGGAGTAGCCAACGTTAACCAACACTTTGATAAGGAGTATTTTTTCAGTGTGTTTCTCTTTGCTCAAAAATATATAAGCATATACACATAAATATACAGGCTTCTTGTTTTTCTAATTAAATAGGGATCATATTATTTATTGCTTAGTAACATGTATTACTCATTTAACAATATATCATGGCTATCACTTCAGTTCAGTAAATGGAACTCTAATTTTTAAAAGCTGAATAATATTTTATAGTACACTGTACCATAATTTATTATGTTATTTCCCAACTGATGGATGTTAAGATTGTTTCCTTTTTTTGCTATTATAAACATTAGTTCACTCTTATGACTAGAGAAGCAAACATTTGAAATAAAGTATTAGCAAAATAAATCTAGCCACGTGTTTAAAAGGTAATACACTATGATCAAGTAGAGTTTATTGCAGGAAGGCAAGGGCATTAAAATATTAAAATATTGTATAATATTAACACATTCTGAGATAAAAACTACATGATTATTTCTCTTTTTTTGGGGAGAGTTAGGGGCTTCGTATTGTATTTATACAAAATAGCATAGGGAGATGCCTGCCCATGTGGACAGCAGTCCAAGTTTTATACAGTTCTTTGGTCTTAAAAGTTGATAGACAAAAGTCTTTATTCTGGGGTCTTTAGAGGGGACTCTATGGGTCCTGTGCCTTGGCCTTGACCTCGTTACTGGCCATTGGTTGCCAAAGCTTAGTATGTTGACAGTATGGACAGCTGGGAAAGAGACTGGGATGGATGGTGTGGGTGATATCCAGTTCAGGGCTGGTACCTTTTAAGAGTACCAATTTGATTACTTTGGGCTTGAGGAGCACCTTTTTGGCCTCTGTATAGGTGCTCATTGCCTTGGAAATGTTGGCCTGAATCTTTTCGAGGACTTTTTTGTTGGGCTTGTTGGCAGAATTATGCATTCCTTAGAATCTGAATGTCTTGAAGCCATTTCTGTGCCATTTTCAGGACTGGTCTTCTGTGATATTGTTCTTGGATTTGGCCATATCTGTACTGCTGGCTGCAACTGTGGGAGTTGTGGAGACTGGAAAAAAGAGCCCCATGTTGATTTCAATAGATGCCAGCAAAGCATTTAATAAAATTTTGGAATAATTTCCCCAGAATGTATATGGCATAATTTCCTAATCCTTACTTGAATGAAGATGTCTTTTATCTTGATTAGTGAAAGGTATTTTGACCAGACATAGTATTCATGGATCATAATCCTTTTTTTTCATGCAGCATGTACACGTTATACCACTGTCTTCAAGCCTTTTGTGCAGATGAAAAGTCTGATTCTCCTTTCTTTATAAGTGTCTTCTATACATGCAGTTTTACCATCCTTATATGCCCTGAGATTTTCAGGTTTAATCTCACGGTATACTTTATCCCTTTTATATCATGAGAAACCCAATGCTGCCAGTAATTCCTGTCTTTATAGTTCTGTGTTTCTGCCTTTCTGACCCCAGTTTTTTCTCTTTTTTTGGTCTTATTCTTTAAAGTAAAGATCTTTTACCTTATTTTGCAATAGCATGTTAACAGTTTTGGTCTGTTATATGGGCATGTCTTTCTGGCATGCCTTCATTGTCTGTAGGGATATTCTACTCCTATTCTCTCATTTCTTATACTAGCAACTTCGTATGAGATTAACCTTGATACTTTTCTGGGACTCATTTTTATTTGAAATAAATTTTAAAAATATTTTAGAGTGTGGCTGGGTTTAGGAAAGCATTTTTTAAATTTACAGAGCTTTCTCTTCTCTTGCTTTTCTGTACTTTTAAAAAATGTGGCAAGGCAGGGCACGGTGGCTCACGCCTTTAGTAATCCTAGTATTGGGAGGCTGAGGTGGGAGGATTGCTTGAGGCCAGGAGTTTGGACCAGTCTGGGCAACAAAGTGAGACTTTGTATCCACAAAAAATTTTAAAAATTAGCTGGGTGTGGTGGCACATGCCTGTGGTCCCAGCTACATGGGAGGCCGAGGCAGGAGGATAGCTTGAGCCTGGGAGGGTCTAGGCTGCAGTGAGTCGTGTTAGCACCACTGCAACTCCAGCATGGGCAACAGAGTGAGACCCTGTCTCAAATAAATAAATGAATGAATGAGTGAATGGCAGCTTGCTTTCTGAGATTTCCTGGCCTTATTCTCCTCCACTAGTTTGGCTTGAACCTTCTCTTTCCTTCGTCTCTCTTGTCTGACCCCAGTTTTCACCACTGTGTGACTCTGAAACCTTTCCTCTGTGCCTTTTAGAGTTTATTGTCAGTCACCTGTAAAACACCGTTTCTTTTTAACCTCTTCTCTAAACAATACCTTGATTTCCTTACTGTACCTGAAACTGAGCTCTCTTCCTGAGGGCACTCCTTCCCCTGAAGAGTTCTTTAGTGGTGGCTCCTCCTATTGGGAACAGAGATGTTCTGTTTGTTTCTTATTGCTGCATCTAGACTTCTGGGCTCTCTCCCACTACTCCAGTCATGTAGTTGTTGGTGATTTCAGGATCCATACAGATGCTTTTCATATAGGTTATCTGTAATCTGAAAATCCAAAATCTGAAATGCTCTAAAATTAGAAACTTTTTGAGTGCTGACATGACAACTCAAAGGAAATGTTCATTGGAAGATTTCAGGTTTTCAGATTTGGGATGCTCTGTGGTACATATATTCCAAAATCTGAAAAAAATTTGAAATCTGAGACACTTCTGGCCCAAAGCATTTTGGGTAAAGAATACTTAACATGCAATACTCTGGCTTCCTGACTTCCTCTCCTCCATTGATTTATCTTAGCCATTCAACTCTGTGGCATATCCTGTGCAGATGCTTTTAAACTCTCAGGGCATCTGCATTAACTGGGGAGCTTTGAAAAACTATAGATGCCTAGGACTCACTCCCAGAGATTCTGATTTCTTTATCAGTTTCTGACATTTTACTCTCCACCTACCACCTCCTATTTTTCTGGCTTACTTCTAGTACCCAAGAGTCTTAATTCTTTCATCTCACTGGGACTTTCTCATTTGCCACCTTTTCTGTTACATCGTACCCTCATATCCTCATTTCCTTTTCCAACTAGCTGAGTTCCCAAAGCCTGTCATTACACTTGCTCTTCTGAGTCTACTTTCAACCCTCTTGACTTCTCTCCCTGAGTTGTTCTTGCTTGGCCAAACCTTGATGAAAACCAACTCCATCTGTTTTATACCTGTATACTTGTAGGTGAATATGGCTCGAGCAAACAGCTATGTTGACTTTCAATTCTTGGCTAGTACTTAATGACTTTAAGTTCATGGTTTAGTGCTGCCCAGCTGTCTTGTTAACTCTAGTTCTTTCACGTTCCCATTGCTTAGATGATTATATCTTTCCCTTGCATTCACATTGTCAGTATTTCCATTCCATCTTCTCTCTCAGCTGATGACCTTGCTTTCTGTTTCATTAAGAAAATAGAAATAATCTTCCCACCACCTGCATCTTTACCAATCTTATTATGAAATAACTGTCTTTTTCTCTGTTGAAGGTCATTTCCTTCAGTTGTCCATTAGAACCTACCCCCCCTCACCTTCTCAAGGATATGTTCCTGTAATTCTTCCTCTTTTCTCCTTTTCTGCATTGCTGTGAACATAACTCTCAGACCACTAGACCTATTATTCCCCATTTGCAGCTTTCACATTATTCTCCTTCTTTCTTCCCTGAAAGTCTCTAGCTTTGTATCTCATGTCATCTGACTATATTACCTACAACCTCTTATTGTTGTTGACTGTATCTCCTGGTTCATTGTAGGGCATTCCCTACAATGATTTCTGATACTGACTACCTTGAATTAGGCCAGACTTCACAAGTTAAGGGCACAGTCCTCCGTAAGACTACTCTTCAAACACTAGCTGCAAACTTGGGGGATTTCAGAGGCACCCTCATTTTTGAGCAACTAGCTAAAATTTAGGGATTCTTGCTACTCCCTCACGTTTGATAATTCATTAGAACAACTGATAGAACAGGAAAGCACTGTAGGTTTGATTATGGCTTAATTGTGTCATAAAGGATACAAATCAGCATCATCCAAAAAGAGACACATAAGGCCGGGAGACTCCTAAATGTGAAGCTTCTGATGTCTTCTCCCTGTGGAGTCAGGATACATCACCCTCCTGGCACAAAGACATGTAGCAAATCATACGTTGTTTACACAGTGTCCACAATCTTCTGTGGCATTTCATGTGTAAGCATGACTGATTGAATCATTGGCCGCTGATGGAAGTAAGTCTTCATCTCCCTGCCCCACCTTGGTCAGTCTCCTATGGGTCAAAATCTCAACTCTTTAATTATGTGGCTGGGTTCTCTAGCATAGCCAGCACCTATCCTGCATCATTTTATTACCACAGACTATTTAGGGACCTATCATGAGTCATCTTGTTAGCATAAATAATCAGAGCTCACCATGAATAACAAAGACACTCAGGAAATTCCCAGGATTTAGAGACTACCTTTCAGGAACTGGGGACAAAGGTTCAGCAAAATTCTCTATTACACAGGATTCCCCCTTTATACTTAAAAACAAAAAAATTAGTTCTCCCCACCTTACCAATACTATTTCTAATGTTAATTCTTGGTAATTTTGATCATGTAGATATTTTTTCAACATTTTGATCTTTCAGTCCTTTGAATTTATTTCCTTCAATGAATTTGTCTTCCAATTTACCTCAACCATTCACTCCCATAGTCATACCCTAGATCTTGACTAATAGCTGCATCCTCCCCATAATTTCAGTTTCATGCATCCCAATCTCTGACCACCACTTGCTGTCTTTCAGTCTTTCTCCCTTTAGTACCCTGACTCCAATAATCCTTTAATCCCACTAGGACCTCTAATGCGTTGTTGCTACCACCATTTTTCAGCACCATTTATTGAAGAGATTTTTCTGCAATGTATGTTATTGGTTTTTTGCCAGAAATCAGTTGGCTGTAGATATATGGATTAATTTCTGGGTTCTCCTATCTGTTCCACTGGTCTATGTGTCTGTTTTTATGTCGGTACCATGCTGTTTTGGTTATTACAGCTTTGTAGTATCTTTTGAAGTCTGGTAGTGTGATTTCTCCAACTTCGTTCTTTTTGCTCAGAATTGCTTTGGCTATTTGAAGACTGTTGTGATTCCATGCGAATTTTAGGATTTCTTTTTCCTATTTCTGTGAAGGATGTCATTGGTATTTTGGTAGGGATTCTATTGAATTTATAGATTGTTTGGGGTAATCATTTTAACACTCTTCTTCCATTAGCATAAGACATTTTTCCATTTGTTTGGATGCTCTTCAATTTTGTTCATCAGTATTTCGTAGTTTTTCTTATAGAGGTCTTCAACTCCTCAGTTAAATTTCTTTCTAAGTATTTTATATTTTGTAGCTATTATAAATCGAATTGCCTTCTGGATTTTTTTTAGCTAGTTTATTGTTTGTGTATAGAGTACTACTGATATTTGTTTGAATTCGTTTGAATTCGTTTATTGAATTCGTTGATCAATTTTATGAGTTTTTGGTAGGGTCTTTAGGTTTTATTTTATTTTTTATTTTAATTTAAAATTTTTTTGCATATAAGATCATGTCATCTGCAAACAGGTTCAGTTTGACTTTCTCCTTTGTAATTTGGATGCCTTTTATTTCTTTTTCTTGCTTGATTGCTCTGGCTAGGAATTGCAGTACTATGTTGAATAAGAGTGAAAGTGGGCATTCTTGTCTTGTTCTAGTTCTTAGAGGAAAAACTTTGAGCTTTTACCCATTCAGTATGATGTTAGCTGTGAGTTTGTCATATATGGCCTTTACTGTGTCAAGGTACTTCCTTTTATACCTTATTTATTGACAGTTTTTTTATCATGAGGGGATGTTGAATTTTTAAAAATGCTTTTTCTGCATCTGTTGAGATGATTGTATGGTTTTGCTCCTTTATTCTGTTACTGTGATTTATTACATTTAATAATTTGTGTATGTTGAACCATAATTGCATTCCTGAGATAAATCTCACTTGATTATGGTGTATTATCTTTTTGATGTGTTACTGGATTTGGTTTGTTAGTATTTTGTTGAGAAGTTTTGCTTCTATGTTCATTAGGGATATTGGCTTGTAGTCTCCTTTTTTTGTTGTGTCTTTGTCTGGTTTTGGTATTAGGGTTATGTTGGCCTTATACAATGAGTTAGAGAGAATTCCCTCCACTTCAATTTTTGGAATAGTTTGAGAACTCTTAGTATTAATTATTCTTTAAGGCTTTGGTAAAATTCAGCAGTGATACCATCTGGTTCTGGACTTTTCTTTGCTGGGAGACTTTTTACTGATTCAATTTTTCTGATTACTGATTCAGTCTCAGTGCTTGTTGGTCTGTTGAAGTTTTCTATTCTTCATTTGGTCTTGTTAGCTTGTATGTCTCCAGGAATTTATCTATGTCCTCTAGGTTTCAAAATTTATTGACATATATTCATAGTAGTCTAGTGATTCTTTGTATTTCCGTGGTATCCATTGTGATATCTTCTCTTTCATTTTTTATTTTATTTGAGTCTTCTCTTTTTTTGTTAGTGTAGCTAATGGTTTCTCAATTTTGTTTCTGTTTTCAAAAAACCAAATTTTTGTCTCATTGATCTTTAGTATTTTTTTTGTCTCTCAACTTCATTTATTTCTGCTCTGATCGTATTCTTTCCTTCTGTTAATTTTGGGTTCGGCTTGTTCTTGCTTTTCTAGTTCCTTTGAGATGCATCCTTAAGTTGTTTATTTGAAATCTTTCTAGTTTTCTGCTGTAGGCATTTATCACTGTACACTTGTGTCTTAATACTACTTTTGCTGTCTCTCATAGGTTTTTGTATGTTGTGTTTCTATTTTCAGTTGTTTTAAGGAATTTTAAATTTTAATTCTTATTTTTTTCCTTCATTCATTGGTTGTTCTGGAGCAGGTTGTTTTATTTCCATGTGTTTGTATAGTTTTGAATGTTGCTCTTGTAATTTTTAGTTTCATTCTAAATATCTTGTGGTCAGATATTTGGTATGATTTAAATTAAAACAATGTTTTAGACTTCTTTGTGTCCTAATTTGGTCAGTCCTGGAGAATGTTCCATGTGCTGTTGAAAAGAATGTGTATTCTGCAGGTGTTGGGTGAAACACTCTTAAGTGTCTGTTAAATCCATTTGGTCTGTGGTGTAGTTTAAATCTGATGTTTCTTTGTTGACTTTGTTGAGTCTGTCTAGATGAACTCTCCAGCGCTGACAGTGGGTGTTGAAATCAGTCTAATGTTGATAAATTCCCATAGTTTTGGCTTGTCTGAAGTATTTTATTTCTTTCATCTCTAAGGATAGCTTTGTTGGACATAATATTCTTGACTACCAGTTTTCTATTTCTTTCAGTAATTTCAATATATCATCTCATTCTCTCCTGGCCTGTGAGGTTTCTTCTGAGAAATCTACTCTACTAAGACTAATGGGGATTCCCTTATATGTGACTTGATGTTTTTCTCTTGTTTTTAGAATTCTTTTTCTTTTACTTTTGACAATTTGACTGTAATGTGCCTCAGACCTCTTCGGCTTGAATCTGTTTGTGGTTCTTTGAGCCTCCTAGATCTTGATGTTCATCTCTCTCCTAAGATTTGGGACATTTTCAGCTACTATTTCATGAAATATATTTTCTACTTTTTTTCACATTTCCTTTCCTTCCAGAATGCCTATATGCTAATATTTGCTCACTTAAAGGTGTACCATAAATCCTATAGGCTTTCTTCATTTTTTAAAATTATTTATTGTCTTCTGTGTTATTTCAAATGACCTGTCATCAGAGTTCAGAAATTCTTTCTTCTGCTTGGTCTAATCTATTGTTGAAGCTCTCAATTGGATTTTTTATTTCATTCATTGAATTCTTCATCCATAGAATTTGTATTTGGTTCTGTCTTATGATACCTATCTCTGTTAAATTTCTCATTCAAGTTATCAATAATTTTTCTTATTTTGTTGAATTGTCTATCTGTATTCTCTTGTATCTTGCTGAGTTTACTTAAGATTATTATTTTTGACATTTTGTATATTTCCTTATGATTGAGACCTGTTACTGGAGAATTATTATATTTCTTTGGAGGCATCATATTTCCTTGCTTTTTCATATTTGATGTGTCCCTACATTGATTTCTTATGCATCTGATTGTAAAGTCACCTCTTCCAATTTTATGGAGTAGGCTTCATAGGGAAAGACTTATTCATATGAATGGGTCTTGGCATGACGGTTAGGTGGGGCATGTTGGCTCTATTTCTGGGCAGATGCTGTAGTGTAGTGTCCATGTAGTTTCTTCAGCTGTAACTCATGCTAGTTATGTTTGCAAATGTCTCTTTGGCCTAGGCTGAGAGAATTTTTGGCAGTAGTGGTGTGGCTTTGCCAGGGGTAGGCTCACTGGGCTGTTTCTCAGGTTGGAGGTCCCTGTGTGCACATAGTGGGTTGGCTAACTTGGGGCTGGGTTTGGAAGCCGGGGACATTACTCTGGCTGGGAGCACATGCATTTGGCTGCTCAGCTGGCCTGGGACGTGCCTGCCAGGAGCAGCCTTCAGGGTTATTTCTCATGCCCAGGATGCAAGCACACACCTGCTTGGCTGACCTGGGGATGTGTTTGCTGGGGGTGGCCCATGGGGCTACTTCTCTGGCCCTTGATTTGGGTGTAAGCTGCTGGTCTGGTCCGGGGATATATCTGCTTGGGTGGACCACAGGGCTGTTTCTCAGGCCTGTGGCACAGGTGTCCAGCTGCTTGGCTGGCCAGAGGCTTGTGTTTGCTGGGGGTGACCTGTGAGGCTGTTTCTTAGACCTGAAACACAGGCGCATGACTGTATGGCTAGCCCAGAAGGGGAGGGATGTCTGCTAGGGGTGGCCCACAGGGCTGCTTCAAAGGCCTGGAATGCAAGTGAACAGCTGCTCAGTGGAACTGGGGGTATGTCTGGCAAGGGCAGCCTGTGGGGCTGCTTCTCAGGCTTGGGATGCAGATGCGTGATTGCTTGGCCGGCCTGGGGTATTACCAGACAGAGTGGCCTGCAGAGCTGTTCCTCAGGCCTGAGGCATGGTTGCACAGCTGCTCAGCAAGCCTGGGATCATGTCTACCAGGAGTGTCTCGAAGAGCTATTTCTGAGGCCCTGACTGCAGGTGCATGTCCATTGGGTTAGCCATGGCCTTGTCTGCAGGGAATGGTGCACTGCCGGGCTGTTTCTCATGCCCTGCATATGAACATGTAGCTATTCTACAACATATCAGCTACTCAGAGACTTGAGGGCCTCTCCCGCTGGGGGAGTACATGCAACAGTTTGGGCAGCTCTAGGGCAGGTTCATCCTGGGTAGGACTGCCAGACTGTTCCTCTGGCTATAAGTGAGAGCAGTGGGAGTTGGTTCTTTGCTGTGCAGGACCAGAGTCACAGCTATTCCTGGGCCCCGACTTTGTGCTCCTGGGGTCGTGGTGTTCAGCCACTGGTGTGGAATTCGTAGTATAAAGATGGAGCCCCCGTGCTGGAGAGGTGCAGTGGCTACTGGCCCCCAGATGAGGGCGCACTTCAGAGGTGGCCCTGGTCTCAGGATAGCACCATGTTGCAGTATCTGGGTTCACAGAGCGTGAATGGGGGTTAGGGAGTGCACACCTTGTGCTCCTAATCTAGGAACTGCATGAATTCCCTGCAGCTCTTCTAACGGGGGTCAGGGCTTGTGAGGACTATAGGAGTCTCCTGTTGCAAGGACTGTAGATATTTGTGGTGGCAGTGGGGACTAGTGGGGTTCTTCTGCCTACCTTTTCCCTGCAACAGGAAGTCTTTCCTGACTCCAGGCAGATCTGATCCAGGTGGGAAGATAGGGCTACAGAGGCTGGGTACCTCCATGCTGGTCTCCTGGACTTCCAGTCACAACGGGTGCATCTTCACACCCTACTGTACCCCAGCACTCTCCCTTTGACATTCCAGTCAAATCTTAGCTGTTTGTTGCCTTGGTCCTTTCTTGTGGTGGGTGGGAAGTGCAGAGGGGCAAGGAGTACAGGGAAGGGGTGCAGGGGACGAGCATTAGGTGTCTCTAGTCAGCTATCTTGCTGAAGTCACTGAGTTTTTTTTGTTTGTTTTGTTTGCCGTAGACTTAATAGAAATTCCAGCAGTAACATGATTAAAAAGGCATGTTAGAAGATTAATATATTCCATATTAAATATAGTAAGTTTCTGCTAAACACGATCTTTTTGATTTACCTATGATATTTTTGCTTGATGAGAGTAATAATTTTTATTACAAGATAAGGGACAGATATCTGGGAAATCAGATTACTCTGTTTTCAAGATGTCTTAGACTAGACTGACTTTATTTTATTTTGAGACATAGTCTTGCTCTGTCACCCAGGCTGGAGTGCAGTGGTGCAATCTCAGCTCACTGCAACCTCTGCCTCCTAGGTTCAAGCGATTCTTCTGCCTCAGCCTGCCGAGTAGCTGGGATTACAGGCGTGCACCACCACACCTGGCTAACTTTTTTTTTTTTTTTTTTTTTTAGTAGAGATGGGGTTTCGCCATGTTCACTAGGCTGGTCTTGAATGCCTCACCTTAAGTGATTTGCTGACCTCGGCTTCCCGAAGTGCTGGGATTACAGGCGTGAGCCACTGTGCCTGGCCAAGATGGAGTTTCTTGCTCTAATTACGTTTTTTGTAGGTTTTCTTCACTTAAGCTTTGCTCACACCATAATGAGGTTTTCTCTGATTGTTTGTTGGGATTAGTAATGGCATTCATGCAAGAATGGTGTATGAAGTTTATGAAGTTTAAAAGCAGTCGATGTACAGTGAGATCATGTATTAAGGCATGGTAACAGTTGCTTTGGGTTACAGCCAAAAGTAGGCAAATCAGGAATTTGGAAGAGAATAAAGAACGGAAGCAATTTTTTTAGTGTTATACAATTAGGGCAAAAATAATAAGATGATTCTCACCGAGTATGATTTTAGATGCCCCAGATTTTCAAAATCAGCACTCAGGTATGGCTTTGAAACTTTCAGAAGACAAACCAGTACTAGCTGCAGTTTTTCAGCATGCCCAGGAACTGAGCATTAGACACCAAAAGAAGCAAGATTAGTGTTCTACTTTCATTCAGGTTGGAGAAAAGGAGCCAAAGATTTTGTATAAAGTTCCCCTTGTACTTTATTTCTGGGATGTGAAAATTATTTTACTTATGCAAAAGCATATAGTAAGTACTTGACGAATATGTTTACTTAAACCTCTAAATAATCCCCTCTCTCTTATAAATTTCCTTTACACTTTATCTTTCTCTTGTGATACCTAGCACCTTCTAGTTTGAATTTTACTTGAGCTCACTTCTCTTTAATTCTCATTAACGGACTGATGCTTCTTTTAGGCAGAACTGCTTGTTAACCTTTTAAAAAATTATCTGCAGTACCTGCTGAGGGCCTTATACTTAGTTTGTTCTCAGTAAACAGTGAACAGATAGAAGATCAGAAGACATTTTGTTTTTAAAATTTATAGATTAATATTAGAAAAAGATTTGAGGCGGCATTGCCATCTGTATTCATGCAGTAGAGAAGTGTCGCTGAGTGCAAAAGATATAATTTGCGAAGAATTTTCACTAACGTGTTTCTAAAATAAGTTTTTTGCTGTGTTAGTGTGTTTTGGTTGTTTCTTGATGTTATTTATAAGAATGCTTAGTGCCTGGACTTAATCCTTTAAAATAACAGTTTAATTTTAACTTCACAGGCATACTAAACCTGTTCATTATGTGCTTGGAGAAACCAAGGGAAGGCGAATGATGCAGGAAGTAGTAGTGGTAGTTCTATGTATTCTTCTTCATTAGCCCTTTTACTGAACTGGCGACAAAAGAATTCTGTAATATAACTTTAAAATATTTTATTAGATAATGGCTGTGGTCATTGATGGAGCTAATCCAGCTATCTAGAGAAAAGCCATTCCTGCAAAGCTCATAGAATAAAAAACACATGCTTTTTTTTTTTTTTTTTTTTTTGAGACAGAGTTTCACTCTGTCGCCCAGCCTGGAGTGCAGTGGCGCAATCTTGGCTCACTGCAACCTCGTCTCCTGGGTTCAAGTGATTCTTCTGCCTCAGCCTCCTGAGTAGCTGGGACTACAGGTGCGCACCGCCACACCTGGCTAATTTTTTTTGTATTTTTAGTAGAGATGGGGTTTCACCGTCTTGGTCAGTCTGGTCTGCTCTTGAACTCCTGACCTCGTGATCCGCCTGTCTCGGCCTCCCAAAGTGCTGGGATTACAGGCATGAGCCACTGCACCCGGCCAAGGCATGCTTTTTGGTTAGAGAAGTTTGGTGAGTAAAAACTAATAAAGGATGGTTGAGCAACTTAGCGATGATACTAATTTACTGGGCTAGAAAATACCAGAGGAGGGTTGTTCATATGAGAGGCCTGGAGTGAAATTTGGTTATCCAGATGATAGATGACAGCAAAGGCAATGGATGAACTAGGAGGAGAGGACACTGAAAAAGGAATTAATTAATTATTGAGAGAGTCTCATTCTGTCACCCAGGCTGGAGTGCAGTGACACGAACAGAGCTCACTGCAGCCTTGACCTCAGGCATAAGCAATCCTCCCACCTCAGCCTCCCAAGTAACTGGGACTGCAGGCATGTACCATCATTGCTGGCTAATGTTTTTTTTTTAAAATTTTCTGTAGAGATCAGCTCTCCCTATGTTGCCCAGGCTGGTCTTGAACTCCTAGCTCGAGTGATCTTCCCACCTTGGACCCCCAAAGTGCTGGAATTACAGGTGTGAGTCACTGTGCCCTACCATGATTTTTATTTTTTAAAGACGGGAGCATCTTGAAATGCTGATAGAAATAGCTATTAAAGGATGAGTTTCAAAATATAGAAGTCAAAATATAAGAGGTTCCTGGGTGAATGAGTGGGAGTGGGATACAGAGCAAAGGTAGATAATTTGACCTCAGAGAGAAAAAGGAATATGTCTATTTTAATAGGAGGAGAGGGTGTGTGTTAATGGGCTTAGGTCTGTAGGTTTGTTGGTGGGTAGTTGACAGAGTTCTTTCTGATAATTTTTATGGCATGTATTTTTCTTTGTGTTATGGAAGCTGAAAATATGGGTTGAGAGTGATGCAAAGAAATGAGGTCAGAGAATGTTCACAGGGAACTGACTAAAAAAGCAGTAGATTGCTAAGAGGTGAAAAGGGTCAGTTGAGATTTGCAAGCATAGATTTCTGACATATTTGGTATATCACTAACTAATATGACTTTTTTTAACAGTGTTCAGCCGCCTTGGTATAGTTGGAATCAGCTTGAATTTTGATTTGTATTTTATGTGGAATCAGAGAGCAAAGGGGCAAGGGAGTTTGGGGGTTTGGTGGGAGAGTGATTGAAATGACAGATCATTTTCTTGTGGGAAAAATTAGTAAATACAAAATAATATTAAAAAAACAAATGAAATGATGAATTTTATGCATGTTTTATGCATGTTTTCTTGTGCTGTTGCATGCCAAGTTTGACCCTCTGCGTGTGTGGGTTCTGTGTCTGCCAGCCATGGATCAAAAGTATTAAAACTAAGTAGATAGGCCGGGCAGGGTGGCTCATGCCTGTAATCCCAGCACTTTGGGAGGCCAAGACGGGCGGATCATGAGGTCAGGAGATCGAGACCATCATGGCTAACACGACGAAACCCCGTCTCTACTAAAAATACAAAAAAATTAGCCGGGTGTGGTGGCGGGGGCCCGTAGGTCCCAACTTCTCGGGAGGCTGAGGCAGGAGAATGCCGTGAACCTGGGAGGCGGAGCTTGCAGTGAGCCAAGATCACGCCACTGCACTCCAGCCTGGGTGACAGAGCGAGACTCCGTCTCAAAAAAAAAAAAAACAAAAAAACAAACAAAAAAAGCTAAGTAGATAATACAAATAAATATAGTATAAGTATTTACATAACATATACATTGTATTATGGTTATAAGAATCTAGAGCAAAAACAAGTGAAATGATGAATCCAGGATTCCAGTTGAGAGAGAGAGGAATTAAAGACCAGAGGAGACTGACTAGGACCCTAAAGCCTTGATTTTCATCTCATTTATTGAAAGCACTTCTTAATGTCTGGATGGGTGGAGTGGTGGAGGGGAGTTTTACGCACGGTTTCTTGTGTTGTTTCATGCCAGGTTTGACCCTTTGTGTGTGGGGTTCTGTGTCTGCCAACCATGGATCAAAAATATTAAAAATAAGTAGATAAATAATGCAAATATAGATACGTATTTACATAGCATTTACATTATTAGGTGTTATAAGAATCTAGAGATGATTTAAGGTATACAGGAGGATGTGCATAGGTTATGTGCAAACACTGTATCATTTTACGTAATAGACTTAAGCATCTGCAGATTTTGGTATCCATAGGGTGAGTGTATGGGGCAAGTGTGGGGCTGTCTTAAAATGAATCCCCAGCAGATACCCAAGGATGATTGTATGCGCTTATCTTTCCCTATAGCAATCTAACTAGAAACCTTTAGGGTTGCATAGACAAGATTGAGTATAAGATTTATGTTTCTGTATCCCTTGCATAGCCATGGCCCATCCCAGTGTAATAGTTCTTATGTGATATGTTGTGAGATTCTGCTGTCCTCTGAACTCTTCAGACATGGTATAAATTTTTGATCAATGTATAAAGTGTCTTTTTGTCATAATGAGTATACTATTAGTCCAGTATTTTTTGTTTCACTGATTTGTTAAATGATATGGAATAACTTACTGTAAGAAAAAGTGTAGAGTCATTTCAGTGCCAAATAAAAAATTCAGGTGTTTTTATTGAGAACTGAGAACTTTACTCTTACATATAAAAAGATACATATAATACAGTAAATGATTCTTAAATAGCAACATAGCATTTGGATCACCACATTAATAGTGTGACAACTCTTCATGCTTTTATAGACACTTGAGACATTGTTATATGCTTCTGTAACATATGACATATGTAACTATGTTATACATGTTGGCTACTATTATAATTTGTTTCCTATTGCTGCTGTAACAAATTTCCACAAATTTAGTGGCTTAAAACAACACAAATGTACTATTTTAATACTTCTTACAGTTCTGGAAGTCAGAAGTTTGAAATGAGTTTTTTATGGGGCAAAAACTAATGTTTTGGCATACCTGTGTTCCGTCTGGAGACTCTGGGAGAGAATCTGTTTTTTACCTTTTCCAGCTTCTGGAGGCCATCTGCGTTACTTGGCTTGTGGCTACATTGCTCTGATGTCTACTTTGGTCATCACATCTCCTCTTCTGATGCTTCTACTTCCCTTTTCCATTTTTTAATGACATTTGTGACTACATTGGGTCTGCCTGGGTAAAATTCAGGAAAATCTCCCTATTTTAAGGTCCTCAACTTAATCACATCTTCAGAGTCCCTTTGCCATGTAAGGTAACATTCACAAATTCCAGAAGTTAGAATGTGGTCACCTTTGGGGAACCTCTATTGACTTGGTTTGATTTTGTTCTTGCTTTTTAAGTTTTGGCTATTCTGGGTCCCTTGCCGTTTCCACATTAGTTTTTAGATCACTTTCTCAATTTCTGAAAGGAAAGTAGCTGGGAGTTTGTTAAGTATTTTGTTGAATCTACAGATCAATTTGGAGACTATTGCCATCTTACCATTAAGTCTTTCAATCCATGGACATGGATGTCTTTCCATTTAATTAGGTCTTCCTTAATTTCTTTCAGTGATGTTTTATAATTTTCAGTGTACAAGTTTTATACTTTTGTTAATAACAATTTTTTATTCTTTTTGATGTTATTGTAAATGTATTTTTTATTTCATTTTTGGATTGTTCATTGATAGTCTAAAGAAATACAACTAATTTTTCAGGCCAGACATAGTGGCTCATGCCTGTAATCCCAGGAATTTGGGAGGCTGAGGCAGGAGGATTGTTTGAGGCCAGGAGTTTGAAACCAGCCTGGTCAACATAGCAAGACCCCGTCTCTGCAAAAGAAAAATAAAAAAAAATTAGATGTGTTAGCATGTGCCTGTAGTCCCAGCTGCTGTGGAAGCTGAGGCAAGAGGATTATTTGAGCCCAGGAGTTTAAGGCATCAGTGAGCCATGCTCATGCCACGCACTGCAGCCTGGATGAGTGAGAGCCTGTCTCAAAAGAAAAAAAAAATACAACTGATTTTTTAATGTGTATCTTGTGTCCTGCCAATTTGCTGAATTCATTTATTAGCTCTAATAGTTTTTTGGTGTATTCTTTAGGATTTTCTACATATGAGGTCATGTCATTTGTGAATAGAGACTGAGTTATTATTTCTTCCTTTCTAATTTGGATGCCTTTTATTTCTTTTTCTGCCTAATTGCCCTGAATAGAACTTCAAGTACAATGGTGTATAGAAGTGGTAAGTAGAATTTTTTTTTTTTTTGAGACAAAGTCTCACTCTGCCACCCAGGCTGGAGTGCAGTGGCGCATTCTCAGCTCACTGCACCCTCTGCCTCCTGGGTTCCTGGGTTCAAGCGATTCTCCTGCCTCAGCCTCCTGAGTATCTGGGATTACAGGCATGCACCACCACACCTGGCTCATTTTTTTTTTTTTTTGTATTTTTAGTAGAGATGGGGTTTTGCCATGTTTGTCAGGCTAGTTAAATGGATGATTTTTTCTTGTCCAACTTAGGAGGAAAGTGTTCAGTTTTTCAGAATTAAGCATGATGTTAGCCTCAGGCTTTTTATAGATGCCATTTATCAGACTGAGGATGTTTCTTTCTATTTCTAGTATGTTGAGTATTTCTTTTTTAATCATGAAAGGGTGTTGCCTTTTGTCAGATGCTTTTTCTGTGTCTATGGAGGTAATTATTAAAGTTTTTGTCTGTTACTAATTTGGTATATTACATTGATTTTCATATGCTGAACCAACCTTGTATTCCTAGGATTCACTTACCAGTTCTTGAGTTTGAGAAAATTAATCTAGGGTATGGTCATCTGAAGACTCATAGTCTGAGATTTCCCTTAGATGATTAATTTCACCTTTATCAATAGAATCTGGAGTACTGCCATCTGTCTTTTTGCATTCTTCTTCTGATAAAATAATTGTGATACATCTTCCTCTGGAAATATTCTTCTCTTTGACATTTTGGGTAGAAAATGAAAATTCTTGTATTGTTTACTGTGTTAAATGAAGAGCTTTAACAAAGGCTACAAAGCTGATGTGTCATATTTCTTTTATATCTTCTTGAAAGATGATGCAATACTTTGGGCAAAGCAATAAGAAAACTGAAGAAGGATGAAACGGTTATCACTTATTTCATTATTACGTCACTTTTAGATAAATCCATCATGTTTCCATTTTCTTTGGATTTTTTTCTTTCTTTTACAGTTTACATGCATTGTAGAATAATAAAGCCGTTCTTTTCAAGACCTTTTATAAATCCTGTTATCTTGTCTGGCTGGCTCACATTGTTTCCTGGGAAGGCCAGCCTGCAGTGGCTTAGATAGTGTTGACAGTTGTAGTTGGTTTGGAGTGGACGAACAAGGGACATAGTAATTCTTAGCTCATAATGTAAGGATCCAGAATCGGGTGGATTGAGAACTCAGTTGTAAATCTATCTGGAAATATTTGATAAGATATTTTATAAAATACTTGACTTAGTTGAAATTCAGAAGTTAGGCAATTTAGTCTAATGGGGAACAAGGTTGGTGGAGGGTGTTGAGGTAAAGAAACACTGGGTCAGCTAGCTCCCAGTATTGGCCACCAGATGGCCCTGGCAGTTTAGGTGCTGTATGAAAGAGCTTTGAAGGGGTAGAAAGAGAAAGCAGTACATGACCTGATAATAAGTATTGCAAAAATGAGGATTCATAATTGAAGCAGTGCTTGTACTACATACAAGGCTGACTGTGGAACCCATCATCAGTTACTTCCCTTTCTCAAGACTTCTTTGTTAATTGTCCCATTTCCTTCCTTTGCCCTCCAGTCTTGAAAGAGATTGCATAATTTGAAGCTCTTCAGTGCAGTTCAAAATTTTGCTTTTAGGGAAATTATCAAAGATTATCAGCTGGGCATAGTGGTGTGCGCCGGTAGTCCTAGCTACTCCGAGGCTGAGATGGAAGGATCCTTTGAGCCAGGAGTTCAAGACCACAATGAACAGTGATAGCACTGCTGTAATTATAAGAACTTCCAAAGTTATGTCCTAGAATATATCTGAGGCATCTAGCAATTTATCTCAGTCAACACTTAAAGAAGGCCTTTCTTGATAATTATTAGTCCTTCAGCATGCCTTTCACAGAGGAAAAAACATGCAATTTCCAGATGGTGGACAAATGATTTGTCTTTCTTGTATTGGCTTGATCCTATTACTGTATATAACTTTTTTTGAAACAGAGTTTTTACGTTTTCCAGAAGCCTCAAATTCATGCTAGATTTGTGTTTCTGTCTAGTATTCTCATCATTCACACTGTTCAAGCAAACTAAATATGGCCTGAGAAGGACTCCGTACTTCTATATTTGAGTCCTTGTGGACAAACTGTAACCCAGCTTAATAGGCAGACAAGATTAAAAACCTCACTTAGGAGTACGCGCCTGTAGCAATAGCGGAGTCTTAGCAAATCCCAGCAGCCATGTTTCAACCACTCATAGACTGCTGTGTGTTCAAATAAGGCAAATGCCAACCTGTAACCAGTGCAGCTGTTTCTGTACCTCACAGTCGATTTCTGTCCGTCACTTCCCTTTTTTTTTTGTCTATAAATTTGTTCTAACCATGAAGCATCCTTGGAGTCTCCCTGAATCTGGTGTGATTCTGGGAGCTGCCCAATTTGTGAATCGTTCATTGCTCAATTAAACTCGTTTAAATTTAATTTGGCTGAAGTTTTTCTTTTAAGAACACTATTGCATTTGTCATTGGTTGTTTACTTCTCCCAGTATGATTAAATACATGCTCTTTTGAGTTCTTCCATTCTTCTCTATTTCTCTCTTCGTTTTTTTTGAGATTATTTGTGATTGTATTTTTTAGAGCCTCTCATGCTTTCAGCAGATATTCACTAAATTTTCTTTTCTTTTTCTTTGTTTTTTTTTGAGATGGAGTTCCGCTCTTGTTGCCCAGGCTGGAGTGCAGTGGCGTGATCTGGGTTCACTGCAACCTCTGCCTCCCAGGTTCAAGTGATTCTCTTGCCTCAGCCTCCCAAGTAGCTGCGATTACAAGTGCGCACCACCACGTCTGGCTAATTTTTTGTATTTTTAGTATAGATGGGGTTTCACCGTGTTGGCCAGGCTGGTCTCAAACTCCTGACCTCAGGTGATCTGCCCGCCATAGCCTCCCAAAGTGCTGGGATTACAGGTGTGAACCACCACACCCAGCCTCTTTTTTTTTTTTTTTTTTTAAAGAGAAAAAAAGGACAGAGTCTCACTCTCTTTCTGTCACCCAGGCTGGCGTGCAGTGGTGTGATCATAGTTCACTGTAACTTTGAACTTGTGGTCTCAAGCAGTTCTCCTGCCTCTCAGCTTCCTGAGTAGCTGGGACTACAGCTGTGCACCACCAATATTTTCATCGTGTGCATTATTAACCCTGCATCTTATCTGTAATGTTTAAAAAGTTATTGGAAGTGTTTATTAAATGCATTAGTGTGTGTGTGTTGTATTCTCCTGCAGAAATTTCTCAGAGGAGAAGCTCTATGTTGACAAATGCTAGAAAATGGATAGCATTTACTTTAAATATATGTAGCTTACTTTTTATAATTATATGAACAGATTTGTATTCAAAAGGACTCTGAAGGTCATATCCAAATTATTATTGTGGAGAAAATCATAAAAGGAGATTGTATGGATTGACTGGAAAGATAATACTTAGTTCATCATTTGGATCAGTTTGTGGTCATATTTTTATAATTAGAGACTTTAAGACAATATCTTAATGTATTACTTTACATTATTTTCAATTTTCTTACTATTTAAAATATTTTCTTCAATCTTTAAACTATTAAAGCATTTTAATGGTATAATTTATTTATTTGGCATAGTTCTAATGTCAAGAAACTTGTTTCTCAGACTGGAAACCAGGTCAAAAATAAGAATAAGCCAATCCACCACAAAACCAAAAATGAGAATAAAAGTAATATAAAACCATTTAAGCAGGAAGTAGATATAGAAAAAGATATTTTTTAAAAAGCTGGCAAACAGGCTGAGATGACAGAGAATTCAGAACATGGTTAGAAATGAAGATCATTGAGATTCAGGAGAAAGTCAAAACCCAATACCAGGAATATAGGGAATACTGTAAAATGAAACAGGAGCTGAAAGATGAAATGGCCATTTTAAGATCCAGAGTGATTGCATAGAGCTGAAAAACTCACTTCAATAATTTCATAATACAATTGCAAATATTAACAGCAGAATCAACCAAGCTGAGGAATGAATCTCAGAGCTAGAAGACCAGTTCTCTGAAATAACTCAGACAAAAATAAAGAAAAACCAATAAAGAAGAATGAACAGAATCTCTGAGAAATATGGGGTTGTGTAAAGAGATCAAATTTATGACTCACTGGCATCCCTGAAAAAGAGGGAGAGAAAGCAAGCAACTTGGACAACATATTTGAGAATGTCATCCATGAAAATTCCCCCGACCTCACTAGAGAGGGCAACATTCAAATCAGGAAATGCAGAAAATCCATGTGAGATGAATATCCCCAAGACACATAATCATCAGATCCTCCAAGGTTGAACTGAAAGAAAAAAATGTTAAAGGCAGCTAGAAAGAAGGGGTGGGTCACTTAAAAAGGGAACCCTGGTTAACAGCAGACCTTTCAGCAGAAATTCTACAAGCAAGAACAGATTGAGGGCCTATATTCAGCATTCTTAAAGAAAAGAAATTCTAACCAAACATTTCCTATGTAGCCAAACTAAGCTTCATAAGTGAAGGAGAAATAAGATCCTTTGCAGATAAGCAATTGCCAAGGGAATTCATTACCATCAGACCTGCCTTACAAGAGGTCCTCAAGGGAGTGCTAAATATGGAAAAGAAAGACCATTACTGGCCACCACAAAAAACACACTTAAGTACATAGACAGTTGACACTGTAAAGCAGCTATACAGTCAAGTCTGCATCATAACCAGCTAATAACATAATGACAGGATCAAATCCACATATATCAATATCAACACACATAGAGTCAAAGTAAAGGGATGGAGAAAAATCCATCAAGCAAATTGTAAACAGAAGAAAGCAGGGATTCCTATTCTAATTTCAGACAAAGCAGACTGATATAGTTTGGATATTTGCCCCTGCCCAAATTTCATGTTAAATGGTAATCCCCAATGCTGGAAGTGCGGCAGGGCCTTGTGGGAGGTATTTGGGTCATGGGAGCAGATCCCTCATGTCTTGGTGCTACCTTTACAGTAGTGAGTCAGCTCTTGAGAGATGTGGTCATTTGAAAGTCTGTGGCACCTCCCCCCAACACACACTGTCTCTCACTCCTGCTCTGGCCACTTCATGTGGCTGCTCCTGCTTCACCTGCCATGAGTAAAAGCTTCCTGAGGCCTCCCCAGAAGCAGGTGGTGGAGCTGTGCTTCCTGTACAGCCTGCAGAACTGCAAGCCAATTAAACCTCTTTTCTTATAAATTACCTAGACTCAGGTATTTATAGTAGTGCAAGAACAGCCTAATACACAGACTTTAAACCAACAATGGTCAAAAGAGACAAAAAGGCATTACATAATGGCAAAGGATTCAGTTCAACAGGAAGACCTAACTATTTTAAACGTATGTGCACCCAACACAGGGGCACCCAAATTCATAAAACAAATTACTTAGAGACTTAGATAACCAACACAAATTTGTAAGCTTTCTTAAAACATTATGAGATTTTTTTTGTAACTTTTTTTTTTTTAGCTAATCAACTATTATTAGCATCAATGTGTTTTATGTGTGGCCTAAGATAATTCTTCTTCCACTGTGGCCCGGGAAAGCCAAAAGATTGGACATCCCTGGTATATGCCCAAAGCAATGTAAATTGTTCTACCAAAAACGCATGTGCTTGGATGTTCATCATAGCTCTGTTCACAATAGCAACATCATGAAATCAACCTAAATGCTCATCAGCGGTAGACTGGATAAAGAAAATGTATATATGCACCATGTAATACTATGCAGGCATAAAAGAATGAGATCATGTCCTTTGCAGCAACATGGACAGAGGAGCTGGAGGCCATTATCCTAAGCACACTAATGCAGGAACAGAAAACAATTACTTTATGTTCTGACAAGTGGGAGCTAAACACTGAGCACGCATGGACACAAAGAAAGGAAGAACACACACCAGGGCCTACTTGAGGATGGAGGGGTGTGGAAGGTGAGGATCAAAAAATTACCTATTAGATACTGTGTTTATTACCTGAGTGACAAAATCTGTACGCCAAACCCTGTCACACGCATTTTACCAAGAAAACAAATCTGCCCATGTCCCCTTGAATCTACAATAAGTTAAAATAAAAAGCTGGCATTAGAATGGAAATATTAACAGGATGTCATGATCATCAAAATAGTACAGAAGTACTTAATAGTTAATTTGATTACATTATTAATTACATAAACATTTTTATGCATGGGATGTTTTACTTTTTTTAAACAACAGGATAAGAAAAGGGCTTTAAATATACAGGAGGGATGAACATTGAAAATGAAAATTGATTGCCTGTTAATAATATAGCAGAAGAAGACATTGAAATAGGTTGTTGAGTCTCCAGCCTTAGTGGACCATTAAGAAGTCATTACTTCTCCTGAATGGTTTAGAATGAGTGTCACAAACATAAAAGCTTAGGGACCATGTAGATAACATAATGTTCAAATCAGCTAAGTGTAAGAAAATTAGAAATGATTGGGGGCCTGTCAATGGCTTGTTATTTTCCTGTCCAGATATTTCACTTGCCAGGGATGTATCTGATGATTCCTCCTGAGAGAGTGAACATCTTAAAATTTGGATGCAAAATTTGGAAAAGCAGGGTAAAATTTAGATTTACATTAGTGTCAATTAGACCAAACTGCCTTCTCCCACTTAGCTTCAATTTGTGGAATTTCTATATTAATATTTTATTATGATCAGTTTTCTATTGGTATGTTAACTTGAGGAAAATCATTTAATCAAAATGTAACTATGAGATGAGTAGCTTTATGTTTTACTTTTCTATATATTGAAGTAATTAAAAAAGTTTTAGAACTAGCAAAAAAAAAAAAAAAAAACCCTCTATATCTTCAAGAAGTAGCCATCACTATAATTTATGCCACCCACCAAAATATTTTACCTAAATCAACTTAAGTATGTTCTCCTGGTCTTTTTTTGACTCTTAGTAAATTTTAAGTAATAAGTTGCTGTTTTTATGATAATGATAATCTGCACTCATTTTTTTCCTTTCAAAACTTTGAACAACTATGTGTAAATAATCAGAGTTTGAGTTAGAAGTTCTAAGTAAGCCTAGAATATTCTTGGTTTTCCCTCAGATAAAATTTTGAACTATTCCTACAATTTTCATGCCTTTTCTTGATTCCCTGGTACACATTCATTCTAGGTAGTCCTCATTGTTCTGGTTGATTTAAAATCATTTCTCGCTCAATGAAACTTACTTTTATTATGCCCCTTCTTTACTAAGTCAGTAAATCTGATGAATTGTGTCTTTGCTCAGTTTATTTACTCATTCAAGAAATGTTGAGAGCCTACCATGAACTAGGTGTTGTGGTTAAAAAGATTAATAAGACCAGGTTTCCTTTTCGTTTTTCTTTTCTTTTCTTTTTTTTTTTTCTTTTTCTTTCTTTCTTTTTTTTTTTCCAAGATGGAGTCTCCCTCTGTTGCCCAGGCTGGAGTCCTCTGGCAGCTCGCTGCACCCTTTGCCATCCGGGTTCAAGCGATTCTCCTGCTTCAGACTCCCAAGTAGCTGGGACTACAGGTGCATGCCAGCATGCCCGGCTAACTTTTTTGTATTTTTTAGTAGAGACAGGGTTTCACCACATTGGCCAGGCTGGTCTTGAACTGCTGACCTCAAGTGATCTGCCCGCCTCTACCTCCCAAAGTGTTGAGATTACAGGTATAAGCCACTGCGCCTGGTCAAGACCAGATTTCTTTATAAGGGATTTGATATGGACAATGGTATACAAACAAAAATATGTAATTGATAAATTCAGCAAATATTTAGCACTTCCTGTGTATCAAGTATTATTTTCCATTTACAGGGCTGTAGCAATGAATTAAACAGGCATCTTCTCTTCCCTCCTGGAGCTTATATTCTAGTAGGGAAACTGATAAGACAATCAGGTATATAAGATGTCTTTTGGAGGTAAGTATTTGGGGAAGAACACATAAGAAGTTATGGGTGACGGTTTTGGAGCATAAATCATACCACAGAGTTGCCCTCCCCTGGAATTAAGGAAGCTGGTCTTTTGTATCTCAATGATTAATAATTAGTCATTGACTGAGAACCTCTCTAGGGTAGAAGTAGTAAGGCATGAAGCTTTCTGGGCAAGATGGTGCCAGTTAGCCAAAGGCAGTTCTCTGGAGAAGTGGGGGAGCATCTCCAAGCCATTAACAGCTCAGTTATTTACATTTTAAATAGTTTTAGTTATCGCATGTATATCCACTACTTACAGTTTACTGTTAACATTTTATTTTGTTATAATTCATCACATATCTGCCTCTCTATGCCTCCATCAGTCCATCAATCCACCTTATTTTTTGATGCATTTCAAAGTAATAATCTGCAGACATCTATATGCTTTCTCCTATTTAAGCATGAATATCATTAAGTGGATTTTAGCATTTGTTTACATTTTTCATTTGAAAAAAGTAATCATCTTCAAAACATATAGAATATTACCATCATCCTAGAAAGGTTCCTCGTGCCATTTCTAAGTTGATCCCCATATCTACCCCCAAGAGACAACCATTATTCTGATTTTTTTGGCATAGATTATTCTTGAAGTTGGTATAAATGTAATAATGCAATGCATATGCTTCTATGTAAAGGTTCTTTCACTTGGCATATTATATGTTGTGATTTATCTGTGTTGACTGTATGAGTAGTTCATTCCTTTTTCTTGCTGAGTAATATTCCTCTTTGTGAATATCCCATAGTTTATTCGTCTGTTGATGGACACCTAGTCTAGGTATAGGGTATTATAAATCTGTTATGAAAATTGTTGTACTAGTCTTTTCATTATGCATATATGTTTTAATTTCTCTTGGGTAAATAGTAGAGGTGGAGTCATGCATTAGGTGTACAGTAAGTTTCATAATAAACAGCTATATTTTTCTCCAAAGCCATTGTACCATTTTATACTCCTAAAATAGTGTGTTGGAATTTAAATTACTCTTCATTGTGATCAATATTTGATATTGTCAAACTTTTTAAAGTTAGCTCTTCTGGTGGGAGTATAGTGGATAGCTAATTATAATTTGTATTTCTGCAATGACATATAATGTTGAGCCCTTATAATTTGGGTGTGGGTCATTTATATATCTACTTTTTGAAACTACCTGTTCAAATCTTTTACCCATTTGAAAATCGATTGTCTCTTTATTACTGAGTTGTAGGTGTTCTTTATATACAGTAGTCCCTCCGTATCCACATTCCAAGACACACCCCACAGTGGATGCCTGAAATGACAGTACCAAATCCTGTACACGCTATATGCAGTAACTGATCTGATAACCAGGGTGGCTGCTAATTGACCAGTGGTCAGGTGGCATATACAGCTTGGATAAACTAGACAAAGGGATGTTTTACCTCCCAGGCAGGATGGAGCAGGATGGTGTGAGATTTCATCAGGCTACTTAGAATGGTGTGTAATTTAAAACATGAATTATTTCTGCAGTTTTCCATGTAATATTTTTAGACTGCAGGTAACCGAAACCATGGAAAGCAAAACTGCAGATAAAGGGGGACTACTGTATCTTGGATGTAAGTCCTGTGTTATATATGTTTTGTGAATAATTTTTCCCAGTTTGTGGCTTGCCTGTTTTCTTTAATGTTATCTTAGCAGATGTTTTTAAATTTTTAATAACCTCCAAATATATGTTTTTTTAAGTGGCTGTTGCTTTCTATGTTCCTAAGAATCCTTTGTCTACCTGTAAATAGTGAGACAGTCTGTTTTTTAATTTGTTTGTTTTTTTTCAAACTGTACTCTGCTTTCTTGAAGATACTTCCCAGAAACAGTCATGGTATTTCAGGCAGGACATGGGCAGACAATCATTAACAGTGTACAACAACTTTCAGACTCCTTCTTTGATGGACCACCAAAAATCAGAAAGCCACTATAAAACCCATGAAGTCTTCATTTGATGCTCAGAACAGGGAAAGTTTAGAGGGAGGGTTGACATTTCACATTTAGCTGTTGTTTAACAACTTTTCATGAGCCAGCCCTGACTTTCAGGTAGCGAAATGAAAATGGCAAAATTTATCTGAAGATCCTCAACTGCTGCTCTTTTGAGGGGCGCCATCTCAGTGGCATCACTGGAAGGTTCAGATTGCCTGACACACTGGTAACCAATTACTGGGGCTCAGGTCCCAACAGGTGTTTGGGCCTAAGGAGTTAAGTCTGTGCTGAAGGTGGAAAGGGAGAAGAGGACGTAAGAATGAATTTGTTTTTTCATACCACGTGGCATTTGTGCCAAGGTGGCTATGTGTGTCAAAGTCAGGAAATCCTTCTTCCTGGGAGCCAAGAGGAAGTTTCTTAAAACTAGAAGGGAAAAGGTGTTTTCCTTACATCAATCCAGCTTTGGATACATTCTAGTAGTGATATATGCCTCTTCCCCAAAAAGCAACAATGAAGTGTTCTGTGTGCTAACAGCATAGCTTTAAAAAAAAAAAAAAAAAAGGAAAACAAAATTCTGCATTTATATAAAACTTGATAAAAAATAGTATTTCAAACCGTACAGTCACCAGAGGTCCACAGTTGTCAAAAATGCACACACTTCACTTGGTATCTCCGGCAGCTTCAGCTTTCAGTGCCTGCTCTGTTTTGGCATTTCCATTTTCTGCAGGGTTATTCCCCTTACCCGCTTTGGGTACCTTCTTTCCTTTCTTTACCAAGGGCCTTTTTTGGCTTTGGCCCTGGTTTTAGAGGAGCAGGTTTAGCAGACAACCTTGTGGATTTTCTCTGTGGTTTATCCTTCACATTGGCTTTATCTCGTTTAGTATCTATCCCCTTCAATCCTTCTCGTGGGCATGGTGGCATCAGTGGTGGGATGTGGGCACTGATCACAGGGATGCAGTGACTCACGGGCTTTGGTTGATCTGGAGGTTGTTGTTGCCTTCTTCTTCACACTGCTCTGAATTTTTTTAAAAAAAATCTTTATAATTTTAGCTTTTATGTGATGTTTATTTTGAATTAATTTTAATAGCATGATATATAGGTCATTTTTTTTAAAAAATGCATTATCTCTTTGTTTCACCACGATTTGTTGAAAAGACTTTCCTTTTACCTATTAATGACTTGGTCAGAAACAAATGGCCATGTAGTGTAGGTCTTTTTCTGGACTGTCTGTTCTATTCTGTTGATCTACTTGTTAGTACTTCTGTTGATACCATATTCTCATCAACAAGAAAGAGCTGTAGAGTAAATTTTGAATTCAGGTGGTATAAATGCCCAAGCCTTTTTGTTGGTTTTCAACATTGCTTTGGTGTTTTCATTTCCTTGCATTATCATGTGTGCTTTAGAATCAGCTTTGCAATTTCTAAAAAATAACAAAAAAAAAAGCCTGCTGGAATTTGAGACTGTTATCTCTTTAGAACAATTTGGAGAGAAGTGACATTTTAACAGTAAGTATTCAACTTTTCAATCCATGAACATGGCTTATCTCCACTTACTTAGGTTGTCTTTAATGGTTTTTTTTTGTTACTGTTAAGCAACATTGTAGAGTTTTCAGTGTCTTTTGTTAAGGATATTTCTGTGTCTATGTTCATGAGGTATGTTGGTCTGCACTTCTCTTTTCTTATAATATCTGTAAGGTTTTGGGATTAATATCATGCAATACTTATAAAATGTGTGGGGAAGTATTTCCTTTTTCTTTTATTTTCTTAAATAATTTTTATAAAATTGGTGTTATTTGTGCCTTAAAAGTTTGATAGAATTCACTAGTGAAACCACCTGGCTGTATAGTTTGTGTGTGTGTGTGTGTGTGTGTGTGTGTGTGTGTGTGTGTGTGTGTGTGAAGAGTTTTGATCAATTTCTTTAATAGAGATAGGGCTATTTTATATTTTTTGCTCAACATTTTGTTAATTTTGACAAGTTATATTTTTCAAAGAATTTATACATTTTATATTAAATGTTAAATTTGGTATAAAGTTGTTCACAATATCTTATTTTTTAAATTAAGGATCTGAAATGATGTCCTCTATTTCATTTCTGATATTGGTGATTTCTTTTTTCTTTCCTCAATCAGCCTTGGTTTAGCAGATTTAATACTTTTCATAAATCTGATATGTGGCTTTGCTGATTTTATCTGTTTTGCATTTGTTTTCTATTTCATTCATTTTTTTCTTTTTACTCTTTTCCTTCCTTCTACTTTCTTTGAGTTTTTATTTGCTGCTTGCTTTTGAAATTTTTGAAATAGAAGCTTAGATACTGATTTTCATCCTTTACTTCTAATACATACATTTAAGGTGTAAATTCCTTTAAAATCATTGCTTTAGTTTTATCCTATGAGTTCCCATAAGTCATTTTTATTATCATTCATTACAAATATTTAAAAATACCTGTTGTGATTTATTTACTTTGTTCAACTTATGGGTATTTAGAAGTATATCACTTAATTTTTAAGCAACAGGAGATTTTCTAGATTAAAAAAATATTTACTTCTAGCTTAATTGCTTTGTGGTTAGGGAATATACTCTGAAAGATTTCAAAATTTACTGATACTTTATGGCCTAACATATGGTCCATTTTGGTATGTGTTTTGTGTTATAGTTTGTTTTTATTTGGAAGAGAAATTTGCTTATATATATTCAAGTCTAGTTATTTAATTGTGTAGTTCAAACATATCATAGTTTTTTTTTTAAATCTACTTGATCTTGTAGCTATTGACAAAGGTGTGTTGGTCTCCCATGTAACTGTGGATTTGTCTGTCACCTTTTAGTTTTGTATACTTTTTGTTTTAAATGTTTTCAGGCTTTCTTATTGGGTCCATTGATTTAGAATTATGATATCTTGGCTAGATGAGATGGCTCACGCCTGTATTCTCAGCACTTTGGGAGGCCGAGGTGGGAGGATTGCTTGAGCCCAGGAGTTGGAGACTGGCCTGGGAAACATAGTAAGACCCCATCTTTAAAAAAAAAATGAGAAAAATTAGTGGTGTGTGGGAGCTCACACCTGTAGTTCTAGCTACTTGGGTGGCTGGGGTGGGAGGATCACTTGAGCCCAGGAATTTGAGGTTGCAGTGAGCTATAATCACACCACTGTTCTCCAGCCTGGGTGACAACATGAGACCCTGTCTCAATATAGACAAAAGAGTTATGCTATCTTCTTGTTGATAGGACTTTTTAATTATTAAGAAATGCCTTTCTTTAGTAATGCATATTGCCTTAAGTCTACTTTGCCTGATATTGGCATAGTGATGCCACCTTTCTTTTTGTTGGTGTTTGAATGGTATATCTTTTCCTGTCATTTTGCATTCAGTTCATCTATGTTTATAGTCTTCTACTAGAGTGTTGAACATAGTAATGGATATAATTTGAGTTTAAATTATAAACCTTACTATTTGTCTTACATTTATCCACAGATCTATGCTGCTTTTTCTCTTATGTCTTACTTTCTTTGGTTTAGTCAAATGTTTTTACTTATTCTTTTTATCTCCTCAGTTTGCTTTTAATGAATATCCTAGAGATTACTACATGAGTTTTTGAGTTATTGAAGTCTAACATGAATTATTACTTCTCTTCTTGGGTAATACAGATATCTTAGAAACTTCAATTCCATTACCCTACTCCTTCCTTTTTTATTGTTGTCATGCATTTTAAATCTATATATTTTAAAGAACAGCCTATCATTGTTATTTTTATAGTCATTTATTAATACTTAAGAACATATTTACCCTTCCTATGGCTCTTCCTTTTTGCATGTATATGCTTTTTTCTAGTATCATTTTCCTTCTGGTGGAAGAACTCCCTTTTAGTAATAAATTATTTGTTTTTTCTTTTGATTTTCATTTTGCAAAGATATTTTTAAACTGAGAGTAAATTGCTTGATTGGCGCCAGTTTTTTTTTTTTTTTTTCAGAATTTTTAAGTCATTATTTTTTGCTATTCATCATTACTGTTGAAAGTATCTTTCAGTCTGTTGATTCTTGCTACTTTAAATGTGTTTTTTGGGGGTCTGGCTGTTTAAAAGATTGTCTTTAGTTTTTAGCAGTTTGGCTATGATTTGCTCAGTGTTTTTCTTTGTGGTTATTCTGCTTGAGTTTGACAAGCTTCTTTCAGATATGGCTTCATGTCTTTAATTAATGTTAGACAATTCTTGGTTGCTCACACTTCATATATTGCTTCTTCCCAATTTTCACGCTCTTATGAAATTTCAGTTATACATATGTTAGAACTTTTCAGTGGTTCCATATGCATCTAGTACTCTTTTCTATAATTTTTTGTCTTTATCTCTCTATGCTTTGGTTTGGATATTTTCTGTTGACCTGTGTCCCACTTCATGTTTGCTCTATTTAATCTGCTGGACACACCAAGTACTTACAACACTTTTGGGAAATTTTGCTGTTGAGAAGAGTGAGGATATAAGAGCAGTCATTGAATTGTGGTGGAGTAAAGAGTGGGACTTTCTTTTTGAACAAGATAGACTAAAATATGTTCATGTTATGATTGGAATGATTCAGGAGAGAGAAAAAGAATTAAAGCTGTTTGAGAGAAAAGGAAGATGATTTTTTAAAATAAAATTCTTGAGAAGGTGAGAGAGGATGTAATCCAAAGCAGTCAGAGAGTTTTCCTTTGGTAGGAGTGGGACATGGAATAAGCACGGATTCATGCATAGCTGTAGTCTTGTGAGATGGAATTCTGGCTTGACCAGTGGAAATTCTGTAGGTGCTGTAAGTTTCTAGAATGTGTGTGTGGTGGTGGGGGGTGGGGGGGCGGTGTGTGTTTGTGCGTCAGGTAGGAAAATTGTCCAAGAATGGAGAGTCAAGTGAAAGGTAGACAGTATTTATAGCTACCTAATTATGTTTTCTATTGCTCTGCATCCTCAGTGATATCTACCTTTATTTCTTAGGGTGGTCAAAAGTATTGTATTCTTTTAAGGAATTATTTAAATGTTTAATAGTCTTTTTTATCATATAGTTACAGTTTTGTACTATATATTTAAACATAGTTAATTATCTTTTTCTGGTTTAGCACTTTTATTACTTTTTAATTTTCATTTTTAATTATGGGTAAATAATAGTTGTATATATTTATGGGGGTAAACATAGTTAATTCTTTATAATTAATTTTAAATTCTTAGTATTTTGAATAGACAAGTTTTCTTTTTTCTTTTTAAATTTTTATTTGTTTTTACTTTTTGTGGGTACATAGTAGGTGTATATATTTATGGGGTACATGAGATGTTTTGATACAGGCATGCAATGTTAAATAAGCACATTATGAAGAATGGGGTACCTGTCCTCTCAATCATTTATTTATTGAGTGGCAAACAGTCCAGTTGTACCCTTTAAGTTATTAAAACATGTATAGTTATTGACTATAGTCACCCTCTTATGCTATGAAAATAAAGTTTTCTTAAACACATTTTCCTATATTTTCTTTTACAGTTTTGCAGTAGAAGAGTATAACCATGTTTCGGAATAGTCTCAAGATGCTGCTTACTGGTGGGAAATCAAGTCGTAAAAACAGGTCAAGTGGTAAGTGACTATGCTACATTTATTGTGCGTGATATTTTACAAATACAAGTTCTTTTAGGGTCCTGAATTAATGCTGTAACACTTTATTAATGCTTAACTTAGAACTTAAAAGAAAGTTTACATTTCTTTGGGCTTTCATACGCTTTATTAAGAGGTAGGAACACTTGAATGCGTATCAGGAATAGTCGAAAGAAAGGAAAACCTTGTGAAGAAAAATATTTATTTCTAATATATTAGAGAGTAATGTTTCTGTGCATTTGCTTATTAAAAACCTTCTAGACCTAAGTTTATGTTTTTGAATTAACAAATGAAATTATTGCAATCCTAGGCACTCTTTGGGGAAGGAAATTATAAAAATAACTGTCCTCAAAGATTTATACAGAAAGTGAAATATAAGTTGAATTTTTTATAGCCATTAAAATAAAGTTTATGGGTTTTCTTTTTTAGAACAAGGGGTTAAGTCTTAGGCTTTTGAGGTAAAACTATATATACTTCCTTGGTAAAAAATATTGAAAAGAAATGTATTAGAATGTTTGTTTTTTATTAATGAGTGGTAGACTTTTGTATTCTTCGTAATCTTCTCAACTTATTTTTCTGCAGTTTATAAATTTATATTGGTACTGTATTTATTGTCATTGATTTCAAAATGTTTCTGTAATTCCAATTGTGATTTCTTCTTGACCCATAAGTATTTGGAAGTGTATTTACCAGTTTCCAAACTGTTGCTGATTTTTTGTTTATCTTATTGTAAGAACAAACTCCCCTACATTAACAAAAGGAAAACTGTTTTTTCCTCCACTGCTCACACCAACATTTCTGGCCACCAAATATGTGGGTTTTTTTTTTTTTTCCTACAGTGATTCAATTCAGTTCTCTGGTAGACACCAACTGTATGTCCTACAATTCAATTCAATTCTGACGCTGTCTACCCTGAGTTAGCACAGACCCTATGGGTTATGGTCTCAGTCCTACAAGACTGCTTTCCACTTCAGACACCAATTGCGTGTGGTGGATCCCCAGGTTACCCACAACCTCTGTCCGACTTGGCTACAAATCGGAGGTTCCCATGACCCCTTTCTCAGGTTCTATCATTTGTTAGAATGGTGCACACAACTCATGAAAACAGTTTCTTTACAAGATTATTGGCCTATTAAAGAATACAGTTCAGGAACAGTGAGATGGAAGATGTGGGTAGGGCAAGGTATAGGGGAAAGGGCCCTGGGCTTCCATGCCCTTTTTGGGTATGCCGCCTTCTCAACATCTTCCATGTGCTCATCAACCCAGAATCCCATCGAACCCCATCCTTTTGGGTTTTTATGGAGGCTCCATTATGCACATATGATTAATTCATTGGTCATTGGTGATGAACTCAACCTTCAGCCCATCTCTCCTCTCTAGAAATCAGACGGTAAGGCTGACTCTCATGGTAGGCCTCCCTGGCAGCCAGCCCCTGTCCTGAGGCTATTCAGGAGCCCCCAGGTACCTATCATTCGTCTCGTTAGCATATAGAAAACCACTTTTATCACTCTGAAGACTCAGAAGTTTTAGAGCTGTGTGCCAGGAAATGAGCAGAGACAAATATGTTTTTTTTTGTTGTTTTGTGTGTGTGTGTGTGTTTTTTTTACTACGTCATGCTTCTTCTTATTGAATTCTAGCTTAATTATACTATTATCAGAAAATCTATTCTGTATTATTTTATTCTTTTGATATTTATTGAGATTTGCTTTACAGTTAATCATATGGTCAGTTTTGGTGAATGTTCTGAATGTACCTGAAAATAATGTGAATGTCACAGTTACTGGATTCAGTGTGGATCAGTTTTGTTAATGATGGCACTCAAACATTTCATATCCTTACTTAAAAAATTATTTACTGAGAAAAGTGTGATAAAATACCACATTATGATTGTGAATTTTTTTTATTTCTCCTGCTAGTTCCTGAGGATTTTTGCTTTGTATGTTTGGAAGCTGTCTTATTAGGAACATTCGAGTTTAGGATTGTTACATGTTCCTGGTGAATTGACCTTTTTAAAACCACTATGAAATGCCTCTCTTTATTTCTAATAATGTCTTTTGTTTAAAAGTTCATTTTTTTCTCATATTAATATAAGGACTCCAGGTTTTTTTTAATTAGTATTTGCAAAATATGACTTCTTTCATACTTTTGCTTTCAACATTTCTGTGTGCTTATGCTGTTAATAGCATATAGTTGAGTTTTCTTTTCTTTTATTCAGACATTTTTTTTTCTCTTAAGAAAGTCTTTGGTCTGCATGAATTTGGTCAGTCATATATTTGGGTATCTGTGTGCTGTCTACTTGGCCTATCCATTCTATGCTTCTTTCTCTCCTATCTTTCTTTTTCCTCTCTTCCTTTCTTTTGTGTTGATCAAAACTTTTTTTTTTTTTTTTTGAGACAGGATCTCACTCTGTTGCCCAGTCTGGAGTCTAGGGGCACAAACACAGCTCACTGCAGCCTCAACTTCCTTTGCTCAAGCAATACTCCCACCTCAGCCTCCTGAGTAGCTGGGACTACAGGTGTACACCACCACACCTAGCTAATTTTTTTTTAAATTTTTTGTAGAGATGAGATCTCAGTACTTTGCCCAGGCTGTTCTTGAACTCCTGGGGTCAAATGATCCTCATGCCTTGGCCTTCCAAAGTATTGGGATTACAGGTGTGAGCCACCATGCCTGGACTCAAAACATTTTTTATGATTCCATATTTTCCTCTATTAATTTTGAAATTACATACCCTTTTGAAATTTTTTCTGTGGTTACCTAAAGATTAAAACAATACTTAGTTTATTGAAGTTTGATATTTAATTGATATGTTTACCCTCTTCTTGGACAATGCAAGAGCTTTAGATTCTCTTCACCTATCTTTAACCTCCACAAGACATTACTGTTCTATGTAGTCACTGTTACTTAGATATGCCCATATATTTGACCTTTTCATTGATTTTCATTCCTTCCTGCACCCCTCACTTTCTAGATAGAAGTAACTTTATCTGAATAACACCCTTTGTTTTGTTTTATTTTATTTTTAGAGACAGGGTTTTGCTCTGTCACCCAGGCTACAATGCAGTGGCACTATAATAGCTCACTATAACCTCAAACTTCTAGGCCCAAACTTCCCTTCCACCTCAGATTCTGGAGTAGCTAGGACTACAGGTGCATACCACCGCACCTGGCTAATTAAAAAAATGTTTTTGTAGAGATGAGATCTCGTTATGTTTCCCAAGGCTGGTCTTGAACTCCTAGCCTCAAGTGATCTTCCTGCCTTGACCACCCAAAGCATTGGGATTTCAGGTGTGAGCCACCATACCTGGCCAAGAAGACTCTTTTAGAATTTACTTTAGTGAGGAGTCATCTATGACAAACTTTACTTTTGTTTATCTGAAAATGTCTTTATTTTGCCTTCATTTTTGTAGATTTTTTTCTTTTTTTTTTTTTAAGAGATGGGGTCTCTCTTTGTTTTCCGGGTTGAAGTGCGGTAGTTATTTATAGGTGTAGTCCTAATGCACTGCAGCCTTTAGACTCCCGGACTCAGGTGATCCTCCTGCCTTAGCCACCCGAGGAGCTGGGCCTACAAGTGGATGCTACTCTTCCTGGTTACTTCTAGGATACTTTTATGCGAGTATAATTCTAGGGTGCAGTTATTTTCTTTCAGTATTTTACAACGTTATTTATTGTCTTCTGGCTTCTTCCGTTTTTTTCTGGTGATCAGCTGTTAGTCTAATTGCTACTCCTTTAAAGGCAACCTGCCACTTTTCTCTTTTAAGGTTTCTAGATTTGTACTGGTATGCCTAAGAGTATTTTTTTAATCTTTATCATTGAAAAAAATCTTTATATTCTGGCCAAGTGTGGCAGTGCACGCCTGATAATCCTAGCACTTTGGGAGGCCGAGGCAGGCGGATCACTTGAGGCCAGAAGTTCAAGACCAGCCTGGCCAACATGGCGAAATCCAGTCTCTATTAAAAATGCATAAATTAGCCAGACGTGTTGGCACATGCCTGTAATCTCAGCTACTTGGGAAGCCAAGGCAGGAGAATCGCTTGAGCCTGGGAGGCGGAGGTTGCAATAAGCCAAGATTACACCACTGCACTCTAGCCTGGGCGACAGAGTGAGACCCTGTCTTTAAAAAAAAAAAAAAAAAAAAAAAAATCTTTATCATCTATTCATGCTTTTATTCATTTTGTAGGATTTCTTGACTCTGCGGCATGATGTCTTTTGTCAGTTTTGGAAAACTATTACCCATTATGTCTTCAGATTTTAATTTTTCTCTCATTTTTTTTTCTGGAACTCCAGTTATACAATTGATAGACCATACGCATATCATCTCTGACTCTTAACATTTTCTCTTAATCCTTTTGTCTCTATATGCTTTATGCTGGATATTTTCTTTTGACTTACCTTACATACTTTTCATACTTTTCTTTCTGTTCCTCAGATTGTGTAATCTCAATTGACCTATCTTTAAATTCACTGATTTTTTTCTTTTGTCTGCTCAAATCTGCTATCATGTCTACTGAATTTTTTTTCAATTATTGAATTTTTCAATTCCAAAATTTCTATTTGATTCGTTAAAAATTTTAAATCTTTATTGGTATTCTTTATTTGGTGAGACATTGTTCTCATATTTACATTAAGTTCTACTGACATAGTATCCTTTAGTTTTTTGAACATATTTAAAATAGGCAATTTAAAGTTGCTTAGTATCTCCAACATCAGGGCTTCCCTCAGAGACAATGTCCACTGTTTGCATTTTGCCCCTTGTATATAGGTCATACTTTCTTGTATCTTTGTATGTCTTGTAATTTTTTGTTGAAGCCTGGACATTTTAGATTATATAATGTGTTATCTCTGGAAATCAGATTCTTCTCCTCGCCAGGGATTTATTGATGTTGTTTTGATTATTTGTTTAGTCACTTCTCTGAACTAATTTTTCCGAGTCTGTGTTATTGTGCATGGCCACTAATGTCTTTGCTTGGTTTGTTTAGTGGTCAATTCATACTAGACAGACGTTTTAGCAAAAGCACAAATTATTACATACTAGACTTTTGAATAACTACTGTGTTAGTAGAAATTATATTATTAAATCCATACATGTTAAGGTTCTACTGTAGTATTATAGCTAATTCCTTTGATTTTCTGGGTATTTAGTTATATCAGTAATGATTTTTAGGAGTCTGATTCTAATATTTATTCCCTGGTTTTTCACACAAATTGTTTACAATTTAGAATTATTATAAAAATAGTGCTTTGTATTGTGTATGCAGAGAATTCTATTTGTAGAGAATCAGAATTTTTTTCATACTAAGAGATTATTCCGAGGCAACAATAAATGTTATATTAAGAGAAAATGTATTTATGGAAAGATATCATTAGTGTTTTTATTATTACAGTTTTTTTCCTTAACCCTTAATGAATAATTGGGTAGATACTTTATTCTTTATATTAATTGATGGCTCATGGCTTATTTTTGGGGTTAATAAGGGAAGTTTTCTCATAGGTATATAATTTTAGGGTTTTCTTTTAAATCAACGTAGTCTTTAGTTTAAAAAGCATTTGTAATGAAGGGAATTATCTGTCTTAATTTGTCTTTTAAATAGCTGATCTGAATTTTTCTGTGGGCCACTAGATAAATATTTCACAGAAATAGTTTTTATATCAAATTTATTAAAATAAGATATTTATTTATTTATTTTTTATTCTTTAAGTTCTAGGGTACATGTGCACAACGTGCAGGTTTGTTACATATGTATGCACGCGCCATGTTGCTGTGCTGCACCTATTAACTCGTCATTTACATTAGGTATATCTCCTAATGCTATCCCTCCCCCCGCTTCCCACCCCATGACAGGCCCCAGTGTGTGATGTTCCCCTTCCTGTGTCCATGTGTTCTCATTGTTCAATTCCCACCTATGAGTGAGAACATGTGGTGTTTGGTTTTTTTGTCCTTGCGATAGTTTGCTTGAAATAAGATAAATTTTATCTGGCAGAGTTTTCCCCCTAACGACATGAGAATATTAGCTTTGAATTTTATAACAGTTAATTAAGATTTATGATGTGAAAATTATTTTTTTCTGATGCTTGTAGCAAGTACTGTGAAATTTTCTTAAAAAAAAACCGCTGTGTGGTTCTTTTAAATTAAATGAGCTATAAAGAAAATATGTTTATATTTTCTAAAAGTTCATATATATTAAATGTTTATATATATTTTCTTATTTTTCCTAACTTTATCACCTTAAATTATTTAATTAAAAAACTTCAAATACGCTTCTTTGAGTCAAGTAATGCCGTTGTTTGATATCATTGTGTCATTGTTTTGGTAAATCATTATTCAAGTATGCTGGTGGGGGTGGGGAGATACTGGCAATTTCAGATATTCGGGAATTCAGAAAGATTAGTATCATAAGCATAACATAGCCTTTGGAGAATGTGTGGAAGGCAGGAGATAGAGAAACAAAAGTGAGCAAAGTACGTAAAACTTAAACACAGATAATTGCTGTAATGTACTACAAGAAGTAGAATTTATTCCAAGAATACAAAGATTTTTGTACATCAGAAAATTAACAGAACTTTTCCAATTAGAAAAAAATTTTAAACCACATTATTATATGTTGAAAAAGTATTTTATAAAATGGTATAGCAATTAAAAACATCATTAAGGCTGGGTGTGGTGGCTCATGCCTGTAATCCCGGCATTTTGGGAGGCCAAGGTAGGAGGATCATGAGATCAGCACTTCGAGACCAGCCTGGCCAATATGGTGAAACCCTGTCTCTACAAAAAAAATTTTTTTATGGCTGAATAATATTCTGTTGTGCCACATTTTGTTGGTCTGTTCTTCCTTTGATGGGCATTTGGGTTGTTTGCATTTTTAATCTGTGAATAATGCTGTAGTGAACATTGGAATATGAGTTTCTTTGAGTTTTTTCATTTCTTTTGGGTATATAGGAGTGGGATTTCTGGGTCATATGGTAATTTTATGTTTAACTTTTTGATGAATTAACTGTTTTCCACAGTGGCTGCACACTTAATATTCTTTCTGTCATGGCATAAGGGTTCCAATTTCTCCACATCCTTGCCAACAGTTGTGATTTTCTTCCTTTTTTTAAAATTATAGTAGGTGTGAAGTGGTATCTCATTGTGGTTTTGACTTGACTTTTCCCTAATGATTAGTGATATTGAGGATCTTTTCATTAATGATCGTTTTATGTCTTTGGAGAAATGCCTGTTCTAGTCCCTTACCTATTTTTGAATTGGATTGCTTGTGTTTTTGTCATTCACTTGGAGGAGTTATTTATATGTTCTGGATATTAATCTCTTATCAGATATGTGATTTGCAAATGTTTTCTCCCATAATAGGGGTTGTCTTTTCACTCCATGGTCATGAGGATTTACTCCTATGTTTTCTTCTAAGAGTTATGGTTTTAACTCTTACATTTAGGTTGTTGATCCATTTGGAGTAAGTATTTGCATGTGGTATGAAGGAAGGGTCCAAATTCATTCTTTTGCATGTGGAAATCTAATTTCCCTAGCACTGTTTTTTGAAGAGACTATTCTTTCTCTACTGAATGGACTTGACACCCTTGCGTTACTTATAGATTTTTAGATTTCATTCATGTTCCTGGTTCATAACAGAAAGGATGACTAATCCCTTATCAGTAAATGATAAAGATAAATGATGAAGATAGTAGATATTTTCTAAATTAAATTTTTTATTTTTTACTAAAATGATACAAATGTATGGGCTGCTATAAATTTACAGTTAACTGATTTTTTTAAAGAACTATTTCTTTAGTTTCATTTTTAAGTTTTTGTTCACTGTTCTGTTGTATAGGATTTTAGTTTTTATACAGTGTTTTATTAATCAGCTTTAAATTGATGCACATGGAATACAGGGTCGTGTCCTGAGTGTCTTCTATTCGAAATGGTTCCCCTTAAGCCCAAACAAATTCTGAAACATTTCTTTATCTCCAGGTTTCCATGGAAATCATGTTACTTTTATACTCTCCAGTCACTCCTCAGTGGATTCAAGGTTTTCTGTTCAGACTAGACATGGAACGAGTGTGATACAATTTTTTTGTTAACAAAACATCTATTTCTAGTGTAAGAAAAACAGTTATGGGTACTAAACCTCAAATTGGTTAGAGATTATTTTTTAATGAAAAATGTTTCTTATAATTTATAGAGCGAGTAATTACTAGAACTTGTGAACAATATGACAGCAGCAGCAGGGCGCGGTGACTCACTCCTGTAATCCCAGCACTTTGGGAGGCCAGGGCAAGAGGATCTCTTGTGGCCAGAGATTGGAGACCAGCCTGGGCAACATAGTGAGAACTTGTCTCTAAAAAAAAGAATTAAAAAATAGCCAGACATGGTGACATGTAGTCCTAGTGAGGCAGGAGAATCACTTGACCCTGGGAGTTGTTTGAGGTTACAGTGAACTGCTAATGCACCACTGCACTCCAGCCTGGGTTACAGAGCAAGACCCTGTCTATGAAAAAAAAAGAGCAGTTATTTTCTAAATTAAACGTTTTACTTTAAAATAATTGTAGATTTACCTGCAGTTGTAAGGAATAGCCAGGCGCCGTGGCTCATGCCTGTAATCCCAGCCCTTTGGGAGGCTGATGTCGGCGGGTCACCGGGAAGTCGGGGTTCAAGACCAACCTGGCCAACGTGGAGAAACCCGTCTCTACTAAAAATACAAAAATTAGCTGGCACACGCCTGTAATCCCAGCTCCTCAGGAGGCTGAGAGAGGAGAATTGCTTGAACCTGAGAGGCAGAGATTGCATTGAGCTGAGATCTTTCCATTGCATTCCAGCCTGGGCGACAGAGTGAGACTCTGTCTCAAAAAAAAAAAATAAATAAATAAATAAAATAAACAAAAAATAAAACAAAAAAAGGAATAATATAGAGAGATCTTGTGTATATTTGGGTTCCCCCAGTGGTAATCTCTTACAAAACTGTATAGTATAATATCACAATCAGGATATTAACATTGATAACAGTTGAGATACTGGACATTTCCATCACCACAAGGATTCCTTGGTTTGCCTTTTAATAACAGTACCCCCTTCCCTCTCACACCTGCTCCCTTGTTAACCCCTGATAATAACTGCTAATCCATTTGAAAAATTTTATCACTTCAAGAATGTTATATAAATGAGTTGTACAGTATGTAACCTTTTGGGATTGGCTTTTTAAATTTTGCATAATTCTCACAGGACTCATCCAGGTTGTCGTGTATCAATATTTGTTGCTTGTTATTGCATGTATTCCATGGTATGGTTATACCACTGTTTAACCATTCACCCTTTGAAGGACAGCTGAATTGTTTCCAATTTGTGCTATTTTGAATAAAGTTGTGAAAAATATTAGTGTACAGGGTTTTGTATAAACATAATTTTTTATTTCTCTAGGGCAAATGTCCGGGAGTGCAATTGCCAGCTCATGTTTTAATTGCATGTTAATTTATAAAGGAAGTGCCAACTCTTCCATTTTACATTCCCACCAGCAATGTATAAGTAATTCAGTTTCTCCTCATCCTTACCAGCATTTGGTCTTGTCACTATTTTTAATGTTATTTATTTATTTATTTATTATGGGGACAGAGTCTCGCTCTGTCACTCAGGCTGGCATGCAGTGGCGTGATCATGACTCACTGCAACCTCTGCCTCCTGGGTTCAAACAATTCTTATGCCTCAGCCGCCTGAGTACCTGGGATTACAGTTGCATGCCATCACCCCTGGCTAATTTTTGTATTTTTTGTAGAGACTGGGTTTCACCATGTTGCCCAGGCTGATCTCAAACTCCTGGCCTCAAGTGATCGGCCCTCTTTGGCCTCCCGAAGTGCTGGGATTACAGGTGTGAGATACTGTGCCTGGCTTTATGTTAGCTATTTTGATAGGTATATAGAGGTATCTCATTGTAGTTTTTTAAAATAATTTTTATTTATTTGTATAAATTTATTGAGTATAGGTGTGGTTTTGTTACATACCTAGATTGCTTAGTGGTGAAGTCAGGGCTTTTAGAATATCTATCACCTGAATAACATACATTGTACTCATTGAGTGATTTTCATTTTTGTAATGGCTCATCATGTTAATCATCTTTTCATGTACTTATTTGCTATTTGCATGTCTTTGGTGAAATATCTCTTCATGTCTTTTGGCTGTCTTCAATTGGATGTATGTGTGTGTGTGTGTTGGGTTTTGAGAGTTCGCTATATATTCTAGCCTTTGTCAGATACATGGTTTGAAAATATATTCTCCCAGTCTATAGTTTTTGTTTGTTTGTTTGTTTGTTTGTATTTTGAGACAGAGTTTCGCTCTTGTTGCCAGGCTGGAGTGCAGTGGCCTGATCTCAGCTCACTGCAACCTCCCCGTCCCGGGTTCAAGCGATTCTCCTGGCTCAGCCTCCCCAGTAGCTGGGATTACAGGCATGTGCCGCCATGCCTGGCTAATTTTTTATATTTTCAGTAGAGACGGGGTTTCACCATTTTGACCAGGCTCGTCTTGAACTCCTCACCTCAGGTGATCCGCCTGCCTTGGCCTCCCAAAGTGCTTGGATTACAGGTGTAAGCCACTGTATAGTTTGTATTTTTAATCCTCTTAACAGGGCTTTTTATAAAGCAAAAGTTTTTAATATTGATGAAGTCCAATTTATTGTTTTATTCTTTTTCTTTTTTTTCAAGACAGAGTCTTGCTCCATTGCCCAGTCTGGAGTTCAGTGGTGTCATCATAGCTAACTGCAGTCTTAAACTCCTGGGCTCAAGAAATCCTCCTGCCTCAGCCTCCTGAGTAGCTGGGACTGCAGGCACACGCCACCATGTCTGGCTAATTTAAAATTTTTTTTATAGAGACGAGGTCTTATGATGTTGCCCAGGCAGAAGTTTTACTTTTATTGATGGTGTGTTTAATTTCTGTCAACAAATATTTATTCATTAATCATTAAGTACTAAGTATAGTATGCTGGTTGCTTGATATTTGAGTCTGGGTTAAATTCTGTGTACCCCATGTACACAAAAGTCAGTTCATCTGTAAATACAAGGTGTTGTTAGAATCATGTGTGACTGTTTGTATTAGTCCATTTTGTATTGCTATAAAGGAATACTTGAGACTGAGTAATATAAAGAAAAGATGTTTGTTTATTTGGCTCACAGTTCTGCAGGCTGTGCAAGAAGCATAGCACTGGCATCTGCTTGGCTTCTGATGAGGCCTCAGGAAGCTTTTACTCTTAGGGGAAGGTGAAGCAGGATCAAGTGTGTCACATGGCAAGAGTGGAATTGAGAGAGGGGTGTAGGAGCTCTTTAAAACAACCAGCTCTTACATGAACGAATTAAGTAGAACTCCCTCATTACCATGGGGAGGGCACCAACCCTTCATGAGCTACCCTCATGACCCAGATACCTCTTGAGGCCCCATCTCCAACATTGGGGGTCACATTTCAACATGAGATTTGGAGGGGACAAATATCCAAACCATGTCACTGGAATTTTTTTATCCATTGCATATTGAACTTAGTTAAAATTTTTATTGCGCTCTGAATAATGAATGCTCATAATAAACGATGTATGTGCAATAGTATGTAATGCAAGTATTTTTATACTAGAAAAATATATTTTTTCTTCCAGGGTTCTGTGGTTTGAATATGATGTGTTCCCACCAGAAGTCATGTTGAGGCATGGTCCCCGATGTGGTAGTGTTGGGAGGTAGTACCTTTAAGAGATGAGTTAGGTCTTTAAGGTGGATTAATGTCTTTCTTGTGAGACTGCATTAGCTTTTGTGAGAGCTGGTTGTTATAAAGCAGGTCAGCCTCCTTTTTCCCCTGTCTCTTTCAAATGTGCCTGCTTGACCTTCTGGTCTCTGCCATGAGTTGAAGCATCACGAGGCCCTCAACAGATGGGCCACCTGATCTTGGACTTCCCAGCCTTCACAGCTGTGAGCCAAAATAAACCTTTCTTCTTTATAAATTATCCAGTCTCAAGTATTCTGTTATAGCAACAGAAAATGGACTAAGACAAAATTGGTACTGAGAGAGTGGAGTTGTTGCTATAACAATACTTGAAAATGTAGAAGCAGCTTGAAAGTGAATAATAGATTGTAGAGGGAAGAATTTGCAGGAGCAGGCTAGAAAAAGCCTGTATTGCCATGAACAGAGCGTTAAGGGTAATTCTGGTGAAGACACCAAGAAATCCCTAGGACTAGGGGAATCTGGAACTTCTTTGAGATTACATAAGTGGTCATGAGCAGAATATTGATAGAAATGTGGACAGTAAAGACCATTCTGATGAGATTTCAGAGGTAAATGAGGAATATCTTGTTGGGTACTGGAATAAAGGCTATTCTTGTTAGTAGCAAAGAGCTTGGCTGCAATGTGTCCATGCCCTAGGTCTTTATGGAAGGTGGAATTTAAGAATGACAAACTAGGCCGGGCGCGGTGGGTCATACCTGTAATCCCAGCACTTTGGGAGTCTGAGGCAGGCAGATCACGAGGTCAGGAGTTCAAGATCAGCCTGGGCAAGATGGTGAAACCCCATCTGTACTAAAAATACAAAAAAAGTTAGCCGGGTATGGTGGTGGGCGCCTGTAATCCCAGCTACTTGGGAGGCTGAGGCAGAGAATTGCTTAAACCCAGGAGGCAGAGGATGCAGTGAGCCGAGATCATGCCACTGCCCTCCAGCCTGGGCCACAGAGCGAAACTCCATCTCAAAAAAAAAAAAAAGAATGACAAACTAGGATTTCTGGTGGAAGAAATCTAAGTAGCAAAGTGCTCAAGATGCTGTGTAGCTACTTCTGGCCACTTACAGTGAGCTATGGGAGCAAAGGGATGATTTAAAGATATAATTTATAATTAAAAGGGAAGCAGAGCATAAACATTTCAAAAATTCCCAGCCTGGCCATGTAAAGAATGAAAAAGAATGTTTGGAAAGACAAAACAAGAGTGTGACCTGATGACCAGTTACTAAAGAGATTAGCATGAATAAGGAGCCAGGTGCTAGTCATCAAATTCATGGGAAAATGGTCCCCAAGGTATTTGAGAGACCTTGGAGGCTGTACCTCCCATCACAGGCCCAGAGGCTGAGGAGGGCAGAATGGCTTTAGGAGATGGGCTACTACCCAGGACTTCAGGTGTCTACTCCTTGCATGCCAGTGTGGTCCTGCTTGGCTGCACCAGCTGTGTGGCTCAAGTGGCCCCAGGTGCAGCTTGACTCACCTCTCCAAAAGGTACATGCCATAGATTGTGGCAGCAACATGCTGTGGTTCAAGTGAGCCTAGATGTGGCTTGTGCCACAGCTCCAGAGGACGCATGCAGTAAGCCTGGCAGTGTCTGTGTGGTGCTAATTCTGCAGGTGTGCAGAATGCAAGAGGTGTGGAAGAGTGCTTTTCTTCAAGATTTCAAAGAATGTTGTAGAAAGCCCACAGGCCCAGGCAAAAACTTGCCATGGGGTGGAGCCACCACAGAGGTTCCCTACAAGGGCAATGCCTATGAGGGACTTGGAAGTGGGGCTGCTGCTGCAGCCACTGGCAGCATGCAACACTGGCCCAGGAAAGCTGTAAGCACCAGTGTACAACTCTATCCTGTGAGAACAGTTATGTGGGCTGAGCCCAGCAAAGTCATGGGAGCTGGGTTGCCTGAGGCCTTGGGAGCTCACCCCTGCCCAACAGGGGGTATTACCTAGAGTGTCCAGGTGATGGCACATAGAGCGAAAGATTATTTTGTGTGTGTATGTGTGTGTGTATGTGTGTATTTTTTTAAGACATGAGGTCTAGCTATGTTGCCCAGACTAGACTCGAACTCCTGGGCCCAAACAATTCTTGCACTTCAGCCTCCCACGTAGCTGAGACTACAGGAATATGCCATTGTGCCTGTCCCTGGCCGAAAGATTATTCTGGAGTTGTAAGATTCAATGTCTGCTTTGTTCAGTTTGGGACTTGCTTGGGGCTGATTACTCCTTAATTTTTGCTTCTCTCCTTTTTGGCGTGGGAATATTTACCTGCTGCCTGTCCCATTACTGTATCTTTGAAGTAGATAACCTGTTTTGATTTCACAGGCTTACAGGAGGATGTTAGAGTTTTGAGTTTGTGCTGAAATGAAACATCTTTCAAGGAAGTATCAAAATGTGGCCTTATAACAGAAAATAAGGATTCTGATTTGGTGGCAGAGGATACTGTGCTATAAAATAAAATGTGACTGGAGAGTGAACTAAGTGCTAAGAACTTTGAAATTGCATTTGAAACAAATCTGAACTGACTGGTTTTGTTTATATTCCACAAATTTGTAGCAATTCTGTAATAGTGCTTCTCATCAGATAGACACATGTATTCACACTCATGTGTTCATATCTATTTCCATTCATCCTTTTTTTATTGTTGTTTTAATATTAGGGTTTTACTAACTTTACAAGATGAATTGTGATAATTTCTGTATTTTGTGGTGCTTCTTTATCATATAAATTATTTATTCCTTGAAAGTTTAATAGAACTGTTACCAGAAAGGGGTCCCGATCCAGAGCCCAAGAGAGGGTTTTTGGATCCCGTGCAAGAAATAATTCGGGGCTAGTCCATAGATTAGAGTGAAAGCGAATTTATTAAGAAAGTAAAGGAATAAAGAATGGCTACTCCTTAGAGCAGCCCTGAGGGCTGCTGGTTGCTCAATTTTATGGTTATTTCTTGATTATATGCTAGACAAAGGGTGGATTATTTATGCCTCTCCTTTTTAGACCATATAGGGTAACATCCTGTCATTGCCATGACATTCGTAAACTGTCTTGGCACTGGTGGGCATGTAGCAGTGAGGATGCCCAGAGGTCACTCTCATTGCCATCTTGGTTTTAGTGGGTTTGGGCCGGCATCTTTACTGCACCCTGTTTTGTCAGCATGGTCTTTACGACCTGTATCTTGTGCTGATCTCCTATCTCATTCTGTGATTAAGAATGCCCTAACTTACTGGGAATGCAGCCCAGTAGGTCTCGGCCTTATTTTACCCAGCCCCTATTCAAGATGGAGTATACACACATTTGCGTGTGTTCTGTATTTCACAGAGGAAAAGGACTTTTATGTGCATTACCTAATTTAATCTGTGTAGCAAATATGTGAGAGACTTTATAGGTGAGATATTAAATGTATTGCCCAAGATTATACAGCTAGTAGGAATAGAAGCCATTGAATTCTCACTGTATGTATATTGCTGTCCCTGAATAAATGAGACAGTTGAGTGGAATTAAGTCTAAACTGAGACCTGGAAACTGTCTTTTCTTTGAAGTAGTGACTCAGATGTAAGAGATTTTAAGTTGCTAAGGATTATACCAGAGCAACAAGTAGCCAAAAATTTGGTGGCTTCTTGTGCTAGAGTTGAGAAATACTTTGAGAAATTTGTGTAAGTTTTTGCTCTTTGATTTTTTTCTTGTTTTTCATAGAAACATATTAAATATGTCAGTTTCCTATATGTTTTATTATTTGAAAAATCACCCTATTAGACATTAAATGTAAACTAAACTAATTACCATTAGTATTTCTCCATGGCTTTCCTCCTTATTAACTGTGTGTTAATACAGTTGATGGTAATTTTTTTTTAAGTATGCTGTAGAACATTGGTCTCAATCATTTTAACCTGCTTATATGTTCATACAATATTTACTGAAAATGTTAGGGATTCCCTACTAGAGTGGCACATGTGATGATTAGAAGTTGGTGAATGAAGTTTCATAATGTCTTCCGGTTGTGGACGCCTTCTTCATTTTTACTATCTTTGGGTAGAATCTTTGGAGATGGGTAAGTAGGGAGAGAGGGTTGGAAGGTAGAATGGAATGAGAAATAGTGAAGGCTATTGAAGAATTTCAGCAATGAGGTGCCAAATACAGTCTTTAAATAAGAGATCACGGGGCAGGCATGGTAGCTCACGCCTGTAATCCCAGCACTTTGGGAGGCTGAGGTGGGCGGATCACATGAGGCCAGGAGTTTAAGACAAGCCTGGGCGACGTGGCGAAACTTCATCTCTACTAAAAATAAAAAAATTAGCTGAGTGTGGTGGCACACATCTGTAATCCCAGCTACTTGGGAGGCTGAGGCATGAGAATCGCTTGAACCTGGGAGGTTGAGGCTGCAGTGAGCCGTGATTGCACCACTGCACTCCAGCCTGGGTGACAGAGTGAGACCCTATCTCAAAAATAAAATAAAATAAAATTAAATTAAAATAAAATAAAATAAAATAAAATAAAATAAAATAAAAAATAAAATATCAACATGAGTTGGTTAGGTACCTATGTCCTTCCATGATTCTGTAATATCTGTTGCTGGTGACCTTTGACTTCGTATCCTGTAAATCTCCCTTTTATTTTTGTTCATTCCTTTAAGCAACATTAACCTCCTCCTACTCGAGGACTCCTATGCATGCTGCTCCCTATGCCTAGAATGTTAGTTAGCTCCCTTACTTCATTGATATTTCTAATCAGAAATCACCTTCTCGGTGAAGTCTTTCCTTGCCACCAGATCTAAGACTCTAACCCCTTCTTCATGTCACCTTTTTATTTTGTCCTCCCTTTTAAATTTTGTCTCTGTAGCGATTATCATTATTCATCTTATATGTCTTGCTTTTCTGCTTTATTATCTGTCTTTCCTACTAGAGTACAAGTTTCATGTAAGTCCATTCTCTTTTACACTGCTGTATCCTCAGTACCTGCCCGGCACATAGCAAGTACTTAGTAATATTTGTTTTATGAATGAAAACATTCTTTATGACATTTTAAGGATAACTCTGGCATCAGTGTATAGAATAGACTGCAGTGAGGAAATACTAATTAAGAGACAATGAAAAGGCTCAAGAAGTGACAGTAGGAATAAAGAGACAGAGGATACACAAGGAAGACATTTTTGAGGTAGACTATATAAGATTTGTTTACTAGAGTGGCTGGGAAGTGAAAAGAATGGGAAGAAATAATTTGTTCTGAAATTTCTGGTTAGAGAGACTGGCACACTGGTACATTGCATTGTTCCAGGCTCATATTGGATATTCAGTGATCATATATTGAATGAATAACTATTCAGAGATAAAATGTTAAACTTTTGCACTAAATTTTGCTTTCAAATGTAATTTATTTAGCTCTGTGGTTTATTTCCATACTCTGAATTTCTTTGTAAATTACTCTTATTCCAACTTTAGGATTATGCTTCCCCAGGACCTCAGAACAATTTTAAATGTTACAAGCCTTTTTAGCACTGTACTGCAATATTTTAGCCTAAAGATTTATTCCCTGATCATCTACTTTCATAGGTTGGTACTTTCAAAGTTTGCTGCATCCCTCCATGTTGGTAAAGAAGGAAGACAGAAAGCTATGTAAGGCTTATGCAGTCAGCACAAGTCGTTTTGTGACTAATTCTTTCCCATTTAAAGGAAGTTCATTTTCATTCTATTTAGTTTCTTCCTATCCTCAACTTGTACAAGGCACTTGAAATTTAAAATAGTGGTTTCTTAGTACTGATTGAAGTTTCCCTGGTAAAACTACTTTCATAAATGATCAATTCACATTTTAACAACAATTTTTTTAAAGTATTAAGTTAAACAATTTAAACTGGTTTAGTTTGGATGCTATTGCTGAAGATCGGTTACTGTAAAAATCCAAGTGTATATCAGTATGCCACTTATAATTCTACATTCATAAATTTGAGAGTGCAACGAAGAAAAAGAAATATTGAGTAATAGACTGATTTTTGATTCTTTAAAAAAGGGATTTAAATAATGAGTTAAATATATGATTTTGTCCTTAATACGCTATTTTTCATAGGTATATTTTGATATAGAACAATGTTTGTGCCAAATTAAAATGATAAATTATTTTAATACTGTCAAAATTTTCATCTGAATATATTTAGATTTTTGTTTTCTTAGAGAACTTTATTTCAAAGAAAAAAAACCTCTTGATAACAGATTTGTGCTTTTGCAAATTTATGGTATTAGTCTATACCATCTCATGGTCTCCTTATGATAATATAGTTATGCTTCTGTTTTTTTGAGATATATGGGAATTTTAATACAAACCCATACATGTACTCATAATAGTGAAAAGTTAATGATAGAACCAAGAAATGAGTGCGATATTAAAGGGAGAGCAAATGATAGTTTTAAAATTGGTATGATACAGCAATCATAGACTCTTTGTCCTCAAGGGTCTCTAGAATACATTTCTATAAATGGGAAGCATCTTTCTTACATATTTTATTCCTTACGTTAAAGAAACTCAGTAACCAAAAATTTGACCTTAAAAACAAGTTCCGCACTCCCCCACCTCATTCCATTTTCATAGAATTTTTTTTCTATTCTATTCTGGTTCTATTTGACTCCCCAGAGAAAATAGGTTAACTTACTTTTTTCCAGATTTAGAGTGCTCTGACCTAGAGTCATGATTCTTTGAGTTGTCACTAAAAATCTTGCCATCAGAAGTCCCGGTTCTTTAGAGGAGCCCCAAATGGATCTTTAATACCTTACCGAGATGGAAAATAAGCTGGTCATGTCTGTAAACCAAGAATGAACAAGGTAGGGTTTGTTTTTTCCTTTAATATTAATTTTTAAATATTTCACTTGTGTTATATTGAAGGAACAAGTAACATTGAAAATGTTGTCTTTATTATTAGAATGAGACAGAATGTTTTGCCTGTATAGGGGAAGTAAAACTTCACTTCTACTCTCAGGGTCTCCAGCTGGACCTGAGAATTAAATTGACATAAGACAGATTAATAGAGGAAAAGCATACAGATTTTTACATGTATGCCTCCACAGGGAAATGATGACCTAGACATATATGTACTAAGTTGGACAAAGAGTAGTAAATTGTAAAAACATAAAAAGACACAGGGGCTTGGGCTAGGGCAGTTAATCATGGAGAAATGGCTAGGAAGATAAGGGCTTGTCTTACAAGGTTGGTTGGTTCAGATTTGCCTCAACTCCCCATCTCGGGTGATAAGAATATTTCTTTTCTCCAGGTACAGGAAGGACAGCTTTTACATTGGAGTTTCATCTCCACTTTTCAGGAAGAAAAAGGAAAGTCAGAGTGCCCTTCTTGGATCTGCTGGTTTTCAAGTGCCTTTAGTTCAAAATAATCCTTATGCCAAAGTTACATGTTTTGGGGTAGCATATTCTGCCATCTTTCATATGGTAACTCCATGGCTCAATAACTTTCTACTGAAATGTCTTTTATAAAACTACTTCATATGTTCTCAGGCCAGTGTTGTTGTTAAAAGAAAAAAAGGGAAAAAGGAAAACAATTACTTCATGTAGTCAGTAGGATATATCAGTGAAATAATATTGATAAAAAGATATATGATAAAGATATAATACTAATTTTATTTATACAAAAAATGGTTTTACTATTTTACAGGAGCCTATGGTATTGAAGTATCCTTATGTATTTGAAGATTTAAACTTGGAAAAAAATACTTTGTTCATCTCTTCATACAGTTGATTCAGATTCAGCATACATTTATTAAATGTTTATTATGCACCATGTTAAGTACTTTAACCAGAGTTATCCTCATATATTACACAGCCTACGTTAGCTTGAAATGTGTATAAAAATTTGAAAATTTTGGGATTATTTCCTTTTTGTTCACTAAAGATTTTATTTTTGGACTCCATAGTTTTGATTAGGAAAGAACTTGGTAAATAATATTTATAATTATTGTAAAGCTGCTTAGCCAGTAGTCTGTGCCAGACCAAGAGTGTTACTTGGAACAGAAATATCTCTTATCCATTTTGTATCCTTGGTCTATAGCATAATGTTTTATAATACATATTTGTTAAATGGCATAAATTTTCTGAGAAAGTCATAATTATTCTGGTCTTATGTTTTGTGATTTAAAAAAATTAGATATAACTAGTTTTCAATCATTTTGAAATAATTTACAAACCCTTTAGAACAGTGCTGTTCAGTACAACTTTCTCTGATGATAGGTATATTTTATAAATCTGTGTTGTCTTATACTGTAATGGAAAGAACTTATGGCTGCCTCCAATTTTGGTTCATTAATTCACTCCACAGAGATTTTTTAGTGCTTACTGTATATCAGAAATTGTGATTCATGATGGAGATATTTCCTAGTCTCAGGGAGCTCAAAGTCTAATAAAGGAGAGAGATTTCTAAACCAACAGCAACAATATACTTGGAGGATAGGCTGGGAGGAGAGGAGAATGCAAGTTGAATTGTGAAGGACAAGTTAATAGTGGTCCAAATAGAGAAAGCAGCATTTGCTAGTAGATGGAGAGAGGAGACTATTTGGTTCATTCCAGTAACTGCAGTAATTCTTTCTATTTCTGGTACCTAGGGTGAGTAAGAAAGTTGCTAAAAAGAATGGACAGTTAATCACAGTAATCACTCATCAGTTAATGACATGCTTTGTGTGCCATGCTAAAGACTTTGCATTATATCCTTAAAGCTGCAAGTGAGCCACTGCAGGGTTTTAAACTGGTAAGTAAAAATCATTTTAACATCTAAGCTTAGTCCTCTTGACCCCATATTTATTAAACTTGAACTTTTTAGAGGAAATATGAACTTTATGTTAAAATTTGAATTTGATTAGATCCCGTAGAGTCTCCTCCCTGGTCAGTTTTGTTATTGTGGTAGTTAGGATGGTTAGAATTACTAGAGATACAATTTAAAATACTGAGACATTGAAGGGGATTTATACATTCATATAACTAAGAATTCCAGCAGTAGAACAATTACAGGTAAATTAATTCTGAAGCTCAACAGCATCACCAAAGACTCAATTTCTTTCTCTCTGCCATTTTCAGTGTATTGTTTATTGTTCTCAGGTTTGTCCTTACATAGCTGCAAGAGGACTGCAGTACCTTCAACTTTTACATCCACACACAGCATTGTTCATAGACTACTAGAACAACTAATCCCTTCTTGGGTCCCTTTTTAAGTTAAGGGAAACTTTCCAGACAGACACCCCATGCCACCCCCCACCCCCCGATTCACCTCACATCCAGTTGGCCAGGTTATATCACTTAACCTTTCTTAAGCCAATTAATGAAATTGCAAATGTTGTTATTGAGATTCATTTACTAATCAAAGTTCAACCCCTGAGAACCAGCCTCCCTTGAAGCAAATACCTAAAATAAAGTCAGCGTTCTTTTAGCATGAAATAAAGGATTGGATAGGCAACTAGTGGAGTCTGCCACTTTGTTTTTCTAACCTAGTTTTGTTTTTTTTAATCTTAAAAATTAGCAGTCTTTCTCATACCAAGAGTTAGAAGGACAAGCCCAAATTTGCCTAAGATAGGAAAGACAAGACCACCTTAAGTTTGTTAATAATCCAAATATTTTGATAAGAAGTTTGCAGAAATGAGGAGCTGTTGTAGTATAAATTAATCTTTCTGAGGCTTACCACTTCGAAGATCTTAAATGACATGGTTCTTGACTGCAAAGCTGAGGACTGGGCCCCAAACTATAGGATTTTAGTATCAGAGGCCTGCCTGGGAAACCAACCAGCAGATCATCCCAGAAGATAGATTTCTATGATTGTTCTTGACCAGGGGAATTCTCTTCTGGAATAGGAGTGGATGGGAGATTTGCTCCTATTTAATTTCTTTCCTAAATGTATAATTTTAATGACATAAATCTTTTTTGTACCTGAAAGAGGTCAGGTTTTTCCAAACTCAAGTATTAGAAACATATTTGTCTACTTTTTTGTTGTCACCTTTCATCCTAACCACAGAAGGCTTGGCTGGGGAATGTTCTTTGGGAGAAAGAGAATATTGAAGAAAAAATGATTTTTTTCAAAGTAAAGCCTGGCTATACTATTTGCTTCAAAAATTTACATCACACTTCATGATCTTAGCTCTGGTATTATTCATATACTAGTCACTATAGTCACTTCTTTACTCAGAATATTGTGTTACTTTGCTGTTCTACTTTGTTTCCATTTTAAAAAATGGTCAGACCATTCAGTTTTCCTTTCTGTTAAGCTTCCAGTGGATTCATGCTCTAAGGATGAGGTATTATTAGATACTTCTTTCCTTCCTTTCTGTGTTATTTTTCCATCCCTGATTATAGGGTGAGCACTTAATGTGGACCAAGTAGAGTATTGGGGGACACAGCTTACTTAGAAATAAAAGAGATAGTCTTTGCCAGATTATACTGCCTGTAATAAATAAACCAGTATTACTAAAATATAGTATGAGAAGTATTGTGATGAACCTTCTACATGGAGTACTAAGGGAGTTCCAAGGGAAGGACTCAATCTCAGACTGGAGGGAAATGGAACAATTCTTGGAGGAGGTGGTGACTATCACCAAGCCTACATAGCAGTTAGCCACTTTGAGAAATGGGGAAGAGGATGTTTCAGGCACAGAGTACAGCAAGTGTAAAGACGAAGTTGTGAGAAAACTTGACACATTTTGTGAACTATATATAGGTAGTTTGGTACTGTGGTGGTTCACTCCCATTTCTTATATCTATTTCTTTCTGCATATCTATTTCATTCTCTTGCAACCTTGCACATTTGTTTTAGTTCAAATAGTAGAACATAGCTACCAACAACTGAGTTTTGTATGTTATAGTCCAGGCACCCAGAGAAGGATACTGATTCAGTTCTTTTGTTTTCACATCCATAAGCTCATGGGTAGGTCAACTCCGGTCTTATTTAGGTCTGGTGTCCACCCTTTGACAAGTCAGTTACACTTTGGACTAGGGTGTGGCTGAGGTTTGTGATCATCTCAGCTTGGGTTAGCTGCCTATCCCAGTGCAAATCATCTATGGTAGAGGGAGGGAGTAAATTAGTATGGGAGTGAGAGTTTTTAAAGGGCACTTCCCAGAAAGGGGCGTATGTGACTCTGAGTAGGCAAAATGACATGCCATCTGTAGGAGCTATTGCAGCAGCATCCAGGCAAGAGATAATGAGGGTCTGAACTAAGAGCCTGGTGGTGGTATGGAGAAAAGAATCGACTGAACTACATGATTGATTGGGTGTAGGTCAAATGAAGGAAGAGCCTTAGTCTTACTTTTTAATTTACTTAACAAAAATACTTATCAAGTGCTTGCTAGAGCTACTGGAGATACAGCAGTGCTATATATCAGATCACTAAAAGAACAACTTGTTCTATACTCACACATTCTGACACCAGATGTGTTCCATTAAACAATTCTCCAACTCTTCCAAAACCAACTGAGTATCCTACAATTTAATTCTGATGACTAGGAGTTAGTTAGACCCCACAGGTTGAGGACTAGTCCCACAAGACGCCCCCCACTTAGACACTAATTGCCAAGTCTAGACCCTTGTACTTCTTCTGACCTACAAGCTATAATTTCTAGGTGCCCATGGCTCCCTCCTTGGGTTCAGTAATTTGTCAGAACAGCTCACAGAAATCAGGAAGACACTTAACATTTGCCAGTTTATTATAAAGGATATTACAGAGAATCTATATGAACAGCCAGATGAAGAAGTACATAGGATAAGATCTGAGCATGGGAACTCTGCTCCTGTGGAATTGGGGTGCCCCACTCTCCTGACATGAGGTTCACTGACCCAGCAGCTCTGTCAACCCCATTGTTTAGAGTTTTTATGGAAGCTTCATTATGTAGGCATGATTGATGAAATCATTGGCCATTGGTGATTGAGCTCAATCTCCAGTCCTTTTCCGTTCCCCAGAAGTTGGGGTGGGTGGAGCTGAAAGTTTCCCCTGATTTGATGATTGGTTCCTCTGGCAGTCATCCCCCATCCTGAAGCTATTCTGGGGCTTTCAGCCACCAGTAATCTCATTAACATACAAAAAGACACTCTTATCTCTCCTGGTAGTAAAATACCAAGGCTCTTAGTAGCTCTTGTGTCTATTACTGGGTGACTGAGATCAAATATTATAATAAAAGATGCCCTTATCATCCCAACACTATAAGCGTTTGAGGAAACTATAAGGGTTTTAGAAGCTCTGTGTCAGGAACTGGGGGTGGGAGGCAGAACCAAATAGATGTTTCCTATGTCATAATGATATAACTAAACTTACATTCAAGGACAACACCATGTTTATAAAGGAAGTTTCTGGGTTAAGTGACTGGGTGAATGATGGTGCTCTTCATTTGAGGTTTGGGAGGAAATGTAATGAATTCATTTTATGAAATGTGAAATTTGAGGTGATGATGGGTTATCCAGGGGATGTTAGATATTTGGGTTATGGACCCACAGGAGAAGGCAGAGGAAGAGAGAGAGAATTGGAAGTCATGACCATCCAGTGGTAATTGAAGTTTTTAAAAACTATAAAGTCGAATTTACTTTTTTATTTTGGTGTTCGGTTTTATGAATTTTCACACATGTGTAAATGTGTGTAGCTACCACCACAATTAGCATACATCACCTTACAGGTTACATCATGATATTCGTTTCTGGTCACTCTCTTCCCCCGTCCTTCACCTGGGAAACCAATGAGCTATGAAGATGGTTACACTAAACAACAGATTTTCAATGTAGATGAAACAGCTTTGTATGGGAAGAAGATGCCATCTAGGACTTTGTTGCTAGAGAGAAGTCAGTGCCTGGGTTCCAAGCTTTGAAGGACAGGCTGACTCTCTTGTTAGGGGCTAATGCAGCTGGTGACTTTAAATTGAAGCCAGTACTCGTTTACCATTTCCAGAATTCTAGGGTCCTAAAGAATGATGCTAAATATACTCTACCTGTGCTCTATAAATGGAACAATAAAGCCTGGATGACAGCATGTCTGTTTATAGCATGGCTTACTAAATATTTTAGGCCCACCGTTGAGATCTACTGCACAGTGCTCTGATGGAAACATTCAAGGAGATTAATGTTATTCTCATGCCTGCGAACACAACATTTATTCTTCAGCCATGGATCAAGGAGTAAATTTTGACTTTTAAGTCATATTATTTAAGAAATACATTTTTCAAGGCTATAGCTGCCATAGATAGTGATTCCTCTGATGGATCTAGGCAAAGTGAATGGAAATTCTGGAAAGGATTCACCATTCTAGATGCCATTAAGAACATTTATGATTCATGGGAGGAGGTCAAAATGTCAACATTAACAGAAGTTTGGAAGAAGTTGATTCCAACCCTCATGGATAGCTTTGAAGACTTCATTGGAGGAAGTAACTGTCGATGTGTGGGAATGGTAAGAGAACTAGGATTCGAAATACAGCCTGAAGATGCACTGAATTGCAGTAATCTCATGATAAAACTTGAATGGATGAGAAGTTACTTACAGATGTGCAGAGAAAGTGGTTTCTTGAGATGGAATCTGTGTCTGGTGAAGATGCTGTGAACATTGTTGAAATGACAGCAAATAATTTAGAATATTTCATAAACCTAGTTGATAAAACAGTGCCAGGGTTTGAAAGGATTGACTTCAATTTGAAAGAAATTCTACTGAGTAAAATGCCATCAAATATAGTATCATTTGCTACAGAGAAATCTTTCATGAAAGGAAAAGTTATTTGATGTGGCAAACTTCATTTGTTGTCTTATTTTAAGAAATTGTCACAGCCACACCAACCTTCAGAAACTACCCCCCGATCAGTCAGCATCCATCAACATAGAGAAAGACCCTCCACCAGCAAAAAGATCCCAACTTGCTGAAGGCTCAGATGATAACATTTTTTAGCAAGAGAATATTTTTAAATGAAGTTATATACATTTCTTTTTAGATATAATGCTATTACAAACATAATACAAAGTTAATAGATTATAGTGTATCATAAACATAACTTTTGTCTGCACTGGGCAAACAAGAAATTTGTGTGACTCGCTTTATTGCGATCTTCATTTTCTTGCAGTGGTCTGGAACGGAACCAGCAAAATCTCTGAGGTATGCCTGTGTATGACCTTTGAAGACTGACTTCTTTCACTTGGCATAATGCCTTTGAGATTCATCTGAGTTGTTGTGTCAAAAAGTACTAGCGAGTGTTCCTTTTTATTGCTGAATGGTATGCCATTGTATGGATGTATTGTTTGCTCATTTATTCACCCACTGAAGACCATTTGGATTATTTCCAATTTTAGGTGATTATGAATAGAGCCACTATAAACATTCATATATGGGTTTTTGTGTGAACATAAGTTTTCGTATCTGTAGGGCTGATGCCTAAGAAGTAGGATTGTTGGATCATGTGGTAGTATATGTTTAACTACACAAGGAACTGCCAAGCAGTTTTCCAGAGTAGCTGTACCCTTTTCATTCCCACCAGCAACATATAAGAGTTCCAAATGCTCCACCCACTTGGTAGCACTTGATATTGTCAATTGTAAAAAATTTTAGCTATTCTGTGTGTAGTGGTATTTCATTGTGGTTTTAATTTGCATTTCTCTGATGGCTAATGAACGTCTTTTCATGTGCTTGTCTTCCGTGTATCCTGTGTGGTGAAGTGTCATCAGATCTTTTGCCCATTTTTTATTTGGTTGTTTGTTTTCTCATTGGTGTATTTTAAGAGTTCATTGTGTGCTCTGTGTACAAGTCTTCTGTTGGATATGTGTTTTGCTTGCTTTGTTTATTCTCTTAACAGTGTTTGATAAAGTTCATTTTTCTTTTTTTAATGGTTCATGTTTTTGCTATCATATTTAAAAACTCTTTGGCTAATCACAAGTCATAAAGATTTCTCCTGTGTTTCTTCTGAAAGTTTTATATTTAGATGTATGATTTATTGTTTTTTATATAAAGTGTGAGGTTAAGGTTGATGTGTTTGTTTGTTTTTGTAGGGTTGTGTAATTGTTCTAACACCATTGTTGAAAAGACTACACTTTCTCCTTTGAATAGCTTTTGCACTGTTGTTAAAAATCAATTGACTGTATTTATTTAGATGTATTTCTGCACTGTCTGTTCTGTTAACTGATCTCTTTGTATTCTTTTGCCAGTACTGCACTGTCTTGATTACTGTAGCTTTAGAGTAAGTCTTAAAATAGGGTAGTATAATTCCTCCAACTTTGTTCTTTTTCAAAATTGTCGTAGCTATTTTAGATCCTTTGCTTTTCTATATAAATTTTAGAATCATCTTGTCTATCTATAAAAAGATCCTTCTGGGATTTGGGGTGGAATTACATTAAATCTATAGATCAACTGGGATAGAACATTTTTTCCATGTGGGATCTTCTTTTAGTACATGAACATGTTATGTCTTTCCATTTGTTTAGTTCTTCCTTGATATTTTTCATCAGCATTTGGTAGTTTCCAGCATATAGATCTTGTACATGTTTCATTAGACTTACATGTAAGTTTTTTTTTTTTTTTTTTGAGCTAGTGGTACAATAGTGCCCTCTTGTCCAGAGGGGATACACACCACAGCCCCCAGTAGATTCCTGAAACTATGGATAACACCGAACCCTATATGTACTTATGTCTTTTTTTACACATACATAGGTACCTATGATAAAGTTTAATTTATAAATTACGCATAGTAAGATATTCACAACAATAACAATAGTAAAATAGAACAATTATTATAACAATATATTATAGCAAATATAAATGTGGTCTTTTCTCGCAAAATATCTTATTGTACTTTATTCATCCTTCTTGATGTGATCTGTTGATCTGATAACTAAGATCACTACTAAGCATATCCAAACGACTAACGGGCATGTAGGGTATACAGCATGGATATGCCAGAAGTTACTAACGGCAGGTACAGTATACAGCAGTAGATATGCTGGAAGGGATGATTTACATCCTGAGCAGGATGGCTTGAGATTTTATCACACTACTCAGTATGGGGTGTAATTTAAAACTTATGAATTGGTAATTTCTGGGATTTTCCATTTAATATTTTCTGACCGTAGTTAACTGTGGGTAACTGAAACCATAGAAAGAGAAATCACAGATAAGGGGGTGGGTGGACTCTTGTTTTTAAAATTTTGGTTTCTTATTGTACATTGCTTATATTTAAAACATATATATATATAGGCTGGGTGCGGTGGCTCACCCTTGTAATCTCAGCACTTTAGGAGGCTGAGGCAGGCGGATTACCTGAGGTCAGGAGTTCAAGACCAGCCTGGCCAACATGGTAAAACCCTGTCTCTACGAAAAATACAAAAATTAGCCAGGCATGCTGGCGGGCACCTGTAATCCCAGCTACTCGGGAGTCTGAGGCAGGAGAATCACTTGAACCTGGGAGGTGGAGGTTGCAGTGAGCCAAGATTGTGCCACTGTGTTCCAGCTGGGCGGCAGACCGAGACTCCATCTCAAAAAATAAAATAAAACATAAGTATATGATTTTTTTTTTACTTTGTATCCTATGACTTTGCTAAACTAACTTATTAGTTCTAATCGATGTTTTTTGTTTTTGTTTTTTAGTAGATTCCTTTGAATCTTTTAAGTGGACAATAATGTCTTTTGATAATAGGGAGAGTTTTATTTGTTCCTTTCCAGTATGTATGCTCTTTATTCTTTTTCTCATTTTATGGCACTGGCCAGCACTTCTAGTACAATGATGGCTAAGAGTCGGGGGAGTGGTATTCTTGCCTTGTTTCCTGAGCGTTGGCTGGGGGGAAACATTGCTTTTCACCAATAAATATGATGCTAGCTGTAGATATTTTATGGATGTTCTTTATCAAGTTGAAGTAGTTCCCCTGTATTCCTAGTTTTCTAGTTTTCTTCAAGTGCTAATTTTTTAAAAAAATACTTTTTCTCTGATCAAGTAATAAGATCATATGAGTTTTCTTCTTTGAACCGTTAGTATGGTAGATTGCATTGAATGATTTTCAAATACTAAACTAGTCTAGCATTTCCAGGATAAACCCCACCTACTCATAGTTTGTTGTTCTTTTTCTACATTACTGTATTTTATTTTCTAATATTTTGTTGAGGATCTTTGTTTCTATGTACATAAAGGGATTTTGGTGTGTAGTTTTCTTTTTTTGGTAATGTCTTTATCTGGTTTGACATTCGAGTAATTCCGTCCTCATAAAATGAATTGGGAGTATTTTCTGCTCTTCTGTTTTCTGGAAGAAATTGTAGAATTTGTTATTTCTTTAAATGTTTGGTAGAATTCACCTGTTTAGTTATTTGGGCTTGGATATTTCTTTTTCATAATTTTTTTTTAAACTATAGACTTTATGTAATAGTTATAGCAATATACAGGTTACTGTTTAATCTTGAGTGAGTTTCAGTAGTTATTAAGTGTTTACTAAAAAGGTGTATTTAAAAGACCAGGCTGTGCTATAGAATAACTTTATGACCTTGGGAAAGGTACTTTAGCCTTAACCTCTCTGTCCTTAATTTGTTAATCTGAAAAATCAAAGTTTTAGATTTGTCTTTTTAAAGGTTTCTTCCAATTTTTTAATTCTAGTGGATAAGAGTGTATGTGTTTGAAGTTTATGTGAAAGGACTGTGACCCTCTGTTTCTTGTTTTATCTGTCGTTTATTGAGTGAGCATTGATTTATTTAGATTCACTTTGCCTTTTATCAGATAAGTTCCATATTTCCTCCTAATAAATGAATTATTTGTTGATGAAAGGTATGGGAGGAAGGCCTGTTTATGCATTTATACATGATATGGTATGTAAAAAATTACTTTCATAAGCTATTTATGTGAGAAAATTAAGACATATCGTGTTAGTCTTTAATGTTAAATTTTCTTGAAAAAATTATCAGTTTAGAATTTTAGAAATGTTAGAAATACATTTCTCTTTTGGTGATTGTCCTTCTGAATCTTCATGATTAAAAAATTCATTTATTTTTGGCTACTTAATAGAGACAATGTCTATATAAGTATTTTTTGCAAAATCATCTGGCATACTCTTGTGCATTCTGTCCTTTTGTTGGATTAAAGCAAAGTGAAAGTAGCATACAGATTTACTGCTGAAAGAAACATTAAGTTGCAGGCTGCAGCTGGAGGATTTTACGTAGGCACCTGTGGGTTTGAGTGCGTTCAATATACAGACTGCAGTAGGAGGCTGGCACTGACTCTGCTGACTCCAGTACACTCCTTCACTGCTGTTCTGACAATTTCTCCACTGTCCAGAAGACAAACAAAATGGTGCAGCACGTACAGGGCTTGGGAAAAAGATAACCGTCAATATGATCCAGAGGTGAGTTTGCTACAGTGAACAGGAGAGAAAATTGTTAACAAGATAAAAGCCTTGGATGTGGTTCAGTATGTCAGATGTCTTCAGCTGTTTTAATATTTGATTCTGGCCAGTAAGGATGAAACTGTTGTAGTTCTAAAATCTTCATGCCCTCTATATAAAGAGGTTCAGGTATATTGCATTTATAGCATTACTAGATGCATGCATGGTAGTTTATAAACATTTATATTTATACTAAACATGTGTAATGTGTGTGTCTATATAGATAGGTGTTTGTGAAGGTTATATCTATTAATACTGGATTTTTAAAAAGTAAGCACTTTTAGTTTTTATATTTTCTCTGTTGTACATTTGTTGCAGCTCCTGCCAATGTCTCTTTCCCTATATTGTTCATTTTATAATAGCAGAAAACATTAGTAGCGCACTCTGTGGTGAGATATGGAAAATCAGTAGAATGAACCTTGGAGTTGGCACTTCATATTTTATTGATGACTGTAATGCAGTGTGAGTTCGCATTGCACATAGTCTTGATTTAAATGATTACCTCTTTTATGAAAGCAAAATGTTTGTAAGAACGGCCATGTTGTAGACAGGGAGCATAAAATAAAGGAGAGGAAGTAGGACAAGTAACATTTCTCTGTCCTTGGTTTCTTGAACAATGTTCAGCATTGACTCAAGGCACTGTCATTTCAGAAGTACAGTATAGAAACAATTGAGCATCAAGCATAGATGAAACATGGAGGCTTAGTTTCCCACCCCCTCCAAAAGAAGCACTTTACTTATGTACTCACATATTTTCGGTTTCTGTGGCTGTGTTACTGGGTAGCTGTCCAGTTGAGACGAGATGTTTACTTAAGCCACACCCAGCAGAGTCAGCTTTTAATGTGTTGGGGGCACTATTTTAATCCTGTGCTGATTTGTAACCATCATCTATGGGATGCCTTTGAGTTGTAAAAAGAGGGAAAATACTAGATTCACAGGTTGCAGCTTACTATGTTTTTGAATATTTGAGTTGCTGTATTAATAGCACAGAAGAGCAGTATTTAAGTTATGCAGCATTTATCTATGGCAGAGAGAGATAGAGAATATGTGTATGGTTCCATTACAAGTGTAATGCAAGTATTCTGATCATATAGCTAAAAATGCTGCTGGTATATTATTTTAGTTAGTGTTGTGGGTAGTAAATTGGAGTATGACATTCAGAGTTCAGATTTTCTTATTTGAGAAAATATTTGTCCAAACATTTTAAATACTTAATTTTTCTGTGCTTTTAAAAGATTTGCAAAGGATTCAGCCTGAGCTTAGAAATGTATAATGTTTTATTCCATGCTAAAGACATTTTGTATGTGATAAGAATTAACAACTGTATGGCTGGCTGGCTGCCACTGTGTTGGATTACCTTACCCACCTTACTGTAGACAAAAATAATAAGGATTCAGCACTAATCCTAGTAGTCTCCATAGTACTCATATTGTATATTTTCAGAAACTCCTTTTTTATAGCCAAAGCAAAGTGTTCTCCCCAAAAAGAAAAAAAAATTAAAAACAAATCTCTCATTTGTACTATATTTCTTTGATTTTATCGAATAACACAAAAGAGTAATGTGAGATTTTTTATGTCAAGTTTAGTGACAGTAACTAACTACAGATTGAAATATACTATATTATTGAAATGTTTCATGGATCTAAAATGTTATATAATCCTGATGGAATGTTGCAGATGAAACAAAGAAATCTGATTGGTTCCTCACAAGATACAGCAGCCTCGAAATCCATTCTAACTAGAGGCTTCTACAGCAGCCTGGGTGGTTAGTATCACATAAAAACAAAAATGCCTCGGAGATGGGAAGGGGTTTGGAAGAGAAAATGAAGTCGCTAAAGCACTTCAGTAATCTTAATCATTGAACATTTTTTTTCAGCTTCTCTTTTTATTTTTATTTTTTGCTTTGCTTGTTGTTGCTTAAAGGGAGTGTTATATTCAATCGAGTTAATGAACTTTCTAAGTAGTATTCTGTAATGAACTAGAAGAGTCTCTCTAAAAAGAGTTTTATGTTAACTGATAGACTGGGTTAATGAATAACATAATTTCAGAACACTTATGAAATATGAATGAGTGGGACTTGTTGGGGGAAGGAGATGGATGAGATGGAAAAGAGCTCTGAAGAGCAGGACACTCATAGTAACTCTTTGGTCCCACCCTTTCCCATCATATTAAAATTGCATTAGATAATTTGTCATCTAAGACTTTAGTGATGCTTGGTGAGGGCACATTGTTATTGACACGCAAACAGCAGGATGCTGCAAGTCAGAACAGGTGGAAAATTGTTTGCTGTCTGCTAGCTATTAGAAATACCCTTGAGATGTGAGAATAATGTATGTTAGCTTTTACGTATTTATTATTCTTGGCTAGATAGTCTGCTGGAATATAGTTGCAAATTATAGTACCAAATATTCAACCCTTCTGTGCGTTTACAGAAAATATTTAAAATATGCCTGTAGTTTATTCTACTAAAATTTGAAAATTCTTATATTTAAATGGTAATAGGTCAAATTCAGTTATAGGATCTGGGGGAGGGAAAGTTACTGTGAGCAGGAATGAGCATTTACATTAAAAGAATGAATAATATTGAAAGGAAGTAAAGCATCATAAAATAAAGCATATTAAAGAAAATATATATAGATATGTCCTGATAAAAGTCAACTATATTTTGTAGTTTCTGTTCTGTGCTTATTTTCTAAATTATCCAATATGCTAATAGAGTCAGGCTGAAGGCAGCTGGCTGCAAGTGTTACAAGCTGAAAACAAAATGGCTGGCAAGGATTACTACTGTAAATTTGCAATAGAGAGCTGGATGCATTTAAGATATCTTTTGTTGAAAGAGTGTTAAAAAGTAAGATGATGAGGGAATGACTGTTGTATAAGCTGTTTTTGACAATAAACATTGTATTAAAAAATACTCGATTACAGCATGAAAACAAAAGGCTTTACATTCATTTTCAACTAAGCAATAAAAAACTCTTGTTAGTATTTATTTAGCCATCATTGTCTTTGTAATTTTAAGACCTAAGTAGTTTCTGAGGGTATTGTTTATGAATCGTTCAGATTCACAGTGTGGTTAAGGGTAGAAGAAATTAACAGTGAAGAATTTGTTACATTCTTGGAATGGGGAGGTGGAATTGAGAGCTAAGTTTCTGGGAGTTTTATATATTTTTTAATCTTCTAGACTAGCCTACATTAAGGATGGAAGACATAGAGTAACTGGAAAACTTAGAGATAAAAATGAAAATATAGTTTACAAAGTAACAACATCCATAGATCTGTATTTTATTTTTTTCTATTGAAGACCTGTTCATAAAACTATTTGTATTTTAGAAAAGACTTTTCTTTGTATAACCATAACCTATTTCAATTGATTTTTAGCAATTGTTGAAAGATTACATGACATGAAAATTGTTGATAGGCTTGGTTAGATTGAGAAATAGCTTCAGCAATTAATTAGTTAAGTAGATTGAAGACAGCACATACATTCACGTATCTTGTCTCTCACATTGTAAAGTCTATGTACTTTAAGAGGGCAAAAGTGTAAATATGTTATTGCCACTTCTCTAGCACATAGTATAATGCCCCATCACTTAATGGGTTCTCAGTAATTGATGTACAGATAATAATCACAAACATGTTTGATTAGTATTCACACACACATATACGCATATAAACCCATACATAATTATAAACCCATATACATACATATATAAACCCATACATAATGATGCTGATTTAATTTTCACAACCTTGTGGAATAAATTCTATCATTTTACTCATTTAACAGATGAAAAAACTGAGGCAGAGAGCAAGAAGTTAAGTGACTTGACCAAAGTCATATAGTAAATGGTGGAGTCGGGACTTGTACTCATGTACTTTGAACTCTTTCATCATCTTTTCCTCTAGTAATTGAAGATTAAGCTGTATTAGCATTCAACAGTATCTTTAGCCCTCAGAAGCATACATTATATGTATATTCTGGCAGAAACTGCAAAGCAGAGAAAACTTTTCTGCTACATCTTTCAAAATTGCTTTAACTGATGTTTTGTTTTCTAAAATCCCTTTTCAATCATTTAGATGTAGCTGATGGCCATTATCATCATCAGCTAATGCAGATGTACAGTTCTGAAAGCAATTTAAAAGCCCATAGCAGGTATATACAGGAAGCAGTTGGAAAAATATATTAAGTTTTCTGTACTCCCCAAAATGGCTGCCAACATCTATCAGTCATCAAGCCCAGTTGATTAAAACTTCTGTGTATTTCTGAACTTTGTCTTCTCTTTACTTCTTCATTCTCATTTCTTCAGAATCTCATGTCACTTAAATTATTGTGTCTCCAATCTCAGTACCCTTTAGTTCATTCTCTATTTTGCGTTAAGAATGAATTTTCTTAAATGTTCATCTGATTTTTCTAATATGTGCATTCCATTAGTTCTCCAAATAAAACATGGCTTGGTTTTTTACTGGTTCTCTTTGCTGTAACTGTATCCTAACACAGATGCACACAGATATAGATAATATATAGACCAGACAGATTTAGAATTTGATTTTAAAAGATTAATGTTTGAATCTCCTTTATCAGAGATGAAGATTATCAGTATAAATGTATCCATGAACGATTTTTGTTTAGTATTGTGTGTTTTAAAATATAATAGGTGGTATCATTTCCTCTATGTCATTCTGCAACTTGCTTTTTTGCTCTTGTTAGAAACTTAGTTTGTTTCTTTTATGTATTGTACAGTATGTTTCTTTTATGTATTGTATAGTATTCTATTTTATGAGCCCATTTCTTCCATCCATTTCCCTCCTAATATGAATTTGAATTTTCTGGTCTTTTTTGTGTGTGTGATCATAAATAATGTTCCAGTGAATATCCTTACCCACACATTAGTTTTTCTAGGAACTATACCTAGAAATGGACTTGCAAATGTAGGTTATTTGCATTATCACTTTTACTACATGATTTCATTACTTTGTCACTTTACCAATTTATATTCTTAGAAGTGTCTGAGAGTTTTTTCTTTTTCCTATCCAGTAGTCATATGGTCAGATTTCTTCCTTTTTCTCAGTCTGGTAGGAGAAAGGTAATGTCCTAGTGATTTAATTTGTTTCCTTAATTTATAGTGAGGTTGAACATCTTTTCATATGTTTTATAGGCCTTTAGAGTTCCTCATTTGTTAATAACCTCTTTATATCCTTTATGCATTTTTCTGTTGGATTATTTGTCTTTTTCTTATTGATTTATAGGAATTCTTTATGGATTCTGGGCAGGTTCAGCAAACTGTAGCCCATGGGCCAAATCCAGCCTGTGTGGCCTGTGAGCTAAGGATGGTTTTCCCATTTATTTTCCAATCATTCCGAAAAAAAATTAAAGGAGAATAAAATGTTGCAACCTATCAACATTACAAAAAATTCAAATCTCAGTGTTCTTGAATAGTTTTAGTGAGATACAGACGCACTCATTTATTTACATATTGTCTGTGCCTGCTTTTGCACCACAATGGCAGAGTTGAGTAGTCGTGACAGGGAGCATATGCTCTGCAAAGCCTAAAATATTTACTTTCTTTATAGAAAAAGTTTGCAGACCCATGTTTTAGATTGATCCTTAGCCTGTGACATTTATAACAGGTATCTTCTGTCAGTCTGTACACTGTCTTAAAACGTTCCCTTTGGTTTTAGGACGGAAACTCCAAACTTCTGTTAAATAGAAGTTTAAAATTTCAATTTATTCAAATCTATCATTCTTTTTTATACTACGTGTTATTTCAGGAATCTTTCTTTACTCAGAGACTACAAATATATTCTTCTATATTTGAAATAGTTTTGAAGTTTTGTTTTTCACTTCGATATTTTTAATACATTTGGATTTTTTTCCTTTTTTCTTATTGTTTTGGTAAGGGGATTATGGTATGAGAAAAGGGTCTAATCTTTTTTTCTCATGTGGAGAAAGCCAATTTTCCCCACCATATTTGTTGTTGAATACCCTTTTCTTACATCCAGTGATTTATCATCCCAGCTTTCTCATGTACTAAGAATCTGTTATATTTGCATATGAGTCTTTTCTGGGTTCTTTTATTCAGTTCTTTCCATATTCTTTTTATTTAAAAAAATTATTTTTAAAAAGTAGAGATGGGTGTCTCACTATATTGCCTAGGCTGGTCTTGAACTCCTGGGCTCAAGTGATCTTCCCACATTAGCCTTCCAAGTAGCTGGGACTGTAGGCACACACCATCATGCCTGGCTTCTCTCTTTATTCTTTGATTAAATATTTCTATATTCTATTTGGTCATAATGATTCTCATTATCCAACTACTTAATCATTGTATTCACTTTTCCTAGTTCCTTGGGAGAAAAATACAAAATGTAACACTCAAGAACTTTACTAATGATAAGTTTAGGGAAAGGAATATTGTTGTTAAATTTTGTATATTGCATATACAAAGGTCATACTGTTATCTTTATTAAATTCTTTTTTTTTTTGAGACAGAGTCTCACTCTGTTGCCCAGGCTGGAGTGCAGTGGTGCGATCTCGGCTCACTGCAACCTCCGCCTCCTGGGTTTAAGCGATTCTCCTGCCTCAGCCTTCTAAGTAGCTGGGACTACAGGTGCGTGCCACCACACCCAGCTCTTTTTTTTTTTTTTTTTTTTTTTTGAGATGGAGTTTCACTCTTGTTGCCCAGGCTGGAGTGCAGTGGCGCCATCTCGGTCACTGCATCCTCCACCTCCCGGATTCAAGTGATTCTCCTGCTGCAGCCTCCCGAGTAGCTGAGATTACAGGCGCCCACCACAATGCTTGGCTAATTTTTGTATTTTTAGTAGAGACAGGGTTTCACCGTGTTGGCCAGGCTGGTCTCGAACTTCTGACCTCAGGTGATCCACCTGCCTTGGCCTCCCAAAGTGCTGGGAGCCACCACACCCGGCCTTTAATAAATTCTTTAACATATTTTAATCTCAAATTTCTAGTTTCATTGCCATTATTATTATAATCAAGTAATATAGTACAGATTAAGTACCCACAAGTGCATGGTATTATGCTAAGTACTTTAAAAAACATTTATGCATAACCAGTAAAGACAAAATATTATTTAGGCATAATGGGATGAATAAAGTATAATTTATTTGAAAAAACAAATTTGAGGAATATTTACATAATATATGATTATTTGACTTTGTATTACTTTGATTTTCCAGTGAGTGTCTATATATTTGAATTTACTTATCAGTCAAAACAGAAAGAGGTTGTGTTTTTTTCTTGGAAGTGAAATGGAGAGGGGGAGATCTGATTTTTAGTCTATCAGTAGCTGTCTCTCTATATAGGGAGTAAGAGGTTTCTTGTGAACCATGTGACATAAAAATAGCCTATTACTAATATCTTTTGAAATTTTTATATCTTCATATACGAAGGCAGGGATTTTAGGTGAAAACTGTTTTATCCCCACTCCTTAGGTATACAGTAGTTGTTTTTCAGGTGTCTGCTTTAGACATCTGAAGGTAGAGATCAGAAACTGAAAGAAAGCCAATATTAGAAAAACAAAAGTAGATCCAATTAGAAATGAAGCTGGAAAAGTAGAACCTTATAGATCGTGTTCAATTTTATATCTTCTGACGGGAGAACATTTAAACATTCTAAGTATAAAGTGAGGTAACTGTTAGATTTGCATTTCTAAATGATTACTCAGTTATTTGTGGATATATGTTGAGAAGAGAATGGATATAGGAGTGGATGCAGGTTGGAGATGGAGACAAGTGGATGGATTCAAGAGACATTTAGGAGAGAAAATCAGTAATATTTGATGATGAATTCATTGAGATGGGGAGCTCTGTTGGAGAGTATCAGGTTTGAAGGGATGAAAGGAAGTTTAGAATTTCATGTTTCGATACTTTGAGTTTGAGGTATATTTGAGACATCCAAGTGGGTATTTCAAAAAGGCAGTTGTTATATAGACAGACTTTTCCAATTTATATACAAATAAATGAATAGGGGCTCCCTAGTAGAATAATGGATTTAAAAGTATGTAGAGGAAGAAAAATATCTTTTCTTCATTCATCACTAGGTTCATGACGGAGACCCCTAAAACAAAAGACAGATTTGTTAACAATAAAAAAAGCATACAAATTTACTTAATGAATTTTATGTGGCAACTGAAGCCTTCATAAGGAAATGAAGACCTGAAGAAACGGGTAAATCTGTGTATTTTTAATGTTAGATTTGATGAATAAGTGGATAGCTGTGAAGAAGTGTGATTGGATAAAAAAGTGGAATTTTATGGTAGTAAACTGGGGTTGGGGTGTGGGAGTCCTTAGCAAGACTTTTTATCAGGATTCTTTTCTGTATCCCTCTGTCTTCAGAGATAAAGGCGTTTCTTTACCCCAGGTATAGGTAGGACACCTCTTGAATGAGGGTCTTATGACCTGCTTTAGGAGAAGATTAAAAAATCCTTTCTAGGTTTTAGGAGTCTGCTTTAGGAAGAAGTGTGAGGGGAGGATGAGAGTGATCTTTCTGCTTCTGTTCTGTTAAATGCCAAGGTACCATATTTTGAGGTATCATGTCCTGAACTCCATCAAGTAAAACATAAATATTTGGGTTGAGTATTGAGAATTATTGCAGAACTCCAGTTTGAGAACACCTTATTTGTTTTTTGGAAAAACAAAAAGGGTTAGACAATTTCACTTCTGACTGTTCATGTTTCCCTCCATCTAGCTCTAGACCTGGAATTAATGAGGTGCTAAGTAGGGTAGTTATACATTTAAGTCTTTAATCCATCTTGATTTGATTTTTGTATATGGTGTAAGGAAGGGATCCAGTTTCAGTCTTCTTCATACGGCTAGCCAGTTATCCCAGTACCATTTGTTGAATAGGGAGTCCTTTCACCATTGCTTGTTTTTGTAAGCTTTGTTGAAGATCAGATGGTTGTATGTGTGCGGCCTTATTTCTGGGCTCTATATTTTGCTCCGTTGGAGCTGGAGGCCATTATCCTCAGCAAACTGATGCAGGAACAGAAAACCAAGTACTACATGTTCTCTCTTATAAATGGGAAATAAATGATGAGTACACATGGAGACAAAGAGGGGAACAACAGACAGACACTAGGGCCTACTTGAGGGTGAAGGGTGGGAGGAGGGAGAGGATCAGAAAAAATAACTATTGAGTACTAGCCTTGGTTCCTGCATGATGAAATAATCTGTACAGGAAACCCCTGTGATACAAGTTTACCTGTGTAGCAAACCTCACAGGTACATCTAAACCTAAAATAAAAGATAAGGAGAGTAAGTCAGATTTTAAATTTAGCCCTTAGTAAAACGGAATATTATTTCTCCTTCCCAACCCTCCATCTTCTGTTCTCTTAATGGTATTATAATCAAGCAAGTGAAATTCCCAAATTCCCAAAGAATTCTGAGGCATCCAGAATTCCCTTCTTTCTCTTGTTTTACTTATGCAAATTAATTAATTCAACAGCTATTTTTTGAGTACCTTCTATGTGTCAGATACTATTCTAGGCATGGCTAATAAAGCATTGAATATAAAATTATTTGTCCTCATGGAATTTATATTCTAGTGGGTGAAGATGACCAGAATTAAGATGAATAGGTAAAACATAGAATATATTAGTGATAAGTACTAGGTAGAAAAATAAAGCAAGGAAGAAGTAAAAAATGTGTATCTGTGTGAATATGGTGGTGGTGGGGTACCATTTTAGAGTGATGAGGGAAGGCATGATTGGGGGGACAGTTATGTATCTACCCAAAGGAGATGCAGGACAAGCCATGCGGACATCTGGGAGAGAAGTATTTCAGGCAGAGGCCTTGATATGAGTATATTCTTAGAGTGTTTAAAGTACAATGAGGAGAGCCAGCATGCTTCAGAAAAGTCAGAGAGCAAGAGTGGTAGGAGATGAGGTCAGAGAGGTAATAGGGGCCAGGTAATGTAGAGCTTTGATCTAAAGACTTTGACTTTTACTTACAATGAGAAACCTTTGGAGGGTTTTGAGGAGAAGAGTTTAATGATCTATTTTGTGTTTTAACAGAACCATTCTGGTTGCAGTATTGAGAATAGATTGAAGCTGGGCTGGGATGGAAGCAGAGAAACCAGGTTAGTCATGAGGGTGGCTGGGACTCAGGGTGGTGGTAGCAGAGGGTGAGAAGTAGTTTGGGTATATCATGAATAGCTGACAGCATTTACTGTTGGATTGTATGTGCAGTGGGAGAGAAAAAGAGGACTTAAGGATGACTCCACGGTTTTTGGCTTATACAACCAAAAGAAAGGAGTTGCTGTTTACAGAGATGAGGAAGACTGTGAGAGGAGCAGGTTCCTGGAGGACTATTAGGACATGTTAAATTTTGAGATACCTGTGTGATATAAAAGTGGAAATGAGGCTGGGCACAGTGGCTCACACATGTAATCCTAGCACTTGGGGAGGCTGAGTTGTGTGGACCACTTCAGCCCAGGAGTTTGAGACCAGCCTGTGTAACATAACAAGACCCCATCTTAAAGGGGCCTTAAGCATAACCTCCAAAATAAAAATTAGCCAGGCCTGGTGGTGCACGCCTACTCAGGAGGCTGAGGTGGATAGATCTCTTGAGCCTGGAAAATTGAGGCTTCAGTGAGCCGTGATCATGCCCCAGCACTTCAGCCTGGGCAACAGAGCAAGACCCTGTTTCAAGAAAAAAAAAAAAAAAAGAAAGAAAGTGGAAATATAGGGTAGGCAACTCCATAAATATGAACTTCATGGATGAGGTCCAGGTTAGAGATATAAATTTGGGAACCATCAGCATGATAAAACATAAAACCATGAGTCTATTTGAGCTAACCAATGGAATATATATGGCAAATAATACAGATTAAAAAGTGAGCCCTGGGGCAGTCTATCATGTAGAGACTGGGGAGATGAGAAACAATAAGCCAAGGAGACAGAAGGAGCCCTAGAGACAGGAGCAAAACCAGGCAAGTGTGACATCTTGGATATCAAGTGAAGAGAAGACTTCAAGAAAGAAACATTAACTGCATCAAATGTTGATAAATCAAAAAATAAAACTGAGAACTGACTGTTGGACTTAACAATGGACTTTATAAGAGATTTTGGTAATTGTGGATTATCTGGAATGATAGGGACAAAAGTCTTATGGGAGTGGATTTAAGGAAGAAAGGAAAAATAAATTGATGGCAGCGATTAAAATGACTCTTTCAAATGAGTACAGTCTTTGCAATTCTGTGTCCTAAATATTTCACAAGCCTACCCTTTTCTTCATAGTCTCAATGTTAGTGCATTTATTTAGGCTTTCCTTTCCTCTGAGCTTATGGCAGTGATCTCTTTACTTTTAGGCCATGGTCCACACCATTGACTTAAATATATAGTTGCCAAGGTTATCTTTTGAAAACACCTGTCAGATCATGCCACTCCTTTGCATAATGCCCATCATTTTCTTCCCTACATTTATAGCATAAAGTTCAAATTGATCATCATGAATAATATTTATGCCTTTTGTGATTATGCTTTTTATGATTATGCCTCAGCCTACTTTTCTAGTTTCATATCCTGCTTCTTACCCATACTTTCTGTGTTCTAGTTACATTGAACTCTTTAGATTTCTCTAAGTGACCTTTTCTTTCATTTGTGTCTTTGCAAATAAAATCTGGTACTGTTCCTGAAAACCCTAGCTCATACTTGAGAAGCTGTGGCTTCCCTGAGGTGTAGGTTAATATGAAGAAGGCAGAGGCTGTTCTAGCTTTTAGAGTCTTAGGAAAATGATTTATTTAGTTAATTTGTTTATTTATCTCTGGTATTATCTGTTGAAACTGTATGTTGAGGGGGATACATGTGGATCTCACTTTTGGCTGCATATAGACTGATCCAGGAATCCATGGATCAGTCAAATATTCATAAATTAAACTTTATTATAGCTATGTATGTATAAATGGTTCCTGACTTAGGATGGTTGAATTTAAATGATCTTCCAACTATGATTGTGTGAAAGTGATGCATGTATAGTAGAAACTGTACTTTGAGTACCCATACAACCATATTCTTTCACTCTCAGTACAGTCTTTAGTGAATTACATGAAACAGTCAACACTTTATTAGAAGATAGTGTTATAGTTTTAAAAAATTTGTGTTAGGTGATTTTGCCCAACTGTAGGCTAATGTCAGTATTATGAGTACATTTAAGGTAGAGTAGGTTAAGCTATATGTTCTGTAGGTTAGTTGTATTATATGTATTTTCAGCTTATGATATCTTCTACTTACAATGGGTTTATCAAGACATAACCCTGTCGTAAGGTGAGGAAAAAACATAGTGCACATCCTGCAGATAAGGCGGGACTGTTGTATGAATAACGTGCTGAAGAAGCACAGAAGAGAGAAGTTCTTTCTGGTAGGCATCCAGAAAGTCTATGTAGGAAGAGGAATGACATCTTTCAGTAAAAGGAACTTGTTGTTGATCATGAATATGATAGATGAAGATTCCATTTGTTTAGTATGTGCTTACTTTGTGCCAGATGTCGTCGTATATTTTGTGAATGTTACTACATTTGTTTCTCACAACCACATAGAGCATTATGATAACAATTTCACAGATAAGGAAACTAAGATACAGATAATTAATTTTCCTAAAGTCATATAAATTGTAATAGTTCAAAGATTGAGTCCAGCTCAACTCTGCTAGACACCCAGCACGTACATATTGGCTATAATTTCATTATACAGTCAAGTGGAGGGAGCTACATTTTATGCAGAGGAGAGAGCATAAATTGATAGCGGCCTTATAATATGTTTGCTTTTTGAATGTCATTGAGTAGTTTGGTGCTACCATAGTATAGGGGAGTATATTATTTAGGATTTTTATGGTTGCAAGTAACAGAAAATTTGAATCAGAATAGCTTGATATAAGGGGTTAGCAAACTTTTTCTGTAAAGTACCAGGTAGTAAGTGTTAACTTATATCCTATGGTTTATTCCCTCTTGGTTTATAAGATAGCAGCCAGCATATTCAGGGGCTCCATTGATCTTTTCCCATGTTTAGGGAGATACATAATCTTTTCCAGAATTTCTTTCTAATCACTTGAACTTAATCCCATCTTTGTTACAACTACTGAACTCTGCCATTGCAACACAAATACAGTAAATAATTTATTTGCTGTTATGACTGTGTACTAATAAAACTTTATTTGTGAACACTAAAACTTGAATTTCAAATATTTTTTGAGTCACAAAATATTGTTTTAGTTATTTGCAGTCATTTAAAAATGTATAAACTATTCTGAGCTCTCCGGCTGTGCAAAAATAGGTGGCAGGCCAGATTTGGCTCGCAAGAGTGTGCTGACCTCTGGTTTTTATGATGAAGATAATTTATTAGATTGTATAACTCTAGTCCAGAGATAGGGTAGTTTTCTTCAGTAATTCAGTGTCAACAACATCCTTGTTATGTTCCATCTCTTCATATAATCTTTGAAAGTGTTAATTTATATCTCATGGTTTATTCCCTTCTGTGTTTACAAGATGGCAGCCAGCATATCCAGGGACCTACCGTCTTTGTCCATGTCTAGTGAGAGATAAAACCTTTTCCGGAAGTTCTTTCTAATCTCTATTGAACTTAATCCCATCGGGTTTCACCCCTGCCACTCCACAGAGAGAGACCATGCTAAACCATTTACACTGGCTGAATGCAGTGATCAATTCTCAATCTTCATATTACTTGACCTATCAATATTTAATATTTGATCTTTTCCACTCCATAAAACCCCTTCTTTGTTTCTATACTCTCCTTGTCTTGTTCCTATTCTCACAGTATTCTCCCCAGGCTTTCAGCCTCTACATGTTCGATTCCACACCAAGTCTTAGTCCTCTGACCTCTTTTCTCTCTTTTTGTGTCTCATTCTTGTATATACTCTTTCCTTGGGGATCTCATGCAGTTTCATAGTTTAAATGGGATTTATTTACTAATGATTTGTGTGCCGATGGCATATCTATATTTCTATGCCTATTTGTCTAATAAGCATTTGAAACTTAGTATTTCCAAAACTGAACTCCGCATAGTCTCCTCATCCCCAAATCAGTTCTTTTGCAGTCTTTCCTGTCTTAGTAAGTTGCAAGTCCATTTTTTAGGCCCAACATATTAGAATTGTCCTCAATTTCTTTATCTTACTCTTCTGACAGCAGATTCTCTTTGCCATATCTTCAGAATATATCCAGAATCCAACCTCTTCTCACTACCTCCACTAACCACTTAGTCCAAGTGTTCATTCTTATTCTGAATTTTTGCAGTAGCCTCTTAATTGGTCTCTCTGCTTTGTCTACTTCTGCTCTCTTCCCCTTCAGCAGTAGAGAGCCTTGAAAAAGAACACAGTTTTAAAGCCAGACAATTTTGATTTTAGTATTGCTACTTACTAGTGGTGTGATATTGGGAAAGTCACTTTACATCTCTGAATCTGTCTTACATTTAAAATGGTAGTACTACTTGTTTCATTGAATTATTATTAGTACTAAATGAGATAATGTTATAAAGATTTTACTAGTACTATATCCAGCAGAAATGCCTAAACCAAGTCTAGCTCCTTTTCTCTTTTCTACCCCAAATAGAAGAGCTGCTCTTCATTTCTTCTGTTTATCAGAGTGCTTATGTAGCCATGGAATATTTTAAGCATATACTTTTTCATACGTAGCCTTTGGCTCATAAATGTTGTTTTTGTTTTTTTCTTTTGAGATGGAGTCTCGCTCTGTTGCCAGGCTGGAGTATAGTGGCGCGATCTCGGCTCACTGCAACCTCTGACTCCCTGGTTCAAGCAATTCTCTTGCCTCAGCCTCCCGAGTAGCTGAGATTACAGGCATGTGCCACCATGCCCAGCTAATTTTTGTATTTTTTTTTTTTTTTTAGTAGAAATGGAGTTTTACCATGTTGGCCAGGATGGTCTCAATCTCCTGACCTTTTGATCCCCCAGCCTTGGCCTCCCAAAGTGCTGGGATTACAGGCGTGAGCCACCGTGCCCGGCCATAAGTGGTCTTTAGTTTATGTTCCTGCTCCTTCCTTTTGTATTTTCTTTATATTTCATTCATGTCCTCTAACTCATGTGTGCTCTTATTGGCATTAAGTGTATCCAGTTCTTGCAGATTTGTATCTGATTAGTAAAAGGGACCAGAGTTCATACCTGAATAGTAAAACTTTAATCTATATGTATCCATTGTATTCCTTGTGGTTTTAATAACCTCCACCCCTCCTATTAGGGTTCTGTATTTTAGTTTCTAGAGTATTGAAGACAACCTCCTTCAACATTTTAATTCATAAAACCTAGTATTCTAGCAGATCATTTAGCTGAGAACACTAAAGATGAGCTTCGGCTAGATTAAGTTATTTTTCAACCGTCATGTTTTGATCCTGGATTGAGAGGAATAGTCACCCAGTTGCAGGAAATAACACATTTTTCTTGGACTTATTTATTCACTTTCTTATTAGACTTTCTCTAACTTAAATTCCTTCATAGGAAATCATTATATATGGAATATTCCTACATAAATGACATTTCTTTACTAGGACTATGTTGGTGCCTAAATATAGCTGAGTTTAAAGCTGTCTACTCTGTGAGGTAAATTCTAATGACATTTTCCCTTTTGAAATAATGGGAAGAGAACAATCTATTAACAGTATTTCTCAGTATTGAAATAATATTGTTTTATATTATTTATAAATAATTGCTGGATTTAACAGTATGCTGATTAAAAAAACAGCAGTATTCTCTGATGTTTATCTGAAATCTAGGAAACCCCAATTGAGATGGGCAGCTAGATCTTTTTTTTATTTCTGCACTTCTTACATCAGTGGGTTGTCCTTTGTAAAGTTTATGATATATTTGAAGTAAGTCTTTAACTTAAGTTTGATGTGAGTAAGTTCTATCATCATGTACATACATAACTCTATTCTATTTCCTGTACTCTGGGGTAATCAGTATTATGCAAACATCTTCACTTTTTTTTTTTTTTTGACAACTGAAGGCCTTCTGTTTTGTCCATAAATATAGATGCAAATATTATGTGAAGGAGGCCTTATCTGTAATGAAGGAATAGTGTTAAACAAGCAAAAACTTTAAAGTACTGTGTATCATTGCAGTCTTGCTTTTTTGAGTAATGGATTCCTAGATTCTATGAGGATACCACAACCACTTTTAAAGAGGTTTCTAAGGCCAGGTGCAGTGCTTACGCCTGGGAGACCAAGGTGGGAGGATCACTTGAGCTCAGGAGTTTGAGACCAACTTGTACAACGTAGTGAGACCTCATCTCTACCAAAAAAAAAAAAAAAAAAAAAAAAAATATATATATATATATATATATATATATATATATGCCAGGGGTGGTGGCTCCCACCTACAGTCCCAGGAACTTGGGAGGCTGAGGTAGGAGGATCACATGAGCCCACCCAGGAGGTCGAGGTTATAGTAAGCCATGATTGTGTCCATGCACTCCAGCCTGAGTGACAGAGTGAGACTCTGTGTTAAAAAAAAAAAAAAAAAGTTTCTACACCATCTTGGGGCAGTGGTGATTTTAATTATTTTTTTTAAAAATCTGTATTTACTTCTACCTGAGAGCTAATGACGACTTTTATGATTAGTTTCCACTGGGGTAAGATGTAATTAAAGTTTCAGTCTTAGAGAATTTTTCAAACTTACTGAAATTTTACTGTAATGTATTTCTGATTCATTTTTTAAAATTAAGGATGCTGGGTGTGGTGACTCACACCTGTAATCCCAGCACTTTGGGAGGCCAAGGCAGGAGGATGGCTTGAGCCCAGAAGTTTGAGACCAGTCCTGGAAATGTAGCAAGATCCGTTCTCTACCAAAAAAATTTTTAATTAGCTAGACAAGGTAGTGTGCACCTGTAGTCCCAGCTACTCCAGAGGTTTAGGAGGGAGGATCACTTGAGCCCAGGAGGTGGAGGTTGCAGTGAGTTGAGATCATGCCACTGTACTCCAGCCTGGGTGACAGAGCGAAACCCTGTCTCATAAATAAAAAAGGCAATTAAAACATTTTAGATTATGATTGTGTCAAAATTGGTGACTTTTTTTGTCTTAACATCATTGGTTTGCTGACTTGAAACTATTTCTTAAGCCATTTCTTATCTGTATTTCTCCTGTGGATTGTTTTGTTGAAACTCTGGCATTCTGCAGATTGCATAAATTTAAAATTATTGGAAGATTTGTTTTGTATTTATTTTTTCCCTTTTATTGTTTAGGAGAACAGTCCTGGTGAGGGGAAATGTCTATGTTTTATTGATGTTACTTCTGACATAATTCAAAGGCAAGGATTTTTTTGTTTTTTTTTTTAAGAGACAAGGTCTCACTGTGCTCACTATGTTGCCCAGGCTGGCCTCCAACTCCTGGTCTGAAGTGATCCTCCAGCCTCAGCATCTTGAGTAGCTGGGACTACAGGTACATGCCATCATGTCCAGTTGAGGGCATGTTTTGATGTTAAAACAGAGAATGCAATGCATATATGCCATTTTATCCACATAGAAAAATAAGAAAAATGAAAATTTATGACATACCTGCATAGGAGTGTTGTTTATTATAATTGACTCCCAAGTAAAAGAGAAGAAGTATACTTAAATTAAATGATCACAAGGAAGGAAAATTGACTTAAGACTGTATTTACACATCCTGATACCTCTGATATAAGATGCCATAGATTTCTGTTTTGTTAAAGTGAATCTTTATTCTACAATAATTTAGGACTTTATAATTTTTTTCTTTTTATAAAAACTTTTATTTTAGGTCTAGGTTTACACGTGCAGGTTGATTTATAGGTGAATTTGTGTCATGGGGGTGTGTTTTACAGATTATTTCATCACCCAGGAACTAGGCCTTGTAGCTAATAGATATATTTTTTTTCGATCCTCTCTCTGCTCTCTCCCTTCACCCTTAAGTAGGCCCCAGTGTCTGTTGTTTCCCTCTTTGTTTCCATGTGTTCTCATCATTTAGCTCCCACTTATGAGTGAGAATGTGTGGTATTTGGTTTTCTGTTCCTGTGTTAGTTTGCTAAGAATAATGGCCTCTAGCTCCATCCATGTTCTTGCAAAGGACATAATCTTGTTCTTTTTTATGGCTGCATAGTATTCCATGGTATAGAAGTACCACATTTTCGTTACCCAGTCTGCCATTGATGGGCATTTAGATTGATTCCATGTCTTTGTTATTGTGAACAGTGCTGTAATGAACATACATGTGTATGTGTCCTTATGGTAGAACAGTTTTGTATTCTTTTGGGTATATACCCAGTAGTGGAATTGCTGGGTTGAATAGTAATTCTGTTTTTAGTTCTTTGAGGAATTGCCACACTGCTTTCCACAATAAGTGAACTGAATACACTCCCACCAACAGTGTATAAGCATTACCTTTTCTCCGCAATTTGCCAGTATCTATCATTTTTTTACTTTTTTAGTAATAGGCATTCTGACTGTGTGAGATGGTATCTCATTGTGGTTTTGATTTGCATTTCTCTAATGATGTGATATTGAGCTTTTTTTTCCAAAAGCTTGTTGGCCACATGGGTATGTTTTCTTTTGTAAAATGTCTATTCATGTCCTTTGCCCACTTTTTAATGGGGTTGTTTGGTTTTTTAAGTTTCTTATACATGCCGGATTATTAGACTTTTGTCAGATGCATAGTTTGCAAAAATTCTCTCCCATTATTTAGATTGTCTATTTACTCTGTTGATAGTTTCGTTTGCTGTCCAGAAGCTCTTTTGTTTAATTAGATCTCATTTATCAATTTTTGCTTTTGTGGCAGTTGCTTTTGGTGTCTTTGCCATGACATCTTTGCCAGTTCCTATGTCCAGAATGGGATTACCTAGGTTGTCTTCTAGGGTTTTTATAGTTGCGGGTTTTACATTTGAGTCTTTACTCAATCTTGAATTGATTTTTGTATATGGTGTAAGGAAGGGGTCCAGTTTCAGTCTTCTGCATATGGCTAGCCACTTATCTCAGCACCAATTATTGAATAGGACGTCCTTTCCCCATTGTTTGTTTTTGTCAGCTTTGTTGAACGTCAGATGGTTGTAGATGTGTGGCCTTATTTCTGGGTTCTCTATTCTCATCTATTGGTCTATGTGTCTGTTTTTGTATCAGTTTTTGTTACTGTTTTTGCATGCTGTTTTGATTACTGTAGCCCTGTAGTATAGTTTGAAGTCAGGTAATATGATGCCTCCATCTTTGATATTTTTGCTTAGGATTTGCCTTGGCTATTTGGGCTCTTTTTGGGTTTCATATCAATTTTTAAATAGTTTTTTTCCAGTTCTGTGAAGAATGTCATTGGTAGTTTGATAGGAATAGCATTGAACCTGTAAATTGCTTTGGGCAGTATAGCCATTTTAATGATATTGATTCTTCTGATCCATGAGCCCGGGGTGTTTTTCCTTTGTTTGTATCATCTCTTTGATTTCTTTGGGAATTAATTTTTTTATGTTTTTTTTAAAATCTGTTAAGAGATCTGGGTCATTGGACCTGTAGAATTTCCTTCAGTCTGAATTATGTTGTTTGTGTACTCAGACACAACTTAACATTTTCCCTTTGCTTTTCTTGAAAATCAGTAGCTGGATTTTGTTGAATATGCACTCAGGAACAATTAAACATTTTCTTCTGTACTTTGTTTTTCCTGAAAATTGACAGCTATATTCAGAAGTTTGACCAGATTCAGGTTTGGTAGCTTTGGCAAAGCTGTAGTTGTGTTCCTATCATCACTTGTTTTTACTCTCTTTTGATGTTTTTAGGCACTGAGCCCCAGTGCCTATACAGCTATTAATTCATTGCAAGTTGCAGAATGGTGATATTCTAATTCCATCTTTTGTGTCCCACTTATTATCCAAAATAATTTTTAGGGAGATTCCTCTTATGTATCCTTTGGCTATTAGTAATATAGGTAAGGCAGCATCAAAGCTTGATTTTTTTTTTTCATTTTCCCAGTTTTCAAGATAATTGGTTTCTTGTCAACCTCAGAATGTGGCCAGTTAGTGTTTTGTTTTGTTTTTTTGTTTTCTTTAAACATTTTATGATCTCCTGGCCAGTGAGACCCTCTTCACTAACCTTTTTGACATGACCATAATTGAGAATAGTCTTGATAGTTTCCTTACTATTGGGGATGTCAGATGTTCCAGGTTCATTTAGTACATTTCCTTTTCAGACCAGCTAGTTCTTTAAGAAGTCCGGGTTTCTTTTAATGGAGAATGGCATTTCAAGATCACAACCTGGGCACTAGACATGTCCACTGCTACTGGATCAGTCTGTTTCTAGGCGTTTTCAGTGGATAGAGTTAGGATATACCTGTGATTTATAAGATTGTATTGATGTTTCCAATATAGATTCAGTATTACAGAATTTTTACTGTACTTCTGTACTACCTTCATAGCTCCTTTCTTCCACACTGAGAAATCTGGTTCGTAAGGGAAGATAGAAATAGTGTGTCCCATAATTACTCGCTTGCTTTATCCCTCCTTATATAGAGAGTGGTCTGAGAATATTACCACCACCAATTATTGAAATCAGTTAATTTTTGTTGTTGTTCATGCTGTCTCTATTCTTCCCCATTCACTTATGGTTGTACTGTACATGTATTGTCAGATCATGTAGTGATTACATACTACAATCTCTCTCTTTAAAAGTCCTCGTTTGGGCTGGGCGTGGTGGCCCACGCCTGTAATCCCAGCACTTTGGGAGGCTGAGGCAGGCAGATCACCTGAGGTCAGGAGTTCGAGACCAACCTGGCCAACATGGTGAAACCCCGTCTATACCAGAAATACAAAAATTAGCTGGGCATGGTGGTGGGCGCCTGTAATCCCAGCTACTCAGGAGGCTGAGGCAGGAGAATCACTTGCACCAGGAGGCAGAGGTTGCAGTATGCTGAGATCGCACCACTGCACTCCAACCTGGGAGATAAGAGCGAAACTCTGTCTCAAAAAAAAAACAAGTCCTCATTTAATCTTAATTCTGGAAACAACTGCATATTTAATCTCACCACTAGTGCTTATTTTGATATCTTTCTAGTTATTTTGTTGGCTTAAAGTTCTTTTTCTAATGGAACTAGGAAGAACTAATAACAGTATTCACTGAGTTTTTACATGTTGATAGCAGTTTGTCTTTACCCCTTATACTTAAAGGTAAGTTTTACTGAATGTAAAATCTTTAGCTCAGATTCTTTGTGTATTTTAAATATCTTTTTCCATTTTATTCTGTTTCTTTTTCTTTATAAATCATGTTTTGGAAATGAGGTTTGATGTGTGCCTACAGTCCCAGCTACTTGGGAGGTGGAGGCAGGAGGTGGAGGCTCTTTTTGAGCCCAGGAGTTTGAGACCAGGGTGGGCAGTGTAGCAAGACCCTGTCTCAAAATAAACAAATTTAATTAAAATTTTAAAGATTATGGCCAGGCACGGTGGCTCATGCCTGTAATCCCAGCACTTTGGGAGGCCGAGGTGGGCGGATCACCTGAGGTCAGGAGTTCGAGACCAGCCTGACCAACATGGTGAAACCTCGTCTCTACTAAAAATACAAAAATTAGCCGGGCGTGGTGGCTGGCACCTGTAATCCCAGTTACTGGGGAGGGTGAGGCAGGAGAGTTGCTTGAATCCAGGAGGTGGAAGTTGCAGTGAGCCGAGATCACGCCATTGCTCTCCAGCCTGGGTGACAAGAGCGAAACTCTGTCTCAAAGAACAAAAAAACAAAAAACAAACAAAAAGATTACATGATAGTTTTGCTTAAATACTCAAATGATCCCCCCCTTTTTAAATCCAGTAATTTTAGTAGAATTTAGTGCATTGATCTAAGTTGATAATGTCAAGTATACAGGGTACTCTTGAAATACATAGTTTCAAGTATGTGTGTGTGTGTGTTTATCCTTCCATGTATATATGTCTATGTATGCATATATGCATATTAACATAAATACATATATAACTAGATGTATATATACATATATAAAACATACATATACATGCAGGGTTTTTTTTTCTGAAAAGGGATCTTGAATTACAGTTTTTCTGTTCTCTCTGGTTTTCTTTAGAGATTCCTATTTATCCTTATGCTGGACCATCTTTGCCTGTCTTCAGTATTTGTCACTTTCCTGCAAATCCTTTTTAATCCCTTTCTTCTCTTTATTTGTTAAAAACTTTCCTCCCTTTAACCTTCTCTTTCTCTTAAGATCATTTTGTTTATTTGATCTTGCGTTTCTTCTAGTTTAGTCTTCATTACTGAAATGAATTTTATTTATAATTCTTTTCTGATTTCTGTCTCTTCATTTCTGAGTTTTTCTGATTCTGATTTGTATTGCTCTTTGATGTGTTATCTAATTTTCTTAACATTTTTAGAACTTTTTGAAATTGCACATTACAGTTTTGAATTGTATATTACAGCTTTAATTTTTTTTAATAAGCCTTTTTGGTGTAGTTTCATTGGAGGTATTACGATGCTTTTTATTCTCTTTCTTTCCTTTCCTGTCTTTGGGATTTGACCCTGATGCTTTCTTGTTGATCATTTTTGTTTAAAATTAGTTTACCCAAGTATGTATAAGGAGACATGTCATGATAGCTTTTTCTAACTCCACATAGCTTTCTCTTTTGTTGTTTTTTTGTGAAGTGTTACATTGCAGCTTGCCTTCTAGCACTGTTCTCCTCTTGTACTTTGATTTAGACTTTCTCTTTTCTTTGTCCCTTTTGTCCATTTTCTGCTGAATTTTCATTCCACTTCTAGGACTTTCTTTTTAGCATGGAGCCGTAGCTTGGCACATCAGTTTCAAGAGTACACATGGCTAAACTGGTCCAGCCTCTTCTGAACTTTCTACTGCAGGCCCCATGTACTCATTTGTTCTTAGAGTGGGCAAACACCTTTCATTGTCAGCTGGTGTTATCAAATTAATTCTTTGTATTTTCCGGTGAGTTGCATTCTAGTGATTGCCAGTTTCGTGGTCTGTCATACACCCTATTGCTCCCCAGCCCCCTCCTCCCCATTTTGTCTCATTTAGATGCTCATTAAGTTTCAGGTCTATAGCTGTTTTGTTTGTTCTTAGCAATACCCATTTATATTTTAGGGTTTGCAAGGATACCTTTTGTACAAAGGAAAATCCAACAGTATTCTTCTACTATACTCTTCATACAGAGCACTTCTGTGACCAGATGTGTGGGGGCATTTTTTCCCCACCACGCAATTCTTCAATTCTCTGAAGACACCAATCAGGTGTCCTATAATTCAATTCAATTCTGGCTACTTAGAGTTTAGAGTCAAATCCCATTGGTTAAGGGCTCAGTCCCACAAACATGACAGTCACTTCAGATGCCAGTTGCAAGTCTGAGTTTCTAGTATTTCTGACAAGGAAAAAAATTGGAGGTCCCCACAACCCCTTCCTCAGGTTTGAGCATTTGCTAGAATGTCTCATAGAACTCAGGGAAACACTTTACACATGTTTAGCTGTTTATTATAAAACAATATGACTCAGGAACAGCCAGATGATAGAGATGCTTAAGGCAGGGTATTGGATAAAGAGCCCGGAGCTTCCATGCCCCCTTGGGGGCACACCACTGTGCACATATTCAGCAACCCAGAAGTTCCCAAACTCTGTAGTTCAGGAATTTTTATGGCGGCTTCGTCACGTAGGCATGTTGGACTGTTAATTAAATCTCTAGTCCTTCTCTCCTTCCAGGAGGATGGGGCATGATGGGCTGAAAGTTCCTAGCTTCTAATCATGGCTTGGTCTTTCTGGTGACCAGCCCCCATCCAGGAGCCCACCAAGAATTAACTCATTAGAACAAAGGACACTCCCGTCACCCAGGAAATTCCAAAAGATTAAGAGGCCTGTGTCAGAAACTGGGACAAAGACGTGTGTGTGTGTGTGTGTGTGTGTGTGTGTGTGTGTGTGTGTGTAGATATATCTCTTACAGTATCACACTTCGTTACCCAGTATTGTGTGTGTGTGTGTGTAGAGATACATCTCTTACAATATCACACTTTGTTACCCAGTATTGTGTGTGTGTGTGTGTGTGTGTGTAGAGATATATCTCTTACAATATCACACTTTGTTACCCAGTATTGTAATTCTTGTTCCTGGGTAGTTGTTTTACTCTCTGTTATTGTTCTGATGATACTTACGTTGGAATTTTGGAAGATCCAAAAACTGTTCCACTGCCACTACCTTTTCACGATTTTCTCTATAATTTTTTGATGGCCCAGAGTTCTTAACTAAGGTGTCTTCCATCAGTGTCTGACATGTTTAAAATATGTGGGCTTTTATCTATATTCTGAGCTTTTAAAGATGCTGGACATCTACTGAGTATGTAATCTTCAATATATATATGGACAGGTTCTACATAATGATTGCTAATGCTGTATAACTGTAAAATGACATGAATCAGTCATATAATTAATTCAAAGAAGTCTGATAGAATGAAAAAGTAAAAGTAATTTGGTTCCATTCAATTTGGGAGGTATAAGAATTATAGTCTTTATATTAAAAAATACTGGGGCCAGGCACAGTGGCTCACACCTGTAATCCTAGCCGTTTGAGAGGCTGAGGCGAAAGGATTGCTTGAGCCCAAGAATTTTGAGACCAGCCTGAGCAACATAGTGAAACCCTGTTCTTTACAAAAATTACAAAAAAAAGTTAGCCAGCTGTCTTGGTGTGCCTGTGGTCCCAGCTACTCAGGAGGCTGAGATGAGAGGATCACTTGAGCCCAGGAGCTCAAAGCTGCAATGAGCCATTATCACACCACTGTATTCCGTTGTGGGTGACAGAGCGAGACCCTATCTGAAAAACAAACAAACATACAAAAACAAACAATTATACAGTCATTTCACTAGGAGACTCTCAGAATTACTTTTAAAGTATCTCTTAATCTCTTAAGCTTGATCTAATATTGATACATAAATGCCTGTCCTATTCAATGATAAACTCCTTATAGAGCCTTTTTACAATTTTCCTTTTATATATTTCCATCTTTTTAAATATATTCCTTTTCAAATGGTTGGAATACAAAAATTATTGTGGATTTTATTGTCTCTGGATAATCTATTAATCTTTATATACTGTTTATTGTATATTAAGTTATAATTTAAAAATAAAAGTATATATTTATGACATACAATGTGATGTTTTGATATATGTATGAATTGTGAAAGGATTAAATCAAGCTAGTTAACCTATCTAATGTCTCAAACTTTTTTTTTTTTGCTTTTTGTGGAGAATATTTAATATCTGTACTCTCAGCAATTTAAAGAATTATGCAGTGCACTATTATTTACTATAGTCACCATTCTGTACAATAGATTTCCGGCACCCATTTCTCCTATCAAACTAAACTCAATACCCTTTGAGCAGCATTTCCCCGTTTCTCCCTGCACACCCCTGCTCCCTCCAAGCCCCTAACAACCACCATTCTACTCTGTTTCAGTTATTTTGACTTTTTTAGGTTCCACATATAAGTGAGACAATGGAGTATTTATCTTTTTGTGCTTGACTTAGTTTACATAGCATGATGTCCTCCTGGTTCACCCATGTTGTTGCAAATGACAGAATTTTCTTCTTTCTTAAGACTGAATAGTATTACATTGTGTATTCACCCACACATTCACCACATTTTCTTTATCCATTCATTGGTTGATGAACACTTAGGTTGATTCCATATCTCTTGGCTATTGTGAACAGTGTTGTAATGAATATGCGAGAGAGTGCAGATATCTTTTTGACATACTGATTTAATTTCCTTCAGATATATACCCAAAAGTGGGAATTCTTGAATCACATGGTAGTTTTATTTTAAAATTTTTAAGGAACCTCCATACTGTTTTCTATAATCGCTGTACTAATTTTATATTACTACCAACAGTGTACAAGAGTTCCCTTTTCTCCACATCCCTAGCAACATTTATCTTTTGTCTTATTAATTATGTATGAGGTGGTAGCTTATTGTGGTTTTAATCTGCATTTCTCTGATGGTTAGTGCTGTTGGGCATGTTTATATATACACCTGTGGGCTCTTTATATGTCTTCTTTAGAGAAATGTCTATTCAGGTTCTTTGCCCATTTTTAAATAAGATAATTTGTTCTCTTGCTATTGAATTGAGTTCCTTGTATATTTTGAATACTAGCTTCTTATCAGATGTATGGTTTGCAAATATTTTTTCCATTTTGTAGGTTATCTCTTCACTCTGTTGATTGTTTTCTTTGCTGTGCAGAAGGTTTTTTTCTTTTTTCTTTCTTTGAGACAGGGTCTTGCTCTGTCGCCCAGACTGGAGTGCAGTGGGTGACAGATTGCACCCAGTGGTGCGATCATGGCTCACTGCAGTCTTGACCTCCCAGGCTTAAGTGATCCTCCTGCTTGTTGTCTGTGAGTCAAGTCTTGGTCCTGTAGCCTGGGCCTGCAAGGTACGTCCTGTTGTCAGGGTCTATTGGGATGGGCCTGGACCTGGGTCAGCTGGAGCCTTGGCCCTCAGGGTCAGGCCTGGATCCTGGGGCCACAGATGCTAGCCTGGCAAAGGGTGGGTCTGAAGCTTGGGACTTTGAGAGCTGGCCTGGTTCTGGGGCTAGTGTGGAGCCTGTGGCTGGCCTGGAGTCTGAGTAGTTAGGAGCCTGCCTATAGCATCAGGTCCCTTGGAATGGCCTGGCGGTGAGATAGGTCTGGAGCCCTGGGTATGTGGGGCCAGCCTGGTGGTAGGGCAGGTCTGGAGCATGGGGCTGCAGGGTCTAGCCTGGAGCCTGAAGCTGTCGGGGCTCACCTGGCACTGGGGCAGGCGTGGAGGCTAGGTTTACATTGTAGTTCAAAAGCTAGGAGTGGTGACCAGGGCACAAAAAGAGATATCTACAGTGGAAGCCCTCTAAATCTGTTTTGAGGAATGAGAAAGGAACTCAACACTCAGAATATGCCAAATGCTCACCACCCCTTTCCTGTTGTTTTATTTTCTGCTGCCCCAACCCCCGACCTTAGTGGTAACATCAAGAATTCACATAAGCCAAAATACTGAGAAAGGGGAACCATCCTCTCTGGTGGAGCTATAGTACCAAGAGTTGTCAGGCCATTCTTTAGATTATTAATGAAAGCTTTTTTTTTTTTCATTCTTCCTAGCACTGTGCTCCAGACACAGATATAGTCATGAAGTACATGCAGAGCAAGGTTACTATAGCCCTAGGTTTGTCAGGGTACCAAAAGAGGAGTCTTAGGGAAATGGAAAGTGCTGAAAAGATTGCTGTGAGGGGCACCTCAAAGTCAACCCCATTAAGTTTTTATGAGCTCCTGGAGTCACCCCTGAACTTCACAGGTGTGAATTTGGTCCTAATTGTCATACCATGGACTTTAGAACTGACCTAACAGATCACTGCCCAGCACCCTGACTGACCACTTCAGGGTACACAGGCAGTACAGATATCAATAGCAAAGGCTTTGAAAAATGTAACTAACATTTCCTGTAGTATTAAAGAAGACTTGGAGTTTCATAACTCAAAACATTCATAATGTCCGGATGCAACCAAAATTATATACAAAGATTGACATACAAATTACATATGAAATTGATACAGAAAGAACTAGGAAAATAGCAATTTGCAAGGGAAAAGACAACAGATACCAACTCCAAGAGATGACCAAGATATTGGAATTATCTGACAAAGATTTTAATGCAACTATTATAAAAATGCTTCTCTTTGGGGTGAAATAATGAAGGAAACCTTTTATTGTTACTATAACAATTGATGCCTCTCTTCTGAAGTGTAACATATTTCAGCCTGAAAAGTCTTAAATTTTTATCTCTCATGTATGAAATTAAATCAACACCCTATTTTTTATTTTATTAAAAATAATAATAAATAAATTCCCAATGGGAAAAAAATTAAAAAATACTCCAACAAGCAATCATGTGAACCTTCTTGAAATGAAAGGAAAAATAAAGTCTTAAGAAAGAAATAGGAGATATATAAAGAAGAACCTAATGAAAATTTTAGAAATACTAAATATAAAGACCCAAACAAGAAGCAAACTTGATGGGTTCAGTAGCATAATGGAAGTGACTGCAGAAGGAGTTAGTGAACTTGAAGACAGATCCATAGAAATTATCCAAATCTAAACAATAGAGAGAAAAGCAGGGGATGGCGGGGAAGAGAACCACAGGGATCTGTAGGATAATAACAGAAGATCTAGATTCATAACATTGGAGTTCCAGAAAAAGAGAAGGAAAAATGTGGTGTTAAAATAATATTTGAAGAACTTATAGCTGGGAATTTGTCAAATTTGGTAAACAGCACAAGTTTACAGATTCAGGAAGCTGACTGAATCCTTAATAGGATAAATGCAAAGAAATTCATACTCTATCACTATGTGATCAATCTGCTGAAGACTAAAGATGAAGAAAAAGTCTTGAAAGCAGCCCGAGAGAAATAACACATTACCTAGAGGGGAACAACAATTTGAATGACTGTAGATTTCTCATCAGAAAACGTGCAGATCAGAAAGTTGTGGCAAAAATAGGCAGAGGATATAAACAAGAATATACACACACCAAATGGCCAGTAAAACATATGCTCAGCTTCATTATTAATGAGGGAAAGGCAAATTAAACAAGAATCAGATACCAATTCGCGTTGTTTAGCAGAAATGAAAAAAACCTGAGTAGTATTCGTGAGATTGTGAGGAAATGGGAACATTAACTTTTTGTGGAAATAAAAATTAACGCAACTGTCTTTGGCAGAAATTTGGTTGCTCTTATGGAGTTTTTGCATTATATTATTTAGTAGTTTCGCTTCTATATCTTGAACATGTGCACAAGGAGCTTATATACAAGCAGATTAGACATGTGCTATAGGAAATGGTTCATTGCAGACTTCCTTTTGAAGTACTATAAATTTGGAGACTATCTAAATCTTCATTAGTAAGAGAATAGATACAATTGATATATTCATACAGTGGAATACTAGAGTTAAAATGAATTCGACAGATAAATTTCAAAACATAAGTATTAAGTAAAAATGGCACATTGCTGGATGATATAGTTTCATTACACTTACATAGTATAAACATTTGTGGAGGCATATATATGTAATAAAAGTATAAAAACATGCATGTTTTTATTCTAGAGTTAAAATGAATTCTAGAGTTAAAATGAACGTCCACACAGATAAATTTCAAAACATAAGTATTAAGTAAAAATGGCACATTGCTGGATGATATAGTATCATTACACTTACGTAATATAAACATTTGTGGAGGCATATATATGTAATAAAAGTATAAAAACATGCTTGTGATTTTACATATTAAGATATAGCGGTTAATTTGGGGAGGGATGGAAGAAGGGAAACTGTATTGGAGAACTGTATAATGAAAATATCAGCTGTGTACAACTGGTAGTGTTTTAGTTTAAAACAAATTGATGTAAATATGGGAAATCTTAAGATTTGGTGAAGTTTGATAGTTGCTATATCAGTGTGAGTTATATTTTTCACCGTATTTTCTATATATTAAATTTATTTACAATAAGATAATTAACTTATTTGTATATAATTTTGATAATTATGATTGTTATGAACATTTACATTATGAACATATTTCTCAGCTATTGGCACTGTTGAAATCTGAGGCCTGATAATTCTTTGTGGTGGTAGGCAGTCCTGTGAATTCTAGAATATTTAGCAGCATCCCTAGCCTCTGCCCTTTAGAAATGAGTAGCACTCTTCCAATTGTAACAACCAAAAATGTCCCTAGAAGTCCGTGGTTTGCTCCTGGTTGAAAATCACCAATTTAGAGACTACAAAGTGCTGTCACATGTGTTAGCTCATTTGAACCTCACAACAGCCTTCAGAAGAAGATGTTACTTTGACCTCAGTTTTACAGATGAAAACACTGAGACTCAGAGAAATCATCTAAAAATGACAGATATGGAACTAAAACTCAGGTCTTATTATGCCCACATACTGACTTTTTGTTCATTTGTATGTACATGAGTATATATTCCCACACATTTCCTGGTAACCTTACTAAAAGTAGAATACAAATTAAACATTCTAAAAAGTTTCTTATTTTTGTATTTCATTCACAGGCATATTATTTCATATCTCCTCTAGTAATTTGTTGATGTCTGTCTCAGGCATCTTAGTGATTACTGGGTTCCATTGTGCTTTTTTCATGAAAACTTCTTATAAATAATTACAAATTAAATAAAAGGAGTAGGTCCTCTACAGAGGACTGTTGTATTCTTCTGTTTTGCCTGGGTCTGTCTTTTTTGACATGCCATATTTTCATTCTGCATTTGGAGAAAATAGGTTACCAATAGAAACTTTTGCTGGGCTGCTTTTATTTCCTTATTAACTATCATGAAGTGTTTATGTAAAATACTTGTTTACAGAAATTTTTATAAATGGATTTTCATATTCAAAATATAATTTTGGTTTCAAACCCAAGTATCAAATTCAGACTGTAGAAATTATGTACACATTAGTTTTTCATGAAAATAGGAAATGATATTACCACATAATCTAGATATTGTGGTTTTCAACAATGTTTATTTAGAATAAAAACCATAAACTTAAGGGGAAAAAAAATCTCTTTCACAGTGCATTGTGCACTTTTAGTCACCTCGCAAGAGCCTTTCTTGGGCACAGAGAAGATTGAGATGTAACATGTAATTAAGCAGTCAGGTATTCCATTCATTTGGGGTGGTTTTTTGGGAATTTTACATTTTACTCACTAAAGGATCACCTAGAGAGAGCCAAGAAAAGGGTCCTTGAGCCCATGCAGCCATTAAACTTTCAATGGCCCCTAGGCCGGACATCATTTGCAGAGCCGCCTTCTCATCCTTACTGGCCTTACTCTCAAGTCATTCAACTCATTCCTTTTCACAGAGATTGCTCTAATTAGCCTTCTAAACTAATCTCCCTGCCTTTAGATCAGGGGTCATTTCCCACTGGCCAAATCTAGGTCACTCCTAGTTTTTGTAGGGCCCATAATCTAAGAATGGTTTTTATATTTGTAAATGGTTAAAAAAAATTAAAAGGATAATAATATTTTGTGACATATAAATTATATGAAATGAAAATTTTAGTGTCCATAAAGAAAATTTTATTAGAGTAGAACCACATGTGTTTGTTCATCCAGTATCGAAAACCACCACCCTAGTCTCTACACTACTATAAGGGGTATCTTTTTAAAATGCAAATTATTCTAGGTAAATGTGTTTAAAGATTTTTTTAAAAAACATTAAGCAGGTCAGGGTTCTTAGTTGTTTCTCACAATGTAATTTCTATGACAGCACATGCAGGTTAACATTGTGCCTCACTATAGGTGAGTTAAAAATGTTTCCATCTCAAGTGGTTGATTTGATAAGAGTAATTCATATATCAGTGTCATGAGCATTGACCTTTTCACTAAAAAGAAAATGTATCGTATTTTCACACTGTAAGCATTTAGAAAGAACTACTTTTACTTACTTCTTTTCTTGTTAGAGCAGCTTTTTTCTTGAATTCCTTGTAAAGCATGTATACCTAAGCTTGCTGTGATAGATTTCATAGATGTGGGGAATAGATGCATGATAGGGACTTTAGTTACCTAAGCATGGGTATACAGAATGTCAGGTGCCAAATTTTCTTAATAGAGTGTAGAATTTTTTTTTTTAAAGAGTCAAGGTCTCCCCTTGTCACCTAATTGGAGTGTGGTGGTGTGATCATAGCATAGCTCATTGTAACCTCAAATTCCTGGCCTCAAGCGATCCTCCCACCTTGGGCTCCCAAAGTGCTGGGATTACAGGTGTGAATCATTTTGCTCAGCCCTAGAATTTCTTAAATAGTGGTCTTCATTAGAAAGGAGCAGTAATATAGACCTGGAGAGGGAGGGTTATAGGGTTGGCAGTGTACCAGAATTCCTACTGAGGTACTTTATTTTGGTTGTGGCCAGTTGATTGTCAAGAGAAGCTCTCTTTTAGTAGAATGAATAGACAGAGACACCAAACATGGCTTTTGGGAAAAACATTTTTTTTTCTTTAGAGAATATATCTTTTGATTTTATATTGGAAGCACATAGGAAGGTTATATTGTAAGACTAAGTCTTCATAACCTGCTTTGTTAGAATGCCTCTATTCTGTAAAGGAATAATTGCTATAGTTACTGATTAGTGCTTTTTTAACATCGTTTTTATGAGAAAAGAATAAAACGGGAACATGAATTGAACTCAAAATATTTAATAAATTTGGGTAGAAATTAGTATCAGAGAGATGTATTGAGTCAAACATCCTTGGGTTAAAATCCAGTTTCATTTTTACTGGTTTTGTCATTGGATTTCAGTTAGTCACCATGAGTTTCAGTGTTCTCAGCTGTGAAATAGGTCTTTACTTCATAGGGCTTTGATGAACTATGTAAAATACCTGGCAGAGAGTACATAGTAATTATTGGCTGCCTTTCTGTTCTTAAATACATTTTAGAAAGAAGAGAAAACTTTAGGATTTTTGGACATATTGAATATTAATTCACAAGAGAGTGAGGTAGAAGGAATCCTAGAGGGTTTAAAACTTAGAAATTAAATTTGAGTTGGCCCAGTTGAAATACTGAGCCTTATTAAAAAGAATCCATATTTATAGAGTTGTTTACTTAGAATTTGATATACAGTTAAGAAGGATTGTAAATGTTCACATTTCCTTTAAAAGGACAAAATTAAAGAATTTAAGTTTTAATTTCAACAGAGGCAGATCAGCCATTCAGAGATGATAATCCATGAGTAGATTTTTGCTTTAATTTTTAAAAATAATGTCAAAGAAAAATTTCTTATATTTGTCTTTCAGATAACACCTTATTTTGTCAACATGTCTATTTTTATTCAAATGTGGTAACTTATATAGTAACAGCAGAACTAAAATAAACTGATTTATATTTAAAAAGTATTTTCATACTGGAGGAAAAAATATGGTTGCCTATCACTTTGAGTATCTTTCTATGTGATAAGTTATTTTACAAATCTGACTAAATTAGTGGAGTGTTTTACTAGATTACTGTGGACTAAGAGATATGAATATTTCCTGGCAATGTACTTATTATTTTGTATTGTCGTCGTATATTTGGAATCGATTGATTAAATGTTACTGTACTTGCTAGTTTAACAGCCCTCTACAAAATAGAGAATAGTTGATATATATACATGAATTGGATTTAATTATTGCTAGGCCTTACATATAATAAATATACTTAAAAGGAAGCTTTATATCAATAATGAATTAAAAAACAGGCCATTCTGTTTAAAAAGCAATAGATGTTACTACACGAGCTCTATTAAAAACAATAAACCATAGAATAAGTAGATGACAGAGCAAGAATACTCTTTATTAAACCTGCTTGCAGCTACTACCCCTTTTCCCTGTCAAGTTAAAAATAAGACAAGTGATTGTATGAAAGAACGAACAAAGGAAATTGTTTGATGCCTTAATGCATTTTTCATCTGATTAAAGTGATAACAAATTTATAGGTGTATAGACCACTATGTTAAAGATTTTGCTTGGTTTAGTTTCATATTTTATATTATACTTTACATTCTTAATATATTAATTTCTGTTTTACTGTGCCTATTTTAATGAATTTATGATGCATAATTTTTCTGTTTCTATATAACAAAATTGAGGCAATTATTTACAATAAAGTAAAATTTGTTTTAGCTTTTCTTAACATGCATGAGGGAATATACTGTTTTGGTTATTTCTTAAAAGAAGATGTATACAATGAAATGGATTTGTTTCTATATAATTTTAAAAATCATGGTAAAATAAACTCAAGATTTATTTGGTTTTTAGCTTTTATTGATTTATTTTATAGGTTTATTGATTTTTATTTCATAAAACATACGAATGTAATTCTTATTATAGTAAAACAGTACTAGGGATTATTTGATGTGCTGTTGTACTTTAGACAGAAAAAGCAGCTGTAATTAATTTAAAAGATTGTTTTAAATCAGGCCTTCTTAACTGGAATTCTGTGACTGAACTTTGGTGTTGATAACTTTCCTTCATTATATGCAAAGTAGAGTATATACATATGGGGGAGGGGAAAAACACCTACACTTTCTTAAGACTTCAAGAGGGGAGTGTAAACCCACAAAAATCAGGGTAAGAACCATTGGTTTATATAAGAAAAATCCTCAAATATTTTAATGATCCGGATTATAGGAAATACAAATAAATGATCGATATAGTAGTTTTAAATGTAGATAATGTCAGAGACACTGTTATGTCAATCTCATTATCTATTTGCTTATGCTCCTTTTAATTTTATGCAGATGGAGGGAGCGAGGAACCACCGGATCGAAGACAGTCAAGTGTAGACTCTCGCCAAAGCCGCTCTGGGCAAGGTAAATTTTCATCAGATTGATTATTAAATTTCAAAAAATAACGATAGATATTTCTTTCTAGTACTTAATTTGGAGACTAGGATATTGCCATGGTATAGTTTAGATATTCTAGTTTCTCATTTAGGATTTAAATGATATGATGTAAAAATCTATATATTATTTATTCAAGATATATGAAAATTAAATATTGTCTTGTGCCTGTTTTTTTAAATGATATTAACTTTTAAGTAATTTTGAAGCATTATGGTATATATCTGGATATCACTTTTGGAATGGATCCAAAAGTGAATTTTCAACACCAACATTTGTTGGAGTATCATCACACACTGGCTTTTTAAATTTCATCAATATAGTATTTGTTGTCTTAGCTGTCTCAGAAGAAATGGTTTTTGTTGGTAATTGCTATATTAGGATCTTCCTACTTATTTTTCTTTTCTATTTAAAATTTATTATCATAGGCCTTTGATTAATTTTTGAAGGGACAACTTCAAAACTAGGTAAAAACATTCTGAGTCAGTGAAATACCCAGTTAGACCTTTTCTAACTTATTTAACATTGCATGACCACCAGCTCTCTATTCCTTTTTCTTTATAGTACTTACCACCTTCCTATTTATTCTGTTTATTTTCTCTGTTCAAAACTAGAATGGATGTTGCGTGATAGCAGTGATTTTTATGCTTTGTTCACTGCTGTATCCTTATGTGCCAATAATAAGTACATAGTATATAGTAGTCACTAAATAAATGGTGAATGAATGATCTGAAAGAGAATGAGTTGAGAACCCAAAATGATGAAAAATAGATTATAAAATTTCAGACAATCATTTATTGAGTTTGGTTTTCAAAGAATCTTTAATAGCATAAAATAAAATAAAGCTGAGATTTACAGATGTGCAGTTTTTAATCCTGTAAAAGCTTCAGATTTATTTATTCTATAATCGTGTCCCTCTTTTTCTCCAAGTTTGCTCTTCCCAGTTTTTAGAGCTGTACTATTTTTATAAAACTGTTTGTTGCAGATTAAAAAGAGGAATAATATGAGTTGAAAATTTTAACTTATGCTAATACTTAATCATACTTAAGTAATAAGCATGTATTATGACTATGTCTGGAATTTATCTTATTCACTCTTATTTTCCCTGTAAACATATTTTGATATAAAAATGAGATTATGTAAAACTCTAAAAATAAAATTAGTACAAATTACTACTAAAATTGTAATTATTAAATGTCAAATTTTATTAAGTATCAAATATAGATGTTTGAAATCACTTATCTAATTTACTCTGAGCTTTGTCAGTTAAAATATTTTTCAAATCAATGAGCGTAATTGAATTTTATTAACAAAGCTAAAACTTCAAACAACAAAACCAGGGATTTCTGTGATCCAGAGGACAACTACGTGATCTCAATTTGAAGTCACCAGGAATTGTATCATTGTTAGAGTTAATTGATAGTAAAAGCATGTTTCTTAACTTTTTAGAGATTTTATTTGTAATATCTCTTTATTCAAAAGAAATATATATATTTTTTTATATGGAATCTTGCTTTGTCGCCTAGGCTGGAGTGCAGAGTGCAATGGCTTGATCTTGGCTCACTGCAACCTCCGCCTCCCGGGTTCAAGCGATTCTCCTGCCTCAGCCTCCTGGGTAGATGGGATTACAGGCCCGGCTTTTTTTGTATTTTTAGTGGAGATGAGTTTTCACCATATTGGCCAGGCTGGTCTCGGAACTTCTGACCTCAAGTGATCCATTCACCTCACCCTCCCAAAGTGCTAGGATTACAGGTGTGAGCCACCGCGCCTGGCCAGAAAGAAAATTATAAAAAACTATCAATAATGAGTTGAAATGAATGAGAAATAGTATTAGGAGTAAAAGATGGGATGAGTATAAAACGTTTGTTACCTCGAGAAACCCACTGAAAGATCAGTAAAGAAGGATTGGAAGGAGAAAGTATCAACACAGTTTTAGAAACTGGAGAGTATATGAATAATTGAAAACTGAACTCCAACAGTAGCAGAGGAAATCAACAAAACAACCTCGAGAGGTCTCAAAAAGCTTGAGAATGGCAGTGTGTGGAAATGGAGATGCAGTGACAATTGGTTGAAAGTCAGATGAAGAAGCATTGGGTTTCTGGAACTTCCTCCCCAAAACCACCTAACCAGTCAGCTGGGCAAATGCTGAACTCCTCACCCCTAACCAAAAGCAAAATTTATCCTTAGGAGTGGGGAAAACCAGAAACACTGTAGCCTGGGAGACACCAGGCATAGTTGAGGGCAGAAGTCCCATGCTAAAAATGGGAGAATTGGACCTTAGATATCTCTCTCCTGTTTTCTCCTACTGGGCTCCCAGAATACTGGCAGTTAGACCTTCAGATTTCAGGCAGGAGGTTGGAAAAAAAAAGTCTTTTCTGGAGAATCTGACCAAAAAAAGGAAGATAAAAGAAGAAAGAGGAAATTTAGTCATCAGAGATTCCTGAAATAAACAGGCCAGTTAGCTCACTCCATGTATCAAAGCTCCAAATCAGCTTTTCAGTCCCCTGCCCTTAAATATGAGCAGCTAACAAAGATGAGTAGATATTTGAAGAAACTCTCTAAATGTATGAAAGATAGAAGTTAAATGGAATAAAACAACTTGGAGAGACATACATTTTTGCAGAGGAAAATTATAGAACTATTATCCCCAGAAATAAGAGAAAATAACCATGAAACAAGAAAGAAGTACATAAAAGAGTGATATTATGACTTTAAAAAAGGCTCTTAGGCATTGAAATTCTGATAGTAAAAACCAAAAGCTTCGTAGAATTATCAGAGACTAATGTGCTGAAAGAAACTCTGAAAAAATAGAGCAAAAGGACAAAAATAAGAAACGAAGGAGGAGTGTTAAGAAAAATCACAGGATCAGTCCAGGAATTTCAGTATTCAAATAATAGTTGTCAAAAGAAACACCAGAGAAAATGGAAAAGAAATCATCAAGATGATTCAAGATAATTTTCTTAACTGAAGAGCATAAAGTTTCCTGATTGAAAAGGCTCACTTTGTGCTTAGTACAATGGATGAAAATAGATCCAAACTAAGGCACATTGTGGTGAAATTTGAAATCACTGGAGCCAAACAGATCGTTCATGCTTCTGGGGGGTGGGAGGGAATGAGTTGGCTTTGCACTTCTCAGTCGTAGCATTGGAAACTGAAAAATAAAGCAGCATCTTCAGTATTCTGAAGGAAAATAATTTTCAATCTCTGAATTCCATATGCATTGATACTATTATTCAAATATAAGAATAGAATTAGATGTATACATTTTCAAAAACAATCTGCCTGTCTTATACACTTTCTAAGGAATCTGTTGGAGGATGTGATCCATCAAATGAAAAAGTCAGCCAAATGAAAGAAATGAATTACAAGAGACAGGAAAGTCAATAAAGCAGAAAGATCCTTCAGAATGACAATAAAAAGAAGGGGATAGAGGGCTAGCAGTTCAGATTGGAGTGGGTTAGAAGCCTCCAGAAGAGTGGTCTTCAGGAAAATGAGATTGGTAGAAACCTGATGCAATTAATTGTCTTTAGAAAAGTTTTAGACAACTGATGAGAGTCTCAAGGTTGAAATGGTGATAAATACATAAAATAGTAAGCAAAAGAAAGTTCTGAACTACAGGGAAGATAAATAATGTGTAAGAAAGGAGATGTTAGAATAATGTCGTCAGTTCTTTAGCAGAATCCAGAGTAGTTGATGTCCAAGCCAGTCACCTCCAGTAGAAAACGTGATCAGTTTACTTAATTATGTGGTACAAATAGCTTCATTATTTATTTGATTTGGACTATTATGATAGGAAACAATGCTCTAAAGGAGGGCAAGTCTGACCTGTGACTTTGTTTTTGTATGGTTGGTGTATTTGATTTGCTAAGAATTTAAATTATTTTTGCATCTATATTCACATGGAATATTGACTTTTCATTTTCTTGTTTTCTAATGTCTTTATCTGGTTTTAATATCAGAATAATGCTGGCCTCATAGAATAAGTTGGAAGTTTCAACTTCAGTTTCCTCCTCTTCAGTTTCCTAAGCTACATCGTGTAGAATTGATATTATTTCATCCTTAACTGTTTGATACAATTTCTCAGAAGCTAATTGGGCTTGGAATTTTATTTGCTGGAAGGTTTTTAAATGTGAATTCAAGTTATTTAATAAATATAGGACTATTAAAATTATGTGTTTCTTCTTGAGAAACATTTTAATATCTGCATAATCTGTAGTGATGTAAGCATTCTCATTTCTGATACTGGTAATTTGGGTATTCTTTCTCACTGTCCTGATCATTTTGGACAAAGATTTGTCAGTTTTATACATCTCAGAGAATCAGTTTTGTATTTGGTTTCTGTATTGCTTTCCTGTCTTCTATGTCATTGATTTATACTTTGTCCTTTATTATTTTCTTTCTTCTGCCTGCTTTGGGTTTAATTTTATCTTTTTCTTGTTTCTTAAGGTAGAATCTGGGGTCATTGATATGAAAGCTTTCTCTTCTAATATAGGAATTTAGTGTTATAAATTTCTGTTTACTGCTTTAGTTAGTTACATAGATTCTGATAAGTAGTATTTTCATTTAGTTCAAAAATACCCTTTTGATTTTTTCTTTGACCCATGTGTTATTTAGAAGTATGTTGATGTAGTTTCCAAACATTTGGAAGTTTTTCAGATATCTTTCTCTTATTGATTCTTACTTAAATTTCATTGTGATCAGAGGACAAACTTTCTGTAGGTTGAATCATTTTAAATTTGTTAAGACTTGTTTTATGGCCCAGGAAATGATCTATTTTAATAACTGTTCTGTGTGCGCTTTAAAAGAAAGTGTATTATGCTGTTTTAGGGTGGAAGGTTCTATAAATGTCAACCTGATCACGTTGATTGATAGTGTTATTTAAGTCTTCTATCTTCTTGCCGATTTTCTTTCTACTTGTTGAACAGCAAGGAATATTGAAATCTCAGGCTATAACTGTGGATTTGTCTATTTCTCCTTGCAGTTCTGTCACATTCCTTGTACCACTGGTCCTCTGATAAGAAAAATTCCTCTTCCTCAGAGATTTATGTGTCTCTTCAGCTATAGCTGCTGGTTGTGAGATGGGCTTGCTTAGGAACAGGGCTGGATGAGAAAGGTAAAAGAAGAAAAAGCCAGGGGATTTCCCCCATTCACGCAGTCCCATATAGAGGCCCTCCATTCCCACTTTCTAACCAGAAAGAGAAGACTTATTTTGTATCTCTTTGTGTTTGTTCCTGGTGTGTAGCTCCAGGATTTGGATTCAGGCTTGGGGTTTGGGGTACATAAAAAACAGCTGGAAACTCATTGCTGAACTGGTTGTACTTTAAGTTCTAGTTTTCTTCCACAGTTTGCCCACTATTGTTTTCTTTTCTGAGTCTCAGATTGCTGGTTCATCATTCTTTCCAGGATTTTCAGTTATATTCAGGGGTTTTAGTTACATTCAGTTAAGGCATAGTGTGCTTACTTCATCTTAACCTTCTGTTTTATTACAATATAGATAGCACTCAAAATATTTTAAAATTAGTATGCATGAACATCAACCTACCAGGACAGATGCTAGTTCATTCAGAACAAACGCTAGCTGTAGACAGCTGATCCCCATATAGGTGCATACTGCCTGATAATCTGCCCTGCCTGATTGTGGATACAGTTTCTATTTCATGTTTCTTCTCCAGTAGCAGCAGAAATATATGTTGTCTGTTGGACTGTGCCAATGTCTTACCCTCTGTGCATGAGGGTCCTTTTCTTTCCTTTGTGTTAACAAGTTCCTTGGTCTCTGATCTGTCTCTCTGGTACAGTGGATTTTGACTCAAACATGCTCATACTCACTGTTCCAGTTTAGGGGCAGAGACCTCCAATGTCTTCTGCTTATTATATGTAGGAGATGGGAGACAGGCTCTTGAAATGTGACTGTAAAACTGATTGTGTTAGTTTAACCCCAGTATGACTGCCGCAGGTTAGGTGGTTATTTTCTACTTTCCAATAGCGTATTATATATAATTGCACTATATTACTTACTATATTTTGTCTTATTTGTCTATTGGGTCTCCATTTTTCCTAGTAATGTAAGAGTTTATTAATAGCAGGGTCTTTGCATACAGAACAGTGCTAGTGCCTTGTATTTAGGTTATCAAGTTTGATGAAGGAAACTACAATTCCTGGAATTCGGATTCTGTATTTCAGAAATCTTGAGTTACTTTATCAGAGTTGGTTTTTTTGTTTGTTTTACTGGCTCCATTTTCTGCATTAAATGATTTTTTTCATTAGTGATCATATATATGTAAGCAACTTACTTGGTTCTAGACATTAAGTGGGTAGATGAACCAGCATGATATGATTGAAACCCAGTTTTTATTTTCTTTTGCAAAAATAGCATTATGCAGGCATTGAGTTCTGGTGTACAAGATGTGTACTGGTGTAATGATGTCCACGAAACCAGCTCATGCTGGAAGATGGGAAAATGCGGACGATGTGGCTTTGCATGATTTCCATTATTTGTAGCCAACTTTATTTGATTAATACATGCTGGTGTGTCAATAGAACTAGTATATTAAATTGTCAAATATACTATATTCTGATCCTCTTTCCTTGCAAATATGTAAAATATTTAGTAGAAATGAGATGTTTATGCTCTTGAAACACACAAATTATTCTTCAGTCTGGAAAGTTACAGTGATTTCTTTATTGAACCAACTGTGGTTAATTACGTAGAGTGACAAGGAAATTATTTCAATATTCAGTGTATTATTTCTTTATCTCAGTATAAGAATATATCTAGTATAGTAGCATTACTAATGAATAAGACCGTTCTGTTTATGTGCCAGGTTGTAAACTAGGTGCATAATCCTCATTTAATTATCAGAATAGTGTTGTGAAAGTACTATTATTTTCCTACAGGAAATATTAATTTTATATTATATTCTGGCTTTATAGTTATCTACATCCCAAGTTTCAAATCAGTATTGTTGGTAGCATGTATTTAGAACCTTTTCATTCTGATATATAAAGTATATATTTGTTTGTTGGTGGTTGGATAATATTTGGAAGATCTGAGCTTAAATGATAAATCCCTCTGAAATATCTTTATTGCTTGTTCTGTATTTCTTCAGAAATTTAATTTGTTGTAGATTTTTTAAATTAAAACACTATTTTTATAAAATTAAACTTGAGATGCCTTTTGGAATACGTAGCCCCAACTTGAGGCCAATAATTCATTATTATTTAGAATGTTAGGGATATGTCTTAGAATGTATTGTTATAGTTTCATTAATTTTTTAAAAAGTTAATTTATACCAAACAATGTAGACATTTAAAAAGGATATGTTAAGGCTTCTTCCTGTTCCACTCTCCTAAAGTAACAAATACCTACATTCAGTTTGTATCTTTCCATGTTTTCCTCTGAGCTCATACTGGCATATGCAAGGATGCGTATGCATATATAAACCAGTTTGAAGGTTTTTGAAAAATAAAATGCAGTTTTAGTTCTCCCCTTCTCTCTCAATTAACAGTATAGCATGGCCATCCCTCCAGGAACATACTTAAATTCTTAATTTCTTAAAATCTGTATATTGGTTGATAGTCTAAGTAACCCATTATGTATTCCACTGTTTCCGCATATATGAGTGTTCAGATTTGCAAAGTGATTATGATAATTAATTTATAATCTTAAGCTCTTGGAATACGTAGCCCCAAGCACATTTTGTATCAGAACATATTAAATAGACTATTTAGCTTATGATAATTGGCCCAATTAACACTAGAAGCCTTGTAGAAGCCGCTCCTTGCTTATTCACCTTTATGATAGAAAAGGAATAAAAGCATGACAACTAAAAAGTTTGGAAGGCCGGGCACGGTGCCTCATGCCTGTAATCCCAGCACTTTGGGAGGCCCAAGGCGGGTGGATCACGAGATCAGGAGATCAAGACCATCCTGGCTAACATTGTGAAACCCCGTCTCTACTAAAAATACAAAAAAAAAAAGTTAGCTGGGCGTGGTGGCGGGCGCCTGTAGTCCCAGCTACTTGGGAGGCTGAGGCAGGAGAATGGCATGAACCCGGGAGGCGGAGCTTGCAGTGAGCCAAGGTCTTGCCACTACACTCCAGCCTGGGCGACAGAGCGAGACTCCATCTCAAAAAAAAGAAGTTCAGAAAAGGTATGAACATCTAGAAAGATTTTATTTTAAAATATTCTTATGTGAATTTTTCTGGTAAGAGATAAAAGTTATAAAAAAACTTTGTAAGTCTTTTTGAAGGGTCATAAACAGTTGGATAAGAAATTATTAGGAAGGTATCTATTGGTAAAGCCTGGGGAAAATTATTATAGAGTTGATACATTTTTTGTTTTGTTTCATATGAAGAGCAGTTGGTTTTAATGTTTTTTTCCTAGTGAAAGTTTGAAGAGCTAGTTCCCACAAGGGGGCAGAATAAGACAAACCTGAAAACCTTCACACTATAAACACAGAAGTGGTAAATAATGTAACAAAATTTATTTTAAATTTATAGTTGATTTATTAAGAAGGAAGGGGAAATCACAAGGAGCTAGAAATGAGCAGAGAGGTAATTTTCTGATCGTCCTATGAATGGTACCATATATTGGCATATGTACCTACCTGTCCCCCGGCACATGTATGGACTGTAGGGTGATCATTCAGCTGTGGCCTTAGATTAGTATTGATGAGTGGAAGTTCATTTTGCTAAGTCCATGTATAAACTCCATCCCTTTGTTAATGAGGGTAGGGTAGAGTGGCTGGTTAGGCCATTTTCATTGGCTGAGACTGACTGAGTCCCCAGAACAGGCCATCTTGTTTACCAGGTTAAGCAGCCCCTTCTCTGCTGTGTTTGCTCTTTGTCAGGTATTCACATGGGGCATAGATTACTTCATGTGTGTTCCCTTTCAAAGAGATACAGCCAAATTCTTTGACACCAGATATCTTTGTAATCAGTTTTCTAATTGTTCCAAGTCTCTGAATATCCAGTAAAACCATTAAACACTGTCCATGAGTCAGTATAGAACAGTACCTCTGTTATCTCTCCTTACAATCAAAATGGACAATCAGGCCCTGCTCAAATTTCTGCCACAGGGAGGGCTTCACTTCTTCACTTCACCACTCCTTCAGGACCACCCCTGAATGGGGCTGCTGTGCTGTTGTCATCTACGTGTCATGCAGAGCCATGACATAACTACTCTGCCAGTCACTTCCTGTAGCTGTGTCTTCATCCAGACCAAGTGATGAGAGAACAGACAGAGAAAAAAGCAACAGCAATGAGGATGTACTTCACACCCTTGGGACCACAACTCCTGGGATAAGAGAAAAAGATTCCCTTCTCTCAGACTTCAGGTGCTTGCCCAGTCACCACTACCATATCCGCCTGGGAACTGGGATGGAAGAAAAGGGGGAAAGGGAAAAAAAGGGGGAGATTTCCTCCAGTCTCTTGGAGCCATAAGGGCCCCTTTTTCTGGTCCTCAGACCAGAAAGGGAGGGATTCTCTTGGAGTTTTTTCTGATCTTACCCAGTAGATACTTCTCTGAGTTTTGAGCTCTCCAAGCCAGGTAAAATGCAAGGAAAAAACATAGTAAACTCAGTACCACTTCAGAACTTTAAGTTCTGTGCTCCTTCCCCAGTCTGCCTGATAATATTTGTTTTCAGTCTTCAGACGGCTTTTGGATATTGTCAAATGCTTTTTATGGATCTGATCATATGGATATGATCATGTGATTTTTCTTCTTTAGCCTGTTCATGTGATTGATTTTGTTAATTGATTTTCAAGTGTTGAGCTAGTCTGGCATACCTGGTATAAATACCACTTAGTCATGGTGTGTAATTCCTTTTATACATTTTTGGATTTGATTTGTAAATATTTTATTGAGAATTTTTGCACGTACGTTCATGAGAGAAATTTCTGTAGTGTTCTTGTTGTATCTGTCTGGTTTTCATATTAGGATAATGCTGACCTTATAGAATAAGTTAGGAAGTAGTCCTTCTGCTTCTACCTTTTGAAAAAGATTGTAGAGAATATGTGTAATTTCTTCCATAAATGTTTAGTAGAATTTACCAGTGAACCCATCTGGGCCTGGTGCTTTCTGTTTTGGAAGGTTACCAGTTACTGATTAAATTTATTTAATAGTTATAGGCCTATTCAGATTGTCTATTTTTTCTTGTAAGAATTTTGCCAGATTGTGTTTTTCAAGGAATTGGTCATTTTATCTAGGTCATCAAATTGTGGGTGTAGAATTGCTTATAATATTCCTGTATTATCCTTTTAATGTTCATGAAATCTGTGGTGATACCCCTCTTTCATTTCTGGGATTAGTAATTTGTGTCTCTTTCTCTCTCTCTCTTTTTTAGCCTGGCTAGAAGCTCCTCAATTTTATTGATCTTTTCAATTTTTTTTCTTTTCAAAGAACCAGGACTTGGTTTTGTTGATTTTTCTCTATTGATTCCCATTTCCAATTTCATTGATTTCTGCTCTAGTTTTTATTATTTCTTTTCTTCTGCTTGCTTTGAATTTAATTTGCTCTTCTTTTTCTAGTTTCCTAAGATAGATGCTTAGATTATTGATTTTAGATCTTTCTTTTCTAATATATATTAAGCACTATAAATTTCAGTCTATCACTGCATCCCGCAGATTTTGAAAAGTTGTATTTTTATTTAGTTCAAAATATTTTAAAATTTCTTTTGAGATTTCTTCTTTGAACTGTGTGTTATTTAAATGTGTGTTTACTATCCAAGTATTTTGGGATTTTTCAGCTATCTTTCTGTTATTGATTTCTAGTTTAATTCTGTTGTGGTCTTAGAGCAACCATTGTATGATTTCTATTCTTTTGAGTTTGTTAAGGTGTACTTTATTGCCCAGAATGTGTTCACTTGTAATGAACATTCCATGTGCGCTTGAAAAGAATGTGTATTCTGCTGTTGTAATGTGAAGTAGTCCATAGGTGTCCATTATAACCAGTTGATGGATGGTGCTGTTGAGTTCAACTGTGTCCTTACTGATTTTCTGCCTGCTGGATCTGTCCATTTCTGATAGAAGGCTGTCAAAGTCTCAAGTGTAATAGTATATTCCTCTATTTATCCGTGTAGTTCTATCCATTTTTGCCTCATGTTTTGATTCTCTCTTGTTACATACTCATCAGTCAAGACTGTTAAGTCTTGTTGGGGAATTGACTCCTTTAAAGTTAGTTTTTTGTAAGTAACACATTAGTTGGGTCTGTTTTTTTGACCCATTGTTACAATCTCTGACTTTTAATTGGTATATTTAGATTATTGACCTTTGAAGTGATTATTGATATAGTTGGATTATTATCTGCCATACTTGTTACTATTTTCTGTTTGTTGCCCTTCACAGTTTCTATTCGTCTTCTACTCTTTTCTGCCATTTGTTGTTTTAATTCAAAATTTTATATAATTCCATTTTCTTTCCTTTCTTATATCACTTCTTTTTTCACCTTTTTTAGTGGCTGCCTAAAATTTGCAATATATATTTACATAAATTTAAGTTCACTTTCAAATAATACTGTACTATTTCACAGGTAGTACAGATACTGTGTAATAACAAAATATCCCTAATTCCTCCCTGGCATCCCTTATATCATTGTTGTCATTTATTTTACTCACACACACACAAGCATACATGCACATGTGTGTCTGTATGTGTGTGTGTATATGTATATTATACATATACACATAGCACACACAAGCATACATAATCAAATATATTGTTGCTATTATTATTTTGAACAACTTATGTGTTAGAACAATTAAGAATTTTTTAAAAAGTCTTTATCTTCACGTATTCATTCTCTAAGGCTTATCCTTTCTTTATGTAGATCAGACTTTCTGACCTATATCATTTTATTTCTCTGAAGAACTTTTAACATTTCTTGCAAGGCAGGTCTTCTGGCAACAAATTTTCTGTTTTTGTTTGGGAAAGTCTTTATTTCTCCTTCACTTTTGAAGGATGATTCTGCAGGGTATAGAATTCTAGGTTTGTTTTTTTTTTAACCACTTTATTTCATTCTATCTTTTCTTGTATTGTTTCTGAGGAGATATCAGGTATATTAATAATTTTTTCTTTGCTTTCCTGTAGGTAAGGTTTTTTTCCCTCTGGTTTAAGATGTTTTTGTTTCTCTTTGATTTTCTGAAGTTTGAATGTGTTTTACTGAAGCATAGTTTGTTTGGCATTTATCCTGCTGGGAGTACTCGGAGCTTTCTGGTCTATGGTTTGGTATCTGACATTAATTTGGGGAAATCTTCAGTCATTATTGCCTTAAATATTTCTTCTTCTGTTATTCCCATTATGCATATTTACACCTTTTGTAGTGGTTCCACAGTTCTTAGGTGTTCTGTTCTTTTTTCTGTTTGCTTTTCAGTTTTGAATGTTTTTATTGACATATCCTGAAGCTCAGACTCTTTCCTCAGCCACGTCCAGTCTGCTAATGAGGCCATTAAAGGCATTCTTAATTTCTATTCTAATGTTTTTGATGTACGTTTTCTTATTCTTTCATAGAAGTTCCATCTACTTATATTACTCATCTGTTCTTGCATGTTATCTACTTTTTTTCATGAAAGCCCATAGCATATTAATCATAATTGTTTACATTTATAGTCAGAACCAGTTTATAGCAGGGTGTTTAATCCCTGCTGTTGAGAGGTGAAGCCAGCTGGACTTCCTGGGTCAAGTGGGGACTTGGAGAACTTTTCTCTTACAAGAGGTTTGTAAAACACACCCATTAGTGCTCTGTAGCTAGCTAGAGGTTTGTAAAATGCACCAATCAGTGCTCTGTAAAAACACACCAATCAGCGCTCTGTAGCTAGCTAGAGGTTTGTAAAATGCACCAATCAGCATTCTATAAAATGGACCAATCAGCACTCTGTAAAATGGACCAATCAGCAGGACATGGGCGGGGACAAATAAGGAAATAAAAGCTGGCCACCCCAGCCTGCAGCGGCAACTCACTGGCGTCCCTTTCTGTGCTGTGGAAGCTTTGTTCTTTTGCTCTTCACAATAAATCTTGCAGCTGGTCACTCTTGGTTCCGTGCCACCTTTAAGAGCTGTAACAATCACCACGAAGGTCTGTGTCAGTGAGACCACAAACCCATCGGAAGGAACCAAATCCGGACACACTGTAACTGGGTGTGTTTCTAATCCTTGCTCTGTCTCTTCCAACAGTATCTTTCGCCTTTTAATGTGTCTTGCAATTTTTTGCTGAAAGGTAGACATGATGTTTTGAGTGGAAGGAACTGTGGTGAATAAACCTTTAGTAATGTAGTGTTCAGGTGTGTGGGAAAAGGAAGCATCTAAGTACTTTGGTAAGTTCTTGTCTTTTGGTGAGCCTGTGCCCCTTCCCTATGAACTTTACCAGTGCTTCTCTGTTTTTTTCTTTGTTTTTCTTTGTTTTTTGTTTTTTTTCTCCCTTCTCATAGTTAGGTGGAACAGGATGGCTAGAGGAAGCTGAAGTTTGGTATTTTTCTTTCACAAGTGTGGTTAAGCTCTGGGAAAATAATTTCTCCTGATGGTTAAGAAGAATACCATTCTCTGGTACATTTCAAAATGGTTACTTTCCTCTGCCCCTCCTGGAAGTAGGAGTGGATTTTTCCTCAATACTGACTGAGAGTCTCATAGTGCTCCAGGAGATAAAACTCACAAAAGATTGGGGCCCCTCTGAAACTGGGTCCCCTCAGAATTTTGATTTCTCAGGCTTGTCTGCCTGAGCCTCCAATAATTCATCAACTACAGTTCAGGTTTTCCTACTTCTGTATTGGTTCCCACTGAGGTTGCTGCTTGTGCGTTTCTGCATTCTCTATAGTCACCTGTCTCTCTCCAACTTTGGCACAGCAGTTTACATTGTGACTTCCCTTCTCTAAAGAATGTAAGAAGAGTTGTTGATTTTTCAACGTGTTTAGTTTTTTACATGTTAGATGAAGTGAAAACTTCTAAGCTCCTTACATGCCAGATGGGAAACTAGAATTAAGCTCTATGCATTCTTTCCAGGGTTTATAGTTGTATTCAATGAGAGAGACGAGGTAGGGTATGCGTACTCCATCTTTCCTGGAATTGGAACCTAATTAAATTTTTCAAATATATGTCCTTACTGATTTTTTTAAACAGTCATATGATTTGTTTCCTTGTATTAATTCTCTTGTGTAGAACAAGAGAAAATTTTTGGCTAAAGGCCTTCCTATGTGGTATATAGTCATAAGGTTTCTTTCCAGTGTGACTTTTCATATCTTTAAAGGCAAGAAGGACTGTTGAAGCTTTTCTAACATATTCATTACATATATGATTTCTCTCCTTTATATGTCCTCACCTTTTTCCATAGGCATAGGTTGAATAACTTCTGAAAACCTTCCCAGTCATTGCATTTATAGCCTTTCTTCCCAGAATGTGTCTAAACATGTTCAGTAATATTAAAGTTCCTGCTCAAGACTTTCCTGAATTCACCGCATTCGTTGTGTTTCTCTCATGTGTGTATAGCCATTGTAAGGTGAAAGTTTCTGCTTTTTCCCAGTCAGTGCTGTTGTCGAGTTTTCTCCAACATGGATATCTGCTCCAGTGCACAGTAAAATCAGCGCTCCTACTAAAGGTTCCCACAGTCTTTGTGTTGAGTTTTTGCCCAGTGTATATTCTCTTGTGCACTATAAAGCAAGAGCTGTTTTTGAAGAAATTTACACACTGATTACAGTCATAAAGTTTGTCTTTGGTGTGAGATCTCATGTAAGTTTTGGAGGTGACTGTAGATCAAATACTGTCCTGCTCTAAAATTGTTCAAAGGGTTTCTTTTCATTTTGAATTCTCCCATGTCTCTGAAGGGAATAACGGTTACCGAAGGCTTTTGTAGAGTCTTTACACTCATGGTTTGTCTCTTGTCTATGATTTCTGTCTCCTGCAGAATAACATTAGCACTCCTTTTGAAGGCTTTTCCATATAGATTTCATTCATAGAATTTATTTCACTAGGAGTCCTCTCTGTTTGCATCTCACTGATGCAGACATACTATTGAAAAGCTGAAAGTTGTTCATTTTCTCATGTCTGCTATTACTACTGTTCAAGTCTGCACTGGAGATTCTAGTCAGGGCATTAAAGCCTCTGCAAGTAAAGATGTACCTCCTGTGCTGAGATTGTGAGACGAAAACACCGAAAGAAGACCCTGGGACAGAGCATTCCAGGCAGATGGAAGGGCCAGAGCTGAGTCTCCACAGAAGACTGGAGGCCTGAGTCAGCTTTGCCCCTCTGCCCAGCTAGGGGCTACCCTAATACCCATGTCTCAATCAGTCTGAGTTACGTGATATACAAACGAGAGAAAGTCCCTACTGTTAAGATACTTTCATTCTGGAGGAGTGAGAGAAATAAAAGAAGAAAGTCATATCAGGTAATGATAAGTGCTGTGTGAATTGAGGGGGAAAGTGGGAAGGGATGAAGTCAGAGAAGTTGGAAGGGGAGGAGGTAAGACAATTAAGTAGGTGGGTGCCAGATCATGTAGAGCTTTGTAGACCGTGGTAAGGATTTGGGTTCTAATTTTCTTCTGTTGCTGATTGACTGTATGATCTTTAATTAGTTATTAAACTTTCTCTGCTTAATTTTTTTTAATATTTAATAGTATGTGAATGTGTGAGATAATTGCAGTCTCAGAGTGGTATAAATCTTTGCATGAAAGAACATTAGGAATAATTTAGGCCAAACCCCATTGTTTCAGACATACATGAAAGACCTTTGAGAAATTATGCATTGTTATTGTGTGTATTATGTTTAACATGCCTACAGTCGTTTTAGGGACCAGACTACCACCTGTGCTGTTATTTTAAAAGTGTACTTTGGAGATAAAATATCCAATTAGAAAAGTTCACAAATCATAAGTGTACAGTGAGTATGTTATTACAAATTAGGTTTTTTAAAAGTCAGGTTTATTTAATTTATATAAGTAAAATTTGCCATTTTAAGTGTACATACCATGAATTTTTAAAACATATATAGTCATGTTAAATACCACTAAATCAAATATAGCTTATTTCCATAAAAAGTTCCCTCATGCCCCCTTGTAATTAGTTGTCTCCCTCAACCTAATCCCTAGCAACGACTTAAGTGTTTTCTAATACTATAGTATTTCCCAGAATATTCTGTAAATGAAGCCATGTAGTATATAGTCTTTTGACCGTATTACTGACTTTTTTTTTTGAGTTTTTTTTTTTTTGTACTTTAAGTTCTAGGGTACATGTGCACAATGTGCAGGTTTGTTACATATGTATACGTGTGCCATGTTGGTGTGCTGCACCCATTAACTCATCATTTACATTAGGTACATCTCCTAGTGCCATCCCTCCCCACTTTCCCCACCCCACAACAGGCCCCGGTGTGTGATGTTCCCCTTCCTGTGTCCATGTGTTCTCATTGTTCAGTTCCCACCTATGAGTGAGAACGTGTGGTATTTGCTGTCCTTGCAATAGTTTGCTCAGAATGATGGTTTCCGGCTTCATCCATGTCCCTACAAAGGACACGAACTCATCCTTTTTCATGGCTGCATAGTATTCCCTGGTGTATATGTGCCACGTTTTCTTAATCCAGTCTATCATTGATGGACATTTGGGTTGGTTCCAAGTCTTTGCTATTGTGAATAGTGCTGCAATAAACATACGTGCGCATGTGTCTTTATAGCAGCATGATTTATAATCCTTTGGGTATATAGCCAGTAATGGGATGGCTGGGTCAAATGGTATTTCTACTTCTAGATCCTTGAGGAATCACCACACTGTCTTCCACAGTGGTTGAACTAGTTTACAGTCACACCAACAGTGTAAAAGTGTTCCTATTTCTCCACATCCTCTCCAGCACCTGTTGTTTCCTGACTTTTTAATGATTGCCATTCTAACTGGTGTGAGATGGTATCTCATTGTGGTTTTGATTTGCATTTCTCTGATGACCAGTGATGAAGAACATTTTTTCATGTGTCTGTTGGCTGCATAAATGTCTTCTTTTGAGAAGTGTCTGTTCATATCCTTTGCCCACTTGTTGATGGGGTTGTTTGTTTTTTTTTTTTGTAAATTTGTTTAAGTTCTTTGTAGATTCTGGATATTAGCCCTTTGTCAGATGAGTAGATTGCAAAAATTTTCTCCCATTCTGTAGGTTGCCTGTTCACTCTGATAGTGGTTTCTTTTGCTGTGCAGAAGCTCCTTAGTTTAATTAGATCTCATTTGTCAATTTTGGCTTTTGTTGCCATTGCTTTTGGTGTTTTAGACATGAAGTCCTTGACCATGCCTGTGTCCTGAATGGTATTGCCTAGGTTTTCTTCTAGGGTTTTTATGGTTTTAGGTCTTACATTTAAGTCTTTAATCCATCTTGAATTAATTTTTGTATAAGGTGAAAGGAAGGGATCCAGTTTCAGCTTTCTACATATGGCTAGCCAGTTTTCCCAGCCCCATTTATTAAATAGGGAATCCTTCCCCCATTTCTTGTTTTTCTCAGGTTTGTCAAAGATCAGATGGTTGTAGATGTGTGGTATTATTTCTGAGGGCTCTGTTCTGTTCCATTGGTCGATACCTCTGTTTTGGTACCAGTACCATGCTGTTTTGGTTACTGTAGCCTTGTAGTATAGTTTGAAGTCAGGTAGCATGATGCCTCCAGCTTTGTTCTTTTGGCTTAGGATTGTCTTAGAAATGCGGGCCCCTTTTTTGGTTCCATATGAACTTTAAAGTAGTTTTTTCCAATTCTGTGAAGAAAATCATTGGTAGCTTGATGGGGATGGCATTGAATCTATAAATTACCTTGGGCAGTATGGCCATTTTCACAATATTGATTCTTCCTATCCATGAGCATGGAATGTTCTTCCATTTGTTTGTGTCCTCTTTTATTTCGTTGAGCAGTGGTTTGTAGTTCTCCTTGAAGAGCTCCTTCATATCCCTTGTAAGTTGGATTCCTAGGTATTTTATTCTCTTTGTAGCAATTGTGAATGGGAGTTCACTCATGATTTGGCTCTCTGTTTGTCTGTTATTGGTGTATAAGAACATATTACCCATTTTTAATTTTTGTGCACACATCAGAAGTTCATTCTTTTTATTGCTGAGTAAGATTCTGTTGCATGTATATGTCACAATTTGTTCATTCATCAGTTGATGGACATTTGGGTACTTTTCAGTTTGTGGAGAGTAATAATTTTTCTATTTGTGTGTGGGAGGAGGGACATATATCTTCATTTCTTTTGGGTAAATTCCTAGGAGCTGGATTTCTGGGTCATATGGTAGGTTTACTTACAAACTGCCAAACTGTTTCCCAACTTATATATACCAGTTGATATTGTCACCAGCAGTATATGAGAGCTGTAGTTCATTCTTGTCAGCACTCGGTTTTGCTGGTATTTTTTTTTTTTAGCCATTTTACTAGGTGTGTAGTAGTAACTCCTAGTTTGAATTACTGTAATGATTAATGATGTTGAGCATCTGTATTAGGCCATTCTTGCATTGCTATAAAGAAATACCTGAGACTGGGTAGTATATAAAGAAAAGAGGTTTAATTGGCTCACAATTCTGGAAGCTGTACAGGAATCATGGTGCTGGCATCTGCTTGGCTTCTAGGGAAGCTTTAGGGAACTTTCAATCATAGTGGAAGGTGGATGGGGAAGCCACCTTCTCACATGGCGGGAGCAGGAGCAAGGGGTGGAGGGAGGTGATACATACTTTTAAATGACCATATCTCATGAGAACTCACTATCACGAAGACAGCAACAAGCTATGAGGGATCCCCCTCCGGCCATCATCCAAACACCTCCCAACAGGCCCACCTTCAGTATTGGTGATTACAGTTCAACATGAGATAGGGGCGGGGCAAATATCCAAACTATATTATCATCCATGTTTCTTACTTAGTGAAGCGTCTGTTCAGATCTTTTGCCCATTTTTAAAATTGGGTAGTTTGCATTCTTGTTCCTGAGTTAAGAGTTCTTACAGCCTAACTACTAGTCCTTTATTAGATATGTGTTTTGCAAGTATTTTCTTTCAATCGGTACTGCTTTTCATTTTGTAACACTATCATTTGAAGAGTAGAAATTTTTAATTTTTGTGAATTCCAGTTCATCCGTTTTTTAATATGGTTCATCTTTTTGGGATCCTTTGTAAGAAATCTACCTGACCCAAGGTCACACAGATTTTCTCCTGTGTTTTCTTCTAAAATGTTTATAATTTTATAGTTTTATAGTTTCTTCTAATAGTTTTATAGTTTTTTTTTTTAACATTTTCAGTCTGTGACTAATTTCTCTTTGATGTTTTCATGAGTAGAGGTATGCTTCAAGGTCCGTGTTTTTGCATTTGGAGGTCTAGTAGCTAACAAAATTATTTGTTGAAAATATCCTTTCTACACTGAATTATCCTTTCACCTTTGTCACAAATTAGTTGGCTATATGTGTGGTTCTTTTTCTGGATGCTCTAGACTGTTTCATTCATTTTGTGTCCATTGTTTTTCTAACACCATCTAAGCTCTGGATTACTGTACCACATAGTAGGTCTTGAAATTATATACTGTTTGGACTCCAGTTTTGGTTTTGTTTGTTCAAAATTGTTGTGGCTATCCTAGTTCTTTTGTTTTTCTGTATAAATTTTAAAATTAGCTTATTGATTGCTATAAAAGTTAACTGCCTGCTATATTTCCATTGGGATTGCTTCAAACCTGTAGATCACTTTGGAGACAATTGACATAGTGTTATGGAGTCTTCAGATCCATAAACATGGTACATTGCTCCATTTAGCATTTTTGGGTTTTGTTTTCATTTTTTTAGAGACAGTATCTCACTATGTTGCTCAGGCTGGTCTTAAACTCCTGAGCTCAAGCATTTCTTCTGTCTCAGCCTCCCAAGTAGTAGCTGGGACTACAGGCACATGCCACAACTCCTGACTCTATTTAGGTTTCTAATTTCTCTTACCAGTTTCTTGTAGTTTTCAGAGTACATGGTATGTACTCTGTCAGATGTATTCCTAAATATTTTATGTTTTTAGTAGTGTTATTGTAATGATATTGGTTAAATGTTTTTTAAAATTTTCCAAATGTTCATTGCTAGTATATAGAAAGACACTTGATTCTTGTACATTAACTTTGTAACCTGTGAATTTGCCTTACTGACTTATTTTTTCTTATAGCTTTTTTGTAGATACCTTAGAATTTTTACATAGGCAATCATGTTGTCTGATCATATGATCCTATACTCGTTGTTAAACTTCTCGGGGCCTGTTTCTTGCCTGACGTGTGGACTTGTAAGGATGTTACAGAGTCACAGAGTGATGATACGAGCTCTGAGTTAAAAAGACATTTGGAATAATTTAGGCAAAACTCCTTTGCTTCTGTTACATAATGCAAAATCGCTTTGTCTTTAGGGGCCAGTTTATCACCATGCTATATATTTTTTTCCTGTGTACTTTTTAAAAGTAAACTTTTATTGAAGCATGACATGTAAACTGAAAAATTCACCAATGATGTATACAGTTCACTGAATTATCACAAGTGAACATATTATGCTAGAGGTTTTTGATTTCTAGGTTTTTATTTGTGGTTATTTTTATTACTTGAAAAACTAGAAGGCAGTTCTCTAGAATATGTATTGTCTTCAATGGAAGAGTTTCTCTGTTAACTTGAACTTTAATATCTAATAATCATTTATGTTAAGTATAATACCTCGTGATAACTGAAATTTCAGTTGGATCATAGTCACTCCTAACATTTCTTTGGTGTCCATACACTTTAGATTCTGCTGCATTCTGACCTCAACTTCTGAATGTCTAGTCACCAGGTGTCCAGCATAACTGAATTTTTTCTGTCAAGTTAGCAGTTTTTAAATTCTGCCACATCTCCATCATATTATCTCAGTCACTTTTAATTTGGTTGACTGAAGCAGGAAAAGAAAAGTAGAAAATAAATATTGAGTAATGTAGAGTACCAGTAGGTGCTGTCTTACATGCTTGGTAAATTGGATTCCTCCCCCGCCCCGCCTTTTTTTTTTAACTTCATGTTATAAAACTATACATGTATTCCTTATGCTATGCAACTTTGCAGAAGCTCCCACTGGTATAGGCCAAGTATATGTCCCTGCCCCACTGATGCTTCTCTTGGCTCCATGAGTTCCTTGGGCCAGTGGAATGTTAGTGAGCAGAGAGGTTTTTCTTTGTTGTTTTTTTCAGTAGAGACAGGGTCTTACTCTGTTGCCCAGGCCAAAGTACAGTAGTATGATCGTAGCTCACTGCAGCCTCAAACTCCTGGGCTCAATTGATCCTCCTACTTCAGCCTTCCGAGTAGCTGGGACGACAGGTACGCCACGCCCAGCTAATATTTTTCGTTTTTGTAGAGACAGTGTCTTACATTGTTGCCCACATCGATCTCAAACTCCTGGCTTCAAACAACCCTCCTGCCTCAGCCTCCCAAAGTGCTGGGATTTCAAATGTGGGCCACTGTGCCCAGCCTTGAGCAGAAGTCTTAAGTATGTTCCTTTGATTTGACTTGGCCTCCTGCACTCCTCTTTTCTGCCAAGAAGAGCATGCTATGTCTGTTCACTTGCCTTCAGTGACTGGGCCCAATATTGAAGACACATAGCAGTGTTCTGAACCTGACCATAGTACTGGTATCTAGCTAGCCCTATCATGCCCAACCTAGATCAGCTGACTCAGAGTCAGTCTGAAGGCTCATGAGCATACAGGCAATGTAAACCACTGAGATTTTGAAATCGCTATTTACCCAGGAAAAAATGGTATATAATCAAATTCTCTGCTCACCAGTACTTTAAACATGTATTTTTAGTTTTTTCTCTGTAGCTACAATAAGTTCAGGCACAATTTATAGGACAAAGAAGATGGAAGAAAATAGTTTTAAGCAGAAAAGTAAAGTAGGACAGCCAAACTGGACTAATTGCAGTATTATTCCTTAAGGAGTGTTATTAGTTTCTAAAATTATCAACTAATTTTTAACATTGGAACATTTTAAGTGAAAAGAGGTGCTTCACTAAATCAAATATATTGCTTTCGAAATACTAAGGCTGATTTTTTTCAATAAAAGGATTCCTCAGTTAAGGAATTACACTAATGGCATGCCTCTTTGTTTATGTAACTGTAAAATACTGCAATTTCATATGAATCAATGTCAGATATATTCATGAAAGATTGGAAATCAAGGATGAGAGAAAGAGACTTGAAAAGTAAGTCTAGGAGATACAGTATTCATCTGACCAGAATTCCAGAGAGAGAAAAGAAATGTTGGAAGAGAAGATTTAGTCAGCATAGTAAGTGAAAGGGCCCAGAGATGAATGAGAAGAAAAAAAGTTAATCCTAATAAAATTCCTGAAATCCAAGGATAGAGAATAAATCCTAGATTTCTCCCAACAGAAGTTTGGGATAAGATAATAGTGGCCTCAACTAAGGTCATGGTTGAAGAAATGGAGAGAACATGGCAGATTGTGGATTTGCCTCTCCTGAACATTTCATATAAGTGGAATAATACAAATGTGGTCTTTTGTGTCTGGCTTCTTCCACTTAGTACGTTTTCAAGGCTTTTGAATGTTGTAGCATGAATCAGACCTTCATTCTTTTTATGGCTAGATAATACTTCATTGTATAAATATGCCACATTTTGTTTATCCGTTCACCAGTTAATGGCATTTGGGTTGTTTCCACTTTTTGGCTATTATGTATGAATAATGCTGCTGTGAACGTTCATGTTCAAGTTTTTGCTTGAAAACCTGTTTTCGTATCTTTGGGTATATACAAAGGAGTGAAATGGCTAAGTTATATGGTAATTCTGTGTTTAACTTTTTGAGGAACCACCGTCTTACATTTCCACCAGAAGTGTATGAAGATTTTAATTTTGCCACCAACTTTTTTTTGTTCTCCTATTTTTTTATTATACCCATTTTAGTGGGTATAAAGTGGTCTCTCATTTTGGCTTTGTTTTTCTGTAATGATTGTTGAGCTACATTACATGTTCTTGTTGGCCATTTGTGTATCTTCTTTGGAGAAATGTTTATTCAAGTACTTTGAAGTTTTTTTTTTTTTCTTTTTCAAGAAATGGTCTCACTCTGTCACCCAGGCTAGAGTGCAGTGGTGTGATCATGGCTCACTGCAGCCTCAACCTCCTGGGCGCAAGTGATCCTCCCACTTGAGCCTCCCAAGTAGCTGGGACTACAGGTACATGCCACTGTACCTGGCTAGTTTTTTAAAAAATATTTTTTGTAGAAATGGGATCCCACTCCGTTGCCCAGGCTGGTCTCAAACTTATGGGCTCAAGTGATCCACTTGCCTTGGCCTCTCAAAGTCTTGGGATTATAGGCATGAGTCAAGACACCCAGCTTTGCCCATTTTTAAATTGGATTGTTTGTCTTTTTGTTGTTGAGTTGAAGTTGTTCTTTATACCTTCTATTAAAAGTAATGGCAAAAAACTGCAATTAGTTTTGCACCAACCTAATAAATCAGGGGTGTCCAATCTTTTGGCTTCCCTGGGCCACATTGGAATAAGTATTGTCTTGGACCACACATAAAATACACCAACAGTAACGATAGCTGATAAGCTTTAAAAAATTGCAAAAAAAAAAAAAAAGTAATGTTTTAAGAAAGTTTATAAAATTTGATTTGGGCCACATTCAAAGCTGTCCTTGTCCGCATGCAGCCCACGGGCTAGATAAGCTTGTTCTAGATGTTAGACTCTATCAGATACATGATTTGGAAATATTTTCTCCCATTATGAGCATTGTCTTTTCACTCTCTTGATAGTATCCTTTGTTGCATACAGTTTTTAATTTTGATGAAATCCAATTGATTTTTTCCTTTAATGCTTGTGCTTTTGGTGTCATATCTAAGAATCTATTTCCATTCTTTGACTCTCCATTCATCATTTTAATGTTTTCTTCTGACGTATCTTCCAGTTTACTGATTTGATGTCTAATCTACATTTACATCTATTTATTAAATTTTTAATTTCATAATTTCATTCCTCTGCTAAAATTTTAAACGTTTATTTTCTTAAACATATTTAGCATATTATTTTAAATTCTGTCCCTCATTGTTTTGTATTCAGTATTCTTATGAGACTATTTCTGGTTTATATGGCTTCTGTATTTACTTTGTTCATGTTATCTTATCTCTGTTATTGTTAATTAAGGGCTAGATGCTGTATGTGATCAATTATATAAATAATTTGAGACCTACGATGATATTACCTTCCTCCACAAAGATTTATGTTTGTTTTTAGTAGGCACTGTCAATGCAAAACTGTCTTAATTTAATTTTATGGGAAATATTTAGAGCTGAGCTTTAGTCCCTGTGAGAACCAGTCAAGTTTCAGTTCCTACTTTCTCCTAGAGTATAGTTCTTTGGGCTTTTAACAAAAGTGTTGGAGTTTTGCTATCTCCACTTTCACCCCTTGGTGGGCCTTAGACTACACACACACACACACACACACACACACACACACACACACACACACACATACACTCTCTCTCTCTCTCTCTCTCTCTCTGTGTGTATATATATATATATATATGTAAAAATTTATATATATATAATTTTATACCATATGTTTATGGTTCTAATTTTCCTTGGGAAAAGTTTATCTGAAGTACATAATTCTGCCATTACCAGAAGTGGAAGTCAACAGCATATAAGTAGAAGTAAACAGCATGTAATTACTCTTTTTAAAAATTAGAACAGATTCAAAGATCATTATATAATAATGTCAGTCTTACCCACTTGAATTTTTATGTATTTTCTTGGAGGAGGGGAGAAAGAAATAGAGTTACAATGATCCTACTAGCAATTGCACACGATGGCTTGCTAAGCAGATAAATACCTTTAATGTGTGTCTTATCAGAAAAAAAAGTAAGATCATTTCTTTATACAACTTATGTGGAAATTATTTTCTTGTATTTCCTTATATGATTGCATCTCTCATGAGATAGTGAACACCTTATAAGAAGGAACCTTAGTTTACTCATCTTCAGTTTCGTAGTGCTAGACCTGGAATTGAGTACATAGTAAGTGTAGAAATGAATGCATGTAGTGAAAATACTTTGATTTTTCACAGTGAAAATATTTGTTGTTCTGGATTATCCTATAAGATGTATTTTAATAGGGAAGGCAGGATCTTTTCTCACCAGCTCTTTTGTTCCATCCCCTTCTAACAGGTGGCATCTCCACAGAAAGCGACTGTGCTTTTGAGCCAGACTACGCTGTCCCGCCACTTCCAGTGAGTGAAGGTATGCAGCACATTCGGATTATGGAGGGCATGTCTCGCTCTCTTCCATCCTCCCCCTTACTCACACATCAGTCTATCAGTGTTCGGCTCCAGCCTGTGAAGAAGTTAACTGGTAAGGACTTTACCTAAATTTAGTATGTTTAACAGGAAACCTAACGATATGACACTTTAGGTCACGTCAGATGTGTATATTTGCATCTTTAGGTTTTTCCTCTCTGGCCTTCCTAATGTCACAGACTCTTGACACTAAAAAAAAAACTCCAACTGATTTTAATTTAGAGAATTAGAACAGTACTCAGTTTGACAGATTGATGTATTTATTTTCTAAATGACCCATCTGTTGTGAACATATTTTTCTAGGTTTTCAGGAAGTTCCTGGTTTTGCCAGAATACACTGTTGTTCTGATTTCATTTATCAGCTTGTTCATGTCAGGTTAACAGATGGAGACATTCTAATTTTAGGATAATAGGAGCTTGATAGTTCAGCAAAGGTACATCAGTCGTATTTTATTTGAAATTGCTATTTGTATATTTTATATATTTTTTTAAAAGATAATTTAGATATTTTCCTCTACACTGGACATTAACTTCTTAGGATATTTACTATAATTCATAAGTTATGGATTATGTTGACTTTAATATGATCTCACAATATGTATTACCCATTTAGATCAAGTTGTTAGGTGTGAAACTGTGGCTTTATTAAATGAACTTTTGTCCTTTTACGTCTTTTCAGGAAATAAATTTTAATATATAGTTGAAGAATGCTTATGTGTGAAAATATGTAATCCTGGGTCACTTTGTTAGATTTCTTCTAGCATTATCAATATATCCCTGATGTCAGTAAGTTGGCTAGTATTGATGGGTTCTAAGTGCATGGAGGCATGAAATTAAGTTATTCACAAAGGATATGTCGACTGTTTCCTGTCTGACATTGAGCTAGACAGTAGAGAAGTTTGATTATCATTATGACAATTCAGAAGAAAATGAGAAATGAAATTTTTGGGCACTTCTGTCTATGTAGAGTGAAACTTTTTCACTGTTTATAATTTTCATTAAAATAATAGCATTTCTTCTATAGTTCTACAAAGCATAAATTATGCCTCTTTACATTGTGTATTATTGGCATTTTCAAAAAATAAATGAATCAAAGTCACTTTGGCCGTTAGATACTTCAGTCTAAAGACACTTTGGTCATTAGATTAAAAAAATAGGTAAAATAGCCTAAAAACATAATATCCTGAAATACCAGTTCCCTTCTAATGTCCAAAAATATGATGAATTTTATGTGATTAGGCTTAAATAAAATCTCAGTGCTTAGAAATTCTCCCTGTTTTACAGTCAAAGGTATTATTGATTACTAAAAATATAAAAATCCCAAATCTGTTGGCTGTCATGTGATGTGTTTCATTTTACCACACAGAGTGGAAAAAATAGTAAGTCCAGTTTCTATGTAGAAGTGAGCTGGATTGCCTGAAGTTTTAGAGATACCGCTTTCCTATCCCATTTGCCTATCTTAATTTGAATGTCAACTTAATAGTCAACGTTTATTAAGAGATAACTATTAAATATAACAAAGTCAATAACATACCTAATATCACAGAGGTATTGTAGTGAAGCAGTAATGCAGAGTGTAATTGATTAATGACATGTATGAACTTTTGAGTTTTAATTTTACAGTATTTGAAGCTTCTGTAATTTCTCATAGTTTAATTTACTGAAGACTATCAAAGGCCTAGCAATTTAATGATTAAGAATGCATTTTTAAATTTTGGAAGAAAACAACTTTACTGAAAGAGTATGTCAGGAAAATGTTTCTTTGGTCAATTTTCTGCCAAGTGAAGCAGATGATAAGAATTGTCTAGTTTAACCTGGAATGAAATTACTTTGAAATTCAAAATAAAAACCTCAGTAGATTATTCATCCATTATCCCTTCTTAACCTAATCATCAGTTACCCCTTCTTTTCTAATTATATCTTGTTATAAGTAAGTAAAAGGAAAGTTGAATGGAAAAAAATTAGCCGACCGTAAAGAAATTTTCTCCAAAGAATGGTTCTTTCTTGGCATTAATTATCAAAATGCAATAATTTAATCAGGCCATTAGGACTACACTTAGTAATTTCTCCATTTCCATACATTCAAACTTTCAAGTGCCTTGTATGTATTCATATTACCAACCAAACTGAATGAATAGGGCCAGAAGAGTCATCATATTCTATTTTCTTTGTGACTTTCTAATAGTCTCTTGTCTCTGGCACAGTTAAAAGCAGTTTGCTTATTATTCTTCAGTGCTTTTTACTTAATCATTCAACAGATATTTGTCTAAGGCCCATTACATGCCTAGGCACTGCTCTAGATATGATAGAGTGGTGAAAAGGACCACTAAGACCCCTGCCTTCAAGGATTTTATATTTCAGTTGAGAGAAGATGTAATAAATGCATAGCCAGTAAATAAATACTTGAATTTTAAATGGTGGCAACTACTACAAAGGTAATGCAATATGGAAGGGGATAGAAACTGGGGTTGAGGTAGAGTTTCCTTCTATGGAATGACTGGGGAGAGTCAAAGGAGGAGATAATTGAGCTGAGTTTTCAATTTAAGAAGGAGCCAGCCATGGGAAGATCTGGGATCGGAGCTTTCCAGGCAGAGCTAACAGTCAGAACAAAAGTCCTAAAGCAGAAATGAGCTTGGCATGTTCAAGGAATGGAAAGAAGGCAAGTGTGGCCTGAGCAGAGTAAGTCTGAAGGGACAGTAGTAGAAAATGAGTTAGAGCTGGGGCACGATGGCTCATACCTGTCATCTCAGCACTTTCAGAGGCCGAGGCAGGAAGATTGCATGAGGCCAGAAGTTTGAGACCACCCTGGACAACATAATGAGACCTTGTCTCTACAACAAATAATTTAAACAAAATAGCTGGGTGTCATGGCATGCCACCCATATGTAGTCCTAGCTACCAAGGAGGCTACGGTGGGAGTGTTGCTTGAGCCCAGGAGGTGGAGCTGCAATGAGCTCTGATCGCACCACTGCACTCAGGCCTGGGAAACAGAACAAGCAAGACCCTGCCACTAAAAAAAATAAAAATAAATAAATAAATAAAAAGAGTTGGAGAGGTGGGCAGAAGCCACAGTTTTTAGGGTCACGGTAAGGAGCCTACTCTGATTGCAGGATTTTTTTTTTTTTACCTTATTTATTCTCTCTCTATTGTTTTTTCCTTTTTATTTTTATTTATTTATTTTTATTATACTTTAAGTTTTAGGATACATGTGCACAATGTGCAGGTTTGTTACATATGTATACATGCGCCATGTTGGTGTGCTGCACCCATTAACTCATCATTTACATTAGGTATATTTCCTAATGCTATCCCTCCCCCCTCCTCCCTCCCCCCACCTCTGGACACAGGAAGGGGAACATCACACACCAGGATTGTACGATTTTAAACAGAGGAGGAACAGGTAGTAGTATGATCCAATTTACCTTGTAATTGAATCTTGTTGGCATGTATGTAGAGAATGAAGTATGAGGGACTAGAGTATCACATATTCATTAGCCTTGTGCAGTCAGCCCTCTGAATTCATGGATTCAACCAAACACAGATTGAAAATATTTTTCTTAAAAAAACCATCTGTACTGAACATGTAGATTTTTTTATAATCCCTAAACAATACAGTCTAACAACTATTTGCATGGCATTTACATTGTATTAGATATTATAAGTAATTTAGAAAGGATTTGAAGTATACAGAAATATGTGCCTAGGTTATATGCAAACACTGTGCCATTTCATATCAAGGATTTGAGCATAATCCAAGGAAGGTCCTGGAACCAGTCCCCCATGGATACTGGGGGACAGCCACATAGGTTTTCCTGATCTTTAAATAGTCATTATTAGTCATTGTCTCCACTTCTAATAAGGTGGGTACTTATGTTTTCATTTTGTAAGATATGACAAAGGAGTATCCTTTTCCTATCATTGTTACTCTGTAACCTTTATACTCTTAACATATTTATCTTAGTCTTCCATGCCGGTGTATATAAAGACTCATTTGCAGATATAGGTCCATTTCCAAATAGTTTGACTCATTTTCAGTCTGGAGGGAGTAAGAATGGGTAAAGACCAGCTCAAGAATAGATATAGTTTAGAGCTTGAAAACTAATTTTTAAATGTATACACACCTCACTCTATTCAGTACAAAAATAAGTTAATGTAGTAAATGTGTTCAAGAGAGACATAGACTTTGTGGTCCGACTGTTTGGGTTTATATCCCAGCTCTGAGTGTCACGTCACGACTGTTTGCTTCTGTTTCTTCATCTGTAAAATGGGGATAACAATAATACAACCGACTTCATGGGTGTTTGTCTTATTCTTATAATCACATTGTTTTATACTTTTTAAAAACCGTGTTTAAGGGCTCAGAAAGTGTTAGCCGTTATTGTTAATAAAATTTGTTGAGAAATTTGTAAAAATTGCTTTTCATGTTAGATACCAGTGGGAACTTTAAAGCTTCATATGTTTTTAAAGTCGCACTTTTTAATGAGTAATAGCAATAATAATGACAATAATTTTCATTATAATGCCTGTTGTGTGGCATACTCTTATTAGCTTGTGTTTTTGTCACTGGTGTCTCCACTTTACAGATGAGCAAATTAAGTTCATAGAGAGGTAAATGTCTTGCTGAAAGTAAAATGTCTTGTGGAGGATAATACAGCTAGGCAGCGGTCAGAGTTAGGATTAATCCCCAGTCCCTCCACATGTGTCTCATTTTACCAAGAAGAAAATCAAGGTTTAGTGAAATTAAATAGCTCATCCGGAGCATCTAGTATATCAATTAAGATTTTTATTGTTTCAAGTAATAAAAGATACAGCCAAATGGTTTAAGCAGTAAAGAAGACCTAAAAATTGGGCAGGTTTCAAGGTTCGTTGGGCTTACTTAGGTATTGCTGTGCTTTGGGGGCGATGTGGAAAAGAGTAAGCAGAGGCTCCCTGTGGTCTCTAGATTCTTGCCCAGTGCTCCTTCCAAGATGCTTTCCCATAGTATCATAAAGATCCTCAGCATAGATAGATGATTAAGGATGCTAAAACTTCATTCATTCAACTCTTACGGAATTTATATTATTTACCCATTATGTACATTTGTTAAATTTAGTAAAACTTAAATTTTGCATATACATACTTTGGGTAGGGGTGAAAACTGGTACAACCATTTTTATGGCAATTTGACAATATGTATCAAAATTATAAGGCACATAATCCTTAATACACCAATCTTATTACTAGGAGTTTGTTTTACAAATAAGCTTGATCAGATTTGAAAATGTGTATGTATGTGCGTACTATATGTGATATTGTTTATATAGCAAAAAATGAAAATCCAAATATTTCTCAATAGGAACCCATGTGTGTTTTTAAATGATACATATGCAGACATACATACACACATGCATGCGTTTGTTGGTAGCCTAGAGAGATAACTCTTACTCGGAAGTGGGAGAGGGATGACATAAGTTGTGCTGTATAGCTTTCTGTAAGTCTTATCTTGTATAAAATGCAAAATCTCTTGAGACAGTATAACAAAATGAACCCTGTCATTTCCTGACTCTGTAATCTCGCTCAAATTTGTTTAAAGTCTCTGTACTTCAATTCCCTTATTTCTAAACTAGGGTTGATAATAGTATCTACCCCATAGGAGTAATAAGAGAATTAGATTAATTAGTACATGTAAAGCACGTAAGACAGCGTCTGGCATAGAGTAAGTAGTCAAAATGTTAGCTAAATTATTATTATAGTTTCTAAAGAGATGTGGGTATTGAGTGTTTATCAGCTATGTCAAATATGTGTTCTGAGCTTTTGCAAGGTAGCCTTCAAGAAACAATTACGCTAAGTCAGTCAGTCTACTTTTCTGAGGAGTAATCTTCAAATACCAACATCAAATAGATTATTATCTAATCTCTGGGATAAAAAATGGCCTGATTTTCAAAGTATTTGTTGCCAATAAATTGGAATGACCATGTGGCAATCCAATTTGGATGGTAAATAAGTCACAATAACTGATTTGATCATGCTGAGCCTGGATATTTTAGATGCTAGCTATGGCCAAAGCCATGAATAAAAAGGAAACATTTACTTGTTCCAGAAACATCCTGGGGAAATCTTTGAAAAGCTCTTTTGACATTGAAAAGGGCCTATACATAGTGTTATTCTACATAGTCTGATATATTTTAGTATATTCATGATATGTTCTTTGCATAATAATATACTTATCCTGCAATTTTTGAAAACCTACTAGAATTCAAGATGTACTGTGGTGAATTTTATGATGGGAAAAAAATACAGAATTGCTGCAAAGATTAAATAAGATTTCTTAAACATATAGTCTAACATAACAAACATTAACAAATATTATTTTTCTTCTCATTTATATCTTGGAAAAAATGGAAACATAGTCTTGTTTTATAAACATCCTGGAAAAATTACTGAAAAGTGAATTGGAAAATATAAAGGGCCTGTAGATAGTATTAGTCTCTATAGTCAAGATTTATTTCAGCATACTTATAATACTGTGGCATCTGAGTAAATATCTTGCAATTTTAGGATAAACATTGGAATTCATAATATAGTATAATGAATTTGTTAGATTAAAAAATATAGGAGACATGCATGGTAGTCTTAAGTTCCATCATTACTAACTGTTAGAGACCACATGTTTTTGTAAGGTTAAATGAGGAAATATATACTAAGACTTTTAAGCTCTTTTGGAATAATAGACTAATTAAACTATTAGATCTGGACCTCATTCAGGGTACTGTTTCTAATTTGGTTTCTAACTTCAGATTCTCTGGTTTATGAGATAAAGATTAGGCTATTGTAAAACAGTGTAGGATTGGAAAAAAGGGGGGGCCCTTATTTCCTTGAAGAGGTTATTTCTGTAGTCTTCCAAATCAAAAGTAGAGAATGTTAGAGGGTTATTACTTAATTCAATATAATAATTTCAATTATCATGAGTCAGTATTGTTAAAGAAAACCAGAGCTCGACAGTAAAGTGGTAAAAACAGATTTTAGTAAGGCTCTATTGCAATAGTATAGAACTGGGCTCAATTCTGAATATAGTAAAGAATGTTGGGGATTTATAGCTAAGGAGCAGAGTGGGGCAGAGGATAGAATCAGTGGATGGAAAATTATTAAGAGGAAGCTTCAAGAGTAAGGGGATTATTGCCGAACCAACTAAACAGTGCCTTGCTGAAGGCAAGCCATGTTGACCAGATTATCAAGGGTAGGGGGATTCTCACTAAACTGAGTTAGCAGGATTCTTGCTACAACTGGGCCAGGAGGCGTGAGGACAAGGCCCACGCAAGAACGTTGAAAAGAGGTATCAGAGGAACCTGACTAAAGTTTGGTTAAGGGGTGAGCCTTTGCCACTGCGTATATGTTGAACACCTAAAAGGCGGCATGAATTATCAAACAAATAATCCTTTTGTGATATTTGCACACACTGGATTTCAAAATAATTAAACCTTCTCTTTTTATATTTAACCTGTGAGGTTTTAGACAAGAAAGTAATTTTCTAGTTTTTTTTCTTTTCATATTTGAATGGAAGTCACTCATACAAAGTGAAAGTTTTATTTATAGTATTGTAGTGTTTATTTATAAAAGGATTATTTGTAGTAAGTGTAGTATTACTGTATGTATTCTTTTGAAATATAGTAGCCTTGTCTTCCTACCTCTATTCAGCCACCACTAGGGAAAGTTTGCGAAAGTGCCCAAATGACCCTTAATGAAGAGAGAGCCAAAATAACAAGTCATTGATACTTTTAAGATGAAGTGGTTTCATTTCTGTCAGGTTAGATGATTTGCAAGGTTATGATGAAAATTGGAATGGAAGAAAAACAATAAGAAAAATATTTTTAAAAGTCAAATAAGATAAAATAAGTTGCTTGTCACAAGAAAGTGATTTCAGTTTCCCTTATAAAGACAAAGTTATCAGAATGTATAAAAAGCATTTCCAGGGAGTGTTATTTATAATAGATGCTTCTAAACAAATTGAGAGGAAGCTTACAAATAAAGGAATGAAAAATATATACCAAATAAATGTTGAGAAAAGGATAGTATTATTTGCAATAATATTAAACACAAATAAAAAAGTTTTATTTGATATTTTATGCAGATACAATTCATGAAGTAGATGTTAACGATTATTGCTTTTTTATGCATGAGACAACATGGCATCAAAATGTATAAAGTTATCCAAGAGAAAAGAAAACATATGTTCACACCAAAACTTGTACATGTATGTTCATAGCAGCATTATTCATAATAGCCAAAGAGTGAAAACAGTTTGATGTTCATCAGCTGATGAGTGGATAAATAAAAAGTGATATATTCGTATTATTTGGCATTAAAAATAAATGCTTTCATGATCCATGGTGAACCTTGAAAACGTTACACTAAGTGAAGGAAACCAGTCACAAAAGAACATATGTTATACAATTGCAGTTATATGAAATGTCCAGAATAGGCAAGTAATCTATAGAGACAGAATGTTAATTGGTGGTTACCTAAGGGAAAGGGGTCACCAACGATGGTATAGGTAGTGAATGCTTAAGGGTATAGGGTTTCATTTTGGGGTGATGAAAATGTTCTAAACTTAGATTATGCTGACAATTGTACAACTCTGTGAATGAACTAAATCCATTAAATTGTACTTATATCTCAATAAGGAAGTTTTTTAAAAATAAAAACTTCATATAGTAAACATTAGCAATGAAAGGGAAAGTTGATGAATTTATATTTAACCCATTTATGCCAGAGGCTACAAATTTTTTCATGTCAAAAATCAGACCTTGGCCATGACCTTGAGCAGTAGGATATAAATAACTCCCACAAGCTTAGCGTTCCAATAGTGGAACACTAGGCATAAATGAGTTAAGGCAGATTTCATGCCTCATAAAATGAACAGCTCATTAAAGGATATGGATAATTTGAATAATAAGCAATTAAACTTAACTCATTATATTTCAGAATTGCTAAAATACTTGGAATGTTCTAAACAAAAAGAAATAAGTGTTTGAGGTGATGGATATCTCAGTTACCCTGATTTGATCATTACATATTATATGCCTGTATCCAGATATTACATATACCCCATAAATATGTAAAGTTAATATGTGTCAAGTTTTTAAAAGCTTAATTCAGCCGAGTGTAGAACCTCATACTGAAAAACATAAGATTTCTTATACTTGTATTGTTTTCCAGCACTTGTGAACTGTTTATAAAAGTTGATTATAGGCCAGACGTTGTGGCTCACGCCTGTAATCCCAGCACTTCGGGAGGCCGAGGCGGGCAGATCAGAGGCCAAGAGATCGAGACCATCCTGGCCAACATGGTGAAACTCCATCTCTACTAAAAATACAAAAATCAGCTGGGTGTGGTGTCATGTGCCTGTAGTCCCAGCTCCTTGGGAGGCTGAGGCAGGAGAATCCCTTGAACCCGTGAGGCAGAGGTTGCAGTGAGCCAAGATCATGCGGCTGCACTCCAGCCTGGTGACAGAGCAAGACTCCATCTCAAAAAAAATATAAATAAATAAATAAAAATAAAAAATTTTAAAAAGTTGATTATATAGTTGGCCATAAAGAAATCTCTGTACAATGCACATATTTTTCATTGAAAATCAAAATAGAATCTAACAACAAAGAAGATAGGGAGAAATTTCTTTTCTACTTCTAAAATTTTAAAGTTTTAAAATAACTTTTTAAAATAACTTTTGGGTTAAAACAGAAACCAAAATTGAAAAAAAAGTTGGAAATTAACATGTATTATGTATTAAAACTTATGAAATGTAGCCAAAGTGGTACTCTATGGAAAAGTCATTACCTTGAATACTTTTATTAGAAAACAAGAAGTACTGAAAATAAATGAACTAATAAGGAGATCGAGGAAGACATAGTAAACATGAAGTAATCAATAAAGTTAAAAGGGAAAATGAATAAGCAAAAAACTAGTACTTGATCAGTAAAGCCAGTTTCCTTGAAAAGACTAAGATAATAGAGCAATCTTTGATAGAAGTGATCAAAATGAAAAAGAGGGAGTGAGAAAAGATAACATACAGAACATACAGAACAAGAAATTAGTCACTAATCTTTTTATTATAAGGGAATACAGCATATAGCTTTATAGCAAAACAATACACACAAAAAAACCTTGAATGAGATGGAAGAAAACTGCTGTAAATTTGACTCAAGAAAACTTAAAATTATGACTAGCCTGGTAACCATAGAAATCAAAGATCTCCAAGAGTCATCAGACCTAGATGATTTTACAGGCGAGTTTTAGCTAAACTTACAAGTAATAATTATAATAATAGTAGTAGTAATTAAAGATAATATTTTTTGAGCTGTTACCCTATTCTAGACAGTGTTAAGTAATTTACCTATATGAGCAAATTTAATCTTCACAGCAAACTTAGTGGATAGTCAACAGTCTCTGTGTGAACACTTTCAGTGATAGTGAGCTTTCTTCTTTGTAACATAGCCTGCTCCTTTGTTCAGTAGTTTTAACTGTCAGTTCTCTAATTTACATGGATGGAAATGTCCTCCTTTATTGCTCCTACCCATTAGTCCTAGTTCTGCCTTGTAGAACTATACGACATAAATTAACCTCTTCTTTCACGTGGCAGTCTTTTATATCCTGGAAAGCAGCCATGATGTCTACTTTTCTGTAGCTTAAAAGACTTTATTTACAGCCTGTCTGATACCAAGATGGTAGTACAGCTGTGTTATTTTCATCATCTTCTGCTCTAGTAACCATATGAAAATGGGCATGAGATTACTTTGAAATTACTCTTCCTTGTGACCCCTTATCAACTTTCAGTGAGCATTTTTTTTCTTTTGAGAAATTGAATAGAAACTCCTAGTGTCCACATTTTGACATCCTTTAGTCCTGTAGTTCTGTGAAGTTCCTGCATGGCTTTACAGAAACTGTTATTGGTAGTTTCATGTTCATGTCTTCCTGTCCTTTTAGAATTCTGAAAGGTAAATTGTGTGGGTCTGGATTTTGATTATGTGTATTTTAACTTGTCCTCAAAACTTGGTCTTTAATGTCCTCTTAATGATGTTTATTAAATATAATTTTCTTAATGGAGAACATTAAAGCAAAATCAGAGTTGTCTTAATTTGTTTAGGTTGCTATAAGAAAAAACCTCTGGGACTGGGTAATTCATAAAGAACAGAAATCTATTTTCTCACAGTTCTGGTGGCTGGGAAGTCTAAGATCAAGGCACCAGCAGGTTTGGTTGTCTGGTGAGGGCTGCTGTCTGCTTCCAAGATAACACCTTGTTGCTGCATCTTCCAGGAGGGAGGGACATTTCGTCCACACCTGAGGGAAGATGGAGGTGTGACATAACCTAACTCTGTAGCCTCTTTGATAAGGTCTTAATCCCAGCCACAAAGGGAGGAGCCTTTATATGGCTTAACTACCGCTTAAGGGTTCTACCTCTTTCTACTGTCATACTGGCCTTTAAATTTCAACACCTGAATTTTGGAGGACACGTTCAAACCATAGCACCAAGGGTTGAGTAATGGATTGTTCTGTCTCTTACTTAGAGCAGGATATTGTTAAACATGGCAGACTTTGGAGTCAGATATACTTGGTTGAAACCGTGACTTTGCTACTTATTAACTGTATGACCTTGGCCGTGTCACTTGACTACTCTGAGTATGTTTTGTTACCTGTATTGTATTATTGGTATTTCTGCATCACAGAGTATTGTATGGATTAAGTAAGATATCATGGCCGGGAATGGTGGCTCACACCTGTAATCCCAGCAATTTGGGAGGCCAAGGTGGAGGATTTCCTGAGCTCAGGAGTTTGAGAATAGCCTGGGCAACATCTCAAAATCCTGTTTCTACTAAAAATACAAAAAAAATTAGCTGGGTGTGGTGGCATGCACCTGTAATCCCAGCTACTCGGGAGGCTGAGGCTGGAGAATCGCTTGAACCCGAGAGGTGGAGGTTGCAGTGAGCTGAGATAGCACCACTGACAGAGTGAGACTCTGTCTCCCTGCCAAAAAAGTAATTAATTAAATAAGATGTGTGTCAAGAACTTAGTAAAGAGTTTAGCTCGTAGAAGGTGATTCATAAATGAAAGCTTATAATAAAATCACTACATAATTTATCTTTCCCATGCAGCAGATCTGTCCTGTCCTTGTCTGTTTTTTAATTCTAAAAACATCCCAGCAATCCTTTTTGCTATCTTCAAAACATAGCTCTTCTCAACTGGGGCTCTATTCTTCGTGGACAATATTGTTAGATGGTTTTCTACTCTTCATCTTTGATTATGGTTTTCTACTCTTCATCTTTGATTATTTCCCCCTCTCTTTGTATATTTCTTTTTCAGGCACAATCTGTCTTTATCAAAAAATTTCTGATATGGCAATATTTTTTTAGATGCTTCCATATGTTTATGATTGTATAAATTGCTTTTTATTTTATTTATTTATTTTTTTGAGACTGTATCTCACTCTGTCACCAGGCTGGAGTGCAGTGGCACAATCTCAGCTCACTGCAACCTCCGCCTCCCAGGTTCAAGTGATTCTCCTGCCTCAGCCTCCTGAGTAGCTGGGATTACAGGCGTGCACCACCATGCCCAGCTAATTTTTGTATTTTTAGTAGAGACGGGGTTTCACCATGTTGGCCAGGATGGTCTCGATCTCCTGACCTTGTGATCCGCCCGCCTCGGCCTTCCAAAGTGCTGGGGTTACAGGCGTGAGCCACCGCGCCCGGCCATTGCTTTTTATTTTTAATCTATACCCTCAAACCATATTCTCTTTTAAAATTATTGACCATGGGCTCATAGCTTCTTTTCTCTACATTTTTAAAGAAATGTTTGCCTAAATCTGAAGTGTTGAATTGACGGTCCAGCATTCCTTTTAGTGCTGTGACCAATGAAGGGTCAAACCAAGGACACCTAGGACCTGAGATGGAGAAGGCAAGTTAGTAAGATAACAGTGTGGTAGCACTCATGAAGTAGATGCATAAGCAGACCCTAAAGATTAGGGTGGATCAGCAGTAGGGTAATTGTTAGGTGTCACAGGAAGTAAGTGGAACCTGTTAATCCAAGGGAATCTAGGGGGAGGCAGTAGGCAAAGTTCCAGGGAGGACAAGTAGTCAGCACCAAGAAAAATGTCTAACATTGAGGTCACTGTGTAAGGTAATGTTGTTTTTCAACAGATCTTTATGGAATGTCTGTAATGTGGCAGGGTTAAGGCTCAGAACTCTAGGACCCAAAGAACTGATAGGGTCACACTGGTCAAGAACCCAGCTGAACGAAGAACCCGTTTAGAGTTCTACATAGTCATTTGTAAACTCTGGGCAGATTAGTTCTTTTTGATCTTCTGTTTCTTCATATGTACAGTGAAGATAATAACACCTTAAGGCTGAGAGGAATACAGAAATGTGTGTAGAGTTTCTTTTTGTGCCAAGCACTTCTTGTGACAAACAAGGGGAAATAATAAAAAGAATCCTAACATGTGAAAAAGTTGTCAATCACTTGATTAATATCCTTTTTAGCTCCTGTGTTGTGTTTCCAAGAATTGGGTATCAGTTTTAAACATGGAAAATACCATGAAGATTACAGAAAAAAATCCTTCATTGTCCATCCTTCTTCTGTGACCTTCCCCAGAAAACTCACCATGATTTATGCCATGGTCCCTAGGAAGTCTAATTTTTTTACTTAATTGACCTTGTCCTTCTTTACTTGCTTAACTTCCCACCTGCTATGGAATGTGAGCAGTTTAGAAAGTGGCAAATGTGGAATTTAAGGGCTAAACAATTTTGGCCATGAGGAATACTTTTCAGTCACAAAGCATCACAAAAGTCAAATAAATATCCACGATTCAAAAGAAAGCCTTAGTAACTCTCTAAACAGGAAATAAATTATAGTATGGGATAATATAAAGCTTAGAACAGAATATATGTTCACATTATAACAACAGAAATTTTTATAATGCTAAACTATATATTTATTCTCATTATAGAAAATTATGCACCCAAATTGACATTCAGCCCATAAGAGTAATAAACACGTGGCATGGCAGAGTAACTCCCTCTCTTAGAGGAGGATTTTAAACACCAGAGGGCAGAGTGTTCCAGAGGACATTTTCAGTTCAGCTGGCCTTTCTTAATTGTAAATGCGCATCCTTACCTTGTCCGTCAGTCATTCATGTCGTGGGCAGAATTTCAAAAGTTAAGAAATGTGGTTATTTCATTTTACTTATTTTTTTCTTAAGACACAGAGTCCTGCTTTGTCACCCAGACTGGAGTGTGGTGGCACAATCACTGCTCATTGCAGCCTCAACCTCCTGGGGTCAAGAGATCTTCCCACCTCAGCCTCCTGAGTAGCTGGGACTACAGGCGTGCACCACCATACCTGGCTAATTTTTTCATTATTTTGTAGAGATGGGGTCTTGCTATGTTGCCCAGGCTGGTCTAAAGTCCTGGGCTCAAGCAACCCTCTCACCTCGGTCTCCCAAAGCACTGAGATTACAGGTGTGAACCACTGTGCCCAGCCAAGAAATATGGTCATTTTAGAATTGTCTATGTGGTATTATCTGTTTTGATGACTTTGTTTAGATAGCACAATGAGCAGTGTTTTGAGTTATACCAGAGTTGGTTGAACATCTCTGTTTTCCCCATTTCTGGTTAATGTTCATGTTTCTGATTTCTGAAAACGATTTTTAGAAAAAATTATGTATACATCTATATCATTCAGTAAATTTTATAACTTTAGATTAATGAAGTAAGTAAAGTGAGAGAAAGGAGATTTGATATGTGTATCTTATGGCTCAGTATGCCCTTTTATGCCCTGCTTATCAATAAAAACATTCTGAAAGAACCACCTGCCAACTCATGACCTTTTTCAAATGTTACAATTATCATTTAGAGGTAGCATCACACATTTGGGATAATTTTATTCAGGGTTTAGATAGTAAAGTCAACATATAAAATAAAAACTGAGTATAAAGAAAATTATCCTCAGAAATCCATTACATATCATTCACGACATTCATTAAACAGAAATACTGCTTCTCAGTATATCCAACCCTGCCAGTTTATCCTTTAGAGTTGTAACTATTTTACTCTTTACTCTCTTTTTCTTTGACCACCAGATGAAGTAGTTGGCTGATGTATAGGGATCACATATATGATTTTTAAGAATATATTTCTTTTTCTTCTCTGTCACTCATTACCCTACTGCTGCAGATTGAAGTCCTGATCTGAAGCAGTAGCCATTGCTAGGAAAGACACAACCCCGCGTAGAAAGTTGGCCAAAGCTTGAATTGCTATAGCTAGTAGAATGGTTACTTTCTTAACTCCTGTGAGAATAGAGATTTCGTATGTACATCTCTTCATAAATATTACCCTACCTTTAAGCACAATAGAGTTTAGCACGGATGATTACTCCTTAGAGAAAGCTTTTAATATAGCAAGACTGAAAAAAGAATAAAAATAAAAAAGAATGTAAAACTGTATAAGTTTTAGCATGACTTACCTAAATTAATCATAAAGGAGTTAAAAATTAGTAACCAAGGGGAAGAGCTTAACTCCTTAAATCTCTCTCCACCCTTAAGTTAAATCCAATTTTTCAAGCAAAACAAAACCTGTGTACTTTGTCTTTTGAAGTATTTTAATCATGTCCTCATCCCAGTTAGCTCCTACACAGCATAAGCAACGTTAGAAAAAATTATTTGTTGTCCAAGTTTACATTTTTTGCAGAACTTTTCTGGTATCTCTCTAATGCAAAGATCTGCTCAACATGACTTGATGATGGGGAGGTGGGAGAGAAAGTTGCTCTTTTTACCTAAGATATTGAATAATTAGTATTCTAAAAAGTCACAACTGAAGAGAATTTCCCTCAAAAATAACTACTGGCACAAGACAATATTTGAGTTAAAAAACTTACTAGGTAGAAGAGATTAGATTATCCAGGAAACAGAATGAGATAGGCTGTCCATGGAATTTCCAAGTCAAACATAATAGCTCATTTTTGAGTTTGCCCTACAGTTTTCTAGTTAGGTAGGATAAAAAGTAATAGGTTATTTTAAACAACTCAATCACTTTGCATGTTCTTTGATATTAACCATTCCATAGAAACCACTTATACTTCTTTATTACCAAGTTACTATTTTCTGAAGACATTTATAAGTCATGTTGAGGCAGTAGAATTACTTGTACATTATTATATTAAATAATCCTTGAACGCTAGTCCGCAGTATCTGTATCTACTATAATTCTAAAAAGAAATAGCTACTAGCTACTTGTGAAAAGTATATGCAGTGTGATGGGACACAATATCCAGTCAAACATAAAACCTAGCCTGGAAAAATATTTACCCTTTCAGGCAATTTTCTGTGTTTATGGAGTTCTATTGAAATTCCACTTTTCATTTTTCTTTGCTGTTTTGCTTAGATACTATTAAAAAAGATAATATAGATGTTTAGAATTTTAAGCCTTTGCTTTGTATTTATTTTTTTCTATTCCCACAGTAGCTTTAGGAATAAGGTAGAAAATGCTTTACTGAGATGAATCAGTGGGTCAGAGTAGTTAGGTGCCTTACTCAGGGTTATATTTAGAAGTAGCAAAGCTGTTAGTCCAACTACAGTCAAGACTAGTCAAATGCATGTCCATCCCACTACATTGCAATTCTTTTTAGTCACATTTTACTGAGGTTCTTCATTTATGGAGATAAATGCATCATAAATCTATGACCAACAAATACGTAACTTTTCCAGAATTGGTATTATAATGGCAGTGTTGCCCATGTAAGAGAATGGTATAATAGGTAAATTTACCTAATATTTTGCTTTGTATTGTATCTGAATATTGCATTAAATAAATGGTGATGGAAAAGTAACACAGAGATATGATATAGAACAATTTCATATAGAACTACCCTATATAAATAGATGAAATATCATAGCATCAGTGACCCATGCTTAATAAATCTAATGAAAGATATTTTTCTGCACCAGTCATCTCAGAGCAACATCCAGAAGACTATAGAGAGAGTACCATTACGACAATTCTATGCATTGGTGCTTTCACTGGCTCCCTCTTCTCCTGTGATACCGTTTGGAAGCTATCCTACTATCCCCTGGAAGGGGGAGCTCTTCCTAATTCCTGGGAGGTGAGGGAAAACTATGACAAGAAAACGATTGTCCAGGCCCAGTTAGGGAGAGGCCTTTAGAAGCATGGAGTGGACCAGTAACCCTGTCTTACAAGTGATTGACGGAGAAGTTTTCTTGTTCATGAATGAAGGCTATGAGCATTTTTAGTGAAGTAAGTGTCTTTTGAAACTTTCTTTATCTAGAAGGAATACAGGTGATAGTATGCCTCTCTTTGAAATTGGTGTCATTGCTACTTTATTAGTCAATCAGTTGATAGTGCTGCAGTTTTGGCATATCTGATGCATACCATCTGAATGAAAGGCATTTAATTAGGGTTTTAATATCTCTAAGTATTTAAAAATGAATTTTCTGCTATCTCAAACTCTAGACAGTTCCTTACATTGCAACAAAATCACTGTATAATTTTAACACTTAATAAATTATGGAGATACTGCAGACCTATATTAGCTTGCTAAAGTATTAATATTTTAAATTACCTCAATTGCATTTTTTGTTGGTGCCTACTAAGTAACTGTTTTACAGCGTATATTCACACAGCTCTGATTCAGAAAATCAGAAGAGCAAAACATGAGAAGGAAACAGTAAGAGAGGAGTTTACAGCTTTAAGGCATGAGGAGCTTACAGCTTTTTAATATAAATTGTTCCCAGAATCCATGTCACAGATCCTTATATGGTGCTGCTTTTTTCCTCTTGGTTGCTATGACAACAGCAGCACTGCACCATTCATCAGCTCTGGACCTGGGCTGCACTGCTAGCCTTCCTTGTTACTCCTGAATGTTAAGAAGAACATCCGTGAATCATTCACTCTGTTAACGCTGCGCCATTAGAAACCTAAGAACCAGTTCTTCCAGTAATTTGCTCTAACAGAGGGTGAACTAAACTGCGCCACAGAGAAAAATTGTGTAAAAATATTTCTTTTATCCTAATGGAATCATACAACCTATATTTGCTGCAGTATTCTGAAAGGACAAGCTTATGTCAACCAATCTAATGAAAAGAACTCGTCTGTGTAATCTCTTGAAATCATTAGTTGTTCAAAACAGAATACCACAGTGCTTCTCTGGATACAAAAAGAAGCAGGTGATGTTGTTAGGGGTTCTAAACCCCTTTGGGAGCATCTCTTGTGCTTTGGGACCATAATCAACATCTGCTATAAGAAGTATCACCTGTAACGCACAGTAAGTTCTGGGCAGCGTAAAGAGCTGGCTGGAGATTAAAGTGTGGGTCATTCCTGATGTGTCAGGTCTGATAACAACATGACCAGTGAATAAGAAGCCTTTCAGCTTTTCTAGGGGAAAAGACTCTGTAGTATTGACTAGTGAGGAAGAAAAACTAAAACCTGTGAGTATGATGAGTAGAGTATTTGTTACGTGGATTTCTGAGCTGTAAAGTCTACTTTGTTCTTTATAGAAAAATAAACACAGCCTAAGATAATTTGACATCTAGTTTTCAAGGAAGCCATTAAGAAGCTGTATTTTGGCACATTTATTTAATTTTTAATTGTGTGTTCTTTTGCTTTATATATTTATATGCATATATGAACCTTTTGAAATGGTTTTATATTTTAAAAAAGAATATGCATTGCAGAGAAGCCTGTTAAAAACTCAATTTTTCAATGTAAATGTGAAGGTTAGATTGTCTCTCCTGTTAGATTGCAATTCCAGAATAGAGCTCTACTTCCTGTTGCAGTATCCTTATAAATAAAATACCTTTTTTAAAAAATAACAATATGGAAATCTAGAATTTTGTAAACAAGCTTTCTTAATACATAAAATCATTCTTGTTATTTCATTAACTGGAGTGTTTACAAATGGACTTTCTTAGTTTAAGAATTTTTTTTAACAACACAATTTGCAAGTTATGATATTTATTGTCTTATTTTCTCAGTTGAGTTTAGACTAAATTAGAAATTTACCTTTGTTTACTTGTATTTTTAGATCATTTGGTAATTATCAACAAGATATATTGATTTTATATACTGACTTTTCTTAAAAGACTCTTTGTTTTCTGGCTTTTAATTATTTTCTCTTTTTAGTTCCTCAGCTAACCATGGTAACTTAGAAATGTCTTGAAAGTAGGAACTTGGTTTTTCAAAATTAGGATATTTGTAGTGATCTTCAGCCACTTCAAAAAAGAAAAAGATATTTTCATTTAGTCTTATTCTTTCAATTACTTGTCTTCCTAAGTTGCTCTTATTGATTTATTGATTGATTGAGACAGGGTTGCCCAGGTTGGAGTGCAGTGGTGCAATGATGGCTTGCTGCAGCCTCGACCTCCCAGGCTCAAGCCATCCTCCTCCCTCACCCTATTGAGTAGCTTGGACTACAGGCATGTGCCACCATATCCAACTAATTTTTTTTTTTTTTTTTTTTTGAGACAGAGTCTCGCTCTGTCGCCCAGGCTGGAGTGTAGTGGTGCGAACTCAGCTCACTGCTGCAAGCTCTGCCTCCCGGGTTCACACCATACTCCTGCCTCAGCCTCCTGAGTAGCTAGGACTACAGGCGCCCACCACCACGCCCGGCTAATTTTTGTATTTTTAGTAGAGATGGGGTTTCACCATGTTAGCCAGGGATGGTCTCGATCTCCTGACCCCGTGATCCGCCCACCCCAGCCTCCCAAAGTGCTGGGATTACAGGAGTGAGCCACCACACCCGGCCCTCCAACTAATTTTTTTAAAACATTTTTATAGAGATGAAGTCTCATGTTGCCTAGGCTGATCTCAAACTTGGGCTCAAGCAGTCCTCCCACCTTGGCCTCCCCAAGTGCTGGGATTACAGGTATGAGCTGTGGCTCCCAGTCTGAGTTGCTCTTCTGAAATGCACTTTATTTGGAAAATATATACGTCAGTGATATGACTAGGTTATTTTAATTTACACAATTAGCAAAAGAAGATTTTTGTTATTTTGTCATTATACCATTCAATTTCTATTCCTTCTTCCATTTTTGAGACTTTGCCTATCTGTTTATACAAGTGCCTTTGCCCAATGTTTAGAAAGCCTTTAAATAGGGAGAATTAATATGTTAAGGGATAATGAAAGGGTTAATCATTTGTATTAACAGTTATATATGTCATTAATAACAAGATTTTGCTTCCGTCATCTATAACGGATCAAATAAATATTCACATTTTAACTATTGCTCTGCAAGTAAATAAAATAGGAATTTTAAATTTTATGTATATTTAATAATTGTGTACATTATAAGTTAATGCTTCTTTATGACTATCCTCACACATGTATGTATAGAAACAAAGGATTTTATATATCCATTATCTCTGAAACTATAATTTTTATTAACAGTAGCAAAGAGGCCGGGTGCCATGGCTCACACCTGTAATTCCAGCACTTTGTGAGGCTGAGATGGGAAGATCCCTTGAGGCCAGGAGTTCAAGACTAGCCTGGGCAGCACAAGGAGACCCCATCTCTACAAATAATTTTTTTAAAAAATTAGCCAGGCATGATTGCACATGCCTCTGGTCCCAGCTACTTGGGAGGCTGAGGCAGGAGAATCACCTAAGCCTGGGAGGTTGAGGCTGCAGTGACCCATGATCACTCCACTATCACTCCACTGCACTCCAGACCAAGTGACATAGTGAGACCCTGGGCAACAGAGCAAGACTCTGTCTCATAAAAAAAAAAAAAATTAATAACAAAGACTGGTTTAGGTACTTTTTAATGAGGTTAGTATTTTTATTAGCAGATTTATTCATTTTCAAGTAATCTTTCTTGACCATATCCTTTGGTATTTTTTTTTTATGTTTGGGATCTTATTATATATTCCTTAAAGATTGTATATTAACCTATTTGTTTGTTTGTAAACTGGCTAATGTAAAATCCACTATAGACCTCCCTATTTTAAGAGATGCTGCAGTAAGTCCTTTTATAATAATCCCTATTATGCTGATTTGGTGAATCTGTATGTATGTTAGGTTTTCTTAAAGGCCATCCAGTTTATTTCAGCATGTAAAAATTCAAGTTGCAGATTTAACTGGCAGAGTTCTATGAAAAAAATAAGACTTAATACTTTGGATGATCATTTAGCCCCTCAATTTCAAACTAGTTTGACAACTTCCATCTTACTTTCTGAAATTCTTTAAAAAGTCTTTTCAAGGCCAGGTGGTGACTCATGCTTGTAATCCCACCACTTTGGGAGGCTGATGTGGGTGGATTGCTTGAGCTCAGGAGTTGGAGACCAGCCTGGGCAAATGGTGAAACCCTGTCTTTACAAAAAATACAAAAAATTATCCAGGCATGGTGGTGCACACCTCTGGTCCCAGCTGCTTGGGAGGTTTAGGTAGGAGAATCGCCTGAGGCTGGGAAGGTAAAGTTGTAGTGAGCCGTGATTACTTCATTGCATTCCAGCCTGGGTGACAGTATGAGACCCTGTCTCAAAAAAAAAAAAAAAAAAAAAAAAAAAACTATTCAATATTGTTCATATAACATACAACTGGGTAAAATCTTAGTTAATAGTAGGCGTTACTTTTTTGGGGGGAGGGAATGTGCTAGTGAATAGAATATAACAATTTCAAATGTAAACTCTTAGGTTTTTTCCCCTGGTTTTCACTAACTGAAACTTAAACATGTTGTCCTAATAACACTTCTGAATATCTGGGAATTTGTTAGTAATAAGCTTTTATTAGAAAATAAATACCTCATTTCTGTTAGAGTCTACATTAAGACATGAAGGACTCCTATTGGTGATAAATTATTTTAAAAGGGTCATTTCTAGTCATCCTAGCTATTTTTTCTCATGGGAATTAATCATAATATTTCGGTGATAAATGTGTGTTTTTTATCACTCCAACATTATGTAAGAAAACATTTTTACCACTGTAAACTTTGCAGCTTAGGACAGGTTAACTTCTGTGAGGTTTCTCTTCTATAAGATGAATGAAGTAGTGCATTTTTGTAGTGTCATTGTAGGCATTAAGAAAAATATATAGATAAAGCATCTAGTATAGTACTTGACACAGGGGAAGCATTCTCTTAGTCTTTGATACTTACTTTCCCCCCATTCCTCTCCATTGGCCTACATCAGTGATTTTTGGACTTTTCTTTGGGAGCTCCTTTAAGGCAAAGGCATTTGAATACTTACCAAAGGGATCTGGGATGTAGCCTGAAGTGGTACCCAAAAGGAAACCTGGAAATTTCTTGCAAATCTCATATTTCTTTAAAACTGTGTACATTCTACATGTATTTTTATTTTATAATAAAAATGTTTCCCAAAAAAATCTTTAAGTAAAACTCACTCTTCAGGAAAATATACTACATTTTCTCCTATAAATTTGCATACCCCAACATAATACTCCTCACCTATATGTATTCCCCAGTTGAAGACATGCTACTTAGATCATCGGGTCTGGGTATCATTTTAAAAATAGAAATTCTAATTAGCTGGGTGTGGTGGCATACATATGCCTGTAGTCCCAGCTACTTGGGAGGCTGAGGTGGGAGGATCGCTTGAGCCCAGGAGTTCTAGGATGCAGTGAGCTGTGATTGTACCACTGCACTGTAGCCTGGGCCACAGAGTGAGACTTCATCTCTTGCGGGGGGAGGGGGGAAGAGGGGGAGGGGAGGGTGCATATTTCCCTGGAGAAAGAGATTGAGAATCAAGAGGCAAGGATGAAAAACTCAATCTGGTTGAATCTGGAAGGCTTACTCAGTTCAAAAAAGTGAATAGTGGTTTGAAGTTGAGTTAAGCTGTAGTGGGATGAGAAAGGAATATTTCATGTCGGAACTAGAGAAGAATGATGATAGAGAAACGGTTTAGCATTTTAAAGCCTGAGAAGTCCTACAATAAAGGGAACTTTTTAATTGTTTAATCTAGCATCTCTAAAACTTGACAGCAGACACTTTATTTCTTACATGCCCCTGCAAAACCATGTGGAACAAGTAAGTGTTCCAAGGAGCATGCTTTAGGAAATAACTGACCAAAGAAAGTTATGTCATTTAGAAGGAAAGAAGAGTGGTTAACTGCACAAAATGAAGTATGAAAGAAATCATCTTAGCACTCCAGAAGATATGGAAACATGGCTGGGTCTAGTGGCTCATGCCTGTAATCCCAGCACTTTGGGAAGCCAAGGCAGGTGGATTACTTGAGGTCAGGAGTTTGAGACCAGCCTGGTCAACATGGTGAAACCCCGTCTCTACTAAAAATACAAAACTTAGCCAGGCATGGTGGTGCATGCCTGTAATCCCAGCTACTTGGGTGGCACAAGAATCACTTGAAACCTGGGAGGTAGAGGTTATAGTGAGCCGAGATCACACCACTGTACTCCAGCCTGGGCGACAGAGTGAGACTGTATCTCAAAAAAGAAACAAAACAAAAACAGAAGATTATGGAAACATAATTTACTCAGATTCCCCAGATAAATTATACTTTGCTTTAATATTTTAAAGATGAGTGTGTTTTTTAAATTGGAGAAAATATTGTTTATTATGTAGACTAGAAAGTAAAATGGTAAAGTGACTTAAGTAAAATCTCAGAAGCAAAAGTGTACAAAATGCATTCAAGTGGTAAATAAATCAGTTTGTCTGGAACAGAGGTTTCATGAAGGATGCTCTGGAAGAGACAACTGGGACCAAAATGACGAAGCCATTAGGGCAGTGATAACCTAACATGGTAGCCATGGAAAATGTATAAAGAGAAAAAGATTTTGGAGGAATAAGCAGATTGGTGACTGGCCAGCTATAGAGTACAGGAATATGAAAGATCTGCCAAAGATGATTATACAATTTTAAGAAGAAAAATGATGGCTTTGCTAATAGGAAAAGCTTAGACAGATAGCTGATTTTAAGAGATTGATAGACATTGAGTTCAGGGTGGTAGGACGATATAAGAGGGGAAATGTGGGCCAGGCGCGGTGGCTCACGCCTGTAATCCCAGCACTTTGGGAGGCTGAGGCGGGCGGATCACAAGGTCAGGAGATCAAGACCATACTGGCTGGCGCAGTGGAATCCTGTCTCTACTAAAAATACAAAAAAAATTAGCCAGATGTGATGGCTGGCGCCTGTGGTCCCAGCTGCTGGGGAGGCTGAGGCAGGAGAGTTGCTTGAACCCGGGAGGCGGAGCTTGCAGTGAGCCGAGATTGCGCCACTGCACTCCAGCCTGGGCGACAAGGTGAGATTCTGTCTCAAAAAAAAAAAAAGAAAAAGGGGAAATGTGTTTTCAGCACTTTGAAAATAAGTAAGGTTTTAAGCTGTAAATTTGGAAGTTATACCCGTAGAGAGTATAGTTAAAACTGTAGAGTAGGTAAAATCTTTTTTTTTTTTTTTTTTTTTTTGAGATGGAGCCTCGCTGTCACCCAGGCTAGAGTCCAGTGACACTATCTTGGCTCACTGCAACCTCTGCTCACTGCAACCTCTGCCTCCTGAGTTCAAGCAATTCTCTGCCTCAGCCTCCCGAGTAGCTGGGATTACAGGTACCTGCCACCACGCCCAGCTGATTTTTTTTATTTTTAGTAGAGATGGGGTTTCACCATCTTGGCCAGGCTGGTCTTGAATGTCTGACCTTGTGATCCACCCGCCTTGGCCTCCCAAAGTGCTGGGATCACAGGCATGAGCCACAGCGCCCGGCCATAAGGTCTCTTTAGGATGCGAATTGAACAAATAGAAAAGGTAGAAAGTAAATATTTCATAAGAATTTACGAGGAATTTTCATGTTTACTCATTTTGTCTTTTCGTTGGCACTTTGAATTATTATGGCCCTAATCTTATTTATGAAGAAAACAAGACCTAATCAGGCTAACCATGAAGAATTTAGGCATAAGAGATCAGAGCTCCAACTTAGACCTCTCTCTAACTTCAGTATCTGTTCTCGGGGATCAAGAAGTAAATCTTAAGAAATACAACCTAAGGGACCAAAAGAGAAAAACCCACTTTAAAAAACAAATGAGATGAATAAGGAGCAGTATGAAAGATATTGAAGGAACCAAGATGGTGTAACTTTTGCTGGAAACTGAGGCTTGGAACCGTTTGAGTGACTAGGATCATGATTTTCTTGACATATGATTCTGCCTTTTGCTCTCCTGAACTGTAGTCCAAACTCTTAGCTGCAGTGGTCTACATTTGGCAAATATTTGTATTCTGTTTCATTAAAGAGGAGAAAGAAAGAGAGAGGCTACATAAAATCGGTGGGAGAAGGAAGCATTTAATGAGAAACTTACAGTCAAATACACTTCTTAGAGTTCTAATTGCTTTTTGGTGTCTGTGATATATAGTCACATGTAGCAGGGATCCCCAACGCTCAGGCTGCAGACTAGTACCAGTCCGTGGCCTATTAGGAACTGGGCGGCACAGCAGGATGTGAGCCTGCAGGCGAGCAAGCATTACTGCTTGAGCTCCGCCTCCTGTCAGATCAGCAGAGGCACTAGATTCTCACAGGAGCATGAACCCTATTATGAAATGCACATCTGAGGGATCTAGGTTGCTTGCCCCTTATGAGACTCTAACGCCTGATGATCTGAGGTGGAACAGTTACATCTCAAAACCATCCCCACCCCCAACAAAAATTGTCTTCCGCAAAATGGGTCTCTGGTGCCCAAAAGATTGGGGACCACTGATACATAGGACTCTTTAAGACTTTTAAAAATGAAATGTTTCTCTTTCTCCATTCAACATCCTTACTCCAGTAAATTTCTCGTTAAGATAGCTGAAAGGATCCCTAAAGCAGTTAACTGTTTTACCTTAACTCCTGCAATATGATGTAATAGTTCAGATCCTGCGCTTACTAGCAGTGTGACGTTGGGCAAGTTGTATAACTTCTCTGTGCTTCAGTTTCCTCATCTGTGAAATGAGTATAACAACTCCCTTAGGATTTGTAAGAATTAAAGGAATTTTTACAGGAAAAATGCTTACAACAGCCTCTAGTACATAGTAACTGTCCAATAATGATAGTTGATGATGATGCTGTCACTTAATAGCAACTGCATGATCCTATGTATCTCTCTATACCTTTCTTTAAAGTCCTGTGTACTTTTCCTTTTTTTCTTTGTTGAGAAGGGAAGCCGTTTTTTACCTTTACTAGGTAGGCTGAGTTTTTTAAGTGAGCAGAGAGTAGTTACAACTTGAATCAGAAGGCTTAAATTTATATGACAATATAAACATGCCTGGATTTAGAAAACATCTTGCTGTCAAATGGATACTGGTGGTGTCCTCTCCTGATAACAGTAATATTGTAACCATTAATGTTCAGAGTATTTCATTGTGAGTTTATATTACTTCCTGTGGGAACTGGTTTCATATTCAGTCCAAAACACTTGATAAGTATGTAGTTTCTCCTTCCTTGTTTTATTTAAAAGAACCCTTTACCAAAAAAGTATGATAAATATATTGTCACATTGTTATGATATAATGAGAAGCTTTGATATAATTGTGGTAAAATTATACATTCAGTACACAGCAGGCCTTTTCATCTTAGCATTTATTACAAATTTAAGTTTTAAATTAGTTAGCAATATAATGTAGCGTAAGCTTATCTTACATAGTTTGTGTACTCTGGAGCCAGACTGCCTGGATTTGAATTCTGACTGATATGCCTTACTTCTGTGTCCTTGGGCAAGTAACTTAACCTCTCCCTCAGTTTCCGCATCTGCAAAAAGCAGGTAGTAATAGTACCTACTACTTCCTAGGGTTATTATGAGGATTACATGAGTGAATGACTTTGAACAGTTTTGATCACAATAAGTGCTCAATTATTGCTGTTATTATTTAGTATTTGTGTGGTTTACGTCTTGTCTCCCTAAAAGGGAGAGAGAGTATTTGTCCTTTTTATTATTATATCCTCAGTCTTTAGCACAATGCCTGGCATATAGTAGATGTTCAATAAATATTTACTGAATAAATCAATAAAACATCCTGCACTTACCTAGAGCTTCAATAATATTCTTAGCTTGAATGCCTTCGGCTAAGCAGGCCAAAGCAGATAACACTATTATGATGTTAAGAGCCTTTACTCACTAAGGTTTTTTTAGTGGGGGGTTTAGTTGTTGCTGCTGTTGTTTTTTGACGGAGTCTTCTTCTGTCGCCCAGGCTGGAGTGTAGTGGTGCAGTCTCGGCTCACTTGCAACCTCCACCTCCTGGGTTCAAGCGATTCTCCTGCCTCAGCCTCCCAAGTAGCTGGGACTACAGGTGCATGCCACCACACTGGCTGATTTTTTTATTTTTTAATAGAGATGGAGTTTCACTGTGTTGGCCAGGCTGGTCTTGAATTCCTAGCCTCAGGTGATCAGCCTGCCTCGGCCTCCCAAAGTGTTGGGATTACAAGCATGAGCCACCATGCCCGACTCACTAAGGTTTTATTAAAGTGAGATCTTGAAAATTTGTGACTCACTGTTTTATTTATTGATCAGACTTGTGATGGTAAACACTTTACAACTGAGGCTAGAAGTAAGTATGACACATGAGTCACGTTCCTTTTACCTCCCCACCCCCCACTGATTCTTAGGACTCTAACAGTATTATAGTGCCTAGAAAAGAAAGAAATAGCTCTCTTCATGCTGATTTTGACCTGTTTTTAAAGCTTATTACTGAAAGGTTATAATGTAAAAGGTACTGCTGATATATAAGGTACTGCTTACCTAAGCCTGAGGCTGGGGACATACTGCAGTTATGACTAAGTTTCTCATTTTTAAGTACCAAAAAATGGACAGATTTAGCTTGTCAACACTGCGATTAAAATTTGCTGTTTTTTCTTGTTATTACCGCTGGGTATTCTCTGTTGTGTTCAATAAGGAATTCTTCTTATGGTACTAAATGTCTAATATTTTCTACCCTTCTCCATTCTGGGGATAAATCATTGCTTTAATGAACCATTTTTGTAGATATATTAATGTCTAGTCTAGTTTATACTTATTTTAAATGATATTTCATTTGTTTATACAATGTGACATTGAACTATGAGCTACCTCTTCTACTTCTAACTTAATTTTAATTTGACTTTAATTCTAATTATATAATTTTTCCAGATTATGCCTTGGATTTTGAAAAGACATTTCTTATCAAGGTTCATCTGTCCAAAATAGTTTTATGTTTCTCTTATGCTTTTGACACTTTACTTCCCAAATCATTTATTATTGAGAAAATAGCTAGTAAAATGTCACAAAAATTGTATAGATTAGAGACTGAAATGTGACAAAGTAGAAATGATTTCTTTATGAAAATCTATTCATGCTTTAATTTCTTACTCCATCATGGTCCTTTCAGTTATGGGCACTGGCTCTCATTAGTCACCATAAGAAACTGGCAGGATTTTATACTCTGCTTTATTTCCAAATCTAAATATTGACAATTAGTGCCTTACAAGCATGGTGGCATATGAAAATGTTGTTAGACTTCTCAGACCTTTCTCATTTTATTTGCGTTCTGCATATTACCATGCCCTGCACACTGTGAGCTAACTCTACCAGTTAGAAGAGAAGATTTCTTAACTGACCTTCCCCTAATCACTTGCAGGATTAAAGTTTTCATTCCCTTTGTGACACCTACTGACTGTTGTCAGGACAAGATGTATATTAGAGGCCAGTAGGCTACCTTCTAATGCACCTGGGTACTTCTGTTATTCCTGTGGTGGCCTGTGCTTACTTAATGAGAGGCAGTTAAGTTAATGCCCATTGTACTTCTTATTATGATAATATAATTAAATTATGTATATGTTAGATACAAATACAGAAAGAAAGCACCTATAAAAGAGTTTCTAGGAAAATTATGTTAAAAGCTTTGGAAAAACTCAATATCAATAAAAGTAAGGTGCTAAAAAAATGCTGTAACTGGATGACTACTCAATAATAATTGTACATTTTAAAATAACTAAAAGAACATAATTGGGTTGTTTCTAACACATAGGATAAATGCTTGAGGTGATAGATACCCCATTTATCCTGATGTGATTATTACACATTATATGCCTGTATCAAAATAACTCATACGCCCCACAAATGTATATGCCTACTGCGTACCCCCAAAAATTAAAAATAAATTTTCAGTGAATTTGGGTGAAGGTATTTTAAAAATCTGTCTTTACTTAGGTTGTCTAAGATTTGGTTTATTTTGAAAAAATTGACTAGATTATACATTTTAGTGCAGTTTACACAAAAAAGAAAAGTTGGAATTCATATTCAAACAAAAGGCCTTGGCCTTACAGCAAGAGTTTGTTTAATAAATGTACATTTATATTTTAAGGGAAAGTGTTTAATACATGTACCAACTTTTTCTTTGCTCATTTGCAACATTTTAGAAAAACCAATCCGCTACTAGTCCCTGTCGGTGTAGGATAAGAGGACTTCTGTATATATTACCTTCATATTTTTCGGTAGCCCTGACCAAGTTTGGGAGAATCCTGAGAAAAACCACAAATTATTCTCAGGAGAATTTGTGGAATAGACCTGTGAATTATGGTCTTGTCTGTATATGACTTAGGTCAAAATTTAATTGTGAGTGGAAATTTGTGTTTAGTAACGTGTCATTCCTATCTGTTGAGCCTACTAAATGCCCTCTCAAACTAGAGAGCTATGTGTAAAGAATCTTATGTTCTTCTTGGTTCAGTTGCATACTTACGGACGGTTTATAGAAGTAGTTAAGTAGCCAGACTTTGTGGGGTTTTTTGTTTGTTTTTTTGAGCCAGGGTCTCGCTCTGTCACCCAGGCTGGATGGCTCACACTGCAGCCACAATCTCCAGGGATCCTCCCACCTCAGCCTCCAAAATAGCTGGGACTACAGATGCTACACCATGTGTCCGGCTGATTTTTTTTTTAATTTTAACTTTTGTAGAGATGAGATCTCACTGTGCTGCCCCGTCTGGTGGTAAACTCCTGGGCCCAAGCAGACCTCCTGCCTCGGCCTCCCAAAGTGCTGGGAATACAGGCACCATGCCCAGCAGTACCTAGACTTTGTAGTAAGACATACAAGGTTCAGGTTCCAGCGTTACCACTTATTAGCTGTGTGAGTTTTTTACATGTTATTCACATTTTCCAAGTTTCAATTTCCTCTCTTATAAAATGTGCATAACAAGAGTAGCTACCTCATAAGAATGTTATGAAGATGAACAGTGTATGTCAAGTGCTTAGCAATGTGCTTAACTCCTGAGGTCAGGAGTTTAAGACCAGCCTGGCCAATATGATGAAACCCCATCTCTACTAAAAATACTAAAAATACAAAAATTAGCTGGGTGTGGTGGTGCACACCTGTAGTCCCAGCTACTTGGGAGGCTGAACATAAGTAGCTGTACATGAGAACAACTATGAGCAAGAAAGTTGGCTTCATATCTATAGTATTTTACCTGTTGTAATGATGAGTCCAATTAGATTAGAAAAATAAATTATAATCACCACCTTATATTTTCTTTATAGTAATCTTATATATCTATACAGTTATAAAATAAGAAATTGTGTGCATATGATGAGCACTGAATATTACATCATCTGTGTATGCTCATAGACATTCAAAACTTTTAAGTGATCTTTATTATTAATAATGTAATAATTTTGAAAACTTTTATAGAAGTATGTGATAGATTTACTAAAGTACACTTATGGACAACAACACGTAAGAACAACTATGAGCAAGAAAGTTGGCTTCATATATACGGTATTTTACCTGTTTTAATGATGAGTCCAATTAGATCAAAAAAATTATAATCACCACCTTATCTTTTCTTTATAGTAATCTTCTTATAGATGTATAGAGTTATAAAATAAGAAATAAAGCTGGGAAGGCTATTTATATTTCCTCTCCAGTATCCAACTTAATTGTTTCTCTCATCTTAATCATTTTTGTTGTTATTTAGGTAGCACAATAAAACAATTTACTTGGCCGGCTCAGTGGCTCACACCTGTAATCCCAGCACCTTATGAGGCCAAGCCGGGTGGATTGCCTGAGGTCAGGAGTTGACCAAGACCAGCCTGGCCAACATGGTGAAACCCCAGCTCTACTAAAAATACAAAAATTAGCTGGGCGTGGTGGTGCACACCTGTAGTCCCAGCTACTTGGGAGGCTGAGGCAGGAGAATCGCTTGAACCTGGAAGACAGAGATTGCAGTGAGCCAAGATTGTACCACTGCACTCCAGCCTCGGTGACAGAGTGAGACTCCATCTCACAAAAAAAAAAAAAAGATTTAAAAACCAATTTACTATCTTTTATTTGCTGTTTTGTTAATTCCTTTCCTGATAGGAGTTAGTGTTGACAATCACTTTATCTGTTAGTTTACTGCATATTTACATTTCAAGGGGCATAGTCTAACCTAAACTTTATTATAATTGAGTCTGTATAATAAAGAGTTTTATTGTGGTTATTACTACTACACAATTATACATATCCTTTATTAAGGGCAAAGTAGTTTATTCTGCCTTGAGGCTCCCCTGAGAATTTAAAGCTCTGATTCAGTAAGTTTAGTAAACACTAAATTTAGAGCTGCTTGTGGTAATATACATACCTTACTGCATCTTACCTTGATATGCAAAGACACCACTAAAATCCCTGGATAATAAACATTTTGTTTTTCAGGAATCCAAAAACAAAGCACATTAACTTTATTCCTTCAGAGTTGTGGGAAAGTGAGTTTAGCAGAGTTTATAAGAGTCAACCAGCATCAGTGAAGATTCAGGGAGCTGAAACTGAGAAACATGAGGCAGATCACAAGACCAAAAACACTGCATGGAAACACAGGAAAGGCTTTTCAAGAATTGTGTCTAAATAGAGTTTACCTAAAAGAAAATAGCTCTAAGCAAATTACTGTGGACTGTGTTGTAGTATAACAACAGAAATATAAGACTGATTCTCCACCACAGTTTTTAAGTTCACAGCACAGTTTCATAAAGTAAAATATTTAATGGCAAGAATAATGTAATTACTGTTACATCAGTATGCAAACTAAAACCTAATCATAATAAAATCTAGACTTTAAAAATTGTCATGTAGAAATTCTGAGGCTCTGCTGCTGCAGATGTAAAATAAAAGCTGGTCTGGGCAAAGAAAGAGGTTGGGATCACTTGTTGGTTGATCATGTTGGTTTCTTTCTGAACAATCCCATTCCACTCCCAGAAAAAAAGGGGAGGATAAAACATGTATTTCTTACCAAATATCACATCGTTATTACTGTTTAAAACAATTACTTTGGTTTTTTTTTTTTTCTACATTACACCAGTTGCTTAGGTTGGAATGTAAATTTGCTTTCATCACAAGACTGATCCAAATATCCAGTATTAACGGATATTTAAGTAAACATAACCAGCTTTCAAGTTTGAAAGTAATATCATTTCATATTATCATTTAAAGGACTTGTTAAAACACAGATTGCTGTGCCCCACCCTCAGAGTTTCTGACACAGTCATTTTAGTGTGGTGCCTGAGAACCTGCACTTTGAACAAGTTTCCAGGTGATGCTGGTCCATAGGCCACACTGTAAGACTCGCCAGCCTACATGAGCTCCAGGGTTCCATCAAGATTTGAAAGCTATTGAATGCAGGAGCAGAACCTCCTCAATAGGATTTTGAGATTTTTGTCTTTCATAAACACTGAAACTTTCTAAAGTTATTTGTTTCTAGCCATGGAAATATTTATGCATTGGAGTGCATACATTCAGCTTAAATCTAGCTTTAGTGCCCAATCTTATAAAAACTTTGGTTTTATTGTTTTCCTCCTTAACATTTGTTGTTCCAGGCTTTAGGTAATTCTGTTTTTCTCTTTACCATACAGTGTTACATTAGTAAAATGACAGAAATCACAAGAAGATGTATCGATTTATTTCTATTGAGATTTGCTGTTTAGCTTCCATTCCTCTTTACAATATTTTGCAGCACTGCTTCTACCTCTATCCTACTACTAGGATTTTTTTTTTTCGAATCTTAAACAAAATAATGTGATGAATAGAGCAATATATTTTATTTAGTTTAAAAACCAGAGGTGGCAAGAGATTTATGAAAACCCAACAAAAGAAAGACCTCTGAGCCAAATCAGCATCTACTTTTTAAGTATTTATAGAACACCCTCTTGCTACCATACAACCAAGAAGAGTAAGGCAAACAGTATCTCATGCCTTTGTGTATTTAAGGAAAGCCAGAATAAAAATTCCTGCTTCTACCCCTAAATCAAAGCCTTCTCTGGCAGAATGCTAGTTCTGTCTCTCCAGCTAGCTCTCTTTTTTCATGGTTTACTTTCCACCAGAGCTTTCTATACCCTGTTTGTCTCAGGAATTAATCATCTTCTTATCTTCCCTCTTCTCTGCTAGCCAGATTATACCAGGGTTTTAGGGAGATTGAAAAGCAACTTGTCCTCTTACAAATAATAGAAATTTCTGACAAATATTCTAAGGTCAGAGAAATATGATTCTTTACTCAGGGTTAGAATTACTAAGTATTCTCTGTTGTGATTTAGTAGCAACTGCACATTCCAGCAACAAGCCGGAAAGCTACTGGCCTTCACACTTAATCTTTGAAAATGCCTCAATAGTCATTTTAGTCTATGAGACAAAGACTCACTTTGTTTTTAATTTATCCTTACAGAATTGTGTTACAGTACTGGCACAATGTTCACATATATGCAAATAGTAGCAGGGGTTTTTTTTGTTTTTTGTTTTTTGAGATGGATGCTTGTTCTGTCTCTCAGGCTGGAGGGCAGTGGCGCAATCTCGGCTCACTGCAACCTCCGCCTTCTGGGTTCAAGCGATTCTCCTGCCTCAGTCTCCCAAGCAGCTGAGATTACAGGTGTGTGCCACCACGCCTGGCTAATTTTTGTATTTTTAGTAGAGACTGGGTTTCACCATATTGGCCAGGCTGGTCTCAAACTCATGATCTTGTGATCCACCCGCCTCTGCCTCCCACAGTGCTGGGATTACAGGTGTGTGCCACCACGCCTGGCTAATTTTTGTATTTTTAGTAGAGACTGGGTTTCACCATATTGGCCAGGCTGGTCTCAAACTCCTGATCTTGTGATCCACCCGCCTCTGCCTCCCACAGTGCTGGGATTACAGGCGTGAGCCACCGCGCCTGGCCAGTAGTTTTTTACTTCCCACGTTGATTGACTAGGATCTTCTTCAGCTTACTATCCTGAAGTTTCGAAAAAGAAAAAAAAAAATGGAATAACCTTCCATAATTCTTTTTGTTTTCTTTGTTAATGCAAGATCTTTTGGGTCTGCCATGGAGAACTCAATTTGGAATTGTCAGTAAATGATGGCTCACTGTTATATACTTGCTTCCAGTCCAAGTCTGTTTCTTCCTCAGTTCTTTATTATATGTAAAACTATGTTTGCAAGGAATTTATGTAATTTTACCTAGTCAGCATATTTTCAGCCATTATTGACAGCTAATGCAAAATGGAAAACAGCAACATGAGTGCATTGTGTATTATTCTCAAAACACTATTCTGAGATGATTTTCCTAAAGCCCCTGCCTTAAAACAGTTTATAATCTAGTAGAGTTTGATGATTCCTACACATAGAATGGGTAGAATTTGTACTGCAAATTTATAAAACCAGAATCATAAATCCAACATTAGCATGATTTTAAATCATGCTAAACCAACTTAGCATGATTTTAAATCATAGTTGGTAAAATATTCAAAAAGGAACTGGTTTCTAGCATTCATACAAACACCTCTTATCCAACATATTGTACTTTTCCCTGTTAAACATACAAGAGCACTTGTACTAGTATCCTGTTATAATATGTATTCCACGCAAGGGAGTAACTTTCACCTATTAAATAGCAGTTATCCTTCTTGTGGGGAGAGGTGGGGAAAGGGACAGACATAACTGAGGTAAGAAGCGTGAGTAAATTACTTCTTGTAATTTTTCATCCGCTCTAGATGCCAAACATTCTGACCAACTTCTTATAATTTTGTTGGTATGTCTCCATGTTCCTCTATTGCCTGTCATATCACCACCCCCACTACCATGGTCATTATATACTAATAACACCTAGCATTGAGCACATTATATATGCAAGGCACTATGCTAATTTTACAGAAATATGTTCATTTAAATCTTTTACCTTGAGAGGTGAGTGGCATATTATTATAATAATTACATAGGCCACTTAGCTTAAAGATGTATACAGAGCATCTGTTGTGTACATGATCACTAAATCATGAGTCCAAGATCCATATTTTAGTTTCTGTTCCAGGGTAACTTGGTCTGTGGCCTTGAGTAATGCATTATACTTCAGCTGTCTATTACCAAAGAAAAATAAATACTAATTATTTTTTAGTCTTATCTATATTTTACCCTATAAATTTAATTATCAGAACAACTCAGATTATGGCTCACATTTTAAAGACAAGGAATCCAAGCTTGGAAAAGTTAAATAATTGGTTGAAGACTACATGATAGGCTGTGTAGCACAAGTCTTGCTTAAAAGCCCCTCCATTCAGTTACTGTGTTTTTTACTTTATCCTATAATTTCTTTTATCATACTCCACATAAATAAGAGAAGATAATACATATGTAATATTTCTATCTTGAAAGATGCTGGAAAAGATTTTTTTCTTCCAATTTAGGGGGCATACTAACAATTTTGACAACACAAGAACATCTAGCCTGTTACTGTGGCGCACACCTAGCAGTTTGGGAGGCCGAGGCAGGAGGATTGCTTGAGGCCAGGAGTTCGAGACCAGCCTGGGCAACATAGTGAGATCCATCTCTACAAAAAATTTAAACATTAGCTGGGTGTGGTAGCATGCGCCTGTGGTCCCAGCTACTTGGGAGGCTGAGATGGGAGGATTACTTGAACCCAAGAGGTCAAGACTGCAGTGAGCCATGCTTGTGCCACTGCACCAGCCTGGGCGACAGAGTGAGACCCTAGCTAAAAATAAAAAGCAAAAAACCCCACAAAAACAAGTACATCTTGCCTCATACCTTACAGTCATATCACTATCTGTTATGTACTGTTGCATAGATTGAATTTGTAAATATGTAAGTTAAATATGTAAAATCTATTTTGAGATATTTATTGAGAAGGTGAGAGTTACTCAACAAAGAAAGACAGTGCTAATATTCATCTTAATAATAGTGATGCAACTCATAAAATGTTGATCAGTGAATTTCCTTCCACTTTTAGGTTCTCAATATTCCTTTCAAAAGCCATACATTTGAAAGAGAAGTCATCAATCACTTTTAGCTTTTTTTTTGTTGACAGTAATACTTTATATAAAATTTAAAAATAGGAAGGCCATATATTACAAAATTTTAACAGAGATAGGATTTCTGGTAAATTTTATTTACACCATTTTCTCTTATATATTTTATTTTTCCTATGATGAACCATGTTTATATAATACCTTAAATTTTAATGGAGTTATTTATCATAGCTACTTTAAAACTCAGAAGTTGGTCTGACAAACAGTTAGAATTGCTCGTGTCAGTAAAGCAGTAATCACGTATTAGCCAATATATCCAAACTTTGAAATTTGGAACTCCTTTTTATATTGTCAAAAACCTAGTACTCTTTAGATATACGGAAATGAAACCTAATAACGTTAAACTTATTGGCAGTTGAGTATTGTGTTTCAGCTTAGCACGTTTAAAAGGCTTTTCTGAGCTCAGATTATTGATTTGTATATGCAAAAATAATAAAATAGGTAATTGAAATTTACACTGCCTTATTTTATCTCATACACTGAGTTTTGCTATTCACTGCTGTAAAGAGATGTCATTTACAACAGTTGCAGGCCATAGTAATTTGCCTATTTCCTTATAAGATAAAGATTTACAGATAAATGAAGATTTAAATCTCAGTTTCTTCTTGAAATGAGAATTTCTTTAAGTTATTCAAAATCCCATTGAAGTAATGTCTGTAGGAATATCCTAAGTTATTGTGGTCATTTTTTGAGTAACTGTTTCTTTGGATCAGTATGTTGTCTCCATATTTATTGCTTCTATGTTCTATCTGTATATCAATGTGTCTGGTATATCCTTTTATGTGGCACAACATAATTGCATGAAAATAGAACTTATGTAGAAGGAACATACTTATTCTGAGTTACCTTGGATACAGCTTGGAATCCCCAGTTTTCTTAGGCCTTAAGTTCTAAATAGATGAAGGACATGAACAGATCACTTATACCTCTATAAATATCTACACAAATGTAAACTAGTTAATTCATTCAACAAGTAATAGTACTTGCTCTGTGCCTGGCACTATTATAGGCAGTACTAAGGATATAGCAGTATATAAAACAGACAAAGGCTCTACCTTTTGTCAGCCACAGTCTGAATAATAAACATATAGAAAATGCAAATTAAAATAACAATGAGAGGCTTCTTCCTACTATGATGAATTTACCAGTAACGGACTTGCCTTCCCACCAGAAACAACTGTTTTCAGACATTGGATAATTGACAGCATGGTAATGTGATCCCTGAGAGAAAGGGCGTGGGTTGAGGGTGACAAGAACTAGATGAATCCTGGCTTTCTGACACAAGGTATTCTGACTGTGGAGAACTCTAGCAGAGAATGACAGTCTTGCTGAATTGAGATCAGAGATTGAGGCGGCAAGGGCAACCAGAAGTTACAGAGTACTGAGGACAGAGCTAATCCGAGACAACTGCAGAACTCTGCAGAGGGGTTCTTTTGCATCTTTAATACTGAGTTTCAGAGATGTGCAATGAGACTCCACGAGGCTAAAGAAAGAACTGAACAATTCCTAGAGTCCCAACAGGAATGGGAGATTTTTATTTTTTATTTTTTATTTTTTTTCATTCTGACCAGAAAGATCTTGTTAAAAACCTGGAGCATTCAGTAGAGATCCAAGTAAGAACACACATTAGTAGTAAGGCTAAACTAGCCTCAGAGTAAAAAATTACTCCATACCTGCCTAAATAGAGCTTAAAAGTAAGTTCAGAAGGACAAACTGATCCACAATTGACTTACCTGCTTTGGAGGGCCAGGAACCAGCTACTTGGCCTGACTGTTAAAAGTAAGGCATAAAGAAGATGTTGATTTCTTTTGTGTTGTATACTTCAAATATCCCTCAATGTGAAAGAGCCAATACACAGCTAAAGTGTCTTTTCTTTTCAAATGTGTTTCCCTTGTAATTCTTCTTTGTTCTCAGTGTATTTTGTTGGATATCTTTTATAGAAAAGAATCCAGTCATTAAAGCTAGAAATTAAATGGTTGTAGTCATTATAATGAAGATAGTTTATATAATCTGTTTGTTTCATGAAAGCCTCTCTGTGTTTCTCAGGTGACAAAGATTTGTTTTATCCATGAGCGCTTTTTAAGACTCACTTTGTATAGTAAAACTCTTATTTGTAATGTCTGTCTTTGCTTTGATTCTCTATACTATTCAATTAACAAATAATGATTAACCAGCTATCATATGCCAGATACTATTCTAGGCATTGTAATATAAAGCATTATATTTGATGAAAAAAGTCTGGAAATAAATAAATAAATTTAGGTTGATCTTAGGTCCTGATGATGTATATTCAGCCCATTTGAAAGAAAGAGGGCTAAATTTAATACAGGATCTGCTACTTTATTAGCTCTGCATCTCATTTTTATGAGTGTCCAAGGTATTATATAGAGTATAGCAAAGAATACTATCTTTTTATAAAACCTGTTCTCCATTTTTCCTGGGCATATGGGTAAACTGCATGTAACTGCATATTCCAGCTTTCCTTGCACTTAAGTGTGTCACATGACTGAGCTTGAAGGAGGTATGATTGGAAACAATGTGTTCCAGTTCCAGACGTTTCGCAAAGTTCAGAAACTTTACATGTGCAATTTGTAAAAGACCCTTCCCCCTCCCACCCCCTGCGTCTCTGGATGCAGAGAATCCAACAAAGAACTCTGGGGCTGTAAGATACTGTTGGAACTACATTATAGAAAGAAGCTTCCTACTGAATACGCATATTGAATGAGAAATCTATTGTATTGGGCTACTGAGATAAAGTTGTTTGTTTCAGCTCTTGGCCTACCCTAATACGAGGAGAAAACATAATTGTACTGTAACTGTAGTGATACATCTTTGTGAGAGGACCATAATTTTTATAAATACATAGGCTGAAATTGAGCTTGAGAAACTTCAGTCTTTCTCAAACAGTTCATTAAGATGAAAACATTGCTTTCTTTCTTTTGTATTAGTGCTAATAGCCCTTGTTCTGCTTGGACGGTTGTTGGAAGGGCTACTTTAGGCTGTGTACTTGCATATCCTGTCCCTTCTTGTCAATCTGTATTCTTCTTCTATCCTCTGAAATGAAATACGTCTCTTCACCATCTTACCTATCTTTTCCTTTCTCTTTCTTAATGATCAGAAACATGTTTTTAAAAGATTTTTCTTTCTGTGCCAGGTTTGGTCATGATAAAATCCTTCACATATTTCAAAGTGTGGTAACACAATTTAGAAACTTTGAGTGAGAACCCACTCTAAAGCTTTCAAGAATGACCTCATGATTTACTCTCACTTTAATACAGTAACTACAGCTTTTCTGTATTGACATACCACACTTGTCTAAGTTACGAAGCTGCATTGTAACCATGGACATAGATTCTTCACAGATTACACGTGTGTACCACACACAGATTCAGTCTGTGCTTCCTCTTTCTTCACTTTTGACCTCTGACTATGCCATCCGTGGAATTGAAGGCTATTAAAAGTATAGAGAACTGGATTGGCCCTTCTGAAAAGATGGCAAAAATTTTTTAAGAGGAGACTGCTCTGATTATCTATCTCATCAAATGACTAGATTGCTCAAATAATTATGTCTGTTCATATGAGAAGTCTTTTTTTAACTTATTACTTTCTCTGTTTATACTTGTTATCTCCCAATTCTCTTATTACCTAACCAGTATTCCAGTCATGACTGTAATGCCACTTGTGTCCTTCATACTGAACACCAACTTAAATGCACTTGCCTAAATGTTTTGCTTATAACTCAACACAAACTAGACAGAAAATGGAGAATTAAGTCAAGTTGCTCTATTGAAATAGAGTTTGGCCGGGTGCAGTGGCTCACTCCTGTATTCCCAGCACTATGGGAGGCAGAAGTGGGTGGTTGCTTGAGCTCAGGAATTCCAGACCATCCTGGCCAACATGACAAAACCTCATCTCTACTAAAAATACAAAAAAATTAATCGGGCTTGGTGGCACAGGCCTGTAGTCCCAGCTACTTGTTTGATCCTGACAGGTGGAGGTTACAGTGAGCCAAAATCATACCACTGCATTCTAGCCTGGGCAACAAGAGCGAGACTGTGTATGATGAAATAGAGTTTGGCCACTGGGCGTGGTGGTTCATGCCTATAATCCCAGCACTTTGGGAGGCTGAGGAGTATTGCTTGAAGCAAGGAGTTTGAGATCAGCCTGGGCAACATAGTGAGACCCTGTCTGTACAAAACATTTTTATAAATTAGCTGGGTGTGGTGGCATGCGCCTGTAACGCCAGCTACTCAGGAGGCAGAGGTAGGAGGATCACTTGATCCCAGGAGGTCAAGGCTGCAGCGAGCTGTGATCACACTACTGCACTTCAGCCAGGGTGACAGAGCAAGACCCTATCTCAAGAAAGAAAGAAATACATGTTGGTACCTGCACTGTTTCTTAATTTCATTCATTTGGTATAGGATTTTCATGATTTTTGCCCCACCTGATTATAACTACTTTTTGTTTAACCTAATATTTTCTTGGAATTTCATGCTTTTGTTTAAATAATTTACTTTTAAAGAAACTTTATACTACTAGTCAAACTAGAAAATCAATATCATGAACATAACTAGAAGATTAACTAGAACATTAATCTGGCTACTTAAACCTTCAAATGATTCTGAAGCTCAACTCTCTCTGTTAAAAAGGAGGATTAGCTGATACTAGCCGCACATTAAAATTTTCTTCTTGACAGATTCAGAAGGATTGACAGATAATTGAAAAGAGTAACTTTTGTAGCAATTTCATTAGTCAGAATAGGCTAAACTATATTGCCATAACAAACCATCTTTAAAATGGCAGCAGATTCATACAACAAATGTTGGTTTCTAATTCACCCAACAAATGTTGGCAACTCTCCAGGGCAGCTGTCCTTTATTGCTGCTTCAATCTTGTAGTTTCACTATCTCAACGTGAGACTTTCATCATGATTTTTCTGTCAGAGGAAGAGATACACTGTAGAATCATGCAGGGACTATGTCACTTCTGCTTTTATTTCATTGGCTCAAACTAGTCTTCTAAACTGCACAACAGCTGGTAATTGTAGTCACCCCTCTGCCTAGAAGGGAATGGAGACCAGGATATTGGTGGGCACTAGTAATGCCCACTGCGCTATGTAATTCAGTGCTATTTACTGCCGTTTTTATGGATGATTTTAAATCATCTTTTACATCCTAAAATCAGTCCCATACCTTGAGAAACAGTTTTTTGTTTTGTTTTTGAGACAGAGTGTCGCTTTGTTGCCCAGGCTGTGTGTAGAGGCACCATCTTGGCTCATTGCATCCTCTGCTTCCCAGGTTCTAGCAATTCTGCTGCTGCAGCCTCCCGAGTAGCTGGGACTACAGGCCCTCACCACCACTACACCTGGCTAATTTTTGTAGTTTTAGTAGAGATGGGGTTTCGCCATGTTGGCCAGGCTGGTCTTGAACTCCTGACCTCAAGTGATTCACCTGCCTTGGCCTCCCAAAGTGCTGGGATTACAGGCGCAAGCCACCATGCCTGCCCAGGAAGAGTATTATAAATGAAATATTATAATATTTGAAATCAAAATATCAGGATATGAATCTGTGATCTACCACTTAATTACTGTAATCTTGGACAAGAGATCTTATGATTCTGTTTTCCCATCTGCAAAACAGGATTAATGTATTTTACATAGAAAAATTACAAAGGTCGAATGAGCTTAGGTAAAAATTTAAATAAAAGTATAAAATAGGCTGGGTGTGGTGGCTCATGCCTGTAATCCCAGCACTTTGGGAGGCCAGTGTTTGCGGATCACTTGAGGTCAGGAGTTCAAGACCAGCCTGGCCAACATGCTAAAACCCCGTTTCTACTAAAAAAAAAAAAAAAAAAAAAAAAAAAAAAAAAAAAAATTAGCCCGGCATGGTGGTGCACAGCTGTAATCCCAGCTACTCCAGAGGCTGAGGTGGGAGAATTGCATGAACCCAGAAGGTGAGGTTGCAGTGAGCCTAGATTGTGCCACTGCACTTCAGCCTGGGTGACAGAGCGAGACTCTGTCTCAAGAAAAAAAAAAAAGTATTTTTATTTGTCGTTACATAGCTTTTTTTGAAAGTGAGGTAATTGTTTTTAGAGCTGTGTACCTCACATTAGAACTGGGCTCTAGCAAGAAGTTTTGCATCACTAACTAAAAGAAATAGGCCATCTATAAGACCCAACAGAATGATCCCATTTCATCAGTCTTTCTAAAACAAAATTTAGGGATGTTTTCTCTTCCATTTAAATACTCATTTTAAAAAAAATTGTTACATTTAATTCTTATTTGAGTGCCAAATAAGATCAGAGCAAAATTAAAAGTTTGTATAAAGCTCTATAAGAAAACTACCGTCTATAGATGTAATGTTGGAAAAAGTTTTTAAACTTTTTTACTTGATAAACATTAAAATGGTATCATTAATTTTTAAAACAAGGCAAAGTGTGATGATATTTATTTTAATTGATTGAACTAAGTTAGAACAAACTAAATTCATAAGCCAGACATTGCTACAGATTTCTTATACACTGTTGGTATAAAGTCTAGCCACATATATCTGAAGTAACTTGATTTTCTAAGTCACTTGCTCCTGTCCCAACTTCTTTCTTAATTTTCTGGTGGAGTTTGTAAAGGAGTGCTATTATTTCTTCTTAAGGCAGTTGTTAGGATTCACCAGTGGTGACAACTGAGACTGGGCTTTTTTGTGGTAAGATGTTTAATTACTAATTCAGTTTATTTACTTGTTATAAATCTATTCAGATTTTTCCATGTCTTAATGAATGAGTTTTGATAATTTGTGTCTTTCTGTGAATTTGCCCATTTCATCTAAGTTATCAAATTTGTTGGCTTAAAGTTGTTATTAATATGCCCTTATAGTCCTTTACGTTTCTGCAGAGTCAATAGTGATGGCCCCATTTTTATTCCTAATTTGATAGTTCATGTTTTGCTGTTTCTCTTTGTCAGTCTAGAGTAAGTTTTTTCTATTTTGTTTATCTTTTCAAAGAATTAAATTCTCGTTTCATCATTTTCCTCTGAAAAGCAAATAAGTTTATTTGCTGTTTCATTGAGTTCTGCTTTAATCTTTATGGTTTTATTTTTCTGCCTGATTTGGGGTTTAATTTGTGCTTTCCAAATTTTTAAAGACATAAGCTGTGAGCATGTTTTTCTCCAGTTATTTTTCAATTGTTGTAACCATAAAATTTTCATGAAACTTTAAAAAAAGATAAATTAGTGAAATTAATGGGTCTTCTGAAACGAGTTTCTTAAAATCACCTTATAATTCCAATTGTTAATAGAAAATTAACATATATTAAACTCCGATGAGTTGGGGGGCATCTGCAATACATTTTTCTCTTTAAATTGTGTAGCCTATGTTTTGTCCCATTTTCATGGCACTTGGCTTTCTCCTGTTTGTATCATAGCTGTTCTTCTTCTGTCTTACCCCCTCATTAAGTTCCTTTAGGCTGGACACTGTCTTAATTATGTTTGAATCCCCTGAAGCATTTCTTACTGCTCTGTGCACATGGTAGGAACACAGAAGCATTCATTGAATTGAAGGGAACAGCTCATATGTTTTATGGAATTGGTTTACAAATAGTTATTGCAGGTTTCTAACAAAATAATTTTCATTTAAACTGTCATTATTTGTATGTGAAAATTTCATGTAGCACCAAATTTGCATTTTTAACACATCTGAGTTTTCATGTTTGTGAAGTATCCCAATACTCTCAGATGATTATGCTAATCCTTAAAAAGTTATCATGATGCCTCTTTTCTTATTTATTACATAGTAACATTTCTAGTAGAGAGTGGGGCCTTTGTTATGTCACATTTTTTATGAAATGTTTAAAGAAGGAGATAAAGATGAAAAATTAAATAGGAATGTCATAATTATTCTAGAGCTTTTAGCAATATTTGCCTGTGTATAAAATTATCAATTTATATTTCACAGCTATAACTTCTGAACAAGAAATGACTAAATACAGAAAAGCATTTAGCTCTGATATCACAACCTCTTTATTTTAATCAGTAGAAAACTTTATTAATATATTTGTTATAATACATGTTTTGAAATTGTTACCTGCAGGTAAATATGCTAGTATACCTTCTCAAATTCCATTATTTTTGCTATTTCTTTGTAACAATTTGCTGTGTCACTATTAGTATATAGTTATTTCATCCCTTATTGAATTATTTATAGATTTTAAATGATGACATTTCAGTTATTTGGCTCTGGTTACTTTAGAGTTTTTGTTTTATTTTCATTATTAGGAGTTAGTATAAAAGTCTTTAGGTGATAAGTACTTTCTTTAAAAGAATTTAATATTCACATTTTGCTGGGTACAGGGGCTCTCACCTGTAATCCTGGCACTTTGGGAGGCTGAGGCAGGAGGATTGCCTGAGTCCAGGAGTTTGAAACCAGCCTGAACAACATAGTGAGACCCTGTCTTTAAAAAAAAGAAAAAATTCTAGAATTTAATATTCAAATGCTAAATTTTCAATAGACTCAAAGTCAGAATATTTTCTCCACACTTAGCTCTGTATTCTTTATGGTATATATTCTAGTGGGGCCTGTGTTTATATTGAGACCATATGCTACGAGTTGTTGCTGACTAGGTAGATTTCAATATTTTTTAAATGGATATAATTGCTGTGTTAATCTTAAAAATGGTGAAACTATGTAATGTTGCCTTTTTGCTTAGATGAAATGAATCGTTTTTTCATTTCTACAGTTGTTCACTATGATAAATAGGGATAGGAAAGGTTCATATGAGAGTCCATAGTAGATAACTAGTGGCCACATACTAATTGATATTTGTATTGGTAAACAAAGTCATCTTTATTTTGCCACACTGCATACATGTTATATTTCCTTTATATTTGTATAAATCACAGAGAAATCAGATATCTAATAGTCTGTTTTCAGAAATGTATACATATACTATATCTCTAGCTACAATAATATACATTCACATTTAAATAAATGTGTTCCAATTATTTGACACTTCAGCATAAATTGGATGTAAAACTACACACAACAGTTTTTATATGAAATTTGGAGTATGTCGAGTAGGGAACTAAAAGGCATAACACGTAGTATTGGGGAAGATAGAGGGAGATGAGAGGTTTATAAAACATGTACTTCATTTTTTTATACTTACATAGAAGAAATAACTAGAAAGATACTTTGCAGCTGTGTATTAATTTATAATTGGTTTCAGAGAAGTATAGTTTTATTTGCATTATGAAGAGTCAGAAATTGTTTCTACAATAGACTAGGCTTTATTTGATAAAGATTATCATATCAAATTTTCATTTTCTTTTTCTGCATTGTATCTTTTTTATTTTTGTTTTTTTCTTTTCTTTAGATAGTTACTTTCTCAGAATTAACAGGGAATATGAATTATCATTTTTTTCCTCTTCACCATTTTTCACTTTTATCTACCCTGTGCCAAAATGTCAGATTCTACTGGTTTTTCCTTCTCTCTGTTTTTTTTTGTGTGTGCTTTATTTTATTTTTATTTATTGTTCTTGATCCCCCCACCATTTTGCAGGAAATGAATAATTAAAAGGGAAAATCTCCTTGCATTTCTGCTTTCTTCAGGATGTTGCTTATGTCACCGTTGAAGCACAATCATGAGAAATAGTTAATCAGCACATTAGATAGGGTAGGAGGATGCCCTTCCCACCTATTTCCAGATTTTAAACCTAACAGAGATCCAGGGTTAATAAGAAGGAAACAAAGAATGACACAAACACTATCTCTCCTTCTACCCTTCTTTCCCACTCCCACTACAGAAAATTCATGATATTCAAAGGTTTATTTTCTAGTAAATGTTTAGGAACTAAAATGTTATAAGATTCTGCATATGAAAGCTTTGTTAAAACTTTTTAAAATATAGTTTTCTCTTTCCAGATAAATTTCTCAATGTTTCTCTCTACTTCTTTACAATTCTATAGTTCAAATCTTTTCTTTCTATGTTGCTTCAAAGAGTTTTACAATTTTAGCTCTTATTTTTAGGTCTTTGATCCATTTTGAGTTAATTTTTTATATGACGTAAGATAAGGATCTAACCTCACTCTTTTGCATATTCAGTTTCCTCAAAACCATTTGTTGAAAAGACTGTCCTTTTCCCACTAAATGGTATTAATACCCTTGTCAAAAATTATTGATGATACGGTTTATTTCTGGCCAGCCTTTTCTATTCCATTGGTCTATATGTCTGTCTTTATGCCAGTACCATACTGTTTAGACTACTATAGCTTTGTAGTAAGTTTTGAAATCAGAAAGTGTGAGAAATCCAAGTTTATTATTTTTTTCAAGATTGTTTTGACTATTTAGGTTCCCTTGAGATTTCACATGAATTTTAAGATGGATGTTTCTATTTCTGGGGAAAAAAAAAGTCATTGAAAGTCGTTGGGATTTTGATAGGGATTGCATTGAATCTATAGATCACTTGGGTGGTGTACCATCTTAATATTGTCCCCCAGTCCATGAAGAATGGATGCCTTTTCATTTATTTGTACCTTCTTTAATTTCTTTCAGCAATGTTTGATAGTTTTTGGTGCACAAGTCCTTTGTTTCCTTGATTAAGTTTATGTCTACATATTTTATTTTTTTGTTGTTGCTATTTTAAATTGAACTGTCTCCTTAGGTTTTTTTTCTCAGATTGTTCATTGTTAGTGTATAGAAATACAACTAACTTGTGAGTTGATTATGTATCCTGCAACTTTACCGAATTTATTAGTTCCAGCAGGTATTTTTCTGGAGTCTTTAGGGTTTTCTACATATAAGTTGTCTTCTGCAAACAGATAATTTTACTTCTTTCTACTTTGGATGCCTTGTATTTCTTTTTCTTGCCTGCACAAACATTTTTATTTTCCTACCACACTGGACAATTAATGTTTATTAAGTTATCTTCAGGTTAACTTTACTAAATATACTTTATAATCTCAAATCCAACTTTGTGAAAATACTTTCTTGGTACTTTTATTGTTCTGCCTATCTTTATATTTATCTTTCATTTTACATTTTCTTGATCTTTGCTTTCATTTGGTCTGCCTCCATACTGTTCTCTCTGTATATTCTTATCTGAGTCTTCTGCCAGTTTCCTCCTAAAAAATCCCTTCTGCTATGAAACATTTACTAAAGACAATACCTCAGTAATTATTTATTATTTTAATGCCCTTATATTTCTTTGACTAGATATACTTCAACATTATCTACAGCATTCCAGCATACAGAGGAACCTCGATAGGTAGATTTTCTCTTTTCACCATTAGCATTCCTGTGTGATGAATCTGATTGCTCTTATCCTCCCTCAACCACCTGCCTCCCAGGTGATCATGGGAAGAATTAGTGAGTATAGATAGTATTGTTATTTCTTCAAAATAGACCCCATATGGTTAATACTTTATAACTTAGGACTCTTTAAAAAACAGCAACAACAACAACAACAACAACAACACAAGAGTTAAATCGGTAAAAGAATGACTGAAAAGAAATTCTAATAGCCAGGCGTGGGTGGCTCATGCCTGTAATCCCAGCACTTTGGGAGCCTGAGGCAGGCAAATCTTTTGAGTCCAAGGAGTTCCAGACCAGCCTGGGCAACATGGCAAAACTCTGTCTCTACCAAAAAAAAAAGAAATAACGAAAATTACCCAAGCGTGGTGGCACATGACTGTGGTCCCGACTACTCGGAAGGCTGAGATGGGAGAATCACTTGAGCCTGAGAGGAGGAGGTTGCAGGTTGCAGTGACCTGAGATCACACCACTGCACTCTCGCCTGGGCAACAGAGCCAGACCCTGTCTCACAAAAAAAAAGAAAAAAGAAAAGAAATTCTAACTTTACCACACATGTTGATACTCTCACAGATGAGGCCTTGATTTGTATTTCATTACAGCTTTTTTCTTAAGAAAATTTTCTTAATGAGCAGTTTGCATGTGGTGTTCGTGGATTCTCTAATCCAGTGTTCACAAACTTCAGTGTGCCATACGATCACCTGCAGGGCTTGCTGAATACAGATTGCTGGGCCCCCACCTTCCAGAGTGTCTGACCCAGCTTATCTGGGGTGAGGCCTGATCATTTGCATTTCTGACAAATTCCCAGGTGATATTATACTGCTGGTCCAGGCACCACATTTTGTGAACCCATGGTCTAAAGAATACTGTTTAACTTCCATTCTGTACCACATATTTATTGTTGTCTAACTTAGACCATTTTGATTTGGATACTCTACTAAGGCATAACATATTGTATTTTCTTCAACATGATTCCCTTCTCAATTAAAAAATAATTGGTGATATCACTGTTCACATCCCCTTAGACATCTTTGTTTTACTACCCCCATGCCTCAACATATATGCACGGTTCAGACTTCCAAATCATGCTGAATCTGTGATGACAACAGCAAAAACAATAATAACAGCTGATGTTTTTAGAACATTTATTCTGGGCTAGGTACTGTTTTGAGGATTTTATTTGAATTAATATAATCCTCACAAATTGTCTTTGATATTATTAGCCCAAAATAACTGATGAAAGGAAACAAACACAGAAAGGTTCTTACAGCTAGAAAAAAAATGAATGAAATAGGACTCTAATGTAAGCATTCTGGTTTCAGAGCCCTTACCCTTAATTCCTGCACTCTCAAATTCCTCACTAATGTGCTGCCATGTTATGCTGTCTCTATAGTATGTCTGAAACTACTTTCTTACTTTGTTTTCTGTAGCCGTAGCCCTCACTAGTCCATGTATTAATAAACTTAATAAGTGAGCTATATCACTGTATCCAAGCACTGTGCTTAAATACTTATACATGTTTGGAATTAGTTAAGCCTCATAACAATACTGTGACTTTATGAGGAAACTGAGGCTTGGTAAGGCTAAATAACTTGCCTAATTTCTTACTATTAATATATGCTAGAATCAAGACCTAGATTTTTCAGATCACTCTACTTAACCTCTAAGCCGATATGCATTCATCTGCTCAACCTCTGCCAGATTCTGTAACTCAAGTCATTGAGGGCATAAGAATCGATGTTCCCAGTGTCAGTTCCAATCACTTATTTGTGCAGTAGTTTCTGTTATCTCTTACATCACAATAAAATGCCAAGTTTGGGCTTTAGATTGTTCCTACCCATCTCATCTCAACCACTTTCTTTCTTCTTTTAACTATCAGAGAAGGCCTTTTAATGTGGAATTCTCTTACTCACATGAATCATCTTATGTACCATTTTTTACAATGAAGCATATTAAAATTCCAGGCTTCCAGGTAAAACATTATGCCCCATCTTCCAACTTGCCCTTCTATGTTCTCCACCAAGCAATATTATGACTATTGTTCAACTTATCATATCTGTGATTGTCCCTGCTGTGTTTGACTTACAAATGACACTAGTTTTCTGTGACTTGGATGAGAACACCATTATCATCTACCTTATAAAACAGTTTAACTTTATTATTAGACAAGCACAGTACCCCATGGATGAGGGAAGAGGTGAAGAGTAGATAGAAGAAAGAATTAAATGTCTCCTGTGAGCTATAAAGATAACCTCAGTTGGAATTTCCTGAGAAGGGAAAATAAAGAAGTTGGTATACATCGAGCTTCATAGATCTAAAATAACTCTCTTTGCTGGAGAATTGTGTATTTTAGTAAGAGGTTTTATTTTTTTTCCTCTGCCAGATCTGTTTAACTTCTGATTAACACCATATAGTCCATACTCTCTTCACAGTCTTCAGCTATTTCCTTTTTTCTGTATGATCTCTAGAACCCTGATCTTTTCCCTTGACTTCATCTCATAATTCTTGTACACGCCTCATACCTCCCTTAAGTTCTCCTGCCATCCTTCACTTTTTTTCTTACATTTCTACCTTAAGTTTCTGGTCTGTCTACTAGCCCTAAATTTCATTATTTAAAAAATGTTTTTAAGATTTTAAGATATATAGAGTCCCTTGAGCAGGGACCTGTGCTGTCTTTGTCAGAACTCAGCAGGTAAAACAGTTACTCTGATGCCATGACAATGCTTTAATAAAATTCTAGTAAAGGACTTAAGAGCCTTAAGGATTAAATTACTATATAATCATTTTTCCTATACTAAGCAGTATTGAATAAATAAACTGTTTCATTATTTTTAAATCTGTTGGTGAAATTATAATGAAAGAGATTCTAATATTGGCTATTAGTAGCCTGCATATATACATATAAATCACTTGAGATCTTTATTTGTAATAATGATTTTTAAAAACAGGCTCAAGTCTCACACTCATAGCAAAGGTGAGAGTTCTGCTATTCCAAAGCTTGCTTTTGACAGAACCATACTGTTAGGACTCTTAATGTTAGGCCTTTGTTGCCATGGAGACAGTAACAGGCTTTATTATTTTTTAACATATACTGAAAATATACATACCCTAAGGTATAAAGCGTGACTTAGTTGTCTGTTGGTTTTGAGTATTGACACATTTTGAAAATAGTTTCTATATACTTTTAATACTTGATTTTTATCCTTCAAAGAAAATGAAGGAGATTTCTGACCATTGTGATAACAGAGTTGTATATTACTTTTTACAGGGTCTTTTAGGAATAACGTAGAATCTCTTGTGGGTCAGTAATGGATGAGGACTTTGAAGAACATGCAGAAACTTTTGAGAAAAGTAATGTGATCTTAGACACATGTCTTGGCCACCTATGATTATGACACTAATATATAATACAAACAAATCAATTTCAGATTCAACTAATACTTTGTGCCAGTACTGTGCTAAGCACTGTCACCCTATTATAGTTTATTTAATAGAACTCAGTTTGAAAGCACCTAAGCAATCCTCATATTTTAACTTTTACAATAACTGATTATTCGAATGTGTATCAATAGCATTCCTGAATTTTTCCTCCTAAAAATTAGTAAATAAAATGTGTACATACTTTCAATAAGTAAAACTTTCAATTCATGAGTTATACTTTATTCCTTACAAGAATGAATGGATTCCATGGCATGAGATATTAATATTCCATAGGCATCATGATTAAATTGGTAACTAAATCACATGTCTTTAGCTTCTAGTGTCAAACTAGCAGGGCCTAGTTAATGCTTTAGTCCACCAGCAGTTTTGACTTCTTACATTAATAGCTGAGAAGTAAGGTAATTGATTTTCTTGTTAAGCTACGTAGATTAGGCCTGATGGCTTATATTTAATCCTACTTATGGTGTTTATCATGACCAAGTATTAGAGTAGTTATTTCTGGATAACAAAAACCTTTTGATTACAGTTATTATAAACAAAACCTTGAAACATAGTCCTGTGCTTTCCTTAGTTAACATCTGTATTTAATGGCAAAAGAAGCCAAAGTAAGAAAGCTCTTTGCTTTATAAAGAGAGAGAAATAAGGTAACAGACAATCACAATTTATACTAATAGTTTTGAATATTAGATTTTAGCTTTTCCAGTTTTCAGTGACTTTTAACAAGACCCATCTCCTCTATGAAGAATGCAGTTAGTTTTTTTTTTTTTTTTCTGGCTCAAAAAATAGGGTAACCTGATCTGAGTCTGACAGAGTGTGTCGTTCATTTAAGTGCTTCCATCTGTTGCCTGCTGTTCCCCTTACTCATGACCCCTCTATGTTTCTCTCTTTCCCTTTTTCCTTCTCTTTCCCTGTTTCTCTCCCTTCCTTTCTCTTTCTTTCTCTCTTGCTCTCTCTGTCTCTTGCTTGCTCTCTCTCTCTTTTTGTTCTTAGCCCCTCTGAGGAAGGCAAAGTTTGTTGAGAGCCCACGAATTCCAGAATCCGAGCTTGGCTCACCAACCCTCACTTCAGCTCAGAAACTGGACGTGGATGCATACTGCCCTGGTAAGCATGCATGCAAAGTGTCTGCTTTGAAAGAGGGAGGATTGGATCAGGCCCATCCAGCAGAGCAGTGTTTTGCATGTATACTACTCATAAAAACATGTTACCTCTTTTGCAACTGATTGCCTATTCTTCTTAATAGAACATAGTTTTTACTGAATGCCCTGTTTTGACTTTGATACAATAATGAGAGTAAGTATTGAAAATAATTTCAAAGGTAATTTTCAAAAGAATTAAAATAATTTTGGTAGATAAGTAGTTTTAGGTAAGTAGGGTTACTTTTGTGATTTGAGATACTTAAAGAAATTTTGCTGTGGCCATGTGCAAACAGAAATGTTGAAGATGTGAATAAGAATATTCATTCAACACTAGACACAAAAGTGTTCTATGCAACACTTTTGCATACAACCTTTATGCCTAATTCCTGTTGGATTTCTGGTGATTATAGAAAATACTTGTGATGCTGGAAACATTAAACTTGAATTAGAAAAGAAATATAGGTTTCCGAGATGGACTCCTTTTGGATACAGATACTTACTTTTAGAAATACCTCTTGTGAATGGCCTGTAAACACATGTGAGAGTTCACTAAAACCCTTCTTGTGTGGGAGCCAAACTGAGAAAGACTCATTATCAATGCTTAGATTCTTTCAAACTTAGATGAGTTGCCTGGCAACATCCTTTACACTCTCTCTACAGTCAGTCTATAGAGCTGTGTCAGAAATGTTCACAGCTCTAGCTGAGTATACAGATTAGAGCATTAGTAAAGGAAGGACCTTGGAAGACTTGGTTTTAGGTCTTTTGTTTATTCCTGCTCATTAAAATTGATGTTAAACCACAGTGAATACAACTACTACATATTTACAGCATGAGGGGTCAGCAGAGTAAAATGATTCCTAGTTCTGGGGAAGATATCAGTATCTGTGATCTGAAATGTCAGTATAATATACCTTCGAAGCCAGATAGGACATAGTAAAACAAAAAACAAAACAGTAGGAGAAAATTTGGGCCAAACCTCATAAAATGAGAGACGTTTCATTTTATGAGTCAATTTTGAATACTGAAAGACCTTGGGGATTTTGCTTTCCTTCGGGGTATTGAAACGGCTTCATCCACTCTTATAGATAACCATTCTTTTCTAAATCAATCACAGTTTTGTATTAGGAACCAGCTTTTCTGTTTTCAAAAGGAACAAAGTAGTTCTTTAAATGGTACTATAGCACACGATTAGAAGAATCTTTCATGTTTTGAGGTATTGTCACGCTTCTTGGGCAGTCGAATATTGTACTTTGCATTTCTTCATGCAAATTTTAGTGTTATAAAGTAAAATAAGTGTGCTAATTTTCTATCCCTTTCTTGAGTTTTAGAAGGAAAACCCTATCAGAGGCCTTTTCCAGATTTGCAAGTCAGAATGACTGTCATGGGGGCCTAATCTTTCACTTCCTGATTGCCCATCTGACATCTTTAATCTAATCTAAAGCTAAAGTCTTACTCAGGTGATTATTTATGTATATTTTCCACAGGCATGAATTCTTTGTTGAATTAGAATTAAACTAAAGCTCGGTTATGATTTTTAGAAAGCAAGGAAGAAACTAAAACACAATATCAAAGTGCTGCTAAAAAAGTCTTTCCTTTTCTTATCTGAAACAATTTTAAAGCATAGAAACTTTATAGTGATTTGCTCATCTCTAATCAAGTTATTAGATGCTCTGAAAATTAGTTTCTACCAAGATAAGAATGGTAACCTGAGGGTTGAAGCTATTATCTCTACATAGTATCAAAAATTAACAATAACCAAATGAATTGATGAGTATACTCACAAACCAAAAAGATTTTGCATTTTTTCATGCAAATTTTAGTATTATAAAGTGAAATAATACTTAATTTTTGAATTTCTTTCACATAGGATATACTAACACCACTGATGATATTTTATTGTACATTCATACAGAGTAATACAGTTAAGGCTACTAGTGTTCTGATACCTTCTTGTCTGCCTGCTTTATTCATTATCACCTGAAAATTTAGGAAAATACTTTGTCTCCCAGAGGCAACAATCACAAACTGAAGGTTAGAGCAGTGGTTTTCAAACTTTAACTTACTTCAGAATTACCTGGAAGATTTGTCCAAATGCAGATTGGTGGGCCCCCAGAATTTCTTACTCAGTAGGTCTGGAGTGGGTCAAGAATTTGCATTTCTAACAAAATCTCAGATCATACTGAAGCTGCTGTTTGAGATTCTATGCTTTGAGAACCAATTGGGTTACAGGGCTGCTGCAGGCTACTCACTGTACAGTCATTGTTCAGTGGTTCAGTGAACAATGCTGAAAGTCTTTGGGGTTCCTTCTACCACTATTGATATCTGGGGAGTAACTGCCAGTGTTGTTTCTGTGTTATCTAAACTTAAACCTTTTGGTAGCTTTTGTGTCTGAGAAATAGACTTATATATTTTTCTTGGTATGTCTTTTTGTACCTGACATCTGTGTACCCACGTCTAACTTTTCTGTGTTGTCCTGCATGTAAAAGGAAATTGTGGATCAAACCAAACCAATTCACTGATGGTTAAGTCCAAAAGTGTAGGGAAAGCTACTCTGGAGTATAGCTGTTGAGCTGGAATATTAAATTGAGTGATTCATTATATAGCATTATCTTCTATAATATCTAATTAAAGGTTTACTGTTCCTCAAGTTACATTTGTTGTATGCAAAAAATGTGGGAAAAATACAAGCAAACAGTATGTTTTGGTTCTGCAGCTACAACTGTGGAGATAATCGATGGTGTTAAGTAAACTACCAGAATAAAGGGGATGTTCCGGGAATTGTGTGTGTTAATTGTCTCACAGTGGGGAAACTAAGATCTAGAGAATTCAAGTGATTTGTCTAGGGTCACAAGCAGGATTTGTTGTTCAGCTCTTGAAGTGGACACAATATAGTCCAAAAATATATTGCCCTCTAATCCTGTCACTGTGTAAATTCCATGAGCATTCCTTACTGTCCTTAGATTTAAAAGCAGAAAATTCAGTTAAGTATGAGATAGTCATATTCTATTTTTATGAAAAAGGGTAACCAACTGTTAGTGATTTCAATAAAGCAATTTCCAAAATAAGAAAATAGATTCATCCTACACTCTATCACTTTTCTATCTACAGTATTACTTATTAGGTGTGTGATTTGGGGCAAGTCACTTAACCTTTCTACCTGTTTCTTCATCTGTAAAAATAGAGATGATAATTTTAAATCAGTTTAATATATATAAAGCACTTAGAAGAATGCTTGGCTCATAGTCAGTGCTCATAATTGTTAGTTGATTTTATTATTTTTGCAGTGATGATCCTAAGGTATAAGACAAGGTCTTAATCAGAAAAAATACTTAAAGGTTTAGGGTCATTTTTTGTTAAGTGTGTCCTGTTGCATTTCAATTCTGATTTTTCTCTGATGAATCTTATGGTCTGGAACATGTCACTTAACTTTTCCATTCCACAGTCTCCTGTCACAGCAACATTATTTCTATAATTTAACAAATTATGCTTTTATATAGATACATGAATATATATTCATAGGAAAAAATTTCTGGAAGAATACACCAAACCGTACCACTGGTTGCCTAAGGAGGGGAGACTTTGAATTATTGGAAAGTTAGAGTAGGATTGTTGTGAGATAATATTAGTTAGCAGAGATTATATCTGGTTGGTGGCATTACAGGTGGTTTTAATTTTCTTTCTTGGGCAGCATGTATTAGTGAATAAGAGCTTATGTTCTGGAGTTAGATCTAGGTTTAATTTTTTTCTCTTCCACCTACTAGCTGTGTGACTGATAAAAATAGACCTATCTTTAAAAAAAACAAAAACAAAAACAAAACAACCTATCATCTCATAGGATTGTTACAGAGATTAAGTGAAATATAATGTATATGCCACATGCTTAGCTCAGGCAAAATAAACAAGACATTAGCACCCTTTCTGTTACTCATCATCATCATCATCATTATACTTTTCTGCATTTTCTAAAATTTCTACAATGAACTTCTGTTGAAAATTTTCAGTAATCTGATGACACTAAATGATGGTGATACTCTGTTTTTATTTTAGTTTTTTAAGTGTTTCTGTTTCACATTATAATATAAAATTTCAAGTATAGAAGTGACCTTTGACACAGATAATGGTAGGCCAAGTTGACAGTTTTATAGGACTTTTGACTATATGTGCATGAAAGGTTAAGGGCCAAAGCCCACACCAGTCTTGAAATAGGCAGGCTTTTATCAACACCAAATATATTCAGAGGAATTTGAGATTAATCTTTTTATATGGATTCTTTTAAATCTCTTAAAAAACGGTAGTGTCTTTCAAAGGACAGTGTTATTTAAGGTGACAGCAAAATTAGCATATATTTAAAACTCAAAGAGAAAACAGTTTGATTACAGTTAGTGCATATTCATATTTGTGTATATTCTGCACCTGTAAAAATTTTTTTCATTTGGATTTTTTATCTGTATTGTACATTCTATAGCATAAGCACAAGCCATTGTAAACAAAGTGTTTTATTTAAAGTGAGTAGTTCCTTGAACTGTCTTTTCCCAACTCCTGTATAGTCATGGTCATTTCCATTAAAATCAAAGGATGATATTTTTTTCATTTTCTTTCTTCCATTTAAAAAATTTCCGAGAACATTATAAAATGTTATCTTTATCCTAAATAATTAACCATGCTTCTTTGGTTTTGCTACAAACTATGTGCTTGTACATAAAATCTTCTGTATGATTTTGCATTGTCCTATGAGTACCAAGAGCCTTTTCCTCCTGTTTCATATCTTTTGTTATATTGTGTTTGTATTCTGCTTTATTGTAAATACAATAAGTATGAAACAGAATTTTTAACCTGAGTAAAATTGATGAGCTTTGGGGGGAGTCTTAGCCCTTTAAAATGATAAGTAAAAACTTGCTACATGTACATATGTACTTTTTCCAATCACAGGTTCTCAAAACAGTTGGTAACCTCCCTTGCACCAAATAAAAAGAAAGAAGAAATGCTATTGTAAAGGTTGAAATGGAAAAAAAAAAAGCACCTGTTAATTATTAGAACAACAAGAACAAAAAGCTAGAAGTTGTATAGTGGATAGACTTGAGAGGAGAATGAAAAAGGAAATAATAGAACTATGGGATTGGCCTATCAGGATATGAAGTCTAAAGTAGAGATTAGGAGACAAATGAAACAGAAATAAGTTGTGTATTAGAAGTATGAGATACTGCCTTATTACTGGTTATGGAAATAAGCATAAGAACTAGAATATGAATATAAATGGCTTTTCTTCCCCAAACTTTCCTATCCATGTAAGTTCTTTTTTTTTTCTCTCTCTCTCTTTAAATAGAGATGAGATCTCCCTATGTTGCCTAGGCATACTGCAACCACCAACTCCTGGGCTCAAGCAACCTTCTGCCTCAGCCCCCTGAGTAGCTGGGACTACAGACTCATGCCACCACACCTGTTTAATTTTTATTTTTGTAGAGACAGGGTCTCACAATTTTGTGTAGGCTGGTTTTGAACTCCTGGCCTCAAGTGATTCTCCCACCTGGGCCTCCCTCAGCACTTTTGCTGAGATTATAGGCGTGAGCCACCATGCCCACCCTACTTTGAACATTTTTAGTTGTTTTCCTGATCTTTAGTTTTTCATTGTTTGTGATGTGAGTTTTAATCTTCTGTAGCTAATGAAATTTTAGGAAGGGGATCGGGGACAATTGTGTTCCTCTTTGGTGGGTCCAGTTTCTAGGCAGATAAGGGAACTTCAGAGAACAGCCTCATCCTATGCTTTGGGAGAGGCAGAAGATTGAGACAGGAAGTGGGAGGGGAGGCCAGAAAGCCCTTGAGGTTGCTTCTTTAGTTCAGCATGTCAAGAGACCATATTTTGGGGTATGATTTTCTGTGCCCCAGCATTTAGAAGGTTAATAATCTCATCACACTAACTTTTAGATAACTTTTCTAAGGTGTTTTACATCACAAAATCTGAAGGCTTGGCCTCTGAATGTGGTGTTTAGATCTGTAATTTAGTTAGATATCCAAAGGGGCAATATTTTCATTAACTGTAAAACCATTTTAACTTCCAGCTTTTGAAGAAGTAAAATGTTCTGGTTTAGAGTAAAATGCCAGTGGTTTAGAGCCAGACTGCCTGTGTTCATATACCAGTTCTGCTACTTACTACTTGTGTGACTTTGGGCAAATTACTTAACCATGATTTGTTAATTTCCTAATTTCCCTCTGTAAAATGGGGATGATAATATTACCTATATCACAGGAAGGTTGTAAAGATACGACATATTAAAATATGTAAAATAAAAATATAAACATACATAAATACATAAAATATGTAAAATAAAAATATAAAATATATTTATTTATTTTTGAGACAGAGTCATACTGTGCCACCCAGGCTGGAGTGCGGTGGCAGGGTCTGGGCTCACTGCAGCCTCCACCTCCAGGGCTCGAGCAATCCTCCCACCTCAGCCTTCCAAAGTGATGGGATTACAGGAGTGACTACCACACCTGGCCTCATAATGTTTTATGTTGACTTTTTACTGCCTTTTATCTAAGGATATTGTAGGTAAAGTTATATCTTTTTTTCAATGAATGCTTCACAAAAAGAATAAAATTTCATGTATACTGTAGTTATTGGGCATCTTTACATGCAGTCTATATATAAATACTAAGTTGTGTTGTGTGTATGCGTGTTTATTTTTAATGGGGTCAGTTTTTCATAGTGGTGTCTAGTTCAGGCTTGGGAACAGAGAAGCTTGAGTTCAGTTCTGGCTGTGCTACTTTATTAGCTGGTGACTTTTATTTAATATCTCTAATCTACTCTGGTTCCTTGTCTATAAAATGAAGATAGTAATATCACTCACTCCATAAGGTGTTTGTGATAGTTAAATAAGCTAGTACCTATAATTTACTTAGCACAATGCCTGGAACATCAGTTATTGCTAACAACATATTTCTCACATGTATATACTATTACACATTTACTTCTTGGAAAAAAATGTGTTTCTTAAGCAGAACATATGTTCCTGCAGCGCAGTGTTCAGGAAGAATTCTGTGGGAGCAAAGAAGGGACAGAAAGGTACTCTTCACTTGGGTTTTGACACGCAAGAAGCTGGAATTCTGTATCTGATGTTTCCACTGCCATCCTTTACCTCTAAGTCACTTAAAATCCTCTTAGTCTTTTTGTTTTTTCTTATCTAGAATTTATAAATTATCACATTTAAATTTGTAAGACTTGCAGGAAGTGTTGGTTAAATTCTGTTTATTGAGTGTTCTTCAGAGTAGGTATTTGTATTAGTTATCTATTGTTGCATAACAAATTACCATAAAATGTAATAGCTTAAAACAGCATTTGTTATCTCATTTTCTATGTGTCAGGAATCCAAATGCAGCATAGCAGGGTTCTGTGGCTCTCACAGGTTGCAATCAAGGTGACAGCTGAGGCTGTAGTCATCTTGAAGCTCAACTAGGGAAGGATCTTCTTTTGTGTTTATACACATAGTTATTAGAAGGATTCAGATCTTCATGGGCTGTTGAACTGAGGGCTTCTATTCCTCACTGGTTTTCACCCAAAGGCCACCCTCAGTTCCTTGCTATGTGGGCGTCTCCGTAGGGCAGCACACAACATGGCACCTTGTTTCATGAGAGCAAGCAAGCAAGAGGTAGAAAGGGTACCAGCAAGACAGTGACAGTTTTTATAACCTAATCATGGAAGTGACATTCTATCACTTTTTGCCATATTCTCTTCATTAGAAGCCAGCCAGTAGGTCCAACTCACACTCAAGACACTCAAGTGGAGGGAATTACAAAAGGTCATGATTACAGAAGGGACGGGGATTATTGGGACCCATTGAAGAAGTTATGATCTTAGTTCTCTTGGTTTAAAATAAACTTAAGTGTCTAGTTTCTATTGGAAACATAAGTACTGTCAGGAAGTTTTCTGAAGAATGTTTTCACTGTCTTTTGAAAATATTTTTAGCTCTTATTTAAAAAGTTATCCGTATTATATAAAATATCAACTAAGCTAAAATAAGAAAATATACATAATCCATGACCCCACTAATCAGAAAGCCATTGTTAATATTTTGGAATATAGCCTAGCAATCTTTTTACATACAGTTGGCCTTCCATATCCACAGGTTCTACAGCCATAGGTTCAACCAACCACAGATTTAAAAAATTCACACACAAAAATAATAATACAAGAGTAAAAACTAATACAAACAATATGGTATAATAGCTATTTACATAGCATTTACATTGCATATGGTATTGTAAGTAACCTAGAAATGATTTGAAATATACGGGAGGATATACGTAGGATATATGCAAATACTACGTCATTTTGTATACAAGGAGCTTGAGGATCCACAGATTTTGGTATGGGATTGGGAGGGGGGTCCTGAAATCAGTCTGTTGCAGATACTGAGAAAAGGCTGTATTTTATTCATCTGCTCAAGCTGCCATAACAAAATACCATAGATTGGGTGGCTTAAACAACAAACTACTGTTCATATAGTTCTGGAGGCTAGAAGTTCAAGATCAAGGTTCTGGCTGATTCAGTTTTTGGTGAGGGCATTTTTCCTGGCTTGCAGATAACTGCCTTCTCACTGTGTCCTCACATGCTTTTCCTCTGTGCATGCATGTCAGGAGAGGGAGGGAGAATGAGAGCAGAGAGGTTTCTCTTCTTATAGGGACACTAATCCTATTTGGATCAGGGCTGCACACTTATAACCTCATTTAACATTAATTACTTTCTCCAAATACAGCCACACTGGGAATTAGGGTTTCTACAAATAAATTTGGGGGAGACACAAACATTCAGTCCATAATACGTACTTTTAAAGTAAAGGCGATAGACTGGGCACAGTGGCTCATGCCTGTAATCCCATTGCTTTGGGAAGCTGAGGTAGGAGCATTGCTTGAGGCCAGGAGTTCAAGGCTAGTCTTGGCAACATAGTGAGACCCCATCGCTACACAAAATTAAAAAATAGTTTAAAAAACTTAAGGTGATATTGTATATATCATGTTTTGAAATTGACTTTTTAAAATTACGTTGTATGTGTTTTTACCTTAACAACTATTCCATCATTTTTTCTCCTGGTAGGGCATTTCATTATATAAATGTAACATAATTTTTAAAAAACAATATACTGTTGCTGAACATTTAAATTGTTTTAATTTCTTGTTGTTATAAAGGTGCTTCAGTGAACATACTAATTGCTGAATGATTGTTCATATCTACCGTTATTTCCTTAGAATGAATTCCTTGAAATGGAATTGATAGAAATCCAGGATTATTCAAAATCTTAAATCTTTATATTACTAGATTTCCCTCTGGTACATTTCTTCCAGAAATGTATCAAAATATTTTCCTCAGAACTTTCACCAATACTACATATTTTTGATGAGTATTGCTTTTGGCTTTTTTAAAATTTATGTGTGTTTGTCTCTTCACATGTCCTTCAGAAGCCTTTTGTATCACTTTAACCCCCCATGGTCATCCTCAAATATTTTTGGCTTTTATAGTCTGTCTTATATAGAAAAGCATTGTGTATTTGATTTTGTTCACATGTTAACTGTGTCTCCTTACCCAGATGTATTATGACTGAAAAGGATGTAGAGGAGTGGTAAGGCTTGCCAAACGAAAAAGGATGGATAGGCTTGCTCGCTACCTGAAAGTGCAGTTGAAGCCTCATCCTTTAATGAGTTTTCTCAAAACCCAAAAGTTTTCTTCATAACCATTGTGAAATAAAATGTATACCAGCCTGGGCAACATGGCAAAACCCCATTTCTACTAAAAATACAAAAAAATAGCTAGGTGTGGTGGTGTGCACCTGTGGTCCCAGCTACTTGGGGGGTTGAGGTGGGAGGATCGCTTGAACCCAGGAGACAGAAGTTGCAGTGAGCCGATATCAAGCCACTGCACTCCAGCCTGGGTGACAGAGTGAGACCATGTCTAAAATAAAATAAAATAGGTAGATTCCATATACTCTGAACAGCTTTGTGTTTTTCCATTTGTTGCAGTCACTTTCTTCCCTCTGCATTGCTAAATCTAATGCTTGTTTCCAGTTCTCATTTTATTTAACTTACCTGCAACACTTAACACAGTTACTGACTCCCTCTTCCCCAAAGCACTTATTCTGTGACTCCAAGTTATCACCTTATTCTTGTTTTCTTCCTAATTCTCGGGCATCATTTTCATAGTGTATTTTGCTACTTCCTTTTCTTCTCCCACTTCTAAAAGTTGGAATACTCTAAGACCTGGACCATAGATATCTTCTCTGTGCTCACTTTGTTGGTATTCTCATTCAGGCCCACATCTTTTAAGGACATGTATATATTGATGACTCTGCTGTCATCACCAGATTTACTTTGATGACCTCTAAGACCCTGCTCAAGTGTACATCCACCGATTAGTAGTAGGTGCTCATGCTGTCCCAGTTGTTAAATATTTTTAATACTAGCCCTACCCTGTTCCCTTGCCTTTTTTAAGATCTTTGCTAAAATGTCACCTTTTCATTGAGACTTTGCATTGACACTATTAAAATTGCAACCTGCAGGTTACTGACAATCTTGACAAGCCACTTTGGTAGAATCTTGATGGCAGAAATTTGATTGCAGGCTGGGCGCGGTGGCTCATGCTTGTAATTGCAGCACTTTGGGAGGCCAAGACGGGAGGATCATTCGAGGCCGGGAGTTGGAGACCAGTGTGGGCAATATAGCAAGACCTCAACTCTACAAAATAAAAATAAAAAGCCAGGCATGGTGGCATGTGCCTGTAGTTCCAGCTACTTGGAAGGCTGAGGCAGGAGGATCACTTGAACCCAGGAGTTTGAGGCTGCAGTGAAGTATGATTGTGTCACTGCATTACAGCCTGGGTGAAGAACAAGACCCTGTCTGGAAAAAAAAAAAACAAAACTGAGGGTTTAAAAGTGAGTGGGAAAGAGAAATTGTAATCAATGAGTATAAACTGCTCTTTCAAAGAATTCTGTGATGAAAGGGAACAGAGCAGTAGGGAAGTAGCTGTAGGAGACTATGAGACAAGCAAGGATTTTCTAAACTAGAATAAATTTCAGTTTATTTTAAATAAACTAGAATGCTGTGCTCTGGTAGAGAGAGGAAATTGATGATGCAGAAGAAAGATAGGAAATGCTGAAATAACACACTTGAGTAGATGACAAATGAGATAAAAAGCAAAAATGAAGGGGTTGACTATGGAAAGGAGTGAACTAACTAGAAAAAAGGTTATCTTATGGGAACAGATGCAGCAGGTAAGTAGGTAGATATGGTGACGTGAGCTGGTAGAAAGCCTCTTCTGATTGTTTTTATTTTCTAAATTAAATGGAGAGTGATGTAACCAGCTGAAAGTGAGGATGAGGAAAGAAATATTGAGATTTGAAGAAAGAGAAGAAGCCATGGAATGTGTTCCGAGAGTGAATGGATTAGGGAAATGTAGTAGGATTGCTGGGCAGTACTAATGTCCCACTTAACGTTAGTGGTCATTAATTTAACGAGGGACTTGTTAGCAGACACGTTTAACTGTACTGGAACTGTATACTGGAGTTACACATTAGGTGAAGAATTGGACCTTAACCAGGGTTGGGGTTTGGCCAGATTGGAATGAGAAGATTAAAGAGGATCAAGGGAGTTGAGGGTATTTGCAAAGGAGTGATTATGGTGATGACTGTGAAATCTAAGCCAAGCAGGAGAGGAAATGAGAACATGAGGGGTGAAGGACAGTGAACTTTTGTAGATTCAGTGGGTTTTAGGTACCAATAGGCTCAAAGAAATGAGCTAGAAATATCAAGTGGTTGTCAGAGGCATTTAAGATTAAGGTTATGGACAGTTTGTAGTCATTAGTAATGACAGTGTTAAGAATATAACTATGGGAGTGGGTGACTGAAAGAGGATTGGGGAATGAGATCACCGGAGGGGAGGAAGTCAACAAACTGAGGCCAGAAGATCATCTGTGTGAATAGAAAAATTGTTATTGTAATACTGTTGGAGAGTATGAGAGTAAACCAATAGCTATAATCTTCAAAGAATGAGTGGTCTGACCTGAAGTCTAGGGAAACTACAAGAAGGAAGGACAGTTATTGGTACAATTTGATGATGTAGGATTTTAAGCTGGAGTGTTACGGAAGAAAGTAACTTACTATATACTATTATACATCTCTAATCTTTACCACTACCTTTTATTCTGATATTTTCCTTCTTTGAAAGGAAATATTTAATATTTGTTTAATATTTAATATTTGTTGACGACTATAGTAGTAGGCATTGGTCTGAACACAAGGGATGCAGTGATGAAAATGCTGAATAGAATCCTGTATTCATAGACCTCGTAGTTTAGCGTAGCTCATTTAGCACAAACCAAATCTCAGTTCCCTGGATCCTAGTTTAGGAAATCCTATTCTAAGGATATCTGTCTTAAATCAGTAAATATAGTCCAAGATAGTAACTGGGTATAGTAATTTTCTATAATGTATGTAATACATGTTTGTTTTTTGGCATAAATACATTTGGCTGTTTAAAGACTGGCTACATATTGATGAGAGGAATAATGTTATACTTTGAAAATTTTTTAAATAGTAGTAGTAGGGAAAGATACAGTACAAATGGGTGCTAAGTTACTTTTGTTCTTGAACATTCCTTTCTGTGTTGATCAAGAAAAACAAATCACTACTGGGAGATAAATTAGCAAATCTTAGCTGCAGCATCAGCAGCTTTTTTTTTTTTTTTTTTTGTAAGAGACAGTATCTCGCTTTGTTGGTCAGGCTGGAGTATAGTGGTGTGATCATAGCTCACTGCAGCCTCAACCTCCTGGGCTCAAACAACCCTCCCACCTCAGCCTCCCAAAATACTGGGATTACAGGTGTGAGCCACTGTGCCTAGCCAGCATCAAAATCTTAATATGGCACCATGAGAGATTTTTCTAAACCCAGACCTCATGAAAGTGGCATGAAGTATATTACATATTTTTAGTCAATATACTTTTATATAAAAGCCAAAACACATCACAGTAAATACAAAGGAAACTGAAGCTATAACTGCAGTAATTATAAGTTTTAAATGAAGCAGTGAATGTATTAGTCAGGGTTCTCTGGAGAAACAGAACCAATAGGTTATAGATAAAGATACAGAGAAAGGCATTTATTATGAGGGATTGTCTCAGGCAATTATGAAGGCCATAAAGTTCCAAGAACTGCCACCTGCAACCTGGAAGCCCAGGAAAGCTGGTGGTATAGTAATCCAGTCCAAAACCAAAGGCTTGAGAACCATGGTGTAAGTCTCAGTCTGAATCCAGAGGGCTGAGAACCAGGAGCACCAATGTCCAAGAGCAAGAGAAGATAGATGTCACAGCTCAAGCAGAGAAAGCAAATTCACCCTTCCTCTACTTTTTTCTTTTATTCAGACCCTCAGCAGATTGGACAATGTCCATTCACATTGGTGAAGATGATCTTCTTTACTTGGTCTACCAACTTAAATGCTAATCTCCCCTAGAAACACCCTCACTCACCAGAAATGTTGTTTTACTGGCTCTCTCTTAGCCCAGTCAGGTTGACAAATAAAATTAACCATCAGAATGCACTGTCTGGCCAGGTGCAATGGCTCACACCTGTAATTCCAACACTTTGAGAGGCTGAGGTGGGAGAATCGCTTAAGGCCTGGAGTTTTGAGTCCAGCCTGGGCAACATACCGAGACCCACCCCTCTACAAAAATAAAAATTAGCCAGGCGTGGTGGCTGTAGTCTGAGCTACTTGGGAGGCTGAGGCAGGAGGAACGCTTCAGCCCAGGAGTTTGGGGCTGCAGTGAGCTATGGTAGCACCACTGCACTCCAGCCTGGGCTGTAACAGAGTGAGACCCTATTTAAAAAAAAAAGAAAGAAATGCACTTGACAAAGTTCCAGTTTATGCCCAAAAAGCTTTCAAATTGGAGATACCTGGTTTAGTGTGTCTTCTCTGTATTTCGGCGTATTTGATATGTGCCATTCCATTGCCTGGAAGCATGAATTGTTCATCCTTGTCTTCCAACAGAAAAGTTCCATAGTGCTACTGATACTCTAGCCTTTTCATTTTAAAAGCTCCCTGCTGCCCTTCTTATAACGGTCTGTAGGTCTTTCCCATTACCCGGTCTGTACTGCTACACTGCAGTGGATTACTTCTTCCTAGAATGGTGCTTTTCTTTTAAGCCTAGGTAATTACATCATATTATTTATTGTGCAACTTCTAGAAAACATCCCAGATTTGGAAACCAACAGAAAATAAATTTGTCATTTAGATTAATGTGACTTTTGATGATATGATATTACTTTCCTTACTCTGATCAGTGTATCAATGCCTTTCTTTCCACATTTGAATGAATTGTGCTATTGATGAGGAAATCCAGGCCAATAAGGGAATAATATGGAAATATAACACTGCAGAAGTAGTGGATCTTTACCATATTTTGTATGTCAAACATATGTCTGTTGAAAGCAAACAATAGAAACCTCAGTTTAAAACCCAAAGGAACATTTCAGTAAGAAATATCAGTCTTAGAAATTTCAGTCAAGCACTGAAGGTTCTTGAGCTGGTCAAATATTGTATCCCATTTAAGCCAAATAGTCATCATCATACATTGATGTGCATGTAGTACCCCTTGTAGACTGGGGGCAGTTTTGTATGCCAGGAAACACTAGTGCAAGAGTTGCTAAACAGTGAATACTTTCCACCTCTGTATATCCCATCTCTACAGTGATTCCAGTTTCCAATGGGAGAGAATCAGAAGAGTAGGAAGTTGTGATGGAAGATTGTAGTGTAAGCATTTGAAACCCTGTTCCCCTACCAAAGTGCCAAACTAATGAATTCTTTAATGCAAAAGGAAGAGTTTGTAATGTCATAAAAATTGTATTCCTAGATAGCACAGAGAGAGAGAGAGAGAGAGATAGAGATTGTTTGGAGGACTTTTTTTCCATTTATCTGTGTATGTCTAAGTTATGTACGATTATTAAATACTAAGTAGACAAATTTACTTACTGTTTTTAGGAAGCATATAAAGGAACAAAGGCAAATAGTTAGAAAATCACTTAATCGTAGAAGCATAGATTTCTATAAAACTTATATTCTTTATTAGCTTCTGCTAGGAGTCCTGAGCTCTGAAAGAAAGGTCAGAGAATTTAAGATTCTAACTGCAAAAGAAAACCATTAAACTCACTGCCTTAGGTTTGAATGTGGAGCTCAGAACAGTAATGTTGAGAATATTAGAACTTGTCCCATTGGTTGAATTTCTCATTAATGGAGAAGAACCCTGTAAGAAGTCAAAGCTGGCATCTTTAGGTATACCACTTCTACCCATAACAGTGTTAGATCTCCACAGCCCCATGCAGATGGCTACAAAAGCTTCTTTTCTCATCAGATACATATATATGGGGAAAATGTTCGAGTTGTAAGGGTTTGGTTGAAACATAGGGTTTATGTGTTCCTGTGGGGCTAAGAATGGTGCCCATAAGCACTACTGGTAGGTCTGCAGTTCAGTTAAGGGGATAGGAATAAGAAAGAGAAAAAAAGGAGACAGAAGCTTAGGTGAGTGGAGAGAATACAAGAAGGAAGGAAGGAAGGAGAGGGAAAAGAATTATGAATGGAGAAAGAAAGCATTCTGGTAGTGGGAATTCCAGTGCCATTCATTGACGCTATGCCATAGATGTAATTCTTGTGCACACAGTAAAATTCAAGAACCATTGGTTAATGGTTAGAAACTAACTTTGATCTAAGTTTGAACTCTGTACATTTGTATAAGCTACTTAACCTCCTCAGTCTCAGGTTCCTCATCTGTGAAATAGAGGTAATAATACCTACCTCATAGCATTGTCATGAGAATTAAATATTACCTAAGTAAGTAAAGGGCTTAGCACATAGTAAATACTCAAAAATGATAATATAATGAAAAAATATAATTATATTGTATGTTCTACAAGTATAAAATTTCAGAAAATGTGGTTGGGTTGGTGGCATTTACATGACAATCTGTTCATTAATGGGTACACTACAGTGAATGTTATTTTCTTTTGTTTTCTAACTTAGTTTATTTCATTTTTAAACTGGCTTAATTTTTGCTTATCTTTAGTTCAGTGGTTCTTAATTTTTATGGTCACATGCCCTTTTAAAAAACTGATGAAATGTATTAATTAACTCTATAGAAAACTACACTTACATACAAAATTTTGCCCACTGTCTGGGTTTCCAAAAAATAAATAAATAAAACATTTAGGTTTGTTTGCCCAGTGTAATAGTTTTATGTGAAAACTAGTCTGAACAAACCAAAATTAATAAGAATCAAAGATTTAGAGTGTTCAGGCCTGGCACAGTGGCTCACCCCTGTAATTCCAGCTGCTCAGGAGGCTGAGGCAGGAGAATCACTTGAGTCCAGGAGGCAGAGGTTGCAGTGAGCCGAGATCGCACCACTGCACTGCAGCCTGGGTGACAGAGTGAGACTCTGTCTCAAAAAAAAAAAAAAAAAAAAAAAAAGAAAAGGAAAGAAAAAAAGATTTAGAGTGTTCTAACCAAGTTGCATTATTGCTAGCTCCCATTCTATACCCTAAAGCTAGGCATCTAAATACTCCCCTCTGCAACTAGAGAAATTCCCTAAAAATTGATTCTTTAACTTATGCCCTAGGTGAGTTAATTTTTAAAAGGCAGTAGCTGGCCAGATACGATGGCTCGTGCCTGTAATCCCAACACTTTGGGAGGACGAAGTAGAAGGATTGTTTGTGGCCAGGAGTTTGAGACCAGCTTAGGCAACATAGCAAGACTCTCATATCTTCAAAAAGAAAAATCAAAGAAGGCAGTAGTTTCGGAGGAGAGGTAGAGGGGATGAGGAAGGGTAAGTAGAGAAACACATACTTTTCAAGAGATGAGGTCCTGTGATTTCATATAATTTTGTGTGGCTTCCCTAATTAGGCATTATTTTTCCCCAGTTGCATGTTAATAATGACTCGTGCCATTGATAGCTTAATATGGATCTAGTTTTTCTACCTACCTGCAAGGGACCATTCTTCCTACCTTTCTGTTCTCTGGACCCTTCACAGTGAGAGATGTGAAACTATGAAAAACATCTCAGACCACCATCTTAACTTCCAACTTACATTTAATTTTAAAACAAATTATTCTAGAGAATGTATCCAAAAACTGGTAAGCCAGCATATACTTAAAAATTAGAATGCCTTCAGGCTGTATTTATACTCTGCAATTCAACATATACTTTATCATGTCCTATAACCATTACCCCTAGCTATGTGAGATATGTTAAAACTGCTTGTGTCCTGAAGATATTTGAGTTTGTAACCTTTGCTATGGCTTAGTGGGATTCCTTACTTTTTTTTAGAAGGTGGCAAGGAAGGATTGGAGAGTGGGAGAATGAAAATATCCGTTACTCACTTACTGTTAAAACATACAGTTTCAAAGGATTTGCAGACTTCTCAAACAGCATTTATCAGAGGGTCTCAGATCAAGAGTTCCTGATTTAGATCCTTTATTAGCTTAGACATGTATGCTACTGTTTGGAATATCATTTGTTCTCAGCTATTATGATTTAGCTATACCCGGAGGATTCATTATACATGACTGAACAATTTAAATGTGAAGTTGCTTTGGAAAGGAAAGAAAGGAGAGTTTCCTCAACCAGTTACCTCTAGTGGTGTTGGAGAAATGGTCATCAAATGACTCCTGTTCCTGTAACTTTCTCTTTCCTTCCTCCATCTCCACCACTCATCCTCCCAAAGACACTAACCCTTTTACACCTTATTTTTACAGTGTTAAGAATTATCTTGTGAGATTAGCTATAGTCCTCTAATGCTCACCTTTACTATTTCCATTGCCTATTACTTATGTTAGTTCTTTTGTATTTTCATGCCCCTAATTATTTGTATATGTTAGATTCAGTATTTGGAAATATTTGTAGAAATAAATGAAGCTAGGATGATGATTTTTTCTCTCTCTCTCCAGCTGATCAGTCATTTCTCCCTGGTTAACAGATGCTTCCCAGTGCTGAAGTGGCTCTCTCTAGGCAGTACCTCCATTCTAAATTCCATCTTCTCCCTGATACTGTCTTGGTGATTCATCACCATCATGTCAGTTCTTTAATGCTTTAAGAATTTTTAAAATGGCCGGGCATGGTGGCTCATGCCTGTAATCCCATCACTTTGGGATTGGATCATGAGGTCAGGAGATGGAGACCGTCCTGGCCAACATGGTGAAACCCCGTCTCTACTAAAAATACAAAAATTAGTTGGGTGTGGTGGCACACCCCTGTAATCCCAGCTACTTGGGAGGCTGAGGCAGGAGAATCACTTGAACCCGGGAGGCGGAGATTACAGTGAGTCAAGATCCCGCTATTGCACTCCAGCCTGGCAACAAAGTGAGACTCCATCTCAAAAAATAATAATAATAATAATAATTTTAAAAATTTATGGCAGGTGCGGAGGCTCACGCCTGTAATCCCAGCACTTTGGGAGGCCAAGGCGGGCAGATCACGAGGTCAGGAGATCAAGACCACAGTGAAATCCTGTCTCTATTAAAAATACAAAAAATTAGCCAGGCGCGGTGGCAGGTGCCTGTAGTCCCAGCTACTCGGGAGGCTGAGGCAGGAGAATGGCGTGAACCCAGGAGGCGGCACTTGCAGTGAGCGGAGATCGCGCCACTGCACTCCAACTGCACTCCAGCCTGGGTGATAGAGCAAGACTCTGTCTCAAAAAAAAAATTTATTGGCGGGGCATGGTGGCTCACACCTGTAATCCCAGCACTTTGGGAGGCCGAGGCGGGCAGATCACGAGTCAGGAGATTGAGACCATCCTGGCTAACACGGTGAAATCCCATCTCTACTAAAAATACAAAAAAAAAAAAAGGTTAGCTGGGTGTGGTGGTGGGTGACTGTAGTCCCAGCTACTCGGGAGGCTCAGGCAGGAGAATGGCGTGAACCCGGGAGGCAGAGCTTGCAGTAAGCCGAGATCGTGCCACTGCTCTCACAGCCTGGGCAACAGAGCGAGATTCCATTTAAAAAAAAAAAAAAAAAGAAAGAAAATTATTTTGTTCAGTTGTTATTAGTTATCCTCAGCTGGAAGGTCTTCAATTACTGAAAAGTCCCTGCCATTATTTCCTTTGGGGGAAAAATTCTAGCATTTGTATTTTTAAATTGCACACACATACTAAAGTATGTAAAAGTATTTTTTTATTTTGTGCTCACAATGAAGCTAGACAGGAGTAGACTGTGCTCTAAAAGACTCTTAGAATGCCACCTATTTGGACACAGAATCCCCATTAAATTCTGGGGAATTCTATATATTCTGAAATCGAAATGGTATTATTAACCAGTTGATTACTTGTAATACAAAGAAGTTCCCTTTTCAAGGAGGCTTCTAGAGTTGGACTACAAGATCCATCTCTTTGAGCAAACTGTCTTATTTGGACTTGGTACTAAATCTCAAAGGAATTAGAATTTTGCATCAAAATTTTGACAAGTTTTGCCTATCATTGTTATGGTACTACGCATGATACTGAATTGCTCAAAAATTTGCCTTTCTGCTTCTGATCTCCATTTGGTGTTACTCAATCTGTTGGCATTAGATTGGGAGTGGGGTGGGATAGAGAATATAGTCTACTTCATCCAGCCACAAATCCCAAATGTCCCAAATGTATTTCTTTCTTTTTTTTTTTTTTTTTTTTTTGAGATGGAGTCTTGCTCCCTCGCCCAGGCTGGAGTGCAGTGGTGCGATCTCAGCTCACTGCACTCCACCTCCCAGGTTCAAGCAGTCCCCTGCCTCAGCCTCCCGAGTAGCTGGGATTACAGGCGCACACCACCACACCTGGCTAATTTTTGTATTTTTAGTAGAGATAGGGTTTCACCATGTTGGCCAGGCTGGTCTTGAACTCCTGACCTCATGTGATCCGCCTGCCTCCGCCTCCCAAAGTGCTGGGATTATAGGCATGAGCCACCGCACCCAGCCCCAAATCTATTTCTTAGATCATTGAAGTATGCTCAGCATTATTATTTTCTGCTTTTATATTACCTTCTACAGTAGTCACAATAGTTACATTATAATTCTGAGTAGGTGAAGCTGATGTTTATATTGCTGCCAGAAAAAAAATTTTAATAGAGAATAAGAGCTATCATGCAAAACAACTGGAGAATTTCTTTAAGGGTTTGAAGAGGATTATGAGCCACAAGCTTTAAAATACAGTCTAGATTTCTGTTTCTTGGCTCTGTTGCAAACCAATTTTGAAAGGAATGTTGTTATCTGATGAATGTTATCTGATGATTAATGTTTTATTAAAACTGAGTATCAAAAGGCACATAATACATTTTTGTATTATAACACAAGATGCCTACTATATCTACATATTAAAGACTTACTCTTCTGTTAATCCCTGTAAATCCTCTTTGGTACTGTGGAACAGAAAGCTGCCCTTAAAATCTAAAGGTATTATTTGTTTTACATAGTTTCTTTTACATGTCTTAAAGTGAAAGAGCATTGGTTAGAATTCATTTGTGTAGAAGTAAAACTTCCATTACAATGAAGGGCATAAAATATGGATGCTGTTTTCTGGTTCCTTACCAGAGCAATGATATTTTATTTTCTTGGTTAAAATTTATTCTATACAGTGAATTATCCAGTACAATAACTGCCTTATCTCGTCCCTAACCAAGTAACATTTTTTATAATGACACTGATTATATGCTGGTTGCCCTGGAGAGAAGAAAGAATTAAACTACAGCTGAGTCATCACAGCATTTTTCTTTTTCTTTCTTTTCTTTTCTTTTTTTTTTTTTTTTAGATGGAGTTTCACTCTTGTTGCTCAGGCTGGAGTGCAATGACACATTCTCAACCCCCGCCTCTCAGGTTCAAGCGATTCTCCTGCCTCAGCCTCCTGAGTAGCTGGGATTACAGGCGCCCGCCACCATTCCCAGCTAATTTTTTTGTATTTTTAGTAGACAGGGTTTCACCATGTTGGCCAGGCTGGTTTTGAACTCCTGACCTCAGGTGATCCACCCACCTCAGCCTTCCAAGGTACTGGGATTACAGGTGTGAGCCACCGCCCCCGGCCATCACAGCATTTTTCTAATGAAAACTTTTAATAACTGCAGTCCCTCAGTCATTTCTTCTCAAACATCCAAACAAGAAAAATAAACACTAAAATTATGAAAATCACCCATTTAAATAATTTAATACATCATCTCCTTTATGCCTGCTACTGTATCCATAGTGATGTAGTCACTGAAACATAGTAGGTGTTCACTAAATGTGTGCTGAATGAGTGAAATGAACCTAAGAACTCAGAGGAAGGGAAAAAGAAGAAACTTAGTATGTTATAAATATATATAAATAACATATGTTCTCTCTACTAAGAATTTCTCTTTAGACTTTCTAATTTACTGCAAAAAGGCTTATAAGCCTGAACAACTACAACTATGACTTCTTAATCTGTGTTTATAATCTAATTTCACTACCTTGGGGGTTAGGAGGGTAGGGAGTGGTATATCTTTTAGTGGTTTTTGATTTTTCATTGTTTTAAATTTCTGCTAAATTATCTTCTTCCATGGAAGGGAGGCTACATACAAGGTAAATGCGAATGGCATATCAGAAGGAAGGTGCGTAAAACTTTACTGGATCAGAATTCTGCCATATCCACCACCTAAGATCAATCAGTGTGAGGGAAAGGGAATAAATGTAATTAGATAACATAATTGTCTATAAAACAAAGAGAATTTCAGGAAAATATCTGTTAGCAAAATATAACACATTTATCCTCAAAAATCAAGGAAAAAAGAGAAATACATGAAGTTTATCTTAACACTATCCTTTGAGAGACTGAGTGTGTAGACAGACAGTGACCATATATAAAAATAGAACTCTGTCCTCTGGTCTGCAGCAACCAACCCAAGAAACCAACCTGCTATCTACAAGTCAGACCACTGTCTCTAGCAGACAGTCCAAGAAGATAACAGTAACCCTTGTAACAATCAGGACAAAATGGCCAGGGCTTGATTATTAACTGATGACCTCTCTAATTTTTGCCCTTGCTTCCAACTTAAGACCAACTGGAGAAAGCCAAATATGCACCCCTAATCAATCTCATGGTATGCCCTGTTTCTAGTTAACCTGCCTGTAGCTTCTCCAAGCCAGGTGCTTCCAGTTAGCGCATATCTGAAGCCTTTCCTTTTTTCTATTATAAAACTTTCCCATTCCTGTGCCTGCCTTTGGGTCTCTGCCAAATGCAGGTGATTGTGGCTGACTCCCCTGCTGTAGCAAGTGCTGAATAAACAGGCTTTTCCTGTTAATATTGGGGTGATCTTCACTTCATGCCCTTTTCACATAATTACACTGTTCTAAGAATATGTATGACTTCCATGCTTGAACATACATACACAAAATAAATTTTTTAATAATAATCAGACTTATTCATATAAAAAAATTAAGTGATGTAACTGGCTTCCTTATGCTTTATGAGAACAATAGCATAGCACCGATGGTAGTAAAAATGACAAGAACACTATTTCACCTGGAACAATAGCTACTATAATTCCACTCTACAAGTTCTTTCTTTTACTGGCCTGGGTTGTTAACACCTTCACCTTAGCATCCTCCCCTACAGCCACTTGTGCCATTCTCTTTTGTTGGTACCTTATGAACTTCATGACAGCTGCCATGCTGTCACTGCCAGTGACGAAGGCAGATTTTTGACATGACTTTGGCATCTATTAATGTCTTAGTGATGCATAATTTTCCACATTAATTGATTTGACTTAGTCATCTCTTGGCAGTAAAGCTATGCAGGGTGAGGTAAAGCCCTTTTCTGGTATACTCTTTCAATTCTTTACAGTACTTCTAGTTTTACAGCTCTTTTGTTACCCTCATTTTCTTACAGCCTTATACTACCTCCACTCCACCTACCTTTATCCCCACTTGGAGAAACTTGAAATCTGTTTCCTGGAATTAAGTTGGAAAACACAAAGTTTCAAAGTGTTGCCCCCCCAAATTGTTGCTCCTACGAACATTAAAGAAAGTTTCTGTATACATTTAGGGACATGCTTGAAGAATTGAGAATGTAATCTTTGTCCATCTCCGTTTCTGGTTTAAGAAACCTGATGCTAGAGCTAATTAATTCCTTAGCATATCATCATTATTTCTACCAAATTTGGTGTAAATAAAGCCCCTGGTAACCTGCTTTGATATGTCAGTATTCCAGAGTAAATGCGGAGATTCCCCTCTCCTACTCTAACTACTTTTACATTACATAAATATGTTTGTATGTTAGCAGAGCAATATATAAACACAAATACCTGTAATATAGATTTCTATAATTGCATTTATATAAATGTAATTACATATATAAATGTGTTCAGAAGAGAAGGTCAGTGAGGTCACTATATAAAAATGAATGGTATTGCTATATTCTAGCAAAGAACCATTGGAAAATTAAATCCAAAAACAATTTAATTTACAACAGCATCCAATATCATAAAATTATCAGAGATAAATTTAGCAAAATTTGATCAAGACTTGTACACTAAAAATTATAAATAAACATTGTTAAGACCAATTAAAGACAACCAACAGATTTCTCATGTTTATGGATTATAAGATCCAATATTGGTAAAATAGCAATTTCCCCAAATTGAGTGAACATAATCCAAAGAAAAAAACTATTTGTAGACATTTGCAAACTAATACGAACATGCAAATGACCTAGAATACCCAAAGCAATTTTTCAAAAGGATAACGAAGTTTAAAGCAATTTTACAAAAGAATAATAAAGTTAAAGGACTTATTTTTAAATAAAAATGTTAGGGAAATTAAGTGGAGAAATGGACATTGACCCTTACCTCATACCATACACAAAAGTTAAGATTTAGCTGAGGCTGAAGGATTGCTTAAACCTAGGAGTTTGTGACCAGCCCTGGCAACCTAGCAAGATCCGGTCTCTAGAAAAAATTTAAGAATTAGCCAGGTGCAGTGCTGTGTGCCTGTAGTCTCAGCTATTCAAGAGGCTAAGGCAAGAGGATTGCTGGAGCCCAGTAGTTTGAGGCTGCAGTGAGCTATGTTGGTGCCACTGCACTCTTACCTGGGCGACGGAGTGAGACCCTGTCTCCCCCGCCAAAAAAAAAAAAAAAAAAAAAAGATTTAGACCTAAATGTAAGAGCTAGGACTGAATCTTTGCAACCTTGGGGCAAGCAAAGATTTCTTGGATAGGACATGAGAAATGTGAGTCATAAAAGAAAAATGTGCAAAATTGGACTTTACCTAAATTTAAAAGTTTTGTTCTTCAAAATACAGTGTTTAGAAAATGGAAAGTGGAGCCATAAAATAGGAGAAAATATCAGTGTACATATACCTGACACCCTTGATCCAAAATAAATAAACCCTTACTACTAATTAACAAGAAGACAACTGAATTTTTTTTGGCTTGAAACAACCACCATTTTATTATGACAACTGAAGTTTTAAAATGGATGAAATATTTGAACAGTTGTTCACAAAAGAAGATGTAAGAGTGGTCACTAAACACGTGAAAAGATGTTCAACACCATTATCAGGAGAACTGCAAATTAAAACCAGAATGAGATACCACTGTGTATTTATTAGTATAACTAAAATTAAAAAGGCTCTCACTGCCAAGTGTTGGCGAGAATATGGAGGAACAGGAACTCTCATGCACAGCCTGGGAGAGTATAAAGTCACCAGTCACTTTGGAAACTGGCAATTTCTTATGAAGCTAAAATTATAAACTTTATAACTCAGCCATTACACACCTATGTGTTTTCCAAAGAGAAATTAAAATATATGTCCACTTAAAGACTTTACATGGACATTTATAGCACTTTTATACATATCAGCCAAAAACTGGAAACAATACAATGTTTATCAGCAGGGAAACAACAAAATGTGGTATCCATACAAAGGAATACTGCTCAGCTATGAAAAGGAGCAAACTATTAACATACTCAACAACATGACGATCTGTAAAACAGGCTGAATGAAAAACCAGACTAGAATACATACTGTTTAATTCCTTATATAACCTATTTAATTACTTATATAAGCTTATGTAAGATTATAGAAAATAGAAACTAAAATAACAGAAAAAAGGCCGGTTGCGGTGGCTTACGCCTGTAATCCCAGCACTTTGGGAGGCTGAGGCGGACGGATCACAAGGTCAGAAGATCGAGACCATCGTGGCTAACACAGTGAAACCCCGTCTCTACTAAAAAATACAAAAAATTAGCCGGGTGTGGTGGCGGGCACCTGTAGTCCCAGCTACTCAGGAGGCTGAGGCAGGAGAATGGCCTGAACCCGGGAGGCGGAGCTTGCAGTGAGCCGAGATCGTGCAGCTGCACTCCAGCCTGGGCGACAGAGCAAGACTCCATCTCAAAAAAAAAAAAAAAAAAAACAGGAAAAAGATCAGTGGTTGCCTGGGACTAGAGTTGAGAGTGAGTTTGCCTGCAAAGGGACACATACAGACTTCCAGAGAGTAATGAAAATGTTCAGTATCTTGATTTTGGTAGTTTTACCAGATGTATATATTTATCAAAATTTACTGAATTGCGGCTGGGCACGGTGGCTCACACCTGTAATCCCAGCACTTTAGGAGGCCGAGGTGGGCGGATCACTTGAGGTCAGGAGTTTGAGACCAGTCTGGCCAACATGGTGAAACCCCATCTCTACTAAAAATACAAAAAATTAGCTGGGCATGGTGGCACACACCTGTAGTCCCAGCTACTCAAGAGTCTGAGGTGGGAGAATCGCTAGAACCCAGGAGGTGGAGGTTGCAGTGAGCCATGACTGTGCCATTGTACTCCAGCCTGGGTGACAGAGTGAGACTCTGTCTCAAAAAAAAAAAAAAAAAAACACAAAATTTATTGAATTGTATATGTTATATAGGTAATAGTTTATTATTTGCCAATTATAGTTTTAGAAAGAGAAGATCAGTAGATGAATAGGAAATGGAATTGAATCTGGAATAAGATAGCAACTAGATGGTAGTGAGTGAGTAGGAAAATGACTAAGAGAATGCTTAGATTGAGCAGAAAATATATGGTAAGAAAAGCCACTAGAATTTTATCGTAGTCTGCTAATTAAGTTATGGTTGTATTTGAGTCAAATACCTAAAAATTAAATGCCTACAATAATGGTACATGAGAAACCACTCCAAAACTTACAGCAACCAAAAATAAGCACTTTAAAAAACTCATGGGCTTGCAAGTATTGGTTGAAATGGCTCTGATTCGTGCTGTAGGTTGGCTGGATGGCTCTAGCATTCAAGTTGAGCTCATCATCTGTGATTGTTTCTGGGTTCAGGCTGAAGGGGTATCAGCCAGGAGCTTCTCCTGGTGTATCACCAGAGCACAAGAACACAAGTTAAACTGTACAGGCACATTTCAAGCCTCTCCTCGTAAGATCGCATTGTCCAAATAAAGTCACTTGGACAAATCCAAAAAAGTTTTATTGTGGGAAGTATAAATAAACATAACCCCAAGGTACTTCTATGTCCCTATCCTCCAGTTTCAACAATTATCTCTATTTTGCAACTCTTGTTTCTTATATTTCTTCCCTCTTCTATTATGCTCAAGGGCACTAATAAATATGGAGCAGCGCCTTAAAACCAACTGCCCTGGGCCAGGTGCGGTGGCTCACGCCCGTAATCCCAGCACTTTGGGAGGCCAAGGTGGGCGGGTCACAAGGTCAGGAGATCGAGACCATCGTGGCTAACACGGAGAAACCCCATCTCTACTAAAAAAATACAAAACATTAGCCGGGCGTGGTGGAGGGCGCCTGTAGTCCCAGCTACTCGGGAGGCTGAGGCAGGAGAATGGCGTGAACCCGGGAGGCGGAGCTTGCAGTGAGCCGAGATCGCGCCACTGCACTCCAGCCTGGGCGACAGAGCAAGACTCTGTCTCAAAAAAAAACACAAAAAACTGCCCTATGGGCGCACATAAGCTAGAGGTGGTTGCTTTGATTCTTGAAAAGTAGTGGGCATTGATTCTCACAGCTAGGAGCTCAGTTTTGGAAGGATGTGGAAGAGCTTCCGTGCCTTTTTCAACATTTGTTGTGACAAATTGCGGCCCCTGCTTTTAGCAGCTGCTTATTTTCTAACATTCCTCAGAACAATGAAAAATTCAGGTAATCGTTCGAGAACTAAGAAATGAAAATATAGCCAGGTTTGCTTTGGCAGTTGGGCCAAACTAATCATTGTTTTTACAACTCTGTTAAAGAGAAAGCATGAGTTTATTTGATTAAATATGGCACAGATTTCTAAGTCTTGAAATAGATGAGAATAAGCAGTTTATAATCAACAAATCAGAAAATGTAAACAATCTGATGTGCAAATGCTAAAAGAATGCTGAGAATTAAGAGAGTCTGGGGAACTAGAGATATAGTGTTTGTGTATTATTTGTGTGCAGCTTGCCATGTTAGGAATACAGATTAGGAATTTGGATACATTGGCTATTAGACATTCATTTCTTGGCACAGTTTTAATCATTGTTTAATCCCTGTGCACACTGGCTACCTTAAGTAGAAGGTACTTTTTTCAAATGTTGTAAAGTGTAAACCATCTCTGACTGGAGAATTGGCATCATCAAGAAAATAATGACCAACATATATTCTGAAATATTCAGTACCTGCTTTTTTACAGAATCCTCTTTTTGAGGGGGCCTGTATTATATTTATCACAGAGTTTAATTTACTGTGATTTAATTAAACTTTATTTTTTTATTTCCCCCGTGAGACTATAAACTCCTCAAGAATAAGGGACTGTGCTCATTGTATCATCAGATAATTCTGCTAGATGCTGTTAAAGATAAAAATATATTAAGTAGCTATTTAGACAATTTGTACTTAATAATCACAGTTTTCTTGGCAGGATGATGAAATGGTTGAGAACATAGGCTCAAGAACCAGATTGCTTGGACTTAAATATTGTCTCTGTTACTTAACTAACTCTGTAACCATAGACAAGCAAGAACTTAATCTTTGTGTACCTCACTTTTGCTATTTGTAAGATAAGAAATGTCGTGAAGATTAAATGATTTAATACATATAGTGCATTTAGAAAAGTACAGTAATATCTCAATAAGTTATTGTTACAGTCATCACTACTACTACTAATAGTACTATCAACATTATTCCAGAAATAAACTTCAAACACTGTTTTAAAATAATATTAAATATGCTGCATTTAATCAGTTGTGATCAAGTCCTGTATTTATGTTGAATTGGCAAGTCAAACAATTTGAACCTACAAATTGTTCCCTCTGCTCTTTTTCCCTGACTCTACTGTTCAATGTCAAACTCATCCATTAATTTCAAGTACACCCTCCTCTAAGAATCCTGTTCCATCCCTTTCCTCCCCTCACCCTCCCAAAATAAGGATAATTGTTTTGTCTCTGTGCTCTTCCTAGCACTTCCTTTAATTTACAAAATATTTCTTCTAGGCTGGGCATGGTTCATGCCTATAATCTCAGCTCTTTGGGAGGTCAATGCAAGAGGGTCAGGAATTCAAGACCAGCCTGGGCAACATAGGGAGACTACATCTCTTTAAAAAAAAAAAAAAAAAAAAGCCTTGGTGTGGTGGCACATGCCTGTGGTACCAGCTACTCAAGAGGCTGAAGTGGGAGGATTGCTTGGGCCCACCTGGGAGTTCGAGGCTGATCGTGTCACTGAACTCCAGCCTGGGTTGACAAAGTGAGACCCTATCTCAAAAAAACAAAAAACAAAAATAATGGCTTCCCTCTAGCCTTAATGCCATTGCTCCACTTTAAGTTGTTAGCTGATATGAGAAGAGTGGTCAAGTAAAGTTGTTTGTGATTTGTTGGAAGATGTTGGAATATGTTTAACACTCAATGGGAAAAACTCATCTGAAAGCACGAGTATGAATTTGAGAAAGACTAATCTTTTTTATCAAGTTTCCCTGAGGACAGGCTTCAGTAAGATCCAAAATATAATTGGAAAGATTCATTTTAGATAGGAAAAGGGACAATATTGCTGTTAAAAGGAGGGAAGGATGATAGAGTTGATGGGTTCAGGACAAGTATTACTATTTAAACAGTATCACTATTTAAAAGGATGAATGATGTATAGGCAGATTTATATGTTTGTGTTATCAGGAAGCTGAGAAACTTTCTAGTCTTTTTGCCTCATCCTCCTCCAATCCATTACCCTCAATGCAACCAGAAGAACCTTTATTATATTCAAATCTGATTGTGTCCTTCTCTAAGAAGTACTTACTTCATGCTTTCAGAAAATATTTCTTGAATGCCTCCTATGTGTTAGGCACTGAGAATATAGTAGTAGAAAAAAGTAGGCAAAGGCCTGGCATGGTGGCTCACACCTGTAATCCCAGCATTTGGGAGGCTGAGGCGGGTGAATCACCTGAGGTCAGGAGTTCGAGACCAACCTGGCCAACATGGTGAAACCGTGTCTCTACTAAATATACAAAAAGTAGCCGGCCATGGTGGCAGGTGCATGTAGTCCCAGCTACTAGGGAGGCTGAGGCGGGAGAGTTGCTTGAACCTGAGAGGCAGAGGTTGCAGTGAGTCAAGATTGCACCACTGCACTCCAGCCTGGGTGACAGAGTGAGACTCCATCTCAAAAAAAAAAAAAAAAAAAAAAAAAAAAGAGTAGGCATAGTGATGTAATTTAGCTCCGAATTAGAGGGACGTGTGTGTTCCTACTAAATTTGCAATGTCACAGAGCCGCCTCTTCTTTCTGCTTACTCTTCTCAGTAGAGAGGAGGGAGAATAAATAAAGATACTCTTTATATAACTGCCCATGGTTTGTTAGTGATACATATCTTTAATGGTCTTCTGATAATAACCTGAATTTACCCAGGGTTGATGTTGGAAGGGCTTCTGTCCTCTTGCTGTTGGTCCTCTCTCTAAACTAGCTCCCTGTAGGTTCAGTTGGCCTAGTGGAAGGTAGATGAACCTGAGTGGTATAGACTACCCTCTACAGTCTCAACTTTGGGGCCTATAGGCACAGGCATGAACTTCTTTCTAGGCATGTTGAAAACCATGAACCAGGTGAGGAAGGGAGAAAGTTGTATTGTCATGCCTACTGAAATGGAACATTTCAACAAGCCAGCAGGGAGAAAGGTAGTCCCAGAGGTCTGTATTTAAAATGCGTCTTCAAGGTCTTTTGTTCATTGCCCTGTGGGCCCTACTTGTCAATTCCAGGAAAACAGAAATTTCACTTGACACCGACACCTCCTACCACCTTAAATTCTGCTTTGTCGGGTAATAATATTGCCTCTCGGAATGATTGAACCTCCAAGGACCACATTTAGCAGGTACAGCCCCCTCTCCAAGTGGATTCACCAGCATCTGTCAACCAGAAAAGCTGGAGAGATCTAAGGTTGTTGCTGTTTCCCTTGCTCTTGGCTCCTCACTCTTCCCTTGTTATTCGGTGGTTACAGAAAATGAAGCATCACTCCTGTTCTCATCTACCTTCAGCTTCCAGTGTACTTGCCTCGTGTCACTACCACCCTTATTTTGACAGTTGTATCACTCCAGTGAGGTGTAGGTAGTAGGCGGAAGAGAAGTTGAGAACTTGTGTTCTGGCTGTCATTTCCACAGAATTCCTAAATAGCCAATTTAAAACAAAGGTTTTCAGAGGAAAGCGTGGGGTGCCATCACTGCCACCAGCACTGCTGTGCCAGAGCCGAGCCCTGCCTCCCCTTCTTCCTGACACCACCGCTCATGTCCTCCAGCCTGTTCCTACAATCTGTTGAAACTTGGTAGAATACTATGAAGTTCTAGGCATGTAGAGACATGCCCACCTGGCTCCCCCCGCTCCAAGGTTATTAAAGAGGCATATTGGAAACTGGCACCAAAGTGGCATCCAGATAAAAATCCTGAGAATAGAGAAGAAACAGAAAATTCCGACAAGTAGCTGAAGCATATGAGATATTATCAGATGCTAAAAAATGGGACATCTGTGACAAATATGGCAGAGAAATTAAATGGTGGAGGAGGAGTTGGAAGTCATTTTGACAGTTCGTTTTAGTTTGGCGTCACATTCCTGTAACCCAGATGATGCCTTCAGGGACATTTTTGGTGGAAGGGACCCATTTTTATTCAACTTCTATGAAAACTCATTTGAGGACTTTTTTGGGGAATCAAAGGGGTTCCTGAAGAAGCAGAAGCTGAGGAACAGTCATTTTTCTCCACCTTGATTGGATTTCCATGTTTTGGAAGTGGATTTTCTTCTTTTGATACACAATTTGCTTCATTCAATCATGAGGTCATGGAGGCCTCACTTCATTTTCCTCCATGTTATTTGGTGGTAGTGCCATGGGCAGCTTCAAATTTGTATCAACTTATACCTAAAATAGTTGATGGCAGAAAATCACTACAAAGAGAATTGTTGAAAAGGGTCAAGAAAGAGTCGAAGTGCTTACCGATAAATGGTGAGGAGCAGCTGCTACCCTTGCATAACAAGTAACTCAACACACTCATTTGAACAGAAATGTTAAACTATAACAAGCACCATTGAGGATTAAGGAACATTTCTTTGAAGATTTCAGATGAATTCGACTTTCTTTTTCATTGTGCCTAATCTAGAGTATTTATAAACAGCTCATTGGAGTCCCTATTTGTCTTAAACTTTTGAATTTATTGATGAGGCCACATAATAGGACCTTTTTTTTAAACTTCAAAATAGTAAATCTCTGTATGCACTTTGCTTTCATTATTAAATATACTCTTAGTTGAACCTTGACTCTTGAGTAGTGGTAGGACAAGATTGTACACTTAACACCAGCATGGATCTGCTTTTCCATTGTGTCTGAAATGTGAGCCAGGTGTAGTGTCAAGTGACGTTAACATTGCCAGCATAAATCTTCCACAGAAATAATTCCTATTTTTTTCTGTCAAGTGAAGTTAACATTGCCAGCATGGCAGCATGAATCTTCCACAGAAATAATTTCTATTTTTTTCTCTATTTAGTAGTGCAAGATATTAATGCATTCGTCGTAATACATTTCTAGTTTAATATAAATAAAGGATGTTTTCTAGTTGTGGATGAATGCTAGCAACTTAGTTTTGACAGTGGTTTAAATTAGTAATGTTAAGCTGAAATTTAAAAACTAAAGTTTGAGAGGGTCGAAAATTTACCTGCTGCGTATAATGCACACTCATTATTCGAGTGATGGGTACACTGACAGTCCAGACTCCACCACTGTGTCATACATGCATGTGAGAAATCTGAACTTGTATTCCCTAAATATATAAAATATTTTTTAAAATTTAAGTAAATCTGGTAAACTGAGTCTTTGTCATTTGTTTTTTAAAAAAAGAAATGCAGGCTGGGCGCGGTGGCTCACGCCTGTAATCCCAGCACTTTGGGAGGCCGAGGTGGGCGGATCACGAGGTCAGGAGATTGAGACCATCCTGGCTAACACGGTGAAACCCCATCTCTACGAAAAATACAAAAAATTAGCCGGGCGAGGTGGCGGGCACCTGTAGTCCCAGCTACTCAAAAGGCTGAGGCAGGAGAATGGCGTGAACCCGGGAGGCGGAGCCTGCAGTGAGCCGAGATCGCGCCACTGCACTCCAACCTGGGCGACAGCGAGACTCCGTCTCAAAAAAAAAAAAAGAAATGCAAATGTGTTTGGTGCAGTCTTTCCTGAGTGGGAAAAAATAGATAAAAGTTTTCATTAGTTGAAGATCTATTTAAAACATAACATATTTCATATATAATTTCCTTGAAATCTCTTGATTTCTAATATTATGTCTTTATAAGACAGGAACTTTAAATGAAAGATCTAAATGTTTAGAGTAGTAAGTTTGCTGATATTTAGTATCCCTCATCTGAGCAACTTAAATAGTATTAAAATATATAGCTTAAATATGTAGTGTTATTTGTTTTTTTCATAATTCTAGACTTGTTTCTTAGAGTAAAAAAGCATAAACAAGTATTGTTGAGAATATTGTTTCATTCTCAAGGTCAGTGCCCTAAGTTTTTAATACATTTTTTGTAATTTTGTAGAAATTATAAATACAGAAAGGAATGCAAATAACAGTTATGCCTTGCTATGAAAATTTATGAAGTGAACACAAATTAAGATATTGAATGTTTTCAGCAGTTCAGAAGCTTCCTTCATGCTTCCTCTGCATCATTATCCTCCCCTTACAAACATACCCACTGTTCTGACTGCCATCATCAATTATTTGTTTTACCAATTTCTGAACTTTATATAAATAAAATCATTTAGTATGTATTCTTTTTTTTTTTTTTTGGAGATGGAGTCTTGCTCTGTCGCCCATGCTGGAGTGCAATGGCACGATCTCGGCTCACTGCAACCTCCGCCTCCCAGGTTCAAGCTATTCTCATGTTTCAGCCTCCCGAGTAGCTGGGATTACAGGCGCCTGCCACCACACCCGGCTAAATTTTTTTGTATTTTTAGTAGAGATGGGATTTCGCCATGTTGGTCAGATGATCCCCCCACCTCGGCCTCCCAAAGTGCTGGGATTACAGGTGTGAGCCACTGCACCCAGCCCTATGTATTCTTTTGAAACTATCTTCTTTTGTTCAGTAATACGGTTTTTTTTTTTTGGAGGGGGGGTTGGGGACAGAGTGTGAGACAGGGTCTCACTCTGTCACCCAGACTAGAGTACAGTGGTGCAATCATGTTTCATTGCAACCTTGAACTCCCAGGCTCAAGCCATCCTCTTACTTTACCCACCTGAGTAGCTGGGACTACAGGCGTGCACTACCAGGCCTGGCTTCTTTTTTAAAAAAATGTTTTTTTGGAGCTAGGGTTTTGCCGTGTCACCCAGGCTCGAATAGCTGGGACTACAAGCATGTACCACCACACCCGGCTAGTTTTTGTATTTTTTTGGTAGAGAAAGGGTTTCACCATGTTGGCCAGGCTAGTCTTGAACTTCTGACCTAAAGTGATCCACCCGCCTCGGCCTCCCAAAGTGCTGGAATTACAGGCGTGAGCCACTGCACTTGGCCTTGATGGACATTTTCAACTTGGGCTATGATGAACAGTTTTATGAACATTTGTTATGTGTCTTTTGATGCACCTATTAGTATACTTTTCCTTTTTTTTATACAACTAGTAGTGGACTTGCTGAGTCATATGGTTTCTGTAAAATGGCAAACATTTTCCAAATTTGAAACCATACATTTTTTAAATGCCAAACCTTTTATCCAAATTTGATGCTACCAGTTTACATTCCCATCAGCACAGCAGTGTTTCAGTGTTCCTTTGCCCCCTACTGTCAGATGCTATTTTGTTTGTTTTGTGTGCCATTCTGCACTGTATATGTGTAGCAGTATCTCATTGGAGTTTTGATTTGCATTTCCCAATAATATTGAACACCTTTACATGTGCTTATTAGCTATTTGGATATTCTCTTTTGTAAATCCTGTATAGATCTTTTGTCTATTTTTTAATTGGATTGTCTTTCTTGTTGATTTGTAGTAGTTATCTCACTCTATGGCTTGCCCTTTTACCTTCTTAATGGTGTCTTTGGTGAAAAGATTGACTTTGCCAATCTTTTTTCTTAATGGTTGTTGCCTTTTGGGCCTTTGTAAGAA